>NC_000012.12:2839460-4254190 GCF_000001405.40 Homo sapiens
TATTCTCTGAAGTGAATGGATCTAAATTCAGAAATGCTGAGAGAAAAAATGAAAGTGATAAATATGGCTCCTTCGCTGCATTGGTTCTTCTATGAATGAAGTTTTTTTTCATTCAGAAAAAAGTAGTTATTGAGCGCCTACTATGTACTGGACGCTGAGCTAGGCCCTGGGTGTACAGTGGAGAGCCAGATGAGGTCCCTGCCTTCATGGAGTTCACATTCTAATGGAACAGGTAGATAATGAACAACTAAATTTATAACCTCAGGTGGTGGTAAGTGCTGAAGAAAATACACCATGGAATAGTATGGAGCCATAAAAAATAACAAAATCATGTCCTCTGCAGCAACATGGATGCAGTTGGAGGACATTATCCTAAGCAAATTAACACAGAAACAGGAAACCAAATATTGCGTGTTTTCACTTATAAGCGGGAGCTAAACAATGAGTACAAATGGACACGAAGATGGGAACAACAGACACTGGAGACTCCAAAAGCGAGGAAGGAAAGAGGAGCTAGGGCTGAAGAACTTCCTGTTGGGTACTGTGGTCACTCTCTGAGTGACAGGATCAAGAGAAGCCCAGACCTGAGCACCATGCACTGTGCCCTTCTAACAAACCCGCACATGTGCCCCCTGAATCTAACCAAAAAAAAAAAAAAAGGGCAAGATCTACCAAGTTCATGAGTAGGAAGGTTCAATATAAAGATGGCCGGGCGCAGTGGCTCACGCCTATAATTCCAGCACTTTGGGAGGCCGAGGTGGGTGGATCACCTGAAGCCAGCAGTTCAAGACCAGCCTGGCCAACATGGTGAAACCCCGTCTCTACTAAAAATACAAAAAAAAATTAGCTGGGTGTGGTGGCTCATGCCTGTAGTCCCAGCTACTCGGGAGATTGAGGCATGAGAAACGCTTGAAACCGGGAGGTGGATCAAGTTGAAGTGAGCCGAGATCACGTCACTGCACCCCAGCCTGGGAGACAGAGCGAGACTCTGTCTCAAAAAAAAAAAAAAGGATTTAATTTCTTCCCCAATTTGTCCATAAACTCAATATAATTCTAAATATCATGCCTGTAATCCCAGCACTTTGGGAGGCCGAGGCAGGCAGATCACGAGGTCAGGAGATTGAGACCATCCTGGCTAACACGGTGAAACCCCATCTCTACTAAAAATACAAAAACTTAGCCGGGCGAGGTGGCGGGCGCCTGTAGTCCCAGCTACTCGGGAGGCTGAGGCAGGAGAATGGCGTGAACCCGGGAGGCGGAGCTTTCAGTGAGCTGAGATCACGCCACTGCCCTCCAGTCTGGGTGACAGAGCAAGACTCCGTCTCAAAATAAATAAATAAAATTCTAAATAAAATCCAAATACAATTTTTTTTTTTTGTAGAAAAAAGAGAAAAAAGCAGGGTAAGAAGAGAAAGTGGTGGAGCTGAGCTGGGCAGAGTGGCTCTTTTAGAAGCGATGACATTTACACATAGGTCACTATGGAGAGGGCCATGCAGACACCTGGAGGAGTGCCACAGACACAGGGAAGAGTGCAGGTAAGACAGGGTAGTCTGGGATTGTCCTTCTTATGTCCCCAAACCCGCCTGGGGCAAGGGGGTGGACTGGCCTTTCTCCATCCCCTCTGTCAGGCCCGTCTCCTCCTATGGCTAGTCACTCACATCTGCTAACAACAGACTGGCTGCAGTACAGAACGTCATCTCTTGCTATGGAGAGAATAGGGTTAACTTGTCTATACCACGAGCAAGCCCTTGTCCTGGATCCCGCTGCTCAGTCACCCTGGCATAGTGCCCATCCCACTGAATCTGTTAGGCTGCCAGACCCTGGGTTCCCTCTGCAGAACGGAGATCACGGAGTACCACTGAGTGCGTTCTCAGACTCGCCAGAGGGCTCTGGTGTTTTTGTATTTCTAGCAATGATGAAGGGGCAGAGAAGGGCTTAAAAAGGAAGGCTCCCTTGGCCTTCCAGCTTGATAAGCCCTCAGGCACAAAGGCCTCCTAAAACACTTTCTGTCTTTAGATAAAACCAGACCACACCTTGCATTTACCACTGGGTGTCAGACAGTTATTGGTGATCCTAAACTCATGCTGTCTGATACAGTAACTACTAGACATATATGGTTATTGAGCCCTTGAGATGTGGCCAATCTGAACTGAGATATGCTGCAAGTTAAACCACACGCTGGATTTTGAAAACAATACAAAAACCTGTGTGAAACATCTCATGAATTATTTTCTAATTGATTGCATTACTTTATATTGATTTTTTTTTTTTTCTTTGAGACAGAGTCTCACCCTGTCACCCAGGCTGGAGTGCAGTGGCATGATCTCGGCTCACTGCAACCTCCGCCTCCTGGGTTCAAGTGATTCTCCTGTCTCAGCCTCCCGAGTAGCTGGGACTACAGGCGCCCGCCACCACGCCCGGCTAATTTTTGTCTTTTTAGTAGTGATGTGGTTTCACCATGTTGGCCAGGATGGTCTCGATCTCCTGACCTCGTGATCCACCCCCTTCAGCCTCCCAAAGTGCTGGGATTACAGGCATGAACCACTGTGTGTGGCCCCATATTGATAATATTTTTGATCTATTGGGTTAAATAAAATACATAAAAACAATAATATAATAATAATAACAATGTAATAATAAAAATTAATTTCACTTGTTTCTTTTTTTTTTTTTTTTTTTGAGATGGAGTCTTGCTCTGTTGCCCAGGCTGGAGTGCTGTGGCACGATCTCGGCTCACTGCAACGTCTGCCTCCTGGGTTCAAGGGATTCTCCTGCCTCAGCCTCCCAAGTAGCTGGGACTACAGGCATGTGCCACCACGCCCAGCTATTTTTTTGTATTTTTAGTAGAGACAGAGTTTCACCATATTAGCCAGGATGGTCTTGATCTCCTGATCTCGTAATCCACCCGCCTCGGCCTCCCAAAGTGCTGGGATTACAGGCATGAGCCACCACGCCCAGCCTTGTTTCCTTTTTTTTTAAAAAAAGTAAGAAATGTTTTAGGCCGGGTGTGGTGGCTCAAGCCTGTAATCCCACATTTTTGGAAGGCAAGACGATCACCTGAGGCCAGGAGTTTAAGACCAGTGTGGGCAACATAGTGAGAGCTCGTCGCTACAAAAAAAAATTCAGCCAGGCATAGTGACATGCGCCTGTAGTTCCAGCTACTCGGGAGGCTGAGGCAGGAGAATTGCTTGAGCGCAGGAGGTAGAGGCTACAGCGAGCCAAGATCATGCCATTGCACTCCAGCCTGGGTTACAGAGTGAGACCCTGTCTCAAAACAAACAAACAAAAAATTTTAATTATAGATGTTGCTCCATTATGTTTCTGTTGGACAGCCCTGATCTAAATAGATTCTACAGCTCCTTTCCTCTTTCCTGATAGAATCTCAATTCTCTCAGGAAGTTCTTTTTTAATCTAAGTCCTGGTGGCTATATTCAAAGTTCATGCCCTCTTATCCAAGCCTAGCAGAGATAGAGATGAACTGTATCCCACCTTCCTTGTCATAGCCGTTCATGCCTTCAGAGATCTTTCCATCTTTTCAACATTCTTTCCTCAAGGCTGAATAGTGCCAATTCTTGTCTCTGCTGGTGGGGATGGAGAGGAGAGCTCCTCTGGCCCAGTGAAATCACCCAGTCCAGTGCCCTGCCACATAAGGAAATTCCCGGAATATTCTTTATAGAATGGGTTATTCAGAGCTAGACAAACAGCTCTCTTGAACCCGTGGAGGGTTAAGGGCAGCCAGTTTCTATTTCAGGCTTTCTCCTCTGGGCCTGTCAGATCTACTGAAGACAGGAATGAAGTTGTTTTCCAGAATTCTCCTGTCCAGCAAGGGCCGCAGGCAGCCCGTGCTGCCAGGAGAGCACACCTCCCTACTGCCATCCCAAAGAGGTGGATCTTCCAAAGGCTGCCAGGCAAGGACAACATTTTATATTTCTGACGCTAGGATTATTTTCCTGTTTCATGGATGGCAAAACCAAGGCACGAAGAGGTCAAGTGCTTTGGCTCTGTTGATGAAAGCAGCCTGAGCATGGCATGGTGAACTCAGAGGGGCCTGATCAAGAGTTCCAACTCATGGCCGAGCATGGTGGCTCATGCCTGTAATCTCAGCACTTAAGGATGCCGAGGTGGGTGGATCACCTGAGGTCAGGAGTTCGAGACCAACCTGGCCAACATAGGGAAACCCAGTCTCCACTAAAAATACAAAAATTAGGTGGGCATGGTGGCGTGCGCCCATAGTCCCAGCTACTCAGGAAGCTGAGGCAGAAGAATCACTTGAACCCGGGAGGTGGAGGTTGCAGTGAGCTGAGATCGTGCCACTGCACTCCAGCCTGGGTGACAGAGCGAGACTCCATCTCAAAAAAAAAAAGTTCCAACTCTGTCCCTGTACTAGCTGGGTGACCTGGGGTGAAGTGCTTAATCTTTTGGCATTTGTTTCTTCATCTGTAAAAATGAAATAACACATAATCTGTAGAGTTGGTGCGAAGTTTGAATGAGACAGAATAGCAAAAAGTAGTAAACTAGGCCAGGCATGGTGGCTCACGCCTGTAATCCCAGGACTTTGGGAGGCCAAAGAGGGAGGACTTCTTGAGCCCAGGAGTTCAGCCTGGGCAAGCATGGCGAAACCCCATCTCTACTAAAAATACAAAAAAAAATAGCCAGGCATGGTGGCACACGCTTGTGGTCCCAGCTACTCAGGAGGCTGAAGTGGGAGGATTGCTTGAGCCTGGGAGGTAGAGGTTGCAATGAGCTGAGATCACACAGCTACACTCCAGCGTGGGTGAGAGTGAGACCCTGTCTCAAAAAAAATAAAATAAGGCTGGGCATGGTGGCTGATGCCCGTAATCGCAGCACTTTGGGAGGCTGAGGTGGGCGGATCACATGAGGTCAGGAGTTCGACACCAGCCTGTCCAATGTGACGAAACCCTGTCTCTACTAAAAATACAAAAATTAGCTGAGCATAGCGGTGTGCGCTTGTAATCCCAGCTACTTGGGAAGCTGAGACAGGAGAATCACCTGAACCAAGGAGGCAGAGGTTGCAGTGAGCCAATATCACACCACTGCACTCCAGCCTGGACAGCAGAGCAAGACCCTGTCTCAAAATAATAATTATAATAAATTAAATAATAGTAAACTGTATGCCTCAGCTTAGTATCTCCAAGGTGGAAATCATACAGGACCTACCTTCAGCACTCCTGTCCCTCCCTCTTTGTTTATCTTTTTTATTTCCCGCTTCCATTCCCCTGTATTTTTCCCTCCTCCTTGCCTAAGCTGTGGGCCTGCACTTGGCACCCTTGGACACGACCTCCCCTTCCTAGTGATACTCAGACTAAAGAAGTCACTGACTATTGTTTGGGAACCATGTCATGATACCTAGTGTCAACGTTCCATAAACACCCAGTAAACATAAGTGTGGTCTAAGGGAAGCCACACATCGAAATTCCTGTCTTGGAATTTGGACAATGGCAAGATGCAGCCACATTCTTTACAAGCGTGGAGGCGTTCGTGAGGCTCTGCCCTGGGACTGGCAGGGAATGAACTGGCTTGGGACTAACATAAGTGGAGCAGCTATGTGAAGAGCCACGGGAACCGCTACCTGTGATGGCAGGTGGGCAGCAGCCACTATTGACACTGTGTAATGAAAAGAGCAAATGTGTGCGGCTCGGTGGCAGCACAACTAAGGACAGGGCTCAGTGATGGAAAAGAGGCATGAAGACAAGGGGCTCCCAGCAAGTGAGGCAGCGATGAGTTGGAATGAAGGCTGGAGGGTCGCAGGGAAGCTGGAAAGTGAGTTGGGTGGGGACTGTCTGCAGAGGGGATCTTGGCTCGAGTTTGTCATCTCAAGGAGCAGCTATGGGGCTTTTTGAGGCATGGTAATTAGATGAGACAACCCTGGCAGGGCATGACTGGCAACGTGGGTGGCCCTGTATGGTCCCCCAGGGGTTCCCAGTCCCCACAGCTTCCCGACTCCCTGGCCCCAGCCATTCCTCAAGCTCCCAGCAGCTCAGGAACTTGCGTCAGCAGCTCAGGTCATGACACCAAGATCAGGCTTGGAAAGGGGGAGGTGGAGGGAGGGGAGTTTTTGGCCCGGAAATGGCTGGGAAGACTTCCTTTGCTGGGATTAACTGTTGTCCGTGAAGCTGGTGGCATTCAGCAGGGCACAGGGTGTTCTGGGGAGTGAAGTATGTGGGGGAAAGGGGTGTCCATACCTTCACCCCTGCCTCCCTCTCAGAGCTGCACTCCAGCTGTGGTGAAAGAGTGGATCTTTAGGCAGATACAGATACAGAGATTCCCCCCACCCCACCCCACCAAAGGCTTTCAGGACCTCTAGGTTCATTCGTGTGTGGGGATGGAGTAAGGAGGTTGCTCATGCTTGCCAGCCAAGTGTATGTAGGCTGAGCTGGGGTGATTTTCTTTTTCTTTTTTTTGTTGAGTTAGGGTCTCACTGTATTCCCCAGGCTGGTCTGAAACTCCTGGGCTCAAGCGATCCTCCTGCCTCAGCCTCCCAAGTAGCTGGGACTACAGGTGCACACCACTGCACCTGCCTGGCTGGGGGTTGCCTCGTTAGGGTCCCCAGGCCCGGAAGGTCGCGTGCTTGCTATTGCTGCCCCGCAGACCCCCATGGCCTGCTGGAGCTAGGGGGCGCCAGAAGCCTTACTTCTGTGTCTCTGGCCGATGAACAAGAGAGCCTGGATACTGCTGCAGAGCAGAGGCTGTTCCGGAGAGCAGGGCTGGAAGGTGGTGGGGCGGGGTGAAGTCCTGACTAGAGGCTGGGAGCTTCTGGGTGGGCAGGGTCTGCCAGGGCAGGAGCCTGTGTGAGTGCAGCTTCCTTTCTGCCCGCCCCTAGCTTAAGGCCAGAGAGTAGGCAGCTTGTTTTCAAGAATCCCAATGGCTTTCTTCCTCCCACTCCCTAAATCTTCTTGCCCACCCTCTAACCATGCCCAGGGCCTCTCGCTGTGAGGTGGCAAGTAGCCCGAGAAGCAGATGGTAGCCCAGGCCTTGCAGTCCCCGCTCCAGCACACCCCTCCCGTCCTCTCGCCAGGAGGCTGCCTGGCTTTGTGGTCCGGAGCAAGTCACTTCTCGACGGGCTTCACTTTGCCCATCTGAAGTCTGAGGTTGTTAGGCGTGTTTTCTAATGGCCTGCCCAGCTCTGACATTTTTGGATCCTATGTAAAGGGAACCCTCCTTTCCACCCTCATTCCCAGTCCAGAGTGAGGAGATTGGGTAAATTCCCAGAGCCCTGGCACTCCCGTGGAGCACTCAGGAAACGCTCCTTCACCCCTCAATTCTGCTCTCACACACCCCGTCACACATAGACTCACATACACCAAGCAGAGAGGAGCAAAGAGAAGGACCATGTAAGACAATCACGGACATGGCGTTAGAAGGAAACTGAGAAACGCTCTACAAGAGTTCGATGTATTACATTATTTTTAATTTAGATGAAATTCACATAACACAAAATTTACCATTTTAAAGTGTACGTACACTTCAGTGGCTTTTCATATATTCACAGTGTTGTGCAACCACTACCCCTATCTAGTTCAAAAATATTTTCAGTTCTCCCCTCCTCCAGCATCTGGGAAGCATCCATTCACCTTCCAGCTCTGTGGCTTTGCAGGTTCTAGACATTTCATGTAAATGCAGTCATATAATATGTGGCTTTTTGTGTCTGGCTTTTTTCATTTAGCATAATGTTTTCAAGGTTTATCCATGTTGTAACATGTATTCTTTTAAAAAAAATTTTAATGTGTAAAATATACATATCATAACATTTACCTTTTAATCATTCATAAGTACACAAATCAGTGGCATGAGGTGGTCCCTTCCCAATGTTGTGCTGTCATCACCACTGTCTGTTTTCAGAACTTTGTCATCATCATCCCCAACAGAAACCCTGTACCCATTAAACAGTAACTCCCGGCCAGACGCGGTGGCTCACGCCTGTAATCCCAGTAATTCCAGCACTTTGGGAGGCCGAGGTGGGCGGATCACAAGGTCAGGAGATCGAGCCCATCCTGGCCAACACGGTGAAACCCCGTCTCTACTAAAAATACAAAAAATTAGCCGGGCATCGTGGCGCACGCCTGTAGTCCCAGCTACTCGGGAGGCTGAGGCAGGAGAATTGCTTGAACCCAAGAAGTGGAGATTGCAGTGAGCCAAGATCACGCCACTGCACTCCAACCTGGGTGACAGAGTAAGACTGTCCAAAAAAAAAAAAAAAAAGCCCCCCAAAAAAATCACTGACTCCCCATGCCCTTCCTCCAAGCCCCTGATATCTTCTATTCAACTTTCTGTCTCTATACGTTTGCCTATTCTAGGTACCTCACGTAGGTGAAATCATACAATATGTGTGTGGCCTTTTGTGTCTGGCTTCTTTCACTCAGCATGATGTTTTCAAGTTTCATCCACACTGTAGCATCTATCAATACTCAATTTCTTTTTATGGCTACATAATATTCTATCTACTTATTATTTTTATTCTATGAACACTGATTGACAGCTTCATTTCTGGAGGGCCACCAGTGTGCTACACACTTTGCAGGTCCTTCACCTATATTCTTGTATTTATTCCATTTATTTATAAACTAATGGTCCCCATTGTGCAGGTGAGGAACCTGAAAGCCAGAGGGAATAGTGACTTTTCCAAAGGTCACATTGCTGCTTAGTGGTTAAAGCAGCTCTAGAGCCCTGTGATGTCTTGATTCCCAGGTGCCTGCAGGGCTTGAGAGAAATGGAGACAAAGAAGGCCGTGGGCAGGAGGCCAAGAGAAGCCCAGCAGGTGTGACCATCAATGTGGGAATGTGATGGGGGTGGGAGGAGGTGAGGTAGGGCCCCCACCATTTCAGCTTCTTCCCCTCCAGCCACCTTCCCATCACCCTCCCCAACCATCTCCACCCCAGCCAGGGCCAACACCATTCTGACTGTTGCTTTGCCTGCCTCTACTTTACCCCTGGTCTTTGACTCCCTGATAGAAAAAGCTGAGGCCCAAGGCCTCTGGGCTGACTGCTCTTTTGGCATAAGTCCTCCACACCCTTCCCCCACAGGTATCCCCAACAGGGTGTGGAGAGGCCGCTCTTTTACCTTGAAGTTCTACTTTGTTCTACTCTTGTTCCTCTGCTGAGACCTGGTTAGCCTTCCTGGGGCCTGACTCTCCCATTCTCCAGCACCAGCCCTGACCTGACCTCTCCTCCTCCAAACCCTGCATGGGGCCCTGCAACCAAGCACAGCTGTGTCTGGTCTTTGTCCAGACATCAAATGGTCCAGGGAGGGGGTGGCATTTTGGTTATTTTTGCCTAAGAGGCTTTCTATACCCTGACCAATCCCAGCCTCATTCCCAATGGGTTATGAGAGTGGAGATAGCTTCTTCTTATCCATGTTTCTTACAGTGCCTCTTCCCCCACCCCAACAGACACACACACGCACACACACACACACACACACACACACACACACACTCCTTCCTTCCCACTTCTCCTCTCCTTAGGAACTGGAGCCCCTCCCTGTTCTCCCTGCTCTACCCAGCCTCCTGGCCGCAGTCCTCCCACCTTCGATGAGAGTCCTCCAAGGAAGAAATATAACAATTTAGAATTTCAGTTGAATCTCCAATAGCCTGGGGTACAGAGGTGGCTTGAGGCTGGGAGGATGGTGGAGAGGCTGTTCTGCAGAAGCCAGAGTCCTTTTGCTACCCCAGGGCCTCTTGCTGAAGGAGCATTGATTGAGAACACTGGAGCCTGGGGCTCTGGGTATCACGATCGTCCCCTCTGGAAGCCCTTCTAGAAGTGTCCAGGTCTTCTCTTCCTCTTCCTTGCTGGGGATTTGCTTGCTTGTGCCTTGGAGAGATGGTGGAGGGGTAAGGCAGTTCTGTCCTTTATCAGGGTTTGGAAATCCCTTATGAGGTCCTGGCTCAGGGGCGCGCTGGGCAGCAAGGCCAGCTTTAGCACCTTCTCCTGGTAGTGAGGCAGAGGGTTTGGGCAGGGCCAGCTCCTGGCGAAATTATTGGGAAACGGGTTGGGCATGAGCTGGAGGCCCTGGGGTTCAAACCTCCCACCAGCGGATATGTGCCGGTACCTGTTGGGAGAAGGGTATGGAGAGAACAGAGAGATCAAAGAAGAGATCCAGGGACAGTGGAGAGACGGGGAAGGGGAAGGGTGATGCCGCTGTCCACAAGCTAGTTAGCCATCAGGCGGCAGGGAATCCCTTCTGTCTCTCCACCTAATCGGATATTGACCTGTGCCAAATGGCCTGCACCTTATGTGTGTGTGTTGGTGTTAGGCTGGTGAAATAATGTCGTGCAGCTAGTAAGCCTTCCATCCTTTTGACATACTGCATATAATATTATGATCCAGATCCCAATCCAGATTCTAACTGTCCTTCAAGTCTCACCTTTTCCACTAATGCAGTGACAGTGGGAAAATCACAGAACTCAGCTCAACTGGATAACTGCCTCTTCTCAGTAAGCCTGCGGTATTGGGTCGAACAGTAGGAAACAGACTTTTGTTTCTTTTAACACAGCTGAATAGTGGCCAGTTTTCTATGACTCAGCGCACTTTGCCCCTGGTTCGGCAGATAGTCCCCTGTTTGCTGTTGTTGGTTTATGCAGGGGCTCTCAGCCTGGCTGCACATTACAATCACCCTGGGAGCTTTTAAACACAACCCACCCACACTGCCCTCAAGGTCAGTTAGTTAGAATCTCCAGAGGGAGGCTCAAACCTCAGCATTTGAAAAAAGAGCCCCTAGGCCGGACCCAGTGGCTCACACCTGTAATCCCAGCACTTTGGGAGGCCGAGGCGGGTGGATCACAAGGTCAAGAGTTCGAGACCAGCCTGGCCGACATGATGAAACTCCGTCTCTACTAAAAATACAAAAATTAGCCAGACATGGTGGCAGGCACCTGTAGTCCCAGCTACTCGGGAGGCTGAGGCAGGAGAATCACTTGAACCCGGGAGGAGGAGGTTGCAAGCAGTGAGCCCAGATCATGCCACTGCACTCCAGCCTGGGCAAGAGCAAGACTCTGTCTCAAAAAAAAAAAAAAAAAAAATGGGGCCCCAGGTCATGATAATGGGCTGCCAGGTTTACATGTAAATGTTGTATTTCCTCAACAAGATCATGCTTACATCTCATTCTATGTCTGAAGTCCTCTGGGTCCCTACAGCTTCAGTGCTTCAGTGTGCTCACTGACTGATCCAGAGTCTTTGTTTTTGTTTTGTTTTGTTTTGTTTTGTTTTGTTTTGTTGAGACAGAGTCTCACTCTGTTGCCCAGGCCGGAGTGCAGTGGCACGATCTTGGCTCACTGCAACCTCCATCTCCCAGGCTCAAGTGATTCTCCTGCCTCAGCCTCCCAAGTAGCTGGGATTACAGGTGCACCACCACTCCTGGCTAATTTTTTATATTTTTAGTAGAGATGGGGTTTCCCCATGTTGGCCAGGCTGGTCTCGAACTCTTGACCTCAAGTGATTCGCCCGCCTTGGCCTCCCAAAGTGCTGAGATTACAAGCATGAGCCAACACACCAGGCCCAGAGTCTTTTTTTTTTTTTTTTTTTTTTTTGAGACAGAGTCTCGCTTAGCCAGGCATGGTGGCACGTGCCTGTAATCCCAGCTACTTGGGAGGCTGAGCCAGGAGAATCGCTTGAACCCAGGAGGCAGTGAGCAGTGCCGAGATCATACCATTGCACTCCAGCCTGGGCGACAAGAGCGAAACTCCATCTGAAAAAAAAAAATTAAAGATTTAAAGATGTATAGGGCACTTACTGTGATGGAGTTTGCAAGACTGGAAGTTGCTCTGGGTGAGTGAGTGAGTGGAGAGTGAGTGAGTGAATGTGAAGGCCTAGGACATTACTGTACACTACTGTGGACTTCATAAACACTACATGATTTGGTGACACTAAATTTATTTATTTATTTTGAGATGGAGTCTGACTCTGTCCCTGATGCTCGAGCACAGTGGCCATGATCTTGGCTCACTGCAACCTCCACCTCCTGCATTCAAGCGATTCTCCTGCCTCAGCCTCCCGAGTAGCTGGGATTACAGGGCCCCGCCACCATGCCCGGCTAGTTTTTGTATTTTTAGTGGAGACAGGGTTTCGCCATGGTGGCCAGGCTGGCCTTGAACTCCTGACCTCAGGTGACCCACCTGCCTTGGCCTCCCAGAGTGTTGGGATTACAGGCGTGAGCCACCACGCCCGGCCGCTAAATTTGTTTTATTTTAATTTTATTTATTTTTTTTATTTTAATTTTTTCCCAAGATGTAGTCTTGATCTGTCACCCAGGCTGGAATGCAGTGGCGTGATCTCAGCTCACTACAACTTCCACCTCCCGGGTTCAAGTGATTCTCCTGCCTCAGCCTCCCCAGTAGCTGGGATTACAGGCATGTGCCACCACGCCTGACTAATTTTTGTATTTGTAGTAGAGAGAGGGTTTCACCATGTTGGCCAGGCTGGTCTTGAACTCCTTACCTCAAGTGATCTGCCCGCCTCAACCTTCCAAAGTGCTGGGATTACAGGCGTGAGCCACCATTCCCGGTCCACTAAATTTATTTTTAAAATGAGGTAATTGTGCTAAAATGTTAAGACAACTTCAACATCATCAGGCAGGAGTTTTTTTTTTAGCTCCATTATAATCTTATGGGACCGCTGTGGTATATGTGGTCTGTCACTGACCAAAAGGTTTTGTGGCACATGACTTCCTGTTATGTGTCCTGCCTTCTCTGGGGACCTAATTCCTTGTCTGAGACACATTCCTTCATTCCTGGTTCCAGGGCCTGGGCCTACAGCAGTAAACATGTGAGACAAGGATCCTACTGTCATGGAGATACCATACTAATAATGATACAATCTATTGAGCCCCTTCTGTATGTATGCTAGGCCCTGTGCCATTTGACCCTCTAACCACCTTAACCACCTGCTGTGGGAACTGTTTTTTTTTTCTTTTGAGCTAGGGTCTCACCACGTTGCCCAGCCTGGAGTGCAGTGGCACAGTGATGGCTAACTGCAGCCTCGACCTCCTGGGCTCAGACAGTCCTCCCACTTCAGCCTCCCATGTAGCTGGGATTATGGGCATGTGCCACCATGCCTGGCTAATTTTTTGATATTTTTGTGGAGACGGGGTCTCATATGGTGCCCCAGGCTGGTCTTGAACTGGCCTCAAGCGATCCTCCCACTTCGGCCTCCCAAAGTGTTGGGATTACAGGCATGAACCATCATACTCGGCTAGGCAAGATACTTGACCTGTCCAGCTCAGATAGCCCACCTGTAAAATGGGGTTAATGAGGCCGGGCACGGTGGCTCACGCCTGTAATCCCAGCACTTTGGGAGGCCGAGTTGGGCCTGAGGTCGGGAGTTCAAGACTAGCCTGGCCAACATGGAGAAACCCCGTCTCTACTAAAAAGTACAAAAATTAGCCAGGCATGGTGACGGGAGCCTGTAATCCCAGCTACTCAGGAGGCTGAGGCAGGGAGAATGGTTTGAACCCAGGAGGCGGAGGTTGCAGTGAGCCAAGATCACACCACTGCACTCTAGCATGGGCAACAGAGGAAGACTCTGCCTCAAAAAAAAAGAAACAACAAAAAAAAACGGGGTTAATGATAGTTTCTACTCAGAAGGTCCTGGGGGATTAAATAATACAGAGAAGTGTTTGGCAGAACACCACCTGGCACTGTCATGCCACTGTGAGTCTCTCTGGAGTACTCTAAGTCTTTCTCCCCTTTGCCAGGGTCAGCACCTATCAGCAACTGGCAATCTTCAGGGCAAGGGTAGCAGGGAAGCAGGGAGAAGCCTGGGTCCCCACAAAGGAGACTGATCTCTCAAAGTCACCAACCTTTGGTTTTTTGTTTTTTTTTTTAAACAAAGTCTCGCTCTTGTCACCCAGGCTGGAGTGCAGTGGCGTGTTGGCTCACTGCAACCTCCACCTCCCGGGTTCAAGTGATTCCCCTGCCTCAGCCTCCTGAGTAGCTGGGATTACAGGCGCCTGCCACCACGCCCAGCTAATTTTTGTATTTTTAGTAGAGACGGGGTTTCACCATGTTGGCCAGGCTGGTCTCGAACTCCTGACCTCAGGCGATCTGCCTGCCTTGGCCTCCCAAAGTGCTGGGATTACAGGCGTGAGCCACCAGGCCCGGCCTGTTTTTTTTGTTGTTGTTGTTGTTTTTGTTTTTGTTTTTGTTTTTTTTTCAGATTAAAAATCTTCACAGCCACTCCAACTCCCCAGTGCTTTGGTCCTGCCCTTGGGATTGGAATTTGAGACATTCCTTTTCATTGCCTTCCCCCTTTCTTGTTACTCTTGCATGCGTAGTGCCTGGGCTGGACACAGTTGGGAAGCATCCGTGAGTTCCCAGGGTGGCCGGGAGGGGGAGCTGCGGGGTTCACAGCGGCTCCTCTCAACGTTCCTGGCTCCGCTCCCGACTTCTCAGCCCTGCCTGGAGGGGCTCAGCCACTGCTTTTAGCTGTCTGCTGGCTTTCCACCCTTCCAGCCTGAACCCTGACTTCCCCATGAGGCCTTCCTGTGGCGGGGACACTCCAGGTCGCTGCACCCCTTCTCTCCTGAATTTCTGTAACGACATCTAACTTTTATTTAATTAATTTATTTATTTAGAGATGGAGTTTCTCTCTTGTTGCCCCGGCTGGAGTGCAATGGCACCATCTTGGCTCACTGCAACCTCCGCCTCCCAGGTTCAAGTGATTCTCCTGCCTCAGTCTCCTGAGTAGCTGGGATTGCAGGCACCCATCACCACACCCGGCTAATTTTGTATTTTTAGTAGAGATGGGCTTTCTCCATGTTGGTCAGGCTGGTCTGGAACTCCCTACCTCAGGTGATCCGGCCGCCTCGGCCTCCTAAAGTTCTGGGATTACAGGCGTGAGCCACCACGCCCTGCCATAACATCTAACTTTTGTTCAGTTCTTCCACATATTCACTAGCTCAATTTATCCTCCCACAGTGAGGTCGGTACCTGAGGCTCCCCCCTTCATCGGTGAGGGAGCTGAGGCTGGAGAAGCTGGGCACCTCACCATGGTGATGGGGTTGGAACTGTACTCCAGGCCTTCGGGCTACAGCTTTCACTCCAGTTCTTTACATTAATAACTGACTTCCTTACAACACCCCCTGTCTCGCACTCTGGGCCCTTTGCATGTGTAGCCTTTTTTTGATAGCTATCTTTGCAAAGCTCCTTGAGGGCAGGCACTGAGTCACACTTCTCTGTGTCCCCAGTGCCTACCAGGTGTCACCTGCATAGCTGTCCCCCAGATTTTAGTGAAACTCCCTGCCTCCACTCGCTGTTCCTCCCTTGTCTCCACCTCGTCCTTCCAGCTACACTCAGAAAAGAGTTTGGTTTTCAGATGGCCAGAGCGGGGAAGGACAGAGTCCCGGTTAGAAACAGGAACCTGAGAGAGGGAGGGGTCACCTGGGCAGGGCAGGCTGGGTGGGCTCCCTGAGGAGGCACCGTCTTACTTCTTGAAGCTCGCTGGCGGCTGGATGTTGCCCTGGGCATCGAGTGGGGGTGCTCTTGCCTCACTCCTCAACTTGAGCTTCTCCACCTCCTTCAACTCCTTCACTGTCCTGAAAATCACCTGCTTCTTCCTTTTCATGTCCACAAACGTGGGATAACAGTGGATGAAGGTCAGGAAGCTGTTTTGCCCCATCCAGGAGGGAGGGGGGATGGGGTGCTCCGTGGGGGGGCATCTGTGGGCATTGGAGTCGGTCAGCCAGCGCCAGACATTGCTATCGTAGGGCCTGTCAGGCTGGGTGGGGAAGGTGGCAGGCAGACGGCACACATCGAGCCACGTGTGAAAGCCCCAGGTGTGCTGGGCGCCACCCTTCCAAGGGTGGATGAGCCGCTGACGCACCTTGGACTTCATATCTGTGCAGGGCGGCAGCTTCAGAGCCAGCTGGTGGTAGGCTTGCCGGGTGAAGCCAGGGAACTCCCAGGACTCGCTGGGGAGGAAGAACTCACGCTGAGCCCACGTTTGGGAGGGTGGGAGGGACTCGCTGGCCTGGACCATCTAGGGAGAGACAAAAGGGAGCCTGGGGAAGGTTGTGCAGACAGGGGTGCAGAAAGGTGGGTGAGGCACTCCGCTCTCCTTCCCAGGCACGACCTCTGCCAGCCCAGGATTCTCATGAGGACGCAGAAGTCCTGGCAGGGCCGCATCTCCATCCCTCTCCTTCCCGGCGGAAGTTATGGCTGCTGCGTATCATCTTCACAGTCACTCATCTTTTGATCTCTTGCCATTGACCATATTTTGGCTTTGACTTCCCACCCTCTGTACTCAGCTTTCACTCTTTACCTTCACCTCCCTCCTCCGTTCTGGCATCCCCACATTCCCACCCAGGAACTGGTGCTCCTTAGAGGGCACATCAGGCCTCAGGAAATCATGAAGGGAAATGCTCCCTACCATGCCAAGGGGGGCAGCCCACCTTCACTTGCTCCTGGTCTTGGCGGTATACCAGGAAAGTCCTCCAGAAAATAGGGCCAGGGGTTTTCCCATCCCAGACTCCTCTCAATACTCATTTGTCCGTCACTGACGCTTTCCTCCCACTCCTCATTAAAACGCTAGTATAGAAAGCATCTAGAATGGCAGCTCCTTCCCCTTTCTGCACCCTGCCCCCCATTAAATAAACAGCAGCAAGTACATATTGATGCTGTGCTAAATACTTACATGGATCTTATTGAACCCCCACAACTCTATGAGCAAGTATTGCTATCGTCCCCATCTCAAAGATGCAGAAAGCAACACACAGTAAGGGTAGGTGACTCACACAGGGTGCTGGTGCCTGAGTGACAGCTGGGACTTAAGCCCTCTGTCTGTGCTCTTGCTTGGCATACCATGCTGGGTGAAATGAAATGGCCTTACTTAGCACAGTGCCTGACTGCAACAAAAATGTGCCTCTTTTAAAATGCTTCGCCCTCCTATCCATCCCCAGGGATGTTTTCTTTTTTTAGATGGAGTTTCACTCTTGTTACCCAGGCTGGAGGTGCAATGGTGCAATCTCGGCTCACTGCAACCTCCACCTCCCGGGTTCAAGTGATTCTCCTGCCTCAGCCTCCTGAGTAGCTGGGATTACAGGCGCGTGCCACCATGCCTGGCTAATTTGGTATTTTTAGTAGAGACGGTTTCATCATGTTGGCCAAGCTGGTCTCAAACTCCTAACCTCAGGTGAACCGTTCCCCTCGACCTCCCGAAGTGCTGGGATTGCAGGCGTGAGCCACTGTGCCTGGCCCCCAGGACTTTTCTGATTGCAAAAACCCACCTGTTTCTTGAGCTTGGGCCCCTAAGTCATTTCTACAGGATCACCCCAGTGGGTGGGGCTGGGAGATGTGGCACTAGCCAGGCATCTCCTCTCTGTTCTGAGCTCTGGGTTCCTAGTGTCATAGGATGAAAAGGGGAAGACAGCAGAAAATGTATGGGCCAGGCAGTCTGCTGCCCAGAAGAAAGCCTGGCCCACTATAAGGGACAGCCTGTAGCCCAGTGGGGTACAAAAAGGTAGGCGGCAGAGATGGGCCACCCCCTACCTGCAGGAAAGGTTCTTCCATATGAGATGGGTGACTGGGCCCTCTGAGTGATCTTTGCCGGTTACTGGCCATTCTTCTGGGCCTCAGAGCCAGGAGGGGCGGCTTTGTGGGGAAGCCCTTTCTGGCACCATTGTTTACTCCTGGGGTTGCTATGGTGATGCTGCTTGAGTGGTGATGCAGAGAAGAGGCCCTCACCTGTCCCTGGAGCCTCTTGTGACCCTTGGGCCCCTGGCTACTTTTCAGGTTAGACAGGCAGGGGATAGCACTTTCTTCAAGTTCTGACTGCAAAAAACTGTAACAGGAGCTGCTGCCGGGCAGAAGAAAAGCAGGGCAGGCTGGCTCCCAGGCCTCAGGGTGGGGATGGCAGTGGGAATGAAGCACCTGTAACTGGGCCCTTCCTGCCCTAATGTTCAGGGGGCCCTACCCCTCGTGAGCTTGTCTTATTAAGAACCCTCAAAAGGCCTAAGTTAACCAGCAGGTCCAAAGGTCCCAAGGAACAAGGTCAGAGACGCCAGGGAAAAGAGGTGAGCTGTGCAGGACTAGCACTGGGAAAACTGGCAATTTGTGTTGTCAAGTGTGTGCCTGTGCAAGTGCTCCAACTGCTGCTTTGGGTGAACTTCAGGCCTTGCCTCTTCCCTATCACCATCGTCTCCATCAACACCCTCTTTCTTTTCCAGCCTCTCCTGGTGCCTTAGGAATCAGACGCCAATAAACCACAGAGCCCAGCATGTCCACCTTCGCTTTTATTGAGTAGTTAGTGTTCTCAAGCTGGCTCACACCCATGCGGTCAGCTGGGGCCTAGGGTGGCTCTTTGCAAAGCTGAGGGGCAAGCTAAGGAAGCCAGGCAGGTCAGGGGCCCTTTCGGCCTTCTCAAGCCTCCACCTGAGTTCTCGTCAATGCCAGTCTCCCTGGTATGATTGGGGACATTATCAGAGAAACATCTAATAGCGCACATCTGGGCACCCACACTCTGCTTCAGTTGCATCCATCCTCCCACCCCAAATTCAACTCCTGACCCAATACAAAAGACTTTTTTAACCAGGATTTCTTCTTGCAGGAAAGCTGACTTGGAAACACGGGGAGGTGGCAGGGAGGGGCAAAAAGGACTCTGGCAAGCAGATCCACTTGTCTGGGTCCCTGCAGTGAAGAACCCAAGATCCAGGTACCTCAGCCTGGAAGAAACCGTGCACTGCAGGTCTTCCCTTCTATCAAAACTAAAAGCAAGGAACAGAAGTCAATTGAAACCCCAGGTCATCCTACCCACCTTCTGGCAGTCTCTGGATAATGATCTAAGGAAATAAGCTTACATTTATAATTAGAGGATAATTTGGAGAATTTATACTATTTACACGGACCACCCTGCAAAGATCAGGGAAGGTAAGAGACTGCTGGGCAGAGAATGGAAACAGGCTGGGGGGTTCCTAATCTCTTTTCACCATTGCCTTTGTTGTTCCCACCCTTCAGCTCCTGGCAGGGACAGCAGAGGAATCAGATACTCTTGGGGAACACAAGGTCCCAGCAGTGGCTAGGGTGTGACTGCTACTTTTGCATAATCAGGCAGCAGGGAGCTATGAGGAGCAGAACAGTCCCTGCCTGCTGTCCTCACTCAGAGGCTTGGGGTGCACTGAGCCTTGGAGTGCCCGGGATGGTGGACAGCTTGAGCACAGGGGCAAGGGCAGGGCTCTACTGTAGCTCAGGAATAAACTGGGACCAGTTGATGTTGTCAGGGCCCAGTGGGTCCTCGTCCAGGCCAGGAAAGCTGATGTCCAGCAGGATCTTGCTGAGGCTGTCATTCATTGTGTCCAGGACCAGGCCTTCTGTCAGAGAACGATTGGCTGCAAGGCCAGAAACCTGTGGCTCCGGGGAGCCTGGCTTGGGGACGTCTATATCTGAGGGAGAAGAGTTGCCAAAGGGGACGGAGATGAGGTCTAAGGGTTCTGAACTGAGGAGCCTTTGCGGTGATTCAAGGGGGGGAGCACTTTGCAAGGGAGTGGTGCTGAGATCCATCAGCCCCAGGGGGTCAGGCAAGGGGTCAGAGGCACCCTGGGAGGTTTGTACTGGGCTGAAATCCAGTCCCCCTACTTTGGCTGGGGGCGTGAGCCTCCAGGATTCAGGGGTTCTGGGGAGGACAGATTTGCTCGGGGTGGAGGAGATGGGCAGCGTTTCCTTAATGGGTGTCTTAAAAGGTCCTCCCACTTCCTGGGAGTAGCTGAGCTGGGAGGCAGGGTCAGAGGAGTCTGCTGGGAACGGGAGCTCTGCGGCCCAGCGGGAAGTACTGGGCCCCTCTGAGAAGAGCAGCTCCGGCTCATCCACACAGGGAGGCAGTAGATGCTGTTTTCTCCGAGACCGGCTCCTCTCCCTCCTCTCCCTGTGTTGAATCACAAGCATTTCCGAGACACACCGGGTTGGGGACCTAAGCCCACTGTAGGACTTCTTGGGTCTTGGGGTGGGAGATTGGGACGAATCCTCCCAGGAGTGAGATGATTCCTCTTTGAAAGATGGGGCCGGGGAGGGCCACTCTTCCAAGGGAGGGCTCTCCACTTTGATGGGTCTCGCTAAGTGTGGCATTTCCTCCCCAGGCTGGATTTCTTCCTCCTTGATAGTCTGAACTGGAAGCAAAGGAGAAAACCCTTCTCCAAACAGGAGTTTCTCCTCTTTCCCTGGTCCTGCAGAAGAAAGAGGAGCTATCCCCTCCTCAGCTAGCAGCACCTGAAAGGGAAACAGAGATAAGGTGAACCAACGGTCACCAGACAGGACGCACAAAAATATCACATACGGGTTCTGATCCTCTTTGTGTCGTTTTGAAGTCTTAAAATCTATTAAATATGAGAATACGATGTATGTTGAAGTTGGTAGTTCAATTCTGGGGGTAAAAGATGCGGGTATGTAGTATGTAGTGGCATAATTATAATAGCATTCATCCGAGAGGAAATAAAATTGCATGCTTGTCTTACACTGTATACAAAGATTTAATGCATGAAAATAAGAACCTTAGGCTGCTCTGATGGTAGCGGGTAGTGACATTATTGTCACTAAAGTTGGTACACAACCCCCAACTGCTAAATTTGACTGGCTTTAAAAAAAAAATGAAAACCTTAAAATCATACAAATCCTGAAAGAGAATCTAGGAGACTACATATACAATCTGAGGGTGCGGGTGACCTTCTTAACCAAGACTGGAAACCCAGAAACTGTAAAAGAGAAGAGAGACATTTGACTACATAAAACTTTAAAATTTTACTGTGGCAAGAGATACCATAAACAAAGTTAAGAAACAACAAACAATGCCTGTAATCCCAGCACTGCAAGACACTGAGGCCAGTTTGAGACCAGCCTGAGCAACATAGTGAGATCCCATCTCTACAAAAAAATTTTTTTTAATTAGCTGGATGTGGTGGCATGCACCTGTAGTTCCAGCTACAGGTGGGAGGCTGAGGTGGGAAGATCACTTGAGCCTGGGAGGTCAAGGATGTAGTGAGCCTTCATTACACCACTGCACTCCAGACTAGGCAACATAGCAAGATCCTGTCTCAGAAAAGAAAAGAAAGGAAAGTAAAGAGATAAACAATAGAAGTAGAAAAATATCTTCAGCATAAAAGAAAGAAGATTATTTTAACAACAAAGAGCTCTCACAGGGGGCTGGGTGCGGTGGCTCACGCCTGTAATCCAGCACTTTGGGAGGCCAAGGCAGGCAGATCACCTGAGGTCAGAAGTTCGAGACCAGCCTGACCAACATGGTGAAACCTTGTCTCTACTAAAAATACAAAATTAGCCGGGCGTGGTGGCATGCACCTGTAATCCCAGCTACTCGGGAGGCTGAGGCACGAGAATTGCTTGAACCCGGGAGGCAGAGGTTGCCAAGATCACACCACTGTACTTCAGCCTGGGTGACATAGCAAGACTCCATCTCAAAAAAAAAAAAAACTCTCACAGGCTGGGCGTGGTGGCTTATGCCTGTAATCCCAGCACTTTGGGAGGCCGAGGTGGGTGGATCATGAGGTCAGGAGTTCGTGACCAGCCTGGCCAAGATGGTGAAACCCTGTCTCTACTAAAAAATACAAAAATTAGCTGGGCGCAGTGGTGGGCGCCTGTAATCCCAGCTACTTGGGAGGCTGAGGCAGGAGAATCGCTTGAACCCAGGAGGCAGAGTCTGCAGTGAGCTGAGATCACGCCACTGCACTCCAGCCTGGGTGACAGAGCAAGACTCCGTCTCAAAAAAAAAAAAAAAGAGCTCTCACAAATTGATAACAAAACCTATATAAAAATGGGCAATGTTCATAAATAACCAATTCATAGAGGACAATTCCAAGTCACCAAACATAATGACAAGGTGCTCAGACTTACTGATAAACAAAGAAAGATAAAATTAAACAAGCTGGTGATGGGTGTACCAAAATCTCGCAGATCGCCACTAAAGAACTTACTCATGTAACCAAACACCACCTGTTCCCCAAAAACCTATGGAAATAAAAAATTTAAAAATAAATAAATAAAACATTTTAAAAAATTAAGAAGATATAACCTATACATATTAGATTGGCAGATATTAAACAGACTAATAATACCAATTGCTGGCAAAGATATAGATCTTATCATATATTGCTGGTTTAAACATGACTTATCATAGCTTTTTTGGAAAGCAATCTAGCAATATTTAGTAGAATTTAAAATACCTTCTCACCCAACAATCTCACATCTGGGACTCTATCCTAGAGAAATGAAAGCACTAGTAAGAGAGATCCTTGCAAACATATTTATTGCAGTGTCGTTCATTGGGCAAAATTTGAGAAACAGAATCTGTCCATAAAAGTGGAATGGCTGAAAAATCTGTGGTGTAGCCACATCATGGAATATTACATGGACACTAAAAAATAATGAATTAGGACTATGCCAAGTGACTTGGAAGAAATTCCATGAGGCATTGTTGAGTTAGAGACATGTAGAGGCTGGGCGTGGTGGGTCATTCCTGTAATCTCAACACTTTGGGAGGCCAAGGCAGGCGGATCATGAGGTCAGGAGCTCGAGACCAGCCTGACCAACATGGTGAAACCCCATCTCTACTAAAAATACAAAAATTAGCTGGGCGTGGTGACGTGCGCCTGTGATCGCAGCTACTCAGGAGGCCGAGGCAGGAGAATCGCTTGAACCCAGGAGGCGGAGGTTGCAGTGAGCCAAGATCATGCCATTGCACTCCAGCCTGGGCGACAGAGTGAGACTCCGTCTCAGGAAAAAAAAAAAAAAAAAGAGACATGTAGAGAAGTATGCACAACATGATTACATTATCAATGTTCTGTGTGTTGTATGTGTACATATAAAATGGCTATCGCTATACATGTATAGTATAACTAAGAGCATTGATAAAATATGCAAGAAAGCATCATAAATTATCAACCAGTTATCTTGGGAGTAGGGGTGATGTGGGTGATGGTAGGGTGGAGAGGGAGCCAAAAAGGAAAGGGGAGAAAACCCACTGCATGAAAACCCAAACAGGGCACATGCTACGGCCACATGAATGAATTTACGCTAAATTATGTATGTGTGGTATAATTTTGTGTGTAATATGTTTTATTTATAATTAAAGAAAATGTTTTTTAGAGACAGGGTCTCATTTTGTTGCCTAAGCTAGAATGCAGTGGCACGATTATAGCTCATTGCAGCCTCCAGCTCTGGAGCTCAAGTAATCCTTCTGCCTCAGCCTCCCAAGTGGCTGGGACAACAGGTATACATGAAAATGCCTGGCTAATTAAAAAAAAATTTTTTTTTTTTTGTTACAGACAGGGTCTTACTTTGCTGCCCAGGCTGGTCTTGAACTCCTGGCCTCAAGTGATCCTCCTGCCTTGGCCTCCCAAAATACTAGGATTATAGGTGTGAGCCACTGTGCATGGCCTAAAAGATTTTATATATTAAAAAAAAAGCAAACCCAAGTCGCTCTAAACTCCAGACTCTATGCTATTTTCATCTCTCTGAAGGGGATGGGGGAAGCTTTTCACTTTGGTTACATGTCAGCCCGTACTCACAGAACCCTTTAACAGTGTTAAGTGCAGATCTGATGGCTGATCCAAGTTGGCTCTGAATTTACCCTTCTCACCTTCCCCTCAAGCTAGACCAGTGATACTCAAGCAGGGGTGATTCCCTCCCTGCCAGGGGACATTTGGCAATGTCTGGAGGCATTTGGATTGCCGCGCCTGTGGTGGGTGCTACTGGCGTCTAGTGGGGAAAACAAGGGATACTGCTAAACACCCTTCAGTGCACAGGACAGTCCCTCCCACGCCCAACAAAGAATTCTCCAGCTGTCAACGTGAATAGTACTTGAGAAACCCTGAGTTAGTCTGACCCAGTCACTTTACTACTGCCAGGTACGAACTGCATTTCCCGCCTCCATGGCACTGCCCATTAGCATGCTCTCTCTACACCTGTTTGCTTACCCAAATCTACTTTTTTTCTTTTCTTTTTTGAGACAGGGCCTCACTGTTGCCCAGGCTGGAGTGCAGTGGTGCAAACAGGGCTCACTGCAGCCTCAACCTCCTGGACTCAAGTGATCCTTCTGCCTCAGCCTCCTGAGTAGCTGGTACCACAGGCATGTACTACCACCGTGGCTAATTTTTTTTTTTGCATTTTTAGCAGAGACTGGGGTCTTGCTATGTTGCCCAGGCTGGTCTCGAACTCTTGGCTGTAAGCAATACCCCTGCCTCGGCCTCCCAAAGTGTCGGGATTACAAGTGAGACCCACAGCGTCTAGCCTCAAATCCACTTCTTTCTTTTCTTTTTTTTTTTTTGAGACAGAGTCTCGCTCTGTCACCCAGGCTGGAGTGCAGTGATCTCGGCTCACTGCAACTTCCCTTCCTGGGCTCATGTGATTCTCCAGCCTCAGCCTCCCAAGTAGCTGGGATTACAGGCATGTGCCACCAAGCCCAGCTAATTTTTGTATTTTTTAGTAGAGACGGGGTTTCGCCACGTTGGCCAGGCTGGTCTCAAACTCCTGACCTCATGATCCACCTGCCTTGGCCTCCCAAAGTGCTGGGATTACAGGTGTAAGCCACAGCGCCCGGCCAAATCCATCTCTTTCTAAGGCCTGCCTCCCTTGTGTATCTTCCTTAATAATCCTAGCCCATCTATCACAATCACTTTTGTCTGAATTCTTACAAGCTCATCAGGTATTTATGGGCCTTCTGACACCACTTACATTGTAATCCAAATACCTTTTTAGCTCTTCTAATGCTATTACACTTCCCTATGTTTTTATGCCTTTTCTACCCAACTAGATTTATAAGCTCTCAAGGAACACTTATCAGAGTGCTTTGCAAGCTGAAGGTCCAACATTCTTAATTGGCCAGAATCTCTCTTCAGAGGAAAATAGGACACCCACCTTGGGGGCAATGCGGACTCGCTTGCTATGGCGGGCAAGCTCTGAGCTCATGAGGGAAGCCGCCAGGGGCAATGGCACCTTCACCGAGGGCTGCAACACCAGTGACTGGTTCACCGGGAACTGGATAGGTACCAGGTATGAGCTGACCCGTGGTAGCAGTGGCTTCATCTTCCGCCCTAGGAGGAAACACGAGAGATCAGGAGCAGGGGGACTGGAGTACACCCCTTCTCAGCCCCAGGAGCTTTGCTCTCCTTCTCTGGGCTCAGATCCCTTTGAGGTGGGAACAGAATCCCAGAGTCTGGTTCCCTAAAGATATGGCCCCAGAACAAGGACCAGGCCCAAGGCCCACTCTCCCATACTAACGTGCGCCCAGGGGGAGTTCGGTTTTGATGGTCATGTTCCGGCGGAGCTCTGGATTCGGTCGTTTCTGCTGCTGCTTGTGGCAGATGGGGAGAGAAAGAAACCTATGTTAACACAATAAGGTAAAGAGGGGATGGCAAAACCCCACCAGCTGCTCTGGTGGTGTGTGCTTGAGTTAATGACAGCCCAGAGAGAGGAGGCCAACCTGAGGGGATGGACGTAGGCGAGCAGTCTCCAAAACTGTGATGAGTGGGCAGGTGGGTGGCCTACAGACACATGATGGCAGAGTGGCACTACCGCTTCACCCACGTGTCCTCAACACCCCTGGGGGATGCCAGAGCAGGTAGCTATATGCGTGGCAAAGAAAAGCTAGGCACAAAAGTGAGCGAACGAACTGCCGCCCCTGAGGCTGGTGCCATGCGCTTGTGGCTGCTGCAGCATGCTCCCCTGCTGTGCCCTGCTCTGCTCAGTGTGCCCTTGTGATGCCCATGGAAGGGGAGGGAAGTGGGTGTGTGCCTGACCCTCAGGGTGTTCTGTGTCTAGGGCTGGCACCTAGACAAAACATGGCCATAGGGACCCTTCCCCACATCACATCTTGTCTCTGTCCACTAAAGCCATGCTGAGCAGTGAAAGGAAAACAAGGCCAAGCCCCGAGCCAGAGGGAAAGAACCTTACTGATTCCAAGTGCTCGGGCAATTGTGGAGACCCTGGGTCCAGTGGCTGGTGGCGGCCAGGCATTGTGGGAGAGAAATGAGATGAAGTTACCACCAACGTGGTCAATTTGACCGGATTGGGAAAAACACTTATTCCTGACTGATGACAAAAGACACCCCAGACAACTGCCCCTCCCAGGAGAATGGTTACAGCTACCAGCAGCCTTATGGGCACTCTGAAAAACCAAAATAACTTCTTTCTGAAAAGACGTTCTGGTAGCTCAGCTTCTGGTCTCCAGCCTAAGGCAGGCTTTTTTTTTTTTTTTTTTTTTTTTTTGAGACAGACTTTCACTCTTATTGCCCAGGCTGGAGTGCAATGGTGCGATTTCAGCTCTCCACAACCACCGCCTCCTGGGTTCAAGGGATTCTCCTGCCTCAGCCTCCCAAGTAGCTGGGATTACAGGCATGCGCCACCACACCCAGCTAATTTTTGTATTTTTAGTAGAGACGGAGTTTCTCCATGTTGGTCAGGCTGGTCTCCAACTCCCGACCTTAGGTGATCCACCTGCCTCAGCCTCCCAAAGTGCTGGGATTACAGACGTGAGCCACCACACCCAGCAGGAAGGGCTTTTTTTAGAGCAAGCATTCCCAGAATTTCTTGTAAGAATCACCTGAGATGCTTGCTAAAAATACAAATTCCTGGGCCCATCCCAGAAGCACTAAATCAAGAGCCCCAAGAGAGGGGTCTGGGAAGCTGTGTTTTAACAATGTCCCAGGCAATTCCCATTCACAGGGAAGTTAGGAAAACACTGCCCTGGGGAGCCCTTTCTGTTGGGTCAGAACAGCCTTCTCCTTGCTCTGGTCTGGCACAAAAATGTGTCATTTGGTATTTGTCAAGTGTACTTAATTCACTGGGTTTTGTGCAAGTCACTAATTGGGTGGCTGGCTTCTAACTCTCCCCTGATCAAATGAAAGCATCACTAGCAGAACTTGTTTCCTTTTGAGATGGCTATGACAACCTCCAACTTAGGCCCTATTTAGAGGAAAGCAGGGCATTCACCTTAAACACCTGGTCCAATGTCAAGTAGCGGTTGGCACTGGGGTGAATGGTCCAGAAGGAGACCTTGCCATTGGCAGACGTCTCCCGGACAAACATGTCGTGCAGGGAAAGGTTGTGGCGGATGGAGTTCTGGAAGAAGAGCAAGACAACTGGTTATCAGCTACTTTAGATTCAGAAACATCACCCTTCAAACACATGGGGAAACCAGCCTCAGGCCCCTCCCACTGTGCTCAGCACAGGCTTCGTCTGGTGTCTTTGCAGCCCTCTTGGCAACTCTCCTGACACTCCACACCGCAGAGCCGTCACCTTCAGCCATAAACCCATCTATTCTACGGGAATAAAGACTGATGCCAACCTTAGATTGTGATAAAGAAAAGACCTAGATAGCTGTCAGGGGCTAGAAAAGCAGAGTAAGGCTGTGAGGTAGTGATCAATAGCAAGAAAGGTGGCTCAGAGAAATTAAGAAACTAGGGAATTAGGCCCGGCGTGGTGGCTCACGCCTATAATCCCAGCACTGTGGGAGGCCAAGGTGAGTGGATCACTTGAGGCCAGGAGTTTGAGACCAGCCTAGCAAACATGGTGAAACCCTGTCTCTATCAAAAATATAAAAATTAGCCAGGCATGGTGGCGCATGCCTTTAGTCCCAGCTACTCGGGAGGCTGAGGCAGGGGAATCACTTGAACCTGGGAGGCAGAGGTTGAAGTTAGCCAAGATCATGTCACTGCACTCCAGCCTGGGTGACAGAGTGAGGCCCCGTCTCAAACAAACAAACAAGAAACTAGGAAATTAAGGCTGGGTGTGGTGGCTCACGCCTGTAATCACAGTGCACTGAGAGGCTAAGGCAGGAGGAGTGCTTGAGACTAGGAGTTCAGACCAGCCTGGGCAACATAGTAACCAGCCTGGGCAACTGTCTCTACAAAAAAAAAATTAGCGGACTGTGGTGGTGCACCTGTTATCCCAGCTACTTGGGATGTTGAGGAGGGAAGAGCTTGAGCCCAGGGGGCTGAGGCTGCACTCCAGCCCAGGCAACAGGGTGAGACCCTGTCTCAAAAAACAAACAAACAAAAAACTAGGAAAGTAAGCTGATGGAAGGGAGTAAAATTAAAAGTTCTACCATGAATTAGCCAGGCGTAGTGGCGGGCGCCTGTAGTCCCAGCTACTCGGGAAGCTGAGGCAGGAGAATGGCGTGAACCCAGGAGGCGGAGCTTGCAGTGAGCCGAGATCGCGCCACTGCACTCCAGCCTGGGTGACAGAGCGAGACTCCATCTCAAAAAAAAAAAAAACATAGTTCTACCATGAGGGGCCAGGTGTGGTGGCTCATGCCTGTAATCCCAGCACTTTGGGAGGTCGAGACGGGTGGATCATTTGAGGTTAGGAGTTCGAGACCAGCCTGACCAACATGGTGAAACACTGTCTCTACTAAAAATACAAAAAAATTAGCCAGGCGTGGTGGCGCATGCCTGTAGTCCCAGCTACTCGGGAGGCTGAGGCAGGAGAATCGCTTGAACCTTGGAGGCGGAGGAGGTTGCAGTGACCTGAGATCTGCCATTGCACTCCAGCCTGGGTGACAGAGCGAGACTCTGTCTCAAAAAAAAAAAAAAAAAAAAGAAAGAGTTCTACCATGAGGAAAACAAAGCACACTTGACTTGGAATTGAGCACCCGTCAGAAGACCTCATTTGTGGCTCTGACACCGACCAACTGCGTGAGCTATGTTGACTCACAGGCATCTCGGTCTTTCCATGAATGAAGTGAAAGGAAAACCCCTGCCCACTAGAAATGCTATGTGACGCTACAGGAGATGACATCTTGGGTCATGAGGCTCACAGACAGCATTTTTTTTTTTAATCAAGACATTTTCATAAAACTACTTAGCCACTCTAGCTGCTGGCATCTAGGACGGCTGTTGAGTGTAGCAGAAAAGTGGGCTTGAGTGCTACATTGAAGACCCTCCATGGACTTTAGGTAGTAACACATGAAGTAGTTAAGGAGCTCTTCTTAATGATTTTGCCTGGATTCAATAAGATTGAGTCACAATCTAAAAGATACATTTGTTTATCATTCTAGTGTCCTTTGCACTTAACTGCTGTCCCAGATACAAGTTGCAGTACAGCACTGGAGAGACTGTCAGGCTGGGCTGACCTTGATTTTGGTTGCTGTGGGACACATTACCTTCCAGCCTGGCTTGGCAATGTGCTTAAAGTAGGGAAAGTGGTCCTCAATCCACGTATAGATGTCTTTCAAAGTCATGCGCTTCCTCTCAGTGCTGTTGATGGCGAATTGTATCATGGCCATGTAAGAGTAGGGTGGCCGCTCAGACACAGAGTTCTGCCAGGACGCTGATGGTCTCGAAGGCTCCTCAACCTGAGGGTTATGACACAGGGAATGACATGAAAGAGTTCATGAGAAGCACCCCCAACCCAAGCCCTTGAAGAACATCTAGAGAAACCTTTATCCCATAGGACGGTCTAGAAACAAACTCATCTGAGACCACTATCTCATAGAATAAAATTTTAGAGTTGGGAAGAATCTTGGAGATGATCTAGCCTAGACCCTAGCCAATAAGAAACTGGTTTTGTCATCCATCATTTTGTTGAATTTGGAGAAAATCCAGTCCCTTCCAGTTGAAATTTCTTAGGAAAGTTTGAGTATGTACTTTGATTCTCAAAGCATTGATGTTACACTAAAACCACGCCCGTTTTTCAGACTTTTGGGTCTAGAAACCTAGGTCTTAGTCCCATTTCTGTTCCTGATGTGCTGTGAATAAACGCATCTCATTTCAATGTTTGTATGAGAGAAACATTCTCAAGACTATGAGTCAGACAATGTCTGCAAAGCACACAGTTAGCTAAGTTTTAGGCAAAGAGCTGATCAATCACATTTCTTTTTCTTTTTTTGAGACAGGGTCTCACTGTGTCACCCAGGATAGCGTGCAGTGGCTGGATCACAGCTCACTGCAGCCTTGACCTTCCCAGGCTCAGGTGATCCTCCTGTCTCAGCCTCCAAGTAGCTGGGACTACAGGCATACACCACCACGCCCAGCTAATTTTTTTTTTTTTTTTGAGATGGAGTTTCACTCTTGTTGCCCAGGCTGGAGTACAATGGTACGATCTCGGCTCACTGCAACCTCTGCCTCCTGGGTTCAAGCGATTCTCCTGCTGCAGCCTCCCAAGTAGCTGAGATTACAGGTGCCTGCCACCACGCCCAGCTACTTTTTTTGTATTTTTAGTAGAGATGGGGTTTACCATATTGGCCAGGCTAGTCTCGAACTCCTGACCTCAGGTGATCCACCCACCTTGGCCTCCCAGAGTGATGGGATTACAGGCATGAGCCATTGCGCCTGGCGATTTTTTTTTTTTTTTTCGTATTTTTAGTAGTAGAGACCAGGATTTTGCTATGTTGCCCAGGCTGGCCTAGAACTTACGGGCTCAAGCAATCTGCCCACCTTGGCCTCCCAAAGTGCTGGGATTACAATTGTCAGCCGCTATGCCCGGTCTCATTCACATTTTTAAAATTGGAGATATTACTTTCTAAAGTACACAAATTTTATGTATATAGCACAATTAATATTTACTTACATATACACGCATGTAAATTTTCACTTTTTTTTTTTTTTTGAGACAGAGTTTCACTTTTGTTGCCCAGGTTGGAGTGTAATGGCACGATCTTGGCTCACCGCAAGCTCTGCCTCCTGGGTTCAAGTGATTCTCCTGCCTCAGCCTCCCGAGTAGCTGGGATTATAGGCATGTACTACTGCACCCAGCTAATTTTGTATTGCTAGTAGAGGCGGGGTCAGGCTGGTCTGGAACTCCCGACGTCAGGTGATCCACTCACCTTGGCCTCCCAAAGTGCTGTGATTACAAGCATGAGTTATCGCGCCTGGCCAAATTTTCACTTTTAAAGATTGTTGAGCTGGAGGCTATGATCCTAAGCGATTTAATGCAGGAACAGAAAACCAAATATTGCATGTTCTCACTTATAAGTAGGAACTAGGCTGGGTACGGTGGCTCACGCCTGTAATCCCAACACTTTGGGAGGCTGAGGCGGGTGGATGACGAGGTCAAGAGATTGAGACCATCCTGGCCACCATGGTGAAACCCCATCTCTACTAAAAATAAAAAAATTAGCCGGGCGTGGTGGCGGGCGCCTATAGTCCCAGCTACTCGGGAGGCTGAGGCAGGAGAATCACTTGAACCTGGGATGCAGAGGTTTCAGTGAGCAGAGATTGTGCCACTGCACTCCAGCCTGGCAACAAAGAGAGAATCCGTCTCAAAAAGAAAAAAAAAGAGGCCGGGCGCAGTGGCTCACGCCTGTAATCCCAGCACTTTGGAAGGCCAAGGCAGGTGGATCACGAGGTCAGGAGTTCAAGACCAGCCTGGCCAACATAGTGAAACCCCATCTCTACTAAAAATACAAAAATTAGCCGGGCGTGGCAGCGGGCACCTGTAATCCCAGCTACTCAGAAGTCTGAGGCAGGAGAATCACTTGACCTGGGAGGTGGAGGTAGCAGTGAGCTGAAATCGCAGCACTGCACTCCAGCCTAGGAGACAGAGAAAGACTACGTCTCAAAAAAAAAAAAAAAAAAAAAAAAAGCAGGAGCTAAACATTGAGCACACATGGATATGAAGAAGGGAACACTAGACACCAGGGCCTTCTTGAGGGTGGAGAGTGGGAGGAGGGGGAGACAGAAAAACTACCTAGCAGGTACTATACTCACTACCTGGGTGACAAAATCATTTGTACACTAAACCCCAGCGACACACAATATACCCATGTAACACACCTGCACATGTACCCCCTGAACCTAAAATAAAAGTTGAGAAAAAAAAGAAAATAAAGGTTGAATGAGTGATTTACACATATATACAATAGAATCTAGATGTGTTATATTGGTAACTGTGGGAAAAAAACCCAGACTACACAATTGGGTTAGATCAATTTTGATTGCTAGAGAAGTATTTAAAATTCGTATCTAGGCCAGGCTGGTGGTTCACGCCTGTAATCCCAGCCCTTTGGGAGGCTGAGGCAGGAGGATCACTAGAGCCCAGGAGTTGAAATCAGCCTGGGCAACATAGCGAAACCCCATCTCTACAAAAAATACAAAAATTAGCTGGGCATGGTGGCATGCACCAAGCTGGCAAGTCCCAGCTACTTGGAAGACTGAGGTAGAAGGATCAGTTGAGCCCTGGAGGTCGAGGCTGCAGAGAGCCATGACTGCACCATTGCGCTCCAGCCTGGGCAACAGAGCAAGACGCTGTCTTAAAAAAAAAAAATATATATACGTGTATATATATAACTGACTTTATCTGCTATTAATATTATATCTTCTAATAAAATTAACTTGTTGTATTCTATTCAATTCATACTGTTCATACTGTTGGGAAGCATCTTTAAAGTTCAGGTGGATTCCCAAAATGAAGACCTCTTAATCATTTCCTGAATACCTACTAAGGACAAAATACTAAACCCAGTGCTGGCTGGAATACAGAGTGACCAAGGGACTCTGCCCTCAAGGAAATTTCACAGATGGGAGAGAAAAGATCCCAGGCAGAAAAATAGCTCAAAAGTTATGCAGAATAGCATGAAGTGGAGAGCTAATACCAGAACTTGGAAATTCTGGTCCATCAGGCCACTTGATCCATTTCCCTACCTAGGAATTCCCTACACTGGATCTGATTTCTTTAGTGAGGGACGGAACAATTCACCTTAACCTGTCGCTGCTCCAGGTGACAATTCTCCTTTTCCTCCATCTCTTGCTTGATGCTGCGGGAGCCCAGTCCATCAGAACTCATCTTTCGAAGCCACTGGATGTTGGATAGGCTATTGTTGATAGTGCAGCCTGCTGCCTCACCATCTGCTAGAGGGAAAATAATCCAACACCCCACTTAGCTGCCTCATCAGATGCCCAGGTGTGTCCATCAGAATTGGTGGCTAGCAGGCCGGGTGCAGTGGCTCACACCTGTAATCCTAGCACTTTGGGAGGGCGAGGCGGGTGGATCTCCTGAGGTCAGGAGTTCAAGACCAGCCTGGCCAACATGGTGAAACCTCGTCTCTACTAAAAATACAAAATTAGCTGGGTGTGGTGGCACACGCCTGTAGTCCCAGCTACTCAGGAGGCTGAGACAGGAGAATTGCTCGAACCCGGGAGACGAAGGCTGCAGTGAGCCAACATTGCGCCACTACACTCCAGCCTGAGTGAGACTCTGTCTCAGAAAAATAAAAAATAAAAAAGAAAGAATTGGTGGCTAGGGATCACTTGTCCAAGACCTCTGCCTTTAGGGACGGAGAACACATGCTGAATCTATTGTGGCTCTAAGTTACTCTGCCCCATTATGCATTTCAGGACAAATTTAGGAGCATAGTTCAAATTGCATTTCAAGCTGAGCCACACTGAGCCTTAGAGATCAATCAAGGCAGGCTTACAAAAGAATTATTGAGATATGCACACCAAAAAAGTCACTTTTCAGCCTGGGCAATATAGTGGGACCCCATCTCTGCAAAAAGAAAAAAAAAATTAACTGGGAATGATGGTGCATGCCTATAGTCCCAGCTACTTGGGAGGCTGATGTGGGAGAATGGCTTGAGTCCAGGCATTCGAGGCTAGAGTGAGCCGTGATTGCGCCACTGCACTCTAGCCTGGGTGACAGTGCGAGACCGCATCTCTAAAGAAAAAGTCATTTTCCTCCTCTTGCTTCAGTTTTCTCCTTTATCAAGAAGGAAAATGAGGCCAGGCGCAGTGGCTCACACCTGTAATCCCAGCACTTTGGGAGGCCGAGGTGGGCGAATCACCTGAGGTCAGGAGTTCAAGACCAACCTGGCTAACATGGCAAACCCCTGTCTCTACTAAAAAATACCAAAATTAGCCAGGTGTGGTGGCGGGTGCCTGTAATCCCAGCTACTCAGAAGGCTGAGGCAGGAGAATCACTTGAACCCAGAAGGTGGAGATTGCAGTGAGCTGAGATTGCACCACTGCACTACAGCTTGGGCAACAGAGCAAGACTCCATCTCAAAAAAAAAAAAAAAAAAAAGAAGGAAAATGAAGTCAGGCGCTGTCGTTCATGCCTATAATCCCAGCACCTTGGGAGGCCCATATGGTTGGATCCCTTGAGCTCAGGAGTCCGAGACCAGCCTGGGCAACATAGTGAGACCCCTTCTTCATTTATTTATTTTTGAGACCCCTTCTTTTTTCATTTTTATTTTTTTTTTTGAGACAGAGTCTCCCTCTGTGGCCAGGCTGGAGTGCAGTGGCATAATCTCAGCTCACTGCAACCTCCACCTCCCAGGTTCAGCGATTCTCCTGCCTCAGCCTCCAGAGTAGCTGGGACTACAGACGTGTGCCACCACGCTCGGCTAGTTTTTTTATATTTTTAGTAGAGACGGGTTTCACCATGTTGGCCAGGCTAGTCCAAACTGCTGACCTCAAGTGATCCGCCCGCCTCAGCCTCCCAAAGTGCTGGGATTACAGGGATGAGCCACTGTGCTCGGCCAGAAGCCTGACTGTTGTAAGCATCAAGACTGACTACACACCTTGCCACTACAGAGGAAAGGCTGGGCTCCCTCACCCCTTTCCCTGGAAGACCACATACCACAGGTCTCCCGTTTCTGCTCGCAAAGGGCTCCAGGTGGTCTAGGAAGATTCACATCCCTAGCTGCAGGTTTTGGTCCCAAGGTCTCCAGGGTCACTTCTGTCCTTTTGGCATCATAGCTGGTTTGGGTTTGAGGCCGGAGTCCTGGAGGCTGAGTTGGGGCTCCCCCACAGCTGATGAGGATGAATTTGTTGGGCCCACTACTGCCACTCTCTTTTCCCTTGGCAGTCAGTGCTGTGATGATGCTGTGAATATTAGCATTGTTGGGGATGGCCACTACTTGCGTGTTGGGCATGGTGGGGTGGTTAATAATCTTGATCCCAGCTGGAAACTTGCAAGAGTTGGACTCTGCCACTTCCTTGGAGGCCTCTGCTTGATTAGACTCCTGTTGGGCAGGGGATCTCTTAGGTTCCTCCTCTGATGTTTCACTTGGGGCATTTTGAACAGGAAGGGGCAGCCTCCGTCTTTTGAGAATCAGTGGCCGACGGGGGCTAGTTTTCATTATGAATCTGCGTTTTCACTCTCCATTGAGAATCACAAGTGTGGACCCTGGAAAATGCAAATAGTGGCAAGATGTTAGAGATTGTTTAGGCTGAGAAGAGGTCCTTTTAGAGAAAGGTGCTCCTCTTTATATGACCAGGAACATGAGCCTAAAGGCCCAGGTAAACATTCCATGGACTTTTGTAAAGACCTCAGATAATAAGGAGATAAGCTTTACTGACAAAAGAAGGCTAAAATTACAGCAGACAGAAGCAATTCAAAGGGCAAAAATGGGACTGGGTTGGAGATAAGACAAAGATCTCCTTGAAGCTTCAGAATATTTGGCTACAGAAATGGATGGGATAGCTACAAATATGTGGAAATCTCTATAATTGCCTACTATAATATAAATAGATCACTTGCAATGACTGTATGGACAGAAATGGAAGATGCTAGAATAGGAAAGCATATGGTAATTAGGAGTCCTGATGAAACTCTGATCCCATAATCCATTCAAGACAAAGGATTTTAATTTTTTTTTTTTTTTTTTTTTTGAGACAGAGTCTCACTTTGTCACCCAGGCTGGAGTGCAGTGGCACGATCTCAGTTCACTGCAACCTCTGCCTCCTGGGTTTAAGCGAGTCCCACGTCTCAGCCTCCTGAGTAGCTGGGATTACAGGTGCCCACCACCACGCCCGGCTAGTTTTTGTATTTTTAGTAGAGACAGGGTTTCACCATGTTGCTCAGGCTGGTCTCAAACTCCTGACCTCAGGTCATCTGCCCGCCTCGGCCTCCCAAAGTGCTGGGATTACAGGCGTGAGCCACCGCGTCTGGCCAAGCCTTTTGATTTTTATATTACTTTGTAAATAGGACCAGTGCACACAGAATCAGGGAAGAAAGGCAGATTGTACTATTGCCACACTACTGGAAAAATCATCTCCCAGTTTACAAAACCTCACATAAAATGGAAACCTCTACTGAAGGCCCATGTAAAGTTGTGCAGCTTGTGCACTGAACAACTCTAGAGGGTGACATTTATTTCACAGGCTATTATACTTGCTCTAATTTAAAAAGCATGTTTTCTTTTACAATTTGTATTGTATTTATACAGTGGCATTTTAGTACTTGCATGTGGTTATATATATTTTAACTAAGCATGCCACTTTATTAATTTCTTTTCCAGAAATAAGACTATAACCCCTGTCTTCTTAGTACCACAATGAGCTATCATCATTACACTAAGGTGGTTCTGAAATGCTAACAGTGTAGTCTTTTTTTTTTAAGTCTTTTGTTGATTTTTTTTAATTTTTTTTTTTTTTTTGAGACGGAGCTTCGCTCTTGTCACCCAGGCTGGAGTGCAATGGCGCAATCTCAGCTCACTGCAACCTCGGCCTCCCGGGTTCAAGCGATTCTCCTGCCTCAGCCTCCCGAGTAGCTGCAATTACAGGCATGCACCACCATGCCCAGCTAATTTTTTTTTTTTTTTTTTAGTAGAAACAGGGTTTCACCATGTTTGCCAGGCTGGTCTTGAACTCCTCAGGTGATCCACCCGCCTCGGCCTCCCAAAGTGCTGGGATTACAGGCGTGAGCCACTGCGCCCGGCCTTTTGTTGATTTTAATAGATACATGGAATATTCTACCATTAAGCAAAATTGTGTAATTCTATTTCACGGAACTTTGGAAGACAGAGGAATTGGCTGTCTCTTTTTTAGGACACTTATTCTCTCCCTGAAAAGCAACTGCACTTTTTTGACATTTGTCATCTGCATAGAGTTCACAGGCCCTCCACACCTCTACCTTCAAATCTCAGTTTTACTTTCACCTCCGATCTTTCCAGGCTTCCCTCTCTCCCCGCATCAATCAGTAGATATTATTCCTCTTTTTCCACAGGATATCTAAGTCTTAATTTTCTCTTCTACTTCCTGACCAGCCCGTTATTATTATTGCCAACACTTTCTTGCCCGGGAAACTTCCAGAGTGGCTCCTCCGACCCATCCCCATCCTGAGCGGGGAAATCTTGCTACATTCTCAAGAACCAGGAAAAGGGCCCTGCAAAAGGGTAAGTAAGATGGAGGCGGTGTTGCCTAGTGGTGAGACAGCCTGGGAGCAGGGGAGTGTGTATGCAGGTTGGTCTTTGACTCAATGTAGTACAATCTCAGTCTTCATCTCAGCCACAGTCGGCCTAAGAAGGTAGGCCACCCCAGCCCTCCCGAGGCCGCGGGCAGGGTGCGGAGGTCAGACTTCCAGGGAAGGCCAAGGGGCGCTTTAAGCAGTGAGAAGGCCACGGCCAGGAGGTGGACGCAGAAAAAACTTGCACCCTGGCTCAGATTCTTCCCGTGTGACCCAAATCTCCACTCGTGGCCCGTGCCCTGCTGCTAGACGCCCTGACCTCCGCGCCCGGAGGCCTTGCTCCCCGCCTGTGCCCAGGCCAGGCCTGGGACTCCATTGCTGCATCCCGCTCACCTCCAGACTGCAGTCGCCGCCGCCGTTAGGCCGTAGCTCCGAAGGCGGGCTCCGGGCTCCTCCAACCTGGGGGCCGAGCCAGGGCCCCGGACGGGGGCTCGCGCCGGACCGGCCGGGTCCCCGGCGGTGCGGGCGGGGTGGGAACCCCGGGGGATCCCGGGAGGGGAGGGGGTCCCGGGCCGGGGCCGGGGGTGGGGTCTGGCACCGGAGCTTTCAGTTTGTTCCGCTGTTTGAAATTGGCGCCGGCGGAGCGTTAAGGTCACGTGACGGAACGTCGCCAATCGGCGCCGGCCTTGTCTCGGCATTCCGGGCTCGAAGGCTGTGCGGTCTGCCAGGAGCTGCGGCCCCGTCCGGCCCGGGCTGGTAAGGCGGACCGCAGGCCGGCTTGTGGGGGAAGAAGTGGCCGTGGGGCCGGGGAGGGGCCGGAGGGGTCCCCGCCGCGTGGGTGGGCGAGCCGAGGGAGAGTTTGGGGACGCGCGGAAGCGGCGTGACAGGCCCGGGTCCCTGGGCCCGCTTTTCCTGCCGCGCTGGTCACGCCAGGCGACACGCCCCCGCTTCCCCTCAGGCTCCTCTGCTCCCCTTTTCAAAGCTCGGCTTTAGTTGATTTCCTCACTGGGGGAAATCGTACCCCATTTTCCCACAGTGAACGATCGTCTGCTCCCCCCGATTAGACTAAGTTCCTTTGAGGGCTGCGTATTATCTCCGCTTTCTTCCATCTTGAAAAAAAATGTCGGCACCATGAACCCTACCTCAGCGCGAAACCTGTCTTTTGCCCCTCCCGAAGCCAAGCCTTCGGATATAATAGACCGTAGTGCTTTATTTATTGACTTAGTCAACCAGTCTAGTTGAGCAACTGCTGTGCGCCAGGCACCGCTAGGCCCTGAAGATACAATGGCAGACAAGGTTCTTTCCTTCCCCTGGGCTCACAGCCCAATCCTGGAAGAGGGGCACAGACATTTTAATCAAATAAACAAATGTGGGCTGGGCATAGTGGCTCACGCCTGTAATCCCAGCACTTTAGGAGGCCGAGGCGGGTGGATCACTTGAGGTCACGAGTTCGAGACCAGCCTGGCAACATAGCGAAACCGCTTCTCTACTAAAAATTAGCCGGGCGTGGTGGTGCGTGCCTGTAGTCCCAGCTACTCTGGAGGCTGAGGTGGAAGGATCACCTGAGGCCGAGAGGTGGAGGCTATGGTAAGCCATGATCACACCACTGCACTCCAGCCTGGGCGACAGAGGGAGACACCGTCTCCAAAACAAACAAATGTTGAATTATTGCTGTAAATTGAAACATTAGAGGTTAATGATACTTTGAGTATTTACAATAACGAGATCTTGAGAGGTAGGACAGGAAAGGCTTTTGTAATGAGAGCTTGGTGTGAGATCTGATGCCTTTTACAAAGAAAGGAGGGAACTCCTCTAAGCAGAGGGAATCAGGCGTGCAAAGGCTGGATGGCAGGAGGAAGCACAGTGAGTACAAAGGCTGAGAAATATCTGAGGGGTTTGAGCTAATCGACCTGAATGGAGTGTGGTGTGAGTTGAAGCTGGAGCCGGAGGAAGCAGAGCCTTAGCCATACCGAGAAGTTTTGTGCTTATCCAAGAATTAAAGGAAACCAGTCATAAGCTTTAAGCAGAAGTGAATCCAGGTCAGATTTGCATTTTAAAAGGTCCCTCTATAGCGGGGATTGCTAGAGTGGATTAGGGCAGAACAGTTGGATGTTGCAATACTCCAGGCAAGAACTGCTGGAGCTTGAAAAAGGGTGGCAGGGAGAGAGAGAGAGGAAGAGAAAGAAGGAGACAGAGAGAGTAAAAAAGGGGCATTAAGAAAACATGTTTAAGAGGTAAAGTTGACAGGGCTTGATGGTGGGTTGGATGGGAGGTAGAAGTGTCAAGATTTTCAGCTGCATAACTGAAGGAATAATGACACTATTCCCTGACCAAGGGCCCTGGAAGATAATCACTTTGGCCAAGGGACGGGCGGGGGGTTGTCAGGGGAATGATCGTGAATTCAGTTTTTGTTTTTTTACTACAAAGCAATGCTCAGAATGAGTTTTTTTTTTAATTATATATTTATTTTTATTTATCTTTTTATTTTTTAGAGACAGGGTCTTGCTCTGTCCCCCAGGCTGAAGTCCAGTGGCATGACCTTGGCTCACTACAACCTCAACCTCCTGGGCTCAGGTGATCCTCCCACCTCAGCCTCCTGAATGGCTGGGACCCCCTACAGGCACATGCCACTACACCCATCTAATTTTTGTATCTTTTGTAGAGACAGGGTCTCACTCTGTTGCCCAGATTGATCTTGAACTATTCGGTTCAAGTGATCCTCCCACCTTCACCTTTCACAGTGTTGGCATTACAGGCATGAGCCACTGTGCGCGGCCAAGTTCAGTTTTAAACTTGTTGAATTTTTTTTTCTTTTCTTTTTTTGAAACAAGGTTCTGGCTCTGTCACTCAGGCTGGAGTTCAGTGGCACGATCTCGGCTCACTGCAGCCTCCACCTCCTGGGCTCAAGTGATCTGCCCACCTCAGCCTCCTGAGTAGCTGGGACTACAGGTGCACGCAGCCGTGCCCACCTGATTTTTTGTATTTTTTGTAGAATTTGGGTTTCACTGTGTTGCCCAGGCTGGTCTCAAACTCATGAGCTCAAGCGATCTGCCCACCCCGGCCTCTGAAAGTGCTGGGATTACAGGCGTGAGCCACTGCGCTCAGCCTTACACATGTTGAATTTGAGGTGCGTTTGAAATATCTAGTTGCTGTTCAGGTAGGTAATGGGATATTTGGGTCCCAAACTTAAGGAATTCTAAAATATATAAATATTGAAGTCATCTACTTCTAGGTGGATACTGAAATACAGGCAGATGAGTTTGCCTAAGAAAAGTATATAGAGTGAGAACAGCTCCAAAGCACAACCAGAGGGGAAGGACTTAGACAGCAGAATGAACTGACCTCTAATTAGAGCAGAAAGAAGATAGATGTTGATACGCATAGGTTTGTATATTTGCTTTCTGGAAAATGAGAGTATTTCCTTTGATGTCTTCTGTATTCTTTGTCAAGTAGGAAGTAAAGTCATTTGTTAAGAGAAAAGGGGTGTTCTGAAGTTCTAAGAAAGTGGGCAGGGTGTGGTGATTCACATGTAATCCTAGCACTTCAGGAGGCTGAGGGAGGAGAATCACTTGAGCCCAGGAGTTCAAGCAAGACCTCATCTCTACAAAAAATAAAATAAGAAACTAACCAGGTGTGGTGGTGCTTGTCTGTATTCCCAGCTATTCGGGAGGCTGAGGCAAGAGGATCTCTCGAGCCCAAGAGTTTGAGGCTGCAGTGAGCTATGATCGTGTCACTGTACTCCAGCCTGGGCAACAGAACAGGACCCCATCTCTAAAAATAATTTTAAAAATTAAAATAAAAATGTTCAGGCTGGGCGTGGTGGCTCACGCCTGTAATCCCAGCACTTTGGGAGGCCGAGGTGGGCAGATCACCTGAGGTCAGGAGTTCAAGACCAGTCTGGCCAACGTGGTGAAACCCCATCTCTACTAAAAAATACTATAATTAGCTGGGCGTGGTGAGGGCGCCTGTAATCCCAGCTACTTGGGAGAGTGAGGCAGGAGAATCGCTTGGACCTAGGAGGAGGTTGCAGTGAGCCGAGATCACGCTACTGCACTCCAGCCTGGGCAACAGAGTGAGACTTTGTCTCAAAACAAACAAACAAAATTTCCACTTTATTTATTTATTTTGAGATAGGGTCTGTCTGTCACCTAGGCTAGAGTGCAGTGGCACGATCATAGCTCACCATATCTTCAAATTCCCAGGCTCAAGTGATCCTCCCACCTCAGCCTCCCAAGTAGCTGGGACTACAGGTACATGCCAACATGCCAAGCTAATTATTCTTTTAAATTTGTAGTAGAGACGAGGTCTCTCTATGTTGCCCAGGCTGGTCTTGAACTCCTGGCCTCAAGCAGTCCTCCCATCTCAGCCTCCTAAAGTTCTGGGATTACAGGCGTGAGCTACTGCACCTAGCTTGGAGAAGTTTTAAGATAATCTTTGTGGAGAATGAGTTGATCAAGGAAACAGGATTGCTGAGCAACGTACCCATTTGAAGCTGATGACTTTCAGCAAGTCATGAATTTCAAAACTATAGCCATTGCTACCACTGTTATCTTTTCACTGGATTTCTGTGGTAGCTTTTTGTTTGTTTGTTTTCTAGACTGAATCTCGCTCTGTTGCCCAGGCTGGAGTGCAGTGGCGTGATCTCGGCTCACTGCAACCTCCGCCTCCCGGGTTCAAGCGATTCTCCTGTCTCAGCCTCCTGAGTAGCAGGGATTATAGGTGTGTGCCATGACGCCTGGCTAATTTTTGTATTTTTAGTAGAGATGGGGTTTCACCATGTTGGGCAGGCTGGTCTTGAACTCCTGACTTCAAGTAATCTGCCCGCCTCAGCTCCCTAAACTGCTGGTATTAAGGGCATGAGCCACTGCGCCCGGCCTCTCTATACTTTTTATTCCTTTCCGACTAGAATGTAAGCACCACAAGGGCAGAGGTTTTATGTTATTCTCTGGTATATATTTTCAGCACCTGGAACAGTGCCTAGCACACAGTAGGCACTCAGTAAATATTTCTCAAGTGAATGAATGAGTGAATGAACAAATGGATATATATATTTTTTGTGTTTTCTATAAGATGTTAGTTCCTTAAGAATAGAAACTTTGGCTGGACATGGTGGCTCACGCCTGTAATCCCAGCACTTTGGGAGGCCGAGGCGGGTGGATCACGAGGTCAGGAGTTCGAGACCAGCCTGGTCAACATAGCGAAACCCCGTCTCTACTAAAAATACAAAAATTAGCTAGGCATGGTGGCGTGCGCCTGTAGTCCCAGCAACTCATGAAGCTGAGGCAGGAGAATCGCTTGAACCCAGGAGGTAGAGGTTGTGGTGAGCCAAGATCGCGCCACTGTACTCTAGCCTGCGTAACAGAGCAAGACTCCATCAAAAAAAAAAAAAAGAAAGAAAAAAAGAGAAACTGTGTCCTTTTTTTTCTTAACCTGTATCTCTACTGCCTAGTCATATAAGTCAAAGCATATTATTTTTTGTTGTTGATTGAATGGATCACAAATGCATAGAACCAACCTGCTCTGTTGTGTCTTTCCAGCATGCTCAGCTGCAACTCTCATTTACCTCTCTACCTATTGCATTCAACCTTGTGTCCCACCATTCCACCAAAGAAGCCCTTATTAAAGTTGATCTGGGCCAGGCGTGGTGGCTCATGCCTGTAATCCCAACACTTTGGGTGGGCGAGGCAGAAGGATTGCTTGAGCCTAGGAGTTCCAGACTAGTCTGGGCAACAAAGCAAGACCCTGTCTCTACAATAAATAAATAAATAAATAAATAAATAAATAAATAAAACTTTAAAAAAAGATGCTCTAGGCACCTTGTGAGAAAAGTCGGGTTGGAGATGGGGGTGGAAAAAGGAAGCAGGGAACTCAGTTAGAAGGCTACCAGAGGGGCCAGGCATGGTGGCTCACGCTTGTAACCCCAGCACTTTGGGAGGCCGAGGCAGGCAGATCAGTTGAGGTCTCAACTGAGTTCAAGACCAGCCTGGCCAAAATGGTGAAACCTCATCTCTACTTAAAATATAAAAATTAGCCAAGCATTGTGGCAGGTGACTGTAATCTAACCTACTGGGGAGGCTGAGGGTGGAGAATTTCTTGAACTCGGGAGGTGGCGGTTGCAGTGAGCCAAGATCAAGCCACTGCACTCCAGCCTGGACGAAAGAGTGAGACTCCGTCTCAAAAGATAAAAGTATAGAGAAAAATCAAACAGGTCAAGGGGTTGAGTTGACTGTTATTTTAGACATAGTTATTAGGGAAGGCCTATCTAAAGAACTGCTAGTAATCCCAGTATTTTGGAAGGCTAAGGAGGGAAGGATTGGTTGAGCCCAGGAATTTGAGACCAGCCTAGGCAACACAGTGAGACCTCATCTCTATAAAAAATGTTTCAAAAAAAGTTAACCAGGTGCAGTGTGCTTGCTTGTAGTTCCAGCTACTCAGGAAGCTGATGTGGGAGGATTGCTTGGGCTTTAGAGGTTGAGGCTGCAATGATCCATGATCACACCACTGCACTCCAGCCTAGGTGACAGAGCAAGGCCCTGTCTCAAAAAAAAAAAAAAAAAAACACATAGAAAACCTGGGGTGTGGTGGCTCACACCTGTAATTCCAGCACTTTGGGAGGCTGAGGTGCGCAGATAGCTTGAGCTCAGGAATTCAAGACTAGCCTGGGCAATACAACGAAACCCTATTTCTACAAAAATACGAAAATTAGCCAGCGCTGTGGCACGAGCTGTAGTCCCAGCTACTTGGGAGGCTGAGGTGGGAGGATCACCTGAGCCTGGGAGGTCAAGGCTGTGGTGAGCCATGATCATGCTACTGTACTCTAGCCTAGGCAACAGATGAGACCCTATCTCGAAAAAAAGAAAAAAAAGAAAATGGGAACACTGGCTGGCTGGATATTTGTTAATGTTAAAGAATTTATATATTTGTTTAGTCATATTAATGGGAAGGATAGAATATATATATATATATATATATATATATATATATATTTTTTTTTTTTTTTTTTTTTTTGAGACGGAGTTTCACTCTTGTTGCCCAGGCTGGAGTGCAATGGCGTGATCTCTGCTCACCGCAACCTCCGCCTCCCGGGTTCAAGCGATTCTCCTGCCTCAGCCTCCGAGTAGCTGGGATTACAGGCATGTGCCACCACGCCCAGCTAATTTTGTATTTTTCGTAGGGACAGGGTTTCTCCACGTTGGTCAGGCTGGTCTCGAACTCCCGACCTCAGGTGATCCACCCGCCTCGGCCTTCTAAAGTGCTGGGATTACAGGCATGAGCCACCGCGCCCGGCCAAATATATTTTCTTCCAAATAATCCAGGGATAGAAGAAGTGGCTAGGGGTGTAGATGGGTCAGGATTAGCCTAGCCGACAGTTATTGGAGCTGGATAATTGGTACACAGGGTCCATTACATTATTCAGTCTACTTTAGTATATATTTGACATTATCTGGAGTGAAAAATTTTTTAAAAGCCAGGTGGGATCAAATTCTTCTGCTTAAAGTCCAAACTCATATGGTGTCACCTGTTTTTTTTTATTTGTTTGTTTGTTTGTTTTGGAGACGAGTCTCGCTTTGTCTCCCAGGCTGGAGTGCAGTGGTGCAATCTCGGCTCATTGTAACCTCCACCTCCCAGGTTCAAGCGATTCTCCTGCCTCAGTCTCCCATGTAGTTCGGATTACAGGCATGCACCACCACACCCGGCTAATCTTTTTTGTTTGTTTGTTTGTTTGAGACAGAGTCTAGCTCTGCTGCCCAGGCTGGAGTGCAGTTGCGCAATCTCAGCTCATTGCAACCTCCATCTCCTGGGTTCAAGTGATCCTCAGCCTCCTGAGTAGCTGGGACTACAGGCATGTGCCACCACGCCCAGCTAGTTTTTGTATTTTTAGTAGAGGTGGGATTTTGCCATGTTGGCCAGGCTGGCCTTGAACTCCTGGCCTAAAGTGATCAGCCTGCCTCAGCCTCCCAAAGTGCTGGGATTAGAGGCGTGAGCCACCACTCCCAGCCTAACTTTTGTATTTTTAGTAGAGACGAGGTTTCACCATGTTGGCCAGCCTGGTCTCAAACTCCTGACCTCAGGTGATCCGCCTGCCTCAGCCTCCCAAAGTGCTGGGATTACAGGCGTAAGCCCCCTCACCCAGCCATGTCACCTATTTTTTTTTTTAACCTCAGCCTGACACCATGTTTATCCTGAGTTCTTGCCATTTATCTTCTCATACTGTGTCCAGATACATTGAATTTGTAATTCCCAGAATTCACAATACTCCGTCTCGTCTCCATGCCTTTGTGTACACTGTTCCTCAGGCTGGAGTGCCCTCCTTGCTTTTTTGTTTCTTCTATGCCTTTCATACCTAGGTCAGGTATCTCCCTTTCCAGAAAGCCTCCTTTGGAATGAATGGAACCATACTGTATTCTCATACAGTGTTGTAAATGTCTGTTTCCCTTTGCTAGACTTTCAGCTCCTCGAAACAGGGATGACCTCTGTATCACTACAAGTGCTTTGCACTCAGTTAATGATTGTTGAATAAATGGTTATTCATCTTTAAATTCCCAGCACCCAGCATGACACTTAGCACATACTCAATAAATGTTCGTTAGATGAATGTTGAATATGAATATTGTGTTTTGCTTGGTGGTTGTAGGTATAGGAGGCTGTGCTCCCCAAAGCCTTGAAGTTTATGGTAGAATTGGCTGGCAGAGGATCAGGAAGAACTGGGGAATCATCTGAATTATTTGCTCCCAGCTTTTGTTTCTTCTCTACAGGCATGGGTTGGAATTGGAGCCTATCCCCCAACCCGAAGGCTAACAGCATCATGTGGTTACTAACTGTTCCTCATTCACCGGTTGATGCCTCCCAGAAAAAAACGCCGCCAGCCTTCCCAGAAAGCCCCGCTGCTGTTCCACCAACAACCACTGGAGGGCCCCAAACACAGCTGTGCATCTACACAGCTTCCCATCACTCACACTCGACAGGTGCCCAGCAAGCCCATTGACCACAGCACCATCACTTCCTGGGTAGGCCCATGGGATTACTATTTGACATTTTTTTTTTTTTTTTTTTTTTTTTTTTTTTGAGACGGAGTCTCGCTCTATCGCCCAGGCTGGAGCACAGTGGCGCGATCTTGGCTCACTGCAAGCTCCGCCTCCTGGGTTCACACCATTCTCCTGCCTCAGCCTCCCGAGGAGCTGGAACTACAGGCACCCGCCACCACGCCCGGCTAATTTTTTTGTATTTTCAGTAGAGATGGGGTTTCACCGTGTTAGCCAGGATGGTCTCTATCTCCTGACCTCGTGATCCGCCCGCCTCGGCCTCCCAAAATGCTGGGATTATAGGCGTGAACCACCGCGCCCGGCCTACTTTGACTTTTACTCTGTTAGGTTTTCCAGAATGCTGACTCTTCTGCCCGGCCTACTTTGACTTTTACTCTGTTAGGTTTTCCAGAATGCTGACTCTTCTGCCCCTTGAACCAGGGACTCCAAAGAATAAGATTCATGGGGGCGGGGGCAAGGAGTTAATGTATTCTGTCTGTGGCCAGCCATCTTCCCTGGTACATCTTCTTTTCTCAGTTCAAACTGAGGAACGGGTTAGTTGGAACTGGAGTCTTTCTCTTCCCCTATTTTCCTCTGAAAGAGTTCATTGTAAAAGTTTTTTTACCCATTAGCTGGGTGAGAATGCCAGATAAATGGCAGAACAAGTTAAAAATGAGATTGTTCCCTCAACTTCATGTGAAAGGTGGAGTACTTGGCTAGATACTCTGTTTATTGTGTAATGGATTGAACCTTGAAAAATAAAACCCCATAAGAATAGCATATGTCATATTTTGACCGCTTAAAAGCCCTGGGAAGAGAGGCCGGGTGTGGTGGCTCATGTTTGTAATCCTAGAACTTTGGGAGGCCAAGGAAGGAGGATTGCTTGAGCCCAGGAGTTCGAGACCAGCCTGGGCAACATGGTGAAACCCCATCTTTACTAAAAATATTAATAGAAAAATTAGCTGGGCATGGTGGTGCGCACCTGTAGTCCCAGCTACTTGGGAGGCTAAGGTGGGCAGATCTCTTGAACCGGGAGGTCAAGGCTGTAGTGAGCCAAGATTGTGCTACTGCACTCCAGCCTGGGCAACAGTGTGAGACCCTGTCTCAAAAAAAAAAAAAAAAAAAAAATAGAAACCCTGGGAAGAGAATATAGCTACTATACAACAGGAAAGTAGTATAGTAAAAGGGCCAGACAAAAGCATAAGCTTGGCTTAGGAGTATTTAATAAATGTAACTTATTCAGGACTGCTTGGAAGAACCATAATACCTGCTACAGGATTGTGGAAGAAACCTAAACATCAGAATCCTGTGGATGAGAGTAGGAATGAACATTTATTGAATATTCATTATATGCCAGGTCCTCTGCTAGTTCTCACCCGCTATGCTTGGAGTTGGCTATTCATTAACTGAGGGCCTTCTTTGTTCCAGGCATTCTGCTAGGTGCTGGGAATCAAGAACAAGACCACTGGTCCCTACCCTCATGAAGTTTAAAGATAAATAAGTTATATCTAGACCAGGTGTTGTGGCTTACGCCTGTAATCCCAGCACTTTGGGAGGCTGAGGTGGGTGGATCACTTGAGGTCAGGAGTTTGAGACCAGTCTGGCCAACACGGTGAAACTCTGACTCTATTAAAAATATAAAAATTGGCTGGGTGCCGTGACTCATGCCTGTAATCCCAGCACTTTGGAAGGCCGGGGTGGGTGGATCACCTGAGGTCAAGAGTTCAAGGTCAGCCTGGTCAACATGGTAAAATCCTGTCTCTACTAAAAATACAAAAATTAACTGGTCGTGGTGGTGCGCACCTATATTCCCAGCTACACGGGAAGCTTAGGCAGCAGAATCGCTTGCATCAGGGAGTCGGAGGTTGCAGTGAGCAGAGACCTGCCATTGCACTCCAGCCTGGGCGACAAGAGCAAAACTCTGTCTCCAAAAAAAAAAAAAAAAAAAAAATACCTGGGCGTGGTGGCAGGCGCCTGTAGTCCCAGCTACTCGGGAAGCTGAAGCAGGAGAATCACTTGAACTGGGAGACAGAGGTTGCAATGAGCCGAGATGGTGCCGCTGCATTCCAGCCTAGACGTCGGAGTGAGACTCCATCCCAGGGGGAAGAAAAAAAGTTATATCCATATGGTGTGATGAAGTGAAAGAGACATCGTCCCCTTTCCTACACATGAGGAAGCTGAAGGCCGGAGAGATGGAATAATTTGCCCAAAGCTTCCTGTTATTATGCCATTAGACAGTTATTTTAGTTTTGTGTTCATTACTACAGTAGACCCCGATTTAAGAGTCTGGTCATCAGATACAGTTTCCTCTCTTAGGTTAGTACTTAGTTAGGCTCACCTCACTTTTTTTTTTTTTTTAAGGTATCACCTGATTTTGATACAGCAGCAGGAAGCTTGTTCCCAGCCTACCAGAAACACCAAAACCGGGCGAGACACTCAAGTCGAAAACCTACCACCTCCAAGTTTCCACATCTAACTTTTGAGAGTCCGCAATCTTCCAGTTCAGAGACATTGGGGATCCCCTTAATCCGAGAGTGCCCCAGTGAATCAGAAAAGGATGTTTCCAGAAGACCCTTAGTTCCAGTGCTCAGTCCCCAAAGCTGTGGGAACATGTCAGTGCAGGCACTTCAGAGCTTACCTTATGTGTTCATTCCACCTGATATCCAGACCCCAGAGTCATCGTCTGTGAAGGAAGAACTCATTCCCCAAGATCAGAAGGAAAACAGCCTTCTAAGCTGCACTCTTCACACTGGCACTCCTAATAGCCCAGAGCCTGGACCTGTTCTGGTTAAAGACACCCCCGAGGACAAGTATGGAATAAAGGTCACATGGAGGAGACGACAGCACCTGCTTGCTTACCTCAGGGAGAGAGGGAAGCTGAGCAGAAGCCAATTCCTTGTGAAAAGCTGACTGCCATCAGTAATCTCAATAGAAAAGAGATATGTTTTCTGGAGTCATAAAGGAATTCAATTCCTAGGGTTTTTGTTTTTGTTTTTGAGATGTAATATTGCTCTGTTGCCCAGGCTGGAGTGCAGTGGTATGATCTCACCTTACTGCAACCACCACTTCCTGGGTTCAAGCGATTCTCCTGCCTCAGCCTCCCCAGTAGCTGGGATTACAGGCACCAGCCACCATGCCTGGCTAATTTTTTTGTATTTTTAGTAGAGATGTGGTTTCTCCATGTTGGCCAGGCTGGTCTCAAAATCCTGACCTCAAGTCATCTGCTGGCCTTGACCTCACAAAGTGCTGGCCCAGCCGAGATTTGTTTTCTAAGATACTTTGTGTCATGAACAGTTCAGTTTAGTGTCATGAACTATTCACTTCATATTTTTCTTGTATTAACTGTTTAAATTTTTAAAATATCTTGTAGTAACTCTTTAAAATGTATGTAAGTAAATGGCTGCAGAAAGTTTTTTTAGAGAATCCTGCTTCCATCAGTAATACAGCAATATTACCCCATCCACTAATGGTCTTTGTTTCCTTAACCACTACTCATTAATCCTTAATCACCTCATTCAAACTAATTCATTCTGCATTTTTGAGTACCAACTCTTGTCAGGCTCAGTGGCAGCTTCTACGACCTGATGGATGGAAAAAAATCAAACTCTGTGACTCTATGGTTGACTGCCACCTCTGCAACCTTGACTCATCTGCTGAAAAGGCAAGAAGAAGAAAGGGCAGCAAGCCCTGTTTTAGGGACTACATAAGATGAGGGGAGATAAGGGGGACATAGATGAGTTCTTTAGGATTGCGTGTGTTTTGAGTTTTTGTTTCTAACTGAAGAAATCTGTCAATATTAAATAGGGTGGGAAAATGGTTTCTTAGAATAACTGTTCAACTGTGTGTAAATAAGGAAAGTTTTCAATGAGTATTACTTATTGTAATTAATGCAGAAGGACTTCCCCAGTCAACCGAATGTCTCGGCCTTTTACTCAGACAAGTAGCATCTCATTAAACCCATTCATTTAGCATTCATTCAGCTGGACCTACTGTGTCAGGTCCAGCCCCAACTAGATCAAGCAGGGATTACTGTATATTTTACAGATGGGAGTTTGATGCAGAGAATGAACCATGCACAGGTCACACAGTGAGTGCACGCTGACCCAGGCAGTGTAACGGTCCACTCTCAGCGTGTGCCTCCTAAAGTACTAACTTGTAGGTTCAAAACCAATGTGGAAACAACTTTGACCTTAGAACGCCATAAAGCCATTTGTGCAGTGACTTGTCAGGACTCAGGATGTTTTGTAGGGACTATAATGTGCATGTCGGTAGGGAGAAAGGGACTGACATTTGGGGACGGGATTTATTGGAGACAAGAGTACACATTTAGACAGGGGCTCTCACGGTGGGCTATGGATGTTTGAGGAAGGCCCACAGGAGGTAGAAAGGTAGATGGAAAGAGTCTCCAGGACGGGCCCACGCCTGTAATCCCAGCACTTTCGGAGGCTGAGGCGGGTGGATCATTTGAGGTCGGGAGTTAAGAGGCCAGTCTGGCCAACATGGTGAAACCCTATCTCTACTAAAAATACGAAAAATAGCCAGGCAGTAGTGGCCCCTGCCTGTAATCCCAGCTACTCCACAGGCTGAGGCAGGAGAATCGCTTGAGCCTGGGAGGCGGAGGTTGCGGTGAGCTGAGACCGGGCCACTGCACTGCAGTCTGGGCGAGAGAGAAACCCTGTCTCAAAAAATTAAAGTCTCTGGATTCCCTCGTGTGCTTTAGGGGAGTCTGTAGAGCAGGTCTAGGAATGACCTAAAAGCTTGGGCTGGAGTAGGGGAAGCTTAAGTTCTGTGCAGTTGAAGTTCAAGGCCAGCCTATGGAAGATGCGTTTCACTGGGAGTGACTGATGGAGTGGAGAGGGTACCAGAGGGGGTCCACGAAGGCCGCTGGTATCAGGGCAGGGGCCAGAATGGGAAGCGGCAGAGGTCTGTACATCCTCACAGGGCAGACCTCGGGAAGCGCTCTGGGTGGGCTCGGTAAAAATGGCGGGGGTGCGAGGAGCCGTTGCGTGCGTGGCGGTTGGTGCGGTATAGGAGACTCCTCTGACCGGACTCGCCTGCTGGCCGCGCGGCGGGCGAGGCCCAGGCAAAAACAAAGTCTTCCCGCTCAGTACCGGCCCCGCGAGGCGCTCCAGAGGACCAAGCCTTAGCTCGCGTCACCCCACCCCCGCGCAGGCGCGTTTAACTCCCGCTCGCCTCCCGCCCCTTAGCAACCCTCCCGCATCGTTGGGCCCCGGCAATAGCCAATGAGACAGGAGCCACGAGAACACGGACCAATCGGCGGCGGCGACAGTGTGGAACGCGGTTGCCAGGAGGCGGGACGCGGCGGCGTGCCAGCCTAGCCACTCTAGCGACGGCGGGGAAGAGTGTGTACGTGGTGGGGGCTTCCTCGGTGGCGGGCATGGAGGCTTCGCGCTGCCGGCTCAGTCCCAGCGGCGACAGGTCAGACAGGGCCGTGGCAGGTCTCCTCCTGAGCGAGGCGGAGGGGCGAAGCGAGAAGGCGGAGGTCCTCTCCGGGAGCCCTGCGGGGAGAGGGCGGGACTCGGGACTTGGCGACTCAGGGAGGGACTGGTTTCGGCGGCGGGAGGCGACCCCCTCGCCCTACTCCCGTGTGGGGACCCCTTTCTCAAGTGGAGCGGCGGCACTACATCCCGCGCCGTGGGCAGAGACCTTTGGTTCAGGTCCCTGCTTAGGAACTTCTGGAGTTTTCGTGACGGGCTCCCTCGGCCCCTCTGGGCCTCGGGTTTCCCTCGGGGGAGAGGCGCTGGCCCCGCTCAGCTCCCACTGCCCGGCGGTGTCACAGCCGAGAGGGGACCCAGCCCCTCCCGGGAGGCGGTGCGGGTGATGTTTAGTAGCTTGTTCTGACGCCGCTGCTTCGGACGGGTAAAGCTGAATTCTGGAGCAGAGTCCGAGGAGCGGAAACGCGAAACTTCTTTTTCCTCTCTGCTTTCCAGTGTTTGTCCCTGATTCGGGATGGTCTGACTGATTTGCCAGTGGGCCACACCCCTTGTTTGTGCGCCTCTTTCTCTGCCAGAGGGAGAGCCTCGGAAAAAAAAGGATCCAAAATCTCAGCGTGTCACTTTCTTGTTCGCTAGGTTAATGAGAAGTTAATGGGAAGCCGTTTGAAATCATTGGTTAGAAACTTTGGCGTCATCTGAGGATTTAAGCCCTACACGCCAACTGTATACCCCGCTTTTTATTCCATTACCAAGACAAAGATTTGGGGCCAGGCGCCTTGGAACACGTCTATTATCCCCAGCACTTTGGGAGGCCAAGGCAGGAGGATCGCTTGGTCTCAGGAGTTCGAGACCAGCCTGGACAAGATAGCGAGACCCCCATCTCTAGAAAAAAATAAAATAAAATAAAATCAATCAGTCAATCAATTAAAATTTGGCCGGACACGGTGGTGCGCGCCTGTAGTTCCAGCGACTCGAGAGACTGAGGAGGGAGGATTCCTTGAGCCCAGGAGTTCCAAACTCCTGTGTTGGGCCACTGAGCTCGCTAGCCTGGGCAACGCAGTGACATCCTGTCACCTTAAAAAAAAAATGATTTGACGTGTAAGTATTTAGTTTGATATTTCCACTAGTAGATATTTAAACAATTTTAAACCATTTTTAAAAATTGTCACAAAGTTGTTGGGGGTAAAGAACATGTATTTTCCTTTTTCGTCAAGTTCTATTGAGGTGATAGCTGCACTCTGAAATTTGTTCACTGTGCTTTTTTTTTTCCCAAGTCGAGGAAGAAAACTACATTTACAGGTGTAAGTGGTAGAGGAGATAAAGTTAGTATTCAGCATCTCTGGTTGAATTCCGAAAATATTTGTTCAGTTGTGGGCGCTCAGTTTTAATTCCATGAATTTAAAGTAGTAAATTTCATGAGTACCAGATGTTTGATATGACTCAGATTTTTTGGGGAAAAAAAAACGGGATGCGGGATTGACTTTGAAATTGGGACCAAGAGGCTTTTCCTTCCTTTTTTTTTTCTGAGACGGAGTCTCTCTCTGTCGCCAGGCGGTAGTGCAGTGGTGCGATCTCGGCTAACTGCAGCCTCCGCTTCCCGGGTTCAAGTGATTCTCCTGCCTCAGCCTCCTGAGTAGCTGGGACTATAGGCACGCGCCACCACGCCCAGCTAATTTTTGTATTTTTAGTAGAGACGGGGCTTCACCATGTTGGCCAAGATGGTCTCGATTTCTTGACCTGGTGATCTGCCCACCTCGGCCTCCCAAAGTGCTGGGATTACAGGCGTGAGCCACTGCGCCTGGCCCCCTCCTTGTTCTTCCGAAAGAAACTAGCTCTTTAAATTTTATTTTCTTTTCTTTTAATTTTAATTTTTTTTTTTTTTTGAGACAGGGTCTCACTCTGTCGCCCAGGCTAGGATGTGGTGGGCGATCTCAACTAATTTCAACCTCTTCCCCAGGTTAAGCGATCCTCCCACCTCAGCATCCCTAGTAGCTGGGACCACAGGTGCGTGGCACCACCTGGCTAATTTCTTGTATTTTTTGTAGAGGTGGGGTTTCGTCATGTTGCTCAGGCTGGTGTCGAAGTGAGCTCAAGTGATCTGCCTGCCTCAGCCTCCAAAACTTCTGGGATTACAGGCCTGAGCCACTGCACTTGGCCCTAAATTGTAAAATTGACATCAAAGGGGAATGTGTGAGTCACCAAATGTTTCTCCTGCCCTCTGTAATGTTAGTGCAACTTCTATCAGTGTTTAACTCATTTGTTACTAAGAGGGAGTCTCTTGCTTTTTTCTCTTTTTGGGCTTCAGGTTGTGTGTTTAATGTGTTTTTTTTTTTTTTTTTCCAAACGGAGTTTCGCTCTCGTCGCCCAGGCTGGAGTGCAGTGGCGCCATCTTGGCTTACTTGCCTCCTGGGTTCCAGTGATTCTCCAGCCTCAGCCTCCTGAGTAGCTGGGATTACAGGCATGCGCCACCGTGCCCGGCTAATTTTTATATTTTTAGTAGAGAGGGGGTTTCTCCATGTTGGTCAGGCTGGTCTTGAACTCCCGACCTCAGGGGATTCGCCCGCCTCGGCCTCCCAAAGTGCTGGGATTACAGGCGTGAGCCCCCCAACCCTGCCTGGCTGTTTAATGTTTTTGATGAAATACATTGATAGAATTTTCTGTATTACTGCCTTTCAATGTAAGGATAACAACCAACTTTTAGGTTTTCTGTGTTTTTTTTTTTTCTTGGAATTATGTAACTTTTATCATGAAGCAGATTTATTTTCAACAAAATAGAGAAATTATTAACTACAAATATTTTTTTTAATTTTTATTTTTTTGTAGAGACAAGGTCTCACTATGTTGCCCAGGATGGTCTTGAAGTCCTGGTCTCAAGTGATCCTCCTGCCTCAGCCTCCCAAAGTGCTGGGATTACAGGTGTGAGCGACCAGGCTTGGCCTATTTTCTTATATCAGAAATGTTTAGTGAAAATTGGAGGTGAAATTTGAAACAACACTCAGGACCTTTGTTGAGGCTAGGCATTTTATAATATAGATTCCCTGGAGATGACGGGGGTTGGCTGGTGCTGGAACTTGAGCCCTATCTGGCCTTTTGTAAGTGATAGAGAATTGAGAATTGAAGGCGTGCTTCCCACTGTGGTGTGACCTTGTGAGCTGGAGTCATCTAAGAAATCCCAGTCGGTGGTTTGTCCATATACCATGATTTCTCTTTAGAAATATAAACAGTAGGCTGGGCATGGTGGCTCACACTTGTAATCCCAGCACCATGGGAGGCCGAGATGGCGGGGGGGCGGGGCGGGGGGGGGGAAATCACCTGAGGTCACGAGTTCAAGACCAGCCTGACCAACATGGAGAAACCCTATCTCTACTAAAAATGCAAAACTTAGCCAGGCATGGTGGCAGGTGCCTATAATCTTAGCTACTCAGGAGCTGAGGCAGGAGAATCGCTTGAACCAGGGAGGTGGAGGTTGCAGTGAGCCAAGACTGTGCCACTGCACTCTAGCCTGGGTGACAGAGCAAGACTCCGTCTCAAAAACACACACACACACACACACACACACACGCACGCACACAAAAAAGAGATCTGTCAAGATAAAAAGCTCAATAATAGGCTAGGTGCAGTGGCTCATGCCTGTAATCCCAGCACTTTGGGAGGCGGAGGTGGGCAGATCACGAGGTCAGGAGTTCAAGACCAGCCCAACCAACATGGCGAAACCCTGTCTCTACTAAAAATACAAAAATTAGCCAGTTATGGTGGTGTGTGCGTATAGTCCCAGCTACTCCGGGAACTGAGGCAGAAGAATTGTTTGAACCTGGGAGGCGGAGGTTGCGGTGAGCCGAGATCACACCACTGCACTCCAGCCTGGGCGACAAGAGCAAAACTCCATTTGAAAAATAAAATAAAATGAAATAAAAATAAGAAATAGTGAAAATAAATAACATTCCCGAAGAGAGAAAATATAACCCCTGAGAAGGGAGAATTGGGCAAAAGTTAAAACGAACTTAAGTTCTGAGTAATGTCTGTTTGAATCTACAAGTAATAAATGCATTCTTTTAACTTCTGGATTAAATCATACATCTTAAATAGCCTTTTTGTTTAGTTCACTCAAAAGAATGCTTTTTGCTTTTGCTGTGTGGTACTTGCAAAATCAGGAGGGGTTTACTCTAAAATAGTTTTCCCTGCAGCATTCTTTGGGGCTATGGGAATGCTCAAATCAGCGGCCAGCCTTTGCTTCTCATTGCCTCCCTCTCCCCAGGCAGTTCTCCCTGCTCTGATTGTGTCTCTACTAAATGGGCCTCCTAGGAAATGGATGTTCATTCCCTGGCTTCAATTAAGTTAGCTCCAGATTGTGGCCGTCTTTCAAGTAGAGGACAGCTGAGCTTAGAATACTAACATTTCTCCCTAGATGAGGAAGGATAGATGTCAAAGGAATTCTTTTCTGACACTTCTCATATGACCTTTATGTGTCTTTTCTCAGAAGCAATATTTTGTTCAAGCCAGATGTGTTCTTGGTGTGTCAGTATGTGTAAAAACATGGCCTTCGAATATTGACATTTAGGATTTGGACAAGGTGAACCTATTTGTCAATTGAGTTAGGAAACATACTTTGTTAATAGCTCTTTCCACAATTATCTGAAATTGTTATCAGTTTGAACATGATGAAATCTGATGCCTCTTTCACTCTATACAGTTATTTGCCACTTAATGATGGGGATGCATTCTGAGAAATGTGTCATTAGTGGATTTTGTTGTGTGAACGTCATAGTGTACACAAACCTTGATGGGATATCCTACTACCTACCTAGGCCCTGTGGTACAGTCTGTTGCTCCTAGGCTACAAAGCTATACAGCCTGTTACTGTACTGAATATTGTAGGCAATTGGAACACACTGGTAAGTATTAGCATATCTAAACATAGCAAAGGTACAGTGAGAATACTTTTTTTTTTTTTTGAGACGGAGTCGCATCTTTGTTACTCAGGCTGGAGTGCAATGGCATGATCTCGGCTCACTGCAATCTCTGCCTCCCAGGTTCAAGTGATTCTCCTGCCTCAGCCTCCCAAGTAGTTGGGATTACAGGCGTGCACCACCATGCCCAGCTAATTTTGTATTTTTAGTAGAAACGGGGTTTTACCATGTTGGTCAAACTGGTCTTGAACTCCTGACCTCAAGTGATCCACCCGCCTCTGCCTCCCAAAGTGCTGGGATTACAGGCGTGAGCCACTGTGCCTGGCTGACAATGTGGTGTTATCATCTTAGGGGACCCCTGTTGTATATGCAGTATGGTTGACCTAAATGTCGTTATTCAGGGCACTCCTCCCCAGGGCTGCTTAAAAATCCATTCACTGGCTTGGAAGTTCTACCTAAAAATAGCAAGTCAGCTGGCATTTTTAATGAACATATTGAAATACCAGAGAATGAAATTCCTGTCTCTGCTGACCATTTTAATACACGTGTTCAGTCGTGTGGTTTAACACATTCAGGTAGATTGGGAGTGAGACTTGTGATTGAATTTGGGCTCTTTCGCTGATCAGCTGTTTGACCTTTAGAATATGAACTATAGTTGTAAGTTTAAAATTGCTTTCCTGTGATGTGTAGAAAATAAGGCTGTAACAAAGCAAGAAATATTTTTCAAATATGCTCCTGGAAAAATAAAATTATTGCTATTTAGCTTTGCAGGAAGAAACTTCAATAAATCTACAAGGTAGGTGCTATAATCTCATTTTACAGAGAGATATGAAACTCATATGAAAGGAGTTCACCTCCTTTCTCCCGAAATTCATTTAGAGCATCTATGAGTTTCATATCTGTCTGTAAAATGAGATTATAGTGCCTACTTTGTCAAGGTTATCGTGAAAATTATCACACATCATATGTGAAAAATAATATATATTTAATATAATTCCTGGCAGGCAGTATTAAATATTCACTAAGTAGAACTGTACTTAAGTGCAACTAGCAGAGTGACAACACATTTTAACAATGTTTCAATAACAATACAATTTTGGACTTTTAAATTTTTTTTTTGGAGTCTCGCTCTGTCGCCTAGGCTGGAGTGCAGTGGCAGGATCTCGGCTCATGGCAACCTCCACCTCCTGGGTTCAAGCAGTTCTCCCTGCCTCAGCCTCCTGAGTAGGTAGGATTACAGGTGCCTGCCACCACCCCTGGCTAATTTTTGTATTTTTAGTAGGGACAGGATTTCACCATGTTGGCCAGGCTGGTCTCGAACCCCTTACCTCAGGTGATGCACCTGCCTCGGCCTCCTAAAGTACTGGGATTACAGGCATGAGCCACTACGCCCAGCCTAAAGATTTTTTTAATACAGGGGAAATTATTAGAAATTTCTGGGTTTCCAACATTCGAAAGCTTTTGAAAGGTGATAAAGTATTATGATGAAATCATTAGTCTTCTCACTGAAGTGAAGATTAAGGTAACACATTCATTTGTAGTATTAAGAAGTATTGTAAAACAAAAATCTTCCCAGGCACAGTGGTTCAGGCCTATAATCCTAGCACTTAGGGAGGCTGAGGCAGGAGGAAGGAGATCACTTGAGGCCAGTAGCTCAAGACCAGCCTGGGCAACATAGTGAGACCCCCTGTCTGTCTGTTGGTCTGTCATGTTCGTTTGTTCTCTCTCTCAAGACATAGGGTCTTGCTGTATTGCCCAGGCTAGTCTTGAACTCGGGCCTCAAGTGATTCTCCCACCTCGGCCTCCCAAAATGCTGGAAAGGCATGAGCCACTCTGCCTGGCCCGAGACCCTGTCTCTTAAAAAAAAAAAAAAAAAAAATTCTAGGCCCAGTGCGGTGGCTCATGCCTGTAATCCCAGCACTTTGGGAGGGCAAGGCAGGCAGATCACCTGAGGTTAGGAGTTAGAGACCAGCCTGGGCAGCATGGTGAAACCCTGTCTCTACTAAAAATACAAAATTAGCCAGGTGTGGTGGCGCATGCCTGTGATCCCAGCTACTTGGGAGGCTGAGGCATGAGAATCACTTGAACATGGGAGGCAGAGGTTATAGTGAGCCAAGATCGCGCCATTGCACTCCAGCCTGGGCAACAAGAGCGGAAACTAGATCTCAAAAAAAAAAAAAAAAAAAGATATAATAGCAGTTGCAGTTTGAGTGCTTACTATGAGCCAAGTTTCATTTAATCTTCACAATAACCTTCTGAGTTAAGTGTCATTGTCCTCACTTTGTAAATTAGGAAACTTGAGGCTTTACTAGGTTAAGTTGTACTGGGAACTGTGCTGTAACCACATAGCACACGTCTCTAAATGGGGACTTACAATTAGTTTGAACTAATATAGGCCAAGCCAGGGGTCAGCAGACCTTTTTAATTATTTTTTTTCAGATGGGGTCTTGCTTTGTTGCCCAAGCTGGTCTTGAACTGCTGGACTTAAGCCATCTTCCCGCCTCAGCCTCCCTAGCAGCGGGGACTATAGGCATGCACCATCACCCCTGGCCAGTAGTCCTTTTCTGCGAAGGTCTTAACCAAACGTTTTTGGTTTTGTGGGCCATACAGTCTCTGTCCCAGTTGCTCATTACTCAGTTTTGCTGTTGTAGCACAAAAGCAGCCATAGATAATAGGTAAGTGAATGAATGTGTCTATTTCAATAAGACTTTATGGACACTGGAATTTGAAGACTTTTTTCTTTTTATTCATTACTTCCTGCACAGTGATAATTTCTTTTGGGCTGGGGGGACAGGTTCTCACTATGTGCCCAGGCTGAGTGCAGTGGTGCAGTCGTAGCCCACAACAGCCTTGAACTCCTGGGTTCAAGCAGTCCTCCTTCCTCTGCCTCCTGAGTAGCTGGGATTACAGGTGTGCACCACCACACCTGGCTAATTTTTAAATTTTTTGTAGAGACGGGTCTCACTATGTTGCCCAGGCTGGTCTCAAACTCCTGGCCTCAAGCAGTCTGCCCACATAGGCATCGCAAAGTGCTGGGATGACAGGCATGAGTCACTGCACCTGGTTGGAATTTGAATTTAATATAATTTTTACATGTCTCAAAATATTATTCTTCAGATATTTTTAACCTTTTAAAAATGTGAAATTCATAGGCTGGGCACAGTGGCTCACGCCTGTAATCCCAGCACTTTGAGAGGCTCATGCGGGTGGGTCACCTGAGGTCAGGAGTTAGAGACCAGCCTGACCAACATGGAGAAACCATGTATCTACTAAAAATACAAAATTAGCCGGGCATGGTGGCCCATGCCTGTAATCCCAGCTACTCGGGAGGCTGAGGCAGGAGAATCGCTTGAACCCAGGAGGCTGAGGTTGTGGTGAGCTGAGATCACGCCATTGCAATCCAGCCTGGGCAACAAGAGCGAAACGACGTCTCAAAAAAAAAAAAAAAAAAACAGCGAAATTCATTCTTAGCTCAAAGGCAGTACAAAAACTGACGGCAGGCCAGATTTGGCCCACACGCTATAGTTTGCAGCCCCTGTGCTAAATCATAAAAGTATTTTTTCCTGGAAGGTCATAGTTATTCATACTGTGAATATTATTTAAGAGAGCATTGAAGATTGTTTTTATATTAAAATGGAACCCGTTACCTTATGGAATAAAACCCAGAATTTAATTTTCAAGATAAAACTTGGAGGCGGGGGCCGGGCGTGGTGGCTCACGCCTGTAATCCCAGCACTTTGGGAGGCCAAGGTGGGCGGATCACGAGGTCAGAAGTTCGAGACCATCCTGGCTAACACAGTGAAACCCTGTCTCTACTAAAAATACAAAAAATTAGCCGGGTGTGGTGGCAGGTGCCTGTAGTCTTAGTTACTCGGGAGGCTGAGGCAGGAGAATGGCATGAACCCAGGAGGCGGAGCTTGCAGTGAGCAGAGCTCATGCCACTGCACTCCAGCCTGGGCGACAGAGCGAGACTCCGTCTCAAAAAAAAAACAAACAAAAAAAAAAACAAAAAAAACTTGGAGACGGCTGTGGTGGCTCACATCTGTAATCCCAGCACTTTGGGAGGTTGAGGCAGGCGCGTCACCTGAGATCACGAGTTCGAGACTAGCCTGGCCAATGTGTTGGAACCCCGTCTCTACTAAAAATACAAAAAAAATAAAAAATTAACCAGGCGTGGTCGCACTCCTGTGTTCCCAGCTACAGGGGAGGCTGAGGCAGGAGAATAGCTTGAACCTGGGAGGAAGAGGTTGTAGTGAGCCGAGATCGCGCCACTGTACTCCAGCCTAGCGACAGAGCAAGACTCTGTCTCAGAAACAAAAACAAAAAAACTTGGATTCTAAAGATACGTTGTTCTGTAGATGGTCTCTGGACCGTACTTTCCTCCTTTCTCCTCAATTTCATTTAGAGCATAAAAGCACTTTCTTAGGCTGTTTGAAGCACTTGGATTGGAAATGTTGCCTGCAGTAACCTGTATAAACATCAATATATCAATAACAGATTATTAGTGCAAAATTTAAATGTCCAAAAACTGAAAGGGAATAATGATCGGTGACTGGGTCTATGAAATTACAAAAGTAAAGCCTAAGGGAGATGGCAAGCTTTCCTATTCTGCTACCCTTGTCAGCTGATGTCTTGGTAGAATTAATAAAGTACTCTTTTTAAACTCAAAAACATCTGTTTTGAATAATACTTTTTTTTTTAACACCCTACCTTTGAGGTAACTATTGTTAATAGTTTGTGTATATCCTTCTGGAATTCTTCTATTCCTGTAGACCTTGCAGATACTTTTTTTTTTTCTACTTGCAGTTATTTTTATTTTTTGTTTTTTGAGAGTGTCTTGCTCTCTCACCCTGGCTGGAGTGTGGCGGTGTGACGATAGCTCAACCTCCTGGGCTCAAGCAATCCTCCCACCTCAGCCTCCCAAGTAGCTGGAACTATAGGCATGCGCAACCAAGCCGAAATACTTTTTTTTTTTTTTTTTTTGTAGAGACGGTTTCACCATGTTGCCCAGGCTGGTCTTGAGCTCCTGGGCTCACGCGATCCTCTTGCCTCTTAAAGTGCTGGGATTACAGGCGTGAGCTACTGTGCCTGGCCATGTTGTGGTTTCAGTACACACTTACCTAATGACTAATCATATTGGATATCTTTTCATGTGCTTATTACCCATTCGGAAAAGTTCTTTTGTGAATATTTTGGGCCCCCTCCCCCCACCTCTTTTTTTTGAGAAAGGGTCTCTGTTCCCCAGGCTGGAGTGCAGTGGCACAATCACGGCTTACTGCAGCCTTGACCTTCCTGACTCAGGCAATCCTCCTGCCTCATTCTCCTCAAGTAGCTGGGACCACCGGAGCGCTCCACCACACCTGGCTAATTTGATTTTTTTTTTCTTTCTTTCTTTCTTTCTTTTTTTTTTTTTTTTGGTAGAGACAGGGCCTCCTTATATTGCCTAGGCTTTTTGCCCAATTTTTATTTTGTTTTATTTTATTTTTTGAGACAGAGTATCACTCTGTTGCCCAGGCTGGAGTGCAGTGGCGTGATCTCAGCTCACTGCAACTTCTGCCTCCCGGGTTCAAGCGATTCTCCTGCCTCAGCCTCTTGAGTAGCCAGGAATACAGGCAAGCACAACCACACCTGGCTTATTTTTTGTATTTTTAGTAGAGATGGGATTTCACCATGTTGGCCAGGCTGGTCTCCAGCTCCTGGCCTCAAGTCATATGCCCGTCTCAGCCTCCCGAAGTGCTGGGATTACAGGTGTGAGCTACCGTGCCTGGCTCCAATTTTTAGTTAGGTTGTTTGTCTTAATCTGTAAGAGTTCTTTAGATTTTAAATATTAATTTTTTGTTGGATATATGTTTCACAAATATTTTCCCTAGTTTGTGGCTTGCCTTCTAATTTTCATAACAGTATCTTTGCAGAACAAAAGTTTTTCATTTTGATGAAGTCCAACTTGCTGATTTTTAAGTATGTGAATTTAAGTAAAAGTCATAATCATACCTACAGTTTTTCTTCTAAAGGATGTTAGTCAATCTTCAAATAAGCATGAATAACTAGATTTAAGAATAAAAAATTGTTTTTTGTAGTTGTTTTCTTGAGGTAAACCTTTTATTTCCTTTATCTTTCCTGTGTAATATCTTTGCAGTAATTCCTTGTCTCACACATACTATGTTTATTTCTGATAGGTTGAGTTGAACCAAATTTTTGTAAATTATATTTATTTTAGCTTCATGCAGCAGCTGATTACTAAATATTTACAATTATGAATTTCTCTAAATTGCCAAGTTGTCCTCTTTATCACTGCACACTGGCACTTGTTGCATTAATGAGAGAAGATAACTATATCTAATTTCTAAGTCTAAAAAACATCAATTTGTGATGTTCTGAAGCAATACTGTAGTCAGTAAAGGAAGCCTTCACTCAAGTTACTATCAGGAAAAGCAACGGGCTGCTCACAGGCTTTATTTTTGCAAGTCTTATCCTGCTGCTTTCCTGGCAAGGATGGTGTTTACTCTCTCCAGTACCACAGAAGGAGCCTGTTTAGCCTCCTGCATCAGTGGCCAAATTGCAGTTGAGTGCTGATTACAGCATCCTTATCTGGCACAGTGTAGGAAGCAGCAAGAAACACTCTTGATTGTTTAGTGGCAATAGATTTTGTGTTACTGGCAGCTCGAAAAATTTACACTTAACAGGCTGAGAGAAGTTGACAGGAACATTGAGAGTCCCGAATAATCATAGATTCTTGAGGGTCATTAGTAACATTATTCAGTGCTTCAAAGTACTTGGCAGTGTGGTCTGTTGGGTATAGCACTAGACTAGCAATGGAGAGTAACGTTTTAAAGTATGCTCAAAGTTTCTCTGTTACTTATCTTTAGCAAATTTCTTCATTGTTCATACCATCTTCATTCCCTAGAAATACTGTGTGAGCATAATTTAGGTGCTAGATTAAAGGGCAATGGGATTTTTTTTTTTTTTTGAGACAGAGTCTCGCGCTGTTGCCCAGGCTAGAGTGTCATGGCGTGATCCCAGCTCACTGCAACCTTCACCTCCTGGGTTCAAGTGATTGTCCTGCCTCAGCCTCCAGAGTAGCTGGGACTACAGGCACGGACCACAATGCCTGGCTAATTTTTGTATTTTTAGTAGAGATGGGGTTTCACCATGTTGGTCAGGCTGGTCTCGAACTCCTGACCTCAAGTGATCTCCCCACGTTAGCCTCCCAAAGTTCTGGAATTACAGGCATAAGCCACTGCACCTGGTAGCAGTGGGATTTTTAAAGGTAGCCAGTCCACAACAATGAAAAAAAAATTACCAAAATGTATATTTTCTTTTTTTCTCTTTGAAAATGTATATTTTCTTTTTTTCTATTTTGAAAAATTTGGCCGGGCACGGTGGCTCATGCCTGTAATCCCAGCACTTTGGGAGGCTGAGGCGGGTGGATCACCTGAGGTCGGGAGTTCAAGTCCAGCCAGACCAACAGGGAGAAACCCCGTCTCCACTAAAAATACAAAATTAGCCAGGCGTGGTGGTGCATGCCTTTAATCCCAGCTACTTGGGAGGCTGAGGCAGGAGAATTGCTTGAACCCGGGAGGCGGAGGTTGCGGCGAGCCAAGATCACGCCACTGCACTGCAGCCTGGGCAACAAGCGCGAGACTCTATCTCAAAAAAAAAAAAAAGAAAAAAGAAAAAAATGAAATTTGCTGAAAAGTTGCAAGAAAGCACAGTTGATAAACCTATGCCCTTCACCTAGATTCATCACTAATATTTTTTATACCTGATTTTAAAAAATCTTTTTAGACTTACAGAAAATTTGCAAAAATATTAGAGAATCCCTCTATACCTTTCACCAAGTTTCCCCTAATGTTAACGTCTTCTTTTTTGTTTGTTTGTTTGTTTTGAGATGAAGCCTAGCTCTGTTGCCCAGGCTGGAGTGCAGTCAGTGGCACGATCTCGGCTCACTGCAACCTCCGCCTCCCGGGTTCAAGCGATTCTGTAGCCTCAGCCTCCTGAGTAGCTGGGATTACAGGCGCCCACCACCACGCCCAGCTAATTTTTGTATCTTTAGCAGAGACGGGGTTTCACTGTGTTGGCCGGGGTGGTCTTGAACTCCTGACCTCGTGATCCGCCCGCCTTGGCCTCCCAAAGTGCTGGGATTACAAGCGTGAGCCACCGTGCCTGGCCTAATGTTAACATCTTATATAACCATAGCCACATTATCAAAATCAGGAAATTAATATAGAATCAGTACTGTTAACTGATTCACAGGCCTTATTTGAATTTTGTCAGTTTTCCCACTAATGTCTCTTTCCTAGTCTAGGTTTTTTTGGTGTCCGTAAATAAAGGTTCACCACATTGTCAGAAAATTCTCTTTCTGTACACTGTGCAGTGTTGTAAGGCCTTGTAGTTATCTTCAGTTAGTTTTTATTTTATCTGTCTGTCTCACCTATATCTATCTGAGATGGAATCTCGCTCTGTTGCTCAGGCTGCTGTGCAGGGTCACAGTCACAGCTCACTGCACCCTTGAACTCTTGGGCTCAAGCACTCCTCCTACCTCAGCCTCCTGAGTAGCTGGGACCACAGGCTCATGGCACCATGCCCAGCAGGTATCTTCAGTTTAGCCTTTACTGGTTGGTAAATGGAGAATAGTTCAAGAGAATGGTGTTCTATGGGCATTCTCCTCTGCCACGCTTGAGTGTTTCTGTGTTTCTTCAAGATGTGTGTTTAGGGTTTCCCCTGTTTGTACCAAGAAAATAGGAAATTTTCTTTGAGAAAAATGAGAGGAAAAAGAATTACTCCACTTTTTTTTTTCCTGTAGAAATTCTTTCTGTTTTGTGTTGATTTATTAACCAGGCTTGGTTATGGTTAGGCTTACTATTCAATAACTAAGTTAAAATGAAGGAAAGAGAATATTAACACAGGCCGGGCATGGTGGCTCATGCCTGTATCCCAGCACTTTGGGAGGCCGAGGTGGTCAGATCATCTTTACCTGAAGTCAGGAGTTTGAGACGAACCTGGCCAACATGGCGAAACCCCGTCTCCACTAAAAATATGGCAGGCACCTGTTATCCCAGCTGCTTGGGAGGCTGACGCAGGAGAATCGCTTGAATCCGGGAGGTGGAGGTTGCAGTGAGCTGAGATCGTGCCACTGCACTCCAGCCTGGACGACAGAGTGAGACTCTGTCTCAAAAAAAAAAGAATATTAAATCAGAAAAATGTAAATTTATTAAGATGATATTCCAGATTAGACTAGAAATTTTAGTTCAGATTGAATATGTCTATAAAATATCTTTTTTTTTTTTCCTTTGAGACAGAGTCTCGCTCTCTTGCCAGGCTGGAGTGCAGTGGCGTGATCTTGGCTCACTGCAACCTCCACCTCCCAGGTTCAAGCAATTCTCTTGCCTAAGCCTCCCGAGTAGCTGGGACAACAGGCATGTACCACCACGCCCAGCTAATTTTTGTATTTTTAGTAGAGACGGGGTTTCACCATGTTGGCCAGGATGGTCTCGATCTCTTGACCTTGGGATCCACCTGCCTCCGCCTCCCAAAGTGTTGGGATTACAGGCATGAGCCACCGCACCCGGCCTTATAAAATGTCTTTATAGGTTATAATTTAACTAAAGGTATAACTTTTTAAATTATAATTTATTTAAACTTAGAACTCGGAGAAAGTGTGACTTTTGATATATAGGAGACTTGTAAATGTTACAGTTACTTAACATGTATTTATTGTCTCTTCTGTTCGGGTCAAAATGCTTTGATTATACCCTATTTATTCAGATTGTCTGTTCAGCTTGCCCAGGCTTGATGAAAGGAATAAGTGGTGTCTAGATGTACTGTCAGAGACACACCTGTTTTTTTCACTATTTGAGGCCTTAAGAGAAACGTTTGAAAACTTTAGTCATATGCCAGAACTTAGCATTTTTGAGGAAGTTTTAGCATGGGTGGGGAATGATTTGTTTTCCCCCATGCCAGAAGTCATCACACCTTTGGTTTAGTGTTGAGAACAGAGTGCAGATTTGTAGCAGCAGCTGTTTGAAAATACTAGTTCATGGTGGAGATTGCAGTGAGCCAAGATCATGCCACTGCACTCTAGCCCAGGCGACAGAGCCAGACCCTGTGTAAAAAAAAAAAATTTTTTTTTTTTTTTTGAGAGAGAGTCTTGCACTGTCACCTGGGCTAGAGTGCAGTGACGCCATCTTGGGTCACTGCAACCTCCGCCTCCCAGGTTCACACGATTCTCCTGCCTCAGTCTCCTAAGTAGCTGGGATTACAGGTGCCCACCACCATACCCGGCTAATTTTTTGTATTTTTAGTACAGATGGGGTTTCACCATGTTGGCCAGACTGCTCTTGAACTCCTGACCTCGTGATCCGCTGGCCTCGGCCTCCAAAAGTGCTGGGAATACAGGCGTGAGCCACTGGCCCTTTCTTTTTTCTTTTTTTTGAGACGGAGTCCCGCTCTGTCATCCTGGCTAGAGTGGTGCAGTGGCGCAATCTTGGCTCACTGAATCCTCCGCCTCCTGGGTTCAAGTGATTCTCCTGCCTCAGCCTCCTGAGTAGCTGGGATTACAGGTGCATGCCGCCATGCCCAGCTAATTTTTTGTATTTTAGTAGAGACGGAGTTTCACCATGTTGGCCAGGCTGGTCTCGAACTTCTGGGCTCAGGCAATCCACCCACCTTGGCCTCCCAAAGTTCTGGGATTACAGGCATGAGCCACTGCGTCTGGCCTAATTTTTTTTAATTAAAAAAAAATGGCTGTAATCTCAGCACTTTTGGAGGCCGAGGTGGGTGGATCACCTGAGGTCAGGAGTTTGAGACCAGCCTGGCCAACATGATGAAACCCCGTCTCTACTAAAAATACAAAAATTAGCCGGGCGTGGTGGCACACGCCTGTAATCCCAGCTGCTGAGGAGGCTGAGGCAGGAGAATCGCTTGAATCTGGGAAGCGGAGGTTGCAGCGAGCCAAGATCACGTCATTGTACTCCAGCCTGGGCAAGAAGAGTGAACCCTTCATCTCAAAATAAGTAAATAAATAAATAATAAATTTTAAAAAATGAAACTACTAGTCCATAACAGTGGACTTTTTTCTCCAAGTTTTCCTTTTGCTATATAATGTCATTTTATGCAGAACTTTAAAAAATTTATACTGATACACGGCCAGGTGCAGTGGCTCACGCCTGTAATCCCAGCACTTTGGGAAGCCGAGGTGGGCAGATCACTTGAGGTCAGGAGTTCAAGACCAGCCTGGCCAACATGGCAAAACCCCATCTCTACTAAAAATACAAAAATTGGCCGGGTACGATGCCTCACACCTGTAATCCCAGCACTTGGGGAGACTGAGGTGGGCATATCACGAGGTCAAGGTCAGGAGATCGAGACCATCCTGTCTGACTGGTGAAACCCCGTCTACTAAAAATACAAAAAATTAGCCCGGTGTAGCAACGTGCACCTATAGTCCCAGGTACTTGGAAAATTGAGGCAGGAGAATCGCTTGAACCTGGGAGGCAGAGGTTGCAGTGAGCCGAGATCGTGCCACTGCACTCCAGCCTGGGCGACAGAGTGAGACTCCGTCTCCAAAAAAAAAAAAAAATACAAAAATTAGCTGGGCATGATGGTGCATGCCTGTAGTTCTAGCTACTCAGGAGGCTGAGGCACGAGAATGGCTTGAACCCGGGAGGCGGAGGTTGCAGTGAGATGAGTTCAAGCCACTGCACTCCAGCTTGGGCAGGAGAGAGAGACTCTGTCTCAAAAAAAAAAAAAATTTTTTATTCTTATACACACTGAACACCTGTAATGTTCTAGCACTCTAGTTTTGTTTTTGTTTTATCTTTTTTTGTCACACTATATTAATGAAGGATTTTTAAATTTGGGATTTAAAAATACATGACTGCAGATAAAAAACATTAAAGAAACATAGGAACATATGTAGGTGAAACATGGGGGGCACAAAGTCAAGGCCAGAGGCTGTTGTATCTGACATTTTTGTTTATTTGTTCCTCTTTGGAGCTGGGAGAAAAGAGATTTATTGAGCACCCGGTGTTTTTTTATTTGTTTTTTAAACATGAAGGTCATGAGTGAATTAATAGAGAGGCATGTCAGAAAATCACAAAGCACCTGCACGTCTGTGTGAGGGTTGTTAAACGTGCCTCCCAAGTGATGAAGAGGAAGAATCTTTGAGACAGCATGCAAATTGAAGTTGCTATGCATTAGTAAGATGCATAGAACCTTCTAAAATGTAGGAATATAGTGGCACACCATTAAGCCATACATAAATGCTTTGGTATATTTGCCCCAAATGTAGCAAAAACCATGTTTCTCTTTGTGGTAATGGAATTTGTCTTCTTAAATAGCACCTTGTAGTTCCAGTTTTTCTGGCGCTAAGTTCCCAGTAAACATTTATCATCCAAATAATTGAGAACCATTTATGCCTTATTTCATACTTCACACTTTCCAAGAATGCCGAGTCACAAAATAAAAGTCTTAAATTAGGAAATTGTCAAAAATAGAAAAGGCTTCAGAGAGAGGTTGTTTTTTTCTGTTTGTTTGTTTTGAGCCATAGTCTCACCCTGTCGCCCAGGCTGGAGTGCAATCGTGTGATCTTGCTCTTCTCCACCTCCCCGGTTCAAGCGATTCTCCTGCCTCAGTTCCTGAATAGCTGGAATTACAGGTGTGGCCACCACACCTGGCTAATTTTTTGTATCTTAGTAGAGACGGTTTCACTATGTTGGACAGGCTGGTCTCGAACTCCTGACCTTGTGATCCACCTGCCTTGACCTCCCAAAGTGCTGGGATTACAGGTGTGAGCCACCGTGTGCCTGGCCCAAAAAGTTTTTAAATGTTCAGAAGGGCTTGGTTTATCAGCTGAAGACTGGTTTTATTCCATTTTTATTGTTTTTTTCCTTCTTCAAGCAAATCTGTCTCTCAGTGGCAATAAATGTCATCTGTTCATCCATACTTACAGTCCTCCTCTCCTTTGATGACTGGCATAGTAAGTGTTATTAATGACAGACTTGAGTAAGTTTAGTGAAATGCCCAGATCTTCAGGAATTCAGTAGGCTCTAGTAAGATGCTATACACAGTGAAATTTTTCCCGTCTTAGAACTAACTCCAAAAAATAAATAAATATATTTGATTTTTCAGATGTAATTTAGATGCCAGAAGGAGACCAGAATTGGGGTCTGTTTCTGCTGTTTAGCCTTACACATGACTCTTCAAGTCTGTTTCTTCATCTTCAAAGTGTAAAAAATAATGGTACCTAGTTCCTAGGGCTGTTTGAAAGAATAAACAGAATAATACCATGTAAAATGCCTACCACTGTGTTCAGAGCATAATGCGTACCTAAGACATTGTTTAAAACAAAAGGAAATCCCTGCATGCGTGGGGTCTGTGTTTTCATCTTTTTCTTGTCCTTGGAGTATTTCAGTCTCCTCAGGTCCTCTGGAATAAGTGTGGTGTTAAGGGTGGGAAGTCCTCCTGTAGCCAGTGTGGGTAGCCTCTAGAAGCTGATGCCTTCTATGAGGCAGAATCGATTGGTTCCAAATAGCCCAAAAGAGTACATACATAAAAAGATGAAATTGACAAGGCGTTTTCTTTTTATATACTTGCTTTATTTTTTTTTTTTTTAACAGTGTCTTCCATGAAGAAATGATGAAGATGCGACAGGCTAAGCTGGATTATCAGGTGAGCAGAGTCTCCTCTTTTGAAATAGGTGGCCAACTATACTGACCGTGATGCTGATGGTCTTGGCTCTGAAGCCTTTGGCAGGGCTATGGAAAGAAGACTGGAAAGGAGAAGGCTCGGGTGGTTACCTGTGAAGCAGTGTCTGGAGTTAGTGGTTGCTGAACCAAGGCTCTGGCTATGGCAAGACCAAAGTGCTTTGAGGATGTCAGCAACAAGACTGGCCTTGGATTTACAATCACCAAAAATTCCTTGGCGCCTTTCTTTCTGAGGAATTAGAAGAGTGTTAACATTGTATTTCTGTGTAGTAATTTGGTTCTGCTACCTTAAGTACCTCTCTACGATGTCATTTCACTTAACTGCAAGATGGTGTTCTTATGCGAAAATGCATATCCGAGCTTGCTGCCGTGCTGCTTTCAAATCTCCATCGCAGGGCCGGGCACAGTGGCTCACGCCTGTCATCCCAGCACTGTGGGAGGCCGAGGCAGGCAGATCACGAGGTCAGGAGATCGAGACCATCCTGACTAACACGGTGAAACCCAGTCTCTACTAAAAAATACAAAAAATTAGCCGGGCATGGTGGCGGGCACCTCTAGTCCCAGCTACTCAGGAGGCTGAGGCAGGAGAATGGCGTGAACCCAGGAGGCGGAGCTTGCAGTGAGGCGGAGCTTGCAGTGAGCAGAGCAAGACTCCGTCTCAAAGAAAAAAAAAAATCCCCATCGCATAGAGAATAATTTTCTTCACAGAGCTGCTGGCACATTTAGTTTGTTTTCTCCATTACACTAAGCTCTGTGAGAACAGAGCCAAGCATGTTTTGGATAACCATTATATCAGAAGTTCTCAGCACAGTGCTGGACATGTAGTAATCCTTCATTAGGTATTTGAACAAAGGAAGGACTAAATGAACGGTTTTGTGTTGTTACATGCTGTGATCATCATATTCAGGTAGCTTAGAACGTATACCCAACATACATTGCATTTATATTCGCTTTTTTCTATGAATCTATTCTAATTCAGCAAATTCTGTAGCTAGGATCGTTAACAGTCAAGATGTCTGGATTCAATAGGTGACTAAAAGTCTCTAAAGTTTTGTCTTCTCTTCTTTATGTGGTTGGTGGAACTAATAATGGGACTTCTAGCCTAATAAATTATTTTAAAGGTGGAATTACTGAAAACTAAGAAACAAACTAATTTACTGTGATCTTGGAGAAAATTCTGTTACACACACACACATATACATACACACTTATCCCTCTGCCCGCAGAGATCACAGTAATTGTGATGAGCCCTTTATTTTCTTCATTCTGTTGCAGAGCAAATTGTATTTAGGGAGAAGTGGGCACAAAAATGTAGATCTTTGATTTATTTTTATTCATTTTTATTCTTAGGCATCCTAGTATCGTAAGGCCCAATTGTACCTACTTTGTTAACATTAGATAAAATCTATGGTTCATCTATGGATCATGTTCTAAGACATCAAACTTTAAATTTTGTATATAGATACATTTTCTGAGTTTTTTTTTTTAAGGTGGCCCTAATATTTTGTAATTGTATTCTTTTCATTGAAAATGCTACATGTGATAATAAATGTTGTAACTTTTGTAAGCCTTTTTGTAGCACAATTTTTTTTAAATTATGTTTTTACATAGGTAATAAAAACATAAGAATTCAAATAATATAAGATAGATGTTTGATGAAAACATCTCTCTCTGCTTGGCTCAGTTCTTTATCAGTGGCTATCACTGACTTTTAATATATCTTCCAGAGATAGTCAGTGAATTTTTTTTTTTTTTGAGACGGAGTCTCACTCTGTCGCCCAGACTGGAGTGCAGTGGCGCAATCTTGCCTCACTGCAAGCTCCAACTCCCGGGTTCACGCCATTCTCCTGCCTCAGCCTCCCAAGTAGCTAGGACTACAGGCGCCTGCCACCACGCCAGGCTAATTTATTTTTTATTTTTTTTTAATTTTTACTAGAGATGGGGTTTCACTGTGTTAGCCAGGATGGTCTCGAACTCCTGACCTCATGATCCGCCCGCCTTAGCCTCCCAAAGTGCTGGGATTACAGGCGTGAGCCACTGCGCCCAGCCTTTTTTTTTTTTTTTTTTTTTTTTTTTTTTTTTTTTTTTTTTTGAGTCAGTGAATTTAGAGACATAAAATTTTATAGGAGTTTTTTTTACATGCCTAGGAGTTTCAAAGGAATATTTTAAAATTAAAAAATCTCTTTGGATCAGATGTATACATTCTGGTGTTAAATAACGTACGAGAAGCTGGCATGGTAGTGTGCACCTGTAGTTCCAGCTGCCTGGGAGGCTGAGGAGGAAGGATCCCTTGACCTCAAGTGTTTTAGTTCAGTCTGGGCAACACAGCAAGACACCACCCTCCATCTCTTAAAAAAAAAAAGTGTATGAGAATGTTGTTAGAGCCATGAAATGCCAATAAGTGCTTAAGAAGGAAGTCACTCAGTAGGGGGTAAGGGAATTTCCACAAATGCAAGCTGAGCTTTCAAATGGTGTATAACAGCAACAAAGGCAGCACCACATAATGAAGAAAACATTGGGCTGGGAATCAGAAGGCTTTGGTCTAGTTCTGGCTCTGCCATTATTCAGCTGTGTGATTTTAGGTAAAGTTCTTAAAGTCAGTTGGCCTCAGTCATTTCATCTGTAGAGTGAAGTTAGACTGGATAAAATAATAGAATGTTAGAAAGAATCTTAAGCGTGTCTAAGTTAGAGCCAAGATGGAGGCATATTGAGGAAGGGCAGGCTACAGCTCAGCCCAGGCATCCCAGGTGGGCAGTATCTTGGTGCGAGCTTCACAGTCCAGAGTAGGCCAGCCTGCCCAAGGGATACAGTGCACACCCATCAGTGACGGTGGCACATCCTAGCAGTTACCCTCAATGGAGGTGGCAGAGGCTGGGGAAGCCCTGCCCAGATGTACATTAGATTAGACTCAGGAATTCTGCTATGGCAGTGTCCCTTTGGTTAAGTGTCACTGGTCATGAGCTCTGTAGGATAAGAAACAGCTAAAAGCAACCAAAGTTAATCAGTCTCCCGAGGATTGGTTTGTATTAGCCAGTCTCGTAAGTGATGAATCTGAATCTGAGAATCACTTTCTAGTGAACTGTGTTCGAGAATTAGCTGGTCATTACATTCCCAGTAGAAATATCTGTGGGAAGTTTGCGATCGGGACATAGCTTGGTATATTCGAAATCAGAGCAGGTAGAGTTTGTAAAATGCTATTTATAGTGACACATTAAAATATGATAGTAGGATTAATTCACCTCTTCTGAAGGGATATACCTACCCAAGGAAGGAGATTCGCATGTGCCCAGGACATTCTCCCTGCCTTAGTGCTAGAGACATAGGGTAGATCTTGTTCTTTCCCTTAACACGTTCTTTTTTTTTTTTTTTCTTCTTTTGAGACAGTCTCCCTCTGTCGCCAGGCTGGAGTGCAGTGGCACGATCTCGGCTCACTGCAACCTCTGCCTCTGTGCCCAGCCAGTTTTTCCACATTCTTACCAACACTTGTTATTGTCTGTCTGTGATTTAGAGCCATTCTAGTGGGTGTGAAGTGGTATCTCATTGTAGTTTTGATTTGCATTACCCTAATGACTAATTATGTTGAGTTTGTGTGTGTGTGTGTGTGTGTATGTGTGTGTGTGTGGTGGCCTTTTATTTTTTTTTATTTTTTTGAGATAGGTTCTCACTCTGTCACCCAGGCTGGAGTGCAGTGATACGGTCATAGCTCACTGAAGTCTTGACCTCCTGGGCTCAAGCGATCCTCCCACCCCAGCCTCCCAAGTAGCTGAGACTACAGGCATGCACGACCACACTTGGCTAATTTTTCTTTTTTCTTTTCTTCTTCCTGTATTTAGAGATGGGATCTTGCAGTGTTGCCCAGGCTGGTCTCAAACTTGTGACTTCAAGTGATCCTCCTTCCTCTGCCTCCCAAAGTGCTAGGATTATAGGCATGAGCCATCATGCCTGGTCAAGTTTTATAGTTTTAGCTTTTACACTTTCCGTGGTTTATTTATTTTTATTTATTTATTTTTTCTGAGATGCAGTATTTCTCTGTCCCCCAGGCTGGAGTGCAGTGACACAATCTCAGCTCACTGCAACCTCCGCCTCCCGGGTTCAAGCAATTCTCCTGCCTCAGCCTCCTGAGTAGCTGGGATTACAGGCGTGCGCCACCACACCTGGCTAATTTTTGTATTTTTAGTAGAGACTGGGTTACACCATATTGGTCAGGCTGATCTCGAACTCCTAACCTCATGATCCGCCTGCCTCGGCCTCCCAAAGTGCTGGGATTACAGGCATGAGCCACTGTGCCCGGCCTCTGTGGTTTACTTCTAAAACTGACGTATAATAATTGTACATATTTATGGGGTACACATGATATTTGATATTTGATACATGCACACAACGTGTAATGATCAAATTATTGTAATGATCATGTTATTTAAGGTATCCATCACCTCAAACATTTGTCATTTCTTTGTGTTGGGAACATTTCAAATCTTCTAGCTATTTTGAAATATACAATAAATAATTCTTTTTTTTTTTTTTTTGAGACGGAGTTTTGCTCTTGTCGCCCAGGCTGGAGTACAATGGCGCAATCTTGGCTCACTGCAACCTCTGCCTCCCAGGTTCAAGCAGTTCTCCTGCCTCAGCCTCCTGAGTAGCTGGGATTATAGGCATGTGCCACCACGCCCAGCTAATTTTGTATTTGTAGTAGAGACAGGGTTTCTCCATGTTGGTTAGGCTGGTCTCGAACTCCCGACCTCAGGTGATCTGCTCGCCTCAGCCTCCCAAAGTGCTGGGATTACAGGCATGAGCTACCACTCCCAGCCAATAAATTATTCTTAACTATAGTCACCCTCTTGTGCTATTGAACACTAGAACATATTTCTTCTGTCTAACTGTATGTTTGAATTAATTGCTGTGTATAGCGTGAAACAGAGATTCAGCTTCATTCAGATATTCAGCTTTCCCAACACCATTTATCGAAATACTTTCCTGTTGAGTATATCTTGCTTTTATTTTTACCAGTTTCACTAGGATACTCTTTCTTGTTTTTGAGGAGAAGTCTTTCTCTGTTGCCCAGGTTGGAGTGTAGTGGCGCAATCTTGGCTCACTGCAACCTCTGCCTCCCAGATTCACGTGATTTTTGTGCCTCAGCCTCCAGAGTAGCTGGGATTAGAGGAGTGCACCACCACGCCTGGCTAATTTTTGTATTTTTCGTAGAGATGGAGTTTCACCATGTTGGCTAGGCTGGTCTTGAACTCCTGGCCTCAAGTGATCCAGCCACCTTGGTCTCCCAAAGTGCTGGGATTACAGGTGTGAGCCACCATACCTGGCAAGATACTCGTTTTCAGGGTATGTGGGCACCTTAGCAAGCTGCAGAATGGATTTTCTTTTCTTTTCTTTTTTTTGAGACAAGAGTGTAGCCCTGTTGCCCAGGCTGGAGTGTAGTGGCATGATCTTGGCTCACTGCAACCTCTGCCTCTCGGGTTCAAGCGATTCTTATGCCTCAGCCTCTCGAGTAGCTAGGACTACAGGCAGACGCCACCATGCCTGGCTAATTTTTTGTATTTTTAGTAGAGACAGGGTTTTGCCATGTTTGTCAGGCTGGTTTCAAACTCCTGGCCTCAAGTGATCCACCCATCTCGGCCTCCCAAAATGCTGGGATTACAGGCGTGAGCCACTGCGCCCAGCCCAGAATGGATTTTCTGATTCTTGCTGTGATATTTCTGACATGGATGCATATTAGGTAGAGTACATTTATTTCGTCTGATGAAAATGGATTAAAGTACAACATAGTTCCTTTGAGCCAAGTTGCTCATCTATTTGTATGATGAGAGGTCATCACTGCACTGAATGATATTTTAAGAAGTCTAGTTTAAAAATTTTAGTCTTACCTTCCTATGATCTTGCTTTGTGGGCGGGGAGATTAAGTTAGTTTTTTTATTTTGTTTTTTTTTTTTGAAACAGAGTCTCGTTCTGTCGCCAGGCTGGAGTGCAGTGGTGCAATCTCAGCTCAGGCTCACTGCAACCTCCACCTCCCAGGTTCAAGCGATTCTCCTCCCTCAGCCTTCTGAGTAGCTGGGACTACAGGCGCATGCCTCCACGCCCAGCTAATTTTTTTAATTTTTAGTAGAGATGGGATTTCACCATGTTGGCCAGGATGGTTTCAATCCTTTGACCTCGTGATCTGCCCGCCTCAGCCTCCCAAAGTGCTGCGATTACAGGCGTGAGCCACCGTGCCCGGCCGAGATTTTTAAACAAACTGATAGACTGCAGACAACTAGCCTGATGCTGGTTGTACTCTGTGGTTGGTCAGTCTGTTGGAAAACTGTCATAGTGTAACCTTAGCCCATCACCTCTAGGGTGACTCCTTGTCTAGGAAAATTGAGAATTAGTTAAACTATCATTAATTTAAATGAAGTTTTATTTATTTTGAGATGGTTGCTCTGTTGCCCAGGCTGGAGTGCAATGGCGCGATCTTGGCTCACTGCAACCTTTGCCTCCCGGGTTCAAGCAATTCTCCTGCCTCAGCCTCCCAAGTAGCTGGATTTACAGGCTTGTGCCACCACATCCAGCTAATTTTTGCATTTTTAGTAGAGATGGGGTTTCCGGCATGTTGGCCTCGAATTCCTGACCTCAAGAGATCGGCCCACCTCAGCCTCCCAAAGTGCTGGGATTACAGGCATGAGCCACTGCGCCGGTCAGAGCTTTATTATTTTATTGGATAAAGTTATTTCATGGAAATTTCCACCTATCTGATCTCCTTTAATTTCTTACTGTTTATTTTGACATCACCATTCAATATTTTAGCAGGATAGTAAGACATACCACTAAATTCTTGGGAAGATAGATTCTTTTACAGTTCAATTCCCAAGATAATTAGGAAATTTAAAAGTGATTAAGTTTTAGTTTATATGACACTTAAAATCACGAAGGCAGTGTGTTTTAATTGCATTTAGGGCATCTAACCATCAGCTCTGGCTTTCTTCCTGGCTCCCTGACTTACTCTATCTTGGTAATGAGTCCTTCATTGATGTAGCCTCGTTTAAAGCACTTTTAGGTTTTCAGGGAAGTAAAATATAGATGGAATAGGAATTGACATTGTTACATTCAAACACAAGTAGCACTTCTCTCCTCCCCCATCCAAACTGCATGACGGTTTTCACCAAGATGGCAGCTTGCACATATATGTTTAATGGTATTTTTCTTATTTGTAAACTTGGACAGTAGTAAGATCATTCAATACTGAGGTATAGTAGCTGTGGCCCTGATTACAGTTTGAGTCTACAGTTGTTTTTTTCTTAAGTCATTGGTCTAAATGAGTTTGATTTGTCTGTAAGTAGATAGAGAGAGGCTTCCCCAGATACCTTGGCAGGAACACTGTGGTCAGGGGTCTAGTCTCCCCTTAACAAGTGAGAGCTTAGTTTGTCAGTGAACTGGATATAACCAGGTCCTTTGGCACAAATTCACGCTAGTTAAACCCACACCAGTAAGTTTTAAAACCAGAACCCCAAGTTATTAATTTATAAAGGGAGCTCTACTCTTTCAGTGTGTATTCATGTCTACTGTTCATAATACTCTTTTCCTGGGAATACGATACCTAAGAAGTTAAACTTCAAATTAGAAGGCTTATTGGTGAGCAAGGAATCAGAGGGAATGAGGTCAGGAGTTTGAGACCAGCCTGGTCAACATGGTGAAACTCCATCTCTACTAAAAGTTTAAAAATCAGCTGGGCATGGTGGGGTGCACCTGTAATCCCCGCTACTCGGGAGGCTGAGGCAGGAAAATTGCATGAACCCGTGAGGCAGAGGTTGCAGTGAGCCGAGATCGCACCACTGCACTCCAGCCTGGGCAACACAGCGAGACTCTGTCTCAAAAAAAAAAAAAGATACTTCTCTTTCTTGGACAAACCTGATAACCCTATCAAATTCTAGCTCTTTGGCCTCCCTTTTCTAGACCACAGCAGAAAACTCCTTTTCTATAGAAAATATTTTCCTTGGCCAGGTACGGTGGCTCATGCCTGTAATCCCAGCACTTTAGGAGGCCAAGGCGGGCGGATCATGAGGTCAGGAGATCGAGACCATCCTGGCCAACACGGTGAAACCTCATCTTTACTAAAAATACAAAAAATTAGCCGGGCGCGGTGCCGGACGCCTGTAGTCCCAGCTCCTCGGGAGGCTGAGGCAGGAGAATGGCGTGAACCCGGGAGGCGGAGCTTGCAGTGAGCCGAGATCGCGCCACTGCACTCCAGCCTGTGTGACAGTGCAAGACTCTGTCTCAAAAAAAAAAGAAAATATTTTCCTTGCATGTGAACCCCATCTCTACTAAAAATACAAAAAAAATTAGCTGGGTGTGGTGGCAGGTGCCTGTTATCCTAGCTACTCCGGAGGCTGAGTCAGGAGAATTGCTTGAACCCAGGAGGCAGAGATTGCAAGTGAGTTGAGGTTGCACCATTGCACTCCAGCCTGGGCAGCAAGAGTGAAACTCCGTCTCAAAAAATAGCTACAGCATTCATTTTTGTTTTTGTTTTTGTTTTGAGACAGTCTCGCTCTGTCGCCCAGGCTGGAGTGTAGTGGTCCAATCTCGGCTCACGGCAACCTCTGCCTCCCAGGTTCAAGTGATTCTCCTGCCTCAGCCTCCCAAGTAGCCGGGATTACAGGCGCTTGCCACCACGCCTGGCTAATTTTATTTTTTAATAGAGACGGGGTTTCACCATGTTGGCCCGGCTGGTCTCAAACTCCTGACCTCAGGTAATCCGCCCACCTCGACCTCCCAAACTGCTGGGATTACAGGCGTGAGCCACCGCGCCCAGCCTACAGTATGTGATTTTGTTTCATCGATCATTTCACAGACTATGTATGAGATGAAATAGCTGTGGCCACATAGATAAGATATGGCAGTTTCTTATGATTTCAGTACTTCATATTTACCACCTTTTCAGGCAAGTTACTTTTTTTTTTGAAATGGAGTTTTGCTGTTGTTGCACAGGCTGGAGTGCAGGGGCATAATCTCAGCTCGCCGCAACCTCCGCCTCCCAGGCTCAAGCGATTCTCCCGCCTCAGCCTCCGAGTAGCTGGGATTACAGGCATGCGCCGCCACATCCGGCTAATTTTTGTGTTTTTAGTAGAGACGGGGTTTCTCCATGTTGGTCAGGCTGGCTTTGAACTCCCGACCTCAGGTGATCCGTCCGCCTCAGCCTCCCAAAGTGCTGGGATTACAGGCATGAGCCACTGTGCCCGGCCAGCAAGTTACTTTTTATCCATTATACAAGACCTCTTGGTTGCTAGAAGAATTTTTTTTTTTTTTGAGACAGAGTCTCGAGTCTTGCTCTGTCACCCAGGCTGGAGTGTAGTGGCATGATCTCAGCTCACCACAACCTCTACCTCCTGGGTTCAAGTGATTCTCCTGCCTCAGCCTCCTGAGTAGCTGGGATTACAGGCATGCGCCATGACGCAGGCCAATTTTTGTATTTTTCATAGAGACGGGGTTTCACCATGTTGGCCAGGGTGGTCTCAAACTCCTGACCTCAAGTGATCCACCTGACTCTGCCTCCCAAAGTGTTGGGATTACAGGCGTGAGCCACTGCGCCCGGCTGCTAGAAGAATCTCAGTGGCCAATTCTGTTTGGTGGAAGTCATTATAGCCTCCTGTGTATTTAGTGTTCCTGGGTTAATGTCCTTCTATTCATGGTAATTCATGAAATCTCAAAATAATCTCCAAACAACTTAGTCCTTGCTCTAACACCTATTCATTCTTGATGGTATATTCTGTATTGGCACGTTATCTTAACTCCCCAATCTTTTCCCTCTATATGCAAGCTATTGAATTAATCAGTGTGCTCTCATCAGCCCAGTTCAGGAAAAACACACTTCCTTTTTTGATAGTCTCACCCCTTGGAGTGACTCTTCTTCCTGGAGGCACTTTTCTAAAACAGTATCGATGGAAAAAAGTAAACAGATGGCTTCTTTTGCCTGAAAAACAGTAGTAAGTGGGTTATAATATATTTGTTTTTTAATCATGTCTTTATTTTTTAGCATGGGGCTTAACATTTTTCCTACTCTGAGTTATCCCAGATCAATAATAATTTCTATATATTATAAACCCTTATTTGCCAAAAGGTACTAGTACTATGTGCTAGTACCTTCCTTTCCATTTCATTGGTTTTTTTTTCTCATAGTCTGTCATGCTTGTTTCCTGACTTTTCTTGCTACCATAGTCTTTATCTTGCTTTTATTCATAGAGTTGACTGCTTTCTATTTGATATGTTCCAACTGCCATTTTTTTCTTCTCACCCTTGATCCAAATTTGATTTCTAATTATATAAGATAAACAAGAATGCCAAACTTACTGCCCTTTGACTAATTAGAACATGGAAATAATTTGAGTTTTAGAGAATAATAAAGTTTTTTTCTTCCATTTACAAAAGTAAGAAAACTTAAAAAAAAAAAAAGACTAGAAAAGAGAAAACAATCATGCCATAGTCTGCCACCTGAAGAAACCACCCTTGCTGTGTTCCTCCATCTGTCCTCCGTGCATGTGTGTTTGTATGTTTTGAGCTTGTGGTCACATTTGATAATGCTATGATGATTCCCATACATCTTTAGTAGACTTGGTTACAAATGCACTGTGTGGGACAGGTGCAGTGGCTCACGCCTGTAATCCCAACACTTTGGGAGGCCAAGGCAAGCAGACTGCTTGAGCTCAGGAGTTTGAGACCAGCCTGGGCAATGTCGGGAAACCCTGTCTCTACAAAAATACAAAAAATAGCTGGGCATGGTAGCACACACCTGTAGTCCCAGCTCTTCAGGAGGCTGAGGCAGAAGGATTGGGCGTGCCTTGGAGGTCAAGGCTGCAGTGAGCTGTGATGGTGCCACTGCACTCAGCCTGGGCAACTGAGTGAGACTCTGTCTCAAAAAAAAGAAAAAAAAAAGCATCATCTGATTTTAAATAGATCTTTATAGGTGTTAGGTGTTCAAAAGTATTTGTTAAATGAAATGATTGAATCCTTACTCCTCTCTGTGCCTCAGTTTTCCCATTTCTTAAATGGGGAAAAAATAATTTACAAGATGTTTTGTGAGGATCAGTGAAAAACAAACTGGGCATGTTGGAAATGGTTAGGTCATGTCAAAACTCTCCTTGCTGGCTGTCATATCGCTTTTTTCCCAGAGGCTACTACTTGAGAAGAGGCAAAGGAAAAAGCGCCTTGAGCCATTTATGGTGCAGCCCAATCCAGAAGCCAGGCTACGTCGGGCAAAGCCAAGGGCCAGTGATGAGCAGACTCCCTTGGTGAACTGTCATACTCCCCACAGCAATGTCATCTTACATGGTGTGTATTTAGGCAGCATCACTTCCTAGTGGGGTACAATTTTCACAAACCTAGAAGGCACGAGGATTGTCAGACGGACCAAAGGGACAATATTATTAGCACCATTACTAGGTACCTTCATAAATCTTTATAATCACATTTGGGGTCTTTGAGGAGAATAAAAGCAATGATATAATCAGTGGAAGATGCCTTAAGGTTTGCGTCCATTTTAGAACTGTTGTTTTCTTTTTTTTGAGACGGAGTTTTGCTTTTGTCGCCCAGGCTGGAGTGCAATGGCGCGATCTTGGCTCACTGCCAACCTCCTCCTCCCAGGTTCAAGTGATTCTCCTGCCTCAACTTCCCGAGTAGCTGGGTTTACAGGCGCCTGCCACCATGCCCGGCTAATTTTTTTATACTTTTAGTAGAGACGGGGTTTTACTATGTTGGCCAGGCTTGTCTCGAACTCCTGACCCAGGTGATCCACCCGCCTTGGCCTCCCAAAGTGCTGGGATTACAGGCTTGAGCCACCATGCCCGGCAAGAACTGTTGTTTTCTAGATGCCAGATGAATGAGTTTAGAATGACCTATTTGAGGAGCTCTTGATTGTTAAATCGTGGCAGAGGTGAATCATGAAGCCGGGAATAGGTAGAGAGCGTCCATTCTTCCAACAGATAGTTGAAAGGATCATCTGAGATGGGGAGGGGCGGAGGAAGAATAAGATTGTAAGTGCCTCTAAATCAAGCCACTGGAGCTATTGGCTTGTACAGGATCTGTACTATGGAGGACCTACTTTGTTTTCTTGGTCTCATTCTTAAGTTTCTGAAGTACATATTACTTCAGTTACTGAAGTACAAGTACATATGACTTTAGTAACAGAGCATGTTAATAAAATGAACACCAGGCTGGGCGTGGTGGCTTATACCTGTGATCCCAGCACTTTGGGAGGCCAGAAAGGCAGATCACTTAAGGCCAGGTGTTTGAGACTAGCCTGGGCAACATAACAAGACTCCATCTCTACAAAAAAATTAACAATTAGCCAGGTGTAGTAGCACACACCTGTAGTCCCAGCTACTCGGGGGACTGAAGTGGGAGGATCGTTTGAGCCTAGGAAGTCGAGGCTACAGTGAGCTGTGATTACACCACTGCTCTCCAGCCTGGGTGACAGAGTGAGATCCTGTCTCAGAAAAAAAGAACACCAGTTCTGACCTTCTCTCTTAACAAATGTTCTTATGGATGTTAAGAAAGGAGGGCAGATAAAATGATTTGGTAGTTCTTAATTCTGATCACATATGCCAAATCTACCCAACTAGTGAATAATACTTTGCTCCTTTTTTAAAATTCATTTTATTTTGGCCCTTAGGTATTGATGGTCCAGCTGCTGTCCTGAAACCAGACGAAGTTCATGCTCCATCAGTAAGCTCCTCTGTTGTGGAAGAAGATGCTGAAAACACCGTGGATACTGCTTCCAAGCCAGGACTTCAGGAGCGTCTCCAAAAGCATGGTGAGGACTGGTAATGATTTTAAGGCAATTTGTCTCCTTACTCAATTGTAATCTTTTCCTTTCTTTTCATTGTGGGTAACAATCTACATGACTGAAAATGACTCATGGCTTAGGGCCTCACAGAGGTGACAGTGTTTAGCATCTTTTACATCTGAATGTTGGTAATTGTCAGCAATGGTAGTATTTATACTGTTGCCTGAGAAAAAGAAGATAATTAAATATAAAATACTAGCTGCCATAGATGGCCATAGATGACTGTTTGTTTCTTTTTGACTATTTTCAGTTCCCACCCTCTTCTTCTGACAGAGTTGTCACTCAACCCCTCTACTCCACCTCCATTTCATAGTTGGTGATGATTGATAGCCTTTCTTCTAGTTGGAGCTCTCATTTCCATAAATATTCCCATACATTTCAAAGGTCCCTTGTAGTCTTCTTTCCTTTTTAGAAAAATAATTTTTTTTTTTTTTTTGAGACAAAGTCTCACTCTGTCGCGCTGGCTGGAGTGCAGTGACGCGATCTCGGCTCACTGCAAGCTCCGCCTCCCGGGTTCACGCCATTCTCCTGCCTCAGCCTCCTGAGTAGCTGGGACTACAGGCGCCCGCCACCACGCCTGGCTAATTTTTTGTATTTTTTTAGTAGAGACGGGGTTTCACGGTGTTAGCCAGGATGGTATCAATCTCCTGACCTGGTGATCCGCCCGCCTCGGCCTCCCAAAGTGCTAGCTAGGATTATAGGCGTGAGCCACCACGCCCAGCCGAAAAATAATTTTATAATGAGAAGGGATTAAGCATCCCCTTTGCAGATGAGAAAACTGAAGCCCAATAATGAATATGTATTGGGTACCTACTTTGCATTAGGCAAACATTGCTAGGTCCTGGCATATATGAATCAGGAGATTCTACCACGGAATGGCATAATAAATGAACGTTTAAACAAATTTGTATATTCACTTATTTAGAAAGTATGTTTTGGCCAGGCTTAGTGGCTCACGCCTATAATTCCAGCACTTTGGGAGGCCAAGGTGGGTGGATCACCTGAAGGTCTAGAGTTTGAGACCAGCACATGGTGAAACCCTTCTCTACTAAAAATATAAAAAAAGTAGCCAAGCATGGTGGTGGGTGCCTATTAATCCCAGCTACTCTGGAGGCTGAGGCAGGAGAATTGCTTGAACTTGGGAGGCAGAGGTTGCAGTGAGCCAAGATTGCACCATTGCACTCCAGCCTGGGCAACAAGAGTGAAACTTCTCAAAAAAAAAAAAAAAGAAAAGAAAAAGAAAGTATGTTTTGAGTCCAGGCATGGTGGCTCATGCCTATAATCCTAACACTCTGGGAGGCTGAGGCGGGCAGATCACTTGAGTCCAAGGGTTCAAGACCAGCCTGGGCAACATGGAGAAACCTTGTCTCTACAAAAAATGCAAAAAAAAAAAAATTGTCTGGGTGCAGTGGCGCACACCTGTAGTCCCAGCTACTTGGGGGGCTGAGGCAGGAGGATGGCTTGAGCCTGGGAAGTGGAGGTTGCACTAAGCTTGCGATTGCACCACTGCACTCCAGCCTGGGTTACAGAGCAGGACCCCGTCTCAACAACAACAACAACAGAAGTAAAGTAAGAAAATATGTTTGAGTACATACCATATCTGAGGCAACATTCTAGGTACTTAGGATACATGAGTAAGCATGGTTCCTGCCCTCATGGAGCGCTTATTCTAATTGAAGCTTCATGCACTTAAATAGGCTAGAGCTAGAAAATCAAGGTGCTGAGAGAGCCTGACGCCTCACTCCACTTGGACACTTTCCCAGAGAAAGTGATATTTGAGCTAGTGCCTGACTCAGGAAGAGGTGCTGGCCAGTTCAGAATGGCAGCAGCTCAGGGCGTGTGGTCATAGGGTAGGAAGGGGGATGTAGAGAGATGAGCCAGGAGAGGGAAGTGGGCTCTAATTATATGGGACCTAATAGACCATGTCAGGAATTGGGACTTTATCTAAGGAGTAATAGAAGGCTGGACATGGTGGCTCACATGTGTAATCCCAGCACTTTAAGAGGCTGAGGTGGGAGTATTGCTTGAAGTTAGGTGTTCAGGACCAGCCAGGGCAACATAGCAAGACCCAGTCTCTAACAAAAAAAAATTTTTAATTAGCTGGGTGTGGTGGTACACACTGGTAGTCCCAGCTACTTGAGAGGTTGTGCTAGGAGGATTGCTCGAGCCCAGGTTATTGAGGATGCAGTGAGCTATGATCATGCCACAGCACTCCAGCCTGGGTGACAGAATGAAACCATGTCTTTAAAAATTAAAAAAAAAAAAAAATTGGGTTGGGTGGAGTGGCTCATGCCTATAACCCCAGCACTTTGGGAGGCTGAGGTGGGAGGATTGCTTGAGCCCCAGAGTTCGAGGCTGCAGTGAGCCAAGATTGTGCTGCTGCATTCCAGCCTGTGTGTAGAGTGAGACCCTGTCTCAAAAAATAAAAATTAAAAATAAAAATTAATTAAAAAAAAATAGGGCTGGGCGCTATGGCTTATGCCTGTAATCCCAGCACTTTGGGAGGCCGACACGGGCGGATCACAAGGTCAGGAGATCAAGACCATCCTGGCTAACACGGTGAAACCCTGTCTCTACTAAAAATTAGCCAGGTGTGGTGGCGGGCGCCTGTAGTCCCAGCTACTCGGGAGGTTGAGGCACGAGAATGGCGTGAACCCGGGAGGCGGAGCTTGCAGTGAGCCGAGATCACGCCACTACACTCCAGCCTGGGCGACGGAGCAAGACTCCGTCCGTCTCAAAAAAAAAAAGAGCAGTAAGAACCTGTGAGGAATTTTAAGCTGAACAATGATATGATCACAGTTGAGCTGTGGAAAAATTACTGTGTACCAGAAAGAAGGAATTGAAGGGGGAAGTCCAGAAACAGGAAAGCTATTTAGGAGATCGTTTGACTGATGATGGCCTGACCTCCAGTTCCAATATAGTGTGGTGTTTGCAAAAGCACAGGCAGGGGAGATGCAGAATTGCTCTGCTAGGGCAATGAGAAGAGACAAGAGAGGTACCAGGAGGAAGGGAGGGGGTGATTCCGCTGAACAAAGAAGGATGTGTGTCTGCCTACGTGCTAGGGGAGCAGGGAAGTAGCTGGAGCCTGACATTGTGAGTGTCCATCATGTGTCAGGCACTTGACATGTACTACCTCATCTGATTTAATAGTTGTAATAGTGCCTTGGGGGTTTGTAAAGACAGTTTTCCTGTCTTTAACATGAAGGTGACCATGGTACTTTCCTATTATTTTACTACCACTATTTTTACAACAAAAGAAAGTGAAAGATATGCGTTGGACAGATAGGATGAGTCGGAGCAAAAATAATTTTCTATTTAACCAAAGCTAAATTACTCACCCTGAGTCAACTAGCTGAAAAGTGGCAGATTTAGATTTTCTGATTCTTAGTCTGGTTCTTTATCCCTGACTGTAAACACCACACTGTCTCCTTGTGCACTGCTCTATGAAATGGCTGTTCGTTTTCAGAATTGGCCTTCCAGTGCCAGGTGAGTTAACGCCTTTTCATGTCTCAACAGGTTGCATCTTGACTATAAAACCCATTAAGTGCTGTTTTGATTAAATTCTAAGAAGTGTCAGTTTGGCAGATTATGTCCCTGTAAGTGGGTCCAATTTGCTTGTCTTAAAAGTTTCAGAGAGATCTTTGATCTCTCAAGACAGATTCACGGGAACTGAGTTCTTGGTATTAAAATGGCATTTGAAAGCATAGTAATAGGTGAAGATAGCCATACGATAGTGATATCTCAGGAGTTTCTGCCTTTCTGCTACCAATAAAAAGGGGGGGTGCCAGGTGTGGTGGCTCATGCCTGTAATCCCAGCACTTTGGGAAGCCGAGGTGGGCGGATCGCTTGAGCCCAGGAGTTTGAGATCAGTCTGGGCAACTTGGTGAAACCCCATCTCTACAAAAAAATTACCTGGACATGGTGTAGTCCTATGTACTCAGGAGGCTGAGGTGGGAGGATCACTTGAGCCCGGGAAGTTGAGGCTGCACTGAGCAGCTGTGATTTGGCCACTGCACTCCCACCTGGGCAACAGAGTGAAACCCTGTCTCAAAAAATAATAAGTTAGTATTTTAGACAGCAGAAGGAAAAAGTGTCCTTTGCAAAGCAAATAATTTTTTTAAGTAACAACTCTTTTGAGATATAAATTACAGACCATACTCCTCATCCATTTCAAGTAAACAATAGGCCAGGCATGGTGGCTCACGCCGGTAATTCCAGCACTTTGGGAGGCAGAGGCAGGCAGATACCTGACATCAGGAGTTCGAGACCAGCCTGGCCAACGTGGTGAAACTCCGTTTCCACTAAAAATTCAAAAAAAAGTAGCCAGGTGTGGTGGTGGTGGGCAGCTGTAATTCCAGCTACTCGGGAGGCTGAGGCAGCAGAATCGATTGAACGTTGTGGGTGGAAGTTGCAGTGAACAGACATCGCGCCATTGCACTCCAGTCTGGGCTACAAGAGCTAGACTCTGTCTTTAAATAAATAAACAATAAATTGGTTTTCAGTACAGAGTTCTACAACCATTTTCACAATCAATTTTACAAAATTTTCATCACCCCCAAAAGAAACCTCATAACCTTCAACAGTCATTTCCCATTTCCCTCCAATCCCCTCAGCCCTAGGCAGCCACCAGTCTACTTGCTGTCTCTGTGGATTTGCCTGTTCTGGACATTTCATATTGATAGAATCATACACTATTTGTCTTTTTGTGTCTAGTGTTTTACTTGCATAATGTTTTCAGGGTTCCTTCATGTTATAACAAGTGTCCGTACTCCATTCTTTTTATTGTTGGATAACACTCCATTGTATGGATAAACCACATTTTGTTGATCAGCTGATGGACGTTTGATTGTTCCCACTTTCCCTGTTAGGAATAATGTTGTTATCAACACTCATAAGTTTTTGTATGGACCTATGTTTTCAGTTGAGACTGATTTTTTTTTTTTTTTTTTGAGACCAAGTCTTGCTCTGTCGCCCAGGCTAGAGTGCAGTGATGTGATCTCGGCTCACTGCAACCTCTGCTTCCTGGGTTCAAGGGATTCTCTTGCCTCAGCCTCCTGAGTAGCTGGGACTACAGGTGCCTGGCTAATTTTTGCATTTTTAGTAGAGATAGGGTTTCACCTTATTGGCCAGGCTGATCTCGAATTTCTGACCTTGTGATCCACCCATTTCGGCCTCCCAAAGTGCTGGGATTACAGGCATGAGCCACTGCGCCCGGCCTGAGATTGATTTTTTTAAAACTGACCTTTGTCTTATCCTTGTGTTCTTCAGTAAAGCTAATACCAATCTATGTATGTACCGTATAAAAATAGATCATTTTTCTTTCCGAGATGTTGAATGTGCACAAAAAGTGGTTCAGAGAAAAAAGCCACACTTGTTAATTCCATCTGTAAATCTATGATTCAAGGACCATTTCAGTGAGGGGTAACTTCACCCCGCAGATACTAGACACAAGGGAATTTAGTTTAGGTCTTGCTCTGCCTCTTTCTCTTGGAGAAATGATTCTTCCTGAGCCTGTACTCCCACATATAAATCTGAGGCTCGTCACTCTTTCATAACACACATTGATCACACTTTATTTTACATCTGCATTCCTCTCCAGATTATATACTCCATGAACAAGAAACAATAGAAAACAAAAAGACTATCAGTATCTCCTCCTCTAACTCAAATGTAAGAATAAAATGAAAAAATAGTTTTTCATCCAGCAGTTTTAAATTTCCTATAAAAGATGCTCCATAAATCCAAAGTACTAGTATTTCAAACATTCCTAGTTAGATTTAGTTAACTAGACAGAGATTAAGAAAATGCCAGGGGGCCAGCCATGGTGGCTCACGCCTATAATCCCAGCACTTTGGGAGGCTTAGGCGGACAGATCACCTGAGGTTGGGAGTTCGAGGCCAGCCTGACCAACATGGAGAAACCCCGTCTCTACTAAAAATAAAAAATTAACCGGATGTGGTGGCACATGCCTGTAATCCCAGCTACTCGAGAAGCTGAGGCAGGAGAATCGCTTGAACCTAGGAGGCGGAGGTTGCGGTGAGCCCAGATTGCACCATTGCACTCCACCCTGGGCAACGAGAGCGAAACTCCATCTCAAAAAAAATAAATAAATAAAATAAAAAGAAAATGCTGAGGGGAATAAAACTGCTGTAAAGAATAATGCATCATTGAATTTTTTTTTTACTGTGGTAAAATATGCATCGTAACATAGAAGTTACCAGTGTTGGCCTGGCATGTTGGCTCACACCTGTAATCCCAGCACTTTGTGAGGCCAAGGTGGGCAGATCACCTGAGGTCAGGAGTTTGAGACCAGCCTGACCAACATGGTGAAACCCTGTCTCTACTAAAAATACAAAAAAATTAGCTGGGCTTCGTGGCGCACACCTGTAATCCCAGCTACCGGGGAGGCTGAGACAAGAGAATTGCTTGAACCCAGGAGACGGAGGTTGCAGTGAGCTGAGATGGTGCCACTGCACTCCAGCCTGGGCAACAGAGTGAGACTCCATCTCAAAAAATCATAATAATTTACCAGTGCTGCAGCTCTTTTTAGAATTTGTCTAGCAAGTTTTCCTGTTTTTACTGAAGCCTTCCCTTCCCTTCCAAATAACAAAAAGTACACTTTTTTTTTTTTTAAGAGTTCGGGTGGGCCGAGACGGGCGGATCACGAGGTCAGGAGATAGAGACCATCCTGGCTGACACGGTGAAACCCCGTCTCTACTAAAAATACAAAAATTAGCCGGGCATGGTGGCGCGCGCCTGTAGTCCCAGCTACTTGGGAGGCTGAGGCAGGAGAGTGGCGTGAACCCGGGAGGCGGAGCTTGCAGTGAGTCGAGATCGCGCCACTGCGCTCCAGCCTGGGCGACAGAGCGAGACTCCGTCTCAAAAAAAAAAAGAGTTCGGGTGTAATTCTGTCACCCAGGCTGGGGTGCAGTGGCACAAGCATAGCTCACTTTAGCCTCAAAATCCTGGGCTTAAGTGATCCAACCACCTCAGCTAGCTAGGACTACAGACACACAGGTACCATCGTGACCAGCTAATTTTTTTAAAAAAACTTTTTATGGAGACAGGTCTCAAACTGGTGGCCTCAAGCAGTCCTTCTGCCTCAGCCTCCCAAAGTGCTAGGAGTTCAAGCACGAGCCACTGTGCCCTGCCTAAATTTTTTTTGTTTTGTTTTTTTGAGACAGAGTCTCTGTCTCCCAGGCTATAGTACAGTGGCACAGTCTCGGCTCGCTGCAAGCTCCGCCTCCCAGGTTCAAGCGATTCTCCTGCCTCAGCCTCCTGAGTAGCTGGGACTACAGGTGCGTGCCACCACACCCGGCTAATTTTTTGTATTTTAGTAGAGATGGGGTTTCACCATGTTAGCCAGGATGGTCTCAATCTCCTGACTTCGTGATCTGCCCACCTCAGCCTCCCAAAGTGCTGGGATTACAGGCATGAGCCACCGCGCCCAGCCTGCCCTGCCTAAAATTTACAACTTTAATCAATTTTAAGTGTGAGATTCAGTGACATTAAGTGTATTAACAATGTTGTGCAACCATCACTACCATCCATCTCCAGAACTTTTTCATCATCCCAGAGACTTCACACCCATTCAAGATAATTCCTCATTCTCCCCTGCCCCCAGCCCCTAGTAACCTCTATTCTACTTTCTGTCTCTATGAATTTGCCTGTTTTATGTATTTGGACAAAATAGTTGTGTTTACGGTCAGAATAGTTAAGAATGTTTTAAGCAAGAAAATTAAAACTATCTTTGTTTCAAAGACCTTTTTTAAACAGTGTTGGCAGTGCTAACAGTTCTTCCTTTTCTGCTAGATATCTCTGAAAGTGTGAACTTCGATGAGGAGACTGATGGAATATCCCAGTCAGCATGTTTAGAAAGACCCAATTCTGCATCAAGCCAGAATTCAACCGTATGTAGTTCTGAAACTTCTTCCATTAGAGCTAATTTGACTCTTTCTCAAACATATCTTCAGTATTTATTTATTTATTATTATTATGTATTTTTTGAGGTGGAGTCTCGCTCTGTCACCCAGGCTGGAGTGCAGTGGCATGATCTCAGCTCACTGCAAACTCCGCCTCCCGGGTTCACGCCATTCTCCTGCCTCAATCTCCCGAGTAGCTGGGACTACAGGCGCCCGCCATGACACCCGGCTAATTTTTTGTATTTTTAGTAGAGACAGGGTTTCACCATGTTTGCCAGGATGGTCTCGATCTCCTGACCTCGTGATCCGCCCGCCTCAGCCTCCCAAAGTGCTGGGATTACAGGCATGAGCCACCGTGCCCAGCCCTCAAACATATCTTCAGTATTTAAATACCATTACTGAGTGAGGGTTCCTTCAGAAGTGTAAGCTCAAATTTAGTTTATGATCTAATTTTTTCTGTCTCAGGTCAGCTATTGTGAGGCTTTGTCCCATTTTGATACTTACTCTTCATTACTCTCAATATTCATATACTTAATTTAACTTTTCAGTTTTCCTCATTCTGTCAGAAGACTGAAGACACGGGTAAATTACTAAGTTGCTTTGTCCACTAAGTGTTTTTCAAAGAGAATCAGATTTTGAGTCTCGGCCTGTTGTTGCTCATGTATGGCTGTCCTTTCAGGATACAGGCACTTCCGGTTCTGCTACTGCCGCCCAACCAGCTGATAACCTCCTGGGAGACATAGACGACCTGGAGGACTTTGTGTATAGTCCTGCCCCTCAAGGTGTCACAGTAAGATGTCGGATAATCCGGGATAAAAGGGGAATGGATCGGGGTCTCTTCCCCACCTACTATATGTACTTGGAAAAAGAAGAAAATCAGAAGGTATGAGAATTGATTTCTAAGAAAACTCTTGAGAGAGAGAAGAATGTTGTGGGAATAGATTGTTGATGGGCCTTAGGGAACTAACTCTGGTATTAGACCAAGCCAGCTGGAAGTAGATTGTATCTTTCAGTCCCCAGATGCTGTGTTCTCATTTTCTGCAAAGAGCTCATGGTCTAATAGGCAGCAAGCTCTACCCTCCCACAAATAAGAGCTTTATCCACGAAGTGGGAAAATGGACGGGTAGTTGTTAATGTAATTATTTTCACCTGTCTCCCATGATTGAGTTTTTGAATGTTACTGTTTGTTCTTTTGGTTTTTCTTTTTATTACGGAAGAACATGACATTGTGGAAGGAGAGTGAGTTTTAGGGAATAGGAGGAATTAGAAATACAGAAGGACCTACAAGTTAAATGTCTTGTTTCTCACCCTAGAAGTTCTAATTTATTTTATAAGTTTGAGCCAGCGATGAACTTTATTTTATTAATTTTGTATTAATACCAGGTCTTAACAGATGATTTTAAGAGCCTAGAAATAAGATAATGATACTAGGTGTTAATTCTTCTAACCACCATTTATTGAGTGTTTACGACAGACCAAGCATATGCATATATATCTATATATATTATCACCTGTAATCCTTGCAGCCACCTTGTTAGGTAGGATTTCTTACCTCTGCTTTAAAGATGAGGTAACTGGGGCTTAGGGAGTGACTTACCTACCCCACGTTGCACTAAGTGGTGGCAGAGCCAAATTCAAACCTATTTTGCATAATTCTAAAGTCTTCCTGCTTAGCCACTGCCACTCTCCTGCTTCCCTATTATGGTCCTAGTCTAGGAGAGTTTAGGAAGGATGCCTATATAGGATGGTATTCATGCCATTGAGGTCACAGTGGTTTAACACAACAGCAGTATAGAAAAAAGAGTATTTCCTCCCTGGAGAGGCTTCCCTTTTGTCCCTTCTTGCCCTTTGCCTAATCAGAGTCTTTCCTGATGTGCTTCACCAGATGTGGTTGACATTCCTCTGTCTGTGTCCCCATGGCATGAAGAAAGCTATCACAGGCCAGGTGCGGTGGCTCACACGTATGATCCCAGCACTTCGGGAGGCTGAGGCAGGTGGATCCCTTGAGGACATGAGCTCGAGACCAGCTTGGCTAACATGGGGAGACCCTGCCTCTAGCAAAAAATTAAAAAATTAGCCAGGAGTGGTGGCATGCACCTGTAGTTCCAGCTACTCGGGAGGCTGAGGCAGGAAAATCACTTGAACCTGGGAGGCAGAGGTTGCAGTGAGCTGTGATTGCACCACTGCACTCTAGCCTGGGTGACAGAGTGAGACCCTATCTCAAAAAAAAAAAAAAAAAAAAGCCATCACAGTAAAGAATGGGAAGGTTTTCAGGATCCTGTCTCTCCTAAGGTTGGAAAGACTCTTAATCATGGCATTGGATGAACATTGATTGTTATTTATTTATTGGATTTTGCAAGGTTGCCCAGGCTGGCCTTGAACTCCTGGACTCCAGTGATCCCTCTACCTCAGCCTCCCAAGCAGCTGGGATTATAGGCTCATGCCACCTGGCCCAGCTTTGGAGATTTTTTTTTTAACTGGAAGTTTTAGGGATGAAGTTGTAACTAATTATATGGAGAATCAAGCTAGTGAATTTAGAAAAACTGTATAGGAAGAAAACCCTGATAGTGAATTATTTTATTTTTATTTTTTATTTTTTTTTTGAGACAGAGTCTCATTCTGTCACCCAGGCTGGAGTGCAATGGCATGATCTCGGCTCACTGCAAGCTCCGCCTCCTGGGTTCATGCCATTCTCCTGCCTCAGCCTCCTGAGTAGCTGGGACTGCAGGCGTCTGCAACCACGCCCAGCTAATTTTTTGTATTTTTAGTAGAGACAGGGTTTACGGTGTTAGCCAGGATGGTCTCGATCTCCTGACCTTGTGATCTGCCCACCTCGGCCTCCCAAAGTGCTGGGATTACAGGCGTGAGCCACCACACCCTGCCTGATAGTGAATTCTGATAAGAGAGTTAGAGAAAGGGATAAAGGCCCAAAGATTAACAGCTTGACATATGCTGAGGACTTGCTAAGCACTGGCTGAATGAATATGTAGGACAACCATGACCAGAGGTGGGGCAGGTTCTCTGGACTTCATTTTTGACTGACACTTTTTCTTTTCCCAGATATTTCTTCTTGCAGCTAGAAAGCGGAAAAAGAGCAAAACAGCCAACTACCTTATCTCCATTGATCCAGTTGATTTATCTCGTGAAGGAGAAAGTTATGTCGGCAAGCTTAGGTGAAAGCAACCTTAGATCACTGTCCTATTCTTTCTGATAGTCTTATTCCTATAGTTGCAGAACAGTCCTTATCTTGGTTACAACTAGCATGTATTGATGTTGTAATCTTAAAAAAAAAGAAAAAGGAAAAAAAAAAAAGCTGGGCGCAGTGGCTCACACCTGTAATCCCAGCACTTTGAGAGGCCAAGGCGGGCGGATCACTTGAAGTCAGGAGTTGGAGTCCAGCCTGGCCAACATGGCAGAACTCCCTCTCTACTAAAAATACAAAAATCAGCCAGGTGTGGTAGAACAGCCTGTAATTCCAGCTACCCGGGAGGCTGAAGCACGAGAATTGCTTGAATCCAGGAGGCAGAGGTTGCCGTGAGCCAAGATAGTGCCACTGCACCCCAGCCTGGGTAACAGAATGAGAGTCTGTCTCAAAAAAATAAAAAAATAAGGCTGGTGTGGTGGCTCAGGCCTATAATCCCAGCATTTGGGGAGGCTGAGGTGGAGGATCACTTGAGGCCAGGAGTTTGAGACCAGCCTGGGCAACACACTGAGACATTATCTCTTCAAAAAACTTTAAAATTAGCCAGGCGTGGCAGTTCTCACCTGTAGCCCCAGCTACCCAGGAGGCTAAGGTGGGAGGATGACTTGAGCCTGGGAGTTTGAGGCTGCAGTGAGCTATGATCCCTGCCACTGCACTCCAGCCTGGGCGACAGAGCGAGACCCTGTCTCGAATTAGTAAGTAAATAAAAAGTTAAAAGAAAATCTCAGTTCCTTCCTTGCTTTAATGAGATATTTTTGAAAAAGTGATGATGAACATTGAGACATTTGGAAAACAGGCAAATAGGCTTCCATTTTCCTTCTCTTAGATTGTGTTTGTATAAGAAAAAAAATACAGATCATCATGGTGACTTTTTCTCCTGACTCCAGATCCAACCTCATGGGGACCAAGTTTACAGTTTATGACCGTGGCATCTGCCCCATGAAGGGCCGGGGTTTGGTAGGAGCGGCCCACACCCGGCAGGAGCTGGCTGCCATCTCCTATGTGAGTGCTGCTTTCCCAGGGCCGCTGCCTGCCCTCCTGGTGTCCTGCTGGCACTTTTCACCTAGTGTCGCTGAAGAACCTCCCCTCCCAAGCTTGTTTCTATTTCTGTGATTTCTGTTGCTGTACCATTTTCTCCATGTATTTGAGTTTTAGTTATTTGAATTGCCAAGTTCAATTATTTTTCACTCTCAGAACATTTCTTCCCTTATTTCCTTTTCTTTTTTCCTGCTGCCACTTAATTCAGACCTTTACTTCTTACCCAGTGGCCAAAGGTTACAATAAATTAAAGCTGATCTTTTTTTGCTTTTAATCTTTTCCTATCTAGTTCATTCTCTTTTTTCTCTTTTTAATCTCTTTTTCTTATTTTTTTTCCTCTTTTTGGCATTTATAGTCCACTTCTTTTTAAATTGTATCTTATTATTATTTGTTTTATTGTCCTTTTTCATTTCATTTCACACCCGGGAAAGGCTTGAGAACTATCTAGCTCGTTCTCTGCTGCCACCAAATGAATCTTCCTACAACGAGGCTCCAGTTGATCCTCCTGTTCTGCTTCAAATCTTTTAGTGACTACCCATTGTGTGAGATCTAACATGGTAGCATTTGCTTTCAGACTTCTCTATTGGCATGCCCCTCCTTCCCATCATTCTAGCCAAGCAGCCCTCCTGTCATTCCTTTGTCCAACCACACTCATCTTTCCTCCTTGGAGAGGCTTCCCTTTTCCTCTTTCTGGCCTTTTGCCTTATCAAAGTCTTTTCTGATGTACTCCACTAGATGTGGTTGACATTCCTTCATCTGCGTCCTTGTAGCATTTGTAACCCACATGTATTTGTTATTACTTGTTCAACATGAACCGTTTCCACCAGTTTGTAAACTTGTGAATTCTTACTCATGGCTATATCCATACTAGCACATGGCTTGGCACACAGTAGATATTCAAAGAGTTGTTGAGTAAGAGAAAGCAAGAAGGAATTGACCCATCTCAGCTGGTTTTTTTATTCCAAAGTCTCAACTTTCTTAAGTTGAAATTAATCCCATGAGATCTTATCTACATGCCTGAGAACCATTTGACTTCACACTTTAATGTAAGGTGTCTTTCCTCTATAGCTTTCATATATAATCTGCTTGGCTTGGCTGGGCTTGGTGGCTCACACCTGTAATCCCAGCACTTTGGGAGGCTGAGGTGGGCAGATCACTTGAGCCCAGGAGAGACCAGCCTAGGCAACATGGTGAAACCCCATCTCTACTAAAAATACAAAAATTAGCCGGGCATGGTGGCAGTCGCTGGAGTCCCAGCTACTGGGGGCACTGAGGCAAGAGGATCACCTGAGTCTTAGGAGGGTCGAGGCTGCAGTGAGCCGTGATCACACCATGCACTCTAGCCTGGGCGACAGCATGAGACCCTGTTTAAAAAATAATAATAATCGGCCAGGCGTGGTGGCTCACGCCTGTAATCCCAGCACTTTGGGAGGCCGAGGCCGGTGGATCACCTGAAGTCAGGAGGTGGAGACCAGCCTGGCCAACATGGCAAAAACCCGTCTCTACTAAAAATACAAAAAAAATTAGCCAGGCGTGGTGGCAGGCACCTGTAATCCCAGCTACTCGGGAGGCTGAGGCAGGAGAATCGCTTGAACCCAGGAGGCAGAGGTTGCAATGAGCCAAGATTGTGCCACTGCACTCCAGCCTGGGTGACAGAGCAAGACGCCATCTCAAAATAAAATAAGAATAATCTGCTTGGCTTGACAGGCATTTTTAATACCTAGTGCAGGCCTTATTTAACCACAACTAATTTTCACTGTATGTAATATAGTGCTATGCCCTCACTGGGAAATAAATATGTGTTGGTGCTGACAAAGTTGAACAGTTTGTTCACAGTTATCTCAAATCACATTTAAGACTCAAGAGTAAGAGGCCGGGCGTGGTGGCTCACTCCTGTAGTCACAGCACCTTGGGAGGCCAAGATGGGCGGATCACCTGAGGTCGGGAATTCGAGACCAACATGGAGAAACCCCGTCTCGACTAAAAAAAAAAAAAAAATACAAAATTAGCCGGGTGTGGTGGCGCATGCCTATAATCCCAGCTACTCAGGCTGAGGCAGGAAAATTGCTTGAACCCGGGAGGCGGAGGTTGTGGTGAGCTGAGATTGTGCCATTATACTCCAGCCTGGGCAACAAGAGTGAAACTCTGGTCCCAAAAAAAAAATAGTTAAGAGTAAACTCTCAAGCCAAGAGATTCTGTTTTAAATGTAGGTGTTTAAAGAAGGTATAGGCCAGGTGCAGTGGCTCACGCCTGTAATCCCAGCACTTTGGGAGGCTGAGGCAGGCAGATCACGAGGTCAGGAGATCGAGACCATCCTAGCCAACTTGGTGAAACCCCGTCTCTACTAAAAATACAAAAAATAATTAGCCAGGCGTGGTGGCATGCGCCTGTAGTCCCAGGCTGAGGCACAGGAATCGCTTGAACCCAGGAGGTGGAGATTGGAGGTTGCAGTGAGCTGAGATTGTGCCACTGCACTCCAGCCTGGCGACAGAGCGTGACTCTGTCTCAAAAAAAAAAAGAGAAGTATAAAGAGATATAATATTACTTTCCTGTTTTTGATTCTGTTTACAGCAAAGTAATAAAATTATTTTTGGTACACCTGATTTTTTTTTTTTTTTTTTTTTTTTTTTTTTTCTGAGGCAGAGTCTCACTCTTGTCGCCCAGGCTGGAGTGCAACGGCGTGATCTCGGCTCACTGCAGCCTCTGCCTCCTGGGTTCAAGCAATTCTCCTGCCTCAGCCTCCCGAGTAGCTGGGATTACAGGCGCCTGCCACCACGCCTGGCTAATTTTTGTATTTTTAGTAGAGACAGGGTTTCACCATGTTGGCCAGGCTGGTCTCAAACTCCTGACCTCAGGTTATCTGCCCACCTCGGCCTCCCAAAGTGCTGGGATTATAGGCGTGATCCACTGCCCCGGCTGATACAGCTGATATTGTCAGCATCTTACATTCCCAAGAAAGTCTCATGTTATAAAAGAATGTGGTCTCTATTTTTTTCCTGTTTCCAAGTTCTGCTTTGTTTTCCTATCTTCCAGGAAACAAACGTACTTGGATTTAAAGGTCCTAGGAAAATGTCTGTGATCATTCCTGGAATGACACTGAATCATAAGCAGATCCCCTATCAGCCACAAAACGTGAGTAAGAATGTATTTAAATCAGTGAAAGACTCTAAAAGACAGTAGTACAATACACAGAGATTAATACAAAAAAAAAAAAAAAGATTGAGCTTCCAGAGCCCCACACTGGAGATAGCTCCATACACTTCTTTAGGAAAGCTGCCCCTCCAAAACCTCAGGATAAGAGCAGTTGCAGAGTCATTGCCTTGAAACCATTTTTTCTACAAAGAGAAATGCTGGATGATGTAGAATAATTTTAAAAAAAACCTGTCTTCATTGTTGGCTTTCATTCTTCGCTTCTGGTTTACCCTTTCTGAAATGGAGAAAGTATTCTCCTACTCTACCTTCTACCTCGTAGAGTTGGAGTTCTCAGTACAAAGTAATGATTTTCCCTTTGGACAGAACCATGACAGTTTGCTCTCAAGGTGGCAGAACAGAACTATGGAAAATCTGGTTGAGCTGCACAACAAGGCCCCCGTCTGGAACAGTGACACTCAGTCCTATGTCCTCAACTTCCGTGGCCGGGTCACTCAGGCGTCTGTGAAGAACTTCCAGATAGTCCACAAAAATGACCGTAAGCCTCCAGGAGGGGTTGGGTGGGAAGAGGAGGACAGATGCTCTTACAGGATGGGAATGCACATTCCCTGTACATGATAGGAAGTGACAGTCAGCAGATAATCATGGAGGAGAGACAGGATTTCTTTGGAAAGATGAAACTACAGTTTTAGAGAAAACTTGTAAATCACTGTGTTGAGGAGGGGAGAGGAGTGTGAGAGAGATGCTATAGCAAATCAGAGAAGTTGGCTGGGCACCATGGCTCACGTCTGTAATCCCAGCACTTTGGGAGGCCGAGGTGGGCAGATCGCTTGAGACCAGCCTGGGCAACATGGTGTGAAACCCCATCTCTACAAAAAATAGAAAAATTAGCTGGGCGTGGTGGCAGGCACTTGTAGTCCCAGCTACCCGGGAGGCTGAGGTGGGAGCATCACTTGAGCCAGGAGGTCGAGGCTGCAGTGAGCTGAGATTGCATCACTGCTCTCCAGCCTGGGTGACAGCAAGAACCTGTCTCAGAAAAAAATAAAAAATCAGAGAAGTCATAGAGTAGGTTGTTTGGGAAACAAAGGCAAATGACCCCAATAAAGGTTCCTGGCAGCTCTAGCCTGCGGAGTTTATGACATTCCCAGCAAGCTGCTCTCTATTCTACAGAAACCTGGTGATTAACTGGCCTATTTGGAGGATTCTTTCTGTATCATAAATAGGATCCCAGCACTTTGGGAGGCCGAGGCAGGAGAATCACTTGAGCCTAGGTGTTTGAGACCAGCTTGAGCAACATAGTGAGACCCTATCTTCACAAAAAGTAAAATATTAGCCAGGCGTGGTGGCGCTTGCCTGTAGTCCCAGCTACTCAGGAGGCTGAGGTGGGAGGATCACTTGAGCCTGGGACGGGAGGTCAAGGCTGCAGTGAGCTGTGGTCATTCCACTAGGCTCCAGCCAGGGCGACAGAGCAAAACCCCATCTAAGAAAAGGAAGAAAAAGAAAAAGATTTCCCTGAGTGCAACCACATTATATTCTAACATGTTGATTTCTTTCTGTTTCTAGCTGATTATATAGTCATGCAGTTTGGACGTGTGGCAGATGACGTGTTCACACTGGATTACAACTACCCACTTTGTGCAGTACAGGCCTTTGGCATCGGTCTTTCTAGCTTTGACAGTAAGCTGGCGTGTGAATGAGAGAACAGTCAGGCAGGGAGCCCTTCTCCCCACAGAGCTTTCAGGAGCAGACAGTGGCCTCCCCTTCCCCTCCCTGCCCCAGGACTTAAAGAGCAATAGTTTGCCCCTTTTGGAATGATCTCTGAATATATAAAACACACACACAAAGAGCAATAGTTTGCCCCTTTTGGAACGACCCCTGAATATATAAAACACACACACGAAGAGCAATAGTTTGCCCCTTTTGGAACGACCCCTGAATATATAAAACACACACGAAGAGCAATAGTTTGCCCCTTTTGGAACGACCCCTGAATATATAAAACACACACACGAAGAGCAATAGTTTGCCCCTTTTGGAACGACCCCTGAATATATAAAACACACACACACCCCGCGCACTCTCACTCCTTTTCCAGGTTTCATAGACTTGGTGAGGGATCACAGCTTAGCATGGGTGAGAGATGATTTAAAGCACAGGGAGATTCTTGTCACATTGGGGTCTCCAAAGCTAGAATGGGATTTCATGTGCTTGGAAACTTGCAGTAGAATCAGGGACTGACATCGCAGTTCCTCTCCTCTCTTCATTCCCTCACAGCAGATTGGCCGGCACCAATCTTAGTCAAGAGTGGCTGTGATCACATTTGTGATCAATTATGTGAGAATTTTATATAATTGTCTTCATTTCAATTAAGGCTGAAAGCATAAACTCTAGAGGTGACTCAGTCAGGACTGACAGTAATGTGATAATTGCCTTCATTTTCAACCCAGGAGTGCCTCTCACAGCTATATGACTACGGATCCATTAGTGAGGAGCGACACACACACCTGTAGGCATCCTGTGCAAACACTTTGTCATTATCAAGAGAGATGGCAGTATTGACCATTTAGTTTAGTTAAAAAAAAAAAAAAAAAGGTGGCAGGAGAGGCTTTGGGGAGGATCAGCCAGCAGACATGAGCACTGCTGGCCCGTGTGGCAGAGCTGTGGACTTTCTTCTCGGCTCCCTCAACCCTGGCTCAGGCACAGAAGGTGTTTTGCTACGTTTTTTTGATTATTACACCCCTCCACGTATTATGTGACTCTTACACCAGTTCACCCTTCCCAGAATGTATCCAAACCTTGAGAATGCAGGAGCTCTGTGAGCTCCACCGTCAGCACCATTCAGCTGCATCCCTTGTGCACAGAACTGTTTGCCAGCGTTGGGTGGGACACCCGTGGCGGCTGCTCCCTCAGACCTCCCTTCTGTGGACTGACCTCTCACCTCCGCCTGTTGTTCCTGCACCACATCAGATAAGCATGTGAAGGAGGGCCAACTGGCAGCTGCGGGACCCTTGGCTTGTCCCCCACCGACAAGTCCCACCTGCTGGGTGAGGACGAGACTGTTTCCATCTCAGGCATGTATCCCACCAAGTGCCTCCCTCACAGCCATGCCCAGAAGCCTCACACCTCGTCACCACCACCACCCCCCACCCCATCCTGAGGCACTGCCTGGCAGATAACCCTGGTTGGCCACAGAAGCTATTAATACACGACAGCATGTGGGGAAGGACTTATGGTGGGCCAGGTGGACCTCATCCTGCTTCTTCCTCCCTCTGGTTTAAAGAGATATATAAACTAATTTCACATAATTTGTGTGTGCAGGTGATTGGTTTTTACATAAGTCCTATTTATACCTTTTATATGTTACAGAAATAAAAGTTAATTTATATAAAAATGTGTCACTGCCTTTGCAAGTCCTATGCCTCAGGAAGTTCCTACTGTCATGTTATATAATCATAATTGTCATCTTGGGCCACGTGCAGTGGCTCACGCCTATAATCCCAGCACTTTGGGAGGTTGTGGCAGGCGGATCACCTGAGGCCAGGAGTTGGAGACCAGCCTGGCCAACACGGCAAAACCCTATCTCTACTAAAAATACCAAAATTAGCTAGGTGTGGTGGTGCATGTCTGTAATCCCAGCTACTCAGGAGGCTGAGGCATGAGAATCACTTGAACCTGGGAGGCTGAGGTTGCAGTGAGCAGAGATCACACCATTGCACGCCACCCTGGGCCACAGAGTGAGACCCTCGCCTCAAAAAAAGAAAAAAAAATGTTTTGGTAACACATCAGTTCTGTAAAACCAGGTGATTACTAACAAACTTCTCATCCTGATGTAGAGCAGGAATCTGCAGACTAAGAAGGCTGTGTTCCGGAGGCTACCTAGACACACTATACACATGATAGCCAGGGGCATCTGGACAGAGGACGGGACCGAGAGCTGAGCTTAGCAAGGCCACAGAGGGTAGAGTGTACATTCTTTGCATGCCTGCCCAGGTCCGCTTCCCAGGTTTGTTCTTGTTGGCATTGTTTACTGGTTCAGCAGCAACACAAATGAACTATCTCATAGACCCCATCGCTTGCCTCTGAATGTTAACGTTTTGTTTGTTTTTTGAGACGAAGTCTTGCTTTATCACCCAGGCTGGAGTGCAGTGGGCATGACCTCGGCTCACTGCAACCTCTGCCTCCCAGGTTTCAGCAATTCTCCTGCCTCAGCCTCCTGAGAAGCTGGGACTACAGGCGTGCGCTACTACACCCAGCTAATTTTTGTATTTTAAGTGGAGAAGAGGTTTCACCATGTTGGCCACGCTGGTCTCGCCTTGGCCTCCAAAAGTGCCAGGATTACAGGCATGAGCCACTGCACCCGGCCTTTTTTTTTTTTTTTTTTTTTTTTTTTTGAGACGGAGTCTGGCTCTGTTGCCAGGCTGGAGTGGAGTGGGGTGATATTGGCTTACTGCAACCTCTGCCTCCTGGGTTCAAGCAACTCTCCTGCCTCAGCCTCCCGAGTAGGTGGGACTACAGGCGTAAGCCACTGCGCTCGGCACCCCCCCCTCCTTTTTTTTTTTTGAGACAGGGTCTCCTGTTGTCCAGGCTGCAGTGCAGTAGTGTGATCTTGGCTTACCACAGCCTCAACTTCCTGAGCTCAAGGGATCCTCCTACCTCAGCCTCCTGAGTAGCTGGAACTATAGGCATGTGCCACCAAGACTGGCTAATTTTTTGTATTAAAGTACAGACAGGGCTTCACTGTGTTTTTCAGGCTCGAACTCCTGGGCTGAAGTGAGCCTCCCACCTCGGCCTTACAAAGTGCTAGAATTACAGGCACGAAATACCATGCCCGGCCTTCACATTTTTAAGCTGCCCTATGTTCAGAAGTTGAAAAAAAATGCTGGGTGTGGTGACTTATGCCCAGCACTTTGGGAGGCCGAGATGGGAGGATCATTTGAGGTCAGGAGTTCCAGACCAGTCTGGCCAACATGGCAAAACCCTGTCTCTACTAAAAATACAAAAATTACCTGGGTGTGGTGGCGGGTGCCTGTAATCTCAGTTGCTTGGGAGGCTGAGGCAGGAGAATCACTTGGACTGGGAAGGCAGAGTTTGCAGTGAGCCAAGATTGTGCCACTGCACTCCAGCCTGAATGCGACTCTGTCTCAAAAAAAAAAAAAGTGTCCACAAAGCTTTCCTAGGCTTTCTGGCTCTTATCAGCATCACAGTGATGAACACATGGAAAGAAGCAAGAAGAGCCTAAAAATCAGGACAAGAGCTGGAGTCGATTCTTACAACTTGATTTTTCCTTTTTTATTTTTTTAGTCTTCCACATGCACAACATGTATTTTCTTTTTCATATGATTCTTTTTGGCTAAGGTGCATGGGTGGCCAGTTTTTCTGTTTTTTTTTTTTTTTTTGAGACAGGGTCTGGCTCTGTTGCCCAGGCTGGAGTGCAGTGGTGTGATCTTGGCTCACTGCAACCTCTGCCTCCTGGGCTCAAACCATCCTCCCACCTCAGTCTCCTGAGTAGCTGGGACTACAGGCATCCACCACCCCCAACTAATTTTTTAATTTTTGATAGAGACAGGGTTTCACCATGTTGCCCAGATTGGTATTGAACTCCTGGGCTCAAGCGATCCTCTCCCCTTGGCCTCCCAGAGTGTTGGGATTACAGGCATGAGCCACCGTGCCTGGCCCAAATAGATTCTTTGTGACACAGTTTTGTACACTAGTGATCAGGGACATACTGGTGGGCATTGACATGAAAGATTTCAGCAAGTGTCAATTACAAGTCTAAAAACAGGCCTGCAAAAGGCTCTTTTTGATCAGTTTAATAGATCATAGAAGAAATGAACTAGCATCAATTCATTTCCTTGAGATCAGCATTGTAAGTGCAGAAATAAAGTGATGGTTCGACTAAGGCAAAATCTTCCTGGGTTCTGACCCTATTTCTGCCAATGATTTGCCATGTGCCTCCTTTATAGATTGAGAGACTTTGAACTACGTGCCCTTTTACATTCTTTTTTTTTCTTTTTCTTTTTTTTTTTTTTTTGAGACAGAGTCTTGCTCTGTTGCCCAGGCTGGAGTGCGGTAGTGGGATCTCGGCTCACTGCAAGCTCCGCCTCCCGGGTTTACGCCACTCTCCTGCTTCAGCTTCCCGAGTAGCTGGGACTACAGGCGCCTGCCACCACGCCTGGCTAATTTTTTGTATTTTTAGTAGAGACGGGGTTTCACCGTGTTAGCCAGGATGGTTTCGATCTCCTGACCTCATGATCCGCCCGCCTCGGCCTCCCAAAGTGCTGGGATTACAGGCGTGAGCCACCACGCCCGGCTACATTCTTGAATTACATGTTTCTCCCCACTCATGCTGACAACACTCTGGCATTCCCCTGTTTTGAGCTGAACTCACTGGTTACCCCTGGACAGCTTCATGTTCATGGCTCATGTTCATTAGCTCTGTTCATGGCTAAGGACGGCTAGCCTGAGAGGTGACACAGAGTTCAGGGAAAGCACAGATTGCCTCAGCGAAGGCACCATGGAGAGGAGACCGGAATTGTGGAAGAAACAGGATCGTGCACTGAGAACTGTCCTCTTTATTCTACCAAGTACGATTTATTAGCCAAGTTGACATTTGTCGATTTGGTTATAGTAACTCTTACAAGCAATTCTTAAGACACACACACAGCTTGCTCCTGAACTCCAGCATGTTGCAAGCTGCGTTTTTCCTCGGCCTCCAGCTCCTGCCCGGGAACTGTCTGCACGTCTAACACCTGCTTCTCTTCAGTCCACAGCTCTCTCAGCCTGGCCCACGCAGGCCCCAGCCAGGGGCATGCCAAGGACTTGGCAGTTTCTGTGCCACCTCCTGAGACACGTTTCCTGACCACTGGCATAGTGGATCATTTTGCCTCCTTTCCTGCTTACGTCTCCTCGTTATCACTGTCGATGGATATGCTTTAAAAGTCTCACAGTCTTTTTTATCAACCAATAGACTCCCCTCATCCACTAAAAGCTAAGGCTGCCACAAATGAAGGGGTGCAGTGAGAACGGCAGATGGTTCCATGGCGCCACCCACTGTCCAGGAATGCATGTTGCAGGTGCGTTAAACGGGCAGACCCCGCACAGGTGAGGAAGTCACCAGGCGAAAACAGCAAGCCGACCACATGACCATGCAGTTACCAAGCACCTCGTGTTAGACCATGGCTCTCTTCTGAAAGCCTGAGAACACTAATATTTCTGGAGTTTAGAAACTAGTTAAGGTGCCAGGCGCGGTGGCTCACGCCGAGGCGGGAGGATGACGAGGTCAGGAGATCGAGACCATCCTGGCTAACACGGTGAAACCCCGTCTCTACTGAAAATACAAAAAATTAGCTGGGCACGGTGGTGGGCGCCTGTAGTCCCAGCTACTCGGGAGACTGAGGCAGGAGAATGGCGTGAACCCGGGAGGCGGAGCTTGCAGTGAGCCGAGATGGCGCCACTGCAGTCCGGCCTGGGCAACAGAGCAAGACTCTGTCTCAAAAAAAAAAAAAAAAAAAAAAAAAAAAGAAAGAAACGAGTTAAGGTATTCTAGGTAAAATGCCCAGGATCTGGCCGGCACAGAATAAACACTAAGTATAGTGGCAGATATCTATATTATCTTTTTTTACTTTGAGGCAGGGTCTCACTCTGTTACCCAGGCTGGAGTGCAGTGGCATGATCTCACTGCAGTCTTGACCTTCCCAGGCTCAAGTGATCCTTCCATTTCAGCCTCCGGAGCTGCTGGGATACAGGCATACAGGCGTGAGCCACCACGCCCAGCTAATTTTTTTTTTTTTTTGTATTCTGTAGAGATGGGGTTTCATCATGTTGCCCAGGCTGGTCTTGAACTCCTGGGCTCAAGCAATCCTCTCACCTCAGCCTCCCAAAGTGCTGGGGTTACAGGTGTGAGCCATTGTGCCTGGCCATAATTTTTATTAATGTTCTTTAAAAATAAAACAATGAGCTCGAATGGTGGCTCGCACCTGTAATCTCAGCACTTTGGAAGGCTAAGGTGGGAGGATTGCTGGAGCCCAGAAGTTCCAGACCAGCCTGGGCAACATAGGGAGACCCCATCTCTACAAAAATAAATTAGCCAAGCACTGTGGCACGAGCCTGTAGTCCCAGCTACTCGGGAGGCTGAGGTGGGAGGATGGCTTGAGCCCAGGAGGCTGCAGTGAGCCAAGATTGTACCACTGCACTCCAGCTGGGCAAAAGAGTGAAACCCTGTCTCTAAGAAAAAACTTAACAGAACAATTATCTTCTTAGCCACGCACTTATAGAGAATGGCTTATACATGTTTATAAAGCAAATTTAGATGGTTTTTCAGAGACAATAGGAGAGGACAGAAGCACAGCACGGTTTAATCAGGTTACTCCACACACCAGTGCTAGCCCAGCCCTGATCCTACCTCCCTTTCCTCACTTTGTACCCATCTCTCTTGTTTTTACTTGAAGTAACTGCCTGTACAAATATTAGCCCTGATGTTGTTGGAAATTTTTGAAGTATTTCAAATACAAAATGGGCCTCCAAGATTCTTTATAGATGGGCCTTGTCTTTTGGTCCGTCAGGCCTGAGCCCCAACACGGCTTTGGCCATGACCAAAGCGGGGTAAAGCTGGGGGCTTAGGTGGGGGCAGGCTTTTTCCTGGTCTATCACCAGCCTTTACTATACCTCTTTGGTTTAACATTGGGGCTCTCAAGCCACAGGGTTTAACATCTAGTTAAGCACTTTCTACCTAGATTCTGCCCCTTGTCATGAATCTTAAGTGTTTCAAGAATAATTATGCAAGGCCGGGCGCGGTGGCTCACGCCTGTAATCCCAGCACTTTGGGAGGCCGAGGCGGGCGGATCACGAGGTCAGGAGATCGAGATCATCCTGGCTAACACGGTGAAAGCCCGTCTCTACTAAAAAATACAAAAAATTAGCCAGGTGTGGTGGCGGGTGCCTGTAGTCCCAGCTACTCGGGAGGCTGAGGCAGGAGAATGGCCTGAACCCAGGAGGCGGAGCTTGCAGTGAGCCAAGATCGCGCCACTGCACTCCAGCCTGGGCAACAGAGCGAGACTCTGTCTCAAAAAAAAAAAAAAAAAAGAATAATTATCCAGCAGTTCTCTTTCTTCCGTAGTTTGGGAGTAGGAAGATTAGGAAGGAAGAATGGTTTGAGGAGAAAGGAGGGTGACAGGCAGAAGAGGGCTAGGAAGTAGAGCAGCATTTTTAAAGTGTGTCTAGGCCGGGTGTGGGCGCGGTGGCTCACACCTGTAATCCCAGCACTTTGGGAGGCCGAGGCGGGCAGATCACTTGAGGTCAGGAGTTTGAGAGTAGCCTGGCCAAAATGGTGAAACCCCATCTCTACTAAAAATACAAAAATTAGCCAGATATGGTGGCGCACGCCTGTAATCCCAGCTACTCAGGAGGCTGAGGCACAAGAATCACTTGAACCCGGGAGGCGGAGGTTGTAGTGAGCCAAGATTGCACCACTGCACTCCAGCCTGGGTGACAGAGTGAGACTGTCTCAACAACAGCAACAAAAAAGGTGGGTCTAAGTTCCATTTCCAAAGTACTGATGCATACTTAGGACAAACCATACCAGGCTAAAGTAGAAAGTGACCTCGAAAAAGGTTTCCTGATTTTTGCCTTTGGTCAGTCGTATGTTGTTCTATATCAGCTATTTTTTTTTTCTTTTTTCTTTTTTTGAGTCAGAGTCTCGCTCTGTCGCCCAGGCTGGAGGGCAATGGCGCAATCTCGGCTCACTACAAGCTCCGCCTCCCGGGTTCACGCCATTCTCCTGCCTCAGCCTCTTGAGTAGCTGGGACTACAGGCGCCTGCCACCACGCCCGGCTAATTTTTTTTGTATTTTTTTTAGCAGAGACGGGGTTTCACCGTGTTAGCCAGGATGGTCTCGATCTCCTGACCTCGTGATCCACCTGCCTCAGCCTCCCAAAGTGCTGGGATTACAGTCGTGAGCCACCGCGCCCGGCGTATATCAGCTATTCAGAGAGATAGAGGTACATAAATGTAACCTTTGGGCCAGGTGTGGTGGCACACACCAGTAGTATTTCCAGCTACTTGGGAGGCTGAAGTAGGAGGATTGCTTACGTGTGCTAGGATTGCACCACCGCACTCCAGTCTAGGGATAGAGCAAGACCCTGTCTCAAAAAAACAAAAAAAACAAAAAACAAACACACACACACATGATTAATGTACAAATTGCCTATCTACAGGGGACTAGTTAAAAACACTAAGGTAAGGCTGGACACAGCTGGCTTATGCCTGTAATTAATCCCAGTACTCTAGGAGACCCAGGCAGGAGTATTGCTTGAGCCCAGGACTTTGAGACCAGCCTGGGCAATATATCAAGACCCTGTTTCTACAAAAAAACAAATAAACAAACAAAAAAAAACCACACAACACTTTTTTTTTAAATCAGCCAGGTATGGTGACACATGCCTGTAGTCCCAGCTACTCAGGAGGCTGAAATGGGAGGATCACTTGAGCTGGGGAGATCGAGACTGCAGTGAGCCATGATCACACCACCGCACTCTAGTCTGGGCAACAGAGAGAGACTCTGCCTCAAAAAAAAAAAAAAAAGAGGAAAAAGCCCACTAAGGTACTTCCCACAATGGAATACTGTGGAGAATCAACAAGTATGAGGAAGACTGTATTGATTGATGTGGAAATGTCTGCAGGATCCATTCCGTGAGAAGTAAGCTAAAGAACCACGTATACAGTATGCTTCCTTTTGTGCACAAAGGGTGGGAAATTGCAAGCCCATTATTATTTTTGCATAAACACTGAAAAACTGGAAACTAAAAAGTGGGTTAACTATAGGAGCAGGACAGGGCACAGGAAGGCAAGACAGATGTGGGAGGAATCCTTTTCTTTTTTTTTTTCTTGAGACAGTCTTACTTTGTCACCCAGGGTGGAGTGCAGTGGCACAATCACGACTCACTGCAGCCTTGACCTCCTGGGTCCCAGTGATCCTCCTGCCTCAGCCTCCTGTGTAGATGGGACCAGAGGCACATGCTACCATGCCCCAGTAATTTTTGTTGTTGTTGTAGAGATGGGGTCTCACTATGTTGCCTAGGCTGGTTTCCAACTCCTGGACTCAAGTGATCCTCCCACCTCAGCTTCCCAAAGTGCTGGGATTCTAGGCATCCACCATCATGCCTGGCCAGGAGGAATCATTAAAAAAGAAGTTTTAAACCATATGAAATTACTACTATTAAATAATTTATTATTATTATTATTATTATTTTTGAGGCAGAGTCTCACTCTGTGGCCCAGGATGGAGAGCAGTGGTGTGATCTCGGCTCACTACAACCTCTGCCTCCCAGGTTCAAGCGATTCTCCTGTCTCAGTCCCCTGAGTAGCTGGGACTACAGGCATGTGCCACCACGCATGGCTAATTTTGTATTTTTAGTAGAGATGAGGTTTCACCATGTTGGCCAGGCTGGTCTTGAACTCCTGACCTCAAATAATCCACCCTCCTTGGCCTCCCAAAGTGCTGGGATTATAGGTGTGAGCTATCACACCAGGCCAATGAATTTTTGAGAATGGTTTCGTTTTGCTGACCAGACTGAGTGCAATGGTGCAATCATGTCTCACTGCAGCCTCAACCTCCTGGGTTGAAGCGATCCTTCCTCCTCAGCCTCCCAAGTAGCTGGGACAACAGGTGTGTCCCATTAGCCACCACACCAGGCTAATGTCATCTTAATCCTCTTCTTTCTCATTCTTCACACTTAGTAACTCCCATAAGTTTACACGTTTACACTTGCTTTCTCCCACAGTCCCACATTTTTTTGCAAGCTCTGCAAGTGTTATCCAGTTGTTGCTGGGCATCTCCCGCTGAGATGGTGCACAGCTGTGCTGGCCAACATGTGGCTATTTACATTCAAATTCATTCAAATTCAGTTCTTCAGTCAGGCTAGCTACATTTCAAGTCCTCAGGCTAGTGACTACCACAGTGGACAGTGCAGATGGAGAACATTTTTCTTTCTCTCTTTTTTTTTTTTTTTGAGATGGAGTCTCGCTCTGTTGCCCAAGCTGGAGTGCAGAGGTGCGATCTTGGCTCACTGTAACCTTCAGCTCCCCAGTTCAAGCGATTCTCCTGCCTCAGCCTCCCGAGTAACTGGGATTACAGCTGTGTACCACCACGCCCGGGTGATTTTTGTATTTTTAGTAGAGACAGGTTTTTGCCATGTTGGCCAGGCTGGTCTCGAACCTCTGACCTCACGTGATTCACCTGCCTCAGTCTCTCAATGTGCCGGGATTACAGGCATGAGCCACGGTGCCCAACTGTTTTGTTGTTGTTTTGAGACACAGTGTCATTCTGTTGTCCAGGCTGGAGTGCCGTGACGTGATCTCAGCTCACTTCAACCTTTGCCTCCCGGGTTTAAGGACTTCTCGTGCCTCAGCCACCCAAGTAGCTGGGATTACAGGCATGCTCCACTGTGCCCGGCCGAGAACATTTTCATCATCACAGAAAGCTGTGTTGGAAAATGTTAGTTGGTCTACAGAAATCTCAACTTCAGGTTCCCAAGCTAACTATCTTCTTAGCAATTCTGCTCCTGTGTTCCACTCGTAGCAGCCTGAGAGGCAGACATCATGACTCCTCTGTTTTCCACACATTCAATAAATGTGGAGTGAAAAAATGAGTGATGAGGAACCGAGGCTCACTTAGTAGGTGGCCAAGCTGGAATTTAAACTCTGACTGTTTAACGGCCCGACAAGGTCATCGCACACAACTTAGTGCACTCTCATTTTCAGAATATTTTATCAAACAGGATTACTGAAGATGAAGATTTTAGCTGAGCGAGATTGGAGAAAGCCTTTCCTTCCTTTTGACTTTTTTTCAGGAAGCTCCTGGATAGCTGAGGATAAGACCCCGTAGGAACTTCACCCTGCTTGAGAATTGTGCAGAGAAGGCTTCCACCTCTGTGCAATGGAAACCTGTTGTTTGTTTCAGTTTGGAAATATAAATACACTGAATTAGTCAGCCTGGACTGCCATAACAAAATCCACAGACAACAGAAATGCATTTCTTACAATTCTGGAGGCTGGAAGTGGAGGATGCTGGTGCTGGCAGGTGTGGTCTCTTCTGAGACCTTTCTCCTTTTCTCCCCCTGTGTCCTCACATGGTCATCCCTTGGTCTGAGTGTTCTGTGTCCTCATCTCTTTCATGAGGACACCAGTTACACTAGATTATGGACCACCCTAATGACCTCTTGCTAATTTAGTCACCTCTTTAAAGGCCTTATCTCCAACACAGTCACGTTCTGAGGTACTAGGGGTTTGGACCTCAACACACAAATTTGGAGGGAAACAATTTAGCCCACAGCATATACTGTTCCCTAGACAGTGGACCTAGGGTCTGTTCTCTTTCACATTTCTTTTTTTTTTTTTTTTGAGACAGGGTCTTGCTCTATTGCCAGGTGGGAGTGCAGTGATACAATCATGGCTCACTGCAGCCTCGACCTCCCAGACTCAAGCAATTTTCCCACCTCAGCCTCCCAAGTAGCTGGGACTACAGGCACATGCCACGACACCCGGATAATTTTGTTTTTATTTTTTGTAGGGATGGAGTCTCCCTATGTTGCGTGGGCTGGTCTCGAACTCCTCGCCTCAAGTGATCCTCCTGCTGCAGCTTCCCAAAATGTTGGGATTACAGTTGTGAGCCATTCCGCCTGGCCTACATTTGCCTTTCATGAAGACATAATAGAATGAATAGTATGCTTATCAAATTATTGACTACTTTTATTCTATAGACAGTTGGGGAAAACAAAAACAAAAACAAAAAAAAAACCTTTGATAAAGATCCGTTTTGCCTAGGTGAGAGGATAGCTTGAGCCCGGGAGGTCCAGGCTGCAGTGAACCATGATCCTGCCACTGCACTCCAGCCTGGGTGACAGAGCGAGACTCAGTCTCAAAACAAAACAAGGCCAGGCGCAGTGGCTCACGCCTGTAATCCCAGCACTCTGGGAGGCCGAGGTGGGCAGATCATGAGGTCAAGAGATCGAGACCATCCTGGCCAACATGGTGAAACCCGTCTCTACTAAAAATACAAAATTTAGCTGGGCGTGATGGCAAGAGCCTGTAATCCCAGAACTTTGGGAGGCCAAGGCAGGTGGATCACCTGAGGTCAGGAGTTTTGAGACCAGCCTGGCCAACATGGCAAAACCTCATCTCTACTAAAAATACAAAAATTAGCTGGGCATGGTGGCGAGAGCCTGTAATCCCAGCTACTAGAGAGGCTGAGGCAGGGGAATCGCTTGAACTCGGGAGGTGGAGGTTGCAGTGAGCCGAGATCGCGCCACTGTACTGCAGCCTGGGAGACAGAGCTCTCGCTCAAAGAAACAAAACAGGCTGGACGCGGTGGCTTACGCCTGGAATCCCAGCACTTTGGGAGGCCGAGACGGGCAGATCACAAGGTCAGGAGATCGAGACCATCCTGGCTAACATGGTGAAACCCGTCTGTACTAAAAATACAAAAAATTAGCTGGGTGTGGTGGCGGGCGCCTGTAATCCCAGCTACTTGGGAGGCTGAGGCAGGAGAATCGCTTGAACCCGGAAGGTGGAGGTTGTAGTCAGCCAAGATCGCGCCACTGCACTCCAGCCTGGGTGACAGAGCGAGACTCCGTCTCAAAAAAAAAAAAAGAAAAAAAAAGAAACAAAACAAAAAACAGGAAATGGTCTGTTTTGTCCTTCAAAGCACAAAATGAAGTTCAGCTGATGTCAAGTGAACATTCTCTTAAGGAAAAAAGTAAATAAAAGTATAGGATGGGCCGGGTGCAGTGGCTCACACCTGTAATCCTAGGACTTTGGGAGGCCAAGGTGGGCGGATCACTTGAGGCCAGGAGTTCAAGACCAGCCTGGCCAAGATGGCAAAACCCCATCTCTACTAAAAAAAAAAAAAACATAAATAAATAAATAAATATAGGATGGAGAGGTTAAAAAAGAAAAAGCACCTGAGTCACAGCTGACCAGCAGGAGTCATTGCATAATACTTTCCAAGGTATGGGGAGCAGCTTTGGGGAAATCTCCAAAGCAAGATGTGGCCCGGCACAGTGGCTCACACCAGTAATCCCAACACTTAGGAGGTCCAAGGCAGGAAGATGGCTTGAGGCCAGGAGTTTGAGACCAGCTTGAGCATATAGGGCAATCTTGTCTTTACAAAGAAAAATTTTTTTAATTAGTCAAGTGAAGTGGTGCACACCTGTAGTCTCAGCTACTTGGGAGGCTAGGGTGGGAGAATCACTTGAGCCCAGGGAGTGAAGACTGCCGTGAGCCCTGATTGCACCACTGCACTGCAGCCTGGGCAACAGAGCGAGACACTGTCTCAAAAATAAAAAAAAAAAGAAAAATATTTGCCTTTCACCTAAAAGCTAGGAAACAATCTCTCTTTACTCTGTCAGTTTCCTATTAGGCCATTCAATCCAGCTGTCAGTTGTTTGTTTGGTGGGAATGGTTTGATTTACTGGGGAAAAAAGTTTCTAGAGTTGTAAACTGGCAGTCAGCAATAGTTGAAACAAATATGTAGGATAATGAGTGGATCGATAAGAAGTCTAGAAGACTTACATGGTGGCGTTTACTCAGAACCTATTCATTGAGTTCTTCTAATCCTATATAATCTCTTTGCTACCACCACCAGCTTTATTGAGGTATAGTTAACAAATAAAAATTGTATATATTTATGGTGTACAATGTGCATTTTTTTTTTTTGAGACGAAGTCTCGCTCTGTCGCCCAGGCTGGAGGGCAGTGGCACAATCTCGGCTCACTCTGCCTCCTGGGTTCCATGGTTGGCCACGCTAGTCTCGAACTCCTGACCTCAGATGATCTGCCCACCTTGGCCTCCCAAAGTGCTAGGATTACAGACTTGAGCCACCGTGCCTGGCCACATTTTTTTTTTTTGAGACGGAGCCTTGCTCTGTCGCCAGGGCTGTAGTGCAGTGGTGTGATCTCGGCTCACTGCAACCTCCGCCTCCCAGGTTCAAGCGATTCTCCTGCCTCAGCCTTCCAAGTACCTGGGAATACAGGTGCGTGCCACCACGCCCAGCTAATTTTTGTATTTTTAGTAGAGACGGGGTTTCACCATGTTGGCCAGGATGGTCTTGATCTCTTACCTCGTCATCCGCCTGCCTCAGCCTCCCAAAGTGCTAGGATTACAGGCGTGTGCCACCACGCCCAGCCTTTTTTTTTTTTTTTTGAGATGGAGTCTCACTCTGTTGCCCAGGCCGGACTGCAGTGGTGCCATCTCGGCTCACTGCAAGCTCCGCCTCCCGGGTTCACACCATTCTCCTGTCTCAGCCTCCCGAGTAGCTGGGACCACAGGCGCCTGCCACCACGCCCGGCTAATTTTTTGTATTTTTAGTAGAGACGGGGTTTCACCGTGTTAGCCAGGATAGTCTCGATCTCCTGACCTCGTGATCCGCCCGCCTTGGCCTCCCAAAGTACTGGGATTACAGGCGTGAGCCACCGCGCCTGGCCTTTTTTTTTTTTTTTTTTTTTTAATGGAAGACTTCACGAATTTGTGAGCTCGGGGCCATGCTAATCTTCTCTGTATCAGTATCCAATTTTAGTATATGTGCTGCCCAGGCAAGCACCACAATGTGATATTTTCATATGTGTAAAGGGTTTTGTTTTTTAAAGATGTGGAGAAATTAGGGAAGGGTTAGATATATAGTTCTAGTCACATTTGTCCCTGATTATAAACTACAAGTTTGTTACAGAAAATAAAGAATAGGAGGCCGGGCGCTGTGGCTCACGCCTGTAATCCCAGCACTTTGGGAGGCCGAGGCGGGTGGATCACGAGGTCAGGAGATTGAGACCATCCTGGCTAACAAGATGAAACCCCGTCTCTACTAAAAAATACAAAAAATCAGCCCGGCGTTGTGGCGGGCGCCTGTAGTCCCAGCTACTCAGGAGGCTGAGGCAGGAGAATGGCGTGAACCCAGTAGGCAGAGCTTGCAGTGAGCCGAGATGGCGTCACTGCACTCCAGCCGGGGCAGCAGAGCGAGACTCCGTCTCAAAAAAAAAAGAAAAGAAAAGAAAGAATAGGGCTGGGTGCAGTGGTGCATGCCTGTAATCCCAGCTACTGGGGAGGCTGAGGCAGGAGAATTGCTTGAACCTGGGAGGCGCACGTTGCAGTGAGCCAAGATTGTGCCATTGCACTCCAGCCTGGGCGACGAAAGCAAAATTCTGTCTTAAAAAAAAAAAAAAAAAGAATAAAAACAAGAAACTAGATCCCCTTAATTTGCAAACTTTCAGAAATAATCCCTTTAAAATACTTTTTCAACTTTTTTCAAAAACAGGGTCATCTGATATATAGTTTTTATTTATTTATTTATTTTATTTTATTTTTTGGAGACGGAGTTTCGCTCTTGCTGCCCAGGCTAGAGTGCAATGGCGCAATCTCTGCTCACCGCAACCTCTGCCTCCAGCGTTCAAGCAATTCTCCTGTCTCAGCCTCCTGAGTAGCTGGGATTACAGGCATGCGCCACCACGCCCGGCTAATTTTCTATTTTTAGTAGAGACGGGGTTTCTCCACGTTGGTCAGGCTGGTCTCGAACTCTCAACCTCAGGTGATCCGCCCGCCTCAGCCTCCCAAAGTGCTGGGATTACAGGTGTCAGCCACCACGCCCAGCTATTTATTTATTTTTTGAAATGGAGTTTCACTCTTGCTGCCCAGGCTGGAGTGCAACGGTGCGATTTAGGCTCACTGCCACCTCCACCTCCTGTGTTCAAGTGATTCTCCTGCCTCAGCCTCCCAAGTTGCTGGGACTAAAGGCGCGTGCCATCGCGCCTGGCTAATTTTTTGTATTTTTAGTAGAGATGGGGTTTCACCATGTTGGCAAGGCTGGTCTCGAACTCCTGACCTCAGGTGATCCGCCTGTCTCAGCCTCCCAAAGTGCTGGAATTACAGGTGTGAGCCACCATGCCCAGCCCCTATATATAATTTTTAGAATCTGCTTTTCCACTTATATCATGAATGTGTCTGGTTTATTTTATATTATTTTATTTATTTTTTCTGAGACAACGTCTTGCTCTGTCGCCCAGGCTGGAATGCAGTGGCGAGGTCACGACTCACTGCAGCCTTGACCTCCCGAGCTCAAACAAGCCTCCCACTTCAGCCTCCCAAGTAGCTGGGACCAGAGGTGTGTGCTACTATGCCCAGCTAATTTTTATTTATTTATTTATTTGGTAGAGGTAAGGTCTCATTATATTGCTCAGGCTGGTCTCAAACTCCTGGGCTGAAGAGATCCTCCAACCTCGGCCTCCCAAAGTACTGGGATTACTGATGTGAGCCACTGTGCCCAATTAATTGATTTTTAACTTTGACTTTGGAATATAGCCAACACAAATACCCCTACATGAAACCACCCAGCCCTGCCCACACCCTTACTCTCCTCCTCCTGCACAGTCCATCATCAAGCTTGAGTGAGGATCCATTTGTAGGATCCAGACAGCTGAAATATTTCCACCAAAAGACTCATTCCTGAGGGTCAGTGAATTAGGGTCCTGTCCCTTAAGAAATGTAAACATCCCTGGGAAGGGCTGATGTGTGGGTAAAATCACCTTGCCTTTAACTCTTCAGAATTTGTACATCTGTTAACTTTCCTTTACCTAGACATTCCTCAACAGCTCCAAGCCTGAGGTCCCCAAAGCTCCAGAGCTCTCCAGGAGACTATAAGGGTATGGGCCAGAAAGTCAAGATCCTGAAGACACACCTTCCCAGCTTGGATCACTGATGGTCTTGGATAGTTAAGACTTAGAGGGAATAAAGATCTCCAAGTTCGTTGTCAGCAGTCTACCCTAACCGTGACACTAGGGTTGCTTTCCTGTTTCTACTCTGGACTCTGTCCTGCTTTCCTCTCCGTCCCCTGAACCTGGCTGGATTCCCCTCCGACCTCACCCCACTCCCCTTTTGCTTGAATTTCTTTCTTTCTTTTTTTTTTTTTTGAGACGGAGTTTCATTCTTTTTGCCCAGGCTGCAGTGCAATGTCGTGATCTCAGCTCACTGCAACCTCCACCTCCTGGGTTCAAGTGATTCTCCTGCCTCAGCCTCCCGAGTAGCTGGGATTACAGGCATGCACCACCACGCCCAGCTAATATTGTATTTTTAGTAGAGATGGGGTTTCTCCATGTTGGTCAGGCTGGTCTGGAACTCCTGACCTCGTGATCCACCCACCTCAGCCTCCCAAAGTGCTGGGATTACAGGTATGAGCCACTGTGCCCAGCCCTGAATTCTTATCTCACTTACTGACACCAACCATTGTTCAGCTGTTAAAGGTTAGCGATTTTTGTTTTCTCTCTCACTACACAGCCAAATGATCTGAACCGTTTCCTAGCTCCTTCCCCTCCTCCTCAACCTCAGGACCACTGCTTGAGTTTTAGGGCACCCCGAGTCTCCAGTTCAACTGCAAGACTGTTGCAAGACGGTCTTCTTGATGGTGCTGCTGATTAAGTCACACTTGTGTCTTTTTTGATGCCTAACTCTTCAGCATGGCACGCAATGACCTTCAAAGTCTGGTATCCACTTCCTTCAATCTTATTATCCACATCTCTATTCTCCAGCCACACCAGTTTACATAGCTTCGCTAAACACACCAGCAGACTGGCTGCCTCACCTTTGTAGGTGCTATTCCATGTGTCTTAAATGGGGTTTCCAGTCTCAGTTTGGCAAACCCTCATTTATCCTCAAGAGCTAGATCAAATGCACTGTAATTGGATTTCACTGTTCCTTCCCTTGGGTTCCCATTGAACTTTGCATAATTGTCTGTCTTCTCACCTAGACTGGAACTACTTGAGGAAAGGGACCTACTCCTTCCCTTAGTGCGGTGTCAAAGTCAACAAACACTCCAATGATTGCTGAATTAATATAATTATTATTAATTACTTTGAGACAGGGTTTCGCTCTGTCATCCAGGCTGGTGTGTAGTGGTGCATTCACGGCTCACTGCAGCCTCAACTTTCTGGGGTCAAACTATCCTCCCACCTCAGCCTCCTGAGTAGCTGGGACTACAGGTGCAGGCCACCATGATGCCCAGGCTGATCTCGAACTCCTGGGCTCAAGCGATCCACCTGCCTCGGCCTCCCAAATTGCTAAGATGACAGGCGTGAGCCACCGGGCCCCCCATGATTGCTGAATTAAATAGTTGGTGCTTAGTGTGTACTTCACGTGGCGCTGATATGCTGCCTTGCGTTTTGGTCTTTTCATGTGCATGAGGTGTGACCAAGCCTTGATATGATTCATTATTTAACAAGAATACCACAATTCATCTATTCAAATGAGGGCTGCGTCTTCAACGCCTTCACCTTGCAGGACTGGATGCTTAGCTCAGTCATTGCTTGAAACACTTTTGGAATACCTCTCTTGGAAACAACTTTGGCATCGATAGCACTTTCCTTTCAATATCTTCCACGGTAGCAATTGTTTTTCATTTATGCAGCATTTATCATGCACTTCCCTATCCCAGGCACCAGGCTGGATCTGTGTGAAAGATAAGATAAATCAGACATTACTCTGTCTTCAAGGAAGTTTCTGTTTGGCAAGGGAGATAAGATCTAGACAACCACCCAACACAAGGCTAAGTGATAATGCCCCAGAAAAGGTTGGATTTGATTTTTGGAAAAAGCCAAAAGTCCTTTGGTTTCAGTCTCCTGGCCAGGTAGATGATGGCGCTACCTGCCAGCACACTGCTTTAAGCCCGTTTGTCCTAAGCGTCTCCAAACAAGGAGCCCAGCGTGTTTCCAGCACCTCCTGCCCCAATAAGAGACTCCTGGGCATGTGTGTCTGAAGTCCAGACTCTCACCGATGGCAGTATACACCGAGGCCTCCCCAGCTAAACTCTGAGCTCTTTGAGGGCAGGTGCTGACGGCTGATCCTGATCTTCACAGTATCTGGACTCATCACACATCTTAGATGAATATTCATTGAGTCACTGAGCCCAGAAGGCGTCCCATGGCATGCCACATGGACTTCAAACCGAGTGCCCTTTCTCCCATGTGGTTTACTCGTAGTGGCGGTTTTACAGATGCCCAAGGGGCAGGAGAGAAAAACGGAAAGAGCTAAAGCCGGGGAGGGCAAGCGAGGGGGCACTGGCAGCGGATCTGGGAATGGAGCCCGCGAGTTCCTGCTTCCTGGTTCCCCGGAGCAAGTGTCCTTTGGTGGGAGCCGCAGGAAGGGAGCAGCCCTTCCTGCGCGCCGGGAGCCCGCCCCTTCCCCGGCCTCCCAGGGACTCGTGCGGAGGGACGCCGGGTGGCGGGGCGGGAGTCTGGGCCCCGTCCACCCCCCCGCCCCCGGGACAGCCCCACCCCGGCGAAGAGGAAGGCTCTCGGCTCCTGGGAAAGGGAGTCGGGACCCCGCCAGGAGGGGAGGGCGCGGGGCGCGCAACGAGCAGCCAAACAGTCGGAGCGGAGAGATCGAAGGGCTAGTGGGCGTGGGGGCCGCAGCCGAGGCCCGGGTGGAGGGGTCCCCGCCGTCCCTCGGCCCCCTCCCCCGCCGCCCGCCCCGGCCCGGCCCGGCCCCGCCCCGCCCCGGCGGCCCGGCCCCTCGCCCGCCCGCGCGCGGCGCAGTCTCCTCCCCGAGGTGCCGGTGGCCCCGCCGCCACTCCCTCCGGCTCCCTCCCTCCCGCCGCGGCGCGCATCTCATTCCAGCCCTCATTCCGCGCATTCCAGCGTCCTCCTCGCACACTCGAGGCCAGGGGGCGGGAGGGCCGCAGCTCCGGCGCCGCCGCGTCCCGCCAGGTGAGAGGCGCCCGCGCCCGCCGCACCCGCCGGCGCCCTCACGGGCCGCGCGCCCCACGCCGCCGCAGCCGACCGCTCGCGCCGCGTGCTCGGCTGCTCTTTTCTTTCCGCCGCCCGCGTTCCCGCCTTGGACCTCTGCGCTCCGACGCGCTCCGTCCCGACCTCTGGCTTCCCTCCGCGCTCCGGCGCTGCTCGCTGCCCCTCTCCCGCTTCCCTCCTGTCCGCCCCGCGCTCCCCTCCTCGCTCCCGGTTGACTCACTCCTCCAGGAATAGGGATCCCCGTGTTTTCCCGTCAGTCCCATTCTGGGAAAACTCCTCCCTCCGCGCGCTCCGCTCCGCTCCGCTGGGCGCACCGGGGCCGGTCGGCGCGGGGTGGGCTTGGCCCCGCGGCCCCGCCTTCACTGCGCCGCCCGTCGGCCCCGGCCGGAGCCCGGCTCTGCGCGCTGACGCCCTGTCGTCCCCGCAGAACGATCGCCGCGGCCGGAAGAGTTGGCGCTCGGGGCGGACTCCTTGGAACTGGCTTAGCGCACCCATCCCACCTTCCCGCACCCTGGGACCGGTAAGGCTGGGGCGCGGGGACTTGGTAGGACTTTGCCGGAGGGCAGGAGTCTGCGCGGTGCGTGCGGAGCTCCCTCCCGGGACGAGACTGGGAAGAGCGAGGCACGTGGAGGCGGCGCGACTGAGGCTGCTGGAGGCGAAGCGGCTCCAGGGGCGGGTAAGGGGGGTGGACACTCGGGACTTTGGGGGAAAGGGAGGCCGGTGTGGAAAGGACCGGAGAGGCAGAACCGAGAGCATCGGCAACAGAAGAGACCCAGCACCCATGCCTCTTTTCTGCTGGGCCCTTTTCGAGCCTGGAAGGGAGAGACCTGGAGGTAAGCGGACTGCCTGTTTTAAGTGCAAAGGCGATGCGAAAGTCGGGGGACCCCTGCAAAAGGTCCTACACCTCAGGGCTTGGGAAGCTGCTGTGTTTCCTGATGGGGACTAGTGGATCGATCCAGGGAGCAGAACTTTCAAACCCCAAAGTGAACATTTCCCCCGTTGTGCTGAGGCACTTGAGGCCCCGCGGACTGACTGCGTCTGTGCTGAGTCTGTGTGACACCTGACTGCGAGTCCCCCTCGCTTTGAGTCTCTGTGTGGGTGATGTCTGTTCACGTGTGGCTCACCTTGGCTTCCAGTGGGCGTATTTGTTTGTGTTGAACGTGAGTGACAGAGTGTGTGTATATGTCTGCGTGAGAAGGGGCTGTCTGAAAGTGAGTATCTCTGAGTAGGTGTGTGATGCCACGTCTCTTGAGTATGTGTTTCTCTTCGAGGATGTTGGTTCTGGCTAGGACTGTTCTTCCTCCCTACATAGCCGTGGGCAAGAGTCAGTGTCTCTGGTTGCCTGAGTGCAGGGATAATTTGACTGTGGTTTTGGAGTGTGTGGCCTCCAGGCTCCGTTTCCCCTGGACCGGGCAGAGCTGGAAGGAAGCTGGCTCCACCTGCCTCTTGGAGCCAGGAGGCTGACTTTCTCAGGGCGAGGGTCTTGTGCTTGCCTGGAATAGGTCAAAAAGCTGGTAGGAGGCTGAAGGAAGTTGAGATCTTTGCCTTTGGGGGATGGGATGGGCGGGTGAGATTTGGGAAGGTTTGTCGGGGTGGATCCCCGGGAAAAGGAGACAGTTTTGAATCTGGAGACTTGTGTAAATAGTGCTTTTAAGTTGCCCTCAAGGACAAACAGGGAGGTATACCAGCCTGAACTACTTTTCCTGGTTTAACTCTCCTCGGAGCTGACCAGGTAACCCAGTAGAAGAATCCCTCATTCTTTCCAACTTGCCAGACACTCAGCACTTCCTTTGAGAAGAGGAATGAGTAGCTTGTTGCATGAGGGCTTCAACGTGGATATCATGTGTAGGGCTTCTTGGAAGGAAGGAGCCAGAAACTGTCTCGGGGGTTGGGGGTTCTCGTCCTTGCTCCTCCATCCATCCTGAGGATGTGGATGTTCTTGTGGGAAACACCTCACCCTCTCACCTCTTCGGCCTGGTGTGCGACTGGTCTAAAAGCAGCACTGATGGAGTGGAAAGGGCACAGGTTTGGGGTCAGGCAGACCAGGGTACAAATCCTGAGTCTCTCACTACCTTTAAGGCTCTCAGGCTGTTTCCTGGTGGGTAATACGAGCGGAGCTTTTCTGTCCAGAAAGTTTCTTGTGAAAAGTCGATGTCTGCAGAGCCCCCACCCAGCAGCACAGTGCCTGGCACATCCCATGGACTCCATAGGATAGCTGTTGTATCCAGTGTTTCCTTCGCTTATTTCAGTAAGAACCCCTTTTTCCTAGGGATTAGTGTTTTTTGAATTAGTGTTTCTCTGAGCACCATTTGAGAAACCTTGCCCTGTCTATCATGTTTATTTAGCAAACATGAATCGAGCATTTACTGTGAGCCAGGCCCTACGCTGTGTTCCGCGTCCTTAGGAATCCAGGGTCCTAGTGGCCCAGGTCAGGAGGGAGGGGGACAGACAGGGCTTTGTCACCAGAGAACAGAGTGCCAGCTTCTATTTTCTGATTCCAGTTTTGCCTTGGCCCCAGGGTGAGCTTGCTGAACATTATTAGATACCCTAATGTCAGCATCTAAGTCCCCCATTTTATTTTATTTTACTTTATTTTTATTTTATTTTATTTTATTTATTTTTGAGACGGAGTCTCGCTCTGTCGCCTAGGCAGTAGTACAGTGGCATGATCTTGGCTCACTGCAACCTCCGCCTCCTGGGTTCAAGCGATTCTCCTGCCTCAGCCTCCCGGCCGGCTAGTTTCATATATATATATTTATATATATTTATTTATATATATAAATATAAATATATAAATATATATATAAATATAAATATATATATATATTTTTTGAGATGGAGTTTCGCTCTTGTTGCCTAGGCTGGAGTGCGATGGTGCGATCTCGGCTCACCACAACCTCTGCCTCCCGGGTTCAAGCGATTCTCCTGCCTCAGCCTCCCAAGTAGCTAGAATTATAGGCGTGCGCCACCGTGCCCCACTAATTTTGTATTTTTAGTGGAGACGGAGTTTCTCCATGTTGGTCAGGCTGGTCTCCAACTCCCAACCTCAGGTGATCTGCCCACCTTGGCCTCCTAAAGTGCTGAGATTATAGGCATGAGCCACCACTCCCAGCCGTTTTTTGTATTTTTAGTAGAGGCGGGATTTCGCCATGTTTGCCATGCTGGTCTTGAACTCCTGACCTCAGGTGATCCGCCTCGGCCTCCCAAAGTGCTGGGATTACAGGCGTGAGCCACTGCGCCTGGCCTAAGTCTCCCATTTTAAAGATGGGGAAACTGATGCTCCTAGAGGGACAGTAACTTGCTTAATGCCGCAACCCTGGTGAGTGGCAGAGCAGGGATTAGAACCTATGCTCTCCCCTTGGCGTTCTGTCTCCTGCCCTGTGGATTGCAGTGCTTGTACACCCCCTACTCCCCCTAGCCGCCTTCATCCAACAGGCGCGGAAGCTGGAGCAGACTGACTTGGGCCATGCCTTGTCGCTCAGATAAGGTTGGTAGGAGGCAGAAATACTCTGCTCCGACCTGGCAGAAAGCACATAGCTGTTCTGGGGAAGGAGCCATCTCACTGTAGAATCTGTGGAGTCGGGAAGGGGCCCTCGGGTCTTTAAAACACACCCTCCTCTCCCCTTGATGAGCCGGCAGGTGAAGGTTCTCCCTATCTTTTTAGATCTCCTGGGTTGCAAATGTCACAACCTCCTTTGATTTCCACTCTGGAGTCTTGCCCCGGTGACTGTCACAAAGCAATGCCTGTTGCCAAACCTGTGGCTCCTCCTTCTCCTTCCCAGTGGAAGTGGAGGACGTTGGTCCCCAGCTTTGGACCTTGCCTTTCCTGCAGTTGAGGTCAGTCCAGTGGCAGTTGGAAATTCAGGGCTTGTGAGGGTGGCTTTACCTTGCCTGTCTTCCTTTGCCCCCATGACCCTTTGTTGGCCGGGGTTGGACGACAGCTCCCTTTAAAGCTCTGAAATTGGAGCTGAACAGCTGCTGTCCAGTAAAGGGGGGTGAGGGGGCTGTCAGCAGCCAGGAGGGCCCAGGTGGAGGTGGGGGCAGGGCTTTGTCACTGGGGAGAACACGGTCTCCAGCTCCTATCTTCTAATTCCACTTTTGCCTGGACGCTTTCTGAGATGACGGTTCTTCCCTTGCTTTTGGTTTTTCCCGCTACTATCTGGGAGATTCTAATCACACCTGTGTGATCTGGCCCTGGGGCCCTTAGCTGGTGGGGACTGGATATTTGGGAAAATTTCCACTAGAACTCAGGTCTCCAAGATCTATGCCCACGTCCTCCTGCATTTAATACAGGGGGGCTCCTGGAAGGGCCAGAGGATGGGCCAGGCTCCCTGTAGCGGGGGCTGGCTCCTTGGCTTGGTGTGGGCAGGCGGGCCCCCATGGGTGGGGACTCTGCTTCCTTTGACCCAAACTTCATGGGAACAATAGACTTCAGAGGAGTCACCAGGGGCAGGAAATGGGAACTGTGCAGAGCCAGGGGTGACCCTCCTGGGGGATGGGATTGCATATCCGGTAGAGGGTTGGGGGCAGTGCAGAGGGCGCTGGGGAGGGGCTGATGACACATAGGGTGGGCCTCTGGGGTGGGGCCCTCCTCCAAAGGGGGCCGTTGACTCAGTGTGAAGCTAGAGCTCCGTGCCGGTTCTGTGCTGAGCTTTCGGCTCTTACTAGCACAGGGCTCGTGTTTGCCAGCCTCCGCTCGTGCCACGCTCGCCCCTGCCAGGACTTGGTCTTCCCCTTCCCCTCAAGCCCCTGAGATGTCTTTGCGAATCATCCTGGCTGGGATAAAAGGCTGGTGTTGTTGCTCCCTGGCTGGTCTCCACCTTGGCTGTGAGCCTTGGGCAGTTGTGGCTGGAACGGCGATCTTGGGTTGTGGGCAAAGCTCTGGACAGGGAGTCCCCAGGCTGGGGTCGCTGGACAACGTGAGGGATTTCTTTCTTTCTTTTTTTTTTTTTTTGAGACGGAGTTTTGCTTTTGTTGCCCAGGCTGGAGTGCAGTGCTGCAATCTTGGCACACCACAACGTCTGCCTCCTGGATTCAAGCGATTCTCCTGCCTCAGCCTCCTGAGTAGCTGGGATTACAGGTGCCTGCCACCACACCTGGCTAATTTTTTTTTTTTTTTTTTTGTATTTTTAACAGAGACAGGGTATTTCCATGTTGGCCAGGCTGGTCTCGAACTCCCAACCTCAGGTGATCCACCCGCCTCGGCCTCCCAGAGTGCTGGGATTACAGGCGTGAACCACCGTGCGCCTGGCCATGGGGGATTTCTTTAGCCGCAGGCAGAGCGAGACAGTGGGTGGAACGTTCTGGAGGCGGAGGACTCTTGTCTTGCCTCCATCTTTGTAAGGGTCGACCAGACTTTGTGAGGAGGCCACAGCTTACCCTGAGAGAATTGTGAGTCAGGCCACACAAGCTGCTTTGCCTGAGTTCAGGTTGCCGGATTCTCACAGATAGGCTTTGGGGTCCCAAGAGAAGGTGTAGGAGTGACCCCAGAACCACTGCCAGGACCTGGAAGGAGGGTAGGAGTAGGAGAGACAACACATGCTGTCTTGATTTGTTTCTTCAAGGAAGCAAGATGGGGACCCTGGAAATGGCAGACTCCTAGAATTGATTCCTTGCCCAATTCTTGGTTAGATTTTGTTTTTTAATGATTTTTTATTTTTTGAGACAGAGACTCACTTTGTCACCCGGGCTGGAGTTCAGTGGTGCAATCATGGCTCACTCCTTGAACTCCTGGGCTCAAGCAATCCTCATTGCCTTAACCTGAGTAGCTGGGACTACAGGTATACGCCACCACACCTGGCTAATTTGTAAAGTTTTTTTGTGGAGGTAGGGTCTCGCTTTGTTGTCCAGGCAGAACTCAAACTCCTGGGCTCAAGCAATCCTCCTACCTTGGCCTCCCAAAGTGCTAGAACTGCAGATGTGAGCCATCATACCCTGCCAATTTAAAATTTTCTAGTAGCCACCTTAAAAAAAAAAAGTGAAGTTAATGTTGGTGTTTTCTTAAACCCTAGTGTTATCAAAAATAATTTCAGTGTAATAATTTTTTTTTGAGACGGAGTCTCGCTCTTTCGCCCAGGCTGGAGGGCAGTGGGGTGATCTTGGCTCACTGCAAGCTCCGCCTCCCGGGTTCACTCCATTCTCCTGCCTCAGCCTCCCCAGTAGCTGGGACTACAGGCACCCGCCACCTAATTTTTTTGTATTTTTTAGTAGAGACGGGGTTTCACCATGTTAGCCAGGATGGTCTTGATCTCTCTACCTTGTGATCCACCCATCTCGGCCTCCCAAAGTGCTGGGATTACAGGCGTGAGCCACCGCGCCCGGCCATAAATTTTTTTAAATTATCATTATTATTATTATCGTAGACAGTGTCTTGCTCTGTCACCCAGGATGGAGTGCAGTGATGCGGTCATGGCTTATGCAGCCTTGACCTCCCAGGATCAAGCAATCCTCCCACCTCAGCCTCCTCAGTAGCTGGGACTGCAGGTGTACACGGTTGCACTCAGCCTAGGTTAGATTTTTGAACAAAAATATGTGGAGAGTGTGAAAATGAAGTGAGATACCTAGTAGCCAACCTGGGTTCACTCTACCAAGTCTTGGAGAAAACAACTCTAACTTGGGTGGAGGAATGTTCAGTAAGCCTTTTCAGTCTAATGATCTTCTTGGTACAAGAGAAAGCAGTGTGGTCTGGCTGATACAGCAGGGAGATGGATGTGTGACTGCTTGACCCACTACGCTGGATGCTGACTCCTAACTCCTGAGCTTGTGTTACTGTGAAGAGGTCCCCGTGATGTGCCGCAGGGCTGTCTTTGGCTTAGTCCTCTATGTTTTCCATAGATACGAGCCTCTCCCAGGAGCCTGTGTGGCCTGTGTCTTCTGTTTCTCATTTCTTTTTCTTTCTTTTTTTTTTTTTGAGATGGGTCTTGCTCTGTCACCAGGCTGGAGTGCAGTGGCGTGATCTTGGCTCACTGCAACCTCTGCCTCCTGGGTTCAAGCAATTCTCATGCCTCAGCCTCCCAAGTAGCTGGGATTACAAGCACACGCCACCATGCCCAGCTAATTTTTTTGTATTTTTAGTAGAAACAGGGTTTCACCATATTGGTCAGACTGGTTTCGAACTCCTGACCTTGTGATCTGCCCGCCTTGACCTCCCAGAGTGTTGGTATTACAGGTGTGAGCCACCATGCCCGGCGTATTTCTTTTTTTTGAGATGGAGTCTCGCCCTATTGCCTAGGCCGGAGTACAGTGGTGCGATCTCGGCTCACTGCAACCTCCGCCTCCTGGGTTCAAGCGATTCTCCTGCCTCAGCTTCCTGAGTAGCTGGGATTACAGGCACCTGCCACCACGCCTGGCTAATTTTTGTATTTTTAGTAGAAATGTGGTTTCACCATGCTGGCCAGGCTGGTCTTGAACTCCCGACCTCAGGCGATCCACCTGCCTTGGCCTCCCAAAGTGCTGGGATTACAGGAGTGAACCACCGCACCTGACCCTGTTTCTCGTTTTTATGGGCGTTGAGGGTAGCAAACATTGGCTGATAGAACCAGGGTTCAAAATCATCTCAGTTGACTGGAATGCTGCCATTAAGTAGAAAGATGAAGTTTAAAAATATTTCTCTCTTAAAATTAATATATGTACATTGTAGGAACCCTGGAAAATAAAGAAAGGCATAAAGGAAAAAAATGATACATAATACTATAATTCGGGTGGGCTGGTATTTCGGTGAATGTCCTTCCAAATTTGTGTTCATGCAAATCTATATATTTTAACATAATTGCAATTATACTCTATCCCGTTTTTTTCCCTACTGAATGCTATCTAATGGGTAATAGTGCATGTCATAAAAAATACTTAAAACCATAATTTTAAGGATCCAAGTAACATTGCATTCTATGACTATACTATATTTAACTATGCCCTACTGACTTTAAAACATTGTTTTTAGTTTTTAGCTTTTAAAAATTACTTGACATTGAGCAATGTTGAACATATACTTATCTCAAGAAGAAATGTAATAGGTCTAAGTGTAACATCCTGCATTTAAGTTCAAAGCATCAATTATGTAAGTCTAGAATAGAGTGGGACTTACTCTTCATTCATGTTGAGGGAAAAGGCTTGGGGTTTTGGGCTGAAAAACGAAGGAAGAGGGAAATGAACATTTTAATGCCTGTTAGGTGCTAGACCATTATTCTAGACATTTCTGCCTTCATCATCTCATTTCATCCTCTCAGCCCTGTGAGAAAGGTTTGGTTTGTTTTTGTTTTGTTTTTCAACCTCTACTTTACAGAGGGGACACTGTAGAAGTTATACTGCAGTTGGAGTTTGGACCCAGGTCAATCTGACTCTCAAACTGCCCCATTAAACCATAAGCCTGTGTGGGCCAGTGCTGTGGTAAGGTCTGTGTCAAGGGAAACCTTTACTCACTAAGCTCTGTGACCCTCTGGCCACATTGGAAGCCACATCTGGTTTTGGAAAGTTTATATATCCTGAGCTGTTAAGTATTGAGCTCGCCATTTTTGTGGGTCTTCCTCTACCCCCAACCAGTGATCTGATCTCAAACATGTGGGTCTTTTTTTTTTTTTTTTTTTTGAGACGGAGTTTCGCTCTTGTTGCTCAGGTTGGAGTGCAATGGCGTGATCTCGACTCACCGCAGCCTCCACCTTCCGGGTTCAAGCGATTCTCCTGCCACAGCCTCCTGAGTAGCTGGAATTACGGGCATTTGCCACCATGCCTGGCTAATTTTGTATTTTTAGTAAAGATAGGGTTTTTCCATGTTGGCCAGGCTGGTCTCGAACTCCCGACCTCAGGTGATCTGCCCACCTCGGCCTCCCAAAGTGCTGGGATTACAGGTGTGAGCCACCGCGCCCGGCCTTTTTTTTTTTTTTTTTTTTTTTTTTTGTGAGACAGGGTCTTAACTCTGTCACCCAGGCTAGAGTGCAGCGTTGCAATCACAGCTCACTGTGGCCTCAACCTCCCGCGCCCAAGTGATCCTCCCACCTCAGCTTTCTCAGCTACTCAGGTCTCAGTAGCTGGGACCACAGGTGATGCCATGCCCGCCTAACATTTTTTTTGTTTTAATTTTTATTTTTCATAGAGACAGGATCTTGCTGTGTTTCCCAGGCTGGTGTTTTTTTTGTTTTGTTTTGTTTTAATAGATAGGATCTTGCTCTGTTGCCCAGGCTGGAGTGCAGTGGTGTGATCATAGCTCACTGTAGCCTCAAACTCCTGCACTCAGATGGTCCTCCTGCCTCAGTCTCCCAAGTAGCTGGGATGACAGGTTTGTGCCACCATGCCCTGCCAATTTTTAAAACTTTTTGTAGAAACAAGGTCTTGCTATCTTTATTTTGCCCAGGCTGGTCTTAAACTCCTCGCCTCAAGCGATCCTCCAGCTTCAGCCTCCCAAAGTGCTGGGATTACAGGTATGAGCCACTGTGCTGGGCCTGTGAGTGTCTTAACAGAGGCTGGATGAGGACTTAGAACCTGCCCAGCATCTGGGTGCTGTCATTTCTCATTTCTAGAAGGTAGGCACCCTTTACAGCAGTAGCAGGTTAGGTCCATCTGACCTGAAGTCTATTACTTCATTATGTAAAACCACATAAAACTAGTGGGCCCTCTGTATCTGTAGGTTCCACATGGATTCGACCCACCCTGGATCGACAGTGTTCAGGGGAAAACATTCCACAGAGTTCCAGAAAGCAAAACTTGAATTTGCTGCTCACTGAATGCTGCATTGAATCCATGCAAATGAAGTGATGTGCATGCGTTGTGTTAGGTATGATAAGTTCTCTAGAAATGATTTAAAGCACATGGGAGGATGTGCGTAAGTTATGTGCAAACACTGTACCGTTTTATATGAGGGACTTGAGCATCCTCGGGTTTCAGTATCCTTAGAGGCCTTGGAACCGATCACCCACAGATACCAAAGGACTACTGTACATAGAGTTTCATTATGTAGAACTTACTAGGGATGCTTTGGAGGAGTCTCTGCCCTGCATGGGAAAGGACTAGGTCACCTCCAGGGCCACTGCTTCCTCGAAGATTTTGTGGTCCTGGGCCTCAGTTTCTCCACATATCAGCATGCGGGGATTCCACTAGATGAAACACTTCGGGATTCCTGCTACAGGGAGGTAGTACAGCGAAGCTGCACCTGGAGTTGGAGGCAAGGCTTGGGACGAGGGTGCAGTGTCTGAGCAGTCAGAGGAAGCAGAATGGGGAGATGAGGGAATTATTGCGTGGCTGCCATCGTCTTTGTCCAAACAAGCACGGTGTTAGGAACAGGCGGAATCTGGGTCTTGCCCTGAGGCTGGAGGGTGGGGAAGATGACCCCCCACAACCCCAGAGAGCAGTGGCTATCAGTGCAGACTCCAGAGTGGTGCTGTCCAATAGAAATACTATGTAAGCCTAGGAGTTACATTTAAAAAGTAAAAAGAGCTGGGTGTGGTGGCTTTTGCCCATGGTCCCAGTTACTCAGGAGGCTGAGGCGGGAGAGTTGCTTGAGCCCAGGGGTTTGAGACCAGCCTGGGCAACATAGCGAGAACCCTGCCTCTAAAAAAAAGAAAGGAAAACTTAACTGGTAAAATGCATTGTAATAATATATTCTTTAACCTATGACTACAATATTATCATTTTAACGTAATCAATAGTAAAAAGTATCAATGAGATAGTTTACCTTCTTTCCACACAAAGCGCTAGAACCGTAGTGTGTATTGTACACTTAACAACACGTCTCAATTTGGACTAACAACGTTTCTTGTGTTCAGTAACCACGTGGGGCGAGTGGTCGTGGTTGGCACAGTGTGGCTTTCCAGCCAGCCCGCCTGGGTTTGAATCTCTGTTCTGCCACTTAACACCTGGGTGGGATAATAAGGTTAATAGAACCAACCTCATACGGTGTATGTGAAGACTAAATGAGTTAATATCTGTAAAGTGCTTAGTTCTTTCCCCGGCACATAATAACCACTGTGTAAGTGTTTGTCAAATAAATGACCTATAAATGGTTCTTAAAAACTGTCGAAGCTGGAATTTGTAAGAGGTAGGGGGTCGATGATGTGTGTGGAAAAACCCAATCGTAGAGTGGCCCTGTGGAGTTACTGATAGTCCACGTTTGTACTGTGGTAGTTCTCCATAATGAAATGGACTTCAGATCCGAAGATCCTAATCTACTCTTTGCTGTGAAGAGCACCTGCCTTCTGGAAGTGAGAAATGACAGCATCCTGATGACAAGACAGGTTCCCATCCCTCGGCAGGTGCATCCTGAGCATCTGTCTGCCTGGGGCTTGAACTGTGCCGGGTGGCATGCAGGAAGCAAAAGCATCCTCGGAAATGCTCCGTCGTAAATTGCATGACCTCATGTTGGAATGAGAGGTGGGGTCACTTCCAGCACTTGGAGGTTGAAGCAATAGTTGCTGCTTATGCAAGAGAAGAAGTAAGCTGTACCAGTGCCTCCCATACCTCCTCAGGGCACTGCCAGCCCAGCACAGCCAGCTCTCCTCTCTTGGCATCAGCTCCCTCCGACTGCACCTGCCCTCACCCAATCCACAGCAGCCACAGCACCCACGGTGTGCCCGGCACTGTGCTAGGTGCAGCGGGAGTATGGAACGGAAGCCCTGGTTCCTGTCCTCATGGAACTTGCAGGGAAATGGACTGTGAAGCTAGCAGTAACATACTGCAAGACGAAAGAACGTGCACAAGCAGGGTCTGTGGCAGTGCCTGGTAAAGGATGATTGATTCTGTCCCAAGAGGAGGAGGCAGTTGAGCTGGCTTTGAGAGTGGGTGGGGTTCTGACAAGCGTGTATATGTGTAAGAGAGAGGGAAGCAGACAGAGAGGAAGAGAAACAGAACTATCCTTGAGAAGACAGAGAAAATGTGATTTGAGGGCTATTGTCATGAAGTGATGAGAGGAGGGGAGGTAAGTGGGTTTTGTTTTTTGCGGGTTTTATTTTTATTTTTATTTTATTTTATTTTATCTTATTTATTTTTTTGACAGAGTCTCGCTCTGTCGCCCAGGCTGGAGTGCTGTGGTGCGATCTCGGCTCACTGCAAGCTCCGCCTCCCGGGTTCATGCCATTCTCCCGCCTCAGCCTCCTGAGTAGCTGGGACTACAGGCACCCCCCACCACACCTGGCTAATTTTTTGTATTTTTAGTAGAGACGGGGTTTCACCATGTTAGCCAGGATGGTCTCGATCTCCTGACCTCATGATCTGCCCGCCACGGCCTCCCAAAGTGCTGGGATTACAGGCATGAGCCACCCCGCCTGGCTGTGGGTTTTATTTTTATATCCTTTTTTTTTTCTTTCTTTCTTTTTTTTTTTTTTTTGAGGTGAAGTTTCACTCTATCACCCAGGCTGGAGTGCAGTGGCGCGATCACAGCTCACTGCAACCTCCGCCTCCCGGGTTCAAGTGATTCTCCTGCCTCAGCCTCCCAAATAGTTGAGATTACAGGCACGTGTCATGATGCCCGGCTATTTTTTGCATTTTCAGTAGGGATGGGGTTTTGCCATGTTGGTCAGGCTGGTCTCGAACTCCTGACCTCAAGTGATCCCCTGGCTTCAGCCTCCCAAAGTGCTGGGATTACAGGCGTGAGCCACAGAGTCTCACTCTGCCACCCAGGCTGGAGTGTGGTGGTGTGATCACAGCTCCCTTCAGCCTTGAGCTCCTGGGTTCAAGCAATCCTCCTGCCTCAGCCTCCTGAGTAGCTGGGACCACAGACATGTGCCACCACACCTGGCTAATTTTTAAAACATTATTTCTAGAGATAGGATCTCACTGTGTTGCCCAGGCTGGTCTCAAACTCCTGGGCTCAAGCCATCCTCCCGTCTCGGACCCTCAAAGTGCTTGGATTACGGGTGTGAGCCACCATACCCGGCCAAGTGGGTTTTATGAACAGGGTGGGTTTGAGCTAGGCCCTCTGGGCAGGATAAGAAGGTCTTATTTTACGTTCATTTTTTACGTTTATTTAGACTCAGGCAGCATGTCTCTTTTTTTTTTTTTTTTTTTTTTTTTGAGACAGAGTTTTGCTTTTGTTGCCCAGGCTGGAGTGCAATGGTGCAATCTCGGCTCACTGCAACCTCCGCCTCCTGGGTTCAAGTAATTCTCCTGCCTCAGCCTCCCAAGTAGCTGGGATTACAGGCATGCGCCACCATACTCCGCTAATTTTTTGTATTTTTAGTAGAGACAGGGTTTCTCCATGTTGGTCAGGTTGGTCTCGAACTCCTGACCTCAGGTGATCCGCCCGCCTCGGCCTCCCAAAGTGCTGGGATTACAGGCGTGAGCCACCGCGCCTGTAGAAAAACATCTCATCCTATAAAATAGAGTGAATCTTTCCCTAAATTTATTTTTAACATACATACAGCAAAATACAGTGTTTTTGGTAAGTAGTAGATGTTGACAAATGCACAGAATGTGTTTTCACCGCCACCATCAAGGTAAAGACTGTTCCATCCCCCAAACGATTCCATCCATGCATTGGCCCCTTGGAGGTCATCCCTCCCCCTTCCCCTCTTGGCATCCCCTGGCCACGCTGATCTGTTCATTCCTATAATTTTGCCTTTCAAGAATGTCTCACAAATGGAATCATGCAGTTACATAGCTCTTTGGGTCTTTGCTTCTTTCACTCAGCAAGGTCATAGCTCACTGCAGCCTTGACCACCCAGGCTCAAGTGTCCCTCCCACCTCAGCCTCTTGAGTAGTGGAGACCACAGGCACACGCCACCACGCCCGGCTCATTTTTGTACTTTTTGTAGAGATGAGGTTTCGCCATGTTGCCTAGGCTGGTCTTGAACTCCTGGCTCAAGCAGTCCACCCGCCTCGCCTCCCACAGTTGTGGGTGTGTGCCACCATGCCCAGCTGTTGTTCTGAGAGTTCTTTCATATTCTGGATACAGGTTCTTTGTCAGGACAGTCAGATATGTGATTTACAGATGTTTGGAGGAAATTAGTTTATGGAGAAAATCTTCACAAGATGATGGGAGTGAGGAACTCTGAAAGTGAGGTGAGAGTTTGGTGTCCTGAGCTGTGGCCTTTCTCACAGTGCAAGATGGGACCAGGAATGAGGAGTGGGGTACACCTAGAGAATGACATGAAAAAGAGGAGTCACGGGGCCTTCCAAGAAGCTCTGTTCCTGGCGTAGAGCATGGTTCAGAATGAGAGGCACAGGTGGGAATTTTGGTTTGCCGGGCATCCTTCCTGCCTGGCGGGCTGCACCTGGTCTGCAGCTAATGGCCTGCTGGGTCAGGCCGGGCTGGCCCCATCCAGAAAAACAAATGTTCATGTCCAGCCTGCATTTCAACCACTTCCATGGCCTTGTTTCCAAACCGGATGATCGTGCCTTCTGGAATGGGAGGCGCGGTAACTGGCAGGCCTGCAGGAGTAAGGTGCTGGGTGTGTGGCTGGTGCAAGACAGAATCAGTGGGGGTGAGTTTTCTGGGTCAGGGTGGGTCCTCTGGGATGGTAACCTCAGCCTAGGGTCTGAGTGAAGGCTTCCAGCTATTGTTTTTTCTTTTTTCTTTTTTCTGAGACGGAGTCTCACTCTGTCGCCCAGACCGGAGTGTAGTGTCACGATCTTGGCTCACTGCAGCCTCTGTCTCCCAGGTTTTCAAGGTGCCTTAGCCTCCCGAGTAGCTGGAATTACAGGCTTGAGCCACCACGCCTGGCTAATTTTTGTATTTTTAGTAGAGATGGGAGTCTCGCCATGTTGGCCAGGTTGGTCTCGAACTGTTGACCTCAGGTGATCCACCTGCCTCGGCCTCCCAAAGTGCTGGGATTACAGGCGTAAGCCACCGTGCCCGGCCAGCTTTGAGCTGTTAACAGAATGTCTGAAACATCATAATCTTCCTTCCTATCCCTGACCAGGCAGGGTGGCTCTGGGACAGAAGACTTACATGAAAAATGACCAAGGCCAGGATGGATGCCGCCTCCCACCTCTTGTCCAAGCTCATTCTAACCCCGCCTGCTCCTATGTCCTCAGAGCCATGGCCCAGTCCAGAGGCTCGAGTCTTCATTCTTCCCCCTGGGGGTGCAGATGCTTTTCCAGAGGTGCTTAGGGCGTAGGGCTGGAGAGTAGGGCAGAGCTGGAGTCCTACTTTCCCGGAGCTCCTAGTGCCCCACTGCCTCCAGGATGTCCTGTGGCTCCCTGAGGCTCTGGGTCCTGGAAGGCATTCCCCGGTGTGGAGACTCCCTCTTCTGCCTGGCTCCTCCTTCTCCCAGGGCAGGGCGTGCACCGAGGCCCCACCCCAGATGCCCGTGCTGCTTGGACACCTGGTTTGGGCTGACCCTCGGGTTCTGACAGGGTGGGATCCTCCTGCCTGACTTTGAGAGCAGCTGATTGAGGGCAAACCCACCCCCGAGGCTGAGGAAACAAGTGTGCTGGCTTTGACGGAATTCCAGGGCAAGTGCTTCTGTTAGTCACTCCCGGGCTAAATCTATTAATATTTTCAGATCTGCATTTTCCTAGGACACGCCTCCTTAAAGTGAAGCCAATTGGTTTGGTTGAGTACTTTTGCCTCTCAAGTACTGTATTTTCATAATTTTTGCTTTTTGCTTTATTTCACTTTTAAAATTTTGTATTTATTTATTTTTTAGTATCCCTGTCATGGCAACTTTTGCTTTATTCTAGAACCCTGAAGAAAGGCCCCGAGGAGAAAAAGTCTCTCAACCCTTAAAACAAACAAACAAAAAAAGACTATAATTTTGAGTAGTTTGGGGTTTATAGAAAACTTGAGCAGAAAGTAGACTTCCCGTAGATACATTCTTGCCCCGCCCCCAGTCAGTTTCTCCTAGTCTTAACATCTTGCATTTGTTGCAATTGATGTACATTTGTTGCAATTAATGAGTCAATATCGGCACATTATTATTATTATTATTATTATTATTATTATTATTATTATTATTACTAGAGATGGAGTCTTGCTCTTGTTGCCCAGGCTGGGGTGCAATGGTGTGATCTCGGCTCATGGCAACCTCTGCCTCCCAGATTCAAGCAATTTTCCTGCCTCAGCCTCTCAAGTAGCTGGGATTACAGGCATGCGCCACCACACCCAGCTAATTTTGTATTTTTAGTAGAGACAGGGTTTCCCCATGTTGGTCAGGCTGGTCTTGAACTCCTGACCTCAGGTGATCTGCCCACCTCGGCCTCCCAAAGTGCTGGGATTACAGGCATGAGCCACCGTGCCCAGCCAGCACATTATTAGAGTCCATAGTTCACATTAGGGTCCCTTCTTGGTGTTGTCCACTCTGGGTTTTGGCACATGGGTAATAATGTGTACCCACCATTACAGTATCATGCAGAATAGCATCACCGTTCCCCAAATCCTCCAGGTTCCGTTTATTCATCCCTCCTTCCCACTTCTGGCAACCATTGATCTTTTGACTGTCCCTGTAGTTTTGCCTTTTCTAGAATGTCATATGGTTGGAATCATACACTATGTGGCCTTTTCAGATTGGCGTCTCTCACTAAGTAATACGCATTTGAGTTTCCTCCATGTCTTTTCATAGCTCATTTTTTTTTTTTTTTGAGACAAAGTCTTGCTCTGTCACCCAGGCTGGAGTGCAGTGGCATGATCTTGGCTCACTGCAACTTCTGCCTCCTGGGTTCAAGTGATTCTCCTGCCTCAGCCTCCCGAGTAGCTGGGACTACAGGCACGTGCCACCATGCCCGGCTAATTTTTATATTTTTAGTAGACACACCATTTTGTGTTCCACCAAGACGCCGGGCTGGTCTTGAATTCCTGACCTCAGATGATCTGCCCACCTCGGCCTCCCAAAGTGCTGGGATTACAGGCGTGAACCTCCACACCTGGCCATCTCATTTCTTTTTTTTTTTTTCTGAATAGTATTACACCCTGCCCCCTCCCAACCTTTTGTTTTTGCAAATGGAGGCACTGAGGCCCAGAGAGGGGAAGTGACTGGCTCAAGAGGCACCACGAACCTGTGGCAAAGCTGCGCTTGGAGGCTAATTTGCCTTCCTCTGGGTACCTGTTTCCAGGGGCCTCTGGGCCGGGCGCTGTTCTGGAACTAAACCTGTATCATCACAGCTTTGTCCAGAGGCTGAGGGGAGGCCAGGGGGCAAGGCCTCTGTTCACCACTTGCCTTGACCCACTTCCTGCATGTGTTGGGTGGGGCCTGCAGATACCCACGCCCCTGACGCCGAAGGGGTTGGGGGTGGGGTTCCCAGCTTCCACCTCCCTGAGAGCTGAGGAGATGGGATGCTGGGTCCAGGCTGAGAGCTGAGGAGATGGGATGCTGGGTCCAGGCAAGTACTCGCCACCCCATTGCCGCCCGGGCCTGGGGGCTGGGTGGGAAGAGACTGCTTGGGTTGGGCCTGGGCTGGGGCCTGCAGCATTTAGGAATCTTATCTCCCTCTGTTGCTCTCTGAGCTGCCCCTCCCACTGGAGACTCCTCCCAGCTGGCCTGCATCCCAGGCCATCTCCATTTACTTAATTTACCTCCCCTCTTGCTAGCCTGCAGGCCTCCTGCTCCTTCCTCTCTGTCCCGCCCTCCATCATCCCTCCTGATGACTACAGGGCAATGACCGTGAATCACGTGCAAGGAGCCCCTTTTTGGGCCAGGCTCTGTGCTCATGGACATGATGGAATTCAATCCTCACAGCCGTTATTTGGGGAGATTGAGATTGCACTGGTGCCTCTTCAGTGGTTGGGAGGACACTGAGGATTAGAGTAGCTTGCTCAGGACTCCCAGGTCCCTGTGAGGCTGGGCCAGGATCTGAGCTCAGGCGTCTTGAGTCCAGAGCCCAAACGCTAAATCTCTGCCCCAGGCGTCTCTCTCTCTCTTTCTCTTTCTCCCCTTCCTGCTCTCTCTCCCTTTCCCCCTTCCCTTCTTTTTCCTCTCTCTTTTGACCAGGCATTGCTCAAGGGGTCCAGCTCTCTGACTTTTGTTCCAACATCTCCTTAGCCTGGGAAGGATTGTGGGGCCTCCCCCCCTCTCACCTGCTCCCCGTTCCCCATCCTGTCCTGAAGCCAGGTGTGATGAAGGCCTCACACCAAAGGATGGCCGGGAAGGTGCTGCCGTGCATTGCCTTGCAGGGGCTTTACTTGCTTTTCTCAATCCTCAGTGGCTCTGCAGGCAGGAATGCTCATCCCCATTTGACAGGTGATGAAACAGAAGCTTTGGGGAGGTTCAGTAAGTTGCTGAACAGCTGTGCAACGTAGCTGGTGAGAGGCAGGTTTCACTCAGGTCATAGGACTCTGAGGCGTCTTTAACATGTCCCGGACTTCACGTGGCCTTTCCCGAGAACTTGTTGCATTTCAGGAGAGGAAGGGGCACTGCTCAGCAAGAGGAAGGCACTCCAGTGGTGGGAGCTCAGGCCCTGGGACACCTAGGTTTTCTTGGTCTTGTTTTCTGAGAAGGGCCCTTTTTTGGCCTCCGGCAGGCCCTGGCCCTTCCGAAATCACAATGGGATCTGTTTGTTTCTAACTGAGTACACAGCCTGGCCCGGCCCAGCCCAACCAAATCCATTTCTCTGCTGGGTTCTTTCCTTCTCCACCAATCCCTTTCCTTCCATCCCTCGGGACTCACCTGCCTGTGACCTGGGGACTCTCCTGTCCTTCTCTTTTCTTTTCCAGCTGTAACCAGGCCCTTTCCTTTGCTCCTGTATTTCGGGCCCAGGTCCCCTGCAGACCCTCTTTTCCTTCTCTGCCCTCTTCTTTTTGTCTTCTATCTCCTGGTGCGCTTTAAACAATTTTTTTGGTGAAATATATGTAACATAAAATTTGCCATTTGAACTCCAAGTGTGCAGTTTGGTGGCATTAAGGACATTCACAATTGTGCTGCAGTCTCCTGCTTCCATCTCCAGAACTTTTTCATCTTCCGAAACTGAAACGCTGTACCCGTTAAACAGTAAGTGCCTGTTTTTTTTTTTTGTCTTTTTGTTTTTTTTTGTTTTGTTTTGTTTTGAGAGGGAGTCTCACTTTACTCACTTTATTGCCCAGGCTGGAGTGCAGTGGTGCGATCTTGGCTCGCTGCCTCCGGGGTTCAAGTGATTTTTGTGCCTCAGCCTCCTAAGTAGCTGGGACTATAGGCCTGCGCCACCGCCCCTGGCTAATTTTTGTATTTTTTAGTAGAGACAGGTTTCACCATGTTGGCCAGGCTGGTCTCGAACTCCTGACCTCAGGTGATCCACCTGCCTCGGCCTCCCAGAGTGCTGGGATTACGGGTGTGAACCACTGCGCCTGACAATGACTGTTAATGTTATGAATGAAACTCCCCATTCCCCCATCCCCAACCCCTGATAGTCTCTCTTCGGCTGTCTCTATGGATTTGCATATTCTCAGTACTTCATGGAAGTGAAATAACATGAGATTTGTCCTTTCATGACTGGCTTGTTTCACTTAGTGCAATGTCCTTAAGGTTCATCCATGTTGTAGCCTATGTCAGAATTTCATGCCTTTTTTGTTTGTTTGTTTTGGAGATGGAGTCTCACTCTGTTGCCCAGGCTGGAGTGCAGTAGTGTGATCTCAGCTCACTGCAACCTCCGCCTCCCTGGTTCAAGCGATTCTTGTGCCTCAACCTCCCGAGTAGCTGGGATTACAGGCACCTGCCACCATGCCCGGCTAATTTTTGTATTTTTAGTAGAGACAGGGTTTCACATTGTTGGCCAGGCTGGTCTCGAGCTCCCGACCTCAGGTGATCTGCCTGCCTCGGCCTCCCAAAGTGCTGGGATTACAGGCGTGAGCCACCGCGCCCGGTCTCATTCCTTTTTAAGGTCGAATCATCCTCCATTACCTGGATGCACCACATTTTGTTTATCCATTCCTCTATTGATGGACATTTGGGCTGCTTCCCCTTTTGACTATCCTGGTGCCTTTTGACATTCTGTGCTCAGGAACAGCAGACAGCACTTCCGCACTATGCTTGGGACCACTTGAGGCAGCAAAAGCACCTGCAAAAGTGCAGAAGTCACAGCACTAAATAGACCCAGAACAAGACACCTGCAGGAGAGCTGACCCAGGTAGACGAAGTGCGGCGTTGCCGACCTCAGCTGGGAGCGTGCGCGTCAGGCAGTGAGAATTTGTGGCTGCTCAGTGCACGCATGTGTCCACAAATGACTGTGAAGATACTGGGAGTAGTGATTTGGGGGTTAGAAATTTTAGCAAGTTGGCAAACTTGCAAGTACAAAATCTGTGACTATTCTGTGATTAATGAGGATTGACTGTACTTGCATCTTCATAGATGACTCTCCCTCCTTCCCTCCTGAGATGACAGCATTAATCCATTCAGCAAGGCCCAATCACATCTTAAAGGCTCCATCTCCCAACATTCTTGTGTTGGGGATTAAGTTTTTAACCCACGAACTTTGAGGGGCACGTTCATACCAGAGCAGCGCCCAATGCCTGTCATATAGTACATGCCCAGTGAACAGTGAGTGAATGAAGGGCACAAGGACTGAAGTACCTGTGCTGAGTTGTTAGGCATGAGAATCAGCAGGGAGAGATCTTTCTGGCAGGGGAGCCTGTTCCTCTCCTCCCTGGGAAGAAGCCCTCTCCTGTGCTCACTGAGAGGCATCCAGTGATGGTCATGGAGGTTGGAATTGTGTGGCAGAAAAGTGCAGGCCTGAGATGTAGTTCTAGTCCCAGTTTTAACAGGTTTTGTGGTCTTTGGCAAGTCAGTTCACCTCTCAGGGCCTTAGTCTCCTCACTTATACATTGGAGGGCAGTTTTCTTCCCCGAGATTCTTTCCACACAAACCCTGGGAACCCTGCCTCTCTCCGCTGGGACCTTCACTGGAGGCCGTAGGAACAGTGGGGTCCATGCAACGAAAGAGACCAAGAGGTCTTCGTGTCTGCAGAGATGAACTTCTCTAGCTCCCTTAGCCTGCCAATCCAGGCTACCCCTCCCTCCAACTCTGCACATCTAACTTGCATCCCTCGTGCTGCAGAGTCAGATCATCCCCCTTCCTATTGTCAACAGAAGTGTTTGCAAAATAGGCTGGATGTGGTGGCTTACGCCTGTAATCCCAGCACTTTGGGAGGCCGAGACGGGCGGATCACTTGAGGACAGGAGCTCGAGACCAGTCTGGCCAACATGGTGAAACCCCACCTCTACTAAAAAAACAAAAATTAGCTGGGCATGGTGGTGCACGCCTGTAATTCCAGCTACTCAGGAGGCTGAGGCAGGAGAATCTCTTGAACCTAGGAGGCTGAGATTGCAGTGAGTCCATATCGCTCCACTGTACTCCAGCCTGGGTGACAGAGCAAGACTCTGTCTCAATTAAAAAAAAAAAAAGTTGGCAAAATAGGTCAAAGAAGCATCATGGCCAGGCGCAGTGACTCACGCCTGTAATCCCAGCAGTTTGGGAGGGCGAGGCGGGCAGATGTCTGAGGTCAAGAGCGAAACTCCATCTCAAGAAAAAAGCAGCATCATGATGGGCAGGAGGCAGCTTGCAGTGGGGAAGGGCTTCAGAGCCGCAGTCTGAGCCTTGTCTCTTACTGGCTTTGGGCTGGGACACAGCACTTCACCTTAGGAGCCTCAGCATCTTCACCTGCCAAATGGGGCAGTGCAGCTACCTCAAGGGGATGGGGGCAGGATTGGAGGAAGATGTAGTCAAGTGCTTTGCCCAGTGCCTGATGCAGAGTGGGCATTTGAAACTGGCACCTCCTAGTGTTAAAGTAGTAAAACGTGTGTCCCTCAGTGTCCAGGGCACCTCTTTGACACTCAGCCCTCCCACAAGTGCTGGGCTGCCTGTATCCGTCCTGCAGGGTCGCCTGCCCAGTGCACAGGGGCTTGCACTGTGTGAGGAGGCAGCACAGCCCACCCGGCACTACCTGCAGGATAGGTTCTTCTTTCCCGCCCAGGTCCCCTGGCCTCCTCCCTTTGTCTTCCAGCTCCTGAGTTTCCAAGCTTAGTTAGCGTGGAAGACAGCAGACAACTGACTGGCCAGAGTAGCACAGCACATTCAGGCAATCAGTGTAGCAGCTCAGGGGCCTCTGGGAACTGGGGCTCAGGGAACCCTTCAGGGTAGAGGGGGCCTCTCACTGCACCCGCTTGTGCCCTGTACCTACCTCCACCCAAGCCTCTGACACTCCATAGCACTTACCTGTTTGCATGTCTGTCTAGTCTCCCATCCCCATCTGAAGTCTGAGCCCCATGAAGGTCTGGACCCTTTTCTCTAGAGTTTAGTCCAAGAACAGGTACTTCAAGTAAAGAGTTAGTTGATGGACTGTTGGCAGGAATTAAATTAGTACTGAGGCCCACCCTAAGCAGGGAAGCAGTATGAACAGACTTGGGGCTCAGGAGATGGTGAGAAGCCCAGGGGTGCTGGAGGGTAGTGGGGATGCACCTGGAAGAAGGCTGGGGTCTGCTGCTCCTCTTTCACCTGTCTCATTTTAAGAGATGATTTCTCTTAAAATGAAGAGACTTCTCCATTTCTTATTTTGAGAGATGAAGCCCAGTGACCCCCAAAATCAGGGTGTTTTCTTCTGAATTCTCTGTCTCAGCTCTAGAGGCTGGAGGAGTTGTGAGGGGCTTAGGGATCACAGTGGCTGCAGAAGGCTCTGAAAGGAGGGCTCTGGGAGCGTGAGATGGATCGGACTAGGGAGAGGACGTCAGGTTGGCCTGGGGTCTGGTTCTGCCTTTTCTCGGGGCAGGTCCTTTGCCCTCCCTGAGGCTTGGACTCTCCATTTGGAACTTAGCATCCTGATTCCCTTCCTGTCCTGAAAGTGTTTTTGGAGGAGCTTACTGTTCTGAGTATTAGGGAGATCTTAATAAAAGCCCATACATTCCTGATCCTTCTGGAAATTCCTGAGTAATTAGCACCTGTGGGCCCTAGGATGGAGCAACCTGCTGTCTTCTGGGGTTGCCCTGGGGGCTACCCTGTAGCTTTTGGTTGGGGCTGAGGCAGAGTAGAGGCTCCTGGGCTGGGCCCTGAGAACCAAGTCTGGGATTATTTTTACTCTTCTGTTCACAGCGCATGGCCCAGCTCCACGATGCCATCTGTCCCCCGCCTCCAGCTCTCCCCTGGCAGGCCCTCCTGGGTCACTGTGGTGCACTTGGGGAAGGAGGAGGAGGCTGGTGCTGGCTTACCCCATTCCATGAGCCGCAGGGCAGGGCGGTGCGTGGGAGGTTTGCCTGGTGGCAGGAGGCAGCTGCCAGCCCCGGGATGTGGGCCGCGGGCAGATAGGAGAAGCTCGCCAGTGACGGCTGTGAACCTGGAGCACCAGGGACACGTGGGGCTGGGAGCAACCCCATTTCGGTAACAAACCCTGTGGCCCAGGGCCTTGGATGACCTGCTGCCCTGCTTTTCCTGGGACAGACCCAATCCTAGGGACATGGAGTGCAGGTCCTCAGAAAACCCCACTCGTGGGGCAGGGTCTGGCATTAGGAGTCTTTGGTTCTCCCCAGGTGTGTGTTCTGCTGGGCTGCCCTAGGCCCAACTTCTGCAGGGACTGATGGTGCTCACTTCACCAGGCCAGTCCAGCTCAGCTTGGGTGAAGGAAGGGGAATTCTGAGGAGGAGCAGGGCCCAGAGACCATAGAAGGGGTCAGGTGGGGTAAGGGAGGTGGCGGCCCTCCTTTCCGTCTCCTGACATCCTGGCCTCCACCGCACCCTCCACCTGACTCAGGGCATCCATCTGTACTTAGTGTCAGGTCCAGAAGAAAATCTAGGCTACAACCAGGACTTAAGAGGCCTCAGGTATTAAAATGATTAATTAATTAAGTATTAATATTAGGCATTAGGGCTTCAGACTTTCTACTTGGCATTGTTTATGGCTTAGTAACAATGAAGACAATAAGAAATAGCTCTTATGAGCACTGACTGTGTCAGGCCCTACGCTAGATGACATCTCACTATGTCATCTCTCCTGCGGGACAGCCTTCCGGGATGGATCAGTTCCCCAGCCTTCTGAGCAGAGCCACACATGAAAGTCTGCAAGGTACTTCTAGAGGCCACTGGAGACTTCTGGGATCTGGGGAGGGAGTGTGAACCACAGATACTGCTAGCACAGAAAGGACCCTGGATCCCAAGGAGGGCATCCTTCTTGTTTTACAGATAAGCAAAATGAGGCCCAGAAAAATGAGAGGTGGTTTGTCTGTGGTTGTGTAGTTGGTGGTAGAACTGGAACCAAAGCCAGGCTCTTGCTTCCCATACATCACACTTCCATTCTACAAGCCTCCAAAATAAGCCCCAAAGGGATTTATGCACAATTCAAGCTCTTTTTCTGGTATGCCAAAATCCAGACATTTCCTGAGGTTTCTTTTGTTTCCCAAAACTAAGCACAGAGCAATCTGTTCTCCCCACAGAGAAATCATTATTCCACAATAACACTTAACAAATATCCCTTCGTTTGTTCATTCTGTGTTCATCAGCTCTGTGCAGCGTGCTGAGGACTTACAGAGGAAGACAGCTGTCCCTGTCCCCATGGTGTCTAAAGTGTGGTGGAGACCAGTCCTTACTGGGAGATGGGGGCTGGATATGGAAATGCAGGAATCTGCTAAGGTTGGAGTCATCTTCCCAGAGGGAGTGACATATGGCTGGACCTTAAGGCTGAGCAAGAGTTGGTCCGGTGAACAAGGAATGGAAGGGAAGTTTCAGGTAGCAGCACCTCCACCAGGAGTGGAGAAAGAGCCTAGCATGTTGGGGGGTGATTTGGATGGCTGAGTTTGGGGCTTGGAGGTGGGTTCAAAGAAGGAAGTACAGAGGGTGGTGCCTGTGTGCGGAAGGTATGGCCGGAGAGCAGGGATCAGCAGATGGAAGCGCTAGAAAATCCCATCATGGAGTGTGTAGTGTTATCTTAAGAACAAAGAAAAGGCATTGAAAATTTTTAGGTAGCAGAATCATGTGATCAGGTTTGCATTTTAGAAAAATCACTGGCTGGGGTGAAGAGATTATGGAGCCTGAATGGGGTTGCACCAGGTCATCCAGATGTGCATCGCTGGAAGCTTGGATTAGGGCTGTGAGATAGAGTAGATTCAGGAGACATGTAGGCGACAGAAAGACAGGATGTGGTCATTAGTTAGATGTGGGAGATATTAATAAGAGGGAAAAGTCAAAACAGTCATGTGCTGCTTCACGAAGGGGATGCCTCCTGAGAAATGTGTCTCTTGGCGATTTCATCCTTGTGCAACCATAATAGAGGGTCCTTACACAAACCTAGATGGTATAGCCTACGACACACCCAGGCTGTGTGGTACAACCTATTGCTTCTGGGCTATAAATCTGTACAGCATGTGACTATACTCAGTTCTATAGGCAACTATAACACAGTGGTAACTCTAAGTGTTAGTATTTGTATATCTCAACATTCCTAAACATAGAAAAGGTACAGTGAAAATAAAATATAAAAGATAACAAATGGCACACCTGTATGGGGTACACCATGAATGGAGCTTGCAGGACTGGAAGCTGCTCTGGGTGAGTCAGTGAGTGAATGGTGAGTGAATGTATGCTACTGTAGGCTTGACTGTACACTACTCTACACTAGGACATTACTGATACTACTGTAGACTTTATAAAAACAGATACTTAGGCTACGCTAAATGTATTTAAAATGATTTTTCTTCAAGAATATATTAACTTGGCTTTCTGTAACTTTTTTACTTTATAAACTTCTTAATTTTTTGATTCTTTTATAATAACACTTTAAAACGCAAACACCTCACGCCTGTAATCCCAGCACTTTGGGAGGCCGAGGCGGGTGGATCACGAGGTCAGGAGGTCGAGACCATCCTGGCTAACATGGTGAAACCCTGTCTCTACTAAAAATACAAAAAAACTAGCCAGTCGTGGTGGCAGGCACCTGTAGTCCCAGCTGCTCAGGAGGCTGAGGCAGGAGAATGGCATGAGCCTGGGAGGTGGAGCTTGCAGTGAGCCGAGATTGCGCCACTGTACTCCAGCCTGGGTGACAGAGCAAGACTCTGTCTCAAAAAAAACAAAAAACAAAAAACAAAACCCAAAAACGCAAACACATCGTACAGCTGTACAAAAATATTTTCTTAATTTATATCTTTATTCTATAAGCCTTCTTCTGTTTACAAAATCTTTTTTTTTTTTTTTTTTTTTTGAGACGGAGTCTCATTCTGTCCCCCAGGCTGGAGTGTAGTGGCACGATCTCGGCTCACTGCAACCTCCGCCTCCCGGGTTTAAGCGGTTCTCCTGCCTCAGCCTCCCTAGTAGCTGGGATTATAGGTGCGCACCATCATGCCTGGCTAATTTTTGTATTTTTAGTAGAGACGGGGTTTCAGCATATTGGCCAGGGTGGCCTCGAGCTCCTGACCTCGTGATCCACCTACCTCACCTGTTTTTTTACTTTTTAACTTTGTCGTTAAAAACAGAGACATACCAGCCGGGCGTGGTGGCTCACGCCTGTAATCCCAGCACTTTGGGAGGCCGAGGCGGGTGGATCACTACGTCAGGAGTTCAAGACCAGCCTGGCCAACAGGGCGAAACCCTGTCTCTACTAAAAAAATACAAAAAATTAGCCAGGCATGGCGGCGGTTGCCTGTAATCCCAGCTACTGGGGAGGCTGAGGCGGAGAATTGCTTGAACCCGGGAGGCAGAGGTTGCAGTGAGCTGAGATCGCGTCACTGCATTCCAGCCTGGGGAACAAGAGCAATACTCCATCTCAAAAAAATAAAAACTAAAAAAAAATAATAAAAACAGAGACAAACGCACACATTAGGCCTGCACAGCGTCAGGGTCGTCAGTATCACTGTCTTCCACCTGCATGTCCTGCCCCACTGGAAAGCGTTTGGGGCAGTAACTCGCATGGAGATATCATCTCCCAGGGTAACAGTGTCTTTTTCTGGAATGCCTCCCGAAGGGCCTGCCTGAGGCTGTTTTACAGTAATTTTTTTTTTACAAGTAGAAGGAGTACACTCTAAAATGATGATAAAGGCTGGGTGCGGTGGCTCACGCCTGCAATCCCAGTCCTTTGGGAGGTTGAGACGGGCCAATCACCAGAGGTCAGGAGTTCGAGACCAGCCTGGCCAACATGGTGAAACTCCGTCTCCACTAAAAATACAAAAAAATTAGCCGGGCGTGGTGGTACGTGCCTGTAATCCCAGCTACTCGGGAGGCTGAGTCACGAGAATCGCTTGACCTCAGGAAGCAGAAGGTGCAGTGAGCTGATACTGCACCACTGCACTCCAGCCTGGGTGACAGAGTGAGACTCTGTCTCAAAAAATAAAAAAAAATAAATAAATAAAATAGATATAATAAAAAGAGACGACAAAAAGTATAGTATAGTAAATAGTTAACCAGTAACACAGTTGTTTATTGTCAAGGATTGTGTACTGTACATAATTGTGTGTGCTAGACTTTTACACAACAGACAGCACAAGTAGGTTTGTTTTACACCAGTGCCACCAGACACGTGAGGAATGTGTGGCACTGCCATGGTAGGATGGCTCTGACATCACTAGGCAATAGGAAGTTTTCAGCTCCATTATCATCTTATGGGACCCCCTTTGAATGAACGTTTGGGGCTGACTGAAATTTTGTTATGCAGTGCATGACTGCGTTCCTAGCTTTCTGGTCTCTGTGTGGATAGTGAGTGGTTCATTTCCTGAGAGAGAGCCGAGGAGGTGGAACAGGATATGGGGACAAGCTGAACACTTGGTTTTGGGCATGTTGAGTTTGAGGAGCTCTGGAGATTGATTAGAGATGCCTGGTAGGCAGTTTCTGTGAGGACCTTCACCTCAGGAAAGATACACAGATTTGGGGATTAAACCAATAGAGTGGGAATGCAAGCCTTGGGTGGGGATCCCCCAAGGAGTCTGTTTAGGGTTTAAAAAGAAGAGGTCAGGTCAGAACCCAGGGACACATCTTTATAGAATGAGTCTGGTGAAATATGGAGCCCAGGGAATATGGAGAAAGGAAGCCTGGAGCTGACTTGGAAGACTACAGACTCCTCCTGCTTCTTCCATGTGTTTTCAGAATCAGCTTGTTTTTTTTGTTTGTTTTGTTTTGTTTTGTTTTGTTTTGTTTTTTTGAGACGGAGTCTCACTCTTTCACCCAGGTGGGACTGCAGGGGCGCGATCTCAGCTCACTGCAAGCTCCGCCTCCCGGGTTCACGCCATTCTCCTGCCTCAGCCTCCCGAGTAGCTGGGACTACAGGTGCCCGCCACTGCACCCAGCTAATGTTTTGTATTTTTAGTAGAGACGGGGTTTCACCGTGGTCTCGATCTCCTGACCTCGTGATCCGCCCGCCTCGGCCTCCCAAAGTGCTGGGATTACAGGCCTGAGCCACCGTGCCCAGCCTGGAATCAGCTTGTTAAGCTTTGTGGAAAACTGTGTGGAATTTTTTAAAATCACAATTTCAGGGCCGGGCACGGTGGCTCACACCTGTAATCCCAGCACTTTGGGAGGCTGAGGAGGAGGATCACTTGAGGTCAGGAGTTCAAGACCAGCCTGGCCAACATGGTGAAACCCTGTCTCTACTAAAAATATAAAAATTAGCCAGGCGTGATGGTGGCACATGCCTGTAATCCCAGCTACTTGGGAGGCTGAGGCAGGAGAATCACTTGAGCCTGGGAGGTGGAGGTTGCAGTGAGCTGAGATCACGCCACTGCACTCCAGCCTGGGTGACAGAACAAGACTCCATCTCAAAAAAACAAAAACAAAATAAAATAAAATAAAAAATCACAATTTCATTGAATTTATGATTTATTTGGACAGATTCAACATCTTCATAATATTGTTTTCCCATTCATGAACACAGTTTCTCTCCATTTATTTAGGTATTATGACACTGTGAAATACATACTAGGGGTCTGGCGCGGTGGTTCAGGTCTGTAATCCCAGCACTTTGGGAGGCTGAGGCGGGTGGATCACCTGAGGTCAGGAGTTCCAGACCAGCCTGGCCAACATGGCGAAACCCCGTCCCTACTAAAAATACAAATGCAAAAATTAGCCGGGTGAGGTGGCGGGTGCCTATAATCCCAGCTACTTGGGAGGCTGAGGCAGGAGAATCGCTTGAACCTGGGAGGCAGAGGTTGCAGTGAGCCGAGATTGCGCCACTGCACTCCAGCCTGGGCAAAAAAAGCTCAAAAAAAAAAAAAAAAAAGATATATTGGGACTTCATTCAGTGTCCTGCCATACAACTCCTAAAATCCTTGCAATCTTCAAAACGATGTGTCTTTTTGTATGCTAATGAGTCGATTTAGGGCTTGCAGTCCCTAGGTAGCTTCAGGATGGGACCAGACTCCAGAAAGACAAAGGGCAGGATTAGAGGGGTGGAACTTGCAGCCACACCCTCCAACCTCAGGGAGGCAAGAGGGGCTGAAGGTCAAGTTGATCACCAGTGGCCAATGGTTTAATCAGTCATGCCTATGTAATGAAGCCACCATAGACACCTAGAAGGACTGTGTTCGAGGAGCTTCCAGAAAGCTGAACGGGTGGAGGGACCTGAAGGGTGGCGTACCCAGGAGAGAACATGGAAGCTTCTCGAACCGTCCCACGTGCCTTGCCCTATGCGTCTCTATCCTTTGTGAGATCCTTTAGAATAAGCTGGTAAAGGTAGATAGTGTTTCTCTGAGTTCTGTGAGCTACTATGGCAGGTTAATTGATCCTAAGGAGAGGGTTCTAGGAACCCCACCTATAGCTGGTGGGTCAGAAGCACAGGTAAAACAACCCAGGGCATGGGATTGGCATGGGAAGTCGGGAGGCAGTCCTGTGGAACCGAGCCCCCACCCTGTGGGATCTCCTGGCTTCAAGCAACCCTCCTGCCTCTCGGCCTCCCAAAGTGCTGAGATTATAGGTATGAGCCACCATGCCCAGCCCTGATTTTCTCAATGAGGCTCTTTGATTGGTAAATTCTCTATTATTTTTGTCTAAAAATGCCTCTATTTAATCTTCACTCTTGAATGATTTTTTGTTTGGGTTTTAAATTCAAGATTAACAGATAGTTTCTTTTAACAATTTGGTGATGTTATATTGAGTCTTCTAGTGTTACTGTTACGAAGTTTGCTATCAGTTTGTTGTTATTATTGTTTTTGAGACAGAATCTCCTTCTGTCGCCCAGGCTGGAGTGCAATGGTGCAATATGGGCTCACCGCAACCTCTACCTCCTGGGTTCAAGTGATTCTCATGCCTCAGCCTCCCAAGTAGCTGGGATGACAGGCGCCCACCACCACGCCCAGCTAATTTTTGTATTTTTAGTAGAGACAGGGGTCTCACTATGTTGCCCAGGCTGGTCTCAAACTCCTGGCCTCAAGCCATCCACCTGCCTTGGCCTCCCAAAGTGCTGGGATTACAGGCATGACCCACCACACCAGAAAGAAGTTCAATATCAGTTTAATAGTCCTTCCTTTCTAGATAATCTGCCCTTTTTCACTCTTCATGCTTTTAAGATCTCTGTTTTGGGTATTCTGCAGTGTCCCTACGTTATGTGTTCCTTTTATTTGAATTTATCCTGGTTAGGATTCAGCATGGTTCCTGAATTATTGGAGTCATGTCTTCTATTAATCTGGAAAATTGCCTGCTGTTTTCTCTTCAAATGTTGCTCTACTGTATTTATTTTCTATGTTCTCTTTTTCTGGAATTCTGATGTTGAATTGCCTTATTCTGTTCTCCTTGCTCTTTACTGTCATTTAAAAAATACATCTGGGTAATTTCCTCAGCTCTGTCTTCCAGATTGTTACTTCTTTATCTAGCTGTATCTAAGTTGTTAATCCCAACCATTGGGTTTTTAATTTCAGTGACTAAAATGTTTATTTTTAAATGTTTGATGTAGTTCTTTTTCCAGCCTACTTTGTAGTTTTGATAATATCTTATTCTTTCCCATATTTACAATTCCTTATTTAGGTCAATAATCATTTAAACATAATCTCTTCAGAGATTTTCAGCCTGGGACCACTGTTTATTTTTAAGAATTGGCTAGAGGTTACTAAGCGATATAAAATTCAAATTTCAAATCCATTAAAGGGTAGGCCCTTGGTTACAAATTCTTTTTTTTAAGAATTATTTTTTATATCTAGAATTTAGGCTAAGACAGATAATCTTTTTTTTTTTTTTTTTTTTTTTTTTTGAGATGGAGTCTCTGTTGCCTAGGCTGGAGTGCAGTGGCGTGATCTCAGCTCACTGCAACTCTGCCTCCCAGGTACAAGTCATTCTCTTGCTTCAGCCTCCCGAGTGGCTGGGATTACAGGCGTGTGCCACCATGCCAAGCTAATTTGTGTATTTTTAGTAGAGAAGAGGTTTTGCCATGTTGGCCAGACTGGTCTTGAACAGCTGACCTCAAGTGATCCGTCTGTCTCGGCCTCCCAAAGTACTGGGATTACAGGCATGAGCCACTTCGCCTGGCCCAGAGAACGCCTGGCCCAGAGAATCTTCGCTGTCATATTTTGTCAGTGTTCTACTGGTTCTCTGAGGATTTAGGTATAGTTCCCAGTTTCAGCTTCTCTGCATCTCTTAGGTCTAAGGTCTCATCTCTGAGCAACCATTAAAACCCAGTTGTGACCAGGCATGGTGGCTCACTCCATGGGAGGCCAAGGAGGGAGAATTGCTTGAGGCTGGAAGTTCAAGACCAGCCTAGGCAACCTAGTGAGACCTCTGCAGTAAATACATAATCTCTACAGTAAATAAATAATTAGCCGGGCATGGTGGTGCGTGACTAGAGTCCCAGCTACTCAGGAGGTTGAGGCAGGAGGATCTCTTGAACCCATGAGTTCAGTGCTGTACTAAGCTATGATCTTGCCAGTGCACTTCAGCCTGGGCAACAGAGCAAGACACTGTCTCTAAAAAATAAAAAATAATAAAAATTTAAAGTGATGAAAAATAAAAAACCAGCTTCCTCATTACTAAGGGAGCTTTGCTCAGTCGTTTCTAAATTTATTTATAGAGTGAGAGTTTTAAAATCATCTTATCTACTATATTGCCAGAAATTAAAGTTGGCAACTCTTTTAAGTAGTTTGTTTCAGGCTGGGCATGATGGCTCACGCCTGTGATTTCAGCACTTTGGGAGGCCGAGGTGGATGGATCACCTGAGGTCAGGAATTTGAGACCAGCCTGGCCAACGTGGCGAAACCCCGTCTCTACTAAAAATACAAAAATCAGCTGGGTGTGGTGATGTGTGCCTGTAATCCCAGCTACTCAGTAGGCTGAGGTGGGAGAATTGCTTGAACTTGGGAGGCGGAGGTTACAGTGAGCCGAGATTGTACCATTGCCCACCAGCCTGAGTGAAAGAGCAAGACTCCGTCCCCCCACAAAAAAAAAGAAGTTTGTTTTGGAAGTATGGAAAAATGTTTTCATGTTCAGGATAGAATCAAGACCAGAATTTCTGATGAGAATAAGCTAGTTTATTCCCGAAAAAGCGACTCTGCCCCCAAACTCTCATGAAAACTTACTTTAACAGCCACAGAGACAACAGGCAACACTTGTTACACTAAAAAGGCCAGTGACTCTGAAGGGCTGAGAACAAGACCTTGACCTGCACCTTGGCCTCACTGCGCGACCTTGGGCGTGTCCTTAGGCCTCTGGGCCTCAGTGCCCTTTTCAGCAAGCTGAAGGAGCTGCTTAGGTTTCCTGTGGTGGGGGTTGGGGGGGGCGGTTCCTGCTTTTTTTTTTTTTTTTTTTTGAGGCGGAGTCTCGCTCTGTCGCCCAGGCTGGAATGTAGTGGCACCATCTTGGCCCACTGCAACCTCTGCCTCCCGGGTTCAAGTGATTCTCTGGCCTCAGCCTCCTGAGTAGCTGGGATTACAGGCACCCGCCACCATGCCCGGCTAATTTTTTTATTTTTAGTAGAGGCGGGGTTTCGCCATGTTGGCCAGGGTGGTCTCGAACTCCTGACCTCAGGGGATCCACCCGCCTCGGCCTCCCAAAGTGCTGGGATTACAGGTGTGAGCCACTGCGCCCGGCTGGTTCCTGCTTTACGTGTCAGTGGCTCTAACCTCTTTCCCACTGCATGTCTGTGCCAGCTGCTTTGCCAAGCTCCTTTTGACCTCTCCTCCTGGGATGTGCCTCCCACACTTAGCCCCTCCCTCCCCTCGATCCTCACCCCCTCCCTCACAGTGCCTCTCTGTGAAGGAAATTGTCCTTCTCACAGGCCATGGGTGGGAGATGAGGGGTTTGAGGGTATGGAGGGCAATGATAAGCGAGGAATGCTCTGGGAGGTCCCACTTCAGAGGATCCGAGGTGGAAGTGGTCGAACTCAGGGGTTTAGACCCCCAGCCTGGGTTTGGGCTGCTGGACTGCATTGCTCCTCAAGGCTAGTGGGGGAGAAGGGACGGGCAATGTGTGTGACGCGGTGAGGTCCTCCTTTACAAGTGGACTCGGTGGCTGGGATGGGGAGAAGTTGGGGGCTCTGCGAGGGCTGTGGGAGGTACGTGGTTCCCAGCTGGTACTCATAACCCAAAAACTGCCTTAAGATTACTGGTATGTCCTGCTCCTTCACAAACCCCTGAGAACTATGTTTGGAAGCTTACAGCTTGGATGGTTGGAGCCAAGAGGTCACTGGATTTGTCTCATGTTAGGGGAAGGTGGGGTTGTGACCATGAGCCTCCAGAGGCACCAGAAAGTCAATCCTGCCGTTGCTCCAGTGTGTGAGGAGCTGCCAAGACTGTTTCTTTCAGAAAGAGCCTGAGTTGGGAAGGGAACAGGAGAATAGTGACCTACATTATATTGTATATGCGTTTTTAAAAATTTTTCATTGTGGTAAAAAAGACCACAAAATGTACCATCCTAACCCTCTTGAAGTATCCAGGTTGGTAGTGTTACGTATATTCACAATGCTGCGCAGCAGGTCTCCAGAACTTCTTCATCGTGCAAAACCGAAACTCTGTACCTGTCAAGTCACAACTCTGTGTCTTTCTCCCACGAGCTCCTGGTAACCACCATTCTACTCTGTTTCTATTTGTTTGACCACTTAAGAACATTTTGTAAAAAAAATTTTTAGTAGAGATGAAGTCTTGCTAACTCCTGGACTCAAATGATCCTCCTGCCTCAGCCTCCCTAAGTGCTGGGATTACAGGTGTGAGCCTCTGCACCCTGCCGACTACTTTATTTTTATTTTATTGTATTCATTTATTTTGAGACAGAGCCTTGCTCTGTCACCCAGGCTGGAGTGCAGTGGCGCAATCATGGCTAACTGCAGCCTTGACTTCCCAGGCTCAAGTGATTCTCTGCCCTCACCCTCCAGAGTAGCTGGGACTATAGGTGCGAGCCAGCACACCTGGCTAATTTTTTTTAAATTAATTTTTTGTAGAGATGGGGTCTCCCGATATTGCCTAGACTGGTCTGAAACTCCTGGGCTCAAGGGATCCTCCTGCCTCAGCCTCCCAAAGTGCTGGGAGTATAGGCATGAGCCACTGTGCCTGGCCTAATGTGACTGCTTAGATACCTCGTCAGCGGAATCATGCAGTGTTTGGGTTGTTTTGTAACTGGCGTGTTTCACTCAGCATAATGTCCTAAAGGTCCGTCTGTGCTGCAGCACGTGTCCCGGTTGCCTTCCTTTTTAAAGCTCCTATTTCGCTGTAGGTATACACCACATTTTGTTCATGCATTCATCCATTGATGGACACTTGGTTTGCTTCTACCTTTTGACTCTTGTGAATAATGCTGCCGCGAGCATGAGTGTACATATATATCTTTGAGACCCTGCTTTCAGTTTGTTTGGGTATATACCCAGGTATTGGGTCATATGGTCTTGCTCTGTCACCCAGGCTGGAGTGTAGTGGCGGGATCTCGGCTCACTGCAACCTCTGCTTCTCGGATTCAAGCGATTCTCCTTGTCTGAGCCTCCCGAGTAGCTGTGATTACAGGTGCCCGCCACCACACCTGGCTAATTTTTGTATTTTTAGTAGAAACGGGGTTTCACCATGTTGGCCAGGCTGGTCTCGAGTTCCTGACCTCAAGTGATCTGCCTGCCTCAGCCTCCCAGAGTGCTGGGATTACAGGCGTGAGCCACAGCGCCCGGCCTGTACCATTTTGCATTCCCACCAACAGTACCCAGGATTTTGCATGCTTTTTGCCCAGGGTCGATTTAATGTCAGTGCATCCCCGGCACTGCATCCTTGTCTCCTACTTTTCAGCCCTTGTCTGGGTTCCTTGATACCAGGGAGTGCCTAGGTCATTGTGCTCATTCGACAGATGGGAAGATGAGCTCTCCAGAGGGGATGGGACCTGTTCAAGACCCCAGGCCTGATTCTCACAGATCTTTCACTTCACGCTTTGCTTCCTGAGCAACTGATTCGGGCTCTGGCACTCCCCGGAGTGCCTTCATCCCGTGGCCCACGCAGTTCTTCCACTGCTCACCGGGGCTGTGGTTCCTGTCCCCACAGGTCCAACGAGCGCTCCTCCAAGCGGAGCCTTGGAGGGCACGGCCGGCACCATTACCTCCAACGAGTGGAGCTCTCCCACCTCCCCTGAGGGGAGCACCGCCTCTGGGGGCAGTCAGGCACTGGACAAGCCCATCGACAATGACGCAGAGGGCGTGTGGAGCCCGGATATTGAGCAGAGTTTCCAGGAGGCCCTCGCCATCTACCCGCCCTGTGGCAGGCGCAAAATCATCCTGTCGGACGAGGGCAAGATGTATGGTAAGGAGCCCGTCGGGTTCAGCCCTGTACCTGAGGCTGAGGCAAGGGGCCGACACCAGAACCTTGGGGTTCCTGCCGGGCCACAGAAGGGGATGACCACTTGGGGCTTTGTCGGGTGGACACTGCTTTCTTCCCTCCTGGGCTCCCAAGGGATGGGGGCATCTGAGGAGAAGCCTGTGAGGGGGTGTGGAGGGTGGGGCCCCTGGCGGTGAGCAGAGATGGGAGTGGGAATCTTGGAAAAGGCGAATCTGGGTGGGGTAGAACATCCCCCCAGAGCAGGTGGGGAGCACCCCACAAGCTGTACCCCAGCAGGTGCCTGACCAGCAGGCTGCCCACCTTGGCTGTGAAGGATGCTCACTCATCCCCTCTTTCCCTCACTCATTCATGCAACAAACAGATGCCGAGCCTTCTGTGTGCCTGGTGTGGGTTAGACGGGTCTAGTCCCAGCCTGTCATCTGGGGTGAGGGTAATGTGAGCTCACAGATACCTGCTCTGCAAGGCAGCCTGGAGAGTTCCTAGGAGAGGCAGAGTGCTGGAGACCACTCCCCTAGGAAAGGCCCCCCCCAACCCAGCAGAGGGTCACCAGAAACGGCTTGATCTTTGTGAGTGGCTGGGGTTGCAGAACACAGCTGAAACTGTTCAGCGATGCATGGGAAGGACCAAGCAGTTGGCATGGGGCCACGATGACTTTTGGATGGAAGAGGGGGCATCTGGAAAAATGAAGCAGGGGCTGGGCATGGTGGCTCACTCAAGCCTGTGATTCCAGCACTTTGGGAGGCCAAGGTGGGAGGATCACTTGAGGCCAGCAGTTTGAAACCAGCCTGGGCAACAAAGCGAGACACCATCTGGAGTAAAAATAAAAAAAATTACCCAGGTTTGGTGGTGCCAGCCTGCAGTCCCAGCTACTGGGGAGGCTGAGGCAGAAAGATCTCTTGAGGCCAAGAGGTCAAGGCTGCATTGAGCCATGAGTGCACTGTTGCACTCCTGCCTGGGTGCCAGAGTGAGGCCCTGTTTCAAAAAAAAAAAAAAAATGAAGCAAGAATAAAAACTGAATGGCTGTTGGAAGGCCCAGATAAGGCTTCTGTTCCTGTTGGAAAGTCCTCTAGGAATCCTAGCTCAAAACAGTGGTCTTGGGGCAGGAGTGAGAGCCCTGAGTGGGTCTCTAAATGGCTGAAGTCAGTGACAACGGGGCCCCTGCCTGGCTTCCAACAGGATGGCCCCAGACCAGCTGCCCACCCCCACGGGTTTCCATTCATTTCTCCCCCACACCCAACGCTGGTGCCACCCCCACCATTGTTGCTTGGCTCGGCTTCCCCAGGGTCGCCCTTACTTCTGGGTCGGCCCTCTAGACTCTCCCTGCTTTGACCACTTCTTGCTCTGATGGTTGCTTATTTTTTCCTTTTTCTTTTCTCTCTCTCTCTTTTTTTTTTTTTGAGATGGAGTTTCACTCTTGTTGCCCAGGCTAGAGTGCAATGGGCGCAATCTCAGCTCAACGCTACCTCTGCCTCCCGGGTTCAAGCGATTCTCCCACCTCAGCCTGCCGAGTAAGCTTGGATTACAGGCACGTGCCACCACTCCTGGCTAATTTTGTATTTTTAGTAGAGACAGGGTTTTTCCATGTTGGTCAGGCTGGTCTTGAACTCCAGACCTCAGGTGATCCGCCCACCTTGGCCTCCCAAAGTGATGGGATTACAGGTGTGAGCCACCGCACCCAGCTTTTCTTTTCTTTTCTTTTGTTTTTGAGACAGAGTCTTGCTCTGTCGCCCAGGCTGGAGTGCAGTGGAGCAATCTCGGCTCACTGCAGCCTCCGCCCCGTGGGTTAAAGTGATTCTTCTGCTTCACCCTCCCGAGTAGTTGGGTCTACAGGCGTGCGCCACCACGCTCGGCTGATTTTACAGGTGTGAGCCACCATGCCCGGCCTTGCATCTGTATTTCTAAATAAAATACTTGAATGTGTTTGTGGCAGTTAAGATAAAATTTGTCTTTAACAGATCCCAAATAACAGTGGCTTACATAAGGGAAATTTCCTTCTCTCTCCTATAAATGTCTGGAGGGTAGGTAGTCCAGGGAAGGTGTGGCAGCTCTGCTCCATGAAGCTCTCAGGGACCCAGGATGCTTCCGTCTTGTGGCTCATGAGCATGCCTTCCATTGTGAATGTTCCCTTAAGGCCCAAGCAGCTGCTTCAGCTCCAGGAGTTACATTGCAGCTAGCAGACAGGAGAATGGGATGAAGAAGAGTGACCTGGATACATTTAAGGAAGACACTGGGAAACTAACCCCTGAAATATTTACTGGCCAGAACTCCTGTGAAGTCCCTTCCACCTCTACTTGTGAAGTTCTGCTTCTTACTTTTAGCGCCTGGGGAAGCGTCATGGGGGAGACAGCTGTGTGTGGAGCACCTGGGGGTGCCTGGTGTGGTGTTCGGTGCTTTGCAGAGGTTGTTGCCATTTAGCCAGGAGGGACGCAGCCTCTGGGACCCCCCGGGCTCTGCTTTGGTGGAGGAGGGGATGGGTATAGATTGTAGCTTAGGTGTGAAATGAGAAAGGGCAGGGGGAGTGTAGGGAAGGGCAGGTGGCTTGGCTGGGGAGCTGTGGTGTATGTCCTGGACCCTTCACAGGGCAGGTCTGTGTGCTTTAGAGACAGAGGTGGGCCGGAAAACGAAAGTGTGCATGAGGCATCCAGCAAGGGGCAAGGGCGGAGGGCGCTGTGGGTGTCTGGGAGGGCCCCGTGGAGATGCTAGAATGCACTAAATCAACAGACATTTGTGGAGTTGAGCACCCCTGGGGACCAAGGGCTTTGAGGACTTGCTTTTTCGGGGGGGGGGTGTGTGTGTGTTAAAAAATACGTAACATTTTCCATTTTAATCATTATAGTTTTTCAGTTTATAATTTGATGGCATTAAATATATTCACATTGATGTACAGCCATTACTACCACCCATCGCCAGAAATATTTCATTTCAAAGTGAAATTCTTTACCTTTTAAACAATAATTCCCCATTCTCGCCATCCTCCCCGCCCTCCAGCCCTGGCAACTGCCATTCTGCTTTCTGTCTTTATGGGTCTGACTCCTTTAGTTACCTCATGTAAGTGGAATCATACAACATTTGCCCTTTTGTGACTGGCTAATTTCACTTAACACAAGGTCCTCAACGTTTATCTGTATTATAACCTAGGTCAGAGTTTCCTTCCTTTTTAAGGCTGAGTAATATTCCATTGTATAGACCACATTCTGTTTATCTGTTCATCTGCCGACAGACATTTGGGTGGATGCTTAGTTTTATTTAGTTGTTATAGGTAGATATTTCTGTCCCTGCTTCACATATAAAGATACTGGGGTTAAGAGACCGTGACCAACCCTGGGGAAGCGCCGGGCTGTGGATCTCTGGCAGGACTTGGGTTGGAATTCTCTTTGGCAGGAGGGAAGCCACTGACTCAGGGAAGCAGACTGAAAATGGTTTGGCAAACTGTCCTGGCCGTGTTGGCATCTCGGATGCTGCTCCTCCCCTGTGCTGAGACCCAGGGAGGGGCATGGGATGGGGACGCTCGGGAGGGCCTGGAGGAAGAGTGAGGAGAGGCAGAGGTGCTGCTTCACTGTGCTTCATAACACGTCAGCGCTCCCAGCATCCTGGGCATCTGTGATCTTTCGGTCCTTTCAACGGTCCCTTCAAGGAGGGAGGAATGGCACCTCTGCTTGCAGATGCAGAAATGGAAATTCAGGGAAGCCAAGAGTTTCTCCCAGTCTCTCAAGTTGGAAGTGGAGAGTGGGGCTTTAACCCAGTTCTCCTGCCTCCGAGCTTGGCGTTCCTCTGTCAGCTGAATGGCCTTGCTCCTCCACTGCCTGGCCCTGGCTCCAGGTGGGTCAGGCCCTGGGCAGGGCCCTGGAGGCTGTACTGCAGGCTCTGACAACCGCCCAGCCCCCACAGCACCTGTCCTGCATGAGAATAGGTTCTGCTGGGATCCAGACACCCGCTCACCCCGTCTCTTCTTACCAGTCCCGGGGGCCGAGCCAAGGCAGGACTGCGTGGGGACTGATGGAGGGCTCTCAGCAGGCAGTGCTGACCAGCCCGGCTGGGAGCTATAGATAGCTCTGAGCTCACCCCCAGTGTGTGGGATGGGCCCTCTGGGAGGCGGAATGGGAGGCCGAGCTGAGAGCTGACTCAGACCTCAGCTCACCGTGGCTGCTCCCCTCCTGTCTTCTCATCTTCCCTTGGGGCATCTGCGCTTCCCATCCTCTGTGTACCCCAGCCCCATTCTGAGCCCCCAGCTGCTTCTAGCATCCCCAGAGCTCTGGTCTTTTCTCCCCCCTCACTTCCCTGCATCCAAAGGCCACCAGCCCCTTTCCAAGTGGGCCGGCCCGGTGGGGTATGGGGTGGGGCTAAGAGGATGATTCCCGACCTGGGGACCCGGCCTTAGCTGTTTGAGGACAGGGGTTAGGCCTGCTCCGAGCTCCGCCCACGGAACATCCAGCATAGGACACGCTGACCAAGGCCAGGCAGACATGCAGATGACATGCAAAGCAGCACGGCAGATTAACACCTGCTATTTCTGAGCTGAGTCTCCCACGCTTGTTGGCTCCAGCCCTCCCCTTGAGCACCTCTTACCCTCCTGGGCCGGCTCCCGAGCCCGGGGTGCTTGCCTTCTCCTGCTCACGGCCGCTTTCATTTCTGCCCTGTCACTGTGTGACCCTCCCCCTGGCACAGCCAACGCTGGCCACCCTGACCTCCTTTGGCCAGGCTCACAGTCGGCCTAGCCTAGCGTGCAGGTGGTGGGATTCGAACAACTTCTCGCCCCCTTCTGCCTGCTCCCCGCCTTCCCCGCTCCTCACACTCAGTGCTGGCCGGGTGGGCTCGTGTCCCGCCTCCTGCTCTCTGGAGGGCTGTGGCTGGCTCTGGGGTTCCCTCTGCATTCATCCCTTTCTGCCTCCTGTGCTTCTCACCTTCCTGAGGTTGCTCTTGACTTTCCCGAGTCTTCCTGCCTCTTTTCCCTGCCTCTCTCTCTGCTTCTCCCCTCCTGTGTCCCAGGTGGGCCATCCTATTAGCAGCCCGTCAGTTCTCATTAAGTGACCACCCCACACTGGGCAGGCCGGGCTGAGGCCGTGTGGTCTCTGCTCTCCACAACTTCATGGTCTAATGAGAGGGGCAGGAAAAACTTCTCTGGACAGTTAGCCACCCAAGCAGACACTGGGGTTGTCCACAGCCGATATTAACCAGATTTATCTTGGGAGTTTTCCTGAAGGAAGCAGAGCTGAGGGTGAGTGCTTGTCTTGGTCTGTTTTCTGTTGTTGATAACAGAATACCTGAAACTGGGTAATTTATAAAGAAGGAGTTTATTCCTTACAGTTACAGAGGCTGGGAAGTCCAAGGTTGAGGGGCTGCATCTGTGAGGGCCTTCGTGCTGGAGGGAACTCTGCAGAGTCCCGAGGTGGTGCAGGCATCCCGTGGCGAAGGGGCCGAGTGTGCTTGTTCAGGCCTTTTCTTCCTCGGAGACAGCCCCCAGTCCCACTCCTGCGCTCTGTTAGCTCATTAATCCCTGCGTGGATTAATCCATCGTGAAGGCAGTGCCTTCAGGGCCGTATCACTCCTTAAAGGCCCACCTGTCCATACTGCCACATGGGGGATTACATTTCAACATGAATTTTGGAGGGGACTAATATTCAAACCATAGCAGTGCTCCAGGCAAGGGGGTGGAGAGATTGTGAGCATCAGTCTAGAGGCGAGACTTCACATGGTGGGTTTGGGGGACCCTGGTGGAGGATCTGGGCAAAGCACTGTTGGTTCGTCAGACTGTCAGAGGTGAAGGGATTCCCTCGTTTTCTGGATGAGTCACACAGCTAATAAGAGGCAGAACCGGGACCAGACTCAGCCTGAGTTTGGGACTAGATAGAGCACGTCGAGGGTCTTTTCACAAAGGTGATGGGACAGAGGTCACGGAGTTTCACCTGGGCTCCTGCCCCCCGCTTCTTCACCATGGCCTCATTTGCAGGATTCTCTGCTCCTCTTTGCTTTGTTGCCCTGTGGGTTTCCAGCTGCTCCTATGCTCCTCCCTGCGGCCTACAACCCTGACTTCAGGTGCCTGGAGACTTGATGACGGGAGTGTTCAAATCTACTCTGTCCCTGAGAGCTGGCGTGACCTTGGGCAAGTTATTTAACCTCCTTGGGCTTCATTTTCCTTTTGTAAAGTGGAGGTCATAATACTACTACCTTTGTGGGAGGTGATTTGGTTTATTTATTTTATTGTGAGAAAAATATACATTACGTAAAATTAACCATTTAAGCCATTTTTATGTGTACAGGTCAGTGGCATTAAGTACATTCACCTTTTTGTGCAACCATCATCACCATCCATTTCCAGAACTTTTCCATCATCTCAAATAGAAATTCTGTACCCATTAAACAATAATTCCCCATTCCCCTCTGCCCCTATAGCCGCTGGTAGCCTGTTCTATTTTCTGTCTCTATGATTTGCCTATTCTAGGCATTTCATAAAGGTGGAATCAAGCCAGCCGCGGTGGCTCACGCCTGTAATCCCAGCACTTTGGGAGGCCGAGGCGGGTGAATCAAGAGGTCAGGAGTTTGAGACCAGCCTGGCCAACATGGTGAAACCCTGTCACTACTAAAAATACAAAATTACAAAATTAGCCGGGTGTGGTGGTGTGCATCTGTAGTCCCAGCTACTTCAGGGGCTGAGGCAGGAGAATTGCTTGAACCCGGGAGGCGGAGGTTTCAGTGAGCCGAGATCATGCCACTGCACTCCAGCCTGGGCAACAAAGCGAGACTCTGTCTCAAAAAAAAAAAAAAGTGGAATCAGGCCAGGCGTGATGGCTCATGTGGCTTATGCCTGTAATCCTAGCACTTTGGGAGGCCAAGGCGGGCAGATCACTCGAGGTCAGGAGTTCGAGACCAGCCTGACCAACACAGTGAAACCCGTCTCTACTAAAAATACAAAATTACAAAATTAGCTGGGTGTGGTGTGCACCTGTAATTAGCTACTCGGGAGGCTGAGCCACGAGAATTGCTTGAACCTGAGAGGTGGAGGTTGCAGTGAGCTGAGATCATGCCACTGCACTCCATCCTGGATGACAGAGTGAGACTCCATCTCAAAAAGAAAAAAATGTAATCATACATATTTCCCCTTTTATGTCTGGCTTATTTCAGTTGGCATAATGTCCTTAAGGTTCATCCATGTTGTAGCGTGTTTCAGAATTTCCCTCTTTTTTAAGGCTGGGTAATATTCCATTGTATGGAGAGACTGCATCTTGCTTATCTGTTCACCTGTGGATAGACATTTGTATTGCTTCTACTTTTTGACTACTATGACTAATACTGCAGTGAACATTGGTGTACAGGTATCTTGAGTCCCTGGTTTCAGTTCTTGTGGGATTGGAATTGCTAGCTCATGTGGTAATTTTATGTTTGAGTTTTTGAGGAACCACCAAACTGTTTTCCACAGCAGCTGTATCAGTTTACATTCCCGCCAGCAATGAACAAAGGTTCTGATTTCGCATATCCTCATCAGCGCTTGTTATTTTCCATTTTTTGGATCATAGCCATCCTAGTGGGTGTGAAGCGCTATCTCGTGGTTTTTGATTTGCATTTCCCTGATGATTAGTGTTGTGGAGCATCTTTCCATGAGGTTATTGGAATAAGACATTGCCTTCTAGTGTTGTCGTAGGGATGAGAGCACACAGTAGGTGCCAAATGCACAGCACGGGGTGAGGGGAACACGTACCTGCCCTCAAGGAACTCACAGTGTGGCGGGGGAGCATGACTAGGACAGACACCGAGGCAGGAATGGGCATGCCCTCTTGGGTGGGGAGCAGTGCAAGCTTCTTGGGGCTTCCTGGAGCTGTGGCCTTGAAGCCTGGCTGATTTCACCAGAAGCCTCAGAGCCCTCCAGGGACAATGGTAGGAACAGCTCAAATGTCAGGCCCAATTGCTGCCTTCTCAGGCTTCAGTCAGAAGTTCCTTCTCCACAAATAGCCTCCTTCTCCAGCCCCAGGTGTTTATGGCTTCAGTTGATCCCTGGATAGCTGCACCCCCAACACACACACCCTGGCCCCCGCTTCCAGGCCATTGGGGATTAGGGTGGGGCAGCAAGGATGTGCCCAGCCTCCTCTCCCTGAGCCCCAACCTACAGGGGTGCAGTGTGGCACTTGCTCACTCCACCAGAGGCCTACAGTGAACCAAAGATGTCCACGCACACTTCCACCCACTCTTGGGTGGGGAGGCTTGTGCTCTCAGCTCCTCAGTCCTTTTCAAGTTTGAAAGCTAATAGCATTCGTTATAATAGGGCTTCGTTAACAATATTAACAGTAATCGCTGACCTTGCTGGCCCTCTGCTGAGTGGTGCGTGCTTTACTTACTCCATGCCATTTAACAGTTTATGGTCTAGGGGGTGGGCTGCCATGGAGAGAGGGGACTCAGCACAGAGGAAATGAGATACAGAAATGACCTAGCCCAGGCAGGATTTTGCAGCTGGGGTAACGTTTTCAGTGGTGCTATGTGGCGGAGGTGGCCGGCAGGGTGTGTGTGAGGCTGAGTGTGGGGCTAGGAGAAAGCGGAGATTCCTCCTGGATGCTGCATCAGGAATGCTCCACCCTCAGCCTTTAGGCCAAGGCTCCTGTTTCTCCACGGGCAGCCTTCGCCCCCGGTGGGGTGGGGCCGTGGGTGTGAGCTGGGGGCTGTCGGACACATGTGCTCTGACAGATGGACAGATGGGCCCACAGTCTGGCAGGGGTGTCCTTCCCATCCCCACCCAGGCCGGCCCTGGGGTTGGCCGAGGCCACCTGCCACGTTGCAATGCGCAGCTGCCTGACTGGCCTCCTCCTTCCCCAGCCTGTGTTCTCAGCCACCAGAGGGAGAAGCCTGTGGTTATGCAGCTAGGGGCAGAGCTGGGACAAGGACAAGGACAAGCCCCTCCCACCGCCACCACCTCAGCTGGGTGCTTTACAAGTTTCTCACTGCCATGGCCCTTCTTTGCCGGCCTTCACTGTGGTTCCCACACTCTACCTGTAGGCCCACGCTCCCTACTCCCTTCCCCTCTTGCCCCTGACTCTGGGGGCCTTCTGGTGTCTACATGATCCAGGATACGCTGGCTCCCACCAGCTGTGGGTACCACTGTCCATGAGTGGTGGGCAGGACCTCAGGTCCAAGTAGTTGGATCTCCCTCCGGGACCTTACCTCATGCAGAGACTTAGGAATCGGGGGGATTGATCCAAAGGGAAGGAGCAGCATCGTCCCTTGCGGAGGAAGCTCAGCCCTGTCGGGGGAGCATATCCTGGGGGGAAATAGCCAGCATGTAATACTCTCGAAGCACTGGGGCAGCCTTGGAAAACATACCTTCTCGTGGTGCCTGGGACACTAGCAAGCCATGAGACTGTGAATAAGTCATTTCCCCTCTCTGGGCTTCCATTTCATCTTCATCAGGCTAAACAGGACCTCTAGAGTCACGTGGTCCAGCCCTGCTTCTGAGAGAAGTGACCTCCAATTCCCTGTTCATTCGGAGTGGTACCATGCAGTAGCCACAGATGGGCACTGGCACCAGACTACATGGACCCGAATCTCAGCCACATGCTTGCCTACGACCCTGAGAAGATTTCTCAACCTTGCTGTTTCCCTGTCTGTAGCGTGGATGACAGTACCACCCTCATTTAGCTGTTGTGAGGATCGAAAGGGTGAATGCAGATAAAGCTGTCACAGGATACATATCTGTATCCGCACAGATACTTGTACTGATGAGGTATGCAGCAAGTGTTCATTGTCATCAAGATTTTCACAGGAGTGACAGGCCACGGCAGCTCCCTCTGTGTGTAAAGCCTGGATTAGATGCCAGCTGGCCTGGAGGCAGGGAGATGGCTGCGTTGACCTCTAGAGCACCCCTGGTGGCAGGAAGGAAGCTGCTTGGGTCCCCTTGGCTCACACACCCACAGACACCCCACACTTCACTCCCTCACGGGGGGTTCTCAACTGCCGGCATCACCCCTGACCAGCACAACGAGGCTGGAGGGTCTGAGATGAGCCAGCAAGGGAGAGGAGGAGGAAGCTCCACAGACAGCCAGGGAAAAGCACAACTTTAACAAATACAAACCTGGAGGACAGTATGCCAAGTGAAATATACCAGACGCAGAAGGACAAATGCCGAGAGGGCTCACTTAGAGGTGGAATCTAAAACAGTGGTGCTCACAGCAGCAGAGAGTAGAATGGTGGTTACTGGAGGCTGGGGCGGGCATGACGGGGAGATGTTGGTCAAAGAATATAGTTTCAGTTAGATGGGGAAATGTTTTTGGTTTCTAGTTTTTGTTTTTCCGTTTTGTTTGTTTTAGACAAGGTCTTACTCTCCCTCCCTGGCAGAAGTGCAGTGGTGTGATCACAGCTCACTGCAGCCTCAATCTCCTGGACTCAAGTGACCCTCCTGCCTCAGCTTCCTGAGTAGTTGGGACTACAGGCATGTGCTACCACGCCTGGCTAATTTTTTATTTTTATTTTTATTATTTTTATTTATTTTGTTTGTTTATTTTTTTTTGAGACAGAGTCTCGCTCTATCGCCCAGGCTGGAGTGCAATGGTGCAATCTCGGCTCACTGCAAGCTCTGCCTCCTGGGTTCAAGCCATTCTCCTGCCTCAGCCTCCCGAGTAGCTGGGACTACAGGCGCCCGCCACCATGCCCGGCTATATTTTTTTTGTATTTTTAGTAGAGACGGGGTTTCATTGTGTTAGCCAAGATGGTCTCAATCTCCTGACCTCGTGATCCGCCTGCCTTGCCCACCCAAAGTGCTGGAATTATAGGCGTGAGCCACCGCACCCAGACTTATTTTTATTTTTTTGTAGAGATGGAGTGGGTTTCACTATGTTGCCCAGGCTGATCTTGAATTCCTGGGCTTGGGCGATCTTCCTGCCTCAGGCTCCCAAAGTGCTGGGGTTATAGGTGTGAGTCATGACGCCCAGTCAAGGAGGAATGTTTTTGGAGACCTATTGCCCAGCATGGTGACTGTAGCGAATAATAACGTATTGCATTTTTCATAAGTTGCTAAGAAAGTAAATTTCATGTTCTCATCATGAAAAATGATAAGTATTTGAAATGATGGGTATGTTAATTATTTGATTCAATCATTGCAGATTATATACGTATATCATAACATCACTTTGTACCCCATAAATACAGGTTGAGCATCCCAAATCTGAAAATTCAAAATCTGAAATACTCCAAAGTTCGAAACTTTTTGAGATGTGTGCCTCGAAGGAGATGCTCGTTGGACCGTTTTGGATTTCGGATTTTAGGATTAGGGATGCTCAGCTGGCAAGTATATAGTGCAGATAGCCCCCAAATTTGAAAAAAACCCCAAATCTGGAACACTTCTGGTTCCAAGCATTTTAGATAAGGGCTAGTCAACCAGTATGTACAGTTTAAAAAAAGAAAGAAAAGCCAGGCGTGGTGGTTCACACCTGTAATCCCAGCACTTTGGGAGGTTGAGGTGGGCAGATCACCTGAGGTTGGGAGTTCGAGACCAGCCTGACCAACATGGAGAAACCTTATCTCTACTAAAACTACAAAATTAGCTGGGCGTTGCCTGTAATCCCAACTACTTGGGAGGCTGAGGCAGGAGAATCACTTGAACCTGGGAGGCGGAGGTTGTGGTGAGCCAAGATCGCGCCATTTCACTCCAGCCTAGGCAACAGAGCGAAACTCCGTCTCAAAAAAGTGAAAAATAAAAATAATCAAAAATAAAGAAGAAAGAAAAAAAATACAAAGATGGGCCGGGTGTGGTGGCTGATGCCTGTAATCCCAGCACTTTTGGAGGCTGAGATGGGCAGATTACTTGAGGTCAGGAGTTCGAGACCAGCCTGGCCAACATGGTAAAACCTGTCTCTACTAAAAATAACAAAAATTAGCCAGGTGTGGTGGTGTGCGCCTGTAATCCCAGCTACTTGGGAGGCTGAGGTGGGAGAATCACTGGAACCCAGGAGGTGGAGGTTGCGGTAAGCCGAGATCACACCAGCTGCACTTCAGCCTGGGCGACAGCGAGACTCCCTCTCAAAACAAAACAAAAAAGAAGACGGCTGAGCTTGCCTTAGACCCCTTGGTGTGGCTCCTGTCCCGCCCCATTACTAGCCTCTCGCCGGGGGCTGAGACGGCCTTTCTAGCAGCAGAGCCCTGGAACCTTGTGGCAGAGGGTGAGGGTAGTTGTGGGGTGGTGGGCAGGGGCTCCTTGCAGAGGCTGAGTCCTCTGTGATGTTTGGGGTTAGGGTCTCAGCTGATGGGGGCCAAGGCCTCCCTACTGCTTCTCACCACAGGCTGCAGAGGAAGCAGCACTGTTACGGGGCAGTCCTGCCTGATGAGAGGAGGTTCCATTAACTAAGCATCCTCGCTTGGCCAGGCCTCGGGCCATATTCAAGCACCTGAGCCAAGAGTCACACCTGGGCAGTTAGTCCTAGGTCTGCTGTGGGTGATCTGGTGCAGTTCTCTGGCAAATAGGTATAATTACCTGCCCACTGCAGGGAGGAGGTGGATTTACTGTGAAGTTAATGAGGTTTACGCGTTAGGACCCAGCACTTACATGGGCCCCTTCCAAGTCCCTAAACTTAATTTTTGCTTCATTGAAGTATAACTGACATTACAACAAACTGTACATGCTTAAAGTGGCCAAGTTGATACATTTTGACAGATGTATGCACCTGTGAAGCCATCACCACCATCAAGATAATGAATGTGTCCATTGCCCCCAAGTTTTTAACCTAATTTTGTATTTTTAAAATTCTTTTTCCCAAAGGGAGCCTCCCAATTGCTAAATGTCTTAGGCCTCACAAAAGTCTGGGTTTGCTCATGTACAGAAAAGTTCAATGAGACCAGGATAGGACAGCGCCTTAAGAGTTACGTCGGACTAATCAGAAGTAAAAGGTTATTTGCATGTATTTAACTTACTCCTTTGTCTTAGAAGGCTAAAACAGTTACGGGACATCTGACCAGCATCTTAGCATTCATTCCCTCATCATTCAGGCAGCAAGTATTTATTGAGCGCCTACAATGTGCAGGCAGTTTTCTAGGTGGTGGGTATAAATAAGTGAATAAATAGACCAAAAATCCCTATTCGCATGGACTGTGGTTCTGACGGGGGTGAGGGCACAGACAGTACTGAAATAAGTTAGATTATGTATTATGCTAGAAGGTGCTGTGGAGGAAAGTAAAGGCAGTGGGTGCCAGGGTGGGCGGGTAGGAGTATGATTTCAGCCCTCAGTGGGGTGGTCAGGGAAGAGACAGTGGCACCCAAGGGGTGCAGGTGGTGTGGGACTCTGGGGCAGAGTGTTCCCTGGAGGAGAAACAGGAAGCACAAGGACCATAGTGGGGCAGGTGTGGGCCTGGTGTGTTTCAGGACAGCAAGAAGTTTAGGATGGATCGGGTAGACTAGATCAGAGAGGTGACTGAACTGGGGTGGCCAGATCCTGCAGGGGTTTCCAGGCCGTTGTAAGGACTTGGACACTGTTAATCTGGGGCAGATGGAAGCCATTGGAGGGCTTTTGAATTTCGATAGGGTCGCTGCAGCTGCTGTGTTGAGCATAGACTTGGAGCAGGGAATACAGGTGGAAGGTGATGATCCTAATCCAAGTCAGAGATGGCGGGAGCTTGGACCCTGGAGGGTGCGGTGGTGCACAGTGGCTGTATGAATTCTGGATATGTTTTGGAGGTAGAGCCACACCAGACTCATTCATTCATTCAGTGAGTAGGTGCCAGGTACTGGAGATGCAGACTTGAATGGAGGCATAGTCTCTTCCTCTGAGCTGTTGAGAGTCTAACAAGGAAAGACAGACATGGATAACTGATGAGCACACGATATCCTGTGTGCAAGGGACGGGCCAGAGGAGCAACCAAGAACCGTATCCCAGATGGTCTGCCATCCCCATCCCTCCTGCTACACCGTCACCCACTTCGCAGCTCTTGGGAACCTCTCTTCTTCCCTCATGCTTTTCCTTGCCCGTAGACTAGTCTCTGAGCTGGGTTACTTACTTGGGCCTAGAGCATGTTCATTTTACCGAAAAGGATACTGAGCCACAGAGTGTTCTCACTGAGCCAGCGTTGAGGTCTGTTTCCTACATCTGTAGAAATTTGGAAGAATCTGCGGGAAAAACCTTAAAGGAACTAGATTTAAGAAGAGACGGCTGGGCTGGGTGCAGTGGCTCACGCCTGTAATCCCAGCACTTTGGGAGGCTGATGCGGGTGGATCACTTGAGGTCAGGAGTTCGAGACCAGCCTGGCCAACATGGTGAAACTCTGCCTCTACTTAAAATACAAAAAAATTAGCTGGGCATGGTGGTACGCACCTGTAATCCCAGCTACTTGGGAGGCTGAGGCAGGAGAATCGCTTGAACCCGGGAGGCGGAGGTTGCAGTGAGCCGAGATCGTGCCATTGCACGCCAGCCTGGGGGACAAGAGCGAGACTTCGTCTAAAAAAAATAAAAAATAAAAATAAAGAAGAAGAGAAGGCTGAGTGAAAGTCCTTAAAGGGAAGAGACTTACCGTGCTCCCAAAGCTCATTGGTGGAGCTGCCAGGCTCTAGCCTGGCTCACCAGCTCCCAGGTCTGTGGCCCTACTTCATTCACCCACCGGTGATGACTTAGACCCGAGATGCTGCATGGGTGGCTTTAGTTAGACCTGGGGTAGAACTGTCGACCGTTCACTGGACCGCCAAAGCCTTTCCCTAGAAAGCTTTGAGAGGAGACATCTTGTGGACTCAGGGTTTCAGGTGCAGATCAGACCACAGACAGTGTCCCCAGACTCCGATTCTCCCCCCACTCCTTCCTCTGACACAGACGAGGCAGTGGTCCCAGGCCAGCACACCTTTTCTGGCAGACAGTACCTCTGGAGAGTAGCCTCGTAATTCGGCCTTGGCATTGGGGAAAGGTCAGCTGGGGGGTCAGCTTGGCCTTGGCCGTGCACTCTGGTTACAACCCAGGTGGCAGGCAGCCCACTCCCCTCACCTCCCCGGGCATCAGCAGCTGCCTCCCACGGACAGCCGCAAGCCCTCCCGGTTCCGCAGCACAGGGCGGGCTGGCACCTGCTCCCTCTGATCCCCCCACTCAAACCCTCTTGCTCTGCCTCTCCTCATCCGATGCTTCTCCGTATGGTTTAACACTAGCCAGGGGTGAAGGGCCACCCAAGGGCTTGCCTGACCACCCAGCCCGAACTGGCCCCCGGTCCTCTGAACACGTCCCTGTCCGTAGCACCCCTGGATTCCATTGTGTGGGCACATGCCGCTCCTGAACTAGGTAATGCTTTGAAATAAGGAACCCCTTTCCATCATCTTTTTCAATACTGGAAACCATGGATGCTCTGGGGTTTTCCAGGATGCTTCAGGCGTAGCAGCAGTCCCTCGGGGGCTGGGCCCATGGAGAGTGCTCAACCTTCCTTGTTGAGGGGTCTGAGTCAGCCATGGGGCTGCACATGTGCACTGACTGGCTTTTCTTTATGAGCGGACGGGCTCAGGCCTCCTCTCCAGGGACACTAAGTGTCTCCAGCAGTTGCACCCCCCATGCCCGCTGCTGCCTGCAGACAGGACAAGAAGTCTGGACGCTTCTACTCGTTTACAGAGGCGGAGGGCACGGTGGCAGTCACACAGGGCAAGGCCGAGGGCCGGGCAGCTCCCTGGAGCCTCCCAAGTGTGAAGAAGGCCCAGGAGAAAGTGTGGGGAGAGGAGAGGAGGCCGCCAGCGCTGGGTGAGGAACGGTACCGGGGGTCAAGGGAGGCTCTGGAAGTTCCTCAGGCTGTGCGTGGTTGGTGGCCACGGGCCCTGTTAACCTTGTTCTCGGGTTTCAGTCCCCACAGTGAGGCCTTGTCTTCCTCTCGCTGCTGGGAGATCCCTGTGATCCAGAGAGGGAACCCACAGAATCCTCACCCCACAAATCCGCTTAGGATGGGCAGAGAGTGAGGGCAGGGCTCCTCCGCAGAAGGTACCCCGCACCCCCTCACTGCTTCCAGCCTTTTGTCCTTCTCTCCACTGAGAGGCTGCTGGTGTCTCTGCAGGTCGGAACGAGCTGATTGCCCGCTACATCAAGCTCCGGACAGGGAAGACCCGCACCAGGAAGCAGGTGGGCCTCAAGAGACGGGTAGGGGTCCCGGGGGTGGTACCCCAGCACCAGTCTGCTCCCAAGGTGGGCCAGGCCCTCCCAGGACCAGACGCAGGCTTTTGAGGGGCGGCAGCTCTGGATGAGTTATCCCTGTTGGGCGTGTCACAGGTGGTCCAGTTTTCTTTTTCTTTCTTTTTTCTGAGACGGGGTTTCACTCATGTTGCCCAGACTGGAGTACAATGACGTGATCTCGGCTCACCGCAACCTTCTCCTCCTGGGTTCAAGTGATTCTCCTGCCTCAGCCTACCGAGTAGCTGGGGTTATAGTCACCCGCCACAATGCCCGGCTAATTTTTTGTATTTTTAGTAGAGACGGGGTTTCACCACATTGGCCAGGCTGGTCTCGAATTCCTGACCTCATGTAATCCACCCGCCTTGGCCTCCCAAAGTGGTAGGATTATAGGCGTGAGCCACCACCCCCGGCCGGGTGGTCCAGTTTTCTTGGGGTCCCTGCTGCCATCACTTAGGAGGAAACCCCTCGCCTCTCTGGAAAGTCATCAGCCCCCATCTCATCCTTCTCCAGGACACTAGGACAGACAGTAAAACATTGGCACTACTTTTCTTTTTTGTTGTTGTTGAGACAGAGTCCTGCTCTGTTGCCCAGGCTGGAGTGCAGTGGCGCAATCTCAACTCACTGCAACCTCCGCTTCCCAGGTTCAAGCGATTCTCCTACCTCAGCCTTCCGAGTAGCTGGAATTACAGGCATGCGCCACCACACCCAGCTAATTTTTGTATTTTTAGTAGAAATGGAGTTTCACTGTGTTGGCCAGGCTGGTCTCGAACTCCTGACCTCAAGTGATCCACCTGCCTTGGCCTCCCAAAGTGTTGGGATTACAGGTGTGAGCCACTGCTCCCTGCCGGCACTGCACTTTTGAAATACTGCCGGTTTCTGGATTAGCTGGGCAAGGCAGGACTGAGGGCCCACCAGTTGACCCTTTCATTCATTCATTCATTTGGTCCACAGATGTGGGTTGAGGGCTGTGGAGGGCGAGAGTCAGGAAGCCAGGCTGGGGAACACAGGTTGTTGGGAGGTAGAGACAGGAGTCCTCTCTCCCTGCCACAGGTCTCCAGCCACATCCAGGTGCTGGCTCGTCGCAAAGCTCGCGAGATCCAGGCCAAGCTAAAGGTAAGGAAACTGCAGTGGGGGTGCTGGAGTGGCCAGGAGTGGTGGCCAGCAGCATATCTTCCCTTTGGGGTCAGGGCATCACTGCTGGTGTGCAAGTCAGTGTGCTTTTCTCTCTGTTGAGGAGAGCCAGGTTGGGCCTGTAACCTCTCTCCCATCCGCACAAGAGGGCCAAGTGTGTGGATGCCTGGCTCCCCACACCCTGGGAGCTACAGGCCAGGCTCCTGCTGGGATCCCCCCTTGCTGGCTCCTGCTTAGAGGGGCTCACACGGCTCAGAGCAGCCGGATCACCCACCAGCCCTCATTTCTTGAGGGCCCCTCAGTGCCCTCGACCAGAGCATGCGGAGTGGCAGGGGCATGGGGGGGTGCCTGCTGTGGGGGTGGGGGTGGCGTTTATGGTACTGTGGGAGCTGGCAAATTCCTTCCTGCTTCCTGTCCTGTGGGACTGGGTGTTCCTTCCCTTCCCTGGGTCAGCCCCGTCTTGCAGGGCCTCTGCTGATAGGTGATGGCTCTGGGGGGCCTGATGTTGCTGGCATTCCCCTCGGGGTAGCCCTGCTCCCCACAGGAGTCAGGCCTCTGGGACCCTGGAACCAGGGGCCTTTGGGTGAACACTGGGAGGGAGTGAGCTCTCCATCAGGGAGGTGATGACGACAGAGGCTACACAGCAAGTTGGTGGGAAGATCTGACATTTGAGGCATTAAGTCTAGACCATTTATAAACATTTTTATTTATTTATTTTTAGAGACAGGATCTGTCTCTGTCACCCACGCTCAGTGCAGTGACGCAGTCATAGCTCACTGCAGCCTCGACCTCATAAGCTCCAATCACACTCCCACCTCAGCCTCCTGAGTATCTGGGACCACAGGCAAGTGCCACTGCACGGCCATTTTTTTCTATTTTTTTATAGAGATGAGGTCTCCCTATTTTGCCTGAGCGGGTCATAAACCCCTGGGCTCAAGAGATCTTCCTGCCTTGGCCTCTCAAAGTGCTGAAATTATAGGCATGAGCCACTGGGCCTGGCCTGCAAACATTTTTTTTTTTTTTTTTTTAGCAATGTAGCCCCTTTTCTTTTCTTCCCCCAACAAAATATCACCCTGATGTGTTATCAGAGGAGCCGTTCTGGTCAAAGCTAGGTTGGCAAAGCTCCTCTCCTCCCGCGCATCCTTTCCCACCCCATGGAACTTGAACTCTAGGGGACCTCAGAATCCAGTTTAAAAGCTACTGGGAGGCCAGGCGCGGTGGCTCACGCCTGTAAGCACTTTGGGAGGCCGAGTTGGGCGGATCACTTGAGGTCAGGAGTTCAAGACCAGCCTGGCCAACATGGTGAAACCCTGTCTCTACTAAAAATATAAAAATTAGCCAGGTGTGGTGGCACACAGCTGTAATCCCAGCTACTCGGGAGGCTGAGGCAGGAGAATCACTTGAACCTGGGAAGTGGAGGTTGCAGTGAGCCAAGATAGTGCCACTGCACACCAGTCTGGGCAACAGAGTGAGACTCCATCTCAAAAAAAGCCACTGGGCTAGCTGGGCATGCACGCCTGTAATCCCAGGTACTTGGAGGTTGAGGCCAGGAGTTGGAGGCTGCGGTGGGCTGTGATTGCACCTGTGACTGGCCACTTCAGCCTGGGCAACATTGTGAGACCCCATCTCTGAAAATATTTTTTATATTAAAGAAAAGCCACTGAATTAGATGACCTTGAAAGTCCCTTCTGGCCCTGGCAGTTCATGATCCTGACACTGGAATCTCAGAACGAGTGGGTGGGAACCACAGACCTTTCTGCCTCCTAGGAAGCCACACCCCACTGCCCACTCAGTTCCATTCCTCCTGCCATCAGCCCAGCTGTTCCCCAAGCCCCACAGCTGTGGCCTGGCACCTCGCTCCTTTTTCCCTGGGACAGCTGACCAGCCCTCAGCTGTTGCTCCCGCCTCTCAGCCTCAGCTTCCACAGCCATGGAACCCAGCCCTGCTCCCTGTTTCCCCTCTTTCGTCTGCCTCTGACTCACCGGGACCCTGCAGATGACCACGGTGAACAGACTTCCCACTACTGGGTTTAGGGCAATCCCTTGGGGGCCGGCTGTGTGGCCCACATTTGCTTCAGGGAATTGTACTTGTCCTTGTCCACAGGTTCTGACCTGGGGCCCAAGGACAGCCTTCAGTGGATGGCTGGACAGACACCAAGGGGAGCCATAAACTCCTTAAAATATGCAAATTTTCATGTATATGTGAGTTGCCTTGGAGAGATTGCTGTGAGGATTTTGTCATATTCTCAAAGGATCTAGAACCCAAAGTGATTAAGCTCTGGGTTGGACAGTGATCCAATAGAAATCCCTGAGTGAGAGGCTGGGTCCTAGGCCTGGCTCTGCCCCGTGGCCGTGAGTGCTTGGGCAGAGTCACTGGGACCTCCTGGAGCTCCAGTTTCCTCATCTGTAAAGTGACAGGCGAGCAAGGTGACATCCAAGTTCCCCTCCCGGCCCCGGTTAGTGGCTCCCTGGCTCCATTGCCCGGCTACTGCTGTCACTCCCCATCGGGTCCTTCCCACTTCCTCTGACCCCTGCCCCACCCTGCCCAGGCCGCGGTTTCCTGAGCCCCAGCCGTTTGTTTAGATCGAGTATCCAGGAAGGCAGGCACTGAGTAGATGCAGCCCCGGCCTCGTGATGGAGTTGTTAAGTGCCGAGGTCTTCGGGCTCGCAAGGGTGCGCCTGCCAAGTCCCTCATGCCCTCCTGCGGGGAGAGGTCAGGGGCTGGCCTGGGCACTTTCCTCCTGAAAATTCCAAGTGTCCTGGGAGGAGACACACACTTAGACTTACTAGTTAGCTCCCTCTTTGGTTATCAGAGACAGCCTCTGAGAGCAAAGCCCAAGTTTGGCCCCAAAAGGACAGTGGGGAGGGGGCCAAGGGGGGCCAGGGACAAACCTCATCTATTTCACTGCTTTGTCCACATCGACAATGACCCACTACTCGGAACAGTTCCCTACTCCCCACCGCCCTCTATGGTGCGTCTCCCCCGACCCCTTGGTTTGCATGGCCCCCCGTGTGCCAGTCTGGTCCAAGCTCACCTGGTCACCATCACCACTCTCAGCACCCTAGTCACCCAAATTCTCAGAGCCTCAGTTTCTTCATCTTAATGATCCTACAAGTCCTGTCAGTCTCACAGGACTCAGTGAGGTTGTGTTCTTGAAAACCTTCCGTGGGCTGCCTCATGCCACATGGGTGAAATGGTCACCTTGAGAGGATGAGTGGAAGGGCCTGCTGTGTTCTGGCTTCACACCTGCACGGCACCAGGATGGCGGGGGAGCACTGAGCCTCTCTGAGCCTCCCTGAGCCTCCAGGCCGCGGTGCTGCCCACCTCATGGAGCTGCGTGTGGACCGCGTGGAGGCATCCCTCGGAAGAGCTGGCGAGCTGCAGGGCTCACCGTTGCTTCTCAACTTCTGTTTTTAGTTTGTGTTTTAGAGACTCCACTCTGTCACCCAGGCTGGAGTGCAGTAGTGCTGTCACAGCTCACTGCAGCCTCGACCTCCTGGGCTGAGGCCATCCTCCTGCCTCAGCCTCCCAAGTAGTTGGGAGGTTCTCAACCTTTGTATCACTTAAGGGAGATCCAGGTCTACCAAGTTAATTATTATTAGTTATTCAATAATGGTTTTATCTTTGTCATTAAAAAAAAATTCATGGGTGGGGGCGGTGGCTCATGCCTATAATCCAGCACTGGGAGGTCGAGGCAGGAGGATCACATGAAGCCAGGCGTTTGAGGCCAGCCTGGGCTAATGAGATGCTGTCTGAAAAAATAATAATCATCATAAAGATATTTATTTATTTATTTAGACAGATTCTTGCTCCGTTGCCCAGGCTGGAGTGTAGTGGTGCAATCTCAGCTCACTGCAGCCCCTGCTTCCCAGGTTTAAGCAATCCTCCCACCTCAGCTCCTTGAGTAGCTTGGCCTGCAGGCACACACCACCACACCTGGCTAATTTTTGTATTTTTTGTAGAGCCAGGGTTTCACCAAGTTGCCCAGGCTGGCCTAGAACTCCTGGGCTCAAGCGATCTACCAACCTCAGCCTCTCCAGGAGCTGGGATTACAGGCATGAACCACCACTTCCGGCCAGGTATCAAATTTCTAATCAGAGCCCCTGAGTTGACTCAGTCGAGCCATTTAGCCCCGATAAAGCTGCAGACAGTGAATAATACTTGCTGTTCCAGCCCGTGTGTGTGTGGTCTTATTTTGGATAATCCCTGCTGGGTACAGTAACGCATGCCCGTGGTCCCAGCTACTCAGGAGGCTGAGATGGGTGGATCATTTGAGCCCAGGAGTTTGAGGCTGTAGTGAGCCATGATTGTGCAGTACTCTAGCCTGTGCGACAGAGTGAGACCCTGTCTCTGGAAAAAAAAAAAAAAAGAAGAAGAAAAAGACACAGTTTCCATTAGGCTTCTTGAAATAGGGAATGTTGTGTCATTGGTTTTGAAGACCTTTGGAATTCGGGCACTCAGGATGGAAACCACTGGCTTATATGAATATAACAAACGATTACTATTGTTACCCGTGCCATCCAAGTGGCTTTCCCTGTGTGCTTATTTGTTCCGGGCCTATTCAGGGTGAACCCATCCTCTGGGGTCTTGGAACCTTTGGAGGGCAGACAGTGGGTATTTACACTCTGACACATGAAAGATGGGTGAGTCCCAGGTGCCTACAGTGCCCAGGGAGATCCTTAGGGCAGGACTGAGGCAGGAGGGGCCACAGGAGGTGGTCTCTTGCCTCCAGACAGCCCGTGTGGCCAGGGATGATGCTTCCTGTGCACTCGAGGAGGGATCCAGCAGATATTCATGCATCGTTTTCACAAGACAGGTGCTGAGCTAGGCACCTGTGGTAGAGAGGTGAGCAAGGCATAGAAGGTGGCCCCGTAATTAATAAAATGACAGATAATGTCTCTGTAAGCTCTGATGAAAGAAGCAGGGCAAGTATCATGCCCCTTTGACAGATGAGAAAACTGACCAGAGAAACCAGCTGACTTTCTCAGTTGCAAAACAAGTTAATAGCACGGCACAGACTTAACGCCTGGTCCCCCAGCTCTGGCCACTGGCAGCGAGACAGCTTCCCTGACCCGAGGGCCGGACCTGCCTGGCCTCAGCCTGACTAGTGACCCTGCTGAGGTCCTCCCTTGCAATGTCTCCCCCAGGACCAGGCAGCTAAGGACAAGGCCCTGCAGAGCATGGCTGCCATGTCGTCTGCACAGATCATCTCCGCCACGGCCTTCCACAGTAGCATGGCCCTCGCCCGGGGCCCCGGCCGCCCAGCAGTCTCAGGGGTAAGTGGGCTGCCGAGAGCTGGAGGCCAGGCCAGCCCTCTCCTCCTCCCTCCTCCCTGTTCAGAAGAGCCAGAAGCATTGGCCAGCCCAGATTTCTCTCACCTGAGTCCTCTTGGCCAGGGCAGTCAGGGAAGGAGGGAACAAGGACCCAAGGGCCACACACATCCCGGCTTGGCTGGTATTGGGACGGCTTTCTTGGGGTCCTCGGCAATGACTCCACAGACTTCACAAGGGGGAAGGGGGAGCTTCCAGGAGCTGACCACCTGGTAGCTCTGCCATGTTGGCCTAATTTACAGATGAGGAAGCTGAAGCCAAGGGGGCTGAGCGGAAGCCTGAGACCAGCATGTACCTGGGCAGCTCGTGCCACGCAGCCTCATTCCTGCCCTCCTGCCAGGTGGAGAGCTGGTGCCCCAAAAACAAACCCCTGGTCAGATTTTAACTTTCCCAGCCATGACCATGTTGGCCACACTCTCAGAATGATCCAGAAAGGCCCCTTTTCAGAGCTGTCTCCTCACAGGGGCTTTCTTGGCTCCAGGGACTAAATGAGTCTTCAAGGCACCTGCAGCACCGCCCTAGGCACGTGGGGAAGGGGCAGTGCCAGGCCACAGCATTTTTCAAAGTGCGTCCCAGAGAGCACTAGTCCATCTGCATGTTAAACAGATAGGACACAGTGGTTCTGTGAGTAAGTTTGGGACCCTTGGCATTAAGTGGGTTCTTGGCACTGGGACTTTTCTGAGCCTTAGGTCTGCACTGTGACTCTGCAGGAGTTGCCCTGTGCTGTGTGGACCACACCTGGGTGCTTTTCCCATGGAGCCCCTCCTCCACAGGGCCTGAGAGCCCCCTGAAACTCACTCTGGGGGTGCTGCTGTGGCCTGTTAGCATTCACTAGCTAGGCGAGGCCTCGGGCTCCAGCCTCTCCTCCCAGTGGAGGCCCTGCCCGGTCCTACCCCCACCCCCACACCACAGGGCCCCGGGTGCACCTGGGGCCGTGCTGATTCCATGCCTTTTGCCTCCTCAGTTTTGGCAAGGAGCTTTGCCAGGCCAAGCCGGAACGTCCCATGAGTGAGTATGGCCTCTGGTTTCTCTTGCCAGTTGCTCCCTGAACTGAACTTGAACCCATAAACTCATGGCATTAAGCCTGGGCCCCAGGGTGTGCTGGGGCCGCTGCTGGGGTCGGCCTTTCAGGATGGCTCTGAGCTCAGGGATTGGGCTCTTCTACTGTCAGCCATCACTGGGCTCATCTGTGATGTCTACACCCTAGGGTGGTATTTGCCAAAACTCCAGTCTGTCCAGGGTATAGGCAGGGCCAGAGCTGGGGTCCCCCAGGGGAGGAGGCTGGGAAGCAGACCTCTGGCTGGCCTGGGAGGAGGAGAGGGAGGGGTGGATTTCTTCAGCAGACACGCTGTGTCTGTGGACCCGCCACGAAACCCAGGGGAGTCGGCAGGGGCGGGAGTAGGAGGCCAAGGCCCATCGGGACCACTGAAATCCAGACCACCAGGACCTACCACACAGACCACTGGACCCAGTGCAGGGATCCGGGGCGGTGGCCTGCCCGAGGCTGACACCTCCCCTCCTCTCTCTCCCGCAGTGTGAAGCCTTTCTCTCAGCAAACCTATGCTGTCCAGCCTCCGCTGCCTCTGCCAGGTGGGTGGGCGCTGCGTGGCCCCCTTTCTATCGCAGCCATGTGGCTCCTGCCTCTGGGTCCAGGCCCCCGGCAGCCGAACGCCTGCGTGTCCCTGTTAGATGCTGCCCCGTCATGCACACTGACCACACGTCCTAGTCCCTGGCCACACCCCATTCCTTTCCCCCAGCATGCACACCTCAGCCGTGTGCCAAGCCCCTTCATGCCCCTCGGGTTGCCTTGCTCCTGTCCCCTCAAAGCTGTGCTCAGGGCTTGTGGGGCACGTGCAGTTCCAAGGGCAGTGCCCGTGCCCTGGCGGCTGCCCCACTTGGCCGGCCTTGTTACTGCAGTGTGCCTCACACACCTGGTCCTGGGAGGGCCGAGGGGTGTCTAGCTCACCAGCCTGGAGCCCCTCCCGAGAAGAGGGACCCTTGTGGGAGAAGACCTGGTGGAGGCAGCCAGCGGTGCTGACAGGAGCCCCCACCCCGCCCTCTCACTGACAGGCTCTGCTCTGTCCTCGTCTCTTTCTCAGGAGGGGCCCTCACCACCTCCCACTCTGTAGGACAAGACCAGCTCCTCACTCTTAAACTGCCCTTTCTGGTGTGGAGTCTGCCTGCCCGGCCCCTTGGCTTTCCCTGCCACCAAGAGCAGCCCTGCTGCCTTCTGTCCCCCAGGTCCTGAAGGCTGCTTTCTCTCGTTCACACATCAAAACAAAGTCACAGCGTCAGGTCCCGTCCACCCTCTGTCTCATGCCAGTCTTCTGTCCACACTGACCATGTCTTCACTCCAGGCCTGCTGGCTTTTGCCTGCGTTCCTGCAGCAGCCTCTCCACCGGCTCGCTGTCCCGTCTCACCTCCTCTCGTCACCCTGTCACTCACCAGAGCTTCAGTCTCACGGTGTTGCTTCCAGGTTTATGGTGCCTTCCTGGCCCCCTGGTGCCTTCAGGACACGATCTAAACTACAGTAGGACTGGAGTAGGTTCATCTGTTAGCAACGCTGGATTGAGGGGCTCTTCTGGGCCAGGCCCTGTTCTGGGAGCGGGGGAGACACATGTGATGCAAACAGGAAACGTCCCCGTCTCTCCGGGATGATGCCATATTGTAATAGTGGATTCATCTGGTTATTTCCCCGACTGGAACAGAAGTTGCTTGAGGGCAGGAACTTAACAGTGCCTGTTCTGGAAGCCTCTCGGTCCTGCAGGGCCCCAGCTGCCCTCCAGAATCCAGTCTTGCTCGGCGGTTCCATGCAGAGTGCTGAGTGGCCCGAGTTGTACCAGGCGAGCCCCTCCCCACCAGGGCAGCTCCAGGATGCCCTGGCCCAAGCCTGGCACTCCCTCCACCACCTCTGCTAGGAGGTCCATTTAGGGAGACAGGCGGTCCCCCCAGGCAGCACGGGTCTGTCCGAGGAGGCCTGGGGTCCTTGCAGAGGGTGCGGGCAGGGCGGGTGTCCGTGACCAGGTTCCATGTGCCTTTCTCACTTTGTGCAGGGTTTGAGTCTCCTGCAGGGCCCGCCCCATCGCCCTCTGCGCCCCCGGCACCCCCATGGCAGGGCCGCAGCGTGGCCAGCTCCAAGCTCTGGATGTTGGAGTTCTCTGCCTTCCTGGAGCAGCAGCAGGACCCGGACACGGTAGGTCCTGGCCTCTGCCTGTCCAGCTCCCTGGTCACCCCCTCTCCCTCTGTTTCTGCTTCCGGCAGTCTTGCCCCACTCCATGCTGGGGCTTAATTCAAGTTCCCTGTTCCTTTCCGATCTTCCCTTCTGCCCTTCCCCCCACTCCTCCTTTCCTCCTTCACGTCACCCCTCTTCCCTCTTTCCCTCCTCCCTGGCTTCCTTTCCGTGTCCCAGCGCCCAGTCAGCGTCACGCTCCTCCCTCCCTGTCCTGTGTTCCTCCTCCCCTCCTAACCCAACCGACCCTTAGTCCAAGGTTGCTCTGGTCCCAGCCCCACCCCTACACTGTCCCAGCCTCTCTCTGGTTCTGAGAAGCGGGCAGGAAGCTGAGGAGTCTCCTGTGTCTGCTCCATATCCTATGGGATACCAGCCTGTCCCCTTCGGTGTCCAGTGTCCTGGGTGACCAGCGTCACCTGCAAAGGTCAGAGGGGGACCTGGAGGAGGCCAAGGTGACAGGATGCCAGGGCCCTTCTCACTCTGACATCTTCAAACTTCTTTTTTTTTTTTTTTTTCTTGAGACAGAGCCTCACTCTGTCACCCAGGCTGGGAGTGCAGTGGCATGATCTCAGCTTACTGCAACTTCCACTTCCTGAGTTCAAGCGACTCTCCCGCCTTAGCCTCCGGAGTAGCTGGGATTACAGGTGCCTGCCACCACACCTGGCTAATTTTTGTATTTTTAGTAGAGACTGGGTTTCACCATGTTGTCCAGGCTGGTCTTGAACTCCTGACCTCAAGTGATCCACCCACTTCGGCCTCCCAAAGTGCTGGGATTACCGGTGTGAGCCGCCGCACCCGGCTCAGACTTCTTTTTAGCTGAGGAACCCATGAACCAAATAGACCTTTACTTAGAAGTCCAGGATGTAAAACAAAAGGAGTAGACTTTTACCATCTCTATTTTACTCATGGGGAAACTATGGCCCAGAAAGGCCAAGCGGCTTGCACCAGGTCACGTGGTGGGCACGCAGAGCCAGGGTTGTCTGTCTGACCGTCTGGCCTGTGCTCCGTCTCCCTCAGACCCACTCTCTCCACAGTACAACAAGCACCTGTTCGTGCACATTGGCCAGTCCAGCCCAAGCTACAGCGACCCCTACCTCGAAGCCGTGGACATCCGCCAAATCTATGACAAATTCCCGGAGAAAAAGGGTGGACTCAAGGATCTCTTCGAACGGGGACCCTCCAATGCCTTTTTTCTTGTGAAGTTCTGGGTAAGCCTGTGATAACCCCTTCTTTCCTGCCACCAGCGTGTCCGTGGTAGTGAGAACGGGGCGAGAGTGCCCAGAGTGTGCCCTTGTCACAGTAGAAACTTGGGGAGGTGGCACCAGTGAGAAGGGGAGAGTAAGCCCAGCATGGCTATGGGATGGTTGGAGCTGAGCCGAGGAGCGGGGCGGTGATCCCAGAGAGCTGGCCTAGTCGAACGAGGCCTTGTCTCACGGGTGGGGATGGCAGCTAAGCCGGGCTAACAGTGGAGCCCTCAGGAGGTGAGGAGGTGTAGTTCCAGAAAAAGACAAACGGGACCCTGCGGGGATAAGTGAAGACATGACTAGGAGCGCCCTTGTCACCCAGGTCTTTGAATGACAAGTCCTGCATGGGTTTCCGGGCCTGGAGCTGGTCCTTCGGTGCTCGCGTCCAAGGCATGTTGGGCTGAACAGAGCTTGGAGAAGGGGAGGGAAGTGTTGGATGGGTCACCCAGCTGACTCTGCCCCAGGGCGAGGCCACCCCACAAGAAACACCCACCCAGCTTCTCAGATAGCTCAGCCTGTAGACTTGGCCTCTGCTGCCCTCCCACCTCACCCCGGGCAGGTATTTTGTGGGTGGAACCTCCTCCATTGAAACGTCTTGTCTGAGGCCGGGAGGTACAGTAGCTGCTCTGGGAGCTTAGCTTCCTGGGGGCCCAGTGTGTGCAGAAAAGGGGTGCGAGGAGAGAGTCAGACAAGTAAGTGCTAATGAAGCCAGCGGTGAGGAAGGGCAGGAAATCAGGCTCTGTGACTGAGGCCTCCAGTATTCTCAGGACACGGACTGAGGCTTGGGTGGCTCTGCCCGCATCCCTCTTCCCCACTCCCCTTCAGCTCTCCTCACGCTCTTTTCAATGCCTCTTGTGCAGAGATTCTTACCCTTTATTTACTGCCAGACCACTTTCATAATCTCAAAGCTTTACTTTTCCTAGAAAGAGGCATATTCACACCGAAGTTTATATAGACGTTCAGATGGCTTGCCGGCTCCCGGTGAGCAGCTCCCAGCCTGGCTCTCATCCACAGCTGAACATGGGGGCAGGCTGTCTCCAGAAGGGGCAAGTGTTGGAACTGAGACCTAGGGCCCCTGACCTTTAAGACACTTAGCATTTGCGCTCTGCCAGCGGAATGGAAGTTGGACCCTGGCCTGAGGGATGGGCACATCTATTGGCAGAGATGGGAAAGGCTGTTGCGGCCTGGGAGTGCATGAGTAGTAAAGGCAGAAGGAAGTGGGCTCTGGAGTGAAGTTGAAGCCGTAGGTAAAGAGGGAATAAGAGGAGACAACTGGGAGAGTGAGTTAGGTTCTGGAAGGTCTTGATCATACTAAAGTTTGAGTTTTAACCTGTTCTGGAATGAAAAATAAGTAGTATTTTATTTTACTTGGTCTTCTTTTTAAATCAATGCATGTTCATGGTTAAAATGTTAATTAATACCAGGAGCCTTATTTAACGAAAGAGAATGAAGGGCCAGTTGCGGTGGCTCATGCCTGTAATCCCAGCACTTTGGGAGGCTGAGGCGGGCAGATCACAAGGCCAGGAGTTCAAGAACAGCTTGACTAACATGGTGAAACCCTATCTCTACTTAAAAAAAAAAAAAAAAATTAGACAGGCGTGGTGGCACACGCCTGTAATCCCAGCTACTCAAGAGGCTGAGGCAGGAGTAATCGCTTGAACGTGGGAGGCGGAGGTTGCAGTGAGCAGAGATGGCGGCCACTGCATTCCAGCCTGGGCAACAGAGCGAGACTGTCTCAAAAAAAAAAAAAAAAGTGAAAAGCATCATATTCTTGTCCTACTCCTCCCCACACCCAAATCCCAATCCCCAAAGGTAGTCACTGCAAATTTCAGCTGTTTATTTTGGGCTTTATCTCTTTAGTTCTAAGTAATATGCTTATATTGCTGTATCTCGATGTCAGGATTAAGACATTATATTTTCATTTCATTATGGTAGAAAAAATTAGCTGTGTTACATCACTTTTCCCCCTCATCATCCCAATGTAATAATATCCAATAAGTTATTTAATTTAGTAAAAGTCATAAAATGTTCACTTTTTTTTTTTGAGTCTCGCTCTGCCACCCAGGCTAGAGGTGCAGTGGCGTGATCTTGGCTCACTGCAAGCTCCGCCTCCCGGGTTCACGCCATTCTCCTGCCTCAGCCTCCCGAGTAGCTGGGACTACAGGCACCCGCCACCACGCCTGGCTAATTTTTTGTATTTTTTTAGTAGAGACGGGGTTTCACCGTGTTAGCCAGGATGGTCTCGATCTCCTGACCTCGTGATCTGCCCGCCTCAGCCTCCCAAAGTAATGTTCACATTTTTTGACAATGTAGATTGAACACCAAAGAGCCAAGAACGGGCTGGGTGTGGTGGTTCATCCCTGTGATCCCAGCACTTTGGGAGCCCAACGTGGGCAGATTACTTGAGTTCAAGACCAGCCTGGGCAACATGATGAAACCCCATCTATACAAAAAGTAGCTGGGTGTGGTGGTGTGTGCCTGTGGTCTCAGCTACTCAGGAGGCTGAAGTAGGAGGATTGCTTGAGCCTGGGAGGCAGAGGTTGCAGTGAGCCAAAATCGCACCATTGCATTCCAGCCGGGTGACAGAGCAAGACCCTGCCTCAAAACAAAAAAACAAAAAACAAAACAAAAGTACAAAGAGTCAAGAAGGGTATTATGATTACATTTTTACCTCTTGTACAACTTTTTTTTCCTGCAAATAAATGGCTCTTGCATATTTTTTAATAAGCCTATTCTTAAAATTTTACAAATTGCTCCATCAGAACCACCATATAAAATTAAAATTTTTTTCCCCCAAATATTCAAAACTGTTAGATAATTTATCAATTTCTCCTTTCTTCTGGAGATCTTTCTCCTGGCTGCCTCTGTTCTGCTCCAGTTTGAACGTGTTATTCTTTTTTTTTTTTTTTGAGACAGAGTCTTACTCTGTCGCCCAGGCTAGAGTGTAGTGGCGCGATCTCGGCTCACTACAACCTGTACCTCCCTGGTTCAAGCAATTCCCCTGCCTCAGCCTCCCGAGTAGCTGGGATTACAGGCACCCACCATCATGGCTGGCTAATTTTTGTCTTTTTGTAGAGACAAGGTTTCACCGTGTTGGCCAGCCTGGTCTTGAACTCCTGACCTCAGGCGATCTGCCCACCTCAGCCTCCCAGTGCTGGGATTACAGGTGTGAGCCACTGCGCCCGGCCTGAGCATGTTATTCTCTAGGCTTGCCCTACAGTTGTCATCCTGAGCCTCCCCTATATTGATACAATTTCCTAGCTCTTGCATTTCTCTCTTTATTGGTATAACCCCTTCATTTTGTGGGAACACATCCTCTAGTACCTTCTAAGAAAAGATGCATGGTACATAAATGACCTTGCTTCTTTGAAATGTCATTATTTTTATTATATCCTTATACTTGACTGATTGGTATTGGTAGTCTGGATAAAGAATCTAGATCATACATCATTTTCCCTAGAAAATGATGACTTTTTTTTTTTTGAGACAGGGTCTTGTTTCGAGATGGAGTTTCGCTCTGTTGCCTAGGCTGGAGTGCAGTGGCGCAATCTTGGCTTATTGCAACCTCCACCTCCCAGGTTCAAGCAATTCTCATGCCTCACCCTTGCAGGTAGCTGGGATTACAGTCGTGTGCCACCAGGCCTGGCTAATTTTTGTATTTTTAAGAGAGATGGGATTTTTCAGTGTTGGCCAGGCTGGTCTTGAACTCCTGGTCTCAAGTGATCCTCCTGCCTCGGCCTTCCAAATTGCTGGGATTACAGGTATGAGCTATCGTGCCTGGCCTAGAAATGATTTTCGAGGATCATTCTTTAGTGCATTTGTCATTATCTTCTGACATAAATAGTCTGATAGCATTCTAATTCCCTATCCTTTATTATGTAACTTTTTTTTTTCCTCTGGAAGTTGTAATGTTTCTTCTTTCTCCCTAATGGCCAGTTTCACATTGGTGAGCTTTGGGATATGTGTTGTTTTACTTCCCCGTCTTGAGCCAGGTACTTGGTAGGCACTTTTAACTGTGAGATGAGTCTTTCAGTTTTAGGAAATGTACTCGTATTATTTCTTTGATAATTTATTTCCCTCTGTTTTCTGTTTTCTTTTCCAGGAATCTCTGTTATGATGTTGGAACCCTCTATGATGTTTACCATTTCTTTATTTTCTTGGACTTATCCTCTACGATTTTTACCATTTATTTTCAATCTTGGTCTGTTTTCTTAGCGATTTCCTTAATTTTGTATTCTGACTCTTTTCTGAATTAGTTAAGGTTGTGTCCAAGTGCATATCACACAAACCCCAAAGAAACAGTGGCATAAATAGTTTTTCTTTCACATCAAGGAAGTCTGGAGGTAAAGACTGTCCAGTGCTGGCCCAGTGCTCCTGACATCATGAGGGACCTGGCTTCTCTCTATCTGCTGTCCTCAGTGTATGACTTCTGTACTCAGGGTCATGACTGCTGGAGTTCCAGCCACTGTAGCCATCTTCCAACCATCAAAAGAAGCCAGTTTAGCTCCCTGTAAGGGGCCTGCTGGGAAGCCCCATAATTAGTTGTGTGGCTGCATCTTGCCGTAAGGAACCCGGGAAAGGTACTTTTTTAGTTGGGTAAGTTGCTGTTCTGAATAAAATCAGAGCTGTAATACTGTAGAAGAAGCTGCATACATCCTTTTATGGATGTATCTTAGTTCAGTTGATGACATTTTGTTTTTTCTGGGTAGTTTATAAAGTGTGCATCCTACAGTTAAGGGTGAATTAGATGAGTGGAATACAGCAGCATCTCTGCCACACCTTCTGTTGAATATTTAATTTCGGCTCTGACATTTTAATTTTCCAGAGCTCCTTCTTGTTCTGTGATTGCATCAAGATGTTTGATGGATGTAGTTTTTCTCCTCTTTTTCTTAAAGGTATGAAGTAAGTGTTACTTCTTAAGTTTTCTCCTGCTCCTAACCCTCCCCCAACCCACGCCCAGACTAAGTTTTGCTGTGTTGCCCAGGTTGGAGTGCAGTGGTGTGATCTCGGCTCACTGCAACCTCCGCCTCCCTATTCAAGCAATTCTCCTGCCTCAGCCTCCCAAGTAGCTGGGATTACAGGTGCCCGCTACCACGCTTGGCTAATTTTTGTATTTTTAGTAGAGAGAGGGGTTTCGCTATGTTGGCCAGGCTGGTCTCGAACTCCTGACCTCAAGTGATAGATTTACAGGCGTGAGCCACCACACCCAGCCTCCTGCTCCTTTCTTTGTCTTTGTTTCTTTTTAATTCCGTTTTTCTGTTTGTTTTGGTCCTTGTCTTTCCAGCTGGAGGGTTTTCTTTGGTGTCTTTAGTTCTTAGCTGCCTGTCTGTATTTTTTTAACAGCTTTCTTGCAATGTAATTAACTTACCTTACAGTTCACCTACTTAAAACATACAGGCCACGCACAGTGGCTCACATCTTAATCCCAGCAGTTTGGGAGGCCGAAGCAGACAGATTGCTTGAGCTCAGGAGTTTGAGACCAGCCTGGGCACATGACAAAAACCTGTCTCCACAAAAATAATACAAAAATTAGTCAGGCGTGATGGCATGTGCCAGTAACCCCTACACTTTGGGAGGACGAGGCGGGTGGATTGCTTGAGTCCATGAGTTGGGGACCAGCTTGGCCAACATGGCAAAACCCCATCTCTCCTAAAAATACCAAAATTAGCCAGGCATGGTGGTGCGTGCCTGTAATCCAAGCTACTCAGGTGGCTGAGATGGGAAGATCGCTTGAGCCTGGGAGGCAGAGGTTGTAGTAAGCTGAGATCACACCACTGCACTGCAGCCTGGGTGACAGAGCAAGATCCCATCTCAAAAAATAAAGTATACAATTCCGAGTTTTTAAGTATATTCACAAAGTTGTGCAACCATCACCACAATCAATTTTAGAACATTTTCATCATCCCGAAAATAAGCCCTGTTCCCTTTAGCTGTCACTCCCCACTCCTACCCCCCAGCCCTGTGCAATAATCTACTTTCTGTCTTTGAAGCTTTGCCTATTCTGGACATTTTGTATAAAAGGGTTTGTGGAGGATGTGGTCTTTTGTGACTGGCTTCTTGAACTTGGCATAGTGTTTTCAAGGTTCAACCATGTTGTAGCACGTACGTTCCTTTTTATGGCCAAATGTACGGAGAGTCCACATTGTTTATCCATTCATCAGTTCATGGGCATTTGGGTTGTCTCCTCTTGGCTGTTAGGAGTAGTGCTACTGTGAACATTACGTACCAGTGTTTGTGTGGACGTTCATTTTCATTTCCATATGCTTATGTCTGGAATTACTGGGTCATATGGCAACTCTCTTTCACTTTCTGAGGCACTCCCAAGAGTCTTCCGAAGTGGCTGCACCGTTTTCTGTTCCCACCTGCAGGGTATGAGGGTATGAGGATCCTATTTTCTCCACATCCTCACCAACACTTGATATTCTCTGATTGTAGCCATCCTAGCAAATGTGAAGTGGTATCTCATTGTGGTTTTTATCTGCATTTCCCTGATGACTGATGATGGTAAGCATCTTTTCATGTGCTTACTGGCCATTCGTATATCTTCTTTGTAGAAATGCCAATTCAGAAATTTAGGTCCATTGCCCTTTTTTTTTTGAGACAGTCTTTCTCTGTCACCTAGGCTGGAGTACAGCGGCGTAATTTTGGCTCACTGCAACCTCTGCCTCCCAGGTTCAACTGATTCTCGTACCTCAGCCTTCTGAGTAGCTGGAATTACAGGCACGCACCACCATGCCCAGCTCATTTTTGTATTTTTGGTAAAGGCGGGGTTTTACCATGTTGTCCAGGCTGGTCTTGAACTCCTGAGCTCAAGCGATTCGCCTGCCTCAACCTCCCAAAGTGCTGGGATTACACGTGTGAGCCGCTGTCCCCAACCCCATTGCCCATTTTTATAATAAATTGGGTTATTTTTTATTATTGAATTATGAGTTCTTAGTTCTGGATGAAAGTTCCTTATCAGTTATATGATTTGTAATTATTATTTCCCATTCTGTTGAATGTCTTTTCACATTCTTTTTTCTTTTTTTCTTCAGAGACAGGGTCTTGCTGTGTCTTCCAGGCTGGAGTGCACTGGCATGATTATTGCTCACTGCAACCTTGAACTTGGGCTCAAGTGATCCTCCCGCCTCAACTTCTTGAGTAGCTGGGACTAGAGGCATGCACTACTACGCCTGGCCAATTTTTTTTTTTTTTTTTTTTTTGAGATGAAGTCTCACTCTGTCACCCAGGCCGGAGTGCAGTGGCATGATCTCGGCTCACTGCAAGCTCCGCCTCCCGGGTTCACGCCATTCTTGTGCCTCAGCCTCCCAGGTAGCTGGGACTTCAGGCGCCCGCCACCACGCCCAGCTAATTTTTTTGTATTTTTAGTAGAGACGGGGTTTCACTGTGTTAGCCAGGATGGTCTCGATCTCCTGACCTCGTGATCCACCAGCCTCGGCCTCCCAAAGTGCTGGGATTACAGGCGTGAGCCACCGCGCCCGGCCCAAGTTTTTATTTTTATTTAAATTTTTTATAGAGGGTGTCACTATGTTGCCCAGGCTGGTCTTGAACTCCTGGCCTCAAGTGATCCTCCTGCCTCAGCCTTCCAAAGTGCTGGGATTACAGGTGTGAGCCACTGTGCCTGGCCCCTTTTCACATTCCTAGTAGTGTCCTTTGATGCACAAACGTTTCTAGTGTTGATGATGTCCAGTTTATCAAGTTTTCCTTTTGTTATTTGTTCTGGTTATATTTAGTAGTGACTGGGAGCTCTTCGTGCAAGGTAGGACTTGTCACCTGGTGGGTTTCGCTTTAGGGTGATTGGGCTTGGGGAGCTAGCTGTTTTATTGGGGAAATCAATAAATATGTGTGTTTACTGGACTTTTTTTTCCCCCTGAGGTGATTTAGTTTCTCCAGAGACGATTCATCTAATTTCCCTGGAAGGGACATACTTGGTCACAAGTGTTCTGGTAGTGGGATAAAGGGTCGGGGGTAGGGGCCCTGACCATTTCTGATGCTGGCTTTCACTTAACTCTCCTGTTCTTACTCCCCCTCTTCCCTCTCTTTTGAATAAGCCCTGTGTCCCTGAGACCTGTTGCCCTCCTGTTTAATTTCTGAAGATGGTCACCCTTTGGTCCTCTTTAAAAAGTTTTTTTGTTTGTTGGTGTGTTTTTTAATTTTTAATTTCATAGAGACAGGGTCTTGCTATGTTGCCCAGACTGGTTTTAAACTCCTGGGCTTAAGCCATTCTCCTGCCTCAGCCTCCCAAAGTAATGGGATTACGGGCAGGAGCCACCATACCCGGCTGACCCTTTGATCTTCTACCGATGCATGGGAGGGGTGGGCCTGGGGGCTGGACTGTCCAGTGTACAGACTTTTTGTCAGTTCCTGGGGACAAATCCTGTTCCCTCCAGCTCCGAGCCACGCAGCTCAGCTTCTTATCTGTCACCCCTGAAGATATTGGTAGGTTGTGACTCTTTTTGCTTTCTCTACCCCGTGGAATCCAGTGTGGTCCTAATCAGCTTTGAGTCTCCAAAGCTTGCCCAGCTCTCTTGTCAGCTGGTCTCTTTGTTTTCTTTATCTTTGTGGTGCTGCATATTGTTTAAAGTTACTTGCTGTTGTCCTTCTAGCTGGGTCTCTGGAAGGGGAAAAAATAAACTGGGGTAGTCAGTCTCCCACCTTTAGCCAGGTGTCCAGGATGATGGGGTGACCTGTGTGCCACTTCGAAGGGGTCGGCAGTCGCTGTTTGGAGTGCTGGGCTGAGAAGGCTCTAGCAGGGAGGAGTGCTGGGTGGACGGTCATGGCCACGTGCGTAGCCAGGGAAATATTTGTTAGCCCTTCTCCTTAAGCGATGAGGAGTCATTTAAGGTTTTCGAACAGGGCAGGACGTGGCCAGGGTTGTGCTTAGTTGGTTAACTCTGGCACCCAGACTGGAAGCAGGTGTGAGACTCCTGCAGTGGAGACCAGGCAAGACGCATGTGCCTCCTGAGGACCTCGGCCGAGAGGCTGGCTTCAGGGTGTGGCGTGGGAGGCAGGATGCTGTCCACTTTTTCTCAGGAGGGGCTTAAATCATCTCCCAGTCTCCCGTCCAGCCCCGGTTGTGGGAATTGGAACCTGTACAGCTGGCAGTGGCGCTTCCCAACCCTGCTGTGAGTCTGAGGGGGCCCCCAGCCCCCTGGAGAAGCCTTCACCCTTGCTTGAGCACTCACCGCCCCCGGCCTGTCCAGGCTCAGCCCTGACTCAGCGGAAGGAGCTTAGGCGAGCTGATCTGTGGCTCTTTCCCGGCATGGCTCAGGACCCTGGGGATACAGTTGGGGTCAGAGCGGAGACCCAGTTGGCAGTGGCAGGAAGCACTCATGGGAACACTGCCTTGGAGCGGGAGGTGGCATGTCCGGGACCCTCTTGCACTAGCTCCTGCCTTTAGCTATTGGTGATATTCTGTGTTCTTCTAGCCACCCTCCAGATAAGGACCATCCTAGGTCTCTTGTTTCACAAGTAGGGGAAACTGAGGCATGGAGTAAGCAGGGCCTGGCCCTGAGTCCCCCAGCCAGGGTGACCTCTGTCCTGTGGGCACTCCTGTTGGATACATGCTGTGAGATAGATGGGCCCAGATAGACTGAGAGAGATGACAGCTGCACTCTTCTCACCACGTTACATACAGTCACACGTCTCATCCTCACCACAGCCAAGACTGGATAACCTCATCTGCAGAGGGGAAACTGAGGTACAGACAGGTAGAATCACCTGCCAAAGGTTGCCCAGTTCATAGTACCAGACCCATACCAGACCACGGGTCCATACCTGAGCAGCCTGACCCCAGGGTGTGTGCTTGGAGCCACCATACTAAACAGTCCTCCTTGCGAAGTCACTGGCTGCCCTCCATGCAGCATCCTGGAGCTTCTCCTGCTCCCACTGGAGAAGGCTCTGAATTGTCTAAAACAGATCCCCAGCCCCCTGAGGAACAGCAGGCAGTGGCAGCGTGGGGAGAGCAGACTTAGCTCTGTGCAGTCAATGTAGAGCCAGCCCCTTGGGCTTCTTGGGCGTTCTCGACCTCAGATATCCCTTCCAGAAAATAGGGCAGTGGCCCTGCGTGGAGACTAAGGTTGCCAGGAAGGAAGGAGGACCTAGAAGGTACTTTTCCAAACTTGGTAGTGGCCTGTGTCCTCTCTTTCTTTCTGACTCTTAGGGGAGTTTGGAGGTGGGGGTTGATGGGAGAAGAGAGGGTTGGGACAGCTGGTGCCAAAGACATGGGATTCAGCAGGTTCCCTTGTGGACCGTGTGCTCCAGCCGTGTGCTGTACGGACCCAGCGCGGCCCTCGGCTTCCAGGAGCTCGCACTCTGGATGGGAGGATCCAGCGCGAGTCTCGGGGTCCTGGGACAGGAGCCGCTGGACAGGGGGCTGTGGTGTGCCCCCCAGCAAGGCCCTTCTGATGTGTCATGGCAGGGCACGGTGGGCAGCAGTTGGCCCCAGCTGGGGCAGAGTCTCAGTTCTACCACTTGAGAACTGTGTCCTGGGCAAATATTGGCTTCTCTGTGCCTCTGCTTCTTTGTGTGAATAGTCAGCAGTTTGATCTTGGGGACCTGCCAGGGGCTGTGTCGCTGAAGACCCCGTGTATGTGGCCGGCTGGTACTGAGTGGGGGGCTGTGGCCTGCCCTTGCCCCACCCCTTGCCTGAGCCCTCTGAGTGCCAGCGGCCTGGGCAGGTGAAATCAGAGATGAGGGAGCGCCGGAGGCCAGGGCACCTTGGCGGTCATCTGCTCCCTCCTCCGCATGTGTGGGGCGGGCAGAGGCACCAGAGGAAGACACATATGTGACGGGGAAAGGTACATATTCGTGTTTGCTGACAATGAGACTTTGCGTCAATCGTGGGTCCTCACAGGCTGCCCCGGCTCCCCCCGCATCGGGAAGCTCCTGTCTTCTGCTCCCTGGCCTGGTCCCGCCTTCCCCCTCCATCAGCTGGTGTGAACTTGGCCACACACAGTTAGGAAGGAAAACTGCTCAGGCAAGGAAACGGTGTCGCCTCTCCCGGAGCCTTTCTTTTCCTGCCTGGCTGTTTTCTCAGTCCTGGCTCCCAGGCCCTGAATGTGTGTGCTGGAGAGGCAATCAGAACCCCCTTGGAGTGGGAGGAGGACTTGTCCGTCTCCAGTCCAGCCTCCCTGCCTGTCCCCTGAGTTACTGCTCTTACTGAGGGCGCTGTGGTGGTCATTCATAGACTCTCGGACTGCTGGGACACATTTCCAGCTAGAAGTGGCATCTGCCAGCCTGAAGGGCTGAGGCTGCTAGGGCTGTGCACAGCCTCAGCCCTATCTGCTGAGCGCCACGGGGCCTGGAGCGAGGGACTGATGCGATGAAGCTCCCTTCCTCCCCCAGAGCCCCGCAAGTCCAGCAGAGGCCACCTGTCTCTGGGGCCGGTGAGAGGGGGCCTTTGGTGGCCATTAACGCCGCTCTGCACATTGGAAATGCCAGGCAGAGCCGGGCTGCACCGTGGAGGCAGCAGAGTACCCCAGGCCTTCCTCCCATCTCAGCCTGCTCTTCCCTTTCAGTCCCTGACATTTCTCCCAGGCACATACCAGCACATGACAATGAATCTGAGCCCCTCCAGGCCCCCACACCCGGGCTGCGGCTGTCTCTGCTCATCTGTCAGTCACCCGATCCCCCACACCTGTTCCAGGCACAGCTGCCCACCCGCACGCACAGCTATGAATAGGGCGGAGGGAGGGTTGCAAGGGGGCACTCACAGGGCAGGGGACCGGGGCAGCTCTCATTTTTTCTTAGGCCAAGAAGCGTAGCTTGTTTTGGGTGGTTGCTCAGTGTGGGGGGATATGAGGGTGGACAGGAAATGTCAGGAAGGAGTATAGCTGCAGGAGAAGGGGTGAGGCTGTAATTAGAAGGATCCAGGCACTGAGGACGAGTCGAGGTGCTCTGGGGCGGTTCGTCCGTGTCGCCGGCTGGTGTGTTCCGGGTTTATGCAGTGTGAACATGAGTTCTGGGGCTGATTGTGGGATCTCTCTTTCTCCCCCTGACCCATTGCTCAACCCTAGCACTTGCATTCTATTTGTTCTCCCGATTATAAATTCCCTGAGAGCAGAAACAATGTCTCAACCTCTCTGGGCCCCCCTGCCTCTAGCACTGCTGGCCTGGGCTGGACAAATGGGCACCTGAGCGATGGGAAGAGCCAGGGAGTGGGAGCTGATGACAGAAGAGTGTATCTGAGATGGGGGTGGAGCTGGGGCGCAGAACTCTCAGGGTGAGCAGGACAGGGTAGGTTCCTGCTTGCGCCTGAGGGACCTTGCTCTTCCCACTGGTGCCACCCGGAGGTGAGAGGGTGAACAGCCGCCTGCAACCTTGATTGAAGGCCCACCCTACTAAGGCCCTGGGAGAGCTTAGTTCTTGCCTCCAGGGAGCATCGTATCTGGAAGGGGGCAAGGACATCTGGACAGATTATGACAAGCAGGGTAATAGAGGGGGATCTGCCAATTGCTCCTGGGGGCTGGGGGCAGCCGCTGCCTCTGTGTGTCTGGAAGAGCTGGGAGGTGTGGATGCCAGTCCTTCCCAGCTTGGCACACTGGATTCTTCTAAGATGGCACGTGAATATGCATTTTTTTAAATAGTTAAGTAGTTGCCCAGGCTCAGTGGCTCATTCTTGTAATCCCCCCACTTTGGGAAGCTGAGGCAGGAGGATCACTTGAGCCCAGGAGTTCGAGACCAGCCTGGGCAACATGGCGAAGCCCTATCCCTGTGTTTTAAAATAACTTTATTTGAAAATATGGAAAATAGTTATAGGCCAGACGCGGTGGCTCACGCCTATAATCCCAACACTTTGGGAGGCCGAGGCAGGTGGATCACTTGAGGCCAGGAGTTCGTGACCAGCCTGGCCGATATGGTGAAACCCCACCTCTACTAAAAAAAAAAAATACAAAAACTAGCCGAGCGTGGTGGTGGGCACCTGTAATCTCAGCTACTCAGGAGGCTGAGGCAGAAGAATCACTTGAACCCGGCAGGCGAAGGTTGCAGTGAGCTGAGATTGCACCACCACACTCCAGCCCAGGCGACAGAGCGAGATTCCGTCTCAAAAAATAAAATTAAAAAAATAGTTATATAGTTATTTTCATATATATTAGAAAGAATAGAATCCTTGATTTCATGGATTTATTGCTTAGAATGGAATTAAGGAATAAAAGTGAGTTGATTTCAAAGAATCAGGATGTGTCGTAGATGGCACATGAATGTGGCATTGATCAGAGGGACCATGCGCGGTTAAAATCTGAGGGTCACCACCATTGATGCCTGGCCTCACCTCTTGGTGTTCCCCACCATGTCCAGTGCATCCTTCCCAGGCAGCTGGGCTTCCTGCCAGCGGCATTTCAGGCATTGTTCACATTTTTGCCCTGTGCTTCCAGCTACAGAATATGTCCTGAGCACACAAACTGTCCCCCAGGCCCTTTTTAGGAACAGTCTGACAAAGTCAGTCTCCTAGGAGGAGCAGGTGACTTCGAGAAAATAGGAGACAGGCCAGGTGCAGTGGTTCACACCTGCAATCCCAACACTTTGGGAGGCCAAGGTGAGAGGATCACTTGAGGTCAAGAGTTTGAGACCAGCCTAGGAAACAGCGAGACCCTGCCTCTACAAAAAATTTAAAAATTAGCCAGGTGTGGTGGCACATGCCTATAATCCTGGCTACTCAGGAGGCTGAGGTGGGAAGACTGCTTGAATCCAGGAGTTCGAGGCTGCAGTGAGCCGTGATCATACCACTGTACTCCAGCCTGAGTGACAGAACAAGATTCTGTCTTTAACAAAAAAAAAAAAAAAGAAGAAGAAGAAGAAAACAGGAGCCCGAAAGCCTGGGTTCTGGTCCCATTCACCTTATATTTGCCTGTAAGACCTTCGGCCAGTCACAGCCACAGTTAAATCTAGTCCGGCAGAGGCCTCAGCCACCTCTGCCATGCCATCCTGGGCACCCTGCCTACAATGTGTCATCCCCTCCCTCCCAGCATCACAGATGGAGACAGAGTGGGGAGACTGAGGCCAGCTCAGGGGTGGTAGTGGAGGGTGTTTAGGATAAATGCTGCTGTCTGTTTCAGAGGCTGAGCATTGACACGAATGCTTTTTTTCCCTAAAGGCCTCATCAAAGCCGAGGCAGGTGCACTGAACCATATGCCATTCTGTTTCAGCATGAAAACAGCCTTTTTTTCCTCATCATAAACGTAATCCACCCTCATTCTGCTCCGTAGCCTGCTTTCCCACTCAGTGTGTTTGTAGTCATCCATGATAATAAATGCAGGTCCTTCTCAGCGTTTTTTTGTGGCTACATAATGTTTCTATTGTGCTATAGACAATCAACACCCACCGCCAGTCTAGAGAAAGGTCCTGCTCTGGGAAAACTTCTCCAAAGGAGAGAAAAATAACGATTGAGTGTCCCCTCATGGCCAGTAGTAGAATTGCTTGGTGCCTGGCTCTGAATCTGACCAAAACCTTCCTGGGGTTCTAGGGATCCCCTTATCTTTGCACAGAAGAGTCCTTGGTGTCAGAACCTTGACCAAGGCCTGACGCTTTACTGCATTCGTAGGGCTGCGCTCTGGGCACAGCTTGCAGTGATTTCAGACCGGGGTGTGGGTGGGAGGAGCGGCCTCCCCTGAGAATAAGCCTTTGTAATGTGCCTGTGCGTTGTTTCTGAGTCTTGACTTGTTCTCTTAGCACCCCTGGCTCAGATGGGGTGATTTGATGTGGGGCTGGAGTTCTGGGCATGGGGACCCCTAAGGCGTAGGGCTTCAGGAATACAATTCCTGCCTCAGAGTCCCCAAAGCACCAAATTGTCTCATCTGGTGCCTTCCTTTCTTCGCTGTGGCACTCTGCTGGTTTGGGACAAGTATTGGGGTTGGAGGCTGAAGACCTGGGGTCTTTCACTTACTAGTTGGATGGTGTTGGGCAAGGCTAACAGTCAGGACCCCTCATGGATAAAACCGAGGCCGTGGTTTTGGGTGTGAGATCAGCACAGAGTCTTACTCCGCCTTTTCTAGAAGGGAAGTTTCAGATCAGCCCCACATCCAGCAGGAGGCCCCCTGGGCTCTGTTTTCATCAGGGGAAGGAAGAGCAGCCTGTCTGAGGCAAGGTGAGAAGCTGACCTAGAGGACCAGTGTCTGGGCCTGTGAAGGGCCTTGTGAGCCAGGCCGGGGACCAAGACTCCTGTCCCTTGTGGCTAAATGGCTCAATGAGACGGTGAAGTGACTTGACTTCTGAAGAGATTCCCGGGGCAGTTAAGAGAATGAACCAAAGGGAGGGACAGCTGGTGCTGGGGAGATTGCTCTGGAGGCTGAAGCAGAGATGTCAAAAGATCCAAGGTGACGGGACCCAGCAGTGCCTAGAGGGGGAAGAGGCCAGCCCCAGAGCCGTTTCTGAGGGAGCATCGATCAGGTCTCTGGCGAGACAAGAGGATGAGACAGGAGCAGCATTCACCCCTTCCACCCTCCCCACTGCCGGTCTCTTGCCCTGGTTTTCTGTTCTCATGCTTCCTGCACTATCAAAATTGACTCTGGAATAATTCTGATAGACGCATTCAAACTAAAATAGAGCTGACTGGTAGAGATTCAAACCTTTGCAGTTTAACAAGAACAAAGTCTTAGACTATGAAACTTGAAATCTTAAAGATGGAATCTGGGGCTCCCACCTGCTGGGTGTGTTAATATCTGGGCAGGCAGCAGTGGCCTGAAACTGTGTGGGTCCCAGTGTCCTCTTTTCCCATGATTTAGGCAACACGACCTGATTTTGTACCAGGCAGAGATGTAGAGGAATGTGGAAGCTTTCTGGCGTCCTACTGTCTACCCTCAGTCTGATTTCTTCCCAGCCCTAGAGCCGGGACCGGGACCCTGAGGTCTCCTTGATGCTCCCGTCTGACATGGCACCTGCTGACACTCCCTCGCCTTCCCACTGTCTCCCTCCAGGCAGACCTCAACACCAACATCGAGGATGAAGGCAGCTCCTTCTATGGGGTCTCCAGCCAGTATGAGAGCCCCGAGAACATGATCATCACCTGCTCCACGAAGGTCTGCTCTTTCGGCAAGCAGGTGGTGGAGAAAGTTGAGGTAGGAGGCCACCCTGGCGGGTGAGGGCCGGTGGCAGTGGTCTGTGTTTGCTGGGCATGGCTTCCATTTGCTTTCAGGAGGAATGCCCTCCGTTAGGGAGCCAGGATAATCCCTTGTTGCCTTCCCTGTCTGCTGTCAGTGCTGTGTGCCTCCCACACTCCCCTTGGCACCAGTGTCCTGCCCAGCTAACCAGAGCCATTGCTGCCCTTTCAGGATCTTCCAAGCACGTCCTTGCAGGCACCCCCGGTCCTCTCCAAGAGCAGAGCCGCAGCACAGGCAGAGCCCTGGGCATCTACCTAGTCCAGCCCTCTGGCTTCACAGTGGAGGCCCAGAGAGAGCGGAGGCCTCCCACCAATCGCCCGCACATGGTCACACAGCTCATTAGTGCAGAAGCAGGGCTAAGATCTCTGTCCCCTGCTCACTTTGAACTCCATGAATGCCTAAAACTGTTCCTTCCCTGATTTTCTGCTTATGGGTACCCTGGAGACCCTGCTCTAATGGAAGTTACAGAAAATTCAGGCCTGCCTTTTATGGTTTCTCCCACTCTGCTAAACCCCCGGCCAAGGGCAGTGCAGGGCAGTGGTGAGGAGCATAAGCGCAGGTGAATCCCCACCCAGGCACCCTGCTTTCCGGTGCGTGTCTGGGGGGTTGTGATAAAATCCTCTGTATTTTGGCCCTAAACAAGGGCCAAGTTATCTTCACTGTCCGTGACACGGTCTCCTGCAGCACCCTGTGTTCTGGGCCCGCTGCGTAGTGGCAGTGACAAGGAGCTGGGACTGAAGGCCTCCAACCCAAAGCACCTGTGGACTCTGAGAGTCCGGGGCCCTGTGCCGCCCACACACTTGTTAAACCTCCTCACCGTGCAGGCCAGTCTTCGTCCCTCTCCTCACCCCTTCCCCAGATTGGTCTGAATTAATGAAGTCCTACTCTCACAGTCTGTCAGTTATTGATAGCCTTCCTCATGCCAAATGCAGCCAGATGCCCGGCCAGCACCAGGGAGGAGACATTACTCCACACAGTGCTTCTCCGCCTGGCTGCACCTTGCAGTCTCCTGGGAGCTTTGGAAACACACCAGTGCCTGAAACCCATTCATCACCCCTCAGTCTCTAGGGTAGAGTCCAGGCATTAGTGGTTTTTAAAAAGTTCCTCAAATTATTTATTTCTAATTAAACTTGTAAAACTTTTGAGATAATGGTGGATCCACTTGGGCTCATAATCCCATGTGCGCTTTACCCAGCTCTTGCCCTGGCCATATCTTGCATAACTAGAGTGTAAAGTGGACAACCAGGAAATTGACGTTGATGCAGTCCACCAAGCTGGTTCAGATTTCACCAGTTTTATCGGCACTCCTATGTGCGCTTGCATGCGTGTGTGTAGACAGGGAAATTTGCATGATCACCACCAGACTCCCAGGGGTCCCTGTGTGCCCCTCATGGTGTCCTCATGTACAGTCAGGATTGAGAGGCTCCTACCACTGCTCCTGTGTCTCCTTAAGCTCCCCTCCTGCCATCCCCGGTTCCTGCTGGCCACCCATGGAGAAAGGAGGTCTTGTTTAATGTCCACCAACCTAAGAGGGTGACTTTCTTTTTTTCTTTTTGTGAGACAGTCTCACTCTGTCGCCCAGGCTGGAATGCAGTGGTACGATCTCAGCTCACTGCAACCTCCGCCTCCCGGGTTCAAGCGATTCTCCTGCCTCAGCCTCCAGAGTAGCTGGGATTACAGGCACGCGCCACCGTGCCTGGCTAATTTTTGTATTTTAATAGTAACAAGGTTTCACCATGTTGGCCAGGCTGGTCTTGAACTCCTGACCTCAGGTGATCCGCCTGCCTTGGCCTCCCAAAGTGTTGGGATTACAGGTGTGAGCCACTGCCCCTGGCTGGGGGTGACTCTTTTCTTAAGGGCCCCCAGGCTTTCTGCCTTTCCTTCCCGTGGAGTTGGGTCTGGGCTGGAGGTGGTCAGAATGGGATTCTAAGCCCCTGCTCTCCCCGGGTCCTGCAGACAGAGTATGCTCGCTATGAGAATGGACACTACTCTTACCGCATCCACCGGTCCCCGCTCTGTGAGTACATGATCAACTTCATCCACAAGCTCAAGCACCTCCCTGAGAAGTACATGATGAACAGCGTGCTGGAGAACTTCACCATCCTGCAGGTGTGCGGCGGGTGCTGCGGGTGTGGCTGGAGTCTGTGTGTGGGTAGCAGCCATGGCATGCCCCTTCTGGGGCCTTATTAACCCTTGTCTTTTTCTCTCCCACAGGTGGTCACCAACAGAGACACACAGGAGACCTTGCTGTGCATTGCCTATGTCTTTGAGGTGTCAGCCAGTGAGCACGGGGCTCAGCACCACATCTACAGGCTGGTGAAAGAATGAGAGACTCGGGGAGCAGGGAGGGGGGAAGAGACGTGTGTGCAGGAAACGGGGACGTGGGGAGGGGACCTGCAGGGGCAGCCCCCTGAAGTGCCAAGAGAGCTGAGAGGAGCAGTTGTGACTCTACCCAGGAACAAACTGTGCCTGAACCTGAGGTGCCCAACCCCAAATAAACCCAAGATGCTGTGTATTTTCAGAGGACCTGGTCTGGCTGTGTGAGCCTCGGGAGGGACTGGGGGAGCAAGGGGGCCGTCTGGGAGGCAGGCCGGAAGCAGTGCTCAGAGACGTACCCCGGGCAGTTCTGAAGCCAGCGTCCCAATGGACTCAGCCAGGAACATCGCCGGACCCTGGAACTGAAGATGTGACAGTCCCTGTGCTACCTCTCAAGCCCCTGCACTGTGGTGCTGGCCACGCCGTGAGGCCCGATGAATGCATGGGCCACGCACCCACAGCCACGTGCGCCCCTGCTGCACTCCCAGGACGGTTCACACAGAGAGGCCCCATCCCCTGGGGGGTGGGTTTTAGGTGTGGCGGTGACAGTTGTTGGACGGGGACACTGTCAGAACTCTCTGGATAGTTTCCGTCCATCTCAATGGATGTGGATTCCATGACCATCTTCCGTGACCACGTTGGGGGCACTGGTTTCAAATCAAAGGACCCTGAAGCGGGGAGGGCAGGAGGCGGCAGGGCTGAGGCCGGCCTGAGGAGTCTCGGCGGGAGGTTGGGTGCACCAGTGTCCTCTTGGCTGTGGCCAGGAGGTTGATGAGAGGTCTCTGGTGCTCCGCTGGTCCCCGAGAGCCATTGGTGCTTGTGAGGCTTGTTCAAACTCTGTCCCAGCCAGGGTGCCTGTTAGGTGGAGGCCTCCTCAGAGCCAGCCTGCACCATCTAACTTCTTCCCTGAGGGGTAGTTTCTGTGCTCCCCGGGGGTGGAGGAGGGGAGTGGACCCCACCCTGAGCCTAGACTTAGATATGCAGCTGAAGGGGTTCCTGGGTTTATTTCTCCTGAGAACTGGCATGGGCTCTGAGTTTTGCCATTCCTGGCTTCGGTCCTAGCATTCTAAGCTGCCTGACCTTGGGCATTTGTCAACCTGTCTGAACCTTAGTATCCTTTCCTCTCTGTAGAGTGGGAAGAGATGGAGTCTGTGAAGCGCCTGGTGCAAGCTGTACTAATACACCTAACAATGAGCTCCTCCCTCCCTGCCTCCTTGCCTCCCTGCCTCCCTCCCTCCCATGGGGAGGCCAGAATCTGGCTGCTTGCTGCCACCTAGTGGCTCTTTGGGGTCATCTTCCCTCATAGGAACCACAGATCCAGTAGCCTAGAGCAGAAAGGGAAGGAAGATTCAACCTAGGGGTGTTTATGTTTACCGTGTGTCTGGCACTCGTGGAGATAGTGCATGGGACTACATAAGTAAGACAGCATCGAAGAGGTGTCTTGGAGTGTGGTTAGGAGCGAGGGCTCTGGAGTCAGACAAGCTACAGACTAGCTGAGTGACCTTGGGGCAAGTTATTTCATTTCACTGTGCCTCAGTTTCCCCATCTGTAAAATTTGTATAACGATAACCTACCTCGCGTATCTACAGTGCCTAGCATAGTGCCCCACATAAATGTGTTCACTAAATGTACGTCGTTATTAATCATAGGAGCTTGCAGTCTCACTAGGGCCGACTGGAAAACTATTAAGTGATCCTCAAAGCCACAGGCGCTCAGAGACTGGAGAGATCAAGGTGCAGAAGACTCAGGGAAGGGTAGTCTTGAGGGCAGCTGCCCTTAAAGGGTGGGCAGCATTTAGTGAAGCAGATGGAGGGAAGTTGACCGGCATCCCAGATGTGGGGAAGAGGCCAGCAGCCTAGTCTCCTCCACGGCCCAGCCCCCACTGTCTTACCAAAGAACAGCTTTAACCAAACCCCTCTGGGCATCAGGACCACCGCTACACCTCTTGCCAGGCTGCAGAGCTATGCAGTCTGGAGGCCCAGCTCTCGTCAGAAGCTGGGGCATGGGCTCTAGGGGAACCTGGGGTCGGATGAGCCCCTGAGCAGGTGGCAGGTGCCTACATGTCCCAGTGTGGGTTCGTGTTTGTGTAAGGCTCTCCTGCCCCCACCCCCAGGCACCAGCACAGCCTTTGCCTTCACTCTCTCCCCTCCCCTGTCCCTGGGGGATTGAATAAGGGAAGCTGGGGTTGGCCGTCCTTCTAGCTTGATTGGCAGCACCAGCGCTGTGACGGAAGGATGTGTTGTGCCAGCAGCCTCTTGGCCGCAGGACAAATGCACATTTAAAGAGATAACCTTTTTGTGTCCTGGCTGGGAAAGAGGTCAGTGCAGATGTTTTTGGGTCCAGGTGTTGGCTGTGAGTTTTCCTTTCCTCTATGAACTGACCTCAGCAGCCTAGTGGACAGTCACCTCCTTACAGGTGTAAAATCCAAGCCAGTCAACCATAGCAGGTGGCAGACTTAGCTGCCTTCCCTGTGGTGTGGTGCAGACCATGACCCTTGAGGCAAATGGGTGAGCTGGCCCCACCTCGCCTGCAGCCTCCTCTGAGGCTCCCCTGCTGCCTCCCCACTAGCCGCCCTGAATCACCTACTTCCCAGCACCCCCAGCCCGTGGTTCTCATCCCGTCTTCCATCTGTGATCTGGCACTCATTCTTCCAGAGCCAAAGAGGAATCCCCTCTTCTCATGCAGAAGACAGTCATGCCTGCCCTTGTGTGTCAAAAGCATTGCATTTATGCCCTGTTAGAACCCCTGTCACAAGCATGGTGCCTGAACACAGGTGCCTCTGTGGTCTCTTCTCATCCTCACCCAATGGGTACTATGCTAGCCCCATTTTACAGATGAGGCAAACGTGGCACGGAGAGCTCCACTAACTTGCCTGGATGATTCATGCATCCATCCATTCACTTAGCAAATACTTATTTAACTTCTGCTTTGTGCTAGCTAGTGGGGATGTGGCAGTGGGGATGTGGCAGTGGGGATGTGGCAGTGGGGATGTGGCAGTGGGAATGTGGCAGTGGGGATGTGGCAGTGAGGAAGACGACAGACAGGCTCCTTGGGAAGCAGAGTAAGCAAGTGAGGAGACAGGCGGGCGTGGTGAGGCTGCGCAGGCGCTGAGATCGAGTTGCTGGGGGAGGCCTCTCTGAGGTGGTGGGGCTTGAGTTGATTCTGAAGGACAAGAAGAGCCAGCCCTGGGGGTCTGGGGGAATGGTATTCCAAGTGGAGGGAACAGCAGGTGCTGGGGGCAGGGAGGTGACAGATGTGTCCCAGGTACAGAGAACAGAGTGAACAGGAGAGAGGAGGGGGCCAGGGCATTCCAGGTGGGGAAAGGCAGCAGGTGGCCCGGTGGTACCACCTCTTTTGGCGAGGGCTTTGGACCTTACCCGGTGTGATGGGAAGTCCTGGAAGTGTGTTAAGCAGGGGAGTCTTTTTGATCAGATTTTCTAGAAAACGACAGTGGGCTGCTGTGGACCTCAGAGAGGCATGTGTGATAGTGTGTTTCGGGCTCTTCCCACGAAACTCGGCTCTGCACAGTGAGACCTCATTTCCTGGTTCTGTTTGATGAGTGAGCGAATGCACATGGCAGGCGGTCATGTCCCTTGGGCCTGTGAGGTGAGGAAGGGTCCCTGAGCCCTGTGGGGATAGAGACTCTTCCACCATTCTGACATGATCCGAGTTAGCAGGCAGCACTGTCCAGATGGAAATGGGGATGGGAGACAGACCATCTCTCTCAGCGGGTCCAGCCATGAGCCAGCAGACTGTTTCCCATTGGCCCCCATCTTTCAGAGTGGGATGATCTTTCTAACAAAGAAACCCACACAGGAATTTGGTGTGTGTGTGCGTGTGTGTATTACCTTTCAGGATGGAAGCCGGTGGGGTGTGGAGCGAGGGGCTGGCATGGTTGGCCTCGCCCAGCTCCTGTACCCTGTGTGTGCCTAGAGCATGCACCTGCTCCCTCTGCTGGGCTGAGACTCAGAGGACACTGGGCAGGTGGTGGGGGGTAGGAGGGTCGTGGCTGTGTTGGGTGGGGCCACATCAGGTGTGTGGCACAGAGGGGGAGGGGGAGGGGGAGTGGCAGTGTGTTCCACCCAGCAGTCCCTGTGTTTGACCTCTTCGTACACTCTCTGTTGTATTAGCTCTCAGAATGAAAACGAGATACTTTTCCCCAATCTATGTACGTTGTTCTTAAGAATGTACACTTGGCCAGGTGCAGTGGCTCACGCCTGTAATCCCAGCACTTTGGGAGGCCAATGTGGGTGGATCACCTGAGGTCAGGAGTTCAAGACCAGCCTGGCCAACATGGCGAAACCCCATCTCTACTAAAAATACAAAAATCACCTGGGTGTGGTGGTGGGCACCTGTAATCCCAGCTACTAGGGAGACTGAGGCAGGAGAATTGCTTGAACCCAGGAGGTGGAGGTTGCAGTGAGCCGAGACCGCGCCACTGCACTCCAGCCTGGGCAACAAGAACGAAACTCTGTCTCCCAAAGAAAAAAAAAAAAAAAAAAGAACTTAAAGTTAAGCCAGGCCAGTGATTGAATTGACCTCTTACAAGTCATGTGATCTTGGACAGACACCCTCTAGGGAACTTCATAATCTCATTTGTGAAATGGGAATAAATGCTCCGACTTGGGACTGCCACTGGGAGGAGGACAGGTCATGGTGTGTGAAGGAGCAGGGCCACCCCTCGCTCACGGCGAGCTCAGGGAATGTGAAATGTGGGTGTGTAAAAATGTCCCCTGACTCCGCCCTTCCTGCCCCTAAAACACACGCACATGCACGCATACTTATTTTTAGAGAAAAAAAGCTCTAATGTCCCTCAAAGAAGGTGAGGAGAAGACCTTGAGTCTTGGTTTAGCGAAAACTGCCCCGTGCAAGGTTGTGCTTTTAGATTTTCGTCCTCATCTGGGTGTCAGGAAAGGGGAGGGAGTGTTCTAAATCGGGGAGATAACTTTGTGGCCCATTAAGGGGAGAAAGAGGTCCCAAGGGAAGGTCTAGAAAGGAAAGACAGACCGGGTGCTGTGGCTCACACCTGTAATCCCAGCACTTTGGGAGGCTGAGGCGGGAGGATCACTTGAGCCCAGCCTGGGCAACATGGCAAAACCCCATCTCTACAAAAAAATAGAAAAATTAGCAGGGCATGGTGGCGTGCTCTTGTAGTCCCAGTGACTTGGGAGGCTGAGGTGGGAGGATCGCTTGAGCACAGGAGGTCAGGAATGCAGTGAGCTGAGATTACATCATTGCACTCCAGCCTGGGCAACAGAGCAGGGCCCTATCTCAAAAAAAAAAAAAAAAAAAAAAAAAGGGGGGGAGGGCAGAGCAAATGGAGGACTAAAATACTCTAAGAAACTGTCAGGAAATCTGGCTTTCATTCAGCTTCCTGAGAAACAGCAGGGAGAGGTGGTCAGGTGCCTTCGTAGAAGGCGGGAGCCCCATTGGTAGAAGTGGCTGAGTCTTCTTCAGCTCATGGATGTCTAATACTCAACCTTCAGTTTTTTTTGTATTTTTGCTATGTAAAACCCCTTCATCTCTCCAAATCTTCAGTAAAGTCTGCTACATACACAAAGGCCTTTGTGTGCGTGATCTTTTTCTTGGAAATGACAGGTGCACACCTGTCCACAGAACACAGAGGTGGCAGCAGCAGGTCGCAGCCACCGAGGCCATCACAGCCTGAAGCAAGGCAGTGGAAGCGGGGACTCAGCCGTGCAAGCTGCCCAGCCTCCCACCCAACCCCCCCCCCACCCAGAGAATGAAAAGCACTCAGGGACGCCTCCCAGCCTGGGGTCAGGTTCAAGCCAGTATCCCTGGGCTCCCCAGGAACAAGTGTCTCCATGGCTATCTGGTTATCTCAGTCCTTTACTGTCCCCAAGCGAGGTTCCAGGAGGGAGTTCTGTCACCAGGTTCTGTGAGCACTGCACCTTTAGGAGCAACACTAAATGGACACAGGACCCCCTGGATTTGAAGAGTGGTCAAAGGGAGAGGTTCAGGCAGGGGCCGGCAAGATGTGATCCCTAGCTTGGCATCCTAGGAACTCGAGTCTAGCACTTGGCTCAGGAATAAGCAGGCTTACTAGCAGCCCACATGACTGACTTGCTAGCCAAAATCAGAGCAGCGTGATTGATAAGCCCAAGTGCCACTTCATTAATTCACACGGAACAGCACCGCTCCCAGCACATGGGAATGCTTGTATCTGCCTGTCAGCACATTCCTTCCTCCATGGAACACCAGATCACTTGCACACGGTAGCTTGTGCCAGTGCTTACGCACGGAGTTGCCCAACCTTAAAGGATTGCAGGCCATTGATGTTGAGGACCTGGTGCCCCTGCGTCCACTACAGGGACCTGAATTCTCCCATCCGAGAATCGAGAAATCCTTTTTTCTGGACATTGGTTAGCAATGACTTTTTGTTTGTTTTTTTAGAGATGGGATCTCACTATACTGCCTAGGCTGGTCTTGAGCTCCTGGCCTCAAGCAATCCTCCCACCTCAGCCTCCTGAGTAATTGGGATGACAGGCATGAGTCACCGTGCCCAACAACATTTTTTGCCACCACAAGTCCATTCTATCAGAGGTCCCCAACCCCTGGGCTGCAGGCCAGTACCCATCCGTGGCCTGTTAGGAACCAGGCCACATAGCAGGAGGTGAGCGGCAGGTGGGAGAGCAAGCATTACCGTCTGAGCTCTGCCTCCTGTCCAGCCGTGGCGTTGGATTCTCACAAGAGCACAAACCCTGCTGTGAACTGTGCATGCGAGGGATCTAGGTTGCGCTCTTCTTAAGAGAATCTATTGGCCAGGCGCGGTGGCTCACGCCTGTAATCCCAGCACTTTGGGAGGCCGAGGCGGGCAGATCACAAGGTCAGGAGATCTAGACCATCCTGGTTAACATGGTGAAACCCCGTCTCTACTACTAAAAATAGAAAAAAAAATAAGCCAGACGTGGTGGCGGGCACCTGTAGTCCCAGCTACTCTGGGCTGAGGCAGGAGAATGGCGTGAACCCGGGAGGCAGAGCTTGCAGTAAGCCAAGATCGCGCCACTGCACTCCAGCCTGGGCGACAGAGCGAAACTCTGTCTCAAAAAAAAAAAAAAAAAAGAATCTATTGCCTGATGATATGAGGTGGAACAGTTTCATCCCCAAACCATCCCACCTGCACTCCCCGCTCCATCCGTGGAAAAATTGTCTTAAATGAAACCAGTCCCTGGTGCCACAAAGGTTGGGGACTGCTGCATTACATCATGCAGAAAGCGACGATGCTGCTGAATAGGGTACAGTACGCAGCCAGCGGTCACTCCCCAAACACTACTGAGCACCTGAGAGTTGGCTGCTCGACTACACTCATTTTTAGTAGTTTAGGGTTCAGAGGGGGATCATTCCGAAGCCTCCTTTGTACCTGGAGCAGTTTCTCCCCGCTTCCTCTCCCCGTCTGGGCGGAGAGACAGGAGGCCTGCCGGTCGCATGCTCAGCACCTTCCTTTCAGACTGTAGGCTGGACCAGTGACCCAACACGACCCCTCACCTTTAGGGCTGGGAGGGTGGAGGAGGGTCTGCTTTAGACTGAGTTCTTTTTGGTTCAGGCTTGTGGGTTGTGCTGGGCATCACAGACAGGCTTACAATTTGAGACTGACGAAAGCAAGGAAGGAGAAAGGAACAGGAAAACACAAGTGGAAGGGATGTGGGAGGAGCCAGGCTGGGAGTCCCGTTATTGTCCCTGAGAGTTGTCCTTTCAGGCACTGCCAGCAGTGATGAGCGGGGTGAGGGTGGCTGGCGCGGCCCAGTGCTATTCTGCCACAGCCAACGGCTGCATTTCCTGAGCAAACGCTAGAAGCAAGTACAGTCCTAGGTGCTGGGGATACAGTGGGGCAGAATGCAGAGGTCTTCAATCTCCTGTGGCCTCCCTTCTAGCAGGGGACTTCCAAGAAACAAGCAACAAAAAAGGTAGGTAAACAAGAAAGCAGCAGGAGGTGATGTGTGCTTTGATGAAAATAAAACCAGATGATGTGTTGGAGTAGGGTTTGGCCAAGTCCAGCCCAGCGCCTGTTTTGTTTGTTTTTCTTAGAGACAGGGTCCCACTGTTGTTGCCCAGGCTGGTCTTGAAGTCCTGGCCTCAAGTGATGCTCCTGCCTCAGCCTCCCAAGTAGCTGGGGCTACTGGCCCACACCATCACATCTGGCTAAGAATGGTTTTTACATTTGTTTGTTTGGAGACAGGGTCTTGCTCTGTTGCCCAGACTGGAGTGCAATGGCACAATCACGGCTCACTGCAATCTCAACCTCCTGGGCTCAAGTGATCCTCCTGTCCCAGCCTCCCGAGTAGCTGGGACCACAGGACAGCGCCACCTTGCCAGCTAATTTTAAAATTTCTTGTAGAGGTGGGGTCTTGCTATGTTGCTCAGACTGGTCTCGAACTCATAGGCCCAAAGTGATCCTCCCACCTCAGCCTCCCAAAGCACTAGGATTACAAGTGTGAGCTACCATGCCCAGCAGGATTTTGTTTTAAAATGATTGAATAAAAATTGAAAGCAGAATAACATTTGTGACCCTGGAAAATGATATGGAATTCCAGTTTCAGTGTCCACAAATAGAGTTTTGTTTGTTTGTTTTGTGAGATAGGGTCTTGCTCTGTTGCCCAGGCTGGAATGCAGTGGTGCTATCTCAGCTCACTGCAGCCTCCACCTCCTGGGCTCAAGCAATTCTCCTGCCTCAGCCTCGAGAGTAGATAGGACCATAGGCACATGCCTGGCTAATTTTTGTATTTTTTGTAGAGACGAGTTTTTGCCATGTAGTCCAGGCTGGTCTCGAACTCCTGGACTCGAGTGATCTGCCCGCCTTGGCCTTCCAGAGTGCTGGGATTACAGGCGTGACCCACTGCGCCCGGCCATAAATAGAGTTGTATTGGAACATAGCCACAGTCCCTTGTTTACAGATCTTCTCTGGCTGCTTCTATGCCACAGTGGTAGAGCTGAGTGGTCGTGGCAGAGACCATATACAGCTCACAGCACCTGAAATATTTACTATCTGACCCTTCACAGAAAAAGTTTGCCCACTCCTGCATTAGGGGGTGGCTGGAATGGCTTTTTCAGAGTGGGTGGTCCTTGAAGGCCTCTCTGAGGCGATACAGCAGCCAGCCACGTGAAGACCTGGGGAAGGAGCCCAGGGCAAGTGTGTGGAGGCAGGAGAGCGCACATGTTCAGGTGGAGAAAGAGGGCTGGAGTGACGTCCTGGTCCTGCTCCACAGGGTGTATCTTTAATCATTTACTAGAGGAGAGTAGCGGTTTCGGGAGGTGGTTTTTTCTCCCGCTCCATCTGTTTCCTCCCAGTTGGCTTTCTCTTGGTTAGTTTGGGTCTTGGCCATTCATGGCAGAGCCCTTCCTCAGAAGCCCAGCAGTCCTAGTTGTTCAAACTTAAGACTGGGCGCTAAAAGCCAATGAGAGGCTCTGACTGTGCAGCAGGTGCTGGAGACTGGGTCGCGCTCTGTGACCATCTGACTGGGCTCTTATTTTAGGAAGTGAGTTTCTGTAGGGTATTTCCTCCTGGCCTGGTCAAATTCCATGGATGGGGTTTCTTCAATTGCTTGCTGGGGAGAGCATGTGGCCACCAGCATTCTGGGAACCAAGTGCTGGAATGTCTCAACCTGCAGTATGGAAACTTTCACTAATCCCCCTGTTTCATGCACTGTGTGCTCTCGCGTTCAGCTGTAGCTGGTGTCCCCCAGGGAGAGAACTCCCAGCTGCTGCCTGAGCTGTGCAGGGGAAGTCCCCCAACTGCACGGGGTTGAGGAGAGATTTGGGGAATCTATCTCTTCTTGAGCTCAATTTGGTCAATTCTTCTGTCTTTGGCCCCATCTCTACCTCTACTTCCAGAGATACCTGGTGCCACCAGTTCATGACTTTTGAAGGGTTTGGTGGTATGAGTCATGCTCCTTTGTGGCTTTCCCTGGTTTAGGATTCAGCTTCCTTCCCCTTCTCCTTTCCTTCCTTCCTTCCTTCTTTCCTTCCTTCCTTCCTTCCTTCCTTTTTTTAGAAGGAGTCTCGCTTTGTCACCCAGGCTAGAGGGCAGTGGCGTGATCTCGACTCACTGCAACCCCCACCTCCTAGGTTCAAGCAATTCTCCTGCCTCAGCCTCCCGAGTAGCTGGGATTACAGGCGTGTACCACCACGCTGGGCTGACTTCTGTATTTTTAGTAGAGACGAGGTTTCACCATATAGGCCAGGCTGGTCTCAAACTCCTGACCTCAAGTGATCCGCCCGCCTTGGCCTCCCAAAGTGCTAGGATTACAGGCATAAGCCACCATGCCCAGCCCCTTTCTTGCTTGTTTCCTTGCTTGCTTTCCTTCTTATTTCTTTCTCTTATTAATATTATTTTTTTGAGACAGGTTGGAGTACAGTGGCATGATCTCAGATCACTGCAAGCTCCACCTCCCCGGCTCAAGTGATCCTTCCATCTCATCCTCCAGAGTAGTTGGGACTACAGGTATCTGCCACCACACCTGGCTAATTTTTGCATTTTTTTGTAGAGATGGGTTTTCACCATGTTGCCAAGGCTGGTCTTGAAATCCTGGACTCAAGTAACCCACCCGTCTCAGCCTCCCAAAGTGTTGGGATTACAGGCATGAGCCACTGCACTCTGGCTTGGCTTTGCTCTTTCTTTCTCTTTCTTTCTTTCCTTCCTTCCTTTTCTTTCTTTCTTTCTTTCTCTTTCCTTCCTCCTTCCTTCCTTTCAGCCACCACACTCTGGCCTCCCTCCCTCCTTCCCTCCTTCCTCCCTCCATCCCTCCCTCTCTCCCTCCCTCCCCTTTCTTTCTTTCTTTTTCTTTCTTTCTTTTCTTTCTTTCCTTCCTTCCTTCCTTCTTTCTTTCTTTTTCTTTCTTTCTTTCTTCTTTTCTCTTTTCCCTTCTCTTTCTCTTTCTCTCTCTCTCTCTCCTTCCTTCCTTTCTTTGTTTCTGTCTGTCTGTCTTTCTTTCTTCTTTCTTTCTTTCTTCTTTCCCTCCTTCTCTCCCTCCCTTTCTCTCTCTCTCTCCCCCTTCCCCTCTCTTCCCCTCCTCTCCCCTTCCCTTGACAGAGTCTTGCTTCGTCGCCCAGGCTGGAAGCGCAATGGCATGATATAAGTGATTTAAGATAGAAAAGTATTTCTCTCTCATGAAATCTGTCCATTATTGTTAAGGTACTCCATGGTATCAAGGACCCAATATCTTTTTTTTTTTTTTCAGACAGTCTCACTCTATTACCCAGGTTGGAGTGCAGTCGCACGATCTCAGCTCACTGCAAACTGTGCCTCTCGAGCTCAAGGGATCCTTCTACCTCAGCTTCCTGTGTAGCTGGGACTCTGGGTGTGTGCCACCATGCCCAGCAAATTTTTTGTATTTTCCACAGAGACAGGGTTTCACCACGTTGGAGTATTTTGGACTCAAGCAGTCTGCCCCCTTGGCCTCCCAAGGTGCTGTGATTACAGGTGTGAGCCACCATACCTAGCTCCAAGATCATTTTACCTTGTTGCTTTACAATGGGTAGTTTCTATTCCTAAGGTAATATCATGGTCCAGAAGAGCTTCAGGAAATCCAAGACCATTACATAACATTCCATTCAACTGAAAAGAAAAAGGAGTGAAGCTTTTGAAGGCCCTGACAAGATTTTGTGGTAGGGAGACTGCTTTTTTTTTTTTCTCCTAACATCTGTTAACAAAATTTCTGTTATCATCTTTTTCTGGTAATATCTGGTAGTTATGTATGTTGCTGACACCTCAATGTCTGAAATCGAGTAAGAAAGTAAGATCTATGCGGCCGGGCGCGGTGGCTCATGCCTGTAATCCCAGCACTTTGGGAGGCTGAGGTGGGCGGATCACCTGAGGTCAGGAGTTCGAGACCAGCCTCAACATGGGGAAACCCCATCTCTACTAAAAACACACACACAAAAAAAAATCAGCTGGGCGTGGTGGTGCATGCCTGTAATCCCAGCTACTCGGGAGGCTGAGGCAGGAGAATTGCTTGAACCTGGGAGGCGGAGGTTGCGGTGAGCCGAGATTGGGCCGTTGCACTCCAGCCTGGGCAACAAGAGCGAAACTCAGTTTAAAAAAAAAAAAAAAAGAAAGTAAGATCTATGCTGCTATGGTTTTAATGTGTCCCCTGCAAAATTCAGGTGTTGTCAATGTGATAGTATTAAGAGGTGGGGCCTTTAACAGGTGATTATATCATAAGGACTTCTCCCCTCATGAACAGGATTAGTGCCCTTATGAAAGAGGCTTCCCATGGCTGTTGGCCCTTTTGCCCTTCTGCCTTCTGCCAAGTGAGGACAGTGTTCCTCCCCTCTGGAGGATGCAGCTTTCAAGCCACCATTGTGGAAACCAAAATTGGACCCTCATCAGACACAGAATTTGCTGGAACCTTGATCTTGGACTTCCCAGCCTTCAGAACTGAGAGAAGTAAATTTTTATTTTTTATAAATAAACCAGTCCCAGATATCTGTTATAGCAGCGCAAAAGGACTAAGACAATGCTTTCTTAGACAATGGGTTGCTCAAATGTCGAACTCTGCTGTTTTATGCTATTTCTATAGTTTACTTTTCAAGATTTTACTAATATAAGCTTTACAATTTTATAATGTACTGATACACATTTTTATGGTGTTCTTATTATATTCCATGGAAAATGGCAAAATAAATTTTAAGATTCCAGAAAAAAAAAAAAGAAAGAAAGAAAGAAAAAGGAGTGAAGAAGAGCATGCCCCTCCCTTTTGGGAATTTCTGGAAATTGCATTTCTGCTTACCTTCATTGGCCTCACTTAGCTGCAGGAGCCCCTAGGAAATATAGTTTTTATTCTGAGTGACCATATGCCATATGGAGGAATCCTATTACTCAGGAAGTAGAGGAAACCAGGGATCTCTACGACAAATGCATTTCTCTGCCCTCATCTTAACTCTCTGTCAATAGCATTTGACCACTACTCCTGGAAACTTTTTTTTCTTTTTTAGAGATGGCCTCACTCTGTTGCCCAGGTTGGAGTGCAGTGCCGTGATCATGGCTCACTGCAGCCTTGAGCTCCTGGGCTCAAGTGATCCTCCCACCTCAGCCTTCTGAATAGCTGGGGACGCAGGCATGCGCCACCACGCCTGGCTAATTTTAAAATTTTTTGTAGAGACAGGGGTCTCACTATGTTACCCAGGCCAGTCTCAAACTCCTGGGCTCAAGAAATCCTCCTGCCTTGGCCTCCTAAAGTGCTGGGATTACAGGCCTGAGCCACTGTGCCCAGCTTCTTCTTCTTCTTTTTTTTTTTCCCAGAGACAAGATCTTGCTTGGTTGTCTGAGCTGGAGTGCAGTGGTGTGATCATAGCTCACTGCAGCCTAGAATTCCTTGCCTTAAGCAATCCTACTACCTCAGCTTCCTGAGTAGCTGGGACTACACGTGCATGCCATCGCACCCCGCTAATTTATTTCATTTTATTTTTTAGAGATGGAGGTCTCACTATGTTGCCCAGGCTGGTCTCGAACTCCTGTACTCAGGTGATCCTCCTGCCTTGTTTTCCCAAAGTGCTGGGATATGGGCATGAACCACTGTGCCCAGCCACCCTGACTACAGCACTTTTCAGTTTACAAAGCACTTTCTTTTTTGTTGTTGTTTTTGTTTGTTTTTTGTTTTTGAGATGGAGTCTCGCTCTGTCGCCCAGGCTGGAGTGCAGTGGCACGATCTCGGCTCACTGCAAGCTCCGCCTCCCGGGTTCACGCCATTCTCCTGCGTCAGCCTCCCGAGTAGCTGGGACTACAGGCGCCCGCCACCACGCCCGGCTAATTTTTTGTATTTTTAGTAGAGACGGGGTTTCACCGTGTTAGCCAGGATGGTCTCGATCTCCTGACCTCGTGATCTGCCCGCCCACCTCAGCCTCCCAAAGTGCTGGGATAACAGGTGTGAGCCACTTCGCCTGGCCCCCTACAAAGCGCTTTCAAATACAACGTCTTTCTTGCCGTTTACAGCTACACTGTGATACTGTAGACATCCTCTTCACAGATGAAGAAATAGAGGCTCAGAGAAATCACTAACTCAACGCCACTTGGTTACTAGGTTGCAGATCTTGCACTGTACTTCAACTTGGAAGTCCTGGCGCCTCCACAGTGCTCGTGAAAAGAGGTGGACAGCAGGTGACGCATGTGCAGGGTTTGCCTAAGGCCAGGTAGGAGAGTTGGAAGCTGGCCCTGAAGGCCCCAGAGAGCACCAGCATTAAGGGAGAAAGCAATCCCTTTTTGGTGCAACAATTACCCTCCTTCCCTGCCTCTCTGCCTCCCTGCCTCCCTGCCTCCCTGCCTTCCTACCTTCCTTCCTGCCTTCCTGCCTGCCTTCCTGTCTTCCTGCCTTTCCTCTCTCTCTCTCTCTTTTTTTTTCTTTTTTTTAAGACAAGATCTCATTCTGTTGCCCAGGCTGGAGTGAAGTCGCCCGATCTTGGCTCACTGCAGCCTCTGCCTCCTAGGCTCAAGCAATCCTCCCACCTCAACCTCCAGAGTAGCTGGGACCACAGGCACACGCCACCACGGCCAGCTTATTTTTCGGTATTATTTTTTTTTTGTAGAGACAGAGTTTTGCCATGTTGCCCAGGCTAGTAAAATATTTCTATAGGGGTGATGTGGGGTGCAGGAGATTGTGGAGAATAGAGGGAAGTAAACATTAGACAAGCACCACGAGAGGGAAATGTGCTTGCCAGCTGGCGCGCTAGCAATCCCATCTTAGAAGTAATCAGGGAGTAATCAGATGTTCAGACCAAGAGTCTGCTGAGTGTCTTGTGACTATATCAATGTTTTCTCAGAATCAAAGGGATCTGCTTCTCTTCACAGCCTCGCTCCCTCAGAGGCCAAGCTGAGAAGTTTTGAAGTTTGGCATGATTCTCTTATTCTGCTTTTCCTTGTCAGTAACTACTTTGCTGACTTCTTTCCAATTTCTTTCTCTAAATCCCCACCAATCCTGCACAGACCCTTTGGGGCTGGTGTCTGCCAACATTATGTTGAAGTTGCCGGGGACACACAGATTTCTGATTTTAAGCTGTTTAGGGGTTTGCACCGTCTTAACAGCAAGCAAAGGTGAGTGACTTGTACGTAACTCGCTCAAGTTGACACAGTCGGAGAGTGGAAGCTGGGACTCAAAGCCAGCCTGTGACTTCTTAGACCACACGCTGTCTCCCAGCATTAGTTCTGGAAAAGGAAGAGCCCCCAGGAAACACCATTCCGTCCATCACATCCCTGTGCCCCTTTCATCTTGACGGACCCACCCTAGCACTGGCCCTGGAGACACATGAAAGCACGCCTCAGATGCCTGCTCCTGGGAAGGCCTCGAGCCCCTCCCGGCTTATAATTGGCCCACTTGCTCTTTCTCTTCATCTGGCTGGGGCTTGGATTCCTGGCTGGAGTCCCTGGCTTTGATATTTGCTTTTGCTCTCCTGGTTTGGCAACTCATCACATTCCCCGGGTGGCCTCCATTTTCTGTTAGCCCTCTGCCCTGCTCCCTCCTCTGGGTTTGTGTCCTCCCAGGGCCTCCAGTAGGAATTCTAGGAATGCCTAGAGTCCAGACAGGCCTCATTCATCCCATAAACATGTACTAAGCACCTAGGGTGTGTTGGGCACTGTTCTGTCTGCTGGGGATGCAGCAGTGAATAAAATCAAAGTCCCTGCCCTTAAGGAGCTTATATTCTACTGGGGGGAGTCACATAACAAATGAAGAGTTGTGTCAGGCCTCCTATTCTATTTCTCCCCCTCCCAGCCATACCCAAACTACTCTTGGATCTGATCTGCGTGACAGAGGCAAGGCCACACACACACTAGATCAACAGAGGGAGTGTGAGATGCAGAAGTGAGAGGCGGCAGGTGCCCCAAAGCCTCCTGACACAAGGTCACCGCTGCTGTGTGAAAGAAAATGCTAGAGAAGGCTGGGTGCAATGGCTGACGTCTGTAATCCCAGCATTTTGGAAGGCTGAGGCAGGAGGATTGCTTAAGTCCAGGGGTTTGAGACCAGCCTGGGCAACATAACAAGACCCCTAATCTATAACAAAACAACACTACAGAGAGAGAGGGCGGACCTGGCTGAGGGAGCAGCCCCAGCCTGTGGTCACTGGGACCACGGAAGGAGCCACATGCACAGGTGCTCACTTGTGAACAGCACCTACTTTCTGGGCTTCAGAGCGTGGTCCCCGGAAGAGTGCCAGTGCGTCATCTGGGAGCCCACTGCACGTGCAAACCTCACCCCACCCACTCCAGCCCTTCCCAGTCAAAATCCTCAGGGGGTTCCTGAAGTTTGAGAAACAACAGAGCTAGACTTTTTGACCAGGTACAGATTGATCACCCCAAAGCCATGGTCAATCCATGATAACTCCTCTCCCCCATGGAGATGGAGTAGGGATATGAGTGGGATACAGAGACTTCCTTCCATGGAAAGGTATGCATTTGAGCAGCATATTCATCACCGTTTGTAAAAATTAGTGACTTTTCTCTTTACAAACAAAACACCAATAAAAATGAATGAAAGAAAATTAAATTTGAAAGAGGTGCTTCCTTTTAATTTGACTTGTAATATTTTTAACTGTCAAAATTTCAACAAATAAATCTCTTTCTATACTTTTGTGTTAGTTTATAAGCTACTAAGTCATGGTCAGTTGAGTTTTTAATGCCTGAGGGAAGCTTTTATGCGTGGAGAGGAACAAATTTATTTGTGTATTTTACTTATGTTTCCAGTTTATTGAAGGTGTACATTTTATTGTTATTTTCATTTTTATTTGTTTTACTTTGTTTTGGGGGGACAGAGTCTCGCTCTGTCACCCAAACTGGAGCACAGTGGTATAATCATGGCTCATTGCAGCCTTCAACTCCTGGTCCCATGTGATGCTCCTGCCTCAGCCTCCCAAAATGGTGGGACCACAAGCATGAGCCACTGCACCCAAAGTTGTACATTTTCAAGACTAGTTTTGTTAAGTTCAACTCATACAATTTATTACTTTGCTCATAAATCTAGTATTTTTATGTTACTTTGCTCATAAATCTAGTATTTCTATCACTTGTTCTTTGATTAATGCCTGATTAGCTTATAAATTCTCTAAACATTAAATATTACTTATAAGCTTGATTAATTAAATTAGCTTAGGCTGTTTAAACTATATTAATATTAATATTCAAACATCTAACAAGGCAGATATACAAATCTAACAAAATCTTAGACACTAAGCATGTAGCACTAATAATTTAAACACTATTCACAAAACATAGCCTCAATTTATAGACCCAATTAGATTTATTTAAGCATTTAACCACCAAACTTAATCTACCTAAATACTAAACTAATATCACAAGTTTAATGTCACATGCTTTTACACTTTTCCAACACTTTAAAAAGCAGATTTTAAAATTCTATACTTTAAAGTCATTAGTGGTTAATTTTGTTACGTGAATTTTACCTCAACTAAAAGCAGATAAAACCCAAATCATCCCAGTGTTTGCAGTAGTTATTACCTAAAGCTATTAAAGTAGTTACTCCTTAAAGGTATTACAAGAGTATTAATGTACGTTCGTGTCCATCATCTTCTTTATATTTATTTTTAAGCCTCTATCCAAAGAAAGAAAGCAGAATTAGCCTCACAGTTGGGCTGAAATCAGTTGAAGATGTAGGTCTGAGGTACGGTTACAGATCGGGGTATGAGTTCCAGATTTGGAGCTGCCGTGCTGTTCCAGTATGGAGAGATGCTTGGAGCCTGGGCACTGGGTCTGGGAGTGGGGCCTGGATGTGCCTTCTACAGTCATTTCTCCCAGGCTGGCAATTATCAGTGTGGGTGGCTTCCTTTGGTCAAGTTTTTCCTGCCGAATTAACAAGATTCATAGAACTCTCACTGTTTTGTTTTGTTTTGTTTTTTGTTTTTAAATAACTCAGTGCATCTTTCATCCCTGAGTGTCCTTTAAATCTCATTACCTGATATAAATACATAAGTACAAGAAATTCGGGCTGGGAGCGGTGGCTCACGCCTGTAATCCCAGCACTTTGGGAGGCCAAGGCGGGCGGATCACGAGGTCAGGAGATCGAGACCATCCTGGCTAACACGGTGAAACCCCGTCTCTACTAAAAATACAAAAAATTATCCGGGCGTGGTGGCGGGCGCCTGTAGTCCCAGCTACTCGGGAGGCTGAGGCAGGAGAATGGCGTGAACCTGGGAGGCGGAGCTTGCAGTGAGCCGAGATCGCGCCACTGCACTCCAACTTGGGCGACAGAGCCAGACTCTGTCTCAAAAGAAAAAAAAAAAAGTACAAGAAATTCATAGCTTAATTATGAATCAAAACTTGGCTATGGTATGCACAGTGTTTTAAAAGTGGACACTTCAGAACAATTGGCTTTGGCAAAACAAAAACAACCAAAAACCAGTTGACATTTTCAGGAGCTCACATATACTTTTAGTATAACCCATATCCAGTACCATTATGGACTCAAGCTTTTCACTACATTTTTGTTTTCTTTTTGATAATCAGATGATCACAGTTTTGCCTTTTTTTCCTTTCTTTTCTTTTCTTTTTAGAGACAATGTCACTGCAGCCTTGAACACCTGGGCTCAAGGGATCCTTCCACTTCGGCTTCCCAAGTAGCTGGGACTACAGGTACGCGCCACCACACCCAGCTAATTTTTTTATTTTTTGTAGATGTGGGGTCTCGTTATGTTGTCCAGGCTGGTCTTGAATTCCTGGCCTCCAGTGACTCTCCTGCCTCAGCCTCCCAAAGAGTGGGGATCACAGGCATGAGCCACCGTGCCTGGCTGGCTTTGACTTTTTTTCTTTCTTTTTTTTTTTTTTTTTTTGAGACGGAGTCTTGCACTGTCGCCCAGGCTGGAGTGCAGTGGCGCCATCTCGGCTCACTGCAAGCTCTGCCTCCTGGGTTCACGCCATTCTCCTGCCTCAGCCTCCCGAGTAGCTGGGACTACAGGCGCCCGCCACCACACCCGGCTAATTTTTTTGTACTTTTAGTAGAGATGGGGTTTCACCGTGTTAGCCAGGATGGTTTCGATCTCCTGACCTCGTGATCCGCCCGCCTTGGCCTCCCAAAAGTGCTGGGATTACAGGTGTGAGCCACCGCACCCGGCCCAGCTTTGACTTTTTATGCTGCGTCCTTTTTCCTTTTAACACTACCTTAAACATTTTTGTTTTTTAACTTACATACTTCTAGCAAAGTCTGCTCAGGCCAACTCTGATTTTTCTTGCACCAAGGTATGGAATCAGCTATTCCCCAAGGAGCCCTGTTTCTTTGAGTGGCAAATGTTATCAGTTGAATGTTATGTCTGGGCGCTCATGGTGCGAATCACATTATCCGTGTGAGAACTAAAGGCAGGCGTCTGCTTCTAGTGCACTCCAGTGGGAGCTGGGAAATGAGTTCGTGCTGATGTGTCCAATTCAACTCCAACTCTAAGTCCTTTAAAAAAATACACCCTGTTATAAAAGGTTTTCATTTTTTTCTCCCCTTTTAAACTTCCAGCTTATTCTTCTTTTATAAAAACAACTATATATATATATTTTTTTCTACCTCCTTCCCCCCATATGTGTATTCCAATTAAAACATTAATGAACTTTTTAATGTCATAAATGGATGTATACCTACTTAGATCCCAGACACCCTGGCAAGGGCTTCAAATGTGCCATCTTCACTTTTATACTCCTTGTGTGTCTTATCAACCATCATCCTCTGGTCATTTATTGACAGTCACACAATTTCATTTCACCCAACTCTATTGAATTCATGAGACTTTGATTTCAATTTCAAACCATCGGCATGGGTTCCTGCTGTCCAGGAGCAATCACGCCTTCTGACTCTTCCCTGCGTTTGGTACTGGAGATCGGGGATGTCATTTTCTCATTGTTTCTCCCTGTTATCTTCAGGGCTCCTCTCAGACGGTCTCTGCGACCTGCTCTTCAGAGAGCTTCCGGAGGAAATATAATTAACATGCATCTAACAAAGTTAACCTTTTTAACAATTTTTATTCTTTTTTTTTTTTTTGAGACAGTCTTGCTCTGTCACCCAGGCTGGAGTGCAATGGCGCGATCTCGGCTCACCACAACCTTCGCCTCCCAGGTTCAAGCAATTCTCCTGCCTCAGCCTCCCGAATAGCTGGGATTACAGGCTCCTGCCACCATGGCTGGCTAATTTTTTTGTATTTTTAGTAGAGATGGGGTTTCACCATGTTGGCCAGGCTGGTCTCGAAATCCTGACCTCAGGTGATCCACCTGTCTCGGCCTCCCAAAGTGCTGGGATTACAGACGTGAGCCACCACGCTCAGCCACACATGGGTTTTTATAAATAAGCAGATTTCTTTTTCATAGTGCATGCAATGGAGAAAAGCAGATAACTCTATCTCCATCAGCTTGTCCCCAAAGTCCAAGCCCCTCTCCTTGTCACCCAGCACACCCTCATCTCAAGTGCTCAGCCTTTCTTGTCCTGACTCAGCTCCTACCTTCCCCACATCCCACTTCCTCCACCATGCTGCCCTGACGTAACCAGCAAACGTCCTATATCCTCGCACCTTCTGAAGAGGACACACCCTAAGAGGCCACCATGATCCCTGGCTCCTGGTGCTCACACCTCTGTGTAATGCCCTCTCCTTGAGTACATGTGCACCTGTCACTTGCTTCTAATGAACAGAATATGCAGCGGGGTTGGATGTCACACTGTGATGGAGTGATATTATGAGACTGTCTTGCTAACAGACTTGTTCTGGAGACTTTTTGCTGGCTCAGTGAAATGAGCAGCACATTGGAAAGGCTCACGTGGCTAAGAACTGAGGGCAGCTTCCAGCAGACAGCCAGTGAGGAATCAGGAAACGAATTCTCCTGCATCCCGAGTGAGCTGGAAGCAGATTCTTCTAGTGGAGCTTCCAGATGGCACTGTGGCCAACACCCTGATTATAGTCTCCTGCGATCCTGAGCAGACAGCCCAGCTAAGCCATGCTGAGACTGACTCACAGACCCTGTGAGATACTAAGTGTGTGTTGTTTTAAGCCTCTGAATCTGTAGTAATTTGTTCTGCAGCCATAGATAAATAAAATCATACCCCAGCACACACTGTGTCTTCTGTAGCCCTCCTACAGTGGTGGTTGTCATTTTCTCCGTGCCACAGCTTAAAAGCTGGGCAGTAAGGTCATTGTCTTCTTTGCTTTCCATTTCCCTTAGGCTTTTTCTGAGCCTCAACCATACAGCTATGCCACCCTCTTCCCTTCCTGAAAGCCTCTGTCATCCACCGACCTCCAGGTCCCTCCTTCTTCAAAGATCTCTGCATCAGTCTCACCACTTCCTCCTCACCTGTGTGCTGCTGTCATCCTAGGTCAATTCACCCCTGGTTTGGGTGAAATTGTCAACAGTCCAACTGGGCTCTCAGCTTCTTGACTCCCTCTTCCCTAAAGATCACCTCTACTGTCACTAAGCCACCCACTTCCACAGTCACAGTTTGGGCTTTGGCACTATTGGAAGTTGAGACTTTCCACTTCCAAATCACTGATTATTCACTCTCCTCTTCTCTGACTGCTGCTCCTTTCCCCATGGCTGGCCTGTGCGGGTACCCCCACTGCACCTGTTCACCATCATCAGCACCTCTGATCTGTGGCTGTCTCTACTTATCCCCATACCATCAGCTGTCTCTCTCCCTTCCTTCCTCCTTTATCATGCTTAGAGTCCATGTCTCTAACAATGTTGGTCAAGCCCTAATCTGGATCCTTTGTCATTTTTTTATCCTATCTGGCAAAATCCCAACTGTGTATGGACCCAACTACCTATTACTGTGCCTGCTCTCAGGCAGCCTCTGGGAAAGTCACACAACAGGGCATACTGGTTCTACATAAATTCATGATTACTACATCCAGAGGTACCCTCACTACACCTGGGGAACCCCGATAAGTGTCTGATTAACTTACTTTCCCACAGCGATTATTTCAAACCCCTGTCGATCTCCCCAAGCCCCTGGCCCTTCCTTCAAACCTCCACTTGCAGATGACCTTGTCTCTTTCTTTTTTTACTTAGAGACAAGGTCTTGCTCTGTGGCCTAGCCTGGAGTGCAGTGGTGTGATCTCAGCTCACTGCAACCTTTGCCTCCCAGACTCAAGTGTTCCTTACATCTTGGCCTCCCAGATAGCTAGGACCACAGGCAAGCACCACCACACACAGCAAATTTTAAAATTTTGTGTAGAGACAAGGTCTCACTATATTGACCAGGCTGGTCTCAAACTCCTGGGCTCAAGCAATCCTCCCTCTTCAGCCTCCCAAAGTGCTGGGATTATAGGTGTGAAACAATGCACCCGGCTTTGTCTCTTCCTTTCTCTTTCTTTCTTTCACTTTTACAGGGAAATAGAAGCCACCAAATAAAAATTCCCATCTCGAACCTATAAATCCACCTGTATTTGCTCTCATCCTATACTTCTTTTCCCTCTGAAATAGCCTTTGCCATATTATGACTGCAGAGAAATCTGGCATGGCTGACTCCATCTTGCTGCTGGCCTCACAGGCTGGCTGTCTTTGCTCATTCCTGGGCATGGGCCAAGCTAACTTTGTGAGAAATTTAGTTCATAATTTAAATGATAATAGCCCCCAAACTAAATTGCCCTTGTAACGCTAATGAAAGGCCATTGCATTAGGAGGATGAGAGGGGTCTGAATTCTACTAAGGTGTGGGCATAGTGAAACGCTTCCTAGTCATTATTGCAGATGTCACAAGATGTGGAATTTCCCCAATTACTCCTGTAAATAACATCACTATTGTAGAATCTGATTGGCCTTTTGAGATGTCTTTTCTGGTTTTTGCATTTCTGATGATCAGTGGCTCCGCCTGGACTTGCCAACCAGTCCTGTCCCCACCGCTCCCCACAAGGAACCAACTCAGCACAAGAGAACAGCTTTGACTTCTTATGATTTCATCTCTGACCCAACCAATCAGCACTCCCCAATCCCTGTCCCCCTACCCAGCAAACATTCCTTGAGAAACCCTTGTCTCTCAATTTTCAGGGAGGCTGATTTGAGTAATAAAACTCTGTCCCCCTACCCACCAAACTATCCTTGAGAAACCCTTGTCTCTGAATTTTCAGGGAGGCTGACTGAGTAATAAAACTCTGGTCTCCTGTTAAGACAGCTCTGTATGAATTAAATTCTTTCAAAGCCAGGCATGGTAATTCCAGCACTTTGGGAGGCTGAGGCAGGTGGATCACCTGAGGTCAGGAGTTCAAGACCAGCCTGGCCAACATGGTGAAACCCTGTCTCTACTAAAAGTACAAAAATTAGCCGGGTGTGGTGGCACATGCCTGTAATTCCAGCTACTTGGGAGGCTGAGGCAGGAGAATCGCTTTAACCCGGGAGGCAGAGGCTGCAGTGAGCCAAGACTGCACCACTGCACTCCAGCCTAGGTGACAGAGCGAGACTCCATCTAAAAAAAAAAAAAAAAAAATTCTCTATTGCAATTCCCCTGTCTTGATAAATTTGTTCTATCTGGGCAGTGGGCAAAATAAACCTGTTGAGTGGTTATACCTCCTGTTGCGATGCAAGTGCTGTCATATTTTCTGCCTTAGCCAAATCCCTACCCTTACACTGTGAATTCTATGAACCCATTTGTGGACCTCCCCAAAAGCTTCTAAGTGTATATTTTTTATCTCCTTTCTTTTTTCTTCTCCTTCTGAAATTCCAATTATCCATACATTAGACATTTTCATATTGTTCCACAGGTCTCTGAGGCTCTGTTGTCTCTTTTTCTTTCCAGTGTTCCATTGATCTCTATTCAAGTTCATTTGCTCTTTCCACTGAGATGGTGGAATGATCATTAAGCACATCCAGTTAATTCTTTGTTTTTGTTTTGAGATGGGGTCTTGCTATGTTGCCCAGGCTGGTCTCAAACTTGTAGGCTCATGTGATCCCCCCACCTCAGCTTCCTGAGTAACTGGGATTACACTGCACTGAACACAGCCAGTGAATTTTTTATTCTATATATTTTTGTTCTAAAATTTCCATTTTGTTCTTTTTAATATTTTGTATTTTTTGGCTGTGGCTTCCTATCTGTTCATTCATTATGTGTGTGTTTTTCTTTATATTCTTCAGCATAATGATAGTAGTTGCCTTAATATCCTTGTCTGATAATTCCAACATCCAAGTTACCTTGAGATTGGCTTCTGTTGTCTGTTTTTCCCTTGAGAATGGGTCATGTTTTCCTGGTTCTTTGTATGCTTAGTAATTTTGGATCATATCCTGAGTATTTTGAAGGTTATGCTGAGGAGACTCTAGATTCTGTTTAATTCCTCAGAAAAAGGCTAATCTTTTTCCTTTAGCAGGCAATTCACTAATCTTTTTTCTTTAGCAGGCAATTTATTGCAAACCAAGTTTGCAATAAAACCAGTTGCAAACTTGGTTTTATCCTCAGTGGGCAGGAGCTTGGGTCTCAGTTTAGTTTGTTTGTTTGTTTGTTTTTGAGATGGAGTTTTGCTCTTGTTGCCCAGGCTGGAGTGCAATGGTGCGATCTTGGCTCACTGCAACCTCTGCCTCCTGGGTTCAAGCGATTCTTATGCCTCAGCCTCCTAAGTAGCTGGGATTAGAGGCATGTGCCACCATGCCTGGCTAATTTTGTATTTTTAATAGAGACGGGGTTTCTCCATGTTGGTCAGGCTGGTCTTGAACTTCCAACCTCAGGTGATCCTCCCGCCTTGGCCTCCCAAAGTGCTGGCATTACAGGTGTGAGCCACTGCACCCGGCCTCGGTTTAGTTTTTTTATCTTTAGCTAGGCTGCCTGCAGGTTTCCCTGTGCATGTGAGGTTCAGCAGGAATCAGAGACTTAGGCAGAGTTTATATACAGAATTCTGGATTTCTCTTCTCTGGCTTTCCCCTTTCCAAGACTCACCCCTCACTCTTCAATAACTTTGATTACTCTGGGCTCCACTCTCGGGTTCCTCTCACTGGAAAGCCAGCGGGCTTCTATTGGAATTTTAGCTGTAAACCAAAAATAAAATTCTAAGCCCCCACAACCAACTGAAGGCCCCCTGCCACCTCAGCTGAGGGCATTCCAAAGTAAACTTGAAAAACTAGTTTGGGCAGTGATAAGAATAGGTGTTAGGACATGTCTCATTATACCCTCCTGCCTTTGGGACTCAGGCACAACTGACCAGCATCAACATCAAAACAGAGATCTTAAGACTGACAAAAAGACTCTGTGCAATAAGACACCAAATTCCAATCTGACTCTAGTATAGCATCACATGACATAGCAGTCTCTGAAATAAATTATAGTATTTTCCCCCAAAACGTATTTCTTTGACATATTTAAAAATGGTCCTGCAAAGCTGTCTCTTGTGGAGGAAATCTACCTTCTATAGAGAATTCCCCTTTTTTTCCAGGTCTTTTCCTGACCCAGGAGAGAATTAACTCCAAGTCTGGTGCCTTTTTAGATCTGATAAGAGACATTTCCCATCTATTCTCTCTGATGCAATAAGAAACTTGCCAGCCTGAACAATATGGTGAAACCCCATCTCTACAAAAAACCCCAAAATTAGCAGGGTGTGGTGGCACACGACTGTAGTCCTAGCTACTTGGGAGGCTGAGGTGAGAGGATTGCTTGAGCCCAGGAGGCAGAAGTTGTAGTGAGAGAAGATCATATGACCGCATTCCAGAGTGGGTGACAGAACAAGATTCTGTCTCAGAAAAAAAAAAAAAAAAAAAAAAAAAGCCAGGCACAGTGGCTCATGTCTGTAATCCCAGCACTTTGGGAGGCCAAGGCGAGTGGATTGCTTGAGCCTAGGAGTTTGAGACCAGCCTAGGCAACATGGCAATACTCTGTCTCTACAAAAAAAACCCAAAAAATTAGTTGGGTGTGGTGGTGCGTATCTGTAGCCCCAGCTGCCCGGGAGGCTGAGGTGGGAGGATCACCTGAGCCTGGGAGGTTGAGGCTGTAGTGAGCCATGATTGCACCACTGCACTCCAGCCTGAGTGACAGAGTGAGACCCTGTCTGAAAAAAAAAAAAAAAAAGAACCTTCATCCTCACAACCCCTTAAGCCAGACACTCCCTTCTATTGATTCCAGTTCTTTAGATAATAACTCAATCAATTGCCAATCAGAAAATCTTTGAATCCTTTGAATCCACCTATGACCTGTAAGCTCCCCTCCCCGTCTTCAAGTTGTCCCACCTTTCCAGACCAAACCAATGTGTACTTCACATGTATTGACTGATGTCTTATTTTTTTTTTTTTTTTTTGAGACAGAGTCTCGCTCTGTTGCCCAGGCTGGAGTACAGTGGCGTGATCTTGGCTCACGGCGATCTCTGCCTCCTGGGTTCAAGTGATTCTCCTGCTTCAGCCTCCTGAATAGCTGGGACTACAGGTGTGTGCCACCATGCCCAGCTAATTTTTTTGTATTTTTAGTAGAGATGGGGTTTCACCGTGTTAGCCAGGATGGTCTTGATCTCCTGACCTCATGATCCACCCGCCTCGGCCTCCCAAAGTGCTGGGATTACAGGCATGAGCCACTGTGCTCAGCCGGACTGATGTCTTATTGTTATGGGTAGTTAGGCATGAGTGAGGAAGGAGGGGGCTCCCCCACCCACTAGGAATGTCAGATGATGACTTGGCAATGATCACATTGCCTCTCTAAGAGTGATAAATGGCAGCTGGCACCAGGGAGAGGCCATTTCCTGATGGTCCACACCTGTTGCACTAAAGTGTTAACTGAATGCAGGCGCCAGGGAGAAGCAGCTTCCTGGGCAGGTGCATCAACAGACAAAATGGCAGAGTATGACTTTCCGGGGGCAGTCCACTGGAAAATCAAAGAAAGCCTCGGAGGGGTGAGCGTACAACTTCCTAAACACACTGTGTGTGCTCACTTCCCAAGGGTAAGGGGGACAGCACACATAAGGGCAGCCCACCCTAAGGGAAGAATCATGGGACAGGGGCCAGCCTATAAAGTCCTAGGATCAAGGTTAAACACTGCACTTGACCTCGGTGCCTGCTTGGGTCTCTTCCAAGTGCACTCTCCTTTCCTTTCTTTCCTGTTCTAAAGCCTTTTAAATAAACTTCCACTCCTGCTCTGAAACTTGCCTCAGTCTCTTTTTCTGCCTTATGCCCCTCAGTCGAATTGTTTCTTCTGAGGAAGCAAGAACTGAGATTGCTGCAGACCTGTATGGATTCACTGCTGGTAACTGGGATACCTTCCACCGGTAACATTATGCCTCCCTGAAAGGTGTGAAACCAAACTGTAACCCAGCCACCTTGGACATGTGTTCTTAGGACCTCTTGAGACTGTACCTTGGGCCTTGGTCACTCATATTTGGCTCAGAATAAACCTCTTCAAATATTTTACAGAGTTTGACTCTTTTCATTGGCATAGCCATCCTATGCTGTGCTGTGACCGTGGCCAACACAAGGAAAATCCACAAAGTCGTGGACCCATTTCATGCCAGGTGCTTCCTGAACATATTGATTCCCCTCCAAAACCTACCTGCTTGGGTTTACTCTCCAGAGCCCTTAGGTAGGTAGGTTTTCTGTTTGTTTATATATTTTGTCCAGAATGTATAGATTTTATCTGTGGGGGATTGGTCAGCTAGGCACTGATTTCTCCATATCAGAAATAGGACTCTGCCCATGAGTTTTAAGTGGCCTCAATTCTCCCATAAAACTCCCCAACCCTCCCTTGATTTCCAATCTCCTTCAGCAATCTGCCCTATGTGTCTTCCCATCCACAGCCAATTTTCTTGAAAGAATCATTTTACCATCTTTATTCCTCAGTCCCTACTCCCTTCTCAGCCCCTCCAACACAGGTCTCTGCCTCATCATAACAAACAAATGGCTTTTGCCAAGTTCCCCAGTGACCTTCAACTTACTAAATCTGATGGACACTTATTAGCTCTAATCTTCCTTGAATTCAGCACGTTTCCCTTTACATCTAGTCCTCTTCCACTGTTTCTATCTCAGTTATTTACTCCACCAACCATCCTCTTACACTGGCCAGAATATAATGAGTCCTTTTTTTTTTTAAACACGGTTTTGCTCTGTTGCAAAGGCTGGAGTGCAGTGGCATGATCACAGCTCACTACAGCCTTGAACTCCTAGGCTCCAGTGATCCTCCCATCTCCATCTCCCAAGTAGCTGGGACCACAGGTACACACCACCATGAATGGCTAATTTTTGTATTTTTTATAGAGATGGGGGTTTTGTTATGTTGCCTAAGCTGGTCTCAAACTTCTGGCCTCAAACTTCTGGCCTCAAGCCATCCTCCCATTTCGGGTTCCCAAAGTGCTAGGATTACAGATATGAACCACTGCACCTGGCCAATGTGTCTTTGTTTACACCTTCCTTTCTCTTATTCCTTATGTTCATTGCTGATGTAAATTTCACGTTTTTTTTTTTTTTTTTTTTTTTTTTGAGACAGAGTCTCGCTCTGTCGCCCAAGCTGGAGTGCAGTGGCACAATCTCGGCTCACTGCAAGCTCCGCCTCCCAGGTTCACGCCATTCTCCTGCCTCAGCCTCCCGAGTAGCTGGGACTACAGGCACCTGCCACCACGCCTGGCTAATTTTTTGTATTTTTAGTAGAGATGGGGTTTCACCATTTTAGCCAGGATGGTCTCTATCTCCTGACCTCGTGATACGCCCACCTCGGCCTCCCAAAGTGCTGGGATTACAGGCGTGAGCCACCGCGCCTGGCCCTCAAAGTGCAAATCTAATCACGTCACTCTCTTATTTAAAACACTTCACTGATGACTTACTTATATACATGCCAACATTTTTTACCTGGCCTGCCATAGGCTGAGGCTTATCTAATTCTTTGTCTTTAGCTCACACTGTGATCCCCACAACTTCTGCTGTAGACATATTAACATTTTCTGTGCGCTGGGAAGTTTGTGTTTGGGTTCAATGCTTTTAATAGGTCAGACCTTTTATAGGTGGTTTTGGTCTGTAGGGCAGAATTTAAAGTGATTTTTAAACCATGGAATTGCCCTTGATAAACACATAGGAATATTGTAAGTTCAGTAAGAAAGCTGATACAAATGTAGCTGATATGGCTATTACTATTACATTTATTGATTCCAACCAACCATGCAAATTCCTCAGTTGTTACCCACCTGTTCAGATAGATGGTGTACATGTCCACGTGTGAGCACGTGTGTGCATGCACACGCACACACAGAAGCACTTGCAGATAGTTCCCATGTGTTTCTGAATACTGTACATCAGGTTGTCGAATGCCAACAGCTTTAGCTATACCTGAAGACCTTTTGCAGGGGCATTCTGCTTTTCTTGGCCTCTGTATTTACTGTCTGATTTTACAATGTTGTCTGTGCATTTCTGTCTTTACAGAGTACATGCTGACCATCAGCAATCCCAGACATAGAATCTGCTCTTCTTCAGACCACGACCTTGTAAAACCTAGGTGGCTCCAGACACCCTCCTACTCCAGAAGTGCATGCTTTCTGTAGGCAGTGACCCATCTCAGGTCACACACACACACACACACGCACACACCCACCCACAGAATTACCGGCACTCATTACGCTCAATGCTTCTGATCAATCTTTCTGTTTTTTACTCTTGGGAACTTGGATCCAGCCCACTCTCACCCCCACAAGACATCTGAGGATAGCCAGGAGTCTGAAGGCCCCAATTTGAAAAACACACAGTCTGGTATGGTCCCTGATGCCTGTTTTTGTAAATACAGTTTTATTGGGACACAGTCATGCTCATTTATTTATGTATTTTTTATGACCGCTCTCCTGCTTCAATGGCAGAGCTGAGTAGTTGGGACAGAGACTGTATACCCTACAAAACTGAAAATATTTACTATCCGGCTCTTTACAGACAAAGTTTGCTGGCCTCTTCTAATCTATGTTTTCCAATAGTCTTAGCAACAATCAGTAACAAAGTAGAGTTGCCAGATTTAGCAGTTAAAAACACAGAATATAAATTTGAATTTCAGATAAACAACAAATACGTTTTTTTTTTAAAAAGAATAAGCATGTCTCAACAATCACACGGCAGCCCTATATAACAAAGACTTACACAAGAACCCTGTGGTCCTCTCAATCCTGCCACCTGCCTCACTTTGAGCCTTGGAGGAGAAAGAAGGTGAAGAAAGGAGGGGCCCTTGGGATGATGTGCACCCGCCAGAAGAGGGCATTTGGGATGGAAGCAGAAGAACAGTCTTTGGTCACTCTTCCCTGCCTCACCTTGACGACTGTGGGAGCTCCAGCGTTTGAGGTCCTCTTGGTGCCTGGTAGGTGTCCGTGACGAGTAACCACCCTACAAATTGCACGAGCGAATGTGGTCAAGGAGGTGAAGTGGGGAAGGAACTGTTTCCTCACTCTGGCATGTGCTTCTTTAAAATAGCAGCTCCAGTGGGCATTTAACTGATGGTTTATAAGTTTTCCCCTTGTCTAGTTTCTTGCCCTGTTTTTTTAAAAAAATTATCATTTTTTCTCTTTTTCTTAAAAAAAAAAAAAGCTACAAAAAGTGGAAACAAGGGCTCACTATGTTGCCCAGGCTGGTCTCAAACTCCTGAGCTCAAGTGATCTCCCGCCTGGGCCTCCCAAAATGCTGGGATTACAGGTGTGAGCCACTGTGCCCAGGCAATGCCCTGATTTTTATTTTTTCTTTAAAAGTAATTTATTTGATTCTGATTACAAAATACAGCTGAGGAGCACGGGCAATGCCTGTAGCCCCTTGGTGGCACATCTTCCCAGTCTATGCTTCTATAAATACCCTTTGTACAACAGCAAGCTCATGCTGTCCCCAAGCGCTTGCGCATTCTAACAGCTGCAGAGTTGTATGACCAGGTGGAAAGTTAAACAGACGCTCCACTCACAAGGTAGGGCCCCTCTAATTGGTCTTCCGGCTCCCTTTTGCTAATAGTAACTGGTTGCTCTTTCTATTGGTCATAGATAAATTACACCTGCATAATTCTCCAAGTGCTTTCAAGTAATCTCAGAAGGCAGTGACTAAGACCCTTTCCTTGCTCCCAGCTTCCTATGTCCCAGACTGCCTGCGGCACCCGGACTGCTGCTGCCCCCGGGTCCCGCACATTCCAGGGTGATGATGGAGGAAGGGCAGGCCAGGCCAAGCATGAGGAATGAACAGTCTTTATTGGGCTCAGACCAGGGTCTGTGGGTCTTGAGGACCCCTGTGTATTTGTCAGTTTTCTTCTCCATGTTCTTTTCGGCCTGTTTCCGTAGCCTCATGAGCTGTTTCTTCTTCCGGTAGTGGATCTTGGCCTTCTCCTTCCTCTTCTCCTCCAGGGTGGCTGTCACTGCCTGGTACTTCCAGCCAACCTCGTGAGCCAGGCGCCCCAGATAGGCAAACTTTCTTGTAGGCCTCAGACGCACGATCTTGAGGGCAGCAGGAACCACCATCCGGTTTTTCTCGTCGTAGGGCGGTGGGATGCCGTCAGACACCTTGAGGCGGTCCAGGGCGGCCTGGCCTCGCTTGGTCCTGGGGGGCAGCATGCCTCGCACCGCCCGCAGGAAGATGCGTTGGGGGCCCGGACGTGGCAGGGGCCTCAGGAAGGGTTGGAGTTCATCCGCTTGTGGAGGAAGGCCAGGTGCTTTAACATGCAACATGTTTCTGTAGAAATTGCCAGAAATGTTGATGCCCTCGCAGCGTACGACCACCACCTTCTGGCCCAGCAGTACCTGCTTAGCCACGATGGCCGCCAGGCGGCCCAGGAGATGGCCTCGACCACCGAGCACCAGGACCTGCACCTCCGCCGTCTTCCCCGGTCGCCTGGGAAAGCATTTTTTTTTCCTTTTTTTTTTTTTTTTTTTGTGAGACGGAGTCTTGCTCTGTCACCCAGGCTGGAGTGCAGTGGTGCGATCTCTGCTCACTGCAACCTCCGCCTCCCAGGTTCAAGTAAGTCTCCTGCCTCAGCCTCCGAGTAGCTGGGATTACAGGCGTTCGCCACTACGCCTGGCTAACTTTTTTTTGTATTTTTAGCAGAGACACGGTTTCACCATGTTGGTCAGGCTAGTCTCAAACTCCTGACCTCAGGTGATCCGCCCACCTCGGCCTCCTAAAGTGCTGAGATTACAGGTATGAGCCATCGTGCCCAGGCGACTTTTTTTTTTTTTTTTGACAGAGTCTCGCTCTGTCGCCCAGGCTGGAGGGCAGTGGCATGATCTTGGCCCACTGCAACCCCCCGCTCCCGGGTTCAAGCGATTCTCCTGCCTCAGCCTCCCAAGTAGCTGGGATTACAGGCGCCCGCCACCACGGCCAGCTAATTTTTGTAATTTTAGTAGAGACAGGGTTTCACCACGTTGGCCAGGCTAATCTGGAACTCCTGACCTCAGGTGAGCCACCCGCCTCGGCCTTCCAAAGTGCTGGGATTACAGGCGTGAGCCACCACGCCAGGCCCAGGCGATTTTTATAGATGTGGAAACTACTATTCTGTACTGGTAGACATGAGAGTGGAACTCTTTTTTTTTAGACGAAGTCTCGTCCTGTTGCCCAGGCTGGAGTGCAGTGGCACGATCTTGGCTCACTGCAACCTCCGCCTCCCAGGTTCAAGTGATTCTCCTGTCTCAGCCTCCCGAGTAGCTGGGATTACAGGCCCGGCTAATTTTTGTATTTTTAGTGGAGACGGGGTTTCACCATGTTGGCCAGGCTGGTCTCAAACTCCTAACCTCAGGGGATTCACCCACCTCAGCCTCCCGAAGTGCTGGGATTATAGGCATAAGCCACTGCGCCTGGCCGAGAGTGGAACTCTTCATACATTCTACCTCTCACTCTACCCTCAGGTCATCTCCATGTCAGAGGGGTGGTGGAAGTCTCTTCAGGTGGAAGATTCCTCCGAAGTAACTTTGTGCATTACACTCTGGATGGAGCAGTAGTTAACTGTGCAGGCCCTCCAGCCAGACAACCTGGGGTTATATCCTAGCTTAGTCAATTGCTGGTGAAATGACCTTGGAGAAATTACTTAACCTGTCTCAGCCTCAGTTTCCTCATCTGTAAAAATGTCGGGATGGTGATGCTACTACCTACCTCATGGTGTTGTTGTGAGGATCAGTGGGTTAGAACATGTAAAGTACTTAGAACTGTGCCTGGCACATAAACAGTACATGTTAGCTGTTAGCTGCTTTGCAAGTCACTTGAAACCTATGGCCGAATGTGAAGTGTTGGCGGAACCCCGCTCCGGCAGCGTGCACTTTCGCCACTAGGTGTCGCAATTCAGCAGGCACAGTCCTGAAGCTTGACTTGGGGTGGTTGGCTGGGACTTTAATTTTAGCCTATTGTCATTTTTGATTTGATTTGGTGATTTCAAGGGGATAAACTGACATGCTATCCTTTGAAGTCCCTGGGGATCCAGAAATTCCAGCAGAGTTGCTGACATCCAGGCCTGGAAGGAGCTGTTTGGAGTCCTGCCTTTGTTCACAGTTAAAATGGCATATAATTTATCATCCACGCCAGGATATTTCGAGAGTGAAAGGGGACTTAGGAACTATGCCAGGACAAGAGGAGTAAGTAGGATGTGCCCCCGAAACCTGGATACAGTCACCCTACCTATATCTAACCTCAGCATTTTTCAGAATCTCCTCCAGAAGGGAAATGCAATGACATTTCCTCAGAAGCCTGGTATGATAAGCAGTGACTTCATGCGTTTGTAAGTCCCTTCCCCAAGAGGGTGGTGCGTCATTGTCAGGTTTACTTGCGTTTAGTCCTCAGTGGACACTATCAGTGTGTCTGCTTCACAGACCACTAGTCACCTTTGTGTCCTTTATGCTGAATAATCCCATCTCCTCTACAGCTTTTCTTCAGAGCTTCCTTCCAACTGTCAGCCCCTCAGAGGCACTGAGGCATTCACCTCTGAATGTGGTGAAGGAGAGTGAGCAGTGAAGCCATTTTCTGGGCTATTGCTGAGGGATTTCTTCTAAGATTTCATCTATCTCTAAGACTTCAGAATTCCATTATTTCAGATTTGCTCTAATTAATTAATTAATTTGAGACAGAGTCTCACTCTGTCACCCAGGCTGGAGAGCAGTGGTATAATCATGGTTCACTGCAGCCTTGACCTCCTGGGCTCAAGCAATCCTCTCACCTCAGCCTCCCGTACAGGCATGTGCCACCACGCCCATGCACACCTGGCTAATTTTTGTATTTTTAGTAGAGATGGGGTTTTGCCATGTTGGCCAGGCTGGTCTCGAACTCCTGGGCTTGAGTGATCCACCTGCCTTGGCCTCCCAAAGTGCTGGGATGACAGGTGTGAGCCACTGTGCTCCGCCTATCTTTTTTTAAAGGGCAGGAGGACTTTGGGAGGCCAAGGTGGGAGGATTGCTTGAGGCCAGGAGTTCAAAACTAGCTTGAGCAACATAGTGAGGCCTCTGTCTCTACAAAACAAAACGAAAACGAAAACAAAAACAAAAACAAAACAAACAAAAACCCCAATTAGCTGGGTATGGTGGCATGCACGTGTGGTCCCAGCTACTTAGGAGTCTGAGGTTGGAGGATCCTTGAGTCCAGGAGTTGGAGGCTGCAGTGAGCCATGATGGCACCACTGCCCTCCAGCCTGGGTGGCAGAACAAGTCCCTGTCTCAAAAACAACAAAACAAAACAAAAACCAAAAAGGGCAGGAGGAAGCTAGCATTTGTAGAGCAGTCACCACACATCACATGTTGTGCTTTTACTCCATCATCTTGGTCAGCCCATCAACCCTGTGGAATTGGTTTTTTTTTTTTTTTTTTTTTGAGACAGTCTCGCTCTGTCGACCAGGCTGGAGTGCAGTGGCACGATCTTGGCTCACTGCAACCTCCGTCTCCCAGGCTCAAGCAATTCTCCTGCCTCAGCCCTCCGAGTAGCTGGGATTACAGGCATGTGCCACCACACCCGGCTAATTTTTGTATTTTTAGTGGAGACGGGGTTTCACCATGTTGGCCAGGCTGGTCTCAAACTCCTGATCTCAGGTAATCCACCCGCCTCGGCCTCCCTAAGTACTGGGATTACAGGTGTGAGCCACCATGCCCATCCCCATAATTGGTATTCTTATGCCCCATTCCACAGGTGAGAAAACAGGCCTGAAGAGGTCCCAGCCGATAAAAGCAGAGCCAGGATTCAGACAGGTGTGTCTGGCTCCCAAGCCCTGCGGCTACTCCCTCACCAGGCTGCGTCCAATGGTCTGCCAGTGAGTTGGCTTGCTGGCAGACAATCCTAGTATATCTCTTTCCCTGTCTGAGACCCAGTTTCCTTTTCTGGGTACATGTACCCAACTCTGCCGCAGTGACTGGAGAGATTGGGGCTGGTGGGGGTTCCTTGGGAAGACTTTGTTATAGGGGCATTGAACAGGGCTTTGGATGAAGCAAAATGTAGAAGGAGAATATTTTCCTTGTGGGGAAAGGGAGATCAGAAGGAAATGGGTTATGGGTTTAGTCTAATAGACAAAAACAAGGTTGCATGTGTGTGACGGAAAGGGGCCCAGAAGATGAGTGGAAACTTCCAGTCTAATTAGCAGAAAGCAAAAGTGACCCTAGTGATTATAGCCAGGTTTTAAAAACTTGTCCCCAGTCAAGCTTAGTGCAATGGTAGGGCACGTGGGAAGCACAGCATACAGTTTCTTTAAAATTTAAAAAAATTTCACTTTTAAAGACAGGGTCTCCCTCTACTGCCCAGGCTGGAGTACAGTGGCATGATCCTAGTTTACTGCAGCCTCCAACGCCTGAGCCTCAGCCTCCGGAGCAGCTGGGACTACAGGGGTGTGCCACCACACCCGGTTAATTAAAACATTTTTTTTTTGAGATGGGGTTTCCCTATGTTGCCCAGGCTGTTCTTGAATTCCTGAGTTCCTGAGCTCAAGCAATCCTTCCACCTGGGCCCCCCAAAGTCCTGGGATTACACGCGTGAGCCACCACACCTGGCCTAGAAGACATTTTTGATGACAGTAATGATGAGAAGAGATGGCGTTTTAGTGCTCTTTGGAAACAAGTTTAGGCCTTCTAGCTTTAAGAATCCGGGCCTATAATCCCAGCACTTTGGGAGGCAGAGGCAGGAGGATGGCTTGAGCCCGGGAGTTTGAGACCAGCTTGGGCCCAGGGAGACCACCGTCTGTACAAAAAAAATCAAAAACTTCGCCGGACGTGGTGGTGCGCGCCTACAGTCCCAACTACTCTGGAGGCTGAGGCGGGATCACTTGAGCCCGGGAAGTCGAGGCTGCAGTGAGCCGTGATCGCACCACTGCACTCCTGCCTGGGCAACAGAGTGAGTCCTTGTCTCAAGAAAAAACAAAACAAAACAAAAAGCAAAAAACACATAAAATCCAGGCCTGAAAAAGCGCCCGGGCCAGACATGCCTAGCTGGAGTTTCTCCTGCCTTAGCGCACCCCTCAGGCACACGGTGCCCTGTAGTCGCCCTTGGAGGCCGCCAGCTCCTGGGGAGGCATGGCCCTTTCTGCGGGAGGTGTCTCAGGCAGGCTCCAACACACACCCGCGCTGTCAGCATCTCGCACAGTCCGCCCGAAACACCAGGGAAGGGGTTCGTAGGTGTGGGGGTGGGGTGGCGAGGCCAGGCAGCCTGGCGCGAGGGAGAGAGCCGAGGCCTGGGCCAGGAAGGCCCTTGGGTGCCGTGTGGGCGCAGAGCCCAGGAGAGCGCACTGCCAGGCCCGGACCTCCCCGCCCCTACCCCGGGAAGAGGCCCGTTCGCCGCAGGGGGAAGGCGGGATCATAGCACCTCGGAGGAGCGGCCGGTCCGGGCATGCGGGCGGCGGGGCGGGGAGGGAGGCTTCCGGAACCCCGAGAGAGCACCCGTGCCTCGCGGGCCCCGTGCCCCGTCCCCGGGCTCCCCTTCCTCTAACGCAGGGGACCCAGCCCGGGGCAGTGCCGGGCACTGGCGCTGGCGCCCCGCTCAGCCCTGCGATCCTTCTCCGCCCCGCCCCTCCCCGCTCCGCCCCGCCCCTCCCCGCTCCGCCCCCGGGCCGCCCCGCCCCGCAGGCTCGCCATTCCCGGGCAGGCCCCGCCCCCTGTTTCCGCTGGCGGCGGCGGCGGCGGCGGTGCCGGAGCGCGAGCAGAGCGGAGACCCCCAGGTCCTGCGGGCGCGGTGAGTGCGGCCCGGGCGGCGGGCGGCGAGGCGGGTCTCGAGAGCGTGCGGAGTCGCGCGGCCTTGAGCCGGCGCCGGGCGGGCTGGGCACCCCCAGGCCGAGACCCGAGAAGGGGGAGCGGCCGGGGGCGCCCACGGGAGGCAGTGTGGGCAGGGCGGCGGTGGGACGAGAGGACGAGGAACAGAGTAGGCGCCGTGCGGGAAGCGGGCCGGGAAGGGGAGGGTGGGTGCGGGGCCCGGGCACCGAGCGAAGTGGGGTCCTCCAGGGGATGGCTCCGAGGAAGACCGTTTCAGAAAGGGAGTAACCCGGGGCCGGCAAGGGTTTCCGACTGTGTGACCCCGTGCACCGCTTGGGACAGTCCATACAAGGACCCCAGAGAGGGCCAGGGGGCCTTCGGGCAGGGCTGGGATATGGCCTGCAGCCCCCCGGCACCCGCGACCGCTCCCTGGGCCACTGCTGGAAGATCAGCACTCCGAGTGACAGGACTCTGGCACATCCCGAAGTTGGAGATCTAGCCCATCTGTGCATTCAAGTTTGGGACTTCAAAAAACTTTCTTGTGGTTTTTAAAAAAAGATCCAAACAAGAAACCGGCTTGTTGTTGTAAGAGCAATATTTGTACTTGTACATCTTGGAACTGGAGTCTTGGATCTCCTCCCTCTTTGAAAAATATACGAGTCACTGCTTCATCTTCCCCCAAATGCCTGTTTTGTCTGGGGAAGCTTGGGCTAGTATGGGATCCCCTGAGCTACCTTTTTCTCGCATCACCAAAACGGGGGGTAAGAAGGCAGGGGCTTACCTGCCTTACCTGGTAACTCTTAGTTCAGAGACCCAGTCTCTCATTATGTGCGCGTGCCCTTCTGACCTGCAGCTGTCCTTTTCCCTGGGGTGACTCAGGTATTTCCTCCTCCAGGAAGCTTTCCTGGACTAGTGGAGAAAACTGAAGACTCATGCGAGGATCCCTATATATACCTGCCAGCTCCCTTCTCTTTACTGAAAATAGCCACAGAGAATGTTGAATATATGCTTTGCTATAGAGATACGCAGCCAGCTTGCCATCATAAGTAATGGGGAGGGGAGGAGAGGGATTATGGATAATTTCAAACAATAGCCTGGACAAATCATTTATATTTAGCTAAGGAATGCAGCCAGAGAGGCAGACAATTACACCGGCTTCCTACCCTCGGCTTGGTCCTGGCATGGCTGATGCAGCTGGGCTGTGGGTTGGAGGGAGAGGATTGGGGTAGATAAAACTTGAAGTGTAATTCAGTTCTACTCTCACTCACTGAAGACGCCCTGTGTGCAAGTCCCTGAACAGGTGAGAGTAGGATTTTTTTTTTTTTGGTCTGGTTTAATCAGATTTTAATATTCTGGCAGAGCTTTTTAAACCTATGAACAGATATTTAATATTAATAACAATAACTAGTGTTGATAAAGTAATTTATAGTTGGCCAAGTTTTTTCTATGCACGTTACATTAGCTGTATATAATTTTATTTAATTCATACGTAATCTTGTGAAATTTGTTACTTTTTTTTTTTTTTTTGAGACAGAGTCTCACTCTGTTGCCCAGGCTGGAGTGCAGTGGCAGGATCTCAGCTCACTGCAACCCCCGCGTCCCAGGTTCAAGCCATTCTCCTGCCTCAGCCTCCCGAGTAGCTGGGATTACAGGCGCGTGCCGCCACGCCTTCTAATTTTTGTATTTTTAGTAGAGATGAGGTTTTGCCATGTTGACCAGGCTGGTCTTGAACTCCTGACCTCAAGTGATCCACCTGCCTTGGCCTCCCACAGTGCTGGGATTATAGGCGTGAGCCACCGCATTGGCTGAAGTTTGTTACTTTTAATTGCCTTCTTATAGGTTAAGAAAATGATACTCAGAGAGAATAAGTATCTTATCTAAGGTCACAACACTCATTAAGTGAAAGAAGCAAAACTTGAACCCTGGCTTCTGACCTTCCTGCCTTGTGCCATCTATTCTGCCATCTGCCTCTCTGCCCTTCTTCTATTTTATTTATTTATTTTTTTCTGAGACAGACTTTTGCTTTTGTTGCCCAGGCTGGAGTGCGATGGCACTATCTCGGCTCACTGCAACCTCTGCCTACTGGGTTCAAGTGATTCTCCTGCCTCAACCTCCCAAGTAACTGGGATTACAGGTGCCCGCCACCACACCTGGCTAATTTTTGTATTTTTAGTAGAGATGGAGTTTCGCCATGTTGGCCAGACTGGTCTCAAACTCCTGACCTCAGGTGATCCGCCTGCCTTGGCCTCCCAAAGTGCTGGGATTACAGGCATGAACCACCGTACTTAGCCCCTTCTTCTATTTTTTTTTTTTTTTTTTAGAGACAGGGTCTTGCTTTGTTGCCTGGGCTGGAGCACAGGGACACAAGCAGCTCACTGCAGCCTCCAACTCCTGGGCTCAAGTGATCCTCCCACCTTAGCCTCCCGAGTAGCTGGGACTATAGGTACAGGCCCCATGCTCAGATAATTAAAAAAATTTTTTTTTTTTTTTTGGTAGAGACAGGGTTGTGCTATGTTGCCCAGGCTGGTCTCTGGTCTTGAACTCCTGGCCTCAAGCAATTCTCCTACCTTGGCCTCCCAAAGTGTTGGGATTACAGGCGTGAGCCACCACGCCCAGCCCCTTTCCTCTATGTTGAGCCTTGTCTTCACCTGGCACCACCTATTTGTGCAACCTTGGGCAATTTACCTCCTCTTTCCAACTCTCTGTTTTGGTGGTATATTGGATTAGAAATATTCTAGAGTCTCTTCCAGCATCAGATAATTAACAGTGTAAGATATTGGCAGCCACTCAATCAATTAGGAAGTGTGCTTTATATAAAAAATTCTAAAATTGTGGTTAAAAAAACACTGAATGTAAAATCTTTTTTTTGTTGTTGTTGTTTTTGAGATGGAGTCTCACTCTGTCGCCCAGGCTGGAGTGCAGTGGCATAATCACAGCTCACTGCAACCTCCGCCTCCCGGGTTCAAGCAATTCTCTGCCTCAGCCTCCCCAGTAGCTGGGACTACAGGCGCCCGCCATCACCCTCGGCTAAATTTTGTATTTTTTTTAGTAGAGACGGGGTTTCACCATGTTGGCCAGGCTGGTCTTGAACTCCTGACCTCATGATCCACCCTCCTCGGCCCCAAAAAGTGCTGGGATTACAAGCATGAGCCACCGCGCCTGGCAAATGTAAAATCTTAAGTGTACATTTTAACCATTCTTAAATGTACAGTTCAGTAGCATTAAGTCTATTTACATTGTTGTGCGACAGCTCCAGAAATTACCTTGTAAAACTGAAGCTTTAATATTCTTGAAACAACTGTTTCCCCCTCCTCCCAGCCTCTGGCAGCCACTATTCTGTCTGTTTAGTGTGCTTTATTAAGCTCCTGCTGTGTGCTTAGTAAATGCTGACCTTGAGGAATTAATCGGGAGAGTTGTGGAGAAGCAGCCCAGCTTAGGTGGGAAGCCCTTGAACCTGGGGTGGCTGGAGGGAGTGCCCCCTTTTCGCAGGCCTGTAACCCCAGGGCCAGCCAGCACTGTTAAGTGAATGAGTGAGTGGGTTGGGACTTGGGCGGATGCCTTCACCTCCTTTAGTCTCAGCTCCTTGCTTGCAAAATGAGGATAACAATACCAAGTACTCAGGGTGTTGGGAAGGAGCCATGAGCTGATGTATGTGAGGCACGTAGCTCAGGGCCTCATATACAGCAGGTGTGCAGTAAACGGTGGCTGTTATTTATAACCTCGTGGAGGAGACTGGACTAAGATGCTTGGAACAAGAGAGGACAAGACTTCTTTTCTCTGCCGTGAGGGCCCAGCCTGCAGTGGTTGTCATCCTCACTGACTAAGAGGGAGTGGATCTAATCCCGGTGCATTCGCCTGGCATTCAGCATCCTGCCTGTCTAGCCTTATCGCCACTCTCCTCCCTCCTGGAACCCTTGGTTCTAGCCAGACTTATCTCCCAAGCATGCTTTGCGCGTTCCTTCTTGGCCCCTTAGTTCATCCTCTTCCACCTTCCTGGTTGGTTCTTCCATCCCTCTCCTCTTTCAAGACCTTTCTCATGTCTGAGCTCCTCTCAAGACCCTGGCATCCCATCCCAAATGAACCTCTTTTTCCTGGGAACCCCGGTGGCATTTTCTGTCTTCATTTTGCTCCTGGCCTTTATATACTTCCTTGGGTGGTTCTCTAGTGAACTCCACAAACAGTGTATGTGTCACATGTATAAGAGTCTGTGCTGGGCTGGATGCGGTGCCTCACATCTGTAATCCCAGTATTTTGGGAAGCTGATGTGGGAGGATCACTTGAGCCCAGGGATTTGAGACCACCCTGGGCAACATAGTGAGGCCTCTGTATCTAAAAAATTGTGTGTGTGTGTGTGTGTGTGTGTGTCTGTGTGTGTATATATATGCCAGGTGTGGTGGTACACACCTGTGGACCTATGGTCCCAGCTGGAGGTGGAAGGATCGCTTGAGTTCAGGAGTTCGAGGCTTCAGTGAGCCATGATTGTGTCACTGCACTCCAGGCTGAGTAACAGAGCGAGAATTCTGTCTCTTAAAAAAAAAAGTCTGTGCTAAGTTCTGATGCTGCAAAAATAAAAAAGATAAACGTCCTTATCTTCATGGGGCTTATAAGCCAGTAAAGAGTTGAGAAATGGGCTCGAAAGATGACAGTTCAAAGGACAAGGCGAATGGCTTCTGAGAGCAGAATGTTATGTGGGTTGAAACAGTTCAGTCACCTTGATTGAGGAGCACCATTGCATGCAGCAAGTGGTGGTGGACATGAACCCCGGAGGGGAGCTTGCATTTCAACAGAAGGAGGAAGGATCAGCCTGGGGCTAGGCACTGAGAAAGTTGAATGGTGCTTGTGAATGGTGCAGGTGGGCCAGGTGTGGCATGTGTGCAGGGAAGCCATGGAGGAGAGGTTGGGCAGGTAGACAACAGCTGTATTGTGTGTGGCCTTCAAATCACCAGCCAAGAACTTTATCTGTCCATTCATTCTTCCAAGAGAACTTGAGTGCCCACCGTGTGCCAGCATTAAACTGGTGCTGTGGAGATAGCCATCAACCTTGGGAGGCCCTGGGAAGTTTGCAGGTTTTGAGCAAGGGTAAGAGAAGCAGGGCTGGGCTTAAGGAGGGTGAATCTGAGGTCTGTGAAGAGGGGACGTCATGGTAGGGAGAGTGGCTGGGCACTTGTGAGGGATGGTGAGGAGGCAATGAACCTGAGACATTTTGGAAGTAGGATCAGGATCATTTGTAACTTGATTGGATGGGGAGGTGAGGAAAGGATGAAGTTGAAGGGGGATTGAAGCTGATTCTGTGCTGGGTGATTGTGAAAATGCAATGCCATTTGCTGTTTCCGGTAGGCATTGTTTCGTCAACTAGATTGCAAGCCCCTTCAGGGCATGGATTCTAATTCCCTCTGATGTTCTCCTTGACCCTGAAATCACTGCTGTGAGGCACAGAACAGAGTAGGCACAGTGGACCCCTCACGATCTCAAGAAATGAAGCTTGCACTTTCTGGCATCCCAAATTTGTATCCACAGCAATATTTGTTCATGGGCCTGGCTTTCTCCGGAGTCATGTTTCTGCAGAGTCAAATGTTTCCTGTATATATCCTCACACCCCAAGTTAACTGCCCTTTCAGTTTCTGCTGCAGTTTTATTTCTCACTTGATGGCCATTTTCCACCAAGTTTTTATTGCTCCATAAGAGTAACTTTGAATGTGGTAGAGATGAAAACAACAAGGTGGCCCTTTCCTTTATATTGACCTCATAGCGTACGCGATGCAAACACATCTCAGTGAGTTTACACACTTTTACATATCTTGAAACTTTGGGTCACTTGTGAGTGGCCAAAATTGTAATATTAAATCCTTGGATGACAAAGGTCTACCCCAGGGATGACAAATACATGGTGAGGATTCTGTTACTTCTGTAACTGCCCGTGGCAGACATCACTAATCAATCGCAGCTGTCTTTTCTGCTGGGCCAGGGCTTGGGTTCTGCTCATAATGCCTTGGGTACCCACCGCCAACTGAGTGGCATTAGCACACTGCCTTCCTGTTTGCCATTTCTGGCTTTCTCCATTTGTTGAGTGAGCAGTTTCTTGGTAGGGGACTGCTGCCCCAAAGAGTGGTCCTTGATGGACAGAATTCACCCTGGAGTGGCTTCTTACCAAAGTGATGACCTAATTTTTTGCCTTCCTGCAGGAATATCCTGGAACCTTCTTTTGTTTGTCAGCAGCCAAGGTGTTTCCAGGAAGTTCAGAGAGAACAGGTCAGTGTTGGTCCGGGTCCATTGTGGGGTAGGGCCTCTGAACGTCTGTGTGTTATAACCTCTGTCTGAAGTCAAGGTCTTTCTTGCCCTTTAACTGTGGGTTGGGCAGGATAGAAGAGGATGCTGACATTTTCTAGTTGTCGTGCCCTGACTCCTGGCTTTGATTTTCTAAGCTCCTTAAATTGGGCTTTGGGGGCCAGGCAAGAATGATCTCCTCCCCACTGTTTCTGATTGGTGGCTGATGGTACTCTTAGATTCTTTCTTGGCCACCCCATTTGTGTGGAGGAAGCCTAGGGAGAGGCCTGTAACTTCCTGCTTCCTGTCTCCTCCCAGCAGGCTTGGGAGCCAGGGTGGAGGGGCCTCCCACAACAGGCCAGAAGAGAAGATGCAGGAGTCCTGGCCAGTCCTTAGTGTCTCCATTTTGCTCTGCCCACCGCCCTCCACCAGGACCCCTACGGGGCCCTCTTCCCTGATCCTCCAGGCTCCTGGGGGTCTTGCTGATGGTTTGTTCATTGTTCCTAGCACTTGTGCATCGAGGCCTCCGCTGTGCCAGACTACAGACCAGGCAGCCAGACAGTGGGGGTGGACGGTGCTGATTCAGGTTCCCTTGGGGTGCTGTTTACTGACCTGGGCCTTTTTATGTTTAATTTATGTGTGTTTTCTCCTGCGGCTTCTCCCTGCTGGGTGATTTGTAAAATCTTACCTTCCCTGAACCCAATGGTGTAGTCGGTGGAGCAGGGAGAGGGGGTGGAATGGTGCTGGCTGGTGGCTCATCTTGCCAAAGATTCTCTTGTCTGTGAGTTCCAGCAGGGATTATTTGGTGTCCCAAGAGTGGCCAGGAACCTCTTATTGTCCTGCCATGCCTTGCACGTTATACTTAGGATGCCAGTATTCATATTTGTCATCATGATCAGACTCAGTTTTAGACCCTTTACAAATGTCCACAACCAATTTAACTTAATCAGATGAAGTTATAATTTAAATCTCATTTAACTTTCACAAAGGCCCCGTGGGGTAGCTGTCATGTCCTCCTCCTTTACCAGCGGCAGCAGGTAAGGCCCACATAGTGTTAGCCGGAGCAGGGGCTCCAGCCCAGATGCTATGACCCTGCAGCGCCTGCCTTTTCTAATGCAGACCTGCGGCTGTTCTTAACTGACTCTGGGAATCCGCTCCAGGTCCCTCCCTGAGCCTGCTTGTGGCAGGAATGCCTGAGCTCCCATTTTAAGTCCTCCTCCCGCCTCCCTGGGGCCCGGATGGGTGTCTGCTTTCATTCTTGCAGCTCTGGGATTTGAGGCACCGCGTATCACTGGATGGTGCAGTGCCGCTAGGCACATGGGCTTGGGTGGAGGAAAATCAGTCTGGTGAAGATCAGGCAGTAACCGTCCAGGTGCAGTGGCTCACGCCTGGAATCCCTGTGCTTTGGGAGGCTGAGGCAGGAGTTCAAGACTAGACTGGGCAATATAGTGAAACTTTGTCCCTATTAAAAAAAAAAAAAGACCGGGCGGCAGAGAGGGAAGGACTTAAGGACAAGGGAATGACCGTCCTGCTGTGCGGCATGTCCCCCACATCCCGTGGGGCCTGTTCCTGGTGGGCCCTGCCAGACAGAACTTGGTGAAGGGCTCCCCAGGAGGCCTGTATGGCCTTGGGGAGACACAGATAGCCCCTGACGTCACCAGCCGTGTCTATCTAGATGACCGTCTTTCCTCTGTGCATCTGCGTTGAAACCCAAGTGAGGGAGATGTGAGTGGAGGCCTCAGCAGACAGGACGTTGATCCTCTCTGATGGCTGTGGCTCCAGGGGGCTTTGGTTTTGCATTTCTCGTCATGCTCTGGAGCCATGCTCTGGGATGTTGACCAGCTCTGGGGTGGGAGGTTCTTGTCCTGGCTCCTGCTCCTACCTGTAACTGCTGTGCGAACTTGGGCAAGTCGATTGGCTTCTTCAGGCCATTTTCCTCACCTACAAAGCGGCAGGTTGGGTGACCCACTGCCAAGGTTCTTTCTGGCTCTGCTGGAGGTGGTTTCTGAGGTGGGATGAGTTGGTATGCCTGGGTTTTGGCTTCCAGTCCTGGGCCTGCCTTCTGCCTCTGACTAGTGCCTTCCCGGCCTCTGACCTGGAGGTGGATGGAGGAGGAAAGAGTGAAGTTAATGAGTAAACTGGAGATGCTGACTTCTGATAGGAGCGGACTGGGGGTGGAAGTTGTTTGCGGAGATGGTCCCCTGCCCCGTGAGTGGCGAGTGGCGGGGTCCTACTGCCTGACTTCTGTCCTGTGTAGACGGCTCTGCTGTTGATTTGGTTTAAACTCTCTTCTTCGTGCCCGTGCCTGAGGCAGTGAGGAGTAAGCCTCCATTGCTGGACTCCAGCCCTGCATGTTAATCATTTCAACTTCAATCATAGCCACAGCATAACGAAATGAGAATATCTGCCTGGAGCAGGTTAGCTTCCAAACTCTCTCCTTGCTCTCAAACCAAAAGTGTAACCAGAATTTTAGCCTGAACCAGGAGGGTGCTCTTCAGAATGGGAAGGAGATAGAAGAACCCCTTTGCTGGCATCTGGAGTTGGGAGCACGATCCTATCTGCATTTCAACCCGATACTTTGGAGCCAAATGTAGATTTTTTTTTTTTTTTGGCCTATTGTTTAGTATTATCTGTGCTTTGATTTACCACACCCCTTCCGCCCTCTGTTTTCTCTCAGGCTCCCTCACAGTGGATGGCTGGAAATTGATGATACTTTGAATATTCACTCACTTTCTGAGAGTCTTGTGACCATTTCTACTCTCAATGGTCATCATTTTTAGAACATCTGATCTTGTGTTAGGAACAGGAAAAGATCTGGTAGAGAGCAGTCCAGGGGGTCCGAAGAGTCAGGAAGCTCAGTAAGTGCCCCCTGAAATCCTCCCACCTGCTGGAGAGGCTTTGCTGTTATTGCAGGAAGGCTGGAGGGTCTTGTGGCCTTTGGGGTACAGGATCTTGGTGAGGCCTTGGCCTTGGCCTTAGTAGCTTAGGATTGCTGCTAACTCTCACAGCACGTTTGTGCGAAATTTGAAAAATGGCCCTTCTTCAGGTTACAAGCAAAAATTAAAGTGAATATATTATTGTACAGCTGGAACAAGGTCCAACTGTGTCTGAGGCAACCCCCTTGAGCCCTCGTGGGCAGTGACCCTGGCTGTGCGCACACTTGGAGGCACGCCGCCTCCAATCATGGGGTGCACATGTTGCTGGAAACACACACAGTCTGGTCCCTCCCCTTGCAATGTGGGGAATGTGTCAGGTTCAGAGTCAGGGAGAGGGCCTCTGAGGACAGTGAACAGGTGAGGGAAGTGAGCTGGGGTGGGAGGGATTCTCAGAGCAAGATTGAAACAGGGTGCAGCCATGCACATGTGTGGGTGTTAGTGACTATGTGCACACTTGCCTTACATGTGTGTTGGGTGTGCTTGCATGGGTTTGTGTGGGAGGGCACTCTGCATTGTTTTGGCACTCAGTGGAGGGGCCCACGTGTGCACTCTCAATAGATCAGTATAGGCCAGACACAGTGGCTGTCATCTGTAGGCCCAGCACTTTCGGAGGCCAAGGCGGGAGCATTGCTTGAGACCAGCCTGGACAACATAGTGAGACCTCGTCTCTAATAAGAATAGAAAAAAAAATTAGTCAGGTGTGGTAATCAGTGTGTGCCTGTAGTCCCAGCTACTCAGGAGGCTGAGGCAGGAGGATTGCTTAAGCCCAGAAAGTTGAGGCTGTAGTGAGCCATGATCGTACCACTGCACTCCGGGCTGGGTGACAGAGTGAGACCCTGTCTCAAGAAGAAAAGGGTCCGGGCATGGTGACTCACACCTGTAATGCCAGCGCTTTGGAAAGCCAAGGCAGGCAAATCATGAGGTCGAGAGTTCGAGATCAGCTTGGCCAACATGGTGAAACCCCATCTCTACTAAAAATACAAAAATTAGCCGGGCTTGGTGGTGCGCACCTGTAATACCAGATACTCGGGAGGCTGAGGCAGGAGAATTGCTTGAATCTGGGAGGCGGAGGTTGCAGTGAGCCAATATTGGCCACTGCACTCCAGCCTGGGCAACAGAGCCAAGACTCCATCTTGGAAAAAAAAAAATGTCAGTATATACCTGTGATGTGAGTGCCTTCCCCTTAGATGGCAGGGTAAAACCTGGACACGGTACCTGGGAACCCTGCTGACGGCCTCTCCCCTGGCCACCTGCCAGTGTGGAGACTGAGGCTTAGGGGCCCAAAGCTCTCCGACAAGCCCTGAGGGTGGCAGTGCCAGGGACAGTAGGAGAAGATCCTGCCTCAGCAAGTCCCCAGCCCCGTCTCAGGGCCAGGCTCTACAGGAGGGCTCAGAGGGGCAGGGTGCCCAGCTGAGTTTGAATGAACTGTGTCTTTCCGGGTGTGTGAACATGCAGGATGACATGTTTTGTTTTAGAGAAAATGAGGTAGAGGTCTGGGCTTGCAATTTTCCACTTGTCTTAATCCTGGGAGATTCTAAACAGCTTTGTTTAAAAACTGGACATGCAGATTGCAAAGACCTGAGTGAGGAAGAGCCATTGGGTCCCCCAGGAAAACAATTAGGTTTGAAGCCAGAGTTTGGATTTGTTCGACCATTTTGAGTGCTGTCTGCAGCATGTGGGACCTGGAGGCGCTTACAGCATCACCCATGGTGTGAGTCACTCCAAATTAGCAGCCATTTCAAATTGGCTTCCACTGACTTGCTGCTGGGGATGGGTGGGGCTGGGGGGGAAGCTCCAGGCCTGGCTGTCACCCATCATCCAGGCTGTGGCCGGCAGAGAGGGGAGGGGGCTGGAACAACCTGTCTTGGCTCAGCCTGCCCCCACTGTTGGCCAGAGAAGCTGGAGCTGGTGGTCTGTGAAGGTCTCCTGGACGGAGCAGTTCGTGCCCGCAGTGCAGGGAGAACACTGGAGACCATGCAATTCAGGGCAGGGTTGGTGGAACTTTTTCTTGGCATCCATTTGAGAAACTCAGAGGGGATCAGGCTGGGCCTTGAGGGAGGGCTGGGATTTAGGGAGGGAAGAGAAGGGTCTCTGAGGGGTTGTAATGCTGGCTGGGAGCTTGGTTGGGGTGGGGACAGGTGTGGCCTGCAGGAGAGGGTGAGCTGTTCTGTCTGGGGCACCTGACATACTGCTTGGAGCAGCTCAGGCGCGGGAGGCTGGTGGTGGGAGCCAGTGTTGGTCTTTGAACAGTGGAATGACAGGATGAAAAGGGACACTATAGGCTGGGTGTGATGGCTCACGCCTGTAATCCCAGCACTTTGGGAGGCCGATGCAGGCGGATCACGAGGTCAGGAGATCGAGATCATCCTGGCTAACACGGTGAAACCCCATCTGTACTAAAAATGCAAAAAATTAGCCGGGCGTGGTGGCGGGCGCCTGTAGTCCCAGCCACTCGGGAGGCTGAGGCAGGAGAATGGCATGAACCTGGGAGGTGGAGCTTGCAGTGAGCTGAGATCGCGCCACTGCACTCCAGCCTGGGTGACAGAGCGAGACTCCATCTCAAAAAAGAAAAAAAAAAAGAAAAGGGACATTATAGGAAAAATTAGATTGTAGCAGAATTCAAGGTGAATTTTTTTTTTTTTTTTGAGACAAGTCTTGTTCTGTCCCCCAGGCTGGAGTGCAGTGGCGTGATCTTGGCTCACTGCAACCTCCCACTCCCTAGTTCAAGCGATTCTCCTGCCTCAGCCTCCCGAGTAGCTGGGATTACAGGCATGTGCCACCACGCCTGGCTAATTTTTGTATTTTTAGTAGAGACGGGGTTTTACCGTGTTGGCCAGGGTGGTCTCGATCTCCTGACCTCGTGATCCGCCCTCCTTGGCCTCCCAAAGTGCTGGGATTACAGGTGTGAGCCACTGCGCCTGGTCTCAAGGTGAATTTTTTTTTAAAAAGCATCCTTTTGGCTGGGTGTGGTAGCTTATGCCTGTACTCCCAGCACTCTGGGGGGCCGAGGTGGGAGGATCAGTTGAGCTCAGGAGTTTGAGACCAGCCTGGGCAACATAGCAAGATCCTGACTCTACAAAAAATTAAAAAACGTAGCCAGGCATGCATACCTGTAGTCCCAGCCACTCGGGAGGCTGAGGTGGGAGGGTTGCCTGATCCCAGGAGTTTGAGGCTACAGTGAGCTGTGATCACGCCGCTGTACTCCAGCCTGGGCAACAGAGTGAGATCCTGTCTCAAAATAAATAAATAAATAAATAAAATAAAAGCATCCTTTTTTTTGTTGCAAAATAATAAAAACTCATTATAATATCCAAACATTACATAAATTATAGAAGAGGAAAATCTCCCCTAATCCTACCCATCAGAGATAATCACTGTTAATACTTTGGTTTGTATTATTTCCAGATATTTCTGGATAGACTAGCATCCAGCCGTCCACCTATTTATCTTCTCAATTTCCATAAATAGAATTGAATTCAACTTACTGTTTTGCCCGTTCTTTAGGCATCTTTTCACATCAGTACATTCAGAACAACCTTATTCTTTTCCGTAGTTGGCGCAGACTTGCTGAATGGATTTTGTTCCATTCATCACTGAGGTCTATGCTGCATAGACCACCCCAAAATATAGTGGATTAACACAAACACCATTTTCTTTGCTTCCAGTTCTACGGGTTAGCCTTTTGGGCTGGTCTCTGCAGTCTTGCCTGGGCTTATTAATGCGGTAGCAGTCAGCTGGTAGCTCTGCAGGCCCTGGACAGCTCAAGGAAGCTTCATCATATATCCGGTGGTTGGTGCTGGCTGTCAGCTGGGCTCCCCTGCTACGTGGTTTCTCACTGTCAAGGAAACTAGCCTTTCAGGTGAAAACAGTCTACAAGACCTCTTAATATCTAGGCCCTGAAGCCTCACACACGCATTGTCTGTTGATTGCTGGTAACAGCAAGTCATGGGACCAGCAGAACTCCAGGGGCGGGCAGACTCCACCTCTTGGTGGGAAGGCTGGCCACGGCACAAGGAGGGTATGTGTGTTCCAGGTGGGGAGGACGCGGACGTGCGATCCCTCCCTGTGCCCAGAAGCATGAGGAATAGACCCCACAGGTAATGAGGAATAATGAGGAATAGACCGCAGAGATAATGAGGAATAGACCCCACCGATCTTTGGAAGATAGTGCAGACCCCTTCTCCTCCCAGATCACTGTTCATCCCCAGATGGGTCATCCAGGGAAACTGGCAAACACTCGATCTTCATGTTGGGTGTCCTTTGAAGTGGAGTCAGTGTGTTGTGTGTGTGCACGCGGCTAGCGCTGGCAGAGGCTTGGACTTTGTAGTAGACAGTGTCTCCTGCCCTATGGCTCTGAGAGCTGTAGAAGTCAAACCTTCCTGCCCTCTGCAAGCTGCCAAGAGCTTGTCTTCTTGGTACTCCCTGCTGATTTTCATGGCATCTCTGAAAAATGTGTCAGTGAGCGACAGGTCTTTAACAAAGCTAGTCCGGCCTTCCAGGCCCAGGCGTCTGCTGGGATTTTATTCATTCATTTGCCAACCACTACGCTCCAGGCTTCCTCCGCATCCGCTCATAACCTCGGATATGAAATAAGAGGGCCCAGGCCTATGTGATTCACAGACTTCACTTTTCCTTCTCAAGCAACTCACAATGGACTCGACACCGTGACTTCCCGCAAGGTGTTCGTTTTTATATTTAGTTTTCTCATCACCTGCCTTAGTGGCTGTTCCCTTCCTGTGAAATGTCACCAATGGCAGGGAGGCAGGAGGAGGCAGGGGAAGAGCCAGTGATGGGTCATTAATGCATCCCCAAACCCCAGCTTAGAGGATGCTACAGTGGAGCTGCTGGTGGAAGAGTTCTCCCCAGCACCAATCATTCATCAAACTTACCTCTCCCTGGAGATCCGAGGCTGGACCTGATGAAATGCACTTTCTCGTGCAGCAGTGTTCTTTTGCCTGTCAACTGCTGGGTGGTTTTTGCATTCATCAAATAAGAACAAAGGCAGAGTGGGCTTAACGCGTTTGAAATCCCCTTGGTGTTTTATTGTCTCCCTGCTCCCCCTCAGCAGCTTTTAGTAAAGAAATGTTTTGTAGCTGAAAAAGGTTCACTGTGAAAGCATTCTGCACCTCCACAACTCCGCCTCTGGCCTGGCCTCTTCAACTGTGCTGTGGGAGAGGAGTTGCTGAAGACTGTGTTGGAGGAGGGAGTATGGCCTAGCACTGCAGCACCCTTGGGAGCTCCCAGTGCCTCTGGGTGACTTGGGGGTGCCAGCATTGTGCTCCTGTTGCAGGGTTAATGAGCTGATCAGCTCACAGGTTTTATATTAATCAGTGCTCAGTGTTGACAAAAACATGCAATGCTGACTGTGCAAACCTTTGAGAAATCTGGCATCACGGACAAGAAAAGAAACCTCAGCAACTGCTTTTGGCCATAGAATTGGAAAAAACTGGATAGAGCTCCTCAGCCTGCTCCAACTGAGGGCTCGCTAGCTTGAGGCCTGTAGCAGGTAAATTCCCCAGAAGCGGAGACCTGCCAGGCCCTCCCTGACTCCTTAGTTCTCTGCTCAGGTCCCCACTCCACCCCTCCGTTACTTGTTCTCCATGGCTGTGAGGATGGATTCAAGTCATACTGTCAGTGAATCAGTAAGTCGTTACTGTGTGCTTTGATTCCTCAAGGGTCTGAGGCATCTTTTGGCCCAGGTGCTCCGTGTGATAAGAGAGCTTTAGCCAAGTGTAAAGTTAGGTCAGTCCCCAGCTCTTTCTGCTCATGGCTACAAATGTCTATTTCTGTTTTACCCAGTTCCCTCATAGTTCCCGAGGGCCCAGTCCTGCAGCACCTATAACACCCAGGAGTGGGCTCTGAAGGCAGCAAGACAAGTAGGAAGGGATAAGATTGCTACAGATACAGCCAGAGCCCCCTGAGAGGAGATGCCTGCCTTGACTCAGCAGGGAGCTCTCACTGCTGTATGGACACACCTAATTTGACATAAAAAATGACGCTACCCACTTTCATCATCCACCTTACCCACTGCTTATCCAAATGGGTCTCAGTTGTTTGGCACATTGGATGTCCCCGTAAGGACAAGGATGGTCCTTCCCTGAGGATGCTCAGTGGACTCCCTGGGCGCTGAGGATTGTTCTTCAGGAGCACAGTAGCAACATCTTTGGAACCAGTGTGTGGCTTTCCCAGAGAGGCCGCAGTCAACTGGCTGAGAGGGAGGTTAGAAATGAGTAGGCAGGCCTCCCTGCCACCACGCCCAGGGCTGGGGGAGCTGGCGAGTGCTTCCAGCCTGCTCTTGGCCTGGACACTGCAGGCTGGGCCTCTTCCTGCGAGGAGCTCACGTTCTGATGTTCAGATTGAACCTGGAACACGGAAAGCATTCAGAGTCCTGGCGTTGTCCTGAATCATACACATTGTCTTCTCTGGGAAAGCTTTTGGGGCCGCTGGCCTTTGGGATGCTGACACGAATTGTGGGACACACTTAGGCCAAGAAGGGAAGCCACAGAATTGCCCCCAGTTCTGGGAGATGGGATGGCAGTCTGGTTTCCTGGGCCCACCTTCCAGCTGGCTTTGGTTGTGCTGTGCCCATCAGCCGAAGTAGATGGACTTGACCCTGTCTTTGGGGGCCAGGCGTGGGGGGCAGTAGGGATCTTGAGTGTGAGCCCCCCATCCTGATTCTGGGGCAAGGGAGAAGGTGAATTTGACCACAGGAAGAAAAGTGGAGAGGTAGGGTCTGGTCTCCAGCTCACCCATAAAAGCTGGTGAGTCTCCGAGTGTCCTCAGGTCTGTGGGGAGGGCATCAGCTGCAGTTCCTGATTCTGCTACAGAACGTGGATGGGGGCTGCGGACTACCTCATGCCACCTCCAACCAGCCACAAGTTTCTGTTGCAGGGAACAGAGGGCAGATCGAATGGATCCCCCATTAGAAGAGTGCCTGACACAGAGTAGGCCTTAACAGATATTTGTTGATGGGAGATAGGAAGGGGATAGTGAGTTACAGCTATGGAAAGAAACTCAACTAGGCCAATCACAGTTTGAGGGATTGAGGGAAAGACCCCATCCTACCTTAAAATGCCTCTTCACTAGCTTGGCCAGCTGGTGGAACCCCTGCCGTTAGATGTTTGTTCTTTTGGAGGCTCTTTGGTTTTCAGGAGTCTTCTCTTGATTTGCTTTGTTTTATTGTTAATTTGTACTTATTTATTTATTTTTAAAGACAGGGTCTCGCTCTGTCATGCACGCTGAAGTGCAGTAGCGCAATAATAGCTCACTGCAGCCTCCAACTCCTGGGCTCAAGCAATCCTCCTGCCTCAGCCTCCTGAGTAGTTGGGACCACAGATGTGCAACACCATGATTGACTAATTATTATTTATTTGTAGAGATGGGGTCGCACTATGTTGCCCAGGCTGGTCTTGAACTCCTGGCCTTAAGGGGTTCTTTTGCTTCTGCCTCCCAAAGTGTTGGGATTATAGGCATGAGTGAGCCACCACGCCCAGCCCAGGAGTCTTCTCTTAAAATGCCACAGCCTCTTGGAGAGGCTTCCTGTTTCTAGCCGTGGCAGGAGATCAGCATGGCCTTTTGGAGATGAAATCTAAGAGGTAGGGTCAAGCCACCCCTAGATTCCTGCTTTCTTTGCGCACCTTCCCAACATTGCCTCTATTAGAGAAATTCCCAAACCTTTTCTTTCTGTGGAAACTGCAGCAGAGCAGAAGACTCCAGGGACCTCCCCATGCCTCTCCAAGAAAATTATTGCCAAGCAGTCCTCATAGGCATTCATAGGATGATGGCGTGGCTTTAAAGAAACACCTAAGGGAATATCTGTTTTTTTGGGTGGTTGTTTTAAATCAATTATCTTGTTGTTGTTGTTGTTGTTTTTTTTTTTTTTTGAGACGGAGTTTTGCTCTTGTTGTCCAGGCTGCAGTGCAGTGGTGCAGTCTCGGCTCACCACAACCTCCGCTCCTGGGTTCAAGCGATTCTCCTGCCTCAGCCTCCCGAGTAGCTGGGATTACAGGTGGCTGCCACTACTCCTGGCTAATTTTGTATTTTTAGCAGAGATGAGGTTTCTCCATGTTGGTCAGGCTGGTCTCGAACTCCTGACCTCAGGTGATCCTCCAGCCTCAGCCTCCCAAAGTACTGCGATTACAGGCGTGAGCCAACACGCCCGGCAAAAATCAATAATCTTTTTTTTTTTTTTTTTTTTTTGTTTTTAAATTTATTTTTTTATTGATAATTCTTGGGTGTTTCTCACAGAGGGGGATTTGGCAGGGTCATGGGACAATAGTGGAGGGAAGGTCAGCAGATAAACAAGTGAACAAAGGTCTCTGGTTTTCCTAGGCAGAGGACCCTGCGGCCTTCCGCAGTGTTTGTGTCCCTGATTACTTGAGATTAGGGATTGGTGATGACTCTTAACGAGCATGCTGCCTTCAAGCATCTGTTTAACAAAGCACATCTTGCACCGCCCTTAATCCATTCAACCCTGAGTGGACACAGTACATGTTTCAGAGAGCACAGGGTTGGGGGTAAGGTCACAGATCAACAGGATCCCAAGGCAGAGGAATTTTTCTTAGTGCAGAACAAAATGAAAAGTCTCCCATGTCTACTTCTTTCTACACAGACACGGCAACCATCCGATTTCTCAATCTTTTCCCCACCTTTCCCGCCTTTCTATTCCACAAAACCGCCATTGTCATCCTGGCCCGTTCTCAATGAGCTGTTGGGTACACCTCCCAGACGGGGTGGTGGCCGGGCAGAGGGGCTCCTCACTTCCCAGTAGGGGCGGCCGGGCAGAGGCGCCCCTCACCTCCCGGACGGGGCGGCTGGCCGGGCGGGGGACTGACCCCCCCCCACCTCCCTCCCGGACGGGGCGGCTGGCCGGGCAGAGGGGCTCCTCACTTCCCAGTAGGGGCGGCCGGGCAGAGGCGCCCCTCACCTCCCAGACGGGGCGGCTGGCCGGGCGGAGGGCTGACCCCCCCCACCTCCCTCCCGGACGGGGCGGCTGGCCAGGCAGAGGGGCTCCTCACTTCCCAGATGGGGCGGCGGGGCAGAGGCGCTCCCCACATCTCAGACGATGGGCGGCCGGGCAGAGACGCTCCTCACTTCCTAGATGTGATGGCGGCTGGGAAGAGGCGCTCCTCACTTCCTAGATGGGATGGCGGCCGGGCGGAGACGCTCCTCACTTTCCAGACTGGGCAGCCAGGCAGAGGGGCTCCTCACATCCCAGACGATGGGCGGCCAGGCAGAGACACTCCTCACTTCCCAGACGGGGTGGCGGCCGGGCAGAGGCTGCAATCTCGGCACTTTGGGAGGCCAAGGCAGGCGGCTGCTCCTTGCCCTCGGGCCCCGCGGGGCCTGTCCGCTCCTCCAGCCGCTGCCTCCCGGGCGGCGCTCCCGGCGCGGCGGCAAAGACTGAGACAGCTCCGCTGCCCGCTGAACTCCATCCTCCCGGCGGTCGGGCGGCGGCGGCTGCCGCTTGTGTAGTTTTAAATGTTCAAAATCAATAATCTTTAATACAGTCTTGATTCAAGTCAGGAACTAAAACATAGATACTGCCACATCCTAAACCCAGTGCTGTAGGGACTGGTCTGTGCACCCTGGTGTTTCTGAGACCTTGCAGCCACCTCTACCTCCCGATTCCCCACGACTCCAGGGTCTGCACTGCCTGCTAGAGAACTGACTTACTGGCATGGGACTTCTGCGGCCTCACTGGCATTCTTAGAGGCAGGGACATTTCTAACATCTCTCCTAAGTATCTCTTGTGCATTGTCTCTTTATTCCTTCTGAAGAGCAGAGGCCTTGGTTTTCCATTCACTGGTGCTTTCCCTGTTTTCTCATTGCCTGGCACCTGGTGGACACAGAAATATTTTTTGAATGAATGAATGAATGAATATTGCACTTGTGATCTAAGAGATGTGGCCCTAATCTCATCCATTTCCCCAGGACACTTAGACACTTGCTTGCTTTAAAACCACCCATCTTCATATTGCAGGGGTTTCAAACATTTCAGGAGAGGCAGTGAGGATCTTTCTTTCTTTCTTTTTTTTTTTATTTTGAGACGGAATCTCGCTCTGTCGCCCGGAGTGCAATGGCATGATCTCGGCTCACTGCAAGCTCCGCCTCCCGGGTTCACGCCATTCTCCTGCCTCAGCCTCCCGAGTAGCTGGGACTACAGGTGCCCGCCACCACGCCCGGCTAATTTTGTTTTTTTGTATTTTTAGTAGAGACGGGGTTTCACCATGTTAGCCAGGATGGTCTCGATCTTCTCACCTCGTGATCTGCCTGCCTTGGCCTCCCAAAGTGCTGGGATTACAGAGGATCTTTCTTAAGTCAGGAGCTCCTTGTTAAAGTGTCTATGGCTCTGGGAGGGGAGTTATGCTGCCTTTCCCAAAAGAGGTGGCGAGGACGTTGAGGGAAGAGGAGGCCATTGCTCAGAATTTCATGCTGAGGATACTGAGGCTGGCTTTCCTTGGGTGTCTGGGCAGTTGAGCAGAGGAGGCTGGAGCCAGGCTTTCTGGATTGTGACCCAGATTCTGTCGTTTCTCTCCCCCTCCCATGCCTGCTTCCGTCTTCGTCAGCTCGACCCAGGGTCACCTCAGAGCTCCCAGCAGAGTCTGTGGGCAGCTTTGGAGGAAAACATGCGCCCAAAATGGCCAAATCCATGAGGACTTGAGAGAGGCACGTGTGTGGCTATTTTGGGTTTGGTGGGCTGAGCTCAGATCTCTCTGGCATTCCCAGCCACTGGCTTCTGAGAATTGAGCAGAATGGAAGGATGTTAAAAAGCGAGGCTCCAGGAGCAGCCCAAGAATTTGCTCATTCTTTACCTCTGGGAGGAGGTGCTCACCCCGGAACCCACAAGGAGGAATGGGGCTGAGGGAAGGGACTATGGCAGGGAGGGGGCAGGGGAAGAGAGGGAAAGTTCAAGACGATTTCCTCTTCCTCTTCTGTGACTTCCTGGAGGAGGGGTGGCAAGTACAGTGCTGGCCCAGGGCCAATCTGATAAGGTAGCAGGACTTAGAGCCCAGAGGAATGGCTCCCCCCGCAATCCATGCCTCTGGGGGAGTTGCCTGGTAACAGCCATTGGCTGGGGTGGTGCATCAGCCTCTCTGCCTCTCTGAATGTCTCTTTCAATTTCTCTATCCTTCTCCCACATCAGGCTAGGGACAGCTCTGATCTCAAATGACTGGGGAGTCTTCATCTCTTTCTCCCTTCCCCAGAGTCAGGCAGAGAAGCCCCTTTCACTCAGTGCACATGAGGGAGACATGTGAGCACCTCCTCCGTGGAAGTTCAGGAGCTCAGTGATGCCGGGGTCTGTCTTTGCCCCTGAGGAGCTAGTGTGGACGTGTGGAGACACGCATGTGTAGATGTGCACCGATGCAGGACGTCGGCCAGAGTGCAGAGTGCAGAGTGCAGCCGGATGTGACAGGCAGAGCGGGTCAGTGGGAAGAGCTGCCCAGTAGGAGTCAGGGCCCCCAGCTGGCCTGGGGCAAGTCATGTCATTTCTTGGTGCCTCAGATTTTTCCATCTGTCAAGTGAGGGGTTTATGATGCCTGAAGTCCTTTCTGGCTTAAGAGTTACCTGATTCCAGGAGTTGCAGGGAGAAGAGCCTTAAAGATGGGTAGAATGTTTTCATTGCCTCTGTCTTTGTTCCAAATTGGGTCTACCCTTGGACCCATCTCAGCTGGGTTGTTCCCATGAAGAGGGGGCAGGCTGAGGGCTCAGGTGTTACACTCGGATCCCAGACCTCGCTTCTGTTCTCTGGACCCTCCTGTTAGGAAAACTGCCAAATTTGCCTTTAGGTTCAGAAAATCAGTTGCACCTGTCTAGAACAAGGTGGTTCATCCTTGGCCTGCAAGGGAGGGCTGAGTGACTGCCTGAGACCCACAGAGCCTGCTGGGGACTGACATCTGCTCCCATCCAGCCTCGTTCTTTGCTTAGAGTCACTTTGTCCGTATTGTTTCTGTAATGCCAAATTACTTGTAGCTCTTTCTTCCTTTCCCAGTCATGAGGTTTCATTTTTCATTGTTCTCAGTGTGATCTACCTTGCTTGAAATGCTTCCCGGATATGGCATTGTTTTTTTTTTTCTCTCTCTCTCTTTTTTTTTTTTGGGATGGAGTCTCACTCTGTTGCCCAGCCTGGAGTGCAGTGGAGTGATCCCGCCTCTCTGCAACCGCAGCCTCCTGGGTTCAAGTGATTCTTGCTCCTCAACCTCCTGAGTAGCCATGTGACTATGGGTGTGCATCACCACGCCCGGCTAATTTTTGTGTTTTTAGTAAAGATGGGGTTTCACCATGTTGGCCAGGCTGGTCTCGAACTCCTGACCTCAGGTGATCCACCTGCCTTGGCTCTCCAAAGTGCTGGGTTTACAGGTGTGAGCCATGGTGCCTGGCCTATTTTATCTCTTAACTGCATTGTTTTAGCAAATTTGAAAATTTGCTCAGCTGTTGTTTAAGTATTTTTCCATCTCCACTTCCCTCTCCTTTCTTTCTGGTACCCCAATTATATGGATATTTGACTGTTTGATATTGTCCTGTAGGTTGCTGATGTTATTTTTTCAGTATTTTTTCCTTCTGTGCTTCATTTTGAATAGTTTCTATTGCTATGTCTTCAAGCGCACGGATCTTCTGCAGTGGGTAATCTCATGTTCAATAATTCCCTCTGGTGTATTTTTCATTTCTGACATTGTATTTCCCATTTCTAGACATTCCATTTGAGTGTTTGTTGTATCTTTGTCTCATCATGTTGATGTTTTCCTCTGCATTCTTGAGCTTTGGAGCGTACTTACAATACTTGTTTATTTCATCTTTATCTACTAGTTTCATCATCTCTGTTATTTTTGGGTTTGTTCTGTTGACTGATTTTTCTGTTTATGATTTTTCTCCTCCATATTTTTCTGCTTCTTTGAATGTCTACTGATTTTTAATTGGATGCCAGATCCTGTAAATTTAATGTTGATGGGTATTGGGTTTTGTTATATTTCCTTGAGTGGTATTGGGCTTTATTCTGGCATTCATTTAAATTGCTTGGGCTCAGTTTCATACATTTGAGGTTTGCTGTTAAGCTTTGTTGGGGTAGACCCAGACCAGCCTTTAGTCTAGGGCTCACTTAGCCTCACTGCTAAGGCAACACCCTTCAGAGGATTCTACCGAATACCCTGTGTTTTTGAGGTCTGTCCACTCTTTTTTTTTTTTTTTTTTTGGGACGGAGTCTTGCTCTGTCGCCCAGGCTGGAGTGCAGTGGCACAATCTCAGCTCACTGCAAGCTCTGCCTCCCGGGTTCATGCCATTCTCCTGCCTCAGCCTCCCGAGTTGCTGGGACTACAGGTGCCTGCCACCATGCCTGGCTAATTTTTTGTATTTTTAGTAGAGACGGGGTTTCACCATGTTAGCCGGGATGGTCTCGATCTCCTGACCTCATGGTGATCCGCCCGCCTCGGCCTCCCAAAGTGCTGGGATTACAGGCTTGAGCCACCGCGCCCGGCCAAGGTCTGTCCACTCTTGCTGGTGGGAATGTGAACTCTGTCTGGCCCTGTGTGTGCTCCACAGATTGTTGGGCCTGTTGCTTTCCAGTGGTTCTTTTCTCAGTCTTGTGGATTTCACCCCACTGGTGTGCAGATCAGCCAGAGAGTCTGGGTACTCTTCTCGAAGTCTCTTCGCACTCTCTGCTCTCCTCTCCTCTCTGGTATTCTGCCCTAAGAATCTTAGCTGCATGAACTCTAATTCCTGTCTCCTCAACTTGGTGAGACCTCTGGACTCCATTTGGATTCCTGTTGTCTGAACTGCTGCGTGGAAGCTGCCTCCAGGAAGTAAGCTGGACAATCAGAGGACTTGCCTGTTTTGTTCCATTCGTCTGTCAGGGATTGCAGTCCTGTGTTGCCTGTTGCCCGATGTCTGAAGTAGTTTCGTGTGTTCTGTCCAATTTTTCAGTTGTTTTAGGTGGGACGGTAAGTCCAGACCTTGTGGCTTTACCAGGGCTGTCCCCGGGAGTCCTGCATTATTTGAAGACTCACCCCAGGCATCACCTCATTTCCTGGTGTCATCCTTCTGCACTGGGGTGGGTGCCTCTAGGAAACACTCCTACAAGAACCCATAAGCAGCATGTTCTTTTCCCCTTACTTAATTTATCTAGCTTTGTTGTTATCTCTCTAAGTTGGCTGTGTCTTTGAGTACAAAGATGATATGGTGTTTTTCTCATTATCCCTTGTACCTAGCTCAGTGCTAGGTGGCCAATGTTTGTTGATTGAACAAGTAAATGAGAATAAATGGAAGACAATATAAGTGAACCATGCTTCATGGTTACTAAGAAGAACAGTACCATCCCGGGTGTGGAGCTTGGGCTCCCAGGAGCTCAGATCACACCTGTAGCATTGGGTTTACTTAATTCTGGTTGGGGCATTGGCAAGTCTGAAGTCATCTGGAGGAGGGTGACTGGGAGAACGGAAACTACACTCCATAGGAATTGGATGAAGGATTTGGGAATGTTCATTCTGTTGGGAAATTGTCTTTTATGGAGTACTATTGGAGGGGGGCATAATAACAGTTTTCCAACATGTGTAGGATTGAGGACTGAACTTAGGACTCTTGGTGAAGGATTCTAGGCCATTAGATTTGGGTCTAGGTCCAGGAAGAACTTTCTGAAAATTGAACCATCCAGCAGAGAAATGGGTACCTTGAAGATAGTGAGCTCCCTGTTGCTGCTGGGATTTAAGCCAAACCCACGTCTGTTGCTTAGGGATGCTGTGTTTGGAGTTGTAAAGTTAACCAAGATGTTGCATGAGATATCTCTTAGATGCCACTCTACACAATTTTGGATCTTACTCCTCCTCTGAGCCCCATGATTCATCCTCTGGCAGCCTCCCATCCCCAGCCTACACACACATCCAGAAAACACACCTGGAATGTGCTCCTTACTACTGTTTTATGAAACAAGCACCCCTTGTTTCCTGCCTAAAGTGGATTCTTCTCGGGCCTCACGGACTGGCTGCTACCACCCCTGGGCGGTGTCTGTGCTCATCTCCATCCTTCTGACTTCGGCCTGACTGGCACCCCATTGATCTGGGTCAGCCCCTTCTGTCAGCACCTTGTCCCATTGTCTCCTGTGTCTGGAGACACAGTGCCTTTGAGACAGAGGATGGCTCTGATTAGCCCGTTGTTTTCCCTGCTCCCTGGTGGCTGGGAGGCTCCCAGCGAAGCCTGGCGGCCTTGCTGCAGCCATTCCACTGCTCAGGAATATGGCTCTGAATGGATACTGTCACCCTTGATCTGTTCATCCGCTCCTTTCTCTGGGTCTCATGTCTCTTCCCCTAGGGTCTTTCTTTTCCTCGGACTGGAAGCTCCTGAGGAGGTGTCACCCCACTGGGTCAAGGATGGTTTGCTGCACATTGTAGAGGCTCAGTTAGTAGTGGTGCTGGCAGAACTCTTGAGAGAATCTTGCACGCACCTGCTCTTTCCCCCTGCCTTTTTTTCTTTTTCTTTTTTTTTGAGTTGGGACCTCATTCTGTTGCTCAGGCTGGACTACTGTAGTGTGATCATGACTCACTGCAACTTCTGACTCCTGGGTTCAAGCGATCCTTCTGCCTCACCCTCCTAAGTAGCTGGGACTGCAAGCTCATGCCATCATGCCCTGCCAACATTTTTAAAATTTTTTTGTAGAGGCGGAGTCTTGCTATTTTGCCCAGGCTGGTCTCGAACTCCTGGCCTGAAGTGATCCTTTTGCCTTGGCTCCCAAAGTGCTGGGGTTACAGGTATAAGCTGCTTACCCTGGCCAAGGAGGAATTTTTTTTTTTTTTTTTTAGACAGAGTCTTGCTCTGTCACCTAGGCTGGAGTGCAGTGGCGCGATCTCAGCTCACTACAAGCTCCGCCTCCCACCAGGTTCATGCCATTCTCCTGCCTCAGCCTCCTGAGTAGCTGGGACTACAGGCGCCCGCCACCACGCCCGGCTAATTTTTTGTATTTTTAGTAGAGATGGGGTTTCACCATGTTAGCCAGGATGGTCTCGATCTCCTGACCTCGTGATCCGACCGCCTCGGCCTTCCAAAGTGCTGGGATTACAGGCGTGAGCCACTGCGCCTGGCCCCAGGGAGGAATGTTTTTTTGAGAGCTATTGCACAGCATGGTGACTACAGTAAATAATAACATGTTGCATATTTCAAAATTGGATCTGGAACAGAGGTCACTTAACCCATATTTGTGGACTGAATGAGTGAGCCCCAGAGAGGGACATCCCAGTGTCCAGGTGGCCAGGACAGTGTTCCACCCAACCTGCCCATCTTTTGAATGAGGAAGATGAACTCACGAGGTGAAGCCATGTGCTCCAGGCCACTTGCTGTTAGGTGGGAGAGCCTGTCTAGAAACCTACATGTTCTGCCTCCTAGTTTCCAGCTGGCTCCCTTGGGGGATGTCAAGACAGTAATAAAAACATGATATAATCCCAGTCAGCGTTGACCAAGTACATTCTGTCGTGATGTGCAGAGTTTTGTCCTACTTCTTAAAATGCACTCACTGAAAAGAGATTTCCTGAGCCTGTTCTCTATTCCCCTTGGCTGCCGTCACCAGTTCCTGCCTCAGAACACACTTGCCCTCAATGTGACTATGATGAAAATATATTCACTATTTTTGTCAGCCTCGTCCGCGGTAGCTGTTGTCTGCATGCTGTTTTAGGTCAACTAATATTTTACTGAGGATTCTTATGTTGGTTATCTTTCCATTCCTCACGTGCTTATCTGTATGGGATTTGCTCACTTATGCTTTAGCTGAACACTCATTGAACACTTCTGGTGTGCAGGCAGGCTCTAGGAACCAGGGACTCAGTGGTGAATCGGACTGGACGTGCCCACCTGGGGACCTCAAAGGTCCCTAAACTGGGACTGCAAGTTGGCCTGGGGGATGCTGCTGGGAGAAATCATTTTGGGGTCTTTGTCTCTGTAGGGCTCCCCACCATGCCATGCACGAACATGTATTCCTAGACACTGCTCCTGTTGTCTCTTGGCTGTGACTTTGGGAAGTGGCTGGGATGAGGCAGCCACCAGCCTCAAAGGACTAGCACCTGGAGAGTGGGAAAGTGGGCTTAGGGCTTGTGTTTCTGGTCCCAGCCTCTGCTTGGTTCACACTAAGTGTCCTCAGCCTCATCCCACAGATATTTGAAGGGCTCCTCTGGCCAAGCACTGCTCCCGGCTCTGGGGCTGCAGGAGTGAGGAAAAATCCCTGCCCTCAAGAGCTCATATGTTGGTGGAGGAGACAGACAATGAAAATTGGTGTATATCAGGAGGTGGCAAATGCTATGGAGGACAGTAAAGCAGGGCGGGACGGGAGGATGAGGCGGGGTCAGGGAGCCGTGAAGGCGTTACTGAGGAGCTGGCATTTCAGGAGAGACTGGAAGACAGGGAGGGAGTGAACCTGTGAACATCTTGGGGTGGTGCCTCCTGGGGCAGCGGGAGTAGGAGGTGGGAGCACATGAGGCCTGTTCAAGGCTGGTACAGCTGGAGGGGAGTGAGCAAGGGGAAGGTCATGGGATTTGGATTATCTAGGCCATCTTAGGGGCTTTAGCTCTTATGGCAGAAGAGATGGGAGCCATGGAGGGCTTTGAGCAAAGGAGTGGGAGAGCTGGCATACATTTCAAAAGGATTGCTGTGGCTGCTCGGTAGAAAATCGGTAAGTGACAGTAGCAGTACTAATAACTGTTTTTTTTTTTTAATTGTTGTTGTTGTTTTGAGGTAGGGTCTCACTCTGTCACCCAGGCTGGAGTCCGGTGGCATGATCATGGCTCACTGAAGCCTCAACCTCCTGGGTTCAAGAGATCCTCCCACCTCAGCCTCCTGAGTAGCTGGGACTGTAAGCATGTACCACCACGCCTGGTTAATTTTTGCATTTTTTGTAGAAATGGGGGTCTTGCTATGTTGCCCAGGTTGGTTTCGAACTCCTGGGCTCAAGCATTCCTCCTGCCTCAGCCTCCCAAAGTGCTGGGATTACAGGCGTGAGCCACTGCGCCTGGCCTCTAATCACTGTTAGCTACCAAGTGCTTATCGTGTGCCTGGCTCGGTGCAGACTCTTTGTGGCACCTCATTTAATCCGCCCAGCAACTTTACTCCAATTTACTTAGCAAGAAGTTCAGAGAAAGTAAACATTTTGTCCGAGGATACAGAGCTAAAAGGTGGTGGAGCCAGCTGTCAGCTTAGGTCAGGCAGGTTCCAAAGGTTGTGCCCTGGACTCTTGTCCATATTTCCAGAGCAAAAGGGCCGGTCATTTAGGACAACAGTGGACAGGCGTGTGGGGGTGATGGGCAGGGGGACCCTGTTCCTGTTGTTTGGCTGCTCTCAGGCGTTCAGCTGGTCACCCTGGGAGAGGGGTGAGGGCAGGCCCTCTGCTTTAACTCACTTGTGTGGTAGGAGGAAAAGCAAATTGTTTCCAGATGAGGGGAGGCTGCCTGGGGAGTGGAATTTGTGCCCCGTCTGCGCACAGCAGCCTCTCTGGGCCTACAGGACCCTGTGTCTTTGTGTTCAGACAAGCCCTGCTGTGTAGAGGCCTGAGCTTTCTGCCGCCGACTTGGGCTCAGTGCCCCGAGGCAGGCAGATGGAGGAGTGCGGCAGATGTGCCGTCCTCTCCCAGGGGAGGGAAGCTCCTTCTGTTTCCGAGTGAAGTCTGGGCCAACATGCCCCGTATTTTACCTATCCCTTTCCTTCTAAGTAGTTCAGATCACTTTCAGAACGTCACTTCCATAATCCTTATATTTATTGCTCCCTGAGGAAGTAAGGAAGATATTTTTCCTTGTCTTAAAAAAAAAAAAAAAAGCTACAGGCTGGAAAAATTGGGGTCAGAGAGTAAGGCTGGGGTGGAGCAAGGGAGGGAACCCAGGAGCCTAGGCCTCTGTGCAGCTTGCCTTGAGAGGGGCAGGGAGGGAAGAGGCGAGCTGAGCGGGAAACAGGGGCTTCTGGATTTGGGGGTGCTTCCTTTTCTGTTAACCATGTGCTTTGGTGTCTGAATCCCGGTGGGGTGAGGGTCCCTGCCCTACCTAGTAGCTGTCTCAAGGAGTGTACATGCCCCTGGGGGCCTAGGGCCTGCTTTGTGTGCACGCGCGTGCACACACACACTCACACACACGCACACACGCGCACGCACACACGCTCATACACACTCACGCACACATGCGCACACACGCACACGCGCACACACACTTTCATACACACGCTCACACACGTTCACACACACACGCTCACACACACATGCACACATGGTCACGGGCACTCATGTTCTCAGGTGTGCTTGGTCCCATCCACACTCATCACCGCCTCCCTTACCCTCACGTGCTCATTCGTATGTGCAGCGCACACTCAGTCTTGCACACACACACTCATATACCCCCTTACCCCTCACCCACTCCATCCTCACCCCATGTGCACCTACACATAGCATGCACACTCGCTCTTGTGCGCGCACGCACACACACACATGCCTGCCCATGCTGTGGCTCTCACACACACGTGCGTGATTGGTTAGTTCGCCTGTGCATATACCCACCTATGCCCACAGGGAGGTGTTTGGGGGACACATGTCAGAGACGGGCACCAACAGCTGGCAGCTGACTTGGCATGGGAGTTTCTGACAGTGGTGGAGTCCCACAATAATGGCTTTTAGCTTACCACATCCTGTGCCTCAGTTTACCCCTCTTGTATAATAGAGAGAGCTTGGAGAGACTGAGGACACAGGAGACACAGGTGGTTGAGTGTTCTGAGATCTGCAGACTGGGAGGCATTATGCCTGTAAAATGTAAAGTTAACAAAGGCAGAAACTGGTGGTGGGAAGTGGAGGAGGTCCTTAAAAAGAAAGATGGGACTGGGCCTGGTGGCTCACGCCTGTAATCCCAGCGCTTGGGGAGGCTGAGACAGAAGGATCACTTGAGCCCAGAAATTTGAGTTCACCCTCAGCAACATAATGAGAACCCTGTCTCTGCAAAAAATAAAAAAATTGGCCACACGGGGTGGCATGTGCCTGTAGTCACAGCTGCTTGGGAGGTTGAGGTGGGGGGATCACCTGAGCCCAGGAGTTCGAGTCTGCAGTGAGCCGTGACGGTGCCACTGCACTCCAGCCTGGGCAACAGAGTGAGACCCTGTCTCGACAAAACAAAACAAAACAAAACAGTAAAAGAGGTGCCCCTCCCTAGGCTTCCTGGCTATATAGCGCCAGGCTGCAGCTGGCTTCTCAAGCTCAGGCTGACTGTCTTCACCGACCTTGAATATGTACCATCAGCAAAACCAAGACCTTGGCTGCAGAGCTCTTGGGGCCCTGGGGATGGAGGGTGCATTGGTCAGTAGGGTGGAAAAGGACCATTTTGGGAAGGAAAGGCTCCCTCCTGGCTGCTCAGATCCCAGCGGGTTTCCAGCCACAGAAGCAAAGCAAACAGGCCCCTGACTTTGTTTCTATTTCAGAAACCTTGCCGCCACCACCACCACTGCTGCCACCGCAGAGCACGAAATCATCACGGGGCTGTGGAAATCCAATTAGACTTGAGCCGCCGGCGGCCCCCTCCGTGGGGAGTGGGGGAGGGAGGCTCTATCTAGAAAGCTGCCTCCATAAATTTGAGTTAGAGTGGTGGAGGGGCCAGACTGTTACTCATCCTTGACTGTTTCTTCTGACCTCGAAATCCAGCGAGTGAAAATCTGCGTGAAAACCTGAGGTCTGCCAGGCGGCACTGCAGGGGGCGGGAGTGGCCTGGAGGCTGAGATGAGATCCCCAGCCTGTTTGGCTGCCTGATGGGTTGACTCAGGGCCTTCGTTCCCAGTCTTTGGGCCTGGGATCTTTCTGAGCCTTAAATCTCTGGGTTTCACAGGCTGGGGTGAGGAGAGAGGGACCAAGGACAGCAGACCCCCAGTCCAGCCCCCCTATCCCTGTGCCCTTCATCTGGGGCCATGCATGCCTCTTGTTAGGTCTGGCTTTCCCTTTCTGTTTGGGGCACTGGCTTCGTGGTGGCCTCTTCCCTGTGGGACTGCCAAGCTGCTGCAAGGACCTTTAGGTCACGCCCAGAGACAGCCTTTTGCTTCAGTGTCCTCATTCTTCAGGCTCAGATGGGCTGTATTTTATTTATTTGTAAATTACCTTGTTCCAGAAAAGGTGATCAAAACAAATCCAGATACCTGGTGATATCGCTAGTGCTACCTGGGCATGAATTCATTTTTTCCTGGCTTGAGTTTCAAATGTCAACTGGGACTCTTGTCTCTGTCCAGGCCCCCAAGCCTTTGCACATATTCCTGCTCCCTGGACCAACCTCGTGCTATTTATACTTTCAACTCTATTCCTAAACCCAGTAAGAAACTCCCCAAAACCTCCATACCTGATCCTCACATTTCTGGATACTCCTTGTGTACTCAGTTTAGATGTCACCTCCCTCCACTAACTAAGCGTTCCCCTCTGGGTGGAGTGCCTTTCTTGTGTAACCCCATAGCACCTGTGCTCACCCCTGTGCTGAAGGTATTGAAAGGAATAAGACACAGTCTCTCCTCCAGAGTCTGTGGCGTAGACAGTGAGTCATCGGATGCTACAATGTGCTGTGATAAATGTATCACAGGGACAGTGCAATGGACCACATAGTAGGTACTCTGTGAATATTTGTTGGTCTTGCAAATCTGAAAAAACTATTCATTCTGCATTCACACTTCCTTGATATTTTGGCTTGGTATAGGATCTCAGCTAGGTTCCAGCCCCCCGTCCTGTGCAAAGCATTGCTTAATTTTCTTTTAAATTCCAGGGTTACTCTCAAGAAGTCTAATGCCATTCCAGTTTTATTCCTTTGAAGGTAGCATGGCTTTTCTCTCTGGAGTCTCTGGTGTCCCGTGGAAAAGTCTCTCTGTCTCTAGTGTTCTGCTGTGTCACACATGACGTGATTTAGTGTGGCTCGACTTTCATCCACTGTGGATCCTTTCGATCTTGAAACACCCACTGTTTAGTTCAGGGAAATTTTCTTGAGTTACTTCACTGATGGTCTCCTTCCCCCGTTTTCTCCTTTCTTTTGGAACTCATAGAATTTAGATATTAAATCTCCTGGATTGGTCTTACAATTTTATTTTCTTTCCTATCCCCCTCCTTTCCTTTCCTGGAGATTTCTTCCACTTTATCTTCCGGCCTTCTATCGGGGTTTTTATTTTAGTTAGCAGATTTTTAATTTCAAGAAATTTTGTTTTCGAAGTATTTGTCTTTTATAGCACCCTTTTGGTTTTGGTTTCATGGGTACAATATCATTATCTTATTTGTCTAAGGATATTAATGATAGTTTCATTTTGGGAGGAAGGATTCTTTTTTTTTTTTGAGACAGAGTCTCGCTCTTGCCCAGGCTGCAGTGCAGTGGCGCGATCTCCGCTCACTGCAAGCTCCGCCTCTCGGGTTTACACCATTCTCCTGTCTCAGCCTCCCGAGTAGCTGGGACTACAGGCACTCGCCACCACGCCCGGCTAATTTTTTGCATTTTTAGTAGAGACGGGGGTTTCACCGTGTTAGCCAGGATGGTCTCGATCTCCTGACCTCGTGATCCGCCCGCCTTGGCCTCCCAGAGTGCTGGGATTACAGGTGTGAGCCACCGCTCCTGGCCAGGAGGAAGGATTCTTTACTGTTTCATATAGTCTGTGTGTGTGTGTGTGTGTGTGTGTGTGTGTGAGAGAGAGTGTGTGTGTGTGTGTGTGTTTGTGTGTGTATTTTCTGTCTTTCCTGTGAACATTTTCTTCAGAAGTCTAGTGATCCTTGGAAGTCTTTACATTTTGAGTGAGGCATTAAAAGGTGATTGGAACTTGTGTGTGTATGTCGCTTGTGGATTCTGGGCCTTGTGTAGGGTGACCTAGTTGGCCTGTTTTGTTAGGAACCTAGTAAGTTAGTGCCAGGCATGGTGGCTCATGCCTGTAATCCCAGCACTTTGGGAGGCCGAGGAGGGTGGATCACCTGAGGTCAGGAGTTTGAGACCAGCCTGGGCAACATAGTGAAACCCGTCTCTACTAAAAATACAAAAAATTAGCCGGGCATCGTGGCAGGCGCCTGTAATCCCAGCTACTCAGGAGGCTGAGGCAGGAGAATTGCTTGAACCTGGGAGGCGGATGTTGCAGTCAGCCGAGATCGCACCACTGCACTCCAGCCTGGGCAACAAGAGCAAAACTCTGTCTCAAAAAAAAAAAAAAAAAGACTTTTTAGGGCATAAAACTACAATTTTAAAGAGACCAGAGGAGTTGATGATAGCAACACAATCTTAGAGACTGTAGGTAAAAGGACAGATGTTAATTGGCTTGTGAAAGCTGAATCCTAAAGCATCAGCAACCCTATGAGCACCCCAGAACCCCCAAAAGGCTTAGCAATCTGCAGCACCAGGAGGGGCTGAAAACAGGAGGTCAGGTTAAATGTCTGCTTAAGAATCAGTCCCACTCCCCAGATCTCTGCCCCCGCTTCCCTTAGCCAGGTAAGTGTCCCTCCTCCACCTCAGCACAAGACCGGGAGTGGGCTTTTTCTGTGGAGGGGGTAAAGCAGGAGGTCCTTAGTCTGTGGACTGAGGAAACCAGGCCCAGGGAAGATAGGGTGTTAGGTTTAAGTACAGAGGCCAAGACCCTGCCCTCTTCCTCCATAGGCTCCTGGGCACAGGAATTCCGTTTTAGATCTCCCTGGTAGACTAGAAGGTTCTGCTCTAGGAAATATTAACAGCTCAATACAAAATACCTAGGATACTAATTTACAAATTTTTTAAAGAGACAGGGTCTCTTAAAGCCACCATGCTGGCCAAAAGTCTCTTTTCTCTTGATTTAGTGAGGTATGGGGCACAGTGGAGGTAAGTGTACCCATTCTCTTGGAGATCTTTGGCCAGGACATAGCTGGTGCATTTACTTGCCTTCATCTGTTGTTTTTAACAGTCCAATGGGTGTTTTTTTTCAGCCTTGTGGGAAAGGAACAAAAGTCCATTTCCTTATGTCTGTTTGTTGCAGGATCCTTTGTGCCTAGAGCTGTGCTGGTTACATAGGAGGTCCTCAGTCCTTGCTGGCTGAATGAGTGAACACATGAATGAATTGCAAACCGACTTGGAAACAAAAATGCAAACACAAGCACAGTTCACCCAGGTTCAGACTGTTCTGATGTGCCAGTCATTTACTGTAACTCTGAACATGTTACATATGCAAGTATTTAGCATTGTTTCTGGCTAGCGGTGGGGACACTGTTGACTTTTTCTTCATCCTGGTTTATTTTCTCTGGCTGTAGTGAACATGTGTTGATTCTTCAATTTTTAACCAGGAGTTAAATGAACAAAAATAAAAAAGCATCCAGTTTAGAAAGGAAGCAGCAACCCAGGCACAGTCCTACAGCTTTTACAACCTTCTGCAGGTCACTCTGTCGCCGTAGACCGTAGTTCTTGTTCTGTAAAACAAGTGGTTGGACCGGCTGCATCGAAGGTTTCATCCAGGTGCGAGTGCTGGGATGTTGCTGTTGTCCTCTCTCATTTGTGGCACAACGGTGTAAGTCTCCTGTGGAAAAGAACTGCTGTACCTTCACTTTTCTGGGCCAGAATACCTTTCTTCTGCTCCTCCTCTGAATTCTTGTACCACTTCAGAACATAGTCCAGATCCTACCTCCTCGTAACACTTCTCAGCTGCTCCAGGAGATGCCCGTCCCCTTTCGCCAGCCTCCTTTGACATTTTTGGTTCATAGTTGGATATAGAGGAAGGAGGATAGAACTTGAGGCCTGACAGTGCCAGGTTTGAATTTTAATTCTGTTACTTGTTCACTGTGTGACCTTGGAAAACTCACCTAGTATCTCTGAGCTTCTCTTTTCTCATCTATCTAAAAGAAATTTATCATAAAACTTACCTGATGAGGTTTATGTGAGGATTAAATGAGATATGTATTTAAAACTGCTCTCCTTTACTGTGTGACACAAAATAGATACTAACACAAAAAATGATAAGAATGATCAGTGTTTACGTGCATTACCTTTTTTTTTTTTTTTTTTTTGAGACAGAGACAGACTCTCACTCTGCCGCCCAGGCTGGAGTGCAGTGGTGCGATCTTGGCTTACTGCAGCCTCCGCTTTCTTGGTTCAAACAATTCTTGTGCCTCAGCCTCCTGAGTAGCTGGAATTACAGGTGTAATTCCACACCTGGCTAATTTTTGTATTTTTAGTAGAGACAGGGTTTCATCATGTTGAACAGGCTGGTCTCGAACTCCTGACCTCAGGTGATCCACCCGCCTTGGCCTCCCAAGGTGCTGGGATTACCGGCTTCAGCCACTGCACTCAGCTGCATTACCTTTTTTACTCACATTGATTATTTTTATCTCACCATGAGGAGGCTGAGCTGTAAAGAGGTAATTTCCTCAAGGTTACAAATCGAGGACAGGTCGCCTTTACATTTTCTTTAGGTGTTTTGTGTTTGTATTTAGTCTGTGAATATTTATTGTCTAGGAATTTATCCGTTTCTTCTAGGTTTTTCAATTTATTGGCATCTAGTTGCTATTAGTAGTCTCTAATGAGCCTCTGAATTTCTGTGGTATCAATTGTAATGTTCCTTTTTTTTTTTTTTTTTGAGATGGAGTTTCACTCTTGTTGCCCAGGATGGAGTACAATGGCACGATCTCGGCTCACTGCAACCTTGCCTCCTGGGTTCAAGCAATTCTCCTGCCTCAGCCTCCTTAGTAGCTGGGATTACAGGCATGCACCACCATGCCCGGCTAATTTTGTAGTTTTAGTAGAGACGGGGTTTCTCCATGTTGGTCAGGCTGGTCGCAAACTCCCAACCTCAGGTGATCCTCCTGCCTCAGCCTCCCAAAGTGCTGGGATTACAGGCATAAGCCACCGCGCCTGGCCTGTAATGTTCCATTTTTATCTCTGATTTTATTTATTTGGGTCTTCTTTTTTTTTCCTTAGTCTGGTTAAAAGTTTGTCAATTTTGTTTTTTTCTAGAATTAAATTATTTCTCTTTTTATTTAAAAAATTTTTGTAAAACTGATTTTGTTTCATTGATCTTTTACATATATATTTTTTATTCTCAATCTCATTTATTTTTGCTTTTTTTTTTTTTTTTTTTGGAGACAGAGTCTCACTCTGTCACCCAGGCTGGAGTGCAGTGAGTGGTATGACCATAGCTCACTGCAGCCTCGACCTCTTGGGCTCAAGTGATCCTCCCATTTCAGACTCCCCCGTAGCTGGGGCTATAGGCACATGCCACCACACCTAGCTAATTTTTAATTTTTTTGTAGAGATAAGGTTTAACTGTTGCCCAGGTTGGTCTCGAACTCCTGGCTCCTGCAATTCTCCTGCCTTGGCCTCCTACTCCTAAAGTGTGGATATTATAGGAATACACCATTGTGCCCAGCCTGTTTCCAGAAATTCTTACATTTCCTTCTTAACTTCTATATTGACCCACTGATTGTTCAGGAGCTATTCGATGAATATTTATTGAGAGCTAACTCTATGTCAGGTCATAGTGCTGGGAATACAGCAGTGAGAAAAACGAAGTTACCGCCCTCATAAGCTTACATTCTAATGTAAGAGCCCATCAAGGGAATACATGTCTGTTGGGTAGCGGGAAGTGTGGTGGAGAAAGGGATGGGGTAAAGGCCTAGGGGCTGTAAAAGAGGGCATGTGTGGTGGGGAGGGAGAGCATCTCCAGTCAGTCACATCTGATGGACCCTGCAAAGGATGGAGAGAGCATCCTGGTGGATGCCTGGGGAGGCTCATTCCAGGCACTGGGAACACAAGTGCAATTATGTTTGAGTAGTGGGACCCGGCTCTGATCAGGTCCTGAGGCCATGATGAGAAATTGGGCTTGTTTCTTCAACTTGCTCTTTCCTGTTGAAGTCAAAAGATGGCTTCTTTCTTATTTTGTGTCCTGTACTATATTGGGTAAATAAAGTGATGTGTACTTTGTTAAGTGATCAATAGATACTTTTTTGGTTGATGAACTCTTCCATCTTCTATCATCTTAGGCTGCCTGGTGTGGGGTTGTACTAGGTGTATCCGATGGTTCTCAGTCCCCTTCCCACATTCTCCAGTGACACAGACCTGGAGCTGTGAACCCCGGGAGACCCTCAGGGGTGTGCCAGTTCGAGAGTGCCAGCTGCCATGCATGCCCTGCCCTTCACTCTGCCCTGCAGCCTCAGTGTCCTTTTACTCTTCTATTGGGCCTTGCGCCCTCCCTCTTTGAGGTTTTGCAAATGTGGCTCCCTCCATGTCCCCAGGTCCAGAGGCAAGTCCTTCTGCAGGGACGCTGTCTTTGACCCTTGGCCTGGGCAGGTCCCCTTGTTCCACGTGCTCACTGGGCAGTAGGTTCTTCCCCTCCCAGCAGCATTTCCCCCCATTTATCATTGTGTACTCACTTGTGTGATCCTCAGACCCTGACTGTCATCCTCAGTGGGCCATAAACCCCACGAGGACTTAATCATCCCTTCTCCTCTCCTGCATCTCTGACATCTAGCTCTGTGATCAGCCAGTTTCATCTGTCAAGGACCTGACTGTAAACATGTTAGGCTTTGCAGACCATATGGTCTCTGCTGCAGCTTCTCAACCCTGTCCTTGCAGCATAGAAGTGGCTGCAGACACTACGTAAATGAATGCAGCTGTGTTCCAAAAAATGTATTTACGGACATTGAAATTTAAATTTCATGTCATTTCCACACCATGAATATTCTGCTTTTGATTTTTTTTCAACCTTATAAAGTATAGAAACCATTTCTAGCAGGCAGGCCATACAGAGACAGGCGATGGGCTGTATTTGGCCCACAGACTGTAGTTTGCTGACTCCTCATGTAGGGCAGTGCGTGGTGTATAGCATGTGTTTAATGAGTTTGTTGAGTGAGTGAATGACACCTTAGACACTGGCAGGAGGTGGTGAATTTGTGGGGTGCTGTCTTTCTCATTAACACCATAATCGCTCTCCTTCATCAGATTCCCTGCAGTCTGGCCAGGCATGGTGGCTCACACCCAGCACTTTGGGAGGCTGAGGCGGGTGGATCACCTGAGGCCAGGAGTTCGAGACCAGCCTGGCCAATGTGGTGAAACCCCACCTCTACTAAAAATACAAAGATTAGCCAGGCATGATGGTGGGTGCCTATAAGCCCAGCTACTCCTGAGGCTGAGGCAGGAGAATCGCTTGAACCCAGGAGGTGGAGGTTGCAGTGAACCGAGGTTGCGCCATTGCATTCCAGCCTGGGTGACAGAGTGAGGCTCCATCTCAAAAAAAAAAAAAAAAAAAGATTCCCTGTAATCTGATAACATTAAGGAAGAAGGCCAACAGGTTTGTTTTATTGAGATGTTACTCACATACCATAGAGTTTGTCTATCTGAAGAGGACAGTTCAGTGGTTTTTACTATATTCTCAGCGTGTGACCATCAGCACTGTCAATTTTAGAACCTTTTTATCACCCCCAAAAGAAACTCCATTAGCAATCACTCCCATGCCCCCCTTCCCTGCCCCCAGTTTTTCTCCCTGTCTGAGTCAACCATTAATGTATCTTTTGTCTCCATGATTTACCTACCCTGGACATTCATATGAATGGAATTATACAATATGTGGTCTTCTGTGACTGACTTCTTCCACTTAGCATAAGGTTTTCAGGGTTCATCTGTGTTGTAGCACGTGTCAGAATTCCATTCCTTTTTAGGGCTCAGTAATATTCCAGCATACGGACAGACCACATTTTGTTTATCTGTACCCATTCGTCATTGACTGACTTGTGAGTTATTACCACCTTTTCTGGCTTAGACATAATGTGGCTGTGAAGTTCATGTGCCATGCTTTTGTGTGGCCATATGTTTTCAGTTCTCTTGGGCAAATACCTGGGAGTGGAATTGCAGGTGGTCTTAGCTCAGGCTGCTGTATATCACAAAGTCCCACAGACTGGGTGGCTTATAAACAATAGGCATTTATTTATCCCAGTTCTGGAGGCTGGGGGTCCCAGATCGGGGTGCCAGCATGGTCAGGTGCTGGTGAAGCCCTCTTCTGGGTTCTAAACTTATATCCTTATGCAGTGGAAACAGGGCAAGAGAGCTCTCTGAGGTCCCTTTTAATTAGGGCACAATCCCATTCCTGAAGTCTCCATCTTCATGACCTAATCACCTCCCAAAGGCCCCACCTGCTAATACCATCACCTTGGGGCCCAGGATTTCAACATGAGAATATTTTGGGGACACAAATATTCAGTCTGTAGCACTGGGTCATACGATAACTGTGTGTTGAACTGTTTAAAGACTTCCAGACTGTTTTCCAAAGCAGCTGTACCGTTTTACATTCCCACTAGAAGTGTGTGAGGACTCCAGTTTCTCCACATCCTTGCAGACAACCTTTATTTTTATTTTTTTAACAACCCTTTTTACTGTCTGTCTTTTTGACTGGCTAACTACTTCTTAAGCGGACACATTTCTGATTGCAAGACAGTGGGCTGAACTTGATCATTTAGATAAAAGTTTCGCTATTTTCTTTTGTAAAAGCAATGTATGTTTATTGAGCATTCTGGGAAAACAACTTGATCCCTGCTAGTGATGTCCCTGTTGCATTTGATCACAGCCTGCCAACTCTTTAACAGGTCTCTCAAGACCAAGGCTGCTGCCCCTATAAGCTGCATAGCAGATCAGGATGCAGGCCCTGGGGCTTCAGACTGGGGTTCACAAACAAGTTCTGCTGCTGCCTGGACATTTGACCTTAGCAAGCTGCGAATCCTCTCTGAGTCACAGTTTTCTCATTGGTAAAAGGGATGTTTTTGGGTACCTACCATGTGATGACAGGCATCGTACTTGTCTTACTAGGTTCTGATGAAGATGAAACACGGCAATGCTTGTGAAGTGCTGGGGATAATGCACTTCCTGAGCACTTAGAATAAACGATACTCAAAACCGAGAAAGAGCCCTCCGTCCTGAGGTCACGCAGCTCGGCAGGGCTTGTGATTGTTGTAAGGTAAAGAGAGGCCCTTGGAGGAGGAAGGGTCCCCGTAGGTCACCCTCACACTGGATTCCCGTCATGTGGCCAGCATTTGCTTGGCTGTTTCTGCTGATGAGAACTGCCCCCTGCTGCTGCACAGCTCAGGTTTTCAGCCCTGCCTTTCCGGAGCCATCCTTTGGCCGTGCCTCTGCCGTCAGAGCCCGGGAGCGCGCGCCTGCCCTGTCGTCCGCATGACAACCTGGGAGTATTTGACAACAGAACCCCTCTGTCTCTTCTCCAGTTCCATCAGCTGTTTCTCAGATAACTTCATTTCTAAACCCCACTACCTCTGTGGCCGCCCTTGGACGCATTCTGGCTTGGTGGTTGTTTGTTGTTTCCTGGACTCATCCTCAGCCCGAGGTGGCTCTGAGGGGTAGAGGGACATCCCCATAGGGGACAGACACAAACTGAGTGTCAGAAGAGTTATTAAGCCTTTCAGGGTGACAGATCTTCACCTTTACAAGCAGGATGGCTTTAGGAAAGGAAGTAGTCGAGCAGGATAGATAGTCTCATTCTAAATTATGGAAAACATAAAATTCCAGCTAAGGCCTGTCCCCATTTCCCCTCCTGTTTTCCAGGCTGTCTTGGGTGGCTGCACAGACGGTTCCTCGTCATCCAGGTTTCCTGATGGGTGTTGCAAGGGTGACCCATTCTGCTGGAAGGGCTTGTGATGGGAGGGTTTTGAGTTTTCCTGCCGTCATTTCCTATCCTGATAGGGCAGAGTCGGTGGTACATTTTTTGGACTCTGTTTTATAAGCTGCAGGAGGGAGATTGTGGCGAGTGGCTCATTAATAAAAGCACTTCAGCAGAAACAGAACAAGGGGAGGGGAGAGGAAGTGGTGGGACTATTTGCCCGATTTTTGTATCCTAGGGCCTGTCTCTTCCGTTGGTGGGAGAAATCCAAGTGCTTAGCGGTCCCTCTGCTGCTGCCCGTGGGGTAAAAACCTCATCATTTTGTAAAGAGGGGCAGCCTGGAAACCCACCGTGGGCCCAGCTCTGCCCCGGGGCAGGCAGCACACATTCTGGGTATCTCCCACTTCCTCAGGCTGAGTTTTGGAAAGGCCATCCCTAATTTCTTTGTAATTGTGCTCCAGGCTGATTTACATAACTTTATTTTTCTGTGGTTAGTTACTCATTCAGAAATTCTCCTGTCCATCTGTTCTTCTGGGAACCTGAGACTATGGGAACAGCACATCCCAGGAGAATTCTGGCCTGATTTAGGGGGTTGGAGCAGTTGTCCAATCCCCTGAGCAGATCCAGGTCCCGGACCCCTCCAGCGAGAGGAAGCACCTTGGGAGGCAGTGGCTGCTGGTCCTGGGACCTGCGGAGCTGTCACCTCAGGGCTGGGAGGTGAAGGGAATGGCCTGAAGGTGGAGGAGGCATGTGTGGTAAGAGGCAGTGCAGGGAGGTGGTTAGTGCCCCATGCCAGGTTCCCCTCCTGGGCCTGCCACTCTCCAGTTATGTGACATGGGAAGCTATTTAAGACTCTTTTTCTCGCCTGTGAAGTGGGGATTATAAAGGCTCTAGTTCACAAGGTTATTCAAATGTGAAGTGAGTTGATACGTGAAGCATGTAGAACCCCCCCGGCATGTAGAAAATCCTCATCCTCATTTCCAGCACTAACAGCTGCATTATCACATTTACCTGATTCCGCACCGCCCCTGCACCCGCCGTTTTTTTTTTTTTTTTTTTTTTTTGAGATGGAGTCTTGCTCTGTTGCCCAGGCTGGAGTGCAGTGGCATGATCCTGGCTCGTGCAACCTCTGCCTCCTGGATTCAAGTGATTCTCCTGCCTCCGCCTCCCGAGTAGCTGGGATGACAGGCACCCACCATCATGCCCGGCTAATTTTTGTATTTTTGTAGAGACGGGGTTTTACCATGTTGGCCAAGCTGGTCTCGAACCCCTGACCTCAGATGATCCGACCGCCTTGGCCTCCCAAAGTGTTGGGATTACAGGCATGAGCCACCGCTCCTGGCCAGACCCCTCTCTGCTCTTTTTTTTAATGGAACAGGGATACTTATTTTATATTTATTGACAAACATGGGGAAACATTCCTCTCAGCTCAGCCCCACTGCACCTGCAGCCCTTGGCCTCCTTGGCACTCCCTCCCTGCAGCTGTGCCCAGTGGGTCTCTCCCACTCCCAGCCATGGTGTGAATTGGGCTTATGCTGACTGCCAGGTAGCAGCAGCCTAATTTCTCTGCCTAGTTTCATCATCTGTGACCTGTGGAAAACATTTACGCCTCCTTTTCTTCCCTCCGGCCCCTCCAGAGATGTGATGAGGGTCAGGTGACATGTTAAGCCTGGCACGCAGGTTGCAAAGACAGGCAGGACTTCGGTGGACAGTGTGGGAGAGCTGTGGGCGCAGGACCGAGATCGCCCTGTCCACAGGGACCCTGGAGTATGGATGGAGTAGGGTGAAAATGGAGCTTAGCACCGCCTTTGGGACACTATCAGCAGATGCAACCCCTTGGGCTGTACCCCCGACAGCGAAGGTAGGGGAATGTTGTTTAGAAAGTCAGTCCACAAATGGGTATTCTCCAAGCTGGTTCCCTGACCCCACACTGGACAAGCTGCTATGCTCTCTGCCCTCAGGATGCTTATAAAGTGGCCAAGGGTGGATAAGATACCAGGAGGGAAGTCTCAGTGGTTTGAATAACCAGCAGTTCCTGCTTTACCTTTGATGCATCAGGTGCTGCACTAGACATCTACTTATAGGTGAGAAAAACAAGGCTCGGGGGGTTCACTGACTCCCCAGGGTCATCCAGTTTGGATGCCAGAAAAGGGATGTAAACTCAAATCTGGGGCATTCCAAAGTCCGTGTTCTTTCCAGGTGGGGAAACTTGGGTCTGAGCTTCGCCAGGCCTGCTGGGACTCCCAGATCAGCCCCTGCCTTCCAGGAGCTCCGTTGTGAAATGCCCTTGCCCGTGTGATGTTTGTGTGTGCTTTTTTCTGCAGGAAGTCTTGGCCTTCTCTCCCTCCCCATCCTCTCAGCCCGTCCTGCCCCTGCCCGGAGGGCTGTGTGCTTCACTGGAGGGCCTCTCTGCTGTGAATGCACCCCCGCTCCTCTCCACTGACCACATCCTGTGCACCCCGCTTCTCCCTTCTTTCAGGTCACCTCCTTTGATTTGGGGAAGGGAGTGAGCCATTGGCAGGTGAGAGAAACCTGTGCTGAAAGGTGTGGGTGACTTTGGGCTTTTGCTCCTGTGGGGAGGTGTTGGCTCTTCCCAGGTGAGAATATGCCCTAGCCCAGGTTGGGCTAGGGCAGGAGGGGAAGTACGGTGCCCTGTCACTCAAAGGGCACGGGCCTGGCCGCCAGCGCCCCGGAGTCTGGTGTTGCTCCACATGGGCTGGCTGTGTGACCATGTGCACGTCACTCTGCTTTCTGGGCCTGGGTGCCTCTCTGTAGCGCAAGGAGTTCGTGCCAGATGATCCTGGAGGTCCTTTCAGCCCAGCAGTTCCGCGGTTTCAGATGCCTGCTTGGGAAATTCATTGCCCACTCGTTCCCTCTTCCTTTCCTCTGTTGCCTCTTTAAAATGAAGGTTTACTTTTCAGCTGGTGTTAATTGGAAAGCTTTAATGTATGCTTTGGAATGAGTGGGAGGAATTCCAAGGCCATAACTCCCTGAGCCCTCAAGCGTGGAAAGTTTTTTAGTAAGAACGAGTTCGAACAGGATCTTGGGGGCCTGGGGACAGGACACAACCTTGGCGTGCTCATTCACCTCAGGGAACACAGCTGGCTCTTTGGAACCTGGCTGATTAAACCTGGCAGGACCTGGGTGACAGAAACCCAGCAGGGCCAGAGCTCCTCTGTCTGGGGACCCTTGTGCCACCAGCAGCCACAGCCTTCCCCTGGAGCCTGCTCTCCCCACTCCTGTGCCAGCCCGTCACTCTCTCTTCCCCAGCTGTGCCAGCCCTCACTCTGGCCCTGCCCCAAATACACGTCATGTCCCTCTGGCTTGCCTTCTTTAGCTCAGCCCTTCCCTGTCCCCTCCTCATCTCTCTACCTATTGATGTCACCTCTTTCCTTTTATGCCCAGCGTTTCCTTTCCACTAGCCCAGGTTGGGCTAGGGCAGGAAGTTGAGCTTGGCACGGGCCTGGGCCAGGGACCACATACAGTGTAAACTGGACTGTGGGGCTGGGAGGGCTAGGGGAGCATTGCCGCTGATCAGTCAGTCAGTTAATGTTGACCAAGCCCCCATCACCTGCCCGAGGTGAGGCCGAGCTCTTCCAGTGAATGAAAAAGATGTACACACAGCACTTCCCTTGGGGGAGCTACCCATAATGGGGTAGACCAGCCCCCAGGAGGGACCCTTACGGAGTGGTGGGTGATAAACTGCTTCTGTAAGTCAGAGAGGCGGCTTGGGCCTTCAGAACTCAGGTGGGAGTCAGTAGGCCTGGGTCCAGCCTGCCACTGGCCACTGGCTCCTTTGCAGGTTGTGGCTCAGTCACAGGACCTGTCTGAGTTTCATCTTGTGGAATGAGAAGGTTGGGGTGGGTCTTCCTGAAGTCCCTTCCAACTCTGCATAGTTAATAGTCACCATTTATCAAGTGCTTTCTGTGTGTCAGGCGGTGTGAAATGCTTGACAGACCTAATCCCATCTCATTCTCCCAGAGCGAGGCTCTTTTATTTGCCCTCATTTTGCAGATCTCAGGCTTAGAGCTGAGGTTGCAATCCAGTGGCCTCTAGGTCTGATCCAGGCCACAGATGCGTTTTGTTTGGGCGCAGCTGACATACTGGAGAGATTTTTCAAAACAGGGGATGTTGGCTTTTTTTTTTTTTTTTTTTTTTTTTGAGACAGGTTCTTGCTCTGTTGCCCAGGCCAGAGTGCAGTGGTGTGATCACAGCTCATTACAGCCTCGACCTCCCAAACTCAAGTGATCCTCCCACCTCAGCCTCCTGAGTAGCTGGGACCACAGGCACATGCCACCATATCTGGCTAATTAAAACTTTTTTTTTTTTTTTTTTTTTTTTTGTAGAGACAAGGCCTCACTATGTTTTCCAGGCTGGTCTCAAACTCCTGAGCTCAAGTGATCCTCCTGCCTTGGCCTCCCAAAGTGCTAGGGTTATAGATATGAGCCACTGCACCTGGCTGATGTTGGCTTTTTAAAGTTGGAAGGTCTAGTTACACTGAGCCTGTGCTGCCCGGTGGCAACAATTGGCTGGATCTGGCTCTCAGGCACCACCTCCACATGGGGCTGTGCTTTCCTGACCCCTCAGTCTTGACACAGTACTGGGACTTGCCCTTGTACACAGTAACTTCATGAATTTATGTTTTCCACCTTGTAGGTACTTGAGTTTGCAAACCTTGACTGAAGGCTGTGATGTTATACTGTATCAGTCACACAGCTACTGTTAGGGACAGTGTTCCAGCTTGAGTCTGTCTGACTTTAAACTGTGAACCATCCTGCTGTTTTTCTGAGTTCTCCCCTCCCCTCCCCTCGTTTTTTGTCTTAAAAAGAGATAGAGTTGGCCGGGCGCGTGGCTCACGCCTGTAATCCCAGCACTTTGGGAGGCCGAGGCAGGCAGATCACGAGGTCAGGAGATCGAGACCATCCTAGCTAACACAGTGAAACCCCATTTCTACTAAAAATACAAAAATTAGCCGGGTGTGGTGGTGGGTGCCTGTAGTCCTAGCTACTCAGGAGGCTGAGGCAGGAGAATGGCGTGAACCCGGGAGGTGGAGCTTGCAGTGAGCCTGCACTCCAGCCTGGGCGACAGAGTGAGACTCTATCTCAAAAAAAAAAAGGAGATAGAGTCTTGCTCTGTCACCCAGGCTGGTGTGCAGTAGCACAATCATAGCTCACTGCAGCGTTGATCGGCTGAGTAGCTAGGACTTCAGGCACACACCACCATGCTTGGCAAATTAAAATTTTTTTTGTTTGTATGTTGTCCAGGCTGGTCTCAAACTGGTCTCCTTCTGTCTTGGCCTCCTAAAGTGCTGGGATTACAGGTGTGAGATACCACACCTGGCCCTGAGTTATTTCTAAATCCTAGCAGGGATTTTGAATCTTTTGTCTGAGCCTAGGAGACCATAGATAAGGAAGTTGGCAAGAACCCCTCTTAACAGAGAGGTTTGAGTCCCCGCATCTGTCTGAATGTGCTCCTGCAGGGAGGTGGCGTCCACTTTTGGATGTTGCTCATGTTTTAGTCCAGAGAAAAACTGTCCTCTTGCTACACAGTATGTCCTTTCTGAATTAATTAAATGTCATTGTTTTTTCTCTACCACTTGTTTTCCTACACCTTGGTTTCTATTTACTGGCAGGTTGAAAGCAGGTGACCCCGCCTCCTTGCCCCTAGGAGGGCTGCCAAAATGCCAAACAGAGAGCTTGCGTTTTGCCCCAGGCACTTGGAGGCAGGAAACAGGGATGTCTGTTTGGACAGTGGATGCTTCAGGGTTGGTCAGGGGTCCCTGGGGGAGAGGCAGGCAGGATGCTAGGCCTCCCAAACAGGGAGGCGGCCCCACAGGGAGCCCTGGTGGAGCTTGAGGCTTCCTGCATTTAGTGTTGGTCTGTCCAGCTGTTTCCTCCTGATAGAGTGGCTGGACAATGCCACAGTGACTCAACTCCAGCCCCGTCGACGAACAACAGGAGATTTGTCCAGGGTTAGCTCGGGAGTGGCGTCTGCATCCCTCACCTGCATCCAAGCTGCTAGTTGGGAGGAACCTGTTGCTCCTTGAACCGCTTCCCTGCTTACTCTTGGTGCCCTAGAGCCCTGTCCCAGTTGGATTGATTCAGGCTGTTTCTTTTTGATTTCCCTGTAGCTTGTCCTTAACCCTTCTTTGTGCACAGCTGACCTAGAGCTTCTGTGGCTCTGTGCTGACCAGCTGCCCGCCTGCCGTCCCAAGCCTGGCATTGCCAGACCTCCCTTGCCCTTGGCCTGAGGCTCAGTGGGTTTGGCACAGTCCCCGAAGGTTCTGAGTCTCTCTCCAGGCATTCAGGGCCTGGGCGAGCTTCAGATGAGAGAGACAGCTGTATGATTCATTAATCTCCTCCAGTGTGTGGAGGATTAAACAATTTTTTGGTGGGTTTATTATTATGTATTTTTTTTTTTTGGGAAAAATTATTACTTATTGAGTATTTTCTAAGGCTCCTGTCATGGTTACTAAGAGCTTTGCATGCATTACCTACCTTAATCCTTGCAGGCACTCTCTGGGAGAGGGATGGTTACTCCCATTTTACAGATGAGTCTGAAGTCCAAGAGGCTAGGGAGCTTGCCCAAGGTCTCAGATCCTTCCCACTTCGTATCCTGTGACACATGAGTTAGGGAGGGATGAGGATGTGCGGAAGAGTTTAAAAAATAGTTTGAGAACTGTTGATGAAGGATGAGAGGTTTAAAAGGAGCTGTGCAGGGAGGAGGCAGAGGTGAGCCGGGCTTGGTCCTTGCACTCCTGGAGTGCGGGAAGCAGGCAGGCCACCAGCTGCCTCTGATGTAAGATACAATGTGGTTGGTGCTAGCAGTGGAGCTGCCAGGGTAGTTTGGAAGCACATTTTCAGCTGGTATATGAGCAACTAGTAGAAGACACTTCAAAACAGAAGTGAGAAATTCCTGGCGCACAGAACGGATTTATCTGTCAGCATGACTTAAACTGTCCATGTAGAAAATACTGAGATATAGTCCCATTTATGTCTAGAGTTGCAAAAATGCAACATTGCTTAGAATTATTTTTAGTGCAATTATTTGGAAGTTTATATCAAAGGCCTTAGAAACATTCATTCATAATTCTGTTCTTTGGAGTTTATACCAAAGTAGTTATATTTTTTCATTGCAGCACTATTTATAGTAGCTAAAAATTGGAAGCATACTGAATGTCTAACAATAGAAAATTAGTTATATAAATTTTGATACATTCTTTTTTTTTTTTGGATGGAGTTTTGCTCTTGTTGCCCAGGCTGGAGTGCAATGGCTTGATCTCGTGGGTTCAAGCAATTCTCCTGCCTCAGCCTCCTGAGTAGCTGGGATTACAGGCATGCACAACCAACACGCGTGGCTAATTTTGGATTTTTAGTAGAGACAGGGTTTCTCTATGTTGATCAGGCTTATCTTGAACTCCCAACCTCAGGTGATCCGCCTGCCTCGACCTCCCAAAGTGCTGGGATTACAGGTGTGAGCCACCGCGCCCAGCCTGATGGACCACTGTGTGGGCTTTTAAAAATTATGTCTTCAAGAATTATATATAATGACTCAAAATAGGCCAGGTGTGGTGGCTCACATCTGTAATCCCAGCATTTTGGGAGGCTGAGGCAGGAGGATCGCTTGAGCCCAGGAGTTCGAGACCAGCCTAGGCAACATAGTGAGACCCCTGTCTCTACAAAAAAATTTTTAATAAATTAGTCAGGTATAGGGGTGTGCCTCTGTGGTTCCAGCTACTCAGGAGGCTGAGGTGGGAGGATTACTCAAGCCTGGGAGGTGGAGGCTGCAGTGAGCTATGATCATGCCATTGTGCTTTAGCCTGGGTGACAGAGTGAGACCCTGTCTCTGAAAAAACAAAACAAAATAACATTAATGAAAAAATGTCAAGCAAATATTGTAAGATATAACACTACAAATCCTAATTTTTTTTAAAAAAGAAGAAAGGTTAGAGGAAATACACCAAAAATGCTAATGGTAGTTCGTGATTATTAGTGATTTTTTTTTTTTTATGTTATGTACTTGCTAACATTTCTCTAGTGAACCACAACAACAAAAACATCAGAAGTGCTTTGGTGTCTCAGAGGATTGCAGAGTGTTTTGCTGCGTGCTCAGCACAGCACCTTTCATTGCAAAACAGGCTCCAGCACTTTCCAGAACAGGGCTTTAAGTGTACTTGGGAGATGAGGCCTCTGCATTGGAGTTCCTTCTTCCTCTCCTCTAACACATTCTTCCCCCCGCAGTTTTCTCCCTTAATTGGATGTAAATTTACAACTAAATAATTATTTTTAAAAAATAGGTACTGTTCTTATTGGCTGTTTTTCCGAATACTCTGATGAGAGAGACATTTCATATTTTTCACTCTATAAGAAGACCCTAATTTAAGGTTCTTTCTTCTCATGGAATTTAATTGATTTTTTTTCTCTGTGGTTCAGATGATGTTTGTCAGATAGAAGAATTTGCGACTCCTGCCTTAAATGGCCTTTGAAAGCCCAATGTAAAATAGTGCCTTGTTGTTGTGGCCTGCTGGGTGACACCAGGGCAGCCTGGTGTCACCACAGAGGAATGGTTCTGTGGCTGACAATACGTTTGAAACTGACCCTCAAGTGAGCCCAGAGAACACTTGTGATCATAGCCCAAGAACAGCCTTTTTGTTTGTGTTTCATGGATTATGAACGAGGACTCAGCACATCGCCTGGCATTTGAGGGCTCAAAACCTGTTGTTTGGATGAATGCTGGCCTTTGTGGCAATATTCCCTCCCAACAATAGAGACTTCTGTTGCGTTTGTTGTGTTCAAGTGTCTAGTGAAAATGCTCTCCTATAGTGGTTGAGAAAGTAAGTTTTGGATGAGAGATTCAGATCCTGGCTCACTAGTGTAGTGACTGTGAACACTTCTCTTAACCTTTTGCAGCTTCACTTTCCTCCTCTGTCAAATGCATAAGACCTCACAGGGATGTTGTGAGGGTTAAGGGAGAGTACTTACAAAATGCTTAATAAGGGATCGATAACTATACAGTCACGTGTTGCTTCACGACTGGGCTGTGTTCTGGGAAATGCACTGTTAGGTGATTTTGTTGTTGCGTGAACATCAGAGTGCACTTACACAAACCTGGATGGTATGGCCTACGGCACACCTAGGCTCTAGGGAAGAGCCTTTTGCTCCTAGGCTACAAACTTGTACAGCATGCTTCTGTGCTGAATACTGTAGGCAATTCTAACACAAGAGTGTTTGTGTGTCTATACGCTGGAGCTGCCAGAGTGATTTGGATATGTGTACCTTTACCGCACCTTTTCTATGTGTACACTAAAAATACAGTATAAAAGATTTAAAGTGGTACCCCTGTATTAGGCTGTTCTTGCACTGCTATAAAGAAATACCTGAGACTGGGTAATTTATAAGGACAGAGATTTGGGCCAGGCCTGGGGGCTCACACCTGTAATCCCAACACTTTGGGAGGCGGAGGCAGGAGGATCCCTTGAGCCCAGGAAATTGAGACTAGCCTGGGCAACATAGTGAGACCCTGTCTCTACAAAAACTACCTGTAGCCCTAACTACTTGGGAGGCTGAAGTGGGAGGATTGCTTGAGTGTAGGAGGTGGAGGAGGCTGCAATGAGCTGGGATTGCACCACTGCACTCCAGCTTGGGCACCTGAGTGAGACCCTGTCTCAAACAAACAAACAAAACAACAACAAAAAAGATTTAATTGACTCATGGTTCTGCAGGTGATACAGGAAGCAAAAAAAATTCATGGAGTCTCGCTGTGTTGCCCAGGCTGGACTCGAATTCCTGGATCAAGTGATCCTTCTACCTTTGCCTCCCAAGTAGCTGGGACTACAGGCTTGGTAGCATGTCCAACTTGTGCTAGACTACACTAAATTTATAAATTTATATAAATATTTTTCTGGCCAGGTGTGGAGGCTCACGACTATAATCCCAGCACTTTGGGAGGCTGAGGCAGGAGGATCACTTGAGCCCAGGAGTTGGAGACCAGCCTGGGCAACATAGTGAGACCTCTACATCTTGTCCCGCTGGAAGGTCTTCAGGGGCAATACATAACGGAGCTGTCGTCTCCTGTGACAACAGTGCCTTCTGGATACCTTGTAAAGGACCTGCTTGAGGCCGTTTTACTTAACTTTAAAGAAAAATTTTTTTTTTTTTGAGACGGAGTCTTGCACTCTTGCCCAGGCTGGAGTGCAGGGGCGCAATCTCGGCTCACTGCAAGCTCCGTCTCCTGGGTTCACGCCATTCTCCTGCCTCAGCCTCCCGAGCAGCTGGGACTACAGGCGCCTGCCACGATGCCCGGCTAATTTTTTGTATTTTTAGTAGAGATGGGGTTTCACCGTGTTAGCCAGGGTGGTCTTGATCTCCTGACCTTGTGATCCACCTGCCTCGGCCTCCCAAAGTGCTGGGATTACAGGTGTGAGCCACCGCACCCAGCCACTTTAAAGAAAATTAATTAAAGGCATATACTCTAAAATAATGGTAAAAGTATAGTATAGCAAATACATAAACCAGTAACATAGTTGTTTATTATTCTTAAGTATTATGTACTGTCCATAATTGTATGTGCTGTGGTAGACATATTTTTAAAAAATTCATGGGGTCTTGCTATGTTGCCCAGGTTAGACTCGAACTCCTGGGCTCAAGTGATCCTTCCACCTCCACCTTCGTATTAGCTGGGACTACAGGCTTGGTGGCATGCCCACCTTGTGGTAGACATTTTTACACGACTGGCAGTGCAGTGGGCTTGTTTACATCAGCATCACCACACACACGTCAAGACTGTGTGTTGTTGGATTACGACACCTATGATGTCACTGGGCGGTAGGAATTTTTCAGCTCCGTTGTAATCTTAGGGGACCACTGTCGTATGTGTGGTCCGTCATTGGCTGAAGCATTGTTATGTGGTGCATGATGGTACTACCGATATTACAATATTGTTATTTTTGGCAGAGAGGTTTTTCCCATTCTTGTCTCTGTTCTCAAGTTGTTTGGGGTGGCAGACTGAGCCAGGGATGTGGTTCAGTGTCCATTATCTCATAGATCCAGGGCCCTGACCACTTTTTCTCCAGCTCCACCTGTAGGATGCCCTCCTTTTGGGCCTGCAAACACAAAATGGCTAATCTCACTGACTTTCTTGGATATTCAAGCTCAGTGGGAAATGAACTTTCAAAACACAGAAGGCGTGATTTCAGAGTGTCTTCAAGGGGGCCTTACACACAAAAGGAGGCTGGGCGTGGTGGTGCAGCTGTAGTCCCAGCTACCCAGGAAGCCAAGGCAGGAGGATTGCTTGAGCCCAGAAGTTCAAGACCAGCCTGGGCAACATAGTGAGACCCTGTCTCAACCCCTGCCCCAACAAAAGCCCCACGAAAGGCTGAATTACCCATAGCCCCCCAAGAAATACCTTCCTGGCTTTATGGTGAGTCAGGCACCCCTGCACTCTGCACGAGGCTGCCTGGGTAACCACTCTGTTCCTCACTAAAAGGAAAGACTAAACACTTTGAGATTCAGCACCTCATCACATCACCATCATTATATTTTGGAATTTTTTATTGTGAAATATACGCAACATAAAATTGACCATTTCAACCATTTTTAACTGACATTAAGTACATATACATTATTGTGCAATCATCACACTATCTCTTTTCACAACTTTTTCATCATCCCACACTGACACTGTGCACCCATTAGATGATAACTTCCCATTCTCCCCCTACTTCCAGCCCCTGGTTATCATCATCCATTTTCTGGCTATGAATTGGATTATTCCAGGTACCTCATGTAAGTGGAATCATGCAATATTGAACCTTTCGTGACTGGCTTACTTCACTTAGCATTGTACCCTCAAGGTTCATCCATGCTGTAGCCTGTGTCAGATTTCCTCCCTTTTTATGGCTGAGTAATATTCCATTGTGTGTATATGCCACATTTTTTTGCCCTTTTACCCAGTGATGGACATTTGGGTGTTTCTACCTTTTGGCTATTGTGCAGCATCGTATTTTAAAATCGAGTGCCCACTCTTCTCCTCTCCAGTCACTCCAGTGGCTCCCCACTGCCTGCACACCCACCCACAGGACTTTGCACAACCGAAATGGATGCACGTGTTAGTAATGTGACATGTGTTTTCCGAGGTAGTTTTTCTATGCATTGGATCCGTCTATCCATCCCCTTTATGAAGCTGTAAATGCTCAAAGGTTAGGAGCTAAGATTAATAGTTCCTTCTACTACCTCCTGAGAGTCTGTTTCAGGAAGTGGTAAAGGATGTTGGTTAGGAGTGTGGGTTGTGAGGTCAGACCACATGGGTTTGCATCCTAATTCCACCACACACAAGCTCGTCATCACATGTATCCCTTAACTCTTTGGCACTCAATTTGTCCACTTATGAAATGGTGATGTTGGTGGTAACTACCTTGTAGGGCTGTTAAGAACATTAAATGAGATAATCCATGTATAGGACTTGGCCTAGTGTCTGATACATTGTAAGCCCTTGAATGTTAGCTTAAGCAAAAATTAAGAGCTCAGCTTCCTTTCAGCATTTGCCTTTTTCATCTTCATAATTCCCTTGCTGGGCAGCTCAAGGGTAGGATGAACGGTTCCTGCCGTGTGGAGTGGCGTCCCTGGGGCCAGCTGTCCCTCGGGGAAGCAGTGACGGGAGCCTGGCAGAGGTAGAACCCTGTTTATTGTTCATCCCTGACCAACCCCTCCATGCCCTCTGTGCATTCAGATATCAGGTGTACTTGGAGGTGCCCAGGCCCCTGGGTCTTCTTTGATCCCTCCCTGCATCCTCTTTCTTGCGTGGATCACCGATGTGTGGGACAAACTTGGCAACTTGGGAAGGTCTCTGGGCGGCTGTACCGCCTCTTTGGCCCTCTCCAGGATAGTGCTGTTGGGGTGGCCAGAGGGTCGCTTCCCTTCTACTTCCGCTTCCCCCGGTGGCCAGCCCTGCCCCACCAGCCTGGGAAACCTGATTCCTCCTGCCCTCAGTGCCAGCGCACTGGCAGGATCTGGCTGGGCATTTGGCAGCCGCTTGAAGCAGCCTGCGGTTTCGCCCTAAAGCTGATCGAGCTGGTGAAAACGGAAGTTCCCCATTTTTCCCCCTCTATTTAACAACATTTCCCCAAATGTTTACTTGATCCTCTCATGTTTTCTTGTTCGCGTCAGCTACTAGCTTTCCGCTTGCTGGCCACAGCAAGGCAGGGAGAGGTTTGCTGCTGCTTGGGGCTGATTTTCTGCTCTGGAAAGGCATCTCCAGGTGTGACGGACAGCAGAGGGTGGGAGCTGGGCAGATGGTGTCTGGAGGCAACACCCCAAAGTCAGGTGACTGCATCCAGGTGATAGGGCTTCTCGGGACTGGCCTGGGGCAGGGTGGCAGAGTGGGCCCTTCCTAACTGCGTGACCTCGGGCAAGCTCCTGAACCTCTTTCGGCTTCTGCTGCCTCACCAGTGAGATGGGGATAATAATAGTACCGGCCCACAGAGATGTGCAGAGTCAGTGAGATAACCTACACAAAACGCTTAGCAGAGTGTCTGGCACACACGGCCGTGCTCTAAAAATGTGAGTTACTTCTATTTTTACCGGCAAACTTTATTTTTGCTGTTTTCCAGCCTTCTGTTTCTTTGCACATTTTCTTTTTTTGTGGCGACCTTGATTCCTTTAGGATCCCAGTGCTCTTGGATCACTCCCTTCTTGCTTCTAGCAAAGCCCACTCTCGGGAAGGGGTCTTACGTTGTAGCCGCATCGGATTTCAAGGGCAGAACCTTCAAGGTCGTTGGGGCCAGTGCCCGTGTGGTATTTGTTTTTGCTGAGCGGCTCTTTGCTGTGCTGCATCTCCTCGCCTCCTTTGACGGGGTACACACGCTCTACCTGCTGAGACAGTCTCCTCCATCTTTGTCATTTTCTCCACTTTTGGGGAAAAAAAAAAAGAAACCGGATGTTTATGGAGCCCTTTACGTGCCAGGAGCTGCTGGGCACAGTCATCTCATTTCATTGTCCCAGCCGGCCTTCGAGGTTGGTGGTGTTAATTGCAGTTTTTACCCAGGCACCGCGTGGTTGAGTAAATAGCCAGAGGTCACATGCAAGCAAGCGACAGTGGGACTTGGTTGAGCCTGGACATGCCGAAGCTGCGGCCCACGTTCTCTGCGCTGATGGTGGCGTACAGCAGCAGCCAGTTGCACAGGTGCTCCCATTAGGATCTCAGCCCCTGCACTTACTGGATGCCTGTGGGCCAGTTACCTACCTTCTCCAGCCTCATTTTCTTCACCCGAAACTGGGGGCAGTCCCATCTACCTCCTAGGGCTGTTGTGGGTATGAAGTGAGAAAATCCTCTAATGCTGATGAAAGCTTCTGGCCTGACCGTGGCAGGTGTGCAGGGAATGCTGGCTGTGATGTGTGCTGTGATGCTGGAGCTTGGCTTCCGGGAGGTTCCATACTCTGGGAACTTGCAGGACAGGTCCTGTCCTTGGACCCTCGTCGGATAGGCCCTCAGGTGTTTGTTACCAGGTATTGTGTCCTTCCCAAAGTCCTCGCAATTTTTTAAAAACATTTTTTTTCTTGTGGTAAAATACATACAAAATATATCATTATAACCATTTTAAAGTGTGTAATTCGATGGCATTTACTACGTTCACCGTGTTTGTAAAACCATCACCACTACTTGCTTCCATGGCTTCTTCATCACCCTGACTATGAATCCTGCACCCCTTACCTGTGACCCCCCAGGCCTCTCACCACTGGCAACCACTGATCTGCTTTCTATCTGTGGATTTGCCTCTCCTGGACATTTCGTGTAAATAGAATCATACAGTATGTGGCCTTCTGTGTCTGGCTTCCTGCACTTAGCGTATTTTCAAGGCTCACGCATGCTGTAGTGTGCATCAGTACTTCATTCTTTGTAAGGCTGAATACTACTCCATTATACCTATGTGCAATATTTTGTTTTTCTGTTCTTCTGTTGATGGACATTTGGGTTGTTTCCACCTTTGGGCTGTTGTAAATAGAGCTGCTATGAACATTCATGCACAAGCTTTTGTTTGGACACCTGTTTGCAATTCTTTTGAGCATATACCTAGGAGAAGAATTGCTGGATCATATGGTAATTCTATGTTTTAACATTTTGAGGAACAGCCAAACTGTTTTCCACAGCGGCTGTACCACTTTACATCCCTGCCGGCAACGCATGAGGGTTCCAATTTCTCCACATCCTTGCCAACACTTGTTATTTTCCTTTTTAAAAAAATTATGGCCATCCTAGATGTGAAGTGGTATCTTACTGTGCTTTGATTTGCATTCCCTGATGGACCATGACATGGAGCATTCTCCTTCAGTTCCCGCATTCCTGTTTTCTCCTGACCCGGTTTGAGTCTCTCCCACTGTTCTGTTCATGCTTCTCAACATGTGGCCCCATTTGTCTAGATCCTGTTTAAAACACCAGGCCCCAGGGCAGGCCTCCAGCTAGGTTGGGCGAAGCCTGGCGTGGACGACTCCCACTTCCCTGGTTCCAGATATTTGACTTTTTCCTATTCAGTCTCCTCTGAAAGGCGCCACCCCTCCCCAGCCCATGAAGCTTCCCAGGCTCAGGTTCTCCCATCCCTAGTGGACCGGTGGCTCTCAGCCTCATCGTCCCCACCGCCCGCCTGTCAGGTAGGTCAGGGTGAGGACAGGCGCCACCCTGAGGCCGCCACAGAGCTCCTCCCCGTCACCTTTGGGGCCATTAGGAAGCGGTCAGGTCCTGCCTCCTCCAGATTGTCTCGAGAGGCGTTGTAAGAGCCTCACTCCCCAACACCAGCAAGCTTGCTCCCTTGGAGTATGACTTGAAGGCACCATTTTATGTCTTTTGGGTGGGTTTACGGTTTCAGGCCTATTTCTAACTGGAATCAAAGACTGTCCCTCGGTGAAGGAATTTCAGGCACGAATGAGCAGATGCGTGAGGTATTTTGGGGGCAGAGAGTTTGTCCCTGTGCTCCAGAAACCACTCCACCATCTGCCTCCGTGCACAGGCCCCACCCATCCCGGAAAAAGAGGGGTCCTCTCCTCCCACTTCAGGGCTCTGTCCCGGGAGGCCTGGTCTGTCTCACCAGGCACTTCCTACAAGTACACAGTTTGGTCATCTGCCAGCAGTCTGTCTGTCTAAAGTGTTTATTTACTTTAAAATAAGACTCAATTATTATATAATTTTTTTTTGCTGTAAAAAATAAAATAACATAAAAGTATCAGTAAAATGTGAGGCCCCATTCCTATGCCCCTCTCCCAGCCCCAGGGACCCTCCCAGGGGAAATCACAGGAGAGCCTTGGTATGTATTCAGAATCCTTCCAGGCCTTTCATTCCAATGCAGTCATCTTCCCCCCACCCTCATCTAAGGGCAGCTCCAAAACAGACAACACCAGCAGGCTGAGTGTACCAAAGAAAACAAGGTCAGTGCCCTAAAATGATGCTGCTTGAAGTTGGATGAGCAGGTGGTTTTTTTCTCCCCAGGTGGCTCTGCTCAACTCTGGTGTGCAAACTTGAATAAGGGGTGACTGGGGAAGGAAACCAGAGTGCAGAGGGTGGAGGTTTCCAAAGAAACAGGTCCTGTGAAAATGGATGGATGACGGGGAGGAGAGGAAATTGGCATTAGCATCACCTCTTGATCACCCACCATGGCACGGGGTAATGGCCAGACAGCCACCCAGGCGCAGTTTCTAGCTTGACACTGGCTTTGCATCTTTTGGTGAAGGTAAGTTATTGAACCCCCCTGGGTCTCAGTTTCTTTGATTATAAACAGGGTCAGCGCTTAGGGCTGTTGTGAGGGACTGATTCTTGGAACAGCCCCTTAGAAGGTGTGTAATGTAAGGGTTGCCGTCCCGATCTTGCAGGGTGTCAGGCTCCAGGCTGGTGCTTTGCTTCCTGTGTCAGCTCAGCATGGATGCTTGGCCTTCCTCGTCAGCCTTTCCCGCCGTGGACTGTGGCTAAAGCAGAGCTCAGTAGGTCGCATTGCTAAAAACAGGCACCCCACTCCCAGGATTTGGGTGTTTAGTGTGTTTTTACTGTGTGAATGAATGGGTGATGGGTTGAGACTTTCTCCTCTCCGAAGATGAGAGTATTGTGGGAACAGTTACACAATTAAAGGTCACTGGCACTTTAGCAGGAATTAGTGTCATAGAGATTTTGACCTGAAAGGGACCCGAGATGATCATTCATTGTATAAATGGGGAACTTTGAAGGTTCAAGGAGGGAAGAAACTTGCCAGTCATGTCATACAGCCAGTTAGGGGATGGTCAAGGCTGGAGCCCAGCTCCCCTCATTCTGTCTGTCCTGCCTCATATCTGCAAGGGTCTGCTTGCCTCCGCTCGGGGCTGCTGCTTTGGGGTGGAAGGTCGCTTGGGTCAGAGGGCCTTGGGTCACAGGCAGATGGGCCCTCTGGAGGGATGGAGGGAAGTTTGGGGACAGTGGCATGGCCGATGGCTGTTTGGGGCGCCCAACTTCTGAGACAGAAGGCGGGAAGCATTTGGGGCCCTGGGATCCAGTTTGGTCAGGCCTGGAGAGCCAGCTGCTCTGCTGGTGAATGTGACTGTGAGCTGAGAGCAGGGGCTAGCTCTGCTGGGGAAGGTGGACGTATAGTCAGGCGATCACAGTCCAGGGTGGATGAGGGTGATGGCGTGCAGCGTGGAAGAGGCAGTGACGTTTGTACAGGCACATCATCCATGTATAGAAGGGAGGAAGAAGAACAATGTGGGGAAAAGCATGGCAAACGCAGGGGCTGGCTAGCTGTGGAGGACATGGGGGAGTAGGGGAGAGACCACTCGGAGGTGCCTGCAGTCAGGGCTGGCATCTTGTTTGCCTGTTCCTTCTCAGTGCCTAGGCACTGCATTGCTTTAGAGTTGGGGCAACACTATTAATTGATTGATTGACAGGGTTTTGCTCTGTCACCCAAGCTAGAGTGCAGTGTCACGATCGGAGCTCACTGCAGCCTCGAACCTCCTGTGCTCAAGCAATCCTCCCACCTTGGCCTCCTGAGTAGCTGGTACCACTGATGCACTCCACCACACCTGGCTAAATTTTAAATTTGATTTGTAAAGATGGGGTCTCACTGTGTTGCTCAGGCTGGTCTGGAACTCCTGGCATCAAGTGATCCTCCTGTCTTGGCCTCCCAAAGTGCTGGGATTACAGGAGCGAGCCACTGTGCCCGGCCACCACGTTTTTATTTGTTACAGGGGTGTATGAGGCACACTCCTTCCTTAATCCCTGGGAGGATAGGCAGCAGGCTTTTGGTGTTCTGTGGGTTTTTGACACGTTTTCTCCTTCTTACACCCTCTGCTTCCTGCTAGGTTCTGCCTCAGCCAGCTCATCATTCAGCCCTGGTCCAGGCCTGCAGGGTTGAGGGGCTGTGGCCCTGAGGCTTGCTTGGTGGCCTTCTGGCTTGTTGCTGTTCTTACTGATGTTGACCACTAGATGGCAGCAGGAAACCTATCAATTTCTCCCCCAGGTCCATCGTATTCAAGTCAAGCCCTTTGGTCTGGGTGGATCAGCCATCGCCCCTTGATGGCATGGGGACTCAAATTCCACATCTCACTGATTCCAGGATGGGTCTGAGGAAAGGCTGGGATGAAGCCGAGGCAGCCCTCTCAGACGTACCCTGTGTCCAACTCTCCTGTGACATTCTTGAGAAGCGGCTGTCTCAGCTCAGGTAGTCCCAGGGTTGGGAGATACCCTTTTAGTAGAGTTCCCACCATTGGGAAAATCTTTGCCACGTGTGCTGGCTGGGTTTTCAGTGTCTTAAAGGGTCCAGAAGCCGAGACCCAGTGTCCCCGAGGAAAGTCCTGTTGCTCCCCGAGGAGTCCCCAGCTTGGTAGCCTGTGCAGTTACTGAGGGCACTGTGGTGGTGGGACACAGTGCTCCTGGCCTGGGAGGGACAACAGCGTAAGAGCAAGGGCATGCTGCACATCAGCAGTGACGTGCAGTGACAGCAAACATGTAGGAAGCACTTCGTGAGCCAGGGATGCCCTGACTCCTTTGCTTACATTTATTGGTTTCCTCCTCTTTGAGGGGCAGCCCTGAATCCCTCCTAATCAGGTGCAGCTGAGCGGGGCCTTGAATGCAGGCAGGCTGGCTCCAGAGTCCCGGGATAAGTCACGCACCACTCATCGTGGGCATTCTTAAGCCTTTGCGTGGGGCTCGACAGTTTGTGTTACAGTTCACGTGGCTCTTCCTCAAATGCCTTGTCTCATTGATCTCCCCCACAGCCCCTGTGTCAGGTACTGGGGGATCCTCTTTTTTGCAGATGAGGAAATTGAGGCTCAGAGAAGTGAAGGATGCCTCCAGCATTGCAAAGACAGGACACCAAACCCTGTCATTAGATTCTGAGTCGGGGTGGCTCTCCTTTTGTCGTGAAGCGGGTTTGCATGAGTAGGGTTGGAAGGAGGGAGAGGAGCCCTCAGATGCCTGAGGTCAGGGCAACTGTCAGAAAATCTATTCTGTTCCCAAACCCTCTGTAAGAGGAACACATGTTCAGGTGCCCGTGGGAAGCTGAAGCTCCTGCCCAGCCAGTAAGTAAACAGGAGCTGGAGGGAGAGAGTGTGCGAGAATGAGGAGGTGGTGACCGCAGCCATCCGCTCCCGCCATAGTGTACCCCTCAGCTGGAGGCAGGGGTGGGGGGCACATTGGCTGGGGACCCCTCTAAGGCAGGGCTGGAGAAACAGCCCCCACTGTGCACTGTGGAGCCGCCAGGTGGTCCCAGCTGCCAGAACCCCTGCCCCGTCCAGTCCTGCTGTGAAGGCTTCGGGTGTGGAAGGGCATTGTGTGCTTGTGGTGGGATCTGAATCCCAGTTGGCCTGTGGAGCTACCACTGCTACTCTGGGATCAACTGAGGCAGGGGACTGCGGCCGGGACCCTCTTTCCAATTGGACCTTCTCAGGGGCAGGACCTTCCAAACTAAGGGGCAGCAGTGGATGGCTCCTGGGCTCCTTGTCGTCTCCTCTCTGGGATGGGTGTTCTTGAGGCCTTGGGCTTCCGCCCCCATCCCACCCTCTCTGGGGTGTGGACACAGGGCCCACTTGGGCATGTCAGCTTCCCTGGAGCTCCCGCAGCTGGGCCCTGCCCACGTTTCCCCGGGCCACGCTCTCCTGGCTGCCCCAGGCCTCACCACTCTCTCACTGGAACACATAAGTGCCTGCCCCTGGAGCCCAGGCCACTGTCCTGACTCCTCGCCCTTCCCAGAGCCCCGCCTCCTGCTGCCTGCCTCCCATGTGGCTTCACATCCTGCGGGTTTTTCCAGCTGACACAGCCCTTGTAGATACATACTCTGCTCTGGGCACCCCACATCCATGCCAGGCCCAGATTTGGGCCCCAAGGGAGTGCTACCCCCTGGGTTGCAGTTCAAAGGCTTCTGCTTTCCAGCCAGATGGAGGAGGGCTCTATCCCAGGCTCCAACATCCTGCTTGGCTCATCTCCCCCACCCCCTGCTCCAGCTGCGTCCTCCCTGTTGTGCTCCTGGCAGTAGGTTTGCTGAGAGGGAAGGGGGATTCCTTTCCTCTTGGCCTCTCCTCTCTCTGTTACATCAGCCTACAGCCCAGTACCCCTGGGCTCTGCCAAGGGAGGGCTTTTTCTTTTTTTCTAGGGGAAATAATTCCACCTCTTGTCACACGGATTTCTGCATGCAGCTCTTCAGGGGCTTGACTTCCTTCCCTCGTCCTATCCCAGGCCCCTTGAAGCTCAAGAGAGGGGCAGCTTTGTTTCCTTAAACAGGGGCTGCTGCTGGCTTTGAGCCTCCGAGGAAGGTCGTGTGAGGAGTCGGGTGTCTGGGTCCCGCTGTCCCCCTCACTGGCTGTGTGACCCCAGGACCATCCTTGCCTTCTCTGGGCCTCAGCACTCCCTTCAGGAGCCTAGGACTGCATTTGTCGTCCATGGGTGGTGAGGGGGCAGTGCCCAGCGGTGCCCGTTCTGGAATGGAGGGCTCTGCCCGTGGGTTTGGTAGTGTGATTTTTCCACCCCTGGGCTGGCCCCTCTGCCTGGGGCGGGTGTAGCTGGCACACCTGTTAGGAATGAGGCATCTCCTTAGTGCCAGGGAGACGAGAGCCCTGGGGCTGGCTGGGAAGTGCAGGGCCCAGCTGAGAAGGAGAGCGAGCTCAGTCTCCTCACTGCGGGTCATTCACCACCTCCCGGAGTCGGTTAGAGGAGGGGGCTAGTCCAGGGTGAATTGGTGGGATGGGAAGAGGCCCCAGTGCCCAGCTCTGCCCAGTCCTGTCTCCTCGCTGGGCTCTCTCCTCCCGTTTCTTTTTTTCTTTTTTTTGAGACAGGGCCTCGTGCTGTCACCCAGGCAGGAGTGCAGTGGGGTAGTCATGTGCAGCCTTCACCTCCTGGGCTCAAGTGATCCTCCCTCCTCAGACTCCCAAGTATTTGGTGTCTGGGACTATAGGCACGTGCCACCATATCCGCCATACAAAAAAAAAAAAAGGACTTTTTTTTCCTTTTTTTGTATTTTTGTAGAGATGGGGTTTCGTCATGTTGGCCAGGCTTGTCCCAAAGTCGTGGGCTCAAGTGATTCGCCCACCTTAGCCTCCCAAAGTGAGCCATCGCATCCGGGCTACCCTGTTTCTTCTTTGTTTTGCCCCATCTACCTCCTTCCCTTTGCTTGGCTTTCTTTCCCTGCACTTATCTGACTGCTGGCCGAAGGTTCCAAGCCCTGTGGGCAGGGTGGGTCCTGGACCCTGTTCTCCGCCCCTCAGCCCGTGCTCTGTTCTTCTCCAGGCAGGCGGAAAGCTGTACCCTGCTTCCCAGCTCAGAGCCCAGGGCTACAGGCTGTGGACGCCCTGAGGAGGGTTTCTCTGGGCCTGCTCCCCCACCCTCCCTACACGCTGTGCCCCAGCCCCTCCCCAGAACCCACATCTGGCCCAAGTGCTCAGTTTTCTGGGCTGTAAATTGCCTCCCGCTGCCCCTTGGCATCCTCTCAGGTTTCAGCTTCATGGCTGTTTTGCTTTTGGTGGGGGGCGGTGTCCAGGGAAGGCTCAACTTGTTTCCTCTCTTCCTCTGTCTGAGACCATGGAGAGAAATCCTTGGCAGGGTTGTTCTCGATCCTTCCGTCCAAGTGTTGGTGAGCTGTGGTTTTCAGCAGGTGGCTGAGTAGGAACCAGTTCTAATTAGATTTCCCCCTTTTCTGTTCACACCTCCCCCTCCCCCTCCTCCCCTCACCCTGCCAGTGGCCAGCCTTCCCCAAGTGTCCCCTGCCGTGCAGTGGAGGGGCTTGCAGTCGGCCAGCCTGGGGATGGTGGGATTCGCTTCAGGCTGCGCTGCCCTCTGCTCCTTCTTGACCTGGCCCTTGGCCTAATGCTCAGCCTCAAGGGTCCCCTCAACTCCCTGCATCCCCTCAGATAACTTTTCCTTTTTTTCTTTTTTTTGAGACAGGGTCTTGCTCTGTCACCCAGGCTGGGGTGCAGTGGTGTGACTCCCAGGCTCAAGTCGTTCTCCCACCTCAGCCTCCCGAGTAGCTGGGACCACAGGTGTGAGCCACTATGCCCAGCTCATTTTTTTGTATTTTTGGTAGAGATAGGGTTTCACCATGCTGCCCAGGCTGGTCTCAAACTCCTGAGCTCAGGTGATCCACCTCCCTCGGCCTCCCCTAGTGTTAGGATTACAGGCAGGAGCCACCGTGCCTGGCCTCAGATAGCTTTTATGTTCCTTCACAGCAGGTGACTCTCTAGCCCCTGCAGCTGACCGTCAGGGGCTCAGGCCGTTGCACCCACGTGGCCTCCCCAGGAGCATGGCAACCATCAGCTCCAGCTGGTCCCTGGGCAGATCCACTCTCCCCGCTGCAGAATTTGCTTTGCACTATCGCCTTAGCTCATCCACACACCTGGGGAAGCCTGCTTGCTTAGGCCTAGGAAGGGTATCTCAGGGCAGCCACCAGGACAGTCGGGTGCAAGTAATCATCAGATTACTACCCAGAGTGTGGCCCGTGGACCTGGGCTATCTGTAAGGAATTAAGTCCTGGAGTGGAAAGCGTGCATTTAGTAATGCTGTAGCGGTTGACCTGGCCCTGACATTTTATGTTGTTTAGTGTTTCCCAGGGGTAGCTCCAGGGGAGTCTCGGAATTTGGTGGTTGGTACCAAGGAAACTTGTAGGGATTTTTAGTCGACACTGAAGGACTTCTCTCATCGAACAAGATACGGGCCAGTTTGGGTGTTGTTGAAATCTGGAGGAGAGTCATGTGTGGTGCGAAACAGGTCACAGTAGGATCATGCACTGGCCCGGGATGGACGGGAAATAGAAAGCCTGGCACTGGCCACGGATCAGCTGAGAAGTGCTGCCCTCTGCATCCCAGGCCTGCAGAGGAGTCCCTGCAGGGAAGTTCAGAGGGTTTCTTAGGAGCAGCTGAAGGGATTTTTAGATTTGGTATGGGGTGGTGAGGAGGCGTTTGGGGTTCGATGATGAATGCCCAAGGAAAGTTCAGGATTTCTTGGGGGAATTGGAATGAGGAAGATTTGTAGTTTGGTGTGGGAAGTCAAAGGGTAGTTTGGAGTTTGAGGTAGGAGGACTCAGGGATGTTTGGGGTGTGGGGGCCCACAGGGAAGGCTCAGGGAGGGCACAGAATGCTGTGAGGTTCCTGGGAAAGCCCAGGGGAAGAGTGGGTTCAGGAGTGTGGACCAGGGGAGGTTTGGAGGTGACAGTGGGAGGCTGAGGAGAGATTTGGGGTTTTACTTGCCAGGTGGAAGGGCGTTTGGATGTGTCTAGATTAAGGACCAAGGGTGTTTTGGGTTATTGGAGAAGGCTGAAGGGAAGGCTGGGTGGGGAAGGGCTGTGGGAAGTGTTGGGGTTCATAGTAGGGGAGGGAGGGGGAATTTTTGGGTTCCATGCATGGGGCCAGAGGGGAGCCGTGAGATTCAGTTGACGAGGACCACGGGGCTTTGAGGTCCTCGCCAAAGGAGAGGTTTGAGTTTTGCCTTTCCCAGGGTTAGCTCAGCTTCCACAGTCTCTGTCGGCTCTCAAATACCCCGTGTCAGGAGGAAGTCTAAAGGAATCTTAACCTGTCCCCTTCAGACCTGCTCCTTGGTGCCAGAACCTTCTTCCTCCCTCAGCTTCCCCAACTCTCTCCACACAAAGGCAGCTGTGGCATGCTGTGAGAGCACACAGGGATCTTAACTCAGGGTGACACCCAGTGGCTTTTCCAGCCTGTTCGCCTCGGTCTCCCAGCCTGGTGGTGATGGCTATCCGGCCGGCCTCTGCAGCGCACGGTGATGCCCTGGTCTCTGCCAGCTCACCTTCCTCCTGCCCCGGGCCCTGCTCCTCTGAGGCCCACACATCTTTCTAGGGCCAGCAGGAGTCCTGTGTCTTTGAGGAGGCCGTGCGTGACCCCGTCACCCAGTGGCCTGTCCCTCATTCCGTGCCCTCATTTGCCCTTGGCTGTGTCTCGGCTGCAGCTGCGCTTGTGTTTTGCCCTGACTCCTCGGTGTGCACGTGTCTCTCCAAGTCCTAGATGGTGGCACCCCAGAGGCTGGGCTGCGCGGCCTCTGTGTTGTATCTTAGCTGCTGGGGAAATGCAAGGCCGCTGGTCTAAAGGCTTTTCTCTGAGTTGGGGCCACCCATGCTTAGTCCCCACCCACCAAGCCTGGCCCAGACCTGTTCTGTGGGCTGCTCTTGCTTTTCCCCTTTGCAGGAATAGCCCCACATCAGAACAAGTCACCTCCTCCCAGTGGCAGCCACCTCAGACTTGGATGCAAGGACCCCATCCCAAGTTGTCCCTATAAGTTTCTCCTGTGCCCGGAAGCCGACTTCCTCTGTCTGGCGCTTTCCCATGTGGCCAGCAGGTGCATAGCAAGGCTTGGTGTCAGGCATTGCGCTAAGTGTCTTACCATGGCCAGGTGCTCACAGGAATCCTGTGTGACAGGTGCCTTCTATGGAGGAGGAGACCAAGGCACAGAGAGGTTAAGGAAGCTGCCCAGTGTCACACAGACTGAGATTGTCACCGCTCTGCCTGACTGCTGCTGGGGTGACGCTGCTGGGCCCAGATGCCCTCCAGGGAGCCCGCTGCCTGCTGTCCTCCCTCACTGCAGCCTTTATTTTACCATGGAGTGTCCCCACCCAGCCACACCACTGGGCTTCCCACTTGGCAACTGAGTTTCCCCTTTTTCTCTGTCTGGGGACCCCTCCTCCTTTCCTTGGAAACTGAATGGGGCTCACGTTGGCCCCTCTGTGTGGGCCCCCTCCTCGCCTCTCGCCTCCTCCCTTCCCTGAGAAGGGCTGAAACCATTCCCAGGCTGGCCCTAGATGTGGGACAAGGGCTGTGGGATGAAAGGTGATATATAAATGTAAGGCGATGATTATTTATTTGACAGGGACAGCTGCCTGTGGTAAAAAATCTAATCTAGTAATCCTTTTGTGAAAATCCGATCCGAGGCTCAGCAAGCCGCCTGAGACAGCAAAAGGCCACGTTCCCTCCCTGCTCGCCCCTGCCCCCTGCGCCATGCTCTTACTCCTGGTGCCCCGCATCCCTGCCCCCGGGTGCCTGCGGTGCGTATCTCCCTGTGTGCGTGCTGCACCTGTGCATATGTGCTCTTGCTTTTGCTTTTTTGGGTTGTTGTTAACATCCTACATAATCATAGGACAACTGTCAAAACCAAGAAGTTAACATTGGAATAGCGTTATTAACAATAGATTTTATTTAGATTTCACTGTTCCCACGAGCGCCCTTTTTCTGTACCAGGAGCCTCCATTGCGTTGAGTTGTCCTGTCTCCTTAGGCTCCTCCGTCCTGCGACAGTTCCTTAGTTTCTCCAGATCTTTCATGACCTTGACAGTGGTGAGGAGTGCTGCTCGGTCACTCTGCAGGACGGTTTTTCACTCTGGCTCTGTCTGGCATTTTCTCATGGTTAGACTGAGGTTCTTTGTCTTTGGAGAGACCACTGTGGCATGGTGACGTGTCCTTCTAGGTGTGTGGCATCAAGGGGAATGTGATGTCTGTGTGTCTTATTACTGGTGATGATGCCCTGCTCACTTGGAGAAGGTGATGTCTGCCAGGTATCTCCCGTATATAAAGTGGCCCCTTTTTCTTTATAATTAATAATATTTATAGTTATATTAATCATAATTAATAATATTTATAATTATATTAATTATAATTAATACACCATTAATGTCTTGAGGGCAGGCACTTTGAAACTGTCCTGGTTTTTTCTCAAACCTTTGCTCACTAATTTTAGCATCCATCAGGGGTTTTTGCTTGCAGCTCTTATAATTGTGGTGTTTGCCTAATGGTAATTTTCTGTTTCCCTCATTTCTTCTGCATTTATTAATTGGAATTCTCCAAGAAGGAAGAGCTATTTCTTCTGTCCCACTTATTTATTCAATTAGTTATTTTTATCATTACAGACTCATGGATATTTATTTACTTCACAGATAAAAAGTATAAATGTATGGATATAGGATATATAATAAATATCAGGATATATATTTTATCCTATAGGTTAGAGTTACAGGAACAGCACAATAGATATTTATTTTGTTGTTCAACTTGCTGCAGCCTTGGCCATGGGAAGCTCTAGGGAGCACTTTCAGATGGGCTTCTGTGCCCTTTGGTGTATTCCTGTCTTTTCTGGAGCTCTTCCTTACTTTCTGGCACAAGATGCTCCGGGTCGTGTTATGTTTCTCCTGCCCCAGGCCTGAATCAATCACTTCTCTAAGGAGCTCTGCTTCTTTTTGCTGGAGCATGGTGTTTAGAAACCAAGATCTAGGTGCTAGGTGCGTTCATTGCTACTGGGGTGTCATTGCTTCTAGGTCCTCTCAGAGAATAGAACTAAGAAATAGATATATGTCAACCCAGGCATGGACACATATCTGTATCTCTGTTGTTCTGTTTATTTGTGTTTATATTTACAAAATCACGAGTGTGTGCTGATATATTTATTTATTTATTTATTTTTTATTTATTTTACTCTTTTGAGACAGTCTTGCTGTCACCCAGGCTGGAGTGCAGTGGTGCGATCTTGGCTCAGTGCAACCTCCACCTGCTAGGTTCAGGTGATTCTTCTGCCTCAGCCACCCTAGTAGCTGGGATTACAGGCACCTGCCACCACGCCCGGCTAATTTTTGTATTTTTAGTAGTGACAGGGTTTCACCATGTTGGCCAGGCTGGTCTTGAACTCTTGACCTCAAGTGATCTGTCTACCTTGGCCTCCCAAAGTGCTGGGGTTACAGGTGTGAGCCACTGTGCCTGGCCAGTGAGTGGTATCCCTATAAGAGGGACACAGGAAGCACCATGTGATGACAGAGACGGAGGCACAGGTTGGAGCAATGTTCCTGCCAAGGATTCCCAGCAATGACCAGAAGCTAGAAAGAGGCCAGGAAGGATCTTCCCCTAGAGGCTGCAGAGGGAGCCTCTGCCAATGCCTCCATTCTGCACTTCCAGCCCCCAGAACCGCGAGACCGTAAATCCCTACTGTTGAAGCCTCCCAGCTCGGGGTACTTTGCTGCAGTGGCTCCGGGAATCACATGGAGTGGTTTCTAGTGGGGGTTGCAGGTGCGGGCAGCTTCTGTCAGGCTCCTGCCTGAGATCATCCTCTCTCACATCTGGGTAGCCCTGGGCTGCGCCCTGAGAAGTGAACACAGAGGCTAGTGCTAGCATGTCAGCCATGGCCAGGTGCCCCTTCAGTGAGGCTTGTGTTTGGGCAAAATTAGAACCCAAAAAGCTTGCATTTAAACCATAGCTGCTGATGATATTTGTCCCTTTTCCCTATTCCCCCAGACCTTTATGTTACGAGGATAATCTGATCATCAAATTGTGTTTCTTAGCATTTAATTGGACTTCAAATCAGTTGCATTGCTTTGTTTCCTTGTGCAGAGAGCTCAAGGGCACCTCCTAGGAAATGTCCCTCCTTGATTTCACACATCAAGGTCATTCCTAGGGCTCCTTTTTCTTCCCCCCACTCCCTTGTGAGCACACAGTGCGTGCAGCAGCCCTCGGCGTCCTCTGGTGGATGACGCGTTTGTCAACTGCTTGGACCGTGAGGCCCTCCGGTCAGGACCGCGACTGCCCTTGCATTCACCTCTAGACTCTTGAGCACGTGCACAGCTCTCAGTGCCAGCTCAAGGCTCTCTCCCGTTGTGTCCTCCCTGACTGCCAGTCCATGGTGCTCTTGTTCTTCCTTGGCAGTGCTCTTGTTTGGGAAATGACCTTTTTGTGTGAACTTGTTTTGACGTGCCAGCTTGATGAAGAGCTCCTCCAGGGCCAGGGTCCTCCCGTCCCTAGGAGGTGTTCAGCTAGGGTTTGCTGTGGATTTCCTCCTTTTTGATACCCGTGGGCAGAGGAGCACCCACCTCAGTACATCTTGCTGAGTTTGGGGCAGAAGACTCAAGTGCATATGGGGAAACTGAGTCCCAGGTGAAGAGAAACTCACTCGTCACCCTGAATTCTAATAGCACATACACAGTGAGGGCAGAAGAACAGGGACCAGGTGTCCAGAGCTTCCCAGCAGTCCTCTCTGCCAGGATCATCCTGTCCTGCTCATTCCTCATTTTTCTGTCCAGATGGCTGGGGGAAGGCGTGGCTGGCATCCGCCAAGGTGATGCATGAACACATGGGGTTCAGAGCAGAGAGGGCTCAGACCATTTGGGGTGTCAGGCTGGGAAATCGGAAATGAAAGGCCTGGCGTGGTGGCCAGCAAAACCTCCTCCTGGTGCAGTGTTCCGAAATCACCTGTGGTGGGTTTCATTAGCATGGGCACAGGGGAGGGAAGGCCTCTTGGCAGGCAGAAGAGACAGATGGGCTGCAGGCACTGGCTTGGCCTTGCGAGCGAGCCACGGGGCACGCGGGGCCTGGCGGTGGCCTTCCACCACGAGGCTCCCGCAGGCACAGGCACGAGGACGCTTTCCCACTTTGAGGCTGTGAGCTCCCCCGGCAAGCCCACTCCCCTCCTGGACCTCAGTCTTGTCATCTGTAAAATGAGAAGATTGGGCCAGGCGATCTTTGAGGTCTCTCTGGCCCTGACAGCCTAGATTTATGACCCGTGGCCATCAGGGGAGTGGTGACTAGGTTTGTGGTCAATGGCAAAGGGGCAGGAGGGCGCTGGGATGCGAGGTCAGGGGATGGAGCCCGTTGGAGGAGGACAGCTTCCCCTGGGTGTCTCAAGGCCCTCGGGGAGCTTAGGGTGGGGAGACTGTGTGGAGATGGTGGTCTCTGAAAAGAGGGCTTTTCTTCCTCCATAGTCCCCTGACAGTTTGGTTTTCATTCTGCCCACCTGTCTGTCTACCCTCCGTCTCTCCTACCAGTATCTGTGGAGCACCTCCTGTGCAGGGAACACAGCTGTGCACGAGACAGACAAGGTCCTTGCTTTCATGGAATCCAAGATCCGATTGATGAAGACAGGCATTAGACAAACAGTTCACAAATAGTTAATTACACTTGGAATAAGTTTAAATGCCTCTGTGCGCTCTGCTCTTCCTCCTTGATCTTACTTTTCTGCTGCCTCCACTCTCCTCCTCTTTCCTGCCTCCTTATCTTTCTCCACCTGCTTTGTGTCTATGGCCTTTCTCCACCCACCCAGTGCTGAGATCTTCCTGGGATTCTGTGCTCTCTAGGCCAGCAATGCAAAAAGCTATAGATCTTGACCTTTCTGCTTGTGCGTCTGGACATTCTCTGGGAGGAGAATGGTGGTGGATCCCGTGGCCTCCTGAAAGGGGTGTGGGTAGATTGTAAGCTTTGGGGCCATGCTTTTTTGGGTTTGCATTCAGATTGTGACACTTACAAGCTTGCACAAGTCCCTTATCTTCTCTGAGCCTCAGTTTCCTCATCGGAAAATGGGTTTAACCACACTCACCTTTCAGTAGTATTTTGGACATCAAATGGGTAGATGTAAGTGAAAGTTCATTGTTGGTACCTTGATTTTAAGGTGTTTGATTAAAACTAGCATTCTCTCCCCTTTTCTCCTTACTTCCTTTCTGCAGGGTATGTAGTGAGATATTTTTGAGTTTAGGGTGGAGACTGGAAGCAGGGGAGCCCTGGCCCTCTGCAGGTCACGCTCCAGCCTGGAACCCAGGTGAGGTATGGAGGAGCTGCTGGGCAGCAGGAGGCAGGGACCACGGTCCCTGCCCTGGGATGAGGAGCCCGCCAGGGGCTGGAGAGAATGACAGGCGTCCCATGTATCCCAAAAATGCAGTGTGGTGTGACAGCTGCCTGCTGCATCCTGCTGAGTGTTGGGGCCCGGGAGACCCTCGCCGAGGAGCAAGGTTGGTGGTGGGCATGCTGCAGCCTGAGTCCTGGTGGCATCTCCACCGACGCGACGGGAAGTGGCCTCTCCCTCCTTCAGGATCGCCCCCACCTTCCCTGCCCACTTCCAGATTCAGTTTGAGCCACCTAGGGCCTGTTCTGCCCCCGAAGAGAGAGAACCAGCCAGCCCAGTGCTGCAACGATGGAAGTGTTCTGTTCTGTACCGCCCAGTACAGTAGCCACCGGCTACATGTGGCCGTTGAGCATTGAAAATGGGACTGAAAATGCCCCAAGGAGCTGGATTTTAAATTTTATTCAGTTTTAACTTAAAATGGAAATGTAGGTGGCCACATGTTGCTAGTGGCTGCCACGTCGGACGGTACTGTTCTAGACCAGTAGTTTTCACCTGCAGTGTTGGCTCACACTGGTGGGTGCCCTTTGGTGAGAGGTGCGTTGTGAGTGCCTTGTTCTTAGTAAGAGATTACTAAGCTGTGTGAGTGGTGTACACATATGTGGAGTCGGGTGGGTCGGGGGGCACAGCTTGGCAGATAAAGGATGGGCTCCTGCAAGTCTAATCTGGGTACATTTGGAGATTGAGTGGAGGGTCTGGATAGGGGAGAAGGAGGAGAGAAGTCTCAAGCACTTCATTCATCCTGGAGACAAAGCGCAAAACTAGGGAAGGAATTTTGAGCAGTGATTCCTTTGAAAGAAAGGGAGGAAGGGCATACATCCCAGGGCCATTGGCTAAAGCACTGTATGGATTCTATAGGGGCTGGAGGAGACCTGAGGCACTAGTGTGTAGCCTGCTCATTTTACAGATAAGGAAACTGAGGCCCATCATACATTGGACCAGAATCTGAGAACTACCCTGTAAAGTAAATTATCTGCCTCATTTTGCAGCAGATAATTGCAGAGAAACTGGAAATCAAAGCCATTGGGCATTTTAGTGGAACCAAGTTTTGGTCCCAAGTCAGTCCAGAGTCACAAGCTGAATTTCTCAGACTCTCAGGCCAACACCCACACTGCCAGCTCATGGCATCCTTTCCAGCAGCTCGGGCTGGGTTCAGGATGCTGGGGTTCCTCCTTCAGCACCTGCGGCCTGTGAGGTGGCCAGCGGTGGGGCTGTGGCTGGCAGGGTATGGAACGTGGGCAGGGAGCGTGGCCGTGGTTGTGTGGGGCTGTCTGCTCCAGGGCCTAGAGCGTGCACATGACCACACTGCCAAGTGGCCCTGCTCTTTGTGGAATCCAGAGACGACTGCCTGAAAGGGACCAGGAGGGACAAGGGAGCAAGGTCAGAGTGGAGCCGAATGCTCATATTCCACTCCTTACAGAGCAGCACTCAGAGGAGACCTGAGTCTCTGCATCCTCTCCAGCTCGGCTGGGAAGCTGCCCAGGCGGGGGAGGGACTGCCCCATCCAGCTGTTGTCCACCTCCCAGCCTCCCCACGGCTGCAGCTGTCCCAGCTCCATCAGTCACGTCCAAGGCTGGGTGGGAGGAGGGGATGAGGAGAAGAGGGGGCCTCTCGGGCGTGCCTGGCCGAGGTAACTTTGGCTCCTGCCTCTAAGGAGGTCTCCAGTTGCTGAGGGAAGAGGGGAGGGTGGTGGCTGCCTCCTGGATCCTGGGTAAATTGTGGGGTGTGGGTAGCTCAGCTTTCAGCCCCCCGCCATTTGTCTCTCTGGGAGGGCCAGTGTTTTATTGAAAAGAATAGAAATGGTCGAATTCTTCCTTCATCTACATCTAACAAGTTCTTTTGGCACTTCTTAGCTTTGCTGTAGTTTTTGTGAATGAATAAATGAAGGGCTCCTCACCTGCCTCCAGGGTAGGGAGATGGGGTCTTTGTTTCTTCCGGCTTACTGGTTTGATGATGGTCAGGCCCTGTGTGTAGGGGCTGGACTTGGGGAGTGTGAGCTGTAAGGATGGGTGTATTTTGTCCTCCAAGTGTGGCAGGAAGGAGGGAGATGCCCATCCTGGCATTACCATTTTCTGCAGCCAGATACATGCCTTGCCTTCTTCTCTCTTTTTTACCTGAAATTCAGCAGAGTCCTTGAAGTCTCTAACAACCTTGCATTCTTCAGAAGCTAAAGAGAGATGCAAAGAGAGAAGTGGTCCTCTTTCTTGGCCAGACCTCAGTTTGCCAGCCTGAAGAATGGAGAAGCATTGCCACCTGTCTCAGTCCAACAGACAACAGCATCATGGTGTAAAGAGTTGATTTGAGCCCTTTGGAAAAAAGGCCCTAGGGGAGAGGCACTTATTTTGTTTTTATTCTGAGCTTTATCTGATCTCAACACAGGACAGGATGGGTGTTAGCCAAGTAATAGCCACCAGTGATTCAAGACCTGGCTTGGAGTTAGAGACATCTGGGGAGCTTTTCAATAATTCAGGCTCCTGGGCCCCCATCCCAGATCTTCTGAGTCTGAAGCTCTGGGAACGGGGGCAGAAAGCTGTATTTCGAAAAGCTTCCCACATGATTTTGATGCAAAGGTAGGTTTGCCCCTTTGAGGAGAAATCCCTTGCTGAACAGATATTCGTAAGTGCTTTTCTCTGAAGTATGCCTGACTTTGGGAGCATTTGTTAATTGATGTATTCATCCAGCCAGCAGACATGTAGTGAACGCCCATGGCGTGCCAGACACAGCTCTGGGCAGAGGGGTGTGGGCAGGATTAGGTGGAGTGTTCTTCCCTCAGGGAGGGCACAGTCCAGTTTGGGAGACAGACAGCACCAGCAGTGACAATGTAGCATGAAAGGTGAGGTGTGGGAGATGCCCGCTGGGCCCGTTACATTTGGCTGGACTTCAGAGAATATGTCTCGGCCTCCCTCGGTCTGTTTCCGCCCCTCTGCCAGTTATAGGCTTAATACCCTTTTTATGTGTATTTGAACAGAATAGGGCACATAGCTGACTTGATGCTGATGCCCAGAGAGATTAGGGGGCTTGACTAAGGCCGCACAGTGAGTTAGTATTTTGTTGATGGGGGGCAGGAATGGGGAGGGTTTCCTTTGAAAAATCTGTGTCATAAAACCCCTAAATGGATTGTAGTATATATGGGCTCTGCAGGTGGCAGGCAGACATGGTGTCAGTCTTGGTTTCAGTCTGTGGCCCGGTGTGAATCTTTGGTTTCTTGTCTACATGCTGAGGCTGATATATACGCACGTTGCTGCTGGTTCTTAGAATTAGAGATATGGTATGGTTGGCCCATGCTAGGTGCTCAATGAATGCCAGCTTTTCTTCTCTGCCGTTGTATTTGGTGTCTTAAGTGAGGAGAGTATGCTTTTTGGGGCCTCAGACTCTCTGAGCCCTCCTTCTAGCTGGGGGTTGCCTTAGCTAATTCCCACTTACGAGCTGATTTCAGGGTGCTGAGTTCCAGGCCCTGCAGGAGATCGAATGCTGCCCCTTCTTCACCCCACGCCTGGCCTGGCCTTGGGGAGCCCTCCCCTGTCCTGTGCCTTTTAACTCAATACTCCCTGACAGCCCCATGCAAATTGCTAGAGCACTCAGAACGCCTCATTTCTCATAAGGCCCCTTCATCCAAGCCTTTGTCCTTCCGCTCAACGTTAAACTCTGTCAACATTTTTTCCCAATGAAGTTCTTCCTCCCTCTGCAGCGTCCCCAGCCTCCAGCCAGCTTCGCTAGCCAGGGACACAATTGGATTGCAATTTCTAGCACTTCCTGGAGATCAGGTCCCTGAAGAGCTATAAAAATCCAGCGGTGTTTCTGGCCACCTTTCCATGTGGTTTGTAGTGCACTGTCAGTCACACACGCCTGCAGAGCATGTGTGTGTTTGTGTTTGCACACGTGTGTGCATGTGTGTGAGTGGGTGCATGCATGCATGTGTATTTGGCTTTAAGGGAGGCTCTCATATTGCATTACCTATGTTGCTAGTTTCTGGCTGCCAGTTTGCATTTCTTAGGCGGATTTTCTGATTCCAGGCTCGGGAGGGCTCCCCTGCACTGTATGTAATTGGGCACGAAGCCCGTGGTGGGGTGGATTTGGGTAATGGCAGGGCTGCATTCCTCCCATTCTTTTCTCACAGGAAAAAGTGCCTGGATATAACCCTGTGGTGGGGATTGCTTACAGGAGGGGCCGGCTGCCTGCCACCAGCCTTCACATTTGGCCCCTGTCGGCCCCCTCCAGCCTTGCCCTCCCACCTCCCCTCAAGGCAGATGCCACCAGCTGGGTGGGCACTGGGGCTGCGCATGCCCCCTCAGTGATTAATGGCCTGCAAGACTTGGCTGCCTCTTCCCGCCCATGCTTGGTGGGACATGGCGCCCATTTCCAGGGTCTTCTTCCTTAAACCCAGATATGAAACAGAATAGGGCAGCCTCCAACGTGAAATGTCTCTTACTCTCTCCCTTCCTTGCTCCCTCCAGCCTTTTTTCCTTTCTTAAAAACAAAACAAAACAACCGTGGTGTGCGCCTGTACTCCCAGCTACTCGGGAGGCTGAGGCAGGAGAGTCGCTTGAACCCGTGAGGCGGAGGTTGCAGTGAGCCGAGATCGTGCTATTACACTCCAGCCTGGGCGACAGAGTGAGACTCCACCTCAAAAAAAACAAAAAAAACACACAGCCGATCTTTGGAATTGAAAAGTAAAAGCCCAACAATCAGGCGTAAGTAAATTTCCTGCAAATGGGATGCCTGCTGGAGGGGGCTGTGATTTGCTGCTTGGCGCAGACAACTCTGAGGAATTTTTCCTCTCCAGCTCTCATTCCCTTGGGGAATTCATGGCGGGGAATCTCTCCCTGGGGAGTCTGACCAGCTTGGAAGGAGGTAAGGCAAGGAGGGCTTCCTGTTTTCCAAGGCACCCCCCTCTGTCATAGCTCATAGGGAAGCAGCTGCCACTTCCCAGCCCTCCTTGCCTGGCCACCAGGGAGGCTGCTGCGGGGTCAGCCCTCCTGATTGTCAGCAGGATCCTGGCACCCAGCTCCTCCCTCACCTGCCACAGGGTTTGGCCTGATGCCAGGGTGGGCTGGGATTTGGCATCCCACCGGCCCCTCTTTTTGGAAGGTCCTGTGGCAGTCCTTCTGTCCTTCTGACACACCTGCCCCCACTTGGCAAGCAGCCTTCCCCTGAGATCTAGTTCCTGAGTGTCCCCAGCGATGGACACAGTGAAACATGTATTGAAAAGAATGAGGGAAGGACAGTCTTGGGGGAGAATGCTGGACTGGCTGTTTCTAGCCTAGAGGCTGTCGTCAGAGCCCCGTTCTTTTCTTTTCTTTCTTTTTTGAGACGGAGTCTCGCTCTGTTGCCCAGGCTGGTGTGCAGTGGCGCGATCTTGGCTCACTGCAACCTCCGCCTCCCAGGTTCAAGCAATTCTCCCTGCCCCCGCCTCTCAAGTAGCTGGGACTACAAATGCCTACCACTATGCCCGGCTAATTTTTACATTTTTAAATAGAGATGGGGTTTCACCATGTTGGCCAGGCTGGTCTTGAACTCCTGACCTCAGGTGATCCACCCGCCTTGGCCTCCCAAAGTGCTGAGATTACAGGTGTGAGCCACCACGCCCAGCTGAGCCCCCTTCTTTTCTTATGCTGCATCAGAAGACAGGGACTCTGAAACCACAGCAGAAATGACAGAGCAGCAGAGGCGCACACACACCTGACGGGTGGGGGCCCCAGGACGGCATCTGTGCTCAGTGCGAACGCTGAGCTTCCTTTTATGGTGCGTGCACGCCTGCGCGTGTGTGGGGTGTGGTGGTGGTGGTGGTGGTGCAGGGCAGGCCTTCCTTGAAGCCCTCTTCAGACTGATTTGTGACACCTTTTCCTTGTGCCTTACCCCTGTGGCAGTCCCGGAAGGGCCTGAACAAAGCAGACATTTCCTGCCTAGCCCTTATCATCATGTGCTAGTTTATTTCAGGGTCAGGAGCTATTGGGCATTTTAAAAAAATACTTATCATATAAGTAATGCCGTATAATAGGAACACAAATCAAAGAAATAGGGGTATAAAATACCTGACAAACCTGCCATCATGACAAATCAGTTTTTTATTTTCCATGATGCCTTCAGTCTGTATTTGCTTGCAAACATAATTTTTTTTTACATGGTTATAGTCAATAATGTAGATAGAATTTTGTGTTCTATTTGCTTTCTTTAACATTTTAAGAATTTTGCATTCTATTTGCTTTCTTTAACATTTTACTATAAGCTACATAATCATCACAATTATGATCATCATCATCACACTTTCAAGTGGTTACATAGGAAATGTTTCCTATTTATCCGTTTTCCTACTGTTGAATGTTTAGCTCACAATTTTAACTTACCTAAATAGTAGAAACTGCACTAATACATTAATATGTTAATATTATATATATGTGTGTGCGTGTGTGTCTGTGGATGTATCTCTGTCTGTTTCTCTGTCTAGCTGTCTGTTTCGCTTTCCTACTGTTGAATGTGCAGCTCACAATTTTAACTTACCTAAATAGTAGAAACTGCATTACTACATTAATATGTTAGTATTATATATATATGTGTGTGTGTGTGTGCGTGTGTGTCTGTGGATGTATCTCTGTCTGTTTCTCTGTCTAGCTGTCTGTTCCCCTTTCCTACTGTTGAATGTGCAGCTCACAATTTTAACTTACCTAAATAGTAGAAACTGCACTAATACATTAATATATTAGTATTATATATATATGTGTGTGTGTGTGTGTGTGTGTGTGTGTGTCTGTGGATGTATCTCTATCTGTTTCTCTGTCTAGCTGTCTGCTCCCCCTTTTGCGTTATTTCCTTAGGACAATTCAAGAAGCCAAGCATTCTTTCCTAGAGCAATGAGGTATCTCATTCTGGGTTATTAAATACCAGCCGGAAGTCAGGTGCCTGAGAGCAGCCACAGGGTTTAGCTGAGATCTTGGCCCAAGTCTGTTTTCACACACTGCCCTTGGGAAGGCAGTCAGGTAGCAGAGGTCCTGCTTTAAAGGCTGTTCACTCTGCATTTTTATCCTATCTCCAGCTTCGAAGCCCGCTGGCCTGGTACATAGATTTTGCGTATGTTGCTTCACTCATTCAATAATTCCTAAGTGCACTCCCCATCTGACCCCATTCAAAGCAAGAGAAATAGGTCTCGCTCGCACCCTTAGGGAACTTGCAGTCTGAAATGACCGTGGGCTCACCCATTCAATTATATTCAATCAACTTTATGCAAGCCTGCAAACTCAGATGAGCGATAACAGCCCAGGGTTGTGGGCCCATCAGCGTGTTCCTCCCTTCCTCCCTCTCTTCCTTCCCTCCCTTTTCCTCAGCGTCCTGCTTTCATTGTTTTGCAGCAGGTTGACCAGCATAGAACATGATGCACATGTTCAGCCGTGCAAAAGAGGAGCTAGTGCTTAAGTACAAATGGGAGACATGATTCTTTTGTTTTAAGTAAATACTTAGCCTGACTTCGGTCCTGTGAGCATCTGCACTCCAGGCCTGAGCAGCTGAGCTGCCTCTCACATGGACCTGCCATGATTCCATGACTGCCTGCATGCCCAGTCATCACTACATGGCATTAGGGTGCCAGTGGTTGAACGTGATCACAGTGAGCCCCTTTTCTAGCGACTTCTCCAGCCCCCTACAGACATGATCTAGCTAGGACAGAGACAACTGGAATTTCTCAAAGGGCAGTGGTCTGTAACAGTTAAGCATTCTACATGGTTCTCTTGGTTCCCTAGATCTTCCATTTTTCAAGGAAAATTTGAACTTCTGATTTTTGGGTAAAATCTCCTAATTTTTAACTATTGGCAGCTAATTAAAAAAAAATTAAAACGTGATGCGGACCAAATAAAACCTGTGCGTGGGCTGGATTTGGTCTGGGGGTACCAGCTTGTGACCCCTGCTTTATGTATTAAAGGTAGGGTGTTATGCTGGGCACTTTGGGGAATATAAAGAGCATAAAGTGATGAAATTAATAAAAATCATGGGGTGTGGGAGAGGCAGCTCACACACAGAGCATAACACAGTTGGCTACGCAAGTGAAACCGAAGGCGGGCTGTTCCGGGAATGCTGGGCAGAGACTGTTGATCGTGTTCTGAGCTTTTAGGAAATCAGCACGAGGAGGCCTCTCCTGAATAGCTGTTAGAAGAGACCATATCTTCCAGGCCTGGTGTGGTGGTGCGCACCTGTAATGCCAGCATTTTGAGAGGCCGAGGCGGGAGGATCCCTTGAACCCAAGAATTTGAGGCTGCAGTGAACCATGATTATGCCACTGTGGCCCTGATGACAGAGCAAGACCCTGTCTCTTTAAAAAAAAAAAAATAAAGAGGGAGCGAGAGCAAGACCACGTCTTCCTTTTCTAGTCCCTTTGGGAGGAGTTAGGCCTTGAGTGAGAGACGGCTTGAAGCATGGAGTTGGAACTGGGAAGACTGGATTAGGTGGGTGCCGAGTAAATTTCCTTTTCTCCGTTTTCCCATCACGCAGTGAGGAAAATTGTCCCCCTTGGGCAGTTAGCAAGTATTTATTGTAGGCACACTGGAGGCGGAGTTGCCAGGGCCCCCTCTTCCTCCCCTCCGAGATCTCTAGGGGGAGATAAAGGGGAGTCTGTCTGAAGTGCTTTGAACTCTTCAGGACGCCGAAAGGACTTGAAGACGTTGCTCCATGGTTTTCCCGGATGACAGCCATGACGTATGAGCCTAGTGATACTTAAGAGATACGACTTGCTAGGGAAGTAAACACCCAGTGTTATTTATTAGTTCTTTAAAAAACAAAGCTTTTCTTAGCTGGGAGGTTTCAGATCAGTGACAATGTCAGCTCCAGTTTTCCTCTGTTAATAACAGGCCAGCCTCCTCCCCAGCCTGTGTCAGCGGCATTGAGAAGTGTGTCTGGGGTCTGGGTGCACCTTTGGCATTTGATGATTCCCTGAGAGGAAGGGAAAATGGTACTGAAGACCCGGAAGGTTGTGCAGGGCCAGGACGGATCTCGTTGTGAATAATAAAGCAAGCTGCCTTCCAGTGCTGGGCCTTTTGCTTTTATCTGTGTCCTCCCTCCATGTAGCCCCCTCCAGGACTGGGAGAGGGAGGGGCAGCAGGTGGGGAGTCGGGGGGCCAGGAGATAGGGTGCTGATAGAGGCATCTCCTGTCTTCTTGATAGGGGAGGTGTTGGAGTTTGGGATCTAGGCAAGACTTGGACTTTGCTTCTTAGAGTTGTTTTTTTGTTTTTGTTTTTTTTTTAGATGGAGTCTCACTCTGTCACCCAGGCTGGAGTGCAGTGGCATGATCTCGGCTCACTGCAACCTCCCCCTCCCAGATTCAAACCTCCCAGATCCTCCTGCCTCAGCCTCCCGAGCGGCTGGGATTACAGGCATGCGCCACCACAACTGGCTAATTTTTGTATTTTTAGTAGAGATGGGGTTTCACCATGTTGGCTAGGCTGGTCACGAGCTGCTGACCTCAAGTGATCTGCCCTCCTCAGCCTCCCAAAGTGCTGGGATTATAGGCCTGAGCCACCACTCCCGGCCTGCTTAGAGTTGAATGGAATCTGGAGATGAATGGGAGGGTTAGCTGGCTAGCTGGGAAGGCTGTGGAGCAGGAGAAGGGCCCAGGGCAGGGGGCAAGGGCTGAGAGCTAAGGTTGAGGTGAGGTCTGATGAACTTGAGGGCCACTGCATTTTGACCTTGAGTAACTATAGTATTGATAAGGACAGTACCTTTGCAGTATTGAGTACAAATTCTCCCCCGCTGAGCCTCATAGAAACAGGCCAGAGAGGGCAGAGCAGGTTTTATTATTTCCACTTAATTCAGGCTGAATGTGGTGTTTTTTTTTTTTTTTGAGACGGAGTCTCGCTCTGTCACCCAGGCTGGAGTGCCGTGGCGCGATCTCAGCTCACTGCAAGCTCCGCCTCCTGGGTTCACGCCATTCTCCTTCCTCAGCCTCCCGAGTAGCTGGGACTACGGGTGCCCGCCACCATGCCCGGCTAATTTGTTTTGTATTTTTAGTAGAGACGGGGTTTCACCGTGTTAGCCAGGGTGGTCTCAATCTCCTGACCGCATGATCCCCCCACCTCGGCCTCCCAAAGTGCTAGGATTACAGGCGTGAGCCACTGCACCCAGCCTGAATGTGGTGTATTTTAAGAATGTGGGTTTTTGAAGCTAGACACATGTGGGTTCAAGCTTAGCCCTCTGACCTTGACGAACCTCATTAGCCTCTGAATCTCAGTTTCTCCATCTGTAAAATGGGGAGACCAATGCTTGCCTCACTGGGTATTTTGTAAGGGATGAAAACCTAAAATAGTCTTTGGCATATAGTAGACATTGAATAGTGAATAGCAGCTGCTACTGCTGTCAGTGTAAACTAAGAAACAGACCTACAGAGGTCATCTGTCCTGCTGGAGGTCACAAGGGAAACAGCCAGGACTGGAACCACGGTCCCAGACCTTGTAGGCCGTGTTCTTCCATTCCCGGGACACTTCTTTCCCCTTCCCTGATCAGGTGGGCGCTGGGCAGACGCTGGCAGGCAGGCACCACCGCTGTCCAGGACGCATTTATGCCTGAATTGTAAGTTGTGGGCTGTGCCTGGCCTCAGACATGATTATAGGGTGCTGACAAAAACAGCACCCCCTGATTAAGACGATGAGCGAAAACGCACCCGGGCTTTTGTTCACTGAGCAACTCCATTGTGTCTTTCTCCCCTTTTCCACCCCTCCCTTTATCTACTAAAAAAAAAGAAATGGAAAAGATGAAGGACTGTCAGCACCAGATCACAACACGGGCTCCAGGAGTTGGCGGCTTTTCAGTGCCTGCGGGGTTTCCTCTTCTTGCTTTCCTCGACCAAGTCTAATTGAGATAAATCTGAGGGCTCCCCTCGGAGCACAGGGCTTCCTGCTTCCCTGTGTCCCGGAGGAGCATCCCCTGGGGCTTGCTTTGTCAGCACTCTCCCCTGCCCCATGGATGCCTCCTACAAGATCTGTGGAAGTGGCTGTTCAGTCTGTCTGCTGCCTGTGGATGGAGCTACCTTTCCCCAGCACCCCACAGGTCATGTCACACTCCCTTTTCCTATCTCAGATCTGTGCTTCCATGTATAGTGTGCAAGGCTCTGCAGAACTTGACCTCAGCTTGTCTTTGTGCTGCCGTCCTCCACTGTTCCTTGCATAAAGCATAGGCTTCCGTGGCTCACGCCTATAATCCCAGCACTTTGGGAAGCTGAGGCAGGTGGATCACGAGGTCAGGAGTTCGAGACCAGCCTGGCCAGCATGGTGAAATCCCATCTCTACTAAAAATACAAAAAGTAGCTGGGCATGGTGGCGCACGCCTGTAGTCCCAGCTACTTGGGAGGCTGAAGCAGGAGAATTGCTTGAACCTGGGAGGCAGAGGTTGCAGTGAGCCGAGATCGTACCATTGCACTCCAGCCCAGGTGACAGAGCAAGACTCTGTCTCAAAAAAAAAAAAAAAAAAAAAAGCATAGGCTTCCACTGTGTCGGCCAACTTGCTACTTCCTGACAGGTCTGGAAGCCACCTGCCTTTGTGCTTTTGATCACTTAGCCTCTTTTGCTTGGACAGCCCTCACCCCAGTGGAATTAGGCACAGTCTTCGCGGATTAGCTGGAGTGCCAGCTCCTTTGTAAAGTGCGTCTTGCTTGGGAACGTACTCCTCCTTTGCCCGGCACGTCACAGATATGAAATTAATGTTGGCTTTGCTTAGGGCCCTCTGCTGTGACTGTGCAGGTCTCTTCCAGGGCCTCCTCAGAGCTTGATTGTCTGCGCTCCCCACCCCCTGCCAGGGAGCCTATTTACACTTTTATTGTACATGATCTAAGTTCTTAGGCATTTTTCTTTCTAAGTTTAAAGTTCTCTTACTTTTCCCATTATTGTCTGTTGTTTCTGAGCCTCGGAGGCTACGGCAACAGGAGGGTGAAGTAGAAAGCACACTAGATTGAGAGCAGGAGCCGTGGCTTCTCCTCCCAGCTCTGCCTCTCACCAGCTGTGATTTGGGGCAAGCAGCTGACCTTGTCTGGGTCCGTCTCAGTTCCCCATCTGTAATACAAGGGGTGGGCTGGCTAATTTCTAGGATTTGTGGATGGGGTTTTAAAGAACAGTTTTCCTGAGATATAATTTGTACACCATCACACTCTCCCATTGTTACAGGCTCAATTTTGCCCCTGCAAATCCTAACCCCATACCTCAGAATGTGACTGTATTTGGAGGGAGAGAAGATCTTTAAAGAGGTGACTGAGGTTAAATGAGGTCACCAGGGCAGGCCCTAATCCACCATGACTGGTGCCGTTATAAGAGGATATTAGGGGCCTGGCACCATGGCTCACACCTAGAATCCCAGCACTTTGGGATGCCGAGGCAGGAAGACCACTTGAGTCCAGGAGTTTAAGACCAGCATGGGCATCATGGCAAGACCCCTCATCTCAATTAAGAAACTGTATATATAGAGAGAGGATATTAAGATAGAAACAAACACAGAGGGAAGACAACGTGAAGACGTAGGGAGAAGACGGCTATCTACAAGCCAAGAACAGAGAAAATGGAAGAAACCAATCCAGCTGACACCTTGATCTTGGACTCAGCCTCCAGAATCATGAGAAAATAAACTTCTGTTGTTTAAGCCACCCAGCCTGTGGTACTTTGGTTATGGCAGTCCTAGCAAACTGATACACCTATTTGTATATTTAATATACAACTCAATGGTTTAATCTGTTCAAGTTGTATAACCACTGCCACAATTTATATTTTGAACATGTTATCACCTCAGAAAGAAACCCCATACCCACTGGAAGCCATTCTCTATATCCTCCCAACCCTCATTCCTCCCCCAGCCCTGGGCAACCACTAATCTGTGTTCTGTCTGTGGTGTTGCTTATATTGTGGATGCTTATTTTAAATGGAATCATGTAATACGGGTTTTGATTTTTTTGTGATTGGCTTCTTAGCATACTTAGCATAAGGTTTTCAGGGTTCATCCATGTTGTAGCATATGCCAGTACTTCATTCCTTTTGATTACGCAATAATATTTCATTCCATGGGTATGCTACGTTTTGTTTATCCATTCATCACTTGATGGATATTTGGGTTGTTTCAGTTTTTTGGCTATTTTGAATAATGCTGCAATGAACATTTGTATATAGATTTTTGTGTGGACATGTTATTTATTTCAGGTATCTAGGAGTGAAATTGTTGGATCATATAGTAACTCTATGTTTAACTTTTTGAGGAACCACCGAACTGGTTTCCAAAGTGGCTATACCATTTTACATTCCCACCAGTAATGTATTCCAATTGGGAATTAGACTCTTTTCCAATTTCTCCACATCCTTGTCCACACTTGTTAATTTCTGTCTTTTTGGAGCCATCCTAGTGAGTGTGAAATGGTATCTCATTGTGGTTTTCATTTGCATTTCCCTAGTGATGAATGATGTTGAGCATCTGTTCTTATACTTATTTGCCACTTGTGTATCTTCTATTCATATACTTTGTTTATTTTAAAATTGGGTATTTGTCTTTTTATTATTCAGTTGTAAGAATTCTTTACATATTCTGGTTATAAGCCCCTTAATCAATATATGATTTGCAAATATTTTCTCATATTCTGTAGGTTTCACTTTTTTTGATGGTGTTATTTGCAACATAAGAGTTTTTAATTTTGTGGCTGGGCTGCGGTGGCTCACGCCTATAATCCCAGCACTTTGGGAGGCCGAGGCAGGTGGATCATCTGAGTTTGGCAGTTCTAGATCAGCCTGACCAACATGGAGAAACCCTGTCTCTACTAAAAATACAAAATTAGCCTGGCATGGTGGTGCATACCTGTAATCCCAGCTACTCATGAAGGCTGAGGCAGGAGAATCGCTTGAACCTGGGAGGCAGAGGTTGGGATGAGTCGAGATTGCACCATTGCACTCCAGCCTGGGCAACAAGAGTGAAACTCGGTCTCAAAAAAAAAAATAGTTTTTAATTTTACTGAAGTCCAATTTATCTAATTTTTCTTTTATTGTGTTTTTGGTGTCATATCTAAGGCATAATTGCCAAACCCAAGGTCACAAAGAGTTACACCTATCTTGTCTTCTAAGAGGTTTATAGTTTTAACTCTTACATTTAGGTTCATGATTCATTTTGAGTTCCTTTTTGTGTATGGTGTGAGGTAGGGGGCCAACTACATTTTTCTCCTGTGGGTATGCAGGTGTCCCAGCACCATTTGTTGACATAAATAGGATCTTAAAGGACACCTGGAGCCCTTTAAAACCCACCACCTGGGGAGCAGGAGGTAGGTGGAGCACCTAGCGTGGGGCCTGGCCTGGGGAAAGTGCTCTTGGAAAATGCCCTTTCCTGCTGGAAGAGCACCAGTGAGCAGCTCCCCAGCCCCTGCTTCTCAGCCTTTTGTGTTGATATTGTACAATTCTGTGTGTGTGTAACTTGCTGTTCACTAGACCCAGAATGGTGCTTGCTATGGTTTGAATATTTGTCCTCTCCAAATCTTGGGTTGAAATCTATCTATCTATCTATCTATCTATCTATCTATCTATCTATCTGTCTGTCTGTTGTTTTAGAGATAGGGTCTCACTCTGTCACCCAGGCTGGAGTGCAGTGGGTGCACTCCAGCTCACTGCAGCCTTGAATGCTGGGGCTCAAGCCATCTTCCCGCTTCAGCCTTCCGAAGTGTTGGGATTACAGGCATGAGCCATGGTGCCTGCCTGGCCTCCTCAGGTTGAAATTTGATCCCAGTGTTGGGGGTGTGGCCTAATGGGAGGTGTTTGGGTCATGAGGACGGATCCCTCATGAATAGATTAATGTCCTCCCTGGCGAGTGAGTACATCCTCACTGTAATAGTTCCTGTGAGAGCTGATTGTTTAAGAGCTTGGCACCTGGCACCTCCCCCCACTGTCTTGCTTCCTCTCTCACCATGTGATATCTGCCTATGCCGACTCGCTTCTGCCTTCCACCATGAGCAGAAGCAGCCTGAGGCCTCAGCAGATGCTCAGACATCAGAATCGTGAGCCAAATAAACCTTTTCCCTGATCAATCATCCAGCTTCAGGTATTCCTTTATAACAACACAAAACAGACTAAGACAGTGCTGTATGCAGCTGCATGCTAAATAATTGATTCAGGTGATGGTGAAGGTCAGAACAGGAGGATGTGGGCTTACATCATAGCAGGGGAGTGTCCCTGGCTGAGAGACCTGCAGGAACCAACAGCAGAGAGGTTATCAACTCTTGTTCTACCTGGAGAGGTATTTGAGGGCCCCTAGGTCCAGCTGATGGGGCTCTTGGAAGCTGTTGATCAAGCCAGGGAAAAGATGATAGTGACAGCCAAGACCAGAGGTGATGAATGTTTAGAAAAAAAAAAAGTAATTTTCAGCTTTTTGGCTCCTTTAATCTAACCCTGCTTTTGGGCCAGAAGAAGACCATTTTCTTTCCCCTCAGCTCTTTCTCAGCAGAGCTAATAGGTCCCCCGGGTAGATTTAAGGGAAGTTAATGAAACAAGTTATGGTTATACCAGGCTCTAGGCTACATGTCGCCCTTCTCTCCCAGGCCTCCAGGGCTGAGGCTCAAGGTACCATCTCCCCTGCCGGGAGAGCTGAGGCAGCCCTGGAGGCCCCAGGCAGCCTATTGGAGAGAGTGTCAAGGTAGGGGCAGCAGAACGTCGGAGGGACACGTCTTCTCCTTCCTCCCACTGTGGACAGCATGGGAAGGGAGAGTCTTGCCAGTCATTGGCGAATCTCCCCAGTAGGGCCCCAACTCTCTTCTCCAAGTGTATTCCCATCCCCTTCCATGGTCCCTGGCTGCGGTCCACACAGAGCACTCCCATGCTTGTTCGTGCAGCTCTCTGTGGAGTCCCCAGCATCTAGACACTGCCTGGCATGATCAATAGTGGTTGAATGAATGAATGCTTTTCTACCTTGAGCTCAAGCTATTCATTTCACCTCATTCCCCGTTGCTCTCTGGCTGTTTTCAGAAGCCTGCCAACTGTTCAAGGGCCAGCTTAAATGTCTTGTCTATAAGCCCCATAATTGAATATGACAATCCCATCTTTTGCTTCTCTCGCTCTTTTGTTTCTACCTCTGTTTGGCACTTTCCACACTCTACCCCATGGTAAGATATTTGTGTGTCTGTTTTAACCCCAGCATTGAAACACCCTGTATAGGGCAGGGACCATGGCTTTCTGTTCTCATTTTATGTCATTTCTCCTCCCTTCCACCCCGCTACACCTAGGATGGTGTTTCATAGACCTTTGCCACTCAACAAAGTCTGCTTAACTATAGCACCTGGGTCACACATCGTTGGTGCTGGGTCTTTTTCCCGGGTTACTGTTCTGCCTACAGCTTTTTGCCACTCAGAGGATTTTCCTGGGTTTCACATCCTGGAGTAGGAGGTATTTACGAGAGACAGATGTCAGCGTGTGGTGTTCCCAATCCATTGCGTATAATTTACATATCTCTGTGCAGCTAGCATCAGTGAGACCACACTACTAAGGTATTATGCTTGACTCCTGGCAGGAAGAATTGGAGCAGATAACACATCAGTGGTAATCCCTTGCTCTGCCCTGGAGGATACAGAAAACCTCTGGTGTGAGTTACTGCCTGTGGATATTAGAGACTCACCTGCTGTCATTAATGTAGAGGCTGGATTTCCCTCTCCAATTGATTAGGCAGCTCTCTCTGTTCTCTCCTCTTTGCAGGGAGGAGGCCACTCCTTCACCCCAGTTCCTGATCTGGAGGGTGGGGCAGGAGGGCCAGCAGGAGGGGACCCACTTAGAAGGCCAAGCTATAGAGGTCCTTTGGGATAGACCAGTGGTACTGAGGCTGGACCGTTCATTAGGTGCAAAGTCCCTGATGAGAGGAAAGGGAAGGAAGGAAACGGTGGCCTGCTCTGTATTTAGATGAGCTTTCTCTTTCCTAAGGTGCTTTCGTATGAGTTTTTGCTTTCTATTATCAAAACAGTCCTGGGAGGTGGTTTATCTCTGTTTTCAGACATAGGGTCTACAAAGCAGAAAAGAAGGTGATGCACAGCAGAAATGAAAGAGGAGTTTGCTTTACACTCTGTGGTACGTAGCATTGATCAGGGAGCCACCATGGCTGGCATGCAGTGGGCATTTGATATGTGTTTGTCCAATAAATGAATAGCAGGCACTCAACAAATCATCCTTGATTTGAAATAAAAGTTTTTCTGGATTTTGCTTCCAGCTCACTCTGGTCTTCTTTACTCTCTGGCTGTTTCTTCTCTTCCCTGTTGGGTTAGCTCCTCTCCCTGGCCCTTGCACTTGTCCCAGGCCTGCGAGGGGAGATTGACACCCAGAGGTTGCTGGATCGTGGTGATGCAGAGGCATCTTGCGGTGACTCCTGGGAGCCAGCAGTGTCGTGGTAGGTTGGCAAGTGCCGGCTGCAAAACCCTCCTCCTTTGCTGCAGGTGGATATTGCTACTTGATCACAGCACTGTTAACTCTGCAACCAGACTGAGCCTGCTGAGCCTTCTCGGTATAGCACTCCAGGTTGCTGCCACCAATGGGCCACAGTGGCATTTCGGATGGCAAGGAGGTCCTGTCTTGGGTAGAGTAAAGAGCATTAGGGTGAGGGTCAGAGGACCTAGCTCTGAATCCTGGCCTCTCCATTTCTGCTTTGTGACCTTGGGATAATCCCTGGACATTTCAGAGCCTTGAACGTGCGGGCTTCTCAGGTCCCTTCAAGCCCTGAAATTCTAGGATTCTGTGGTTCCTTTGGTTGGGAGGAAAGAGGCTCTCGTCTGGTGGCCTGGCCGTAGAGGGGTAGGATTAACCTCTGGGGTCAGCAAGCTTGCAGAGCTCAGGAAATGCCTCTCTGTGATCTGTATTTGGTCCAGAGACAGGTGGTGGAGCTAGAGGAGGGGAAGTTCACTCACAGCCCTAGGCTGGGGGAAGGGAGGCCTAACTCAGCTGCTGTTTTTCCTAATGGAATGAAGGTCTTTGGACCTGAGTCCTCAGTGCATCTAGATCTTAGCAAAGAAGCAGGAAGTACTGGCCACGAATCCCACTGCTCATCCTCTCTGTTGGTGGGGAAAATAGAGGGATTTCTTATTGCTAATTAATGGAGGTTTGCCAGGAATCAGGGTTCATTTGCTGATTTTTCAGTAAACTTTATGAAGTGTCAATTCCTTGGGCAGAATCTGCTCTTTGGACTTGGAGATGACCGCCAGGAAATCACTTCCTTTGAGACATACCCCATGCTGTCTTATTTCACGGGGGAGTCCAGAAGTATTTAAAATGTTAGTGAGTGAGTTCTGTTGCTGCCGCCGTACTGCAAGGCGAGGGTCACGGAGTGTTTCTCCCCATTGTACAGAAGGAGATACTGAGGCCCAGAGAGAGTTGCTCGCAAAGCTGTGGGTCTGCTGGCAGCTGGGAGGGAGGCGCCTCTGCTTGTAAGCTCTCAAGGCCGCGAGTGAGCTGTAGGCAGTCCGTCTGTGTCTTTGTGAGGCGCCCGTGAGATTAGCCACTGAGCAGAGGTTTAATTTATGATGGCGCCTAGTATTCTCGTCCTGCTGCCTCCTAGAATCTGCTGCATCATTGGAGTTGCCGAGCTCCCAGGGGTGTCTTAAGTCTCATAAGTAATCTGTGTCTCAGCCATGTTCGAGGCAGCCTCATGCAGGGGACGGGCCTCAAGGAGTGGCTCCGCACCGAGGCTCAGGCCAGGCTCAGATTTGCCCAGGTGTGGATGGAACTCGTCGGTCTAACAGGGCCATGGAGGGAAGTGGCCGAGGTGTGGGAATTATAGGCATCTGAGTCAATGTTACTCTCTAAACGCTCTCATTTGGTCACTAATGATACAGCAGATGTAATAGTTTGGCATTCATGACTCCTCTTGATGAAAATGGTTGAAATGAGGACCTAACATGGGAAAGACACAGAATTCTAACAATATTCAAGCAGTATTAAGTAATGTAAGCCTAATGTATATTGTAATATTTTTCATTAACTTTAATTTAATAGACATTTATATTTTAATTTGTGATGTGCTTAGTTCTTGCAAGCAGTAACGCTGCCTTTCTTTAAACAAACGTTCCATATTTTGCACTTTCCACTAATTTAGAAAGGATTTGTTATTACTGATTAATGAGGTTTTACTAAGAATAGGATGAAAGCATCATACTATCTAAAGCTGGAAGGTTCCTTAGAGATTATCTCATATTCTTCATTTTAGAGATGAAAAAAGACTAGTATTATACATATAGATGATCAGTGATTTATTTTACATGAACAGCTTTGTCCTTTTATATGAAAGGGCTACCGGGATGAATAAATGGACAGAAATGGAAAATGTTCTAACCTTCTGTTGAAGTATAACATATGTATGCAATGCAGCATTTGATGAATTTTTATAGAGAAGTGAACACATCTGTGGGACCAGCATCCAGATTGAGAAACAGAACATTACTAATACCTTGCACATCACCCCCATTCCCCTTTTGAGACTTTACTCCTGCTCAGGGGTAGCCACTAACCTGATCTCTAACAGCATAGATTAGTGTTTTGTTTTTTGTTTTTGTTTTTTTCTTCTTTGAGATGGAGTCTCGCTCTGTCACCGAGGCTGGAATGTGGTGGCGCGATCTCGGCTCACTGCAACCTCCACCTCCCAGGTTCAAGTGATTCTCCTGCCTCAGCCTCCTGACTAGCTGGGATTACAGGCATGCGCCACCACGCCCGGCTAATTTTTGTATTTTTAGTAGAGACGGGGTTTCACCATGTTGGCCAGGCTGGTCTCGGACTCCTGACCTCAGGTGATCCACCCTCTTTGGCATCCCAAAATGCTGGGATTACAGGTATGAGCCACCACGCCCGGCCCATAGACTAAGGCCTTTACGTAAATGGGATCATACAGCTTGCGTTCTTTTGTCTAGCTTCTATTTCTCAACATTAAAAAAAATAAGATTCATCCACGTAGCTGCAAGTGGCTGTAGTTCATTGATGATCTCTCACTAATGAGATATCTCACTGTGACTGTTGATTTCACTGATGGCCAGTGAAGATGAGCAGTAGGAATGGGATTTTGAACATAGATGGAGGTTTTTAGCTCTTCCATTAAGTTAGCTACTCTGTGCCAGCCAATGAGGACACAGAGAGACTACGACACATTTTAGGGATGATAGGTAAACATATAACTTGAGTGCAGTATTGATCAGCTTAGGAAAAAACTGTGAGCCCCTGGAGATTGGGCTTATCTCTTGTGTACTTTTGCACACCTTTCTTCTTAATGATTAGGATGGTGCTTGGTGTACAGGTGCTAATAAAACTAGTGGGAGGGTCAGCCCAAGGTTGGGCTGGAAGGGATGATGGTGATGGGCTGGGGTGGATGTGGAGTCATTAGCTCGTGATGAGCTGGATTTGGGGCATGCACAGCCCTCACAAATGTGGCTCCAAGTCCAGGCAACTGCTGCCTAAGTGCTGTGAGCATGGTCTCCCGCTTGGGATCGGGATGGCAGGGGCTAGGAGCTGCTGGGGGCCAGATGTGGCTGCTGACCTGGTGTGCAGGGGCCAGGGCTGACTGACTTTCCTCCGGGGGCTTTGGCTGGCATCAGTCTGGCTGGGGGTGGGGGAGCCTTAGACCACACCTGCAGAGTTCCCATCTGGGGCAATGTGCCTGTTTGCCTGGACCACCCTCCTGGGCCCATCCCACTGGCTCCTTTGGGAGCTCTGGGTCTTATTCTGCAGGGTCAGGTCATGGGCCTGTCCTCCTGGGAGGATTGGGGTCAGTTTGGTTTGCAGGCCTTTGTGGATAAAAGCATGTCCTGGGGTCCAGCGGACAAGCAGCAGCAGGAGATACCCTCCCATGTCACTCATTCTGTGCCACAGAAGCCCAGGCCGGGGGAGACCACACCACCGTTCCACCGTTTAGCTCAGTGCCCTGCAAGGCAGGAGTAGCACCGGTCATCCTTGGCAGAGAATCATTCGCTCTTTTCTCTATCATGGGAAAAATCTTCATCCCTCTACACTGTGCCAGCTCTTTCCAGATGCTTCAAACCTTTTTAGTTGCTAAGGTCTTCATAAAATCTCCCCTCTAGCGCTCGTCTTTTTGCTTCCTTCAATTCAAGACCCAGAGGGGAGCCAAAATCTGTGCCTTCGCAATATGTTCCGGGTGCTGTAGGGGTGCTGGGTGAACAAGAACTGGGCCTGTCTGCAGCTGCTCAGCGTCAAGCACACAGGACAGAATGAATTCAGGACAGAGTCTAAGAAGAGGCTGCAAGGGGTAAGAAGAGAGTGTCACAAGCTGGGAGGTGCCAGAGCTGGGGGGCGGTGGGGAGCTGACTTACTTTCTCTTTGCCCCCCTCTATTTCTATGTGTGAGTCATTGTCACTTGCTTGTGAAGTGCTGCATCCAATCTCTTTACGAATGGATGTCTCAAGAGCAGTTACAGGCATTGGGAAAAAATTGAGCTCTGGATGGAGAGGATTTGATAAATCTTAATTCTCTTCCCAGACCAGGTCCTGTCTCTCTGGGAAGCTGAGGCCACTCTCCGCCCCCTCTCTTTTCTGTGTCTCCACCATAAAGTACTCGTTGAGTAAATGAATGAATCAGATGCGCTGCCTCGATGGCCCCGCCTCCCTCCCGGCCAGTGTGGGCGTGCAGATGGATGAGCTCAGGTTTGGACGTGACTCAGAAGGAAGGTAGTGGGGAAATACAAGGTGGTGATCTCATGTGGCATTAAACGGAGCTGGGAACATGAAGTGTGTGTACGCTTCTCTTTTCGTCATTTCTCTCCTCATTCCAGACCCCCTGGCAACAGTCTGCCAGGATGAGACTATGGGGCAGCCAGAGGAGAGAAAACTGGCTCCATTTTCACCCGCCTGTGAGTTCTCAGGGACCATTCTATCTTCTGCACGTGGAGTGTGGGAGAGGGGCAGAGGCCGTCACTGCACAGCCCACCTTCAATGCTCTGTCTTCCTCCTTAGTCTGCAGAACGCACCCAACTCTGTTTCGGGTGGGTGTGGGCAGGTTGACCTCAGGGCTGGGGGAAGGTTTGATTGGCTTTGGCATTCTCTGAGAGAGGAGTGGAAGAAGCCCCTGCTTTAGAAGTCAGGGCAGAGAGAGGGAGTTCATGTGATCTGGTGGAAAGACCTTTGGCTTAGAAAGGAGAAGCTCTGATTTCTAATTCTGGTTTGGATATTAGTTTGGTGTCCTGGGAAAAGTCCTTTATCCCCTAGATCTCAGCTTCTCCACCTGTCAAATGGGCAACACGTGTACCTGCCCTCCCTACCGCCCAGAGTGGCCATAAGGACCACATGAGTTAATGGTATGACAGCCTGGGAAAAGTGAAAAATGCTGATAAAAGTAATGTGATCCATTATTAATAACAAACCCTGTGAACACTCAGCACCCTAGGCATCAGTCTGGATGTGGGAATCACAGCTAGAAAAGGCCTAGATCCCTGCCTGGGCATTTGGGAAAGGCTTCCATGCCTGTGAGCTTGTTGGAGGAGTGGGAACCATGCGAGTGAGTTTGGAAGACTTATCAAGGAGGCAGTTTTGAATGACATTTGAAGGCAGGAAGAAGATCGTATCAGGTGTCAGGGTGGGCAGGGTGGCTTCCTGGAGCCTGGGGGAGGTGGAGGGTACAGAGAAGCTTAGAGGTGTATGCAGCTCCCTGAGTGGGACTCAAGCCATCCACTTGAACCCAACCATGGGGCACCTTCTCTCCTCATTTTTGCTAGGCAGCATGGGGAAGGAAAGAGCCCTGATGGAGGAGTCAGAATGTCTTGGGGTGGGGGTGGGGGCATCCTGAATCTCATCTCTGCTACTTTCTGGCTGCCGTGACCTTGAGCAAGTCCCTTTACTTCTCTCTGTTCCACGTCCTTCATCTGGGAATAATAATACCTGTCTCACTGGGTTGCTGTGAGGATTGAGTGAGGCAAACAGCCTGTAAATAGAGGGTGCTCAATAAATGTCACTTACATCTGAATTTCTCTCCCATCCATCTCGTTTATGGTGTTTACAGGGAATATTCTGCACTGATCCCTGCCAGGGCTCAGTATTTTCCTTCCTTTTCCATGGAGACAGATTTTGCAGTTACTCCAGTTTTATACCTATAGCCCAAACTCCTGCGTTGGACACACCAATCTACGGCTAGCTTGCTCCAGATAGCATGTAGCATAGGATTCCACATGTAATATACATCTGTGGGAAGAAACTCAGACTCCAAAGGCAAACCTTATAATTAAAAGACTTTTAGAAGCAGAGATTTTGTTTTTCTGTTCCTCCTTGTCAAAATTACATTGTTGGAAACAAAATCTGATCTGGTGGATGTGCGTGGCGTAGATAAGAGATCACTGAGTCAGTTCTGTGTGGGGGGGTCGTGATGGGGGAGCAGATGGCCCTGGTCATGCATGTGGCTTCTCCTGGCCACAGAGCACCTTATCTGTAGAATGAGATGGCTGCAGAGATCAGGCCTACCCAGCTGAAAACACTGCAGGAGAGTTGGGGAGGATGGCAGGAGGTAGAGCGGAAGGACCTGCACAGCTGTGGCACCTGTGGGGCTGCTGGCTGAGGCTTCGAGGTCCACCATCACCTCGTTTTCTGCCGGGCAGGGACTCCTGGGTTGGCGCTCTCTAAAGCCGCTTCTGTTTCTAAAGTTCTTTGACTCATTTCTTAAGCATTGCATCTGCGTCTCCACTTGGATGACTAATAGACGTCCTAATGTACTGAAAAGCACACTCGTTGCCTCCCCACTCCTGTGTTCCTTTGTAGATCAACCAGGATTCTTCCTCCTTTTGCTGCTTCTGTGGCTATAGCCCTGATCCAGCCACCGTTCGTCACCTCGTGCTTGGATTATGGGAACAGTTTCCCAGCACATCTCCCTGCTGCTGCCCTGTCCCGACGCGCGCCGAGACCTTCTGACTTTTCTGTTTAAAGCAGCTGCCCCTGCCCAGTCCTATCTTCCTTATCCCTCTTTATTTTTCTACGTAGCATATGATATATATATTCTTTTTTCTTTATTTGTCACCCTCATGTCCTCAAATTGGAATGCAAGCTATAGGAGGGCTTGTTTGTTTTTCCTCCTGGTTTTGTGCACTGCCGTAAACCCAGTAACTAGATCACATGACTAATCCGTAATCCACAGAAACTGTTTGCTATCAGTCTGCAAATGATTGCCCACTCTCTTCTCATGTTTTCCATAATGCCAGCCCCAACCTTGAGGATCCCTTAACCCTGGATGTCCTGATAGCCCCTGCTGTCCCCTCTCTCATTCATCAGACCCACCTATCCTTCCTGTGTTGTTAGTTACCCATCCCTGTGTGTCCCTGTGAATAGATCTGATAGATAAGATAATCGAGTACTTGGTCTTATACTTCTAACCCCCTTTACCCAGCACAGACCTAGTATGTAATAGAAAATGCCCAGTAAATTCAGCATTCATTCATTTACTGCCAAATTTCTTGATGAACTGCTATTGACAGATGATTAAAATTCAATCCCAGAAATATTCTGGGCCTTTGAAAGGTGTGTCCTACTGGCCTGAAGAAGGGGCTGTGACCAGATGGTGGTTCTGCACTCGTAGGTAGGGTGTGGTCCTTGTTTGCAGTGAATCTCTGGGAGCGTGGCAGTTTCTTCCGTGTGTCACGTTCTCCCTGTGTCTGCATCCAGAGTGGCCGCAGTCCCCAGGGGATGAAGGGTGCACCTATTTCTTTAAATTTCCATGGAGGGTCGAAACTGCTCCTTGAGATTTTAAAATACGCTTCATGGTCCCCACGGTGTCAGGTAGCTAGTTTATGGGTCCCATCCTGGTTGTGATAACTCAGGCTGAGCTGGATGATAAACGAAAGTGGGACAGAGCTGCAGGATAAATATTGCTACAGGGCATCTCCAGCGGCACAAATCACAGGGAAAATATCTCCCAGGCTTTTCATTTCTCCTCTTCCTCCCTGGCCCTCTGGTAGCAGCCAGCAAAGCAGGATCCATCCGTCACCCTTCCCCCGCCCCCACCCCAGCCTCAGCTCTCAGCGCACTGCTGGGGAGCGAGGGATGCAGATTGGTCCTGGTGCAGGCGGCCCTCTCTGTCTTGCGGCCCTCTGCCTCCCCGCCCAGCTCTGGAGGCAGCCCCGGGGAGCCGGCATGGTCAGGGTCATGCTGTTTTCAGTTGTGGACGAGTGCTTAGCTTTGCAGACCTGATTCTTTATCTCTAAAACGAGAGAGATTAATAACTGGTGGTTCTTAGTCTGGCGCGAGCGGGTGCTCGTGTCACTCACCGGGGGAACTTAAACGCCGCTTGCTGAGTCCCACCCTAGCGCATAGAATCATAACCGCGGGGGTCTGGTCTGGGGTGTTTTCACTGACGTTTGGTTGGCCCTGCCAGCGGTGCTCACGAGGCCCACTCCTGGCCAAGAGCCACTCCTGGTACAAGTGAGGACTGAGATGGGCGATGGGGTGGGCGGTGCGATGGGCCAGTTCGTTGACCAGCTCTTGTACTAGATCCATCAGCAATGTCGCTTAGCGAGGCTTTCTTCAGCTTTGGAGGCATGCTGGCTTCGTAATCAGCGTCACCCTGTAGGTGTTGATTGAGCCTGCAGGGAATACCAAGCACGTAGGCATGGAAAGGTAACTAACCGCACGCGGCAGGCGAGTCTATTAAACAGAGAGGCTGGTCCCAGCGCAGGTTGTTACCACCGCTGGGCCCTCCCACCACCTGACCTTGAAGCGCACTCAGAGGTTTCTCTCACTCCACGCCCGGGTTCTGCTGACTGTGCCTCTGCCTTGTCTCTGGATGCCACTTTCCCAGTTCAGGTGCTCAAGGCGTCTTACCTGAACATTACCACAGCTTCCTGACAAGTCTCTCCAAGCTGTCCTTTGCTGTCCTGCAAAGTGGCTGTGCCCACTGACCTGGTCGGCTGTGCCTGGTTGGCTGTGCCTGGCATGTGGAGGGTGCTCACTGTGCCCGGGTGGATGAGTTCAGTGGTTCCCTGTCTTCCCGAGGAAAGCCCAGAGTCTGTGTGGCTGCAGCCCTGCCCGTGGCCCTCACGAGCTGTATGACCACCCGCTAGACTCTTCTTGTGCTTTCTTGATTCTGCCACGTCCTTGCCGTCCGCTGGGTCTCGCCTGTGCTATTTGCTCTCCCTGCAATGCCCTTTCTCTTCCCTCTGCCAGGCAGACTGTACTCACCCGCTGGGCGTAGCACAGGTACTCCCATGGGACACCTCCTCATCTATGCCCATACTGGCATTGTAGCACTTACCACATGCTTGTGCTGTTGAAAGAGTTTGTTTTTGTGTATTTTTTTATTTTTAGAGATGAGGGCCAGGCTGGAGTGCGGTTGCATGATCATGGCTCACTGTAGCCTTGACCTCCTAGGCTCAAGTGATCCTCCAACCTCAGCCTTCCAAGTACTTAGAACTACAGGTGGACACCACCATGCCTGGCTAATTTTTAAGTTTTTGTAGAGATGGGGGTCTTGCTATATTGCCCCTGGTCTTGACCTCCTGGTCTCAAGTGATCCTGTTCCTCGGCCTCCCAAGTTGCTGGGGGATTACAGGTGTTAGCCACTGTGCCTGGCTCTGCCGTTTGTTTAAAGATCTCTCTCTCTCCTTTCTGTCTTCCTCCCTCCCTCCCTCCTCCTCCTTAAATTATAAGCTGCTTGAAAACAGGAACCAGCTGAGTTGAGCCCATCTACCAAGTGAAATGCCCAGCAGATCTCTGCCTGATAAATGTTTGTTGAATGACTACAGCGTGGTGTTAAGGATGTGGACCAGGAAGGGATGTTTGTATTTGTTGTGTTCTGACCTTGCTAGATGACCCTGAATAAATTCATTTATCCTCCAAAACTTCGTTCTCCCTCATTTGTTTGTTTGTTTTTGAGGCAGGATCTTACTCTGTTGCCCAAGCTGGAGTGCAGTGGCACGATCACTGCAGCCTTGAACTGCTGAGCTCAAGCGATCCTCCTGCCTCAGCCTCCTGAGTACCTGGGGCTACAGGCACATGCCACCATACCTGGCTAGTTTTTTAGTTTTTGTACAGACAGAGTCTTACTATGTTGCCCAGGCTAGTCTCAAACTCCTGGCCTCAAGCGATCCTCCCACCTAAGCCTTCCAAAGTGCTGGGGTTACAGGCTTGAGCCACTGCATCTGGCCATTTCCCTCATTTGTAAGGAGAGTTTACAGCTGATGATTTCTAGATTTCCTTCCAATTCTAACATTCTGGGATTCTGTGTGTTAGAAAATGAAGAGAGGTTTGTGTGTTCATTTCCAGGAGCCTGTGTGTTCTGCTGTGTTTGGGGCCAGGGGCTTCTTCTTGTAACAGGCCCAGCACACCTGGCCTTCAGCTGTGGCTTTTTTAAATTTTATTTTTATTTATTTTTATTTTTTGAGACGGAGTCTCACTCTGTCGCCCAGGCTGGAGGGCAGTGGCGCGATCTCCGCTCACTGCAAGCTCCGCCTCCCGGGTTCGCGCCATTCTCCTGCCTCAGCCTCCCGAGTAGCTGGGACTACAGGCGCCCACCACCGCGCCCGGCTAATTTTTTGTATTTTTAGTAGAGACGGGGTTTCACCGTGTTAGCCAGGATGGTCTCGATCTCCTGACCTCGTGATCCTCCCGCCTCGGCCTCCCAAAGTGCTGGGATTACAGGCGTGAGCCACCGCACCCGGCCTCAGCTGTGGTTTTAATTGACATGATTAATACCTGAGGAGCTCCTGATTTGGTAGTGTGAGAAGGCCGCCCGGACCTTACACCCCCTGCCCTGCCTGTCTTCTTTTCTTCCTTATTTTCTGAGGAGGTGGCCAGGTGAACTGGTGAGGCTTTTGTCCGCAGCTCTGCGCCTTGTGTGATATGAAGTGTTGCGGACACAACCCTGAGTGCTGTGCACACGACCCCTGCAGGGCGAGGCTGGGGGCATCATTTGGGATGAATGTGCTGTCCTGCAGGACCTAGGAGCAGGGGCAGCATCTCACCTGGGGTGAGACCTGGCAAGCAGGAGTGCGCTAAGCCTGCAACCAGAACTGGGAGGGAGAAGTGGCACGAGAGCGGTCAGTCTTCCTCGGCCTTGACCTTGAGGACATCAGGGTGTCTGGGCTCCTGGAGGTGGGAGTGAGACAGAGAGGCAGAGAAGGAGGTGGAGGTCAGCGCCCGGCAGGGGCCTGCCAAGCTGTGGCAGCCCCTGTGAGCTGCAGTGGCACGGGCTGCCTTGCAGGAGGTGTGAGATAGAGAGCTGCAGACACCAGGAAGGTCAGAAGCGTGGCCAAGGGAAAGCCAGGCACCTCGTCCTTCCCATCTCTCTGGGTTCATTTCCTTTGGTACTTGTAGAATAACTTTGAAAGACCCAGCCTCTCTCGCTGTGCTCACGGGAGCCCAGAGCAAGAGCTGCACTTCCCAGCTTGTCTGGAGGCCTCTAAGTGAGCAGGCCCCAGGGTCGCGGGAGGGAGTGCATCTAGCCCAGATTTCTTTCGCTGTTGCAGTAAGTACCTGGCCTTTCTGGTGTCTTGTTTCCAGGCCTCAGTTTCTCCTTCTGTGCTACCCTGCCCCACCTCCGTGGCTGGGTGTGGGACCGGCATCGCACCACTGCAGCCGAGTTGCTTTATAAATAGAAAGATACTTAACACCGACCCTGGAATCAAACAGGGAGGTGGCTCTGGGGAGCAGAGTTTTAAAAATGAGCATTGATTTCTGGGAATCGGCACACTGCATATTAAACAGACCCACATTGGCTCCCAGGGCACTGCTCAGCCCTGCCTGTATGCCTTTCTCCTTCCCAGTACAAGCCCTGCCCATCCAAGCTCTCAGAGGGTCTGAAGAGCCACGGGAATGAGATTCGTCCCAGCCCTCACCTCTGTGGGTGCTCCCTACCTGAAGTGGCTCTCACGCGCTTCTGTTCCCTGGCTTGTTCATCCATTTGTCCCCTGCTGTGAGCCAGGGACGGTGCTAGGTTCTGGGATTGAAAGATGAACAACAATCACCCCAGTGCCCCTTCTCCTCTTGTCTCAGCATCGAGCCTTACGGAGCAGTGTGCAGAGTGAGAGTCTGAATGGGGGGAGCCCAGCGATTGGAGAAGAGAAGGTCCAATTTTGCCTGGGCTGGGGAAGGAAGAGCCTTCATGGAGAAAACTGAGCGTCCAAGAGAGGGGCATGTGCTCTGCACAGGGAACAGAATGTGCGAAGGCATGAGGAACCACGCGGCTGTGTGCAAGCAGCTGGCATATACCAGGCACCTCATGGCTGCTAGTTAAGTGTGGGCTGGGGATTGTCACATCCGTGTGCTGCCTGCCACCTTCTTTTAGCCTCCTGTGGTAATGAAGGACATTCCGTCCACATCTGTTGATTGATTAAGATATTTTTGTCTCTTGGTCCAATCACAATTTAAAAGTTAGCTGTGAAAGAAGACTAAATAGTTTAAGAACATAGCTGCTGCTGAGACTTCCTTCCTTTTCCTTTGGTGGCTCAGACTCTATTCTGGGCCCTCGTCTCAGCGAAGAAAGTATCTGTCCTACATTAGGGAAAATCCCAAGAAAAACCGAAAGCAGCTCTCCCATCTTTACATCATCTGCCTCCACACCTGGCTGAGAATCGTGCACCTTTCAGGCCCTCCTGAGTTGCCTGGTCTTTCCTTGATTACCCACCAGAGCCCGTCTTTAAATATTCCATGAAAATTGGGGCCACTGAAGTGTGTCAGCTGCGAGTGAAATGCACAGAGCCGAGTATTAGGAAGGTGCCCCGCATTAGCGGGAAGAGTACCATGGACAGCAGGGCAAAACGAGGAGTGGCTGGGAGGCCAGTTAGGAGTCCATGAGCAAGAGGTGGCCGGGGGAGTGGGGAGGTGGTGGGACCCCCAGGAGATGCGCCACACTCTTGCCAGCATTGAGTAGCCTTGTTTAAATAAAAAAAAAAATTTAAGCTGATAGGTATTTTGTCACTTAAAAAAATGTTTTTTTGAGATAGAGTCTCGCTCTGTTGCCCAGGCCGGACTGCAGTGGTGCGATCTCGGCTCACTGCCAGCTCCACCTCCTGGGTTCACACCATTCTCCTGCCTCAGCCTCCCAAGTAGCTGGGACTACAGGTGCCTGCCACCATGCCCAGCTAATTCTGTGTATTTTTAGTAGAGACGGGGTTTCACTGTGTTAGCCAGGCTGGTCTCGATCTCCTGACCTTGTGATCTGTCCGCCTCGGCCTCCCCAAGTGCTGGGATTACAGGCGTGAGCCACTGTGCTCGGCCAAGAAAATTTTTTTGAGATGGAGTCTCGCTCTGTTGCCCAGGCTGGAGCACAGTGGCTCAATCTTGGCTCACTGCACTCTCCGCCTCCTGGTTTCAAGAGATTCTCCTGCCTCAGCCTCCCAACTAGCTGGGATTACAGGTGACTGCCACCATGCCCAGCTAGTTTTTGTATTTTTAGTAGAGATGGGGTTTTGCCATGTTGGCCAAGCTGTCCTTGAACTTCTGACCTCAGGTGATTTGCCTGCCTCAGCCTCCCAAAGTACTGGGATTACAGGTGTGAGCAACCGCACCCAGCCTTAACCTGCTAGGTAAACAGTGATGGCTTGGTTGTTTTAATTTGGATTTCCATGATTTGTAATATTCCCAAGTTTACAACCAGGAAACAAAGAAGTGAAATTCCTAATCACAGAATGATTCAGTCAGAGCCCTCTTACTCAAGAAGGACAGGCGGGTGACGGCCAGTGTCCTCGTCCGCCAGGGTGTGAGGTCCTGTCGGCTGTGTCTGGGCCGTGTCTTGCCCGCCGATGGGTCTCTGGGCAGATGGTTAGCCCCTGGCCCTCAGTCGTGCAGGTTTCTGTTCTGCAGGTGGCATGGTGTCATGGGCACACAGGGCAGTGGTGTTTTCCTGTGGTGGTATTGATCAGGGATGGGTAGTGCTGGCCTTTCCCCGCTGTATGCTTTTGTATCTGCCATTCTTATCTTTTTTTATGAACTTTCCTCACCGTCTCCGCTACCCACGTATCCACTCCCCATACAGTGCTTAGCATAACAGCTGTGCTTTGTTTTTTCCCTCCATTTGCATTTCTGTCTTCAGCTGTGGCCGGTGACCCATGGAGATGAAGGGGTTTCTTTTTCTTTTTTTTTTTTTGAGACAGAGTTGTTTCGCTCTTGTTGCCCAGGCTGGAGTGCAGTGGCGTGCTCTCATTTCACTGCAACCCCTGCTTCCTGGGTTCAAGCGATTCTCCTGCCTTAGCCTCCCGAGTAGCTGGAATTACAGGCATGCACTACCACGCCTGGCTAACTTTTGTATTTTTAGTAGAGATGTGTTTTCACCGTGTTGGCCAGGCTGGTCTTGAACTCCTGACCTAAGGTGATCTGCCCGCCTTGGCCTCCCAAAGTGCTGGGATTATAGGCGTGAGCCACTGCGCCCTGCCAGATGAAGGGGTTTCTGATGCTCGTGCTTATCCCGGTGCCTGACGCTTAGTAGGCACTCCATAAACATCTCTTCTTCCCTTTCCTGAGAGTTTAGTTGCAGTTTTCACAAAATGTCAACGAGACGGGTGGTGTAGAACATTAACACTTAGAATGTGGTGTGTCTGGGTGGGGGTACAGGTGGGCCTCTGGTCGCGCTCACTTGCCCTTGGCTGTGTGGTTTGAGGGTGGGCTTAGCTGTGGGTCAGGCAGGTTAGCTTTCTGGGCATTCTGTGCATCTGCTGTGGGGGATCTGATGGACAATGGTGGAGACACCCTGTGGCTCGCGCCCATCCCCCTTGGTCCCCATCACATGTGGGGATCTGGTTGCTTATTCTCTGATGTGGTTTCTCCTGGGAGGGCGGAGGAATGAGAGTTATTCTGTAGCTTTTTCTGAAGAGGAATGTGTGATTTGAACAATGCTGGGCCCAGGATGCCCTGGATTCCTCTGTCAATGTTGGCATTAGACAGGAACTATCAGGAGCTGGAAATAGGCTGCGGGGCCCGGCCGAGAGGGCTCATTGTTTGTGGCAACCCCACACTCATCATCCTGCCTCATCCTGGAACCATGGATGCCGCAGACAGGAAGGCACCTCCCAAAGTCATCTAGGAAGGAAGGGACCATGCTGGGTGCATTACACACCCCGACACTCACCCCACTCTGACTCCAGGTGGGGTGGGGTTCAACCGGCCCAGGGTGGTAGCTAGCACCTGCTTCAGTCACCTGTTCCCGTCTTTAACAGCTCTGTCTTCTGCAGGCTTCCTGTTGCATTTTAAGCCCATTCCTCTCATTCTGCCCTAAGTGAAACAAGAGAGGAAGCCACTGTCCCCCTGCTTGGAGCCTTCAGATGCGTGAGGGCGTGATGTTTTCCTTCTGTTTTGGAGAACCAGCAGGAGGTGGTGTCTACTCTAGACATGTGAGGCAGACAGCTGAGTAGAATTTGTAACGGGTAAGATATTGGCTTGGTTTACAATTGGTTTTCTCTAATTTAATAGGTTAGGAAGGTATAGTTGTATTCTGAGCTAACATCATGCATTTTTTTAAACCAACATTGATTTGTTTCAGCAATCAAGTGATGAATCCATGAATAAAGAGTCCACATTACATATTGTCCATTCCAGATTTGGGGCACGATTCTCCCCATTTTGCAGGCGAGCATGTTAAATCCAGATTCTCAGCCAGAGTTCTATCTGGCAGATAGTGGTGAGATTGACGGACTCAGAACACATTTCCACTGACAAGACGTGCACCGTCTCTTCTCACGGTACACGTAACGTTTTGGCACATCTCCATCTTGAGAGTGAATCCCAGTGTATTTCCTGCAGCTGGTAAAGCTTCCTGGCCAGGTGCAGCTCCTTGCAGAAAGTAAGCAGCTCTGAGTTTCATACCTAGAAAGTGCGAATTCTCATGGGCGGTCTACCCATGTTCCAAGACTTGTGGGCCATTCGTGTCACCATTAAAGACCCAGGGCATTGTTTCTCCAAACATTGTAATTCAGCGCACACACAGCTACACCTGAGAAAACGTTTCATTAATTAATTCTTATCTTTACTGTGTGAGATACCTTCTGGTGTTTTCTGTTTTATTTTTAAAAAATACTCTTCTGGGCTCGGCACAGTGGCTCACACTTGTAATCCCAGCACTTCATGAGGCCAAGGTGGGAAGGTTGCTTGAGTAACATAGTGAGACCCTGTCTCTACAGAAAAAATAAAATTAGCCAGGATGGTGGCCCATACCTGTAGTTCTAGCTACTCAGGAGAATCACTTGAACCTGGGAGTTGAAGAGTGTAGTCAGCTGTGATTGTACCACTGCACTCCAGCCCAGGCAGCAGAGCGAGATGCTGTATCTAAAAGAAAAAAAAAAAAGTCTTCTGACCCACTCAGCCGATTTTATAACCCAATAATGGGTCACAGCCTGCAGTTTGAAAAGCATGGATTGAGGGGTTGCTACAGATGAAAGCAAATGGAAACAATTAACAGGTTAACTTATTTGGCTCACAGTTAAATATCTGTTATAACTCAGATGCTTTATTTCTTGAAATTGGATTTTCACCTTCTTTATTTTCGTCCATGTTTCCAGAGTAAGTGCCTGTCACCTAGGAAGCTTGGATGGGCCCTTTTTAACAAGGTCTCCATCACCTTAACATCACCTTTCTAAAATAAATTTGATCTTGAGACAGAGGTCTTAGGATCTTAGGTTAACAGGATTATTTTTCATACTAAAATGATAAACAGAGCTCTGACTTGTGAATCCACGAAGTTATTCTATTTTTCTGTGCACCTGCTGTGTGCCAGGCGCTTAGGTGGTGCTAGAGGTACCGCACGGCTCAGATGTAGGAGTTCAGGGCCCTGCATTTTAGGGAGGGCACTGGTAGACCAGGAGGGTCAAGGAGGAGACTGGACAGGGGGCTTCGGCATGAGTCACAGTGGAAAGATGGGTGGGGGGGATGTTTGCTTGGGGAAGAGAAGACTCGGGGCCCATGGCACCATCTTATGTGCGAGCGGCTGGCGCCCGGGAGAGGAATTAGGCCTCTGCTTTACTACTCCAGAGGGGAAGACTAATTGCATTAGCCAGAATCATGATGGGGATGATAATTAAAAGAAATATTATCTACTGTGTATGAAGTGTGGTGTGTGCCAGGCACGGAATCGGGCCCTGGACGTAGATCATCAACTGTGTGTGGTTGGACATTTATTGTATCCATAATTCAGACAAGGAAACTGAGATGCAGAGAAGGAAAGTGCCTTGTCACGGGGCAGAGCTGGGATTTGAATATGATAGGACTGATTTGACCCATGTCTCCCTACCACCTCATCCGCATCTCTCAGGCAGAAAGTGGAGGTAGGCAGGTGGGGGCCCAGAATGCTAAGGCAGTGCCCATGGTAGTGAGAGCTGAGAAATGACAGCAAGGCTGCCTGGTGACCTCTGGCCTGTGCAGAGGGGAGGAGATTGGACATAAGTAACACCTAATGAGCTCATTTCATCCTAGGACAGCCCAGAAGGGAGGTGGGCTTTATGCCCCATGAAGCTCATGGGGTTAAGTGACACGCCCAAAGTCACATTGTCCCTAGGAGATAGAACTGGGACTCACACCTGGGCCTTCTGACCCCAGCCCTCGTGCCCTTCCCTCTGCCCTGCACTGCCTCTTACTTTCTGTGATTCACTTCATCAGTCTTTTCTCCAGATTCATTTTACCTGCTTCTCCTTGCTCCTTTGCTGTATCTGACAGGCCACCTGCAGCGTCCCATGGGTGCCTGAGCTCAAAACTGGAACCACAGCCAGAATCCAAGCTGACTGAGAGGTGTTCCCACAGTCAGTGTGTGGACATGCACGTGCACATGTGTTGTGTGCTTGTGTTTGTGTGTTGGAGGCCTGTGTGCCTTGGGAGGGGGCTTTGAGGTCTTTGGAGGGCCCGTGTGTGATGTAGGGTAGACAGGAATTTTTGGCAAGTTGGGGCTGGTGGAGAAGGCTGTAGCCCCCTGGACCCCCGGCCCCCAGTCAACCCTCCTGTGGGGCGCTACCAACCCTTTCTGAAAGGTGGGCTGGGAGGGAGCAGATCAGGGAAGTTAATTACTCGATTAATTCACCCAGATCAGACTGGCTTTCTGCTTGGGGGATGCTCTGCTTGATGGAATGAAGAAACTGCTAATTTGCTAATTCTGGTTACTGATGGAGGGTGGGGGGCTTCAGGGTTTTGGAGGTAGGAAGGCTGTTGCTGCGCCCACCCGAGGCTGCCTGGGGCCCACAGCCTCCTCTGAGCTGATGGCCTTGTTCTTGGCCTAAGGTGAGGGAGCTCTTTTCTCTTTCTCTTCCTATGACTTTCTTCCCTCTTCCTACCTTTTTTTTTTTCACTAGATACCACCAGAAAAGTTGGCCGGGCTGCAGTTCATTCATTCGTCTGCCCATTCATTCATTCAACAGTGCTATTGAGCAACTGGCACACGACTAGGTTGTGGGAGATGCTAAAGGTAACTCAGCAGGAATACAACTGGCACCCCATTCTCTTGCAGCTGACAGGTCTGTCCGCAAAGAGAGACCTGCCCCTCAGGCTGTCAGCCAGGCCATGTGATTGAGAGGCAGTGAGGGGGAGAAAGTGGGAGGAAGTTGTGTGTTGGGACCACCAGGCGGGGATCTGTGACTGGGCCATCAGCCTGAGAAGCCTCCATGCCAAGGGAGGGGAGGCTAATTGGAGCCTAGAATTGGGGCAGGCAGAGAGGTGAGCCAGGCCACGCAGCCCTCCCTGAGGCTGCAACAGCCAGTCAGGAGCTGAGCACAACACAGAGTGGCGGAGACAGGGTCAGGGCCGCATGGTCGGAGACAGATGCCCGAGGCAGGTTGAGAGCTGTCTCCGGGACTGAGGCTCGGAATACTGGGGATCTGCTCTGTCGGCTTTGCTGGGGTTAGGGCGTACCTGAAAGTGAACAGTCAAAGGCAGAGCTAGCGCCATTGCTGATGACACATGCAAGTAGGAGCACCCGCGGTGGCCAAGTGCTCAGAGAAGGCTTCTGGAGGGGTGGGGGCCCCAGGGTGCCATAAAGAAAGGCCACTCTGGAGTGATTTCATGCTGCTTCTTCCTTTCCTTTCTCTTCCACTGCATCCCTCTGTGCTAGGCACATCTGGAATATGGGCTTGGGCTGAACAGAGGGATTTAGGCAGATCTGAGATCTGTCCCCTCTCAAAGTGGGGAGGGGAGATTTTGGCCAGGATTTTCTCCGCAGCTGGCGTGACTTCCAGTTCTTGACAGAAATGTGTAAGGGTTACCTTGGCGATTAGGTGCAAATGTATCTTCAGGGAGATGAACCCAAGGACAGCAATGGAGGTTTTATACCCAGAGAGGCTCTAGTTTGGGGAGAGTTGCTGGCGGAGGTAGGAGATTAGCTGCTGCTTGGTTAGTGAAAGGATGAGCCAGTCAGATCCAGTCAACAAAGAAAGCAGGGGCTCTCAGGGTTGAACACAGTTCAGAATCCCCCACAGAGCATTCACAGGGCAGGTTATCAACATTCTGCCTCCAGATACTTTTAGGCCAGAGTGGGCCCCAGAATTTGCATTCATCACCAAATACCCAAGGATTCTGGAGCAACTGGCCTGGGACCCACGCTTGGAGAAGTAGTTTTAGAGGGAACTCGGCATTTGGGAAAGAACACTGGACTAGATGTATGAAGACCCGGGTTCCAGTCTACTCGGTGATTGGCCTCAGGTGTGTGCCACTTCACCTTTGGAATCTTTTTGTAAGTTGGGTACAATGATGTCTGCTGCAGTGACTTCCTAGGGCTTTTGTGATGGTCGCGTATGTGAAATCCCTTTGAACAGCATACATTTTTCTATAATTGCAGGCTGTTGTCATTGCTTCTACAGTTATAATAGAAATGTCCAGAAGGGTCTGGATTGATTGAAGCCAGGGAAGGGAGGGGGAGGGAGAAGTAGACCAAATGATCTCTGACGGCCCATAGCTTCTGGGATCTTCCTTCAATAAGAAAATCCAGCCAGGCACGGTGCACACCTGTAATCCCAGCACTTTGGGGGGCCGAGGTGGGCAGCTCGCTTGAGTTCAGGAGTTCAGGAGTTTGAGACCAGTCTGGGCAACATGGCAAAATCCCATCTCTAGAAAAAATACAAAAATTAGCTGGGCGTGGTGGTGCACACTTGTAGTCCCAGCTACTTGGGAGGCTGAAGTGGGAGGCTCACTTGAACGCAGGAAGTGGAGGCTGCAGTGAGCTGAGATTGTGCCACTGTGTTCCAGCCTGGGTGACAGAGTGAGACCCTATTAAAAAAAGAAAAAAAGAAAGAAAGAGAAAGAGAGAGAGAGAAAGAAAGAGAGAAAGAGAAAGAGAAAAAAAAGAAAGAGTCCAAGGAATGTCCCTCTTCCCCCAAATCCAGGTAGTGAATCTATTTCTTTAAGGTGTGGGTGCTGGTTTGGTCTTGAGAGAGACAGGTAGCAAGGGGAAAGGTAGCAGGGCTCCCCGATGATAGCACCGTCTGGATTTCCTTCCTCTTTCCCTGGTGCTGATGTTGCTTCAGCTGAGCGATTAGAGCCACGGGATGCTGCCGGGAGCCCCGGGCATGTGTGACCCGTCCTGCCCTGCATGGTTTTGCTGACGTTCTGCGGCATGAGGTTGGGGATGGGAATAGCTTGCACCCGGAGTTCCTGTTCTGTGCGTTCCTTCTCAAGCCAGCTCTCGGAGGCTTGGGTGTCCATGGCAGAGCAGGGTTGGAACAGGGCCTCTGTGTTGCACACCTTCAGGGGGCACAGTTCACAGGGAATGCAGTGTAACTGTCCTGCTGGAGTGGTGCAATGGCAGACTTCCTCCCTGGCCAGCAGGGAGGCATCCTTGCTTTGTTACTAAACTCCGCTGGTTCCTTGGTTCTATAGTCTCTATTCTGTTTCAGTGTGCAATGAGGTCAGCAGAAACACAGATAATAACGAGGCTCATGATAAGAGTAGTGAAGACTGTGTTCTCCCTAGACCACTTCCATCATGTTTGGTTTCAGCATGCATTTGGAAGCAGTCATTTAATCAGCAAGTATTTATTGAGTGTGGCTGTGTGCCTGGCACTGTGCACAGTCACTGAGGGGAGACGGGGCGGGAGAAGGGAGTTGGGGGACTCGGCGGATAAGCTATCTCAGACAGTAGCAGGTTAGCTCCTTTCTTTGGCCTGTGCTTTTGGTATCTGTCTCATGTTGTTAGCACTTGGAAGATGGGTGCTGTGCTTGTTCTAGCTTTGCTGGAATTTCTAGGGGTTGGCAGGGTGGGGCTAGGAGTCATTTTGCTGTGGAAACTCAGGGGGTCACTTTCAGAAATGGAATGTAGGCGTGCCCAATGCAGCTCCTGACTCACTTTCCCCATGGCTGGTGGATTTGAGGGTGGGCCTGGGAGTTTCCAGTCTGTGTAGAGAAGGGGTGGTGGTAAGGGGATGACCAGTCTCCCCCTTCGGAGCGCCTCAGGTCAGCACTCCTTAGTGAGTTTGCTTCCCTACCTCCACCCCGGCTGCCAGCCTGCTGTGGCTCTACGTGCTGCAGCTGGGCCCGCAGAGCTTAAAATAGCAGCGTGAGCTGGCCGCTGGGCATGTGGGGAGCCCGCCTGAGGCCTGATGGGGCAGCCGCCTGGGCTTGGGGCTCTACTGGCTTTAACCACTGGGGTAGAGAGTGTTTTGGGGGGTTTCTTCTAGGCCCAGAGCTGGAGAATGGGGAATGGATGTAGCTGGAGTTCGGGTGTGGCTGGTGCAGAGGGGAAGCAAAGGGCTTGTCTTTCCTAGACCTTTGAATAAAGGGAATGCCTCGAACCTGACCTTGGAGGCTCTCACTGTGGAGCTCAGGGGCCTTCAGACTTGGTGTTCTGTTTGGCCTTAGCTCCGGCCCTCGGTACTGCCCAGGGTTAGCCATGTAGGGTCCCATTAGAGGCTAAATGAAGTGCGAAGGTGGGATGGAGGATGCAGCTGTGCCAGGTCACAGATGTCAGGGCCAGGGCAAGAACGCAGGTATCCTGAGTCTCAGCTGGGCAGGCGCTAACTACAGGGCTCCCTCACTCGCCAGTTGCCTGCTCTTGGGAAGCCAAGATGGCACCTAGGGGTTTGGGAGAGACCTTTCCCAGGCATTCATACATTCTTTCAAAAATACTTACACCTGTCTTGTGTGAAACTGTTCGTAGCTTTGGGAATACAGCAGTAAGTGAAGCAGAGCAGGAGAAGAGAGATGGAGTGTGCTGGGGGAGGTACAGTTTTGAATGGGGTGGTCAGGGAAGGCCTCATGGAGAAGATGCCATTTGAGTGGAGGTTTACAGGAGCTGAGAGGAGTGGCAGTGCTGAGATCTAGGAGAAGAATGTTCCAGGCAGAGGGGACAGCCAATGTAAAGTCTCCAATGTAAGAAACAGCACAGAGGACAATGTCGCTGGAGTGGAGTGAGTGGGCCAGGAGTTTGTTTGTGTGTGTGTGTGTGTGTGTGTGTGTGTGTATACACACAAGTTCTTCTAAGAACTTTGTCTTTTTCTTTGAGAGACATGAGAAGGCATTAGGGGGTTTTGCACAGATCAGTGGCATGGTCTCACTTAAGAGACACGATCACTGTAGTATAAGAGCTAATTTCAGTTGTGTTTTTCTTGGGGAGGCCCCAGGAGACCAGACAGGGGGCTGCCCCATCCTTTCCCTATGACTCGTCCAGCCTCTGTTTCTATTCCCCAAGCTCTGACCTGAGACTTTTACTCCTGGGGAGGAGGGGGCAGGATGGTGCTGGATTTCTTTTCTCTGCCTGGAGTTTCTTTTGGAGGGAGGGAGATGGGTTTGTTACAGTTGTTTGCTGGAGCCTACTTGTACTGGTTCTTGAGAGCCTATTAGAAAGTAATTAGAACATTTGCCTGCCAGTAGCTTGAAATTGGCTGTGGTGGGAGTACTTACACCATGGCATTGGCAAGCGCTCTGAATCGGGGCTTTTCCCCTGTAGAGCTGATTGTTGAACGTCTGCCAGCCCACCACTGGATTGTTACCTCTACTCTACCTGTGCTGTGCTTTCAGAGGGGAGGGCCTCTGTTTTCTTTCACTTGGCAGATCACCTGTGTTCATGCCGTGTGGTCAGAAAGAGCACAGGGGACACTGGATGAGGGTGATGAAGGTTGGGGTTGGCGGGGCAGTGGTGTGTTTTCCAGGATTGGCAGGGCTTGTCCTTTGGTGTTGTGATGTGGGGCGTCTCTGCTTTTCCTAGCTGGGTAATCCTAAATGCATGAGTGTCCTCTCAGCCTGCTTCCTTCCTTCCTCTGCCTGCCTTTGTGCAGGTGGCATGGGTACGTGTATGTCCAGGAGTGGCCAGCTTCGTCCATAAAAGCAGGGCCCAGCACTGGACCCAGGTAAGGCCGCTTGGTGTAAGGAAAGATCACTGTTTTCACTGTTTTGGAAGTCAGGAGACATAGGTTCCAGTCCCAGCTCTCCTTACTTGCTTAGACGAGTGCTCTCCCCTCTTTGGCCCTTTGTTCCCTCTTTTACAAACGGAGACAACTTCCCTGCTTATCTTGCAGGGGTGGGTGAGGGCCAGATGTGATCATTAGTGTGAGAGCCCCTCAAAAAAGCTGCAAGAGTCACCATGAACAGGTCTTGGCTTGCGGTATTCAGGCACGCAGGCCTCTCTCTCCTCTGTCCTCATTCTGTTTGGATGCCATGCAAGCCCAACACGTACCCCTTCTCCAAGAAGCCCTTCCTGATGGGCCAGACTCTCCCTGGGCAGGTCCTCGGGGCACTCCCAGGCTGAACCTCCAGTCCTTGCATGTACTCAGGGGTACTTCTGTCCCACCCTTTCATTTGATTGCTCTTTGCCCAGATGCAGATGGAGCGTTTGCTCTGTAATGCTAATTCTCCTTGGCAGCATCTGCAGTGGCAAACCCAGGGTGGCGTACCTATGGGTGCTGGGGAACTCTGCAGGGACTGATTCATCAGCATAGGTGTCTCGCTTTTATCGAGCTCCTATGAAGTGTGATGGCTGGCTGTGGTGTGTGGGGGTGAAAGGTTCCAAAGACAAGTGCCTCCCACTTGATAAAGTAGTTTCCCAGACACTGCCTCATCTGTCCCTCATGGTCACACTTAACCCCATTATACTGATGAGGAAACAGAGGCATGCTCACATTCATTCATTCATTCATTCATTCAAGACATGTGTCCTGCACTCAGGGAGCTGTCAGTGTCTCCCCGGGTTCCACAGCACTGGGGTGGCCTGCTCTGTGCCCTGCCAGGCTCCTGCGGTACTACTGTGCTTGCTGTGTGTTCATCTCTGCAGGAAGCAGACAGAGCGGCAGGGGGAATATGCATTCATGGAGGGATGGGGGCTGCACCAGGGTGCTAGTCAGGTACCCGGGCCTGGGTGGCAGAGGAAGGGAGGGGGCAGCATCAGTGCCCAGGGTGTGTCCCTGCTGTGTCCGGCTGGCCGTGGCTTCGGGCTGGCATTTCCTCTGGCAGCAGTGTGGGGGAGGGGAAGAGCAGGTGTGCCCTGGCGCCTGGCCTGGCTGGGATGTGGAAGCGCCTCTTGGGGCCGGAGCTTGGGGGATGAGTGACGTGCAGCCACCTGGACACATTGGGCCTCACGGAGCCCAGCCACATTCTCAGAGCTCCAGGCTGGACATCTGAGCCCCCCGGTGGTTTCTGTAGATGGCTGGATCTGGTGGGTGACTCCAGAGAGGGCCTCCAGAGAGGACTCATGGTGGTGATCTATCAAGGTGAATACCTCCCAGATAGGCCGAGGGCAGTGTTAGAGGGTGTCCGATACATACACTGAGGTGAGTATGTGTGGTGAAGGTGGGGGTGAGGCTCGGGGGCTCTGTGCATTGTGGGAGGGACTCAGTTTCTCTTTAGTTTCCTAAGTGTGCACCATGTATGGGGCTGCGCTGGTTGCCGCAGAGGAGCGCGGGTGAGCTCTCCCCGCTTGGAGCTTCTAGTCTTGTACAAAGGAAAAGCATTTATGCAAATAGCTGTCATGCAATGCAGAGTAAAATCAGTGTCCAAAAGAGATGACTAGAACAAGAAGAGTGCCTCTTCATTTTGGGGGATCTTTCTTGGAGGATGTGGCATTTGAGATGAACCTTGAAACATCTCCTCAAGGCTGAGCAGGATGGGGGAGGCTTCGGAGGTGGAGGGCAGGTGCATGCAGGCACAGGGGTGGGCTGCACCTTGAGGGGCTGGTGTTGCTGGAAGCAGAGGGCACAGCTCTGGGATTTGTGGGGAAGAAGGCTGACAGAGTACCATGTAGAAGGGCCCCAGTGACAAGCTTGAGTATTTGTGTTTAAATCCCTGGGGAAGTTTTTGAGCTGATGGCATGTGCCAAGCTCTGCCTTGGGCCAGTACTAGTGGCAGCATGTGGCAGGGTGACTACAGAGGGAGAGGGTGCAGGGAGCCTGGTCAGGAGACTGGCAGACAGGAGGCAGCCCAGTCACGTGTGACTGGGTTACAACAGGAACAGACCTGGGCTGGAGCAACCTAAGAGCCTTTGAAAGCACCTTTTGGGACTGTAAGAGGCTTGGTAGCCTGGATGGCTGATTCGAGGGTGTGAGTTGTGACTATTTTCACCTCAAGTACCTTGAAATGAGAAAAGATGCCTCCAGGTTTCAGACGGGCTGGATGCCTTTAGGAGGCCCCTTCAGTGGGAGGCACCTTGAATGACAGCCCCATAGCTATGGGCCAGCCTGATGGGGAGGAGGGAAGAGAGATGGAGTGAGACGACAGCCAGTGCTCCTGTCTTACTTTACAGAGCAGCCGATGGCAGTTCAGAGGCCACAAGTGACTTAATGCACTGCGGGCCTTCGAGCCATAAGACAGCCATTAGGGATGCCCAAGTCTGTCCCTGCCACCCATCCAGACACCTCTCACTCTATCAGCGAGAGTGGAACATGCACAGGCTCCCTCCCATGAGGGCTGCAGAGCAGTGTGGAATCTGGGGCGCTGGTTCTTCTCCATCTTCTTCACTTTACAGCACCCCCAAGTGCTGCTCACACACTGCCTTCTTCCACATTGGCTCTAGTACCAGCCCCGTAGAGGGAGAGTGGGCCGAGGGAGGCAGCAGGCAGCAGCTCCTGAAATCAGCAGAAGGGTCCCAGCTGCACAGTCAGGCTGGATGTGAGGTTGCAGAGCGCCGTCCCAGCTGGCAAGTCAGCACCCTCTGTGGAGTGGTTTAGGAATATTGGATTTGCTGGGTCAGTCCATTTCCACTGGTGCATGGTAATAAGTCGCAGGCTTCATCACACTTCCGTGTGCCCGGCGGTCTGCCTTATCTCATCCTCCCCGCAGCCACCTGCCTTCCTTGATAAGTACTAATAACAAATGCCTTCTTTCTCCTGTTTTCCAGGAGCAGTGGGCTCAGTGTGTGCATATGTGTATGGGCAGGTACATCTGTCTGTCCAGCACAGTGGCTCTTACTCCAGGCCCTTTTGAGGATCTGACAGGGATGCTGATTGGCCTTAGGATGAAAGATGGGCTGCTTTGGAACTTTCCTGCAAAACAGGGCCTGAGAGCCCAGAGTGGGTGACTCTTTGTCCAGGCAGACTATCAGCCCCGTTCTTCTAGGGCCCAATCTCTGCTGCCCCCTCTTATCTGGTAAACCTTCTCTAAGAGGAGATGCCTGTCCTGCAGGAGTGGCCATTCTAACTCTTTTTGTAAAGCTTGCCCTGCTCCAAGCAAAGGCTGATTTTTCTAAAGAGCTGCTCTCACCTTAAGGTGCACACAAAGGTTCTTCCTGTTGCTACTCATGCATTTAGCAGTGACTTTAGAGCACCAGTGTGCTAGACAAATGCCAAGTGCTTAGAAGACAAAGAGGAGGGACACAGTCCTTGCATTCAAGGAGCTCACAATTTGGGAGCGGGGGAAGGTCAGGGAACAGGTGGCATCATGGCAGGATTAACTATGCGTTATTGGTATACCAATGAGGCTTCCTGGAGGAGGTGACAGCACCCTGATGCCAACTGGATTGTGGATGTTAGCCATTCGGGGTGTGGGGGAAAGGGGGTTTCAGGCGGAGGGAGCATCCAGTGCAAAGGCCAGGGGATGAGGGGGAATTTGATGTGGGTTAATTTGGTGGGAGTGTAGGCCAAGAAAGGTATAGGAGAGGGAGTTGCTGAGAGGAGTGGGGTGGGCAAGCACCTGTACAGATTTTAAACTGGCATCCAGGGTCATCTGTGCTCTGGCCCACCCTCCTTTCAGGCTCCCTTTCTGCAAAGCTTCATTCCAGTGGAGCGTGTGGGTGCCTCCCAAATGTCCTGGGCCCTCTGCTGTGCCCTGGCTCTGCCCAGCTGCCCCCCTGCCAGGGTGCTCTTCCCCTTCCCCCCTGCCTGTCCAGTGCCATTTCATAGGGTGCGGATTTCAGGGCTCCAAGGAACCTTAGAGAAACAACTAGTCCAGTCTGCTTGTTTTGTAGTTGAGGAACCAGAGGTTGAGCAACTAGAGGCCACACAGGTCATCAGTGTCCTCAGGCTTTGTTCCTTAGGTGGCACGAGGTGATCAGACACCTGGAAAGCCCCGGAAGCCCTCCCTGCTGGCCCTGCCTGCCCTGTGCCTGCCCTCCCTTGAGCTCCTCTGCATGTGTTCATCAGGTATTGATTGGGCCCCTAATGTAGGTCAGGAATAGTACTGGGTACTGGGTGTAAAGCAGTGAGGGAGACATAGGCAGTCTCTGCCTTTCTGGGGTTCATGGTCTAGTAGAAGAATCAGATAGTAACATTGTCACCCTAACAAACATGGATTTTCCAATGATGGTGACTGCTATGAGAAAAAAAGGGGCAAATGGTGCTGTGAGGAGTTGTATTGAAAGAAAGGGGGCTTTAGTTTTGACAGTGGGGGGCAGCCAGAAAACTAGAATAGACCTTCTTCAATAATTCACAAGAGCTCAGGGGTGAGTAGAGTGAAGCCAGGCAGTGGGTCCAGGAAGAGCATCCAAGCAGAGGGAACAGCATGGGCGGAGGCTCTGAGGAGGTCAGAGCACCGAGAGTTCACGGCTGTGGCAATAATGGGTGAGCAGAGAATGTTGGACGGGGGCTGGAGAGAAAGGCAGGGATCAGTCATGCCGGCCGTTTAGGGTTGCTCTAAGGATTTGGACTGTACTAGAAAAGTAGACTAGGAAACACACAGGCACACACACAATTGTAATCCAAGTAAGATGGGAAGCCACTGATGAGGTTACAGTGGAGAGGCACATGAGTGGGAAGATTGCATTGGCTGCTCTTGGTGAATGGGTGGGCGCAGGAGGGAATGGAAGGCTGCAGGGGCTGCCGCAGGACCCCAGGCGAGCCATGAAGCAGGGCTGGACAAGGGCGGGGACGAGGAGGATGCCAGGTGCAGGGAGGCTCTGCGGCTTGGACTTGTGTTTGCTTCGAGGTGGGAGCAAGTGACAACCGGGAGCCAAGGATGAGTCTGAGGCTTCTGGCATAAGCAGTGGGGTGAAAACTTAAGCCATTTGTTGAGAAGGAGCGGATAGTGCCAGGGAGCACATCCGGGGCAAGGTCAGTCCCTCCTGGAGCTGTCTGGGAGACAGCCAGGGGGATGACAAGCAGGAGTTGGGGACCTGTGCTTGGGGCTCAGGAGACAAGTCAGGTCCAGGTGTGCATTTAGGGGGTCAACAGCATGCAGATGGCCCTGGAACGGAGGAGATGGTCATATAGAGGAAAGTTGGGCAGAAGAGAAGAGGGCTCAGAGCTGAGGGCCTCCCTGAGGAGGAGGAGGAGGGCAGCCAGCATTTCCCTTAGAATTTCAGCCACACAACATTAGCTATTGATGATGTTTCTTTCTCTGTTCAGCTACACTGTAGCTAGACAGGAGCTGGTTCCATGTTGACTATAATAAGTATTGTTGGGAATGATAATAGTGCCTCCATCCATTGAACAGCTTCTGTGTTCCCTCGTAACCTTTATTCCTTATTTTTTTACATAGTGCTGGGGAAGGTGCATATTATTTCCATTTTCTAGCTGAAGAAACTGAGATATGGAGCAATTAAGTGGTCATTCTAGGCATCCAGCAGTGGGGTAACTCACTCTAGATGGGATTTGGACACAGATTCATCTAGTCCCAAGGCCCAGAGTGTTCCCCCTTTGTTATTTTACTAGAGTTTTGTTCTCTGTGGTTGAGTTGGATAGTGGTATGGACAGGGGTCATTGAAGGCATCTGAGCCCAGCTGACCCACAGTAACCAGGGCATGTGGTGTGAGCCGATTTCGGGGACAGTGGGAGTGAGGTTGGCTTTGTGACAATCCACACCACCTGCCTGGCTCCTCATGGTCCAGAAGCCACATTTTCAGTACTCCTGGCTGGGGCAGGATTGCTGTAGCTGGTTTATAGCTGTGCCCGTGTTTCCTCGGCGCTAAGCTAACTGATCTTTCCGAAGGCCCCAGTACATGCTCTGAGCAGTGTGCCCACCTGTCGTGGGTAGACTGTACACACAGCCAAGGGTCTCTGCATGGCCATGTTTTCTGGTAGCCAGAAGTGGCCTCTGACAAGGGCTGACCGTAGCCGGGGGGCAGCTTTGCTCTTGGGCTTTGAGAGGTGACACGCAACACTAGGGAATGTGTAAGGGTTCACCAGAGACTTGGAGCTGGGGCAGCAGTGCTCCTGGCTGTGCTCCGTGGAGCCCCTCCAAGAGGCCCAGCCCACTCCGAATGGGCAGAGGTCGAGGGGCTGCCTGTCCCTGACTTGCTCCTGTCTCAGTCTTCTCTTTTTTCTACCTCAGATCTTTCCCACTTCTTCCTCCATACATTTGTTTATCTGTCCTTCTGTCTGTCCATCCATCCATCCATTCCAGGCTGTGCCACGTGCTGGGGATATGGCTGTGAGTGAGACAGCTGACCGCATGGCATTTGCACTCTTATCTGTAGCTGGGTGTTTCAGCTTGTCAGGTTCAGACGCCCTTGGATAGCCTGCTTTCCAGGAACAATTCCATAGATTTCTGGCTTGGGCCCCATCCTTTAGTTAATGAACTCAAGGCTGTCAGGCTGTCCTTGAGGAGAGCTCAAGATTTAGGCACGCTGGTCTGCCTTTCCCCTCCGTCCTCCAGCACTTCCTGAGTACCTGCTGTGGGGTGGTCACTGACAGGCACTGAGGGGTGGGGTAAAATGACCCAGACACAGCCTCTGCTTTCTTATAGAAGCTCAGTGACTGGAGCAGAGGCAGGTGGGCAAACTGTAGTTGGAGTCTGAACAAAGGGCCAAGAAGGAGGGAGGAGCAGACCTTTCTCCAGAGAGGGAGGTACCCTGGCCACCCTTTGTGTCCCTCTGTCTGTGAACTTTCCCACCAAAGCCAAACCCTGCTTGTTTTTTTCTTTTCTTTTTTGAGATAGGGTCTCACTCTGTCACCCAAGCAAAGTGTGGTGGCACAATCATGGCTCACTGCAGCCTCGACCTCCCGGGTTCAAGTGATCCTCCCGCCTCAGCCTCCTGAGTAGCTGGGACTACAGGTGCATGCTACCACACCCAGCTAATTTTTGTATTTTTTGTAGAGATAAGGTCTCACTATGTTCCCTAGGTTCATCTCGAATTCCTGGGCTCAAGCGATTCACCTGCCTTGGCCTCTCAAAGTTTTGGGATTACATGTGTGAGCAACCATGCCTGGCCTTTCTTTTCTTTACTAGTCTCAGAAACTTAAAAAAACAAACAGATTAAAAACAAGTAACAGTACCATTCCTTCTTTTCTACCCCAACCCTTTCACCATCGATGTTACCGTCCTTCCTGAATCACGGCCAAGTATGGTAACACCCAATCTCCTAGCCCCTGCCCTGTAGCCTCCCCCCACCATGTGGGCCCCCTGCTAGGGATCTCTCCATTGTTCTCTTTTGGCACGGTTGCTAAATGGTTTGCTCGGCAACGAAAGCATTTTCTGTACTGTACAGTGGAAGAAGATCCCAAATTTGGAGTTTAAAAATTGGGGGGAGGTGAGTAGCTCTCCCTTCTAAAATGGTGCCCGTCTCACAGGCTCTTTTGGGTGGCAGTCAGCGCTTTGTGTCTAACCTGAACCCTGGCTTTGTGGGAGGCTGCCTTGTTTGAGGCTTAAAGGCACAGGGTGCCTCACAAGCTGTACCTTGTGTCAAATGTGGGAATATTCAGCATGGGTCAGAAAGGGGCTGTGGGCTGGCCCATTGGTTCTGATTGTGTGTGGGTGAGGGAGAGACCAAAGACTGAGCCCTGTCTCATGCTGCCAGCCTGAGGAATTCACAGAGAGGCAGAGAGAGCTTGGCATTTACTCCAAAGCCCACATCTCCCCAGTTGCCAACCAGCAGAGATGTGGCATGTTGATTTCATTTATTCACTTTTCTTCTTCCCCTCTGAGAATGCTGTAGTTACTTCACTTTTTTTGTTAAAAAAAAAATAAAAGAAAAGTGAAGTCAGGCTGCCTTGTTCACATGCTCAGAGAGCCCCCTGAAGGGCAGCCTGCACCTGCCAGCTTGCCTGGGTGGCAAGCTGAGAATGATCGGGAGCTGCCAGAGGGATGATGTCTCACAGCACCATTTCTATCTGATTGTTCCATCTGTACCCCCAATCTAAGGAACTGAGGCAGCCACAGCCACTGGTCTTTTCATCTCTTGCCTCTCCTCCACCCCGATGCCAGTGCCAGGCCCAGCTTCCTAGGGCACCGGTTAATCATGGGCCCCACTGCTTGGGACCCTGCAGGATGCAGCCCAGGCTTTTCATATGCCATGCAAGGCTTCACAGGGTAGCTCACTTTGACCTCTAAGCACCTTCTCTTGCTTCAGTCAGGCCTGTCCCCTCCCTGCCTCCCGAAGGTACCACACTCACGCCTTTCTAGGGTGGCCACCCACTTCAGAGAGCCCTTCTGCAAGGGACAGCTCGGTGCCCATCCTGCCACGGTCTGTGCTCTGTGCATCAGTCTGCTTTGGGCTTCTCTAGCTGCAGTCGTGAGTGGGGGTAGAAGGTGGGTCGCTTCAGCTAGATCTGAGCTCCTTGAGGCCCACGCCTTGTCTTACTCAGCTCAGCTTTGTGTCTTCCGTGGGTCCTTGTTCCGCGTCCTCTTATCTTGAACAAACCAGCACCAATGGATGGTGTGCTCATGGTGAGAGAGGGAGGAGGAGGGACGTGTTCCTAGAGCTGCCTTCCTGAGGCTGCTCTACCACCTTCCCCCTAAGATAGGACTAGATTACGCTGCGTCTCCCCACACCAGCTTCCTTCTTCCAGCCTGTGTCAGGTAACTCAAGGCCATCTGGGTGATGACTCGCCTTTCTTATTAGCAGTCCAGGAGCACTGCCCCTTCCTCAGGGTCCTTTCATCTAATGACATCACATCAGGACATGATATTTCAGGTTCCCCGTTGTGCTTTAAGAGTCTGTTAGCCTGGAAGATTCTTAAGGGCAGAAACTTGTAGAGTCTAAGAGAGTGTGGTGCATGGGCTGTGAAATCAGTTTTCTTTTCTGTAAAATGGGGATAATAGGGTGTACCTATCTTGTAGGGTTGTTATGAAGATTGAGTGAGTTACTTTGTGGGAAGCTGGGTCCCTGGGGTAAATAAAGACTTATACGTTAAAGTTGCTTTTATGATTCTGATGACTAAGCTGAGTGCCCTGATGGGACTTCACTACAGCTTTGCTCAGGGACTGACAGGTGTGACTTCAGTGCCCTTTGACAAGTGTGACCAGAGGAGGCAGAACTGTTGCATTGCAGCCTCCACTTCCTCTCCTACCTGCCTGTTGTTTCCCCTACCTGCTGGGGACCATCCCAACCCCAAGGCCCTCAGACTTCTGAGGAAATGGTTAGTGGCACAAATTCATTTATAATCAGAAATGAAGATGGAAAGATCCAGGGACAATGAGGCAACTATTCTGCCTGGACAAAGTGTGAGCTGGGCAGAAGAGATGAAAAAGGGTTAGGAAGTGGAGGGGGCCACCCTGCGAGGGCCCTCCGTGACACCAGGCCCCCATCTGAGACTGGTAGGATCAGCCCCTCCAATTTGTTCAGTCTCATGTCCTCAGACTCTCCTCACATCCACCAACTGACTTTATGCTTGTAACACCTCTAGGGGGTAGGCTCTTTTAATCCCCATGTTAAAGAAGAGGAAACGGGAGCTCAGAAAAGCAAACTGCCTTGCCCTTGATCACACAGCTAAAAAGAGCTCAAAGTGAAAAACAGGTCTCTTGACTCTTGGTCCAGCTGGTAAATGATCTATCCCTGCATCAAAGAAGTAATGTTGTGAGAATGAAGCGGCAGCCGTGGGCCCCTCAGGAGCGGCCAGGTGAGGCTGCAGAGGACAAAAGGCATTAGCCATGCCAGTCAGGCAGCCCTGATGCTACATCAGGAGGCGACTAGACATCTGCCCCTTCATCTCCAGACAGCATCGGTGGGACTGCTATGCCGAACCCAGAGAGAGTAGCTGCTGGTGGCTGTAATACACACTAGGTTTTATTCTTGGGCTCCCCATCTGAGTTGGGAAGGGGCTCAGGATGGTAAAACCACTGCAGTTTCCTTTAAAGTAGGGGAGCTGCACTCAGAATGGGAGAGCTCCACTCAGAATGGGAGAGCTCTCACCTCTAGGAGGCGGGCCTGCCAGGGAGCCAGTGAGGCTGCAGGTTCACCAGCACAAGTCACCACCAGCACAGGTCACCACCAGCACAGGTCACACCAGCACAGGTCACCACCAGCACAGGTCACCACCAGCACAGGCCACCACCAGCACAGGTCACCAGCACAGGCCACCACCAGCACAGGTCACCATCAGCACAGGCCACCACCAGCACAGGTCACCACCAGCACAGGCCACCACCAGCACAGGTCACCAGCACAGGCCACCACCAGCACAGGTCACCACCAGCACAGGTCACACCAGCACAGGTCACCACCAGCACAGGTCACCACCAGCACAGGCCACCACCAGCACAGGTCACCAGCACAGGCCACCACCAGCACAGGTCACCATCAGCACAGGCCACCACCAGCACAGGTCACCACCAGCACAGGCCACCACCAGCACAGGTCACCAGCACAGGCCACCACCAGCACAGGTCACCACCAGCACAGCTCACCACCAGCACAGGCCACCACCAGCACAGGCCACCACCAGCACAGGTCACCACCAGCACAGGCCACCACCAGCACAGCTCACCACCAGCACAGGCCACCACCAGCACAGGTCACCACCAGCACAGGTCACCACCAGCACAGGTCACCACCAGCACAGCTCACCACCAGCACAGGCCACCACCAGCACAGCTCACCACCAGCACAGGCCACCACCAGCACCATCAGCACAGGCCACCACCAGCACAGCTCACCGTACCAGCACAGGCCACCACCAGCACAGGCCACCACCAGCACAGGTCACCACCAGCACAGGTCACACCAGCACAGCTCACCACCAGCACAGGTCACACCAGCACAGGCCACCACCAGCACAGGCCACCACCAGCACAGGTCACCAGCACAGGCCACCACCAGCACAGGTCACACCAGCACAGGCCACCACCAGCACAGGCCACCACCAGCACAGGTCACCACCAGCACAGGCCACCACCAGCACAGGTCACACCAGCACAGGTCACCACCAGCACAGGCCACCACCAGCACAGCTCACCACCAGCACAGCTCACCACCAGCACAGGCCACCACCAGCACAGGTCACCACCAGCACAGGCCACCACCAGCACAGCTCACCACCAGCACAGGCCACCACCAGCACAGCTCACCACCAGCACAGGCCACCACCAGCACAGGCCACCACCAGCACAGGTCACACCAGCACAGCTCACCACCAGCACAGGTCACACCAGCACAGGTCACCACCAGCACAGGCCACCACCAGCACAGGTCACCATCAGCACAGGTCACTACCACAGCTCTGTGATGAGGGTCTGGAAGTCCCTCTGGCTGGAATTCATGTCCCCCTCCCACCATGGCCATGCCTGTTGTGGTAGCTCTGTGTCTGCCCATTTGTGCTGCCTTGGTGATTAATGCCCTCCTGTCTTCCTAACTGGATTGTGGCTCCCTGAAGGGCAGGGAGCCCCACTTCTCATATCTGTTTCTTCGAGGGCCTGGCCCAGGGTTTAGCACACAGTTCTAGGTGTGACATGAATACCTGCTGGGATCCAGGGAGGACTTTTCACACCCACCGCCCCAGGTAGGACATGAATTCTTCCATCCAGCCATCCCTATTGAGCACCTCCCAGAGGCCAAGCCCTGTGGTAGGGGATGGGGTTACAGAACCTGGTAAAATGTGGCTCTTGCCCTCGGGTGCTCTCAGTACTCTCTTCCTGAGCGACTGGAAGGGTAGCAGAAAAGAGAGGTGGGCTCCCCACCCGCAAGTCTTCTAATCCTCATCATTTGCAAAGTGTGGTGTCCCGGTCGGCAATGCAGACTTCTGCACTAGCCCAAGGGAGGCTGCCCAGTTGCAGTGCTTTACGGTAGGATGTTCCCAAGCCCCGAGCAAAAGCTCGTTTCTCTGACCTCACGGGAGAGCACCCAGACAGTGGCCAAGGGCACCCCTACATCACTCTTGGCACAGGCGGGGTGAGGAAAGGCAAGGTAGGACCCCGCTTCGTCCACCTGTCCCTGTCAGCCTGCCTGGGGTTCCAGCCGCCGCAGCGTCCCAACCGAGAACGCGGGGCAAGGGTTCGCGCAGCTGCAGGAGCCTGGCGGAGCGCCTTGTGTGCGCGCCCGTGCGTGCGCGCCGAGGGGGCGGGGAGGGCGGCGCGCACCCCGCAGAGGCCCCCGGCGCTTTCCGATACCTCGCGCCTCCCTGCGGTCCCTTCTCCCTGTGCGCCCTAGCCAGACCCACGTGTGCAAAGGCATGGAGGGGGGCGTGTGTGTGAGAGTGTGTGTAGGTCTATCCGGGAGACCGCGTGCCCTGGCCGGACAGGCCCCCAAGTGCATAGGGGGCGGCGGCCAGCTCGACAGCGGCCGCGCTTCTGTCCCCCTCCAGTCCTTCTCCCCAGACCTTTCCTCTGGCTTGCTTGGGCCGTGGGTACCTCCAGCCATCCCCCTCCTTTCGCCGCCCCCTTGCTCGGGTAAAAGAGACCAGCGCTTTCCGTTGAAGGTTCTGGTTCACCCCTCAGCTGCAGAGCCCTTGACATTTAGCGAGTGCTCGCGGCGCACTTGTTTAGGCACACAGCAGAACGCTAATCCCATTAAAGATAGTGTGTCATTGGGGAGGGGGTGGCTCCCCAGCGGGGCCGGGAAGGCCTCGCGCCCATTGGTCGAATGCAAAGCAGGGGGCGGGGCCGAGGGCCCGGGGAGGGGGCTCCAGGCGATTTCAGAGTCGCGAGTCGGGGCCGGGATTTCGCAGGGAAAGCCCAGCGGTTGCAGCTGCGGCGGATCCCTCGGCACTGTCCGCCGCGCGCCGGGGCAGCCCAGGGCCGGCGGCAGCTCCGCAAAGTCGCGGAACGAGAGGAGGCGGAGCGCCGGCCAAGTGGTGGGGCTCAGCGCTGGGGCTGGGCTGGGCTGGGAGAGGTGTGCCCAGGGAGCCTGGATCCCGGTGCCCTTCTCCCTCGTGTGGAGCGGCCAGTGCGGCCAGAGGCGAGCTGACGGCCTGGAAAGAGAAATCAAATTGCAGCCTCCCCAAAGACGCTGAGTTACGCGGGCGAGCCGGTTCCCGGGGATCGTTCGCGAGCGCGCAGAGAGCCGCGCCGCGCCGCAGAGCCCTCCCGGGGCCGCCGGCCAGAAGCGGGGCGCCGTCCGACAGGCAGCAGCCCCTGGGCGCGGGGTTCGGCCGCGAGTGAGCCCCTGTGCAGAGAGGGGGCGTGCAAGGCTCCGCCGGCCCCCCCGCAGCCCGCGCCCGACTTGGGCGCCCCCTCCGTCCCATTCTGGGAGCGATGCCCCCCGCTCCTCGCACCCCCCGGGAACGCCGCGAGCATGGAGAAGTCGAGTAGCGAGGATTCTTCGATCCATCGGAGTCCATCTTTGGACAGCAAGGACTCGGACTTTGCCAAGCCGTCCACCTCCGGCCGCCCGTTCGGCCGCGGCTTCACGGCCGGCGCCTTCTACGGCACCGCGGGCTCCCGGGGCCAGAGCCGCGCCGAGGCCGGCGTTAAGACCGACAAGTGCAATGCACCCAAAGGCAGCAAGTACGTGGTGTTTTACCTGGACCTGTCCTTTGTGTTCCTCCTAGAATTTAAGAAGTGCAACATGGCCAGGGGCTGCCTCTGCTGCTTGAAGTACATGATGTTCCTCTTCAATTTGATATTCTGGGTAAGTCCTTCCGTTTCTCTCTCCCTTCGCCCTCTTCTCCTCCTCTTGGCTTACCATAGCGTGAATACCCTCTCCCTCTTCTGTGCTGCATTGCTCTGCTCTCTGCACAGTGGTAAGTGTGCTTTTAAAAAAAAATTGCCCCCGCCCCCCTTTCATGCACCTTTGTCTTTCCTTTCTCCCTCTCTTTGGTGGCTGAATGGGGGCTCCAGCTTGCCTGTCTTCAGGAGAGACTTGCTCTACTCCTAGGAGGCTGGCAAAGTTTGGCACCACCTCCTTCCCCTATAAGAAAACCCAGGCTGGAAGTGCCTCCGACTGGGCAGCCTGCAGTAATGGCTGTGGGCTCAGAATTTGTAACAGCTGTGAGCCTGAGTTGGAGATAGGCACAAGTGAGGATGTATTTCTGAGTTTCTTCTTGTATTCCTCCTGAATGCACAAGAATACAATCTGCAGCATTTTATGGGAGTGGGTTGGAGGGGGGCGGGGTGTAGAGGCCACATGTTCCCACTCCTTTCGGTGAATCCTAGGAAAAAGAGGAGGAGCCCCTGGCTCAAGCCGATGGACCTGCTTGCTAGTCCTCAGATATGCTCCCGAGTTGGGGCCTGGGTGGGAAAGGAGGGGTGTGGGGGCATGCTGCCATCGGGTGGCTGGCTGCTGCTTTTGAGGGATTGCAGTGGACCGGGCAGGGAGCTGGCTGGCCACGTGCTTCCAGGTTCTGGGAGCCCCAGTGGCCGGAAGGGACAAAGGGAGACAAGCAGGGTGCCCCTGTCCTTGGTGAGAGGCACTTTTGTAGAGAAGGTATGAATGGGTAGGGCAGCTGGGAATTGCTCTCTGTCCTCTGTGTGACTCTGGAGGCTGTGCGCACATATGTGCACGTGCATAAGAAATACTGGTTAGGAACATTTGAAAACTTCTTAAATTCATCTCGAATCGTTCCTTCATCCCAATTGCCGTCTCTGCCTTTCTTCACCCAAGCCCCGACGTAGCACAGATGTTTGGCTCAGTCCCAGAGTCTGTCCTGCCCTCTGGAGGCTGTCAGCTGCCCACTGCCCGTGGTCCAGGAGGAGCACTGGGGGCAGGAGAAAGTCATTCAGAGTGAAGTTGGGAAGAAGCAGTTGTGCCGAAGAGGCATTCAGCTTTTGTGTGGAGTGATCCACATTAGCCGAAACACTTTTTAGGGTGGGGGTGTGTGTGGAGGGGTGACTTTTCCCATAGAATGACAAGCGCAGGAAGAAGACTGGGCTCTAGTCTTGGTTCTGCATTAGCTTCTTGTGTGACCTTGGGCAAATCACTTGGTCCCTGAAGGACTGGGCTTCCTTTCCAGTCCAATAGGGGCTGTCGTGATGGTCTCCCTGCTTGTCCTCACGTCACTAGTTACATGCCATCTGGGGTGGGGGCAGGCATCCTCATCTTCTCTCTTGGGGAGAGAAGCCCCCCTCCCTGCCTGGGGTGTGGGCTGCTTTTCCAAGGAGACTGGTTTGAAGTGACTTGAGTTGGATTCCCCTAGTTGTCACCATGGGTTGGGCCCTCCAGCCACCCTAGTAGGAAGTTACCTGTCATGTGCCTAGAGTTTTATGGAAGCTGGGGCAGATAGTCTCATTCTTTTTCTGGTGGCAAGCACCACTGGAATGTCTCTGGCTGCCTTGTGGGCCAGTGCCTCCTGGTCCTGTGACCCATCTGCCAGCATCTGTCAGCCAAGTACTGGTGTGTGCTTCCCTGGTGCCTTTGGATTCACACGAATGCTGTCCTTTTCATTGTTCACAGCTTCCTTCTCCATTCTTTTTTGTAGTCTCAACTTACCTTTTTGTTTTGTCCCACCCTGCCTATATTAAGCCTTATTAGGAAGACAGACCCTGGGGCTTGTAACCCCACTCAGCTGCGCTCACTCCTCCCCACCCCCACCCTGCCACCTGCTGGCCGGAGTTGGTATAACTGCCTGCGGTGCCTTTCTTCTCCAGGATGAGCCCAACGTGGTTTGGTGACCTCCTCACTGGCTAGTACAGTGATCTGTACCCTGCACGTTGTAGGCCCTCATTATATGTTTGTGAATGAATGCATGGAGGGCCAGAGCTGTAAATCCACAACATGTTGTCATGTGGTAGTGGTTCCTGAGTTCCACTTGATGGGGAAGAGAAGTTAGATCTCACACTTGCCTCTGATAAAGGCTCTCCGAGCGCCATAGCTATGGGATGACAAGCAATTCTTCCCATCTTCCCTTAAAACCTTGGCAGAGGTTAATGAGCTAGTTGGTGGAATATATTTTCGTTACGGTTGATAGCGAGAGAACTTGCTGTCGCTTCCTAATTAGAAGGTACTGATTACATTCTCTTTACCAGGCAAGGAGTTGTTCTCTCCTGGATTCTGACTTTTCTGATTACTTAATATTTCCAGAATTCCCATGACATGCTGTAAGCAGGGAAAAATTGAATCTCCAAGACCCACTTCTTGTATGCTAGTAGCAAATGAGATGATTAAATAAGACATAGACCTTAGGTAAGATGGGGAATTTAGCAGAAGACAAGTTCATGCTTGTGTGTAAGAGTGTTTGCCACTGTGTTTATCGGGAGGTGGAGGAGCAGGTGCAGGAGGGTGTTGGCCAGGATGTGGGGGCTGTGGGTCACTGTGCTCCACTCAAATGAAGGCTTCCTGCAGGCTGGTGCTTGGCCTGATACTGGGGAAGGAGCAGAGGAAAGAGCAGAATGGGAAGGGAAAACATCAAAGGCAGGTGGGGTGTTGATGAGTCAGGGTCCCTGGGAGGCCTCTGTTGCTGTCTTGTGCAGGGGGGCAGGGGGAGCATGCAGGCTGGGTCAAGCCCAGCCCTCTGGGACCGGGTGCAATTGTTAGGAATTTTGTAGCCTTAACTTGTTGTAGTCTTGTGGCTCAGATCCAAAAAGGAGGCTTTTCTGAAGGATTAGAGTTGAACCTGAGGGCTGCGATCAATAGATAGAACTCTTCCCATAGATCCCGGAGCCTACCAGGTATTTCTCCAAACTCACCGCTGCCGCCACACCACCCCGCCCCGTGCCTCTGAGCGCTTGGGAGGATTCCCATGTGGAAGAGAGGTGCAGCTGTCGTACACTGCAACCCTTCAGAGGCGTGCATAGGTTCCTCACCACTGGGCGGAGCTTCTAGGGTACTAGTATTGGTGAGGGCTGGGTGACATCACTGGGGGTAGGTTGGCAGGTGGAGCCACACAGCCCATGGTCCTCCTCCTTACTAAGAAAAGGGCAGGTGCCTCACAGGCTGCTGGGTGCCTGCCTGCCTGTGGGGGTCCAGGTCTGCTCCTGACACTGCGACTTCAACCAGACAGTTCTAGCCATGTTGGCAGCCCAGTGCACTGTGGGAATCTGGGGCCTCCAGGAGGGCAGCAAGGTGAGGGTAGAGGAGAGGGAGTCAGTGGTCACTCCTGACTGAGTCCCATCTCCTCTTTGTCTTCTGCATCCCCTGCCCCGACTCTCAGGGCTAAAGACAATGCTGGCTTCTAGGTGGATAGGGAATAGGAGATTTGAATTGGGACAAAAGTTTCCCCATACTGAGGATCCTGTTCTCCAGTAAGCACACTCACCCTAAGGGATTTCTCCTAGCAGTGAAAACCATCTGGGCATTTTCCTCAGTCAGCCCCATCTCTGGGTCCTCCTGGGGCCATCTGGTAGAATACTGGTAGTAGAGATTAAATGATTCTAAGCCCCTCCCAGGGGGCAAAGGAGACTCGGAGCTTCAAACTGTGAGTAGAGAAGAGCGTATAGGGGTGGGCTGGAAAAGGGACCTCTGAATGCTGGGGTCATGTGTACCCTTCCTGGGGCAGCAAGTCCTGATCCCGCCCAGCTCTTCCCAGCCCAAATCAAGTTCCTGTCTGATGTGGAGGGGTGGGGGCGGGGCTGGGGCTGCTGGCGTAATTGCTACTTAGGATAATGGTCATTTTTCATGCTTGCCAGCAGAGCTGTCCCATCACTTTAAATTATGGCTGGCAGAGCAGTGACATTCTGGCCCATTGGAAAGCCTATTCCTTGTGGATCGCTCCCTTAATGAAGGCTAATTAGCTGAGGAGGCCGTGTTCAGCCAGCCTGCTGGAACAGGGAAAAGGTTGGCGCAGGGTGGCCCCGGGCAGAGTGCTGATGGGGCCCTGATTAAACTCCCTTAAGTGAGGTCAGGGCCCTCGCAGACGCTGGCTGCCTTTGGGTGCAGGCAGCATGGTCGGGCTCTCCAGCTGCATTGGTGGCACGTGCTTAGTACTGGCTCGGCCATGTCACGAGTGCCTCTGTGGGCTCGGGCTGAGGTCTGTGCATGGTCAGTGTTGGGTGGCCTAGAGTGTCATAAGGAGTCTATGGGGTGCCTTCTGTCTGAAAACAGGAGTAGTGAGTGGGCTCAAGGGTCCCAGCAGGGAGCTTGGGTTCAGACCTGGCCTCACCTGGCATCTCCAGGCAGAGGAGACACAGGGTAACCTGGGCAGCAAGAGGCACTTAGGCCCCCCCCCCCCAGAGTGCTCAGGTGTGAGGGGTTCAGGCTGTCTTCCTAGGGGGCTGCAACAAGTAGATCTTAAGGGTGGGTCAGGCTGGCCTCTGCTGGGGGAAGGGGGACAGGTGCGGGGCCTGGCAGATACCCCAAGACTCCTGGAATGTGGCCGTGAGGGAATGCCAGGTCTGTGTTCACTTCCTCTCCACAGCATTAAAAATTAAACTTCCTTGTCTTAATGTCTATTTTTAAATCTTGTCAGAGCAAGCATTGGTGTCAATCAGGAGGGGGTGGGGAGGAGGCGGGTAGAGAAGAGAAAGTCCCAGTTGAAAAAGGGTAAGCAGCTCGCTCTAGCCTGAGGAAGGGGCCGCTGGGCCCTCCACCCTGGCCTGTGAAGAGCACAGAAAACACCCTCCGGCCTGCTCCTATCTCCATGTGCCTGGCTGCCCTTGGCTGAACTTGGTGGCAGACTCTGTGGCCAGAGGCCTCCTGTGGCTTATCAGGGTGCTGGGGTCCCAGTTGGGTCCATTCACTCATGCCACAGCTATTTACTGAATGCCCACTCTGTGCACAGGATCCTCCAGTTGGTGAGAATGGGCTGACTGGGCTCGCAGAGGGCGGATCAGTTTTCTCGTGCCAGGAAGTCGTGGAATCGGGAGGTCATCTGGCTCGTCCTGCGCTGAGCATTTGAACACAGGGCTGTCAAGGGAGAGGTGAGAGCATTCTAGGGTGAGGCAGCAGCAGGCCTGCACCCAGAGCCCTGGTGGCCTGACTTGTCCTTTCCTCCCCTCTACACCCACACAGCCACTTTCTGACTCTCCTGCTCTGAAATGTTTATTCCTGTCAGTAAGAGAGGCAAGAAAAACAGCCTTCCTTTTGTTTTGTTTTGTTTTTTTTTTTCCTTAGTTTGAAAAAAAGAATCAGCGAATCCTGTGGCCTTTCTGTTTCTTCCACTGAAAAGGCTGGCAGATGCTCTGTGGCTAGTTGAGCACCTGCCGTAAGCCGGGACTTTGAGCTGCTCAGAGTTGCATGGAGAAGTCAGACACATAAGCAGATCATTACAGTTCTGAGTGGTAGCTGCTTAATAGAGCTCCTTAATGGAGTAACTAATACTGCGTATTAGAGACAAGATATAGAGATAACAGAGTAGAGCAAGTGACACCTGGGTTTTGAAGGATGAATAGGAGCTTGCTGATTAGATCAGACTAGAGGGTCCAGGGCAGGGAGAAGGGTGGGAAGAGAGAACACATTGGTCCAGAGCCTATGCCAGGGGAGAGCTAGCAGTCCAAGGGGGAGACAGCACCTGCTGGACACATGCAATGGGCTGAACCCAGAGAAACAAAGGGTCGTGCCAGTCTGGTGGCACCCTTCAGGAATGGCTTCTGGGGGTGGAGAGTTCGGAGTGGGTTCCGAAGTAGAGGGGCACTGCAGCAGTGCCTGGGGATGCTGGCTTTCCAGGGCTCCTAGGACAGGGTTGTTTTGTTTTTCTGGCAGAGACCACCGTGACAGGTCTTGCTGTGTCACTCGGGCTCAAGCTGTCACTGTAGGTAATCCAGCTTCAGAGAGATGCCCCTGTTTTCTCCCCCCTTTCCAGCCTCTCCCATCCAGCTGTGATATGCCTGTTTATTTGGTTCCAGTTAGGAAGCTTTGAAGCTGAGCTAAACCCATCGGGCAGAGTTAAGTCTTCTGAGCCAGCTTTGTCTCTGCTCACATTTGAAAGCTAATCTGCCAGTAGAAGTGGTGGGGGGTTGGGGTCTGATCCTGGCAGGGATGTTAAAAATGGCACACGGTCAGGCGGGGGAGCAGCACAAGGTCGAGATGTGGCTTCTAACTCGACTCTTTAACCAGCCATGGGACATCAGGGGAGATCTGAAACCTCTTCTCACTTAGTGAGTCCCTGGTTTGATTCAGGTGGGGTCTACCTCCTCTCCTGTGCGCCCCAGCAAACTTTGAGGCTCCCGGGAGAACTGGAGAAGCCCTTGGGCAGGGGAGGCTGCAGGATTTCAAATCTCCCTTGCAGTGGCTAGCTCACTGCGTCAGGACCACGCAGAGAGGCCCTGTTTTAGTGGCTGGTGGGGGGTGGGTGACCGGCCAAGGAGGAGAGGGACAGGGCCCTGCTTTCAGGTAGCTTTCTTTCCACTCCAGGGGTTCTTCACTAGAGTGGATGTTCGCATCAGCCAGGCAGCTTTTACATGAACAAAGCCCCTCCTGAGTGGGCGCCTCCAGAAGTGAGGGCTGTGTTTTGAAGGTATTCCTTTAACCTCTTGCTATCTGGTTTCCTCACCTTGGACTATACCACCTCTCCTGTAGGGCCGTGCTGAGGCCTGCAGGAGGTGCTGTGTGCATGATGCAGGTGTACTGCTCAGCAGGAGGCCTGGCGCCTTGGACTTCGTGCGCAGGAGCTGTGGTTGTTAGTATTACTGTCGCTCCTGCGGTGAGAGCGTATGAACAGGAAGTTAGGTGCCCACGGGTTGGAGTATGGACCGCTTGGATGACAATGCCAGGAAGGGCGGTTGGAGCCCTGGGAGGATCCCCAAGTGTCCCTCGGGCTGGGGATTGCTCTGAATGTCTTCGGGCCTTCGGGGTATATGGGAGAATGGGGGCAGCTGGGAGGGCCAGGGGGGTTTCTTGGAATGAGAGTTATAGGTAGGGAGAAGGCAGTGGAGAAGGATGTGGTCTCTGACCCCAAGGCCTGCAGCTGCACCTGCCATGCCTCTGGGCCTCCCAGAAGGGGCAGCTCCACATACTTCTTCTGCCTCCCTTTGTCCTAGGGGTGACAAGTGGGGCCTGGACCCAGCCAGCTGGGCTGGTGGTCACAGTGCGGGGCCCCCACAGGCCCTTTGGTGGATGTTGGATTCCACTGGGCAGCTTGGCTTGTGACCTGGGCTGACCAGGACACAGAGCACACAGGGCTCCAGGTCCGGGTCACTTTCCCAACCAGAAACACCGTCACCCAAAATAAGTGACAGTTGTAAAATACATCATATGTAAATTCACGTACTTAAAAAAATCATAAAACAAACGCCTGCCCACTTAGAAGCCTAGCTTATGAAATAGAGGACTTTCTATGCCCATGAGCCTCTGTGACCCCCAGCTTCTGCCTGAGAGAGCACCATTCTCTTTGAATCTTGTGTGAAGTGTACGCCACATGTATTGGCATTCTTAAACACGGCATCATTTAGTTTGACTGATTTTTCAACTTTTGGTAAACAGAATAGTTCTGGATGTAGTTTTAAAAATTCGGCGTTGTGCCAGGCGCAGGGGCTCATGCCTGTAATCCTAGCACTTTGGGAGGCCAAGGTGGGTGGATCACGAGGTCAGGAGTCCGAGACCAGCCTGGCCAACATAGTGAAACCCTGTCTCTACTAAAAATACAAAAATTAGTCGGGTGTGGTGGCGGGTGCCTGTAGTCCCAGCTAGTCAGGAGGCTGAGGCAGGAGAATCGCTTGAACCCGGGAGGTGGAGGTTGCAGTGAGCCAAGACCACACCATTGCACTGCAGCCTGGGCGACAGAGTGAGACTCCATCTCAAAAAAAAAAAAAAATAAAAAACTAAAAATTCAGCGTTGTGTTTCTGGATTCACGCACGTTGATAGTCGTGGCCATAGTGCACACCTTTCCATGGCTCTTGGTATTTCATTACATGAATGTGCTGCAGGTGTATTCTTCTGGTGATGAACATTTGGGTTATTTCCTCCTTTTTCTAAACAACACTTCTGTAAACATTCTCGTATAAGTCTTCTGGTGTACATGTGGAGGCGTTTCTTTAGGACAGTGCTTCTGGAAGTATCTGTGGTGGAGGACCATCTTTTAAGTTTTCAGTTCTCAGAGGTGGTCCTGCTGCATGTGACTAGTACACGGTTGAGAGCACACGTGACTCGCCTGACGAGCTCAGCTGTACCTGAGTGAGTCAGCTGATGGTGTGCTGGGATGTTCTGGCAATGTCAGATTGCTATAAACGTTTCTAAGCGTGGGCCGGGCGCGGTGGCTCACGCCTGTAATCCCAGCACTTTGGGAGGCCGAGGCGGGCGGATCACGAGGTCAGGAGATCGAGACCATCCTGGCTAACACGGTGAAACCCCGTCTCTACTAAAAATACAAAAAATTAGCCGGGCGCGGTGGTGGGCGCCTGTAGTCCCAGCTACTCGGGAGGCTGAGGCAGGAGAATGGCATGAACCCTGGAGGCAGAGCTTGCAGTGAGCCAAGATTGTGCCACTGCACTCCAGCCTGGGCGACAGAGTGAGACTCTGTCCCAAAAAAAAAAAAAAAAAAAAAAAAAAAATTAGCCGGGTGTGGTGGCGGGTGCCTGTAGTCCCAACTACTTGGGAGGCTGAGGCAGGAGAATGGCATCAACCCAGGAGGCCGAGCTTGCAGTAGCCGAGATCGCGCACTGCACTCCAGCCTGGGCAACAGAGCAAGACTCCGTCTCAAAAAAAAAAAAAAGAAAAAAAAGTTTCTAAGCATGAAGCAGTTCCATGGACCACACCTTGAGGAGCACTGCTCTGGGTATATAGGAGTGTAATGGCACCGTGGAGCTTCAGGATATGTACCTGCCACCTTTCCTAGATAATGCCAGATTGTTTTCCAGTGAGGATGTATCAGTGGACATTCCCACCAGTGGAGAGTCAATGGGGAATGGTTTTTGGCATTCTCCAGTACAGTGGATGTAAAATGCTATATTATAATGGTTTTAATTTGCATTTCTTTGATCACTAGTGGACATCTTTTCATATGTTCCTTAGCCATTCTTTCATCTTCTGTGAATGCATGTTTGTCTTTTGTTCATTTTTTATTGAGTTGCGTTTTTTCTAACAATTTTTAGGAGTTTTATTTATGTTTTGAATACTAATGTGTTAATTAAATGTATTGCAAACAGTATGTAGCTTCCAGTTTATAGTTTGTCTTTTCACTTTCTTCATGGGGTCTCTTGGTAAACAGAAATTCTTTATTGTAATGTAGTCAAATTTTCAGCCTCTTCTTTGTTAGACTGTACTTTTTATGTATTTAAGAAATACATGCTATCTCATGGATGTCTTTTTTTTTTTTTTTTTCCTTTTGAGGCAGGGTCTCACTCCTGTCAGCCAGGCTGGAGTGCAGTGGCACAATCATGGCTCACTGCAGCCTTGACTTCTCTAGGCTCAAGTGATCCTTCCATACCAGCCTCCTGAGTAGCTCAAACTATAGGCACGTGCTACCAAGCCTGGCTAATTTTTGTATTTTTTGTAAAGGTAGGGTTTCCCTATGTTGTCCAGGCTGGTCTCAACCTCCTGGGCTCAAGCAATCCTTCTGCCTCGGCCTTCCAAAGTGCTGGGATTACAGACGTGAGCCACGGCGCCCTGCTTCAGCTTTACAGCCTGGTAGTAAGACAGTGCTTGTCGCAACATAATCAGTGCCTGTGAATTGTTGAATGAATGAGTAAGTGACTGAAGATGAGTTCCTGGACTGATTTCTGGAAGCTTTTCTTTTTATATTTAAGTCCTTAGTATATTTGGAATTTATATTTGTATATAAGATAGGGCTCTGATTTTTCCTCCATAGCTCCATTGATTAACTAGTCCACCTTTCCCCACAGACCTGTACCGCCACCTGTGTTTCTGTGTATGCCTGGGTCTTTTCCACTGGACTGTTTGTCTATCCTGATGCCGCACTGTCTTCATTACTACAACTTTATAATAAGTCTCAATATCTGGTAGGGCAAATCCTTTCCTCTTACGCTTTTTCAAGAGTATTTTTGCTGTTCTTGGCCCTTTGTTCTTTTGCATACATTTCAGAATTAGTTTGTCTTGTTTCACCAAAAATCAGTCAGCCAGCCTCTTCCCCCAAACCCTTTTGATATTTTGGTTGACCTTTCATTGAATTCATTCATCATCTTAGGGAAAATTGCTGTCTTTTTTTTTTTTTTTTATCCAAAATGTGTTTATTGAGATGGTTTCCCACTCATCTTGACTCAGAGTGCTTTTAGTGCTGCTTCCTCCTGAAGGAACATCCTTCTGTAAGCCTTGCTTTTCCTCCTGTAGGCTGGCAGAGGACAGTGGAGCAGCCAACACACAAAACTACTGTTTGTGCATGGCTAAAGACCGTGGTGATTTTATAGCATCCTGGGCATTTCACATCCATGAAGTAGGAATTGGGGCTCTGCACCAGGCGTTTCTTCTTGTGTTTCCTCTTCTCCTCTTCTGGAGAGGGATGAAGGAGATCCTTTGCGAGAGGCATGTTCTCGTGTGCGTAGGTCGTCACCACCGGAAAGCAAAATTGCTGTCTTTGTATTTCTTTCTTTTATTTTTTGAGATATAATCTTTCTCCGTCACCCAGGCTGGAGTGCAGTGGCATGATCTCAGCTCATCGGAACCTCTGCCTCCCAGGTTCAAGCAATTCTTATGCCTCAGCCTCCCGAGTAGCTGGGATTACAGGTGTGTGCCACCATGCCTGGCTAATTTTTGTATTTTTAGTAGAGATGGGGCTTCGCTATGTTGCCCAGGCTGGTCTCGAACTTCTGACCTCGTGATCTGCCAGCCTCGGCCTCCCAAAGTGCTGGGATTACAGGCGTGAGCCACCATGACCGGCTTATCTTTATATTTCTATTCATGAATATGAATAGTATTCTACTTATCTATTTCTATTCATGAACATGGTATATTTCACCATACATTAGGTCTTCTTTAATGTTTTTCTGTAAAGTTTCATGAAGGTTTTATACATCTTATGTTATATAGAGACTTCTTTTTATATATTTTTTAAATTTTTAAATTTTTTGTAGAAACAGGGTCTCCCTGTGTTGTCCAGGCTGGTCTTGAACTCCTGGCCTTAAGCAATCCTGCCTTGGCTTCCAAAGTGCTGCGATTACAGGTGTGAGCCACTGCATCTAGCCTAGAGACTTCTGATCTTCCATGCTTTGCCACCCTCCCCCAGGGTTCAGCTGAGCTCTTGTGCACACGCACTGCAGACCTGATGAGGGAATGGGGCACCCAGAGGTGAGAGGATGGAGGAGCCCGCTAGCCAGCTAGTCTTCTAGTGGGTGCAGGTCAGGGGTGAGCACCAGGTATGGTGCTCAGTGCTCTTGCCTAGCAAGGGGGGCCTAGTGTCTGTGTTCATGTCCCGCACCTGCCATCTGTCTTCTGATCAGAACAGGGTTTGTAGAGGAGGCAGGCTCTCCAGGGACTATGAGAAGGGTGAAAAGGAGAGGGCTCGAGGATCTGGAGGATGGAAGATGTACAACGTGGGAGGATGCCTATCCGGTGAAGGGATTGTGGACAAGCAGAGGGAGTGGGGAGGGTGGAGAAGGAGAAGGCAGGAAAAACATGGTGATATTGGAAGCCAGAGAAAGGGGCTAATGCAAAGGGTGTCAAACAGATCTGTGGAGCGCTAGGAATTGCTTGGGTACAGCGGTGTGCTGGTTGCAGAAGACCCCTTTTAGCAATGGCACTTTGGATCATGCGGGGAAGGGCATTAAAGAACGCCAGGTGGAGGAAGGTCTGGAGGACATGGGACTGTGGCTGGGCGGGCAACCTGGGGAGTCTGTCTGCAGGGGTCTCTAAGCAAACGGCAGTTGCTGGCGGTGAGGATCCTGTGCCTTCTGTTCTCTGTACAGTGAGGGCGGGTGTGTTCTGAAGCCTCACTCTGCCCCCTGCCCTCTCAAGGGGGGCTTCCCCCGCTTGTTGGCAAGAGCTCATTGGACCCAAATCAGAGCGACAGCTTGTCAGGCCGATAAGCCTGGGCTCTGGGCAGGAGCTCTTTATGTCTGAGCCATTTAGGACACTCATCGTGACCAGTCCCTGGGGCTCAGAGGCCTGGTTGGGGAGGAGGTTCAGGGACCCTCAGGAGAGAGCAAGGGTGGAGGGAGGAATGCTGATGTGGTACTGAGTGCACGAGGTGCTCACTTTGTTCCCATTTATGGCAGCTAAAGAGAGCTGCAGCGAAGCCCCCCTCCCCCTTCCAGCCCCCCTTCACCTGTCCCTTTCTCAGCCTGCCTGCTGGGAGGAGGGGAGTCTGAAAAGTGCATATTTCACAAAAGCCACTCCGTAGAGGGCTGTGGGTCTTACTCAGGAGCTGTGGGAGGAATATTGACAAGATTCTCTGCATTGCCGATTAGCTTTCTGTCTTCCCACCTAAATGGAGACTTCTCACAACTTGGGGCAGGGAGGGGCTGGGCTGGGTGGCCACCCAAACAGCCTGCGGGATCCTGGGGTGCCTGGCCATGCATCCTGCATTTCCTCCCCACTCCTACAAATGCAGGTGTGCAGCTCTTCTTGGAAGATGCATGCCAGTTAACTCTCGCTTGTATCTGGGATCAAAGTGGCAGAGTGGAAAAGAGCAGGGAGTTGATCCCAGAGACCTGGGTTCTAGTCCCCGGCATGCTTGCTAACTAGCCGTGTGATCCTGGGCAAACTGCTTCTGTCTCTGGGCCTCAGTTTCCACATCTGGAAAATGATAGACTTGGACCAGCTCATCTCTGAGGTCTCTCTGGGCCCTGACATTCTGTGGTTGTATATGTTTCTTTTGTTCCCTTTGTCTTTTTTAAGGAGCTGATGATTATTGAGATATTTTATCTTCCTTATCCTCATAGTAGCGTCGGTAGAGTGATGGACCACGGATGAGTTTCTTCTGTCTCATAGGTGGTGACACTGAAAGGGGACTGCCTCACCTGGACTACGTGTGTGCTCAGTGTGCTGGAACTCACTGCCTGGACAAAGCTGCCCTAGATTTTGCCATTCCTGGAGCTCACAGGCCTGGAGTGAGCGGCTGCCTGCCGCGGGGCTGGGTCGGGACAGGAGCGCTGGGTTCCAGGGTGGACGAACTCCTGTTGGATTTGCCTCTTCGGACCTCCAGTTCCTTGCTTAGTGGTGGGGGGAGAATCTTCCCTGTTAGCCCATTTCCCACTTCAGGGTAGCAAGAAATGGAAGTCGTTTCTGGGCCTGGGCAGGAGATGGGGCCACAGCCACAGCAGTCAGTTGATTTGAACACGCCCTCCCCCCTGCAGGGGAGGGCCTTCACGCCCTCTAAGCAGGTAATGAGGGGGCGGGCTGCCGTATTAAGCACCCTGGCTACGCTGGGGAGAAGCTCTGCACCTTGTTTGACACACAGAACTGTCGCGGCTCCTTCCTATTGTTAGAAGCCTTAATTACTATTGTTCCAATTCCTCCCTCCAGCGATCGTCATTAGGAAGAGCGTTCTTGTTTCTTCCTCCTTCCCCCCATCCCCCTGAACACGTCTTCAGGGCTGTTCCCTGGCGCTGCCTGCCTCTCACCCGGCTCTACCCTGTTCACTGTGCCCTTCTACCCAGGGCAGCCCCTGACAGCCCACCTCCCTTATCCCCTGGCCCTGGCCTGCGCTCCCACCTGCTACCTCTTTAGGAAACAAACACATACCCTTCCCACCCCCATCCCCAAGTCTCCCCATTAAAACTCATGGCTCAAAGCCAGGGATGCTTTACCTTGTGTGTGGATTCAAGAACCTGTCCTACCCGCTTCTCTGGTGGTTGTGAGAATCCAAACCAAGAGAAGGGTGGTGCCTTAAACTGGAAAGTACTGCACACATTTAGGGGGTGTCCGTGCACCAGCGCCGCAGGCCATAGCTGGCTGGGGGAAGGCTTGGGCTACCCTGCTGCTCTGCCATTGACTCCCTGGGAGGATCTTTGACTTCAGCTTCTCCTCGGTAAGGTGGGAATCAAATCTTAATCAAACTTGCCTGGCCAACCTGGGAGCCTTGTCAGTGGGCTGCAATGGGATGGTGATCCTGAAAGTACTCTGAGGCCTAGGAAGGGTTCTGCTGATTGGAATCAGGATCGCCAGCTTATTTTTCTTTTCATGACTTCCTGTTGTTCTCTGTATCTATTTCCATCCCATCTCTCAGCCTTCCTAGAGGGCCCTAAAGCTGTGCAATGATTTGTTCCCTGGGGAATTTCTCCACCAGGCAGCCCCAAGTCATGTTGCTGGCTCCTGCAGTTGCCTGCTGAGGCACCCCAGCGTCTGACACCTGGGGAACCCCACTTGTGGGCTGTCTGGGAAGTGTGGGGGTGGGAGGGGCCCCTCATTTCCCTCCAGCTGCCATTTGCTGCTCTCTCCAGGCTCCGTGGTGGGCCCGGCACAGCCTGTATCGGAGTGGAGAACGTAGGTTGGTCCAGAGCACGTTCCACCGGGACCTCTCCGTCTGGAGCCTGTATCAGAGTGGAGAACGTAGGTTGGTCCAGAGCACGTTCCACCGGGACCTCTCTGTCTGGCTTGCTCAGGCTCATTTCTTCTGTCTGGGGACTTACGGGGATGAGCATGAAAACCTGTGCATCCTGGAATCACAGGGACACGGCTCCATGTTCCCAGCGGTTGATCCATTATCCCTGGTCGCCCTGCTTCCTTCTCAGTCGCTCTGGCCTCTGCTCCCTCCTGGAGTCCTGGGCTGGGAAGTAACCTCAGTCCATGCTCAGAGCCACCCCATCCCCACCCCACCCCCACCCCAGCCCTGGGGCCCTCTGGGAGCTGGGGAGTCTGTGCTGTGATTGGCAGGAGTTGGACAGATTTGCTTGCTTGGGCTATCTGCCTGTGGGGCTCTCAGCTGGATCATCCTGCGACTACTGACTAAGCAGCCAGATGGCTTTTGCTGGGACCTTCCAGATGTGGGAGTAGGTTTTGGAGGTGCTCATTCGTGCCCACATGGCCCTGGGTCCACATCTCTTTTGCTCCCCCGAGATGTCCAAGCTCACACTGGGCACTCGCTGGTCAGAGTGGTTGGGGTTCTGGAGGCGGGGCTTGGGAGGATATGGGGAGCTTCTCCAGCATCAAGCCTCCCTTTTACCAGGATTTTCGTACCGTCTCAAAGCACCCAAAGCTCTTCTCAAACACATCTCGTCAGTGGGGAGGCTTATACAGAGAGGGAGATGGGGTGCCTGGTGTCCAGGTCCCACTGGGCACAGGGCCTGCAGGGCTGAGGTGGAACCCACTGGAACCCGGAGTGGCCCTAATGGGCCTGGAAGCCCGTTTGTCACAGGTGTGGTCCGGAGGTGGTTCTGGCTTCCAGATTCAGCCATGTGGATCCCCTAAGGGGTCACCTGCTGCCTTTCTCTGCTTCCCAAAAACGTCCACGTGGGCTTTTTTCTCTGCAGGCACCCTAGGGAGGTGGAACCTCCTTGGCCAAGGCCCTCATCTCTAGCCTTCAGACACAGATCCCCAAGGCCCCTGCTTTGGAGGGCTCTGAGGGCTCCCTGGGTCCTGGTGAAGGTCCAGGCCAGGCCACCACCCCAAGGGCCCACTGTCCTGGGGGAAGCTGAGCCTCCTGAGTAGGCCCCTGAACTGCAGTTGGAGGAAGGGCTGGAGAGGAGATGAGAAGTGGCAGACTGGCTGAGAGACTGCTCAGAGGGCAGCCTGTTGCCCGGCTGTTTAATTTACTGGAGTTATTTTTCCTCATCGTTCCCTTTCTTTGGTGTTCCCAGGCTGCTATTCGTGGCTCTTTCCCTGCTGAGCTCTCTTCACGTCACTGTATTTAGGAGATAACTGAGGAGCTGAGCCTTCCACCTGCCCCTGGGCCTCATGCCCGGACCTTGGATGCCAGGGGCTGAGGTGTAGCATCCTGGGGTCCCTGATGGCAATGTCCCCTGAGTTGGCTGGGGTTGGGCTTAGATCTTGCACTCTACGTGACCGGCAAGGGAGGTGGTCAGAGACACCCTCAGCTTCTCTGACATCTGTCTAGCTATGGAAGTGTCATCTGGAAAGATCCTGCCCAGTGTTGCTGGGAATGAGCCATCCTGCCCAGTGTTGCTGGGAATGAGCCACTCCTTCTCTTCTGTCATGCTGGGTCTGTGATGTCCAGAGGCCCCGTGTCATTGAGGCAGCGGTGAGGGCCCTGTTTGGGCTTGTTCTTGGAGAGGAGGAAGTTGAGTCACCCCAGACCATATTACTCCCTTTCACTTTCCCCAGGGAATTCAGAGACTTTTCCCTTTGGGAGGGGGAGAAGATGACCAGAACCCGCAGGGACTCAACTCCCCTGGCTTCAGCTGTCTGCTGCCTGCATCCCTTCACCCCTTCACCCCTTCACCCCAGCATCTGATCATCTGTCCCTTCCCTGCTTCCAGGCCTTCTCTAGCCTGGTCTGGAAAGTGAGACGTAATATGGGGAAGACAGCACGTGCTCTAGGGATGGGTGAGCTTGCTTCTCGGTGTCACCACTTCCTGTGTGTACAGTACAGAGCAAGGTGCTTAACTTTTAGAACCTTGACCTTCTCATCTATAAAATGGGTTGATGATGAGACTACTTTCTAGATGGGTTCAAGGAGCAACTGAAACACTGTATGAAGAGGTTTCAGGTCATTGTGTGGTGTGTGGCGGGTGTGTTGGGGCCAGCTGAGTTTTGCATGGGATAATGATACCCTCTGGGGTGGCATAGCCATGCTCCTTGGCAGGACAATATGGGATGTGTACAGATTTTGGGTGTGCATGCCTGCGTCCTGTGCTCAGCCCCCATTTTTTCTGTGGGCCCTGGTTTTCTCTAGGCTTTGTTTTGGCTTTCTCTTCAGCAGAATGAGGTGTTCTGTGTCTCCCACCAACCCCAACTTCCTCGGGGCAGGGAGCAAAGGACAGATGGGGAGTGAGCTCACAGCTCTGAGTGCTTTGAGATCACAGCTGAGGTCAGGGAGGAAAGAGGAGGAGGCGTGTTCTCTGCTTTTAGGATGCTCCCTTGAGACTGCATGTTTAAACTAGATTTGAAACCTCTTACTGAGCTCTCAAAAGGACTGCCAGGAGGAGACCTTTGGGGCCTGCAGTGGCCAGACTAGCTAGGGATCTGGTTGGGGCTATGATGGCCAGGACTTCTCACCTGGCCTTCTCAGGCAAGCCTGGGTGGGCCAGGGGTGATGGCGGTAGGAGCGGGCCTGGCTGCCTTCCTGAGGGCCTTGGCAGAGATGGAGTAAAAGATAAAAGTAGGACCTGGGAATGGGGAGGAGGAGAGGAAAAACGCAAAGGGGAAAGGAAGGAGAAGGCACCAGGAAGGCTAGCTACTCTAGCACTGGGGGCTGAGCCCGCTTGGCTGGGTGCCTCGGGCCGCCTCCCTTCCTCTCTGCAGTGATTAAGACATCACCAGCTGCCTGTGTTCTTAGCCCCGCTGGCTCTCCGCTGCCAATAACAAATGCATCTGGCTGGAATCTGGGTCATTAAAAAAAACAACCTGATATTTCTCTTTTTCCTTTACCCCCCGGCAATCCATCCTCTGGAATATAGCTGGAGCCCCCCAAAGAGAGGTCAGAGGTCGCAGAAAACCATGGTGGACATGTCAGCTGTCAGGGCCACTCAGGCAGCCAGCCAGCCACTCTTGCTGGATGTCTGTTTTCTGTTGTGTCTGAGTTGTTGTGAAGTGAAGGCCCCAAATACAGAGCGATGTGCCAGAGACAAGGGCTTACAGGTGGCCCTTCCCACCCGTGGGCGGCCGGGGGAGGCCGGACGGTGTAGTGGCTGTGATGGGGGCTGTGTGTGTAAGCTCGGAGTTGGACAGCCTTGGGTGTCAGTCACTGTTGCCTGTGTGATCTAGCAAGAATGTTCGACCTCTCTAGACTCAGTTTTGTTTCTTTTTGTGAACAATGACAGTGACATGCAACCTGCCCTGTGCGGTTGTTGAGTGGGATGCACAGGGACTGTCCTAGCACAACACTCAAGGAAGGGTGGCCACTGCCTTAGTTTGTCACCATCATTATCCTATCTCTGTTGAGTGGCACCTCCTGCGGGAGCTGTGTTTGCTCAGCCGCAGTACCGACCCCCATCTCCCGGTGTGGGTCGGGCACCTGTCCAAGGCGGACCTTCTGTGAGGATGGAGGGAGGGCGCCTTCACCTCCTGCCTCAGGAGCCAAGAGTCAGCCAGACAGGCAGCTCTCTCAAATGGAGATCCTTTGAAGACTATAAAGATTTGTTTGTACATCTTTCTCTGGGATTTGAGAATATAGATGAGTAGAGAAAAATGGAGGGAAGGTGGAAGGGATGACTTAAAAAGGGAATGATAGGGAGGGGAACATCACACACCCTGGGGCCTGTCGGGGGGTGAGGAGCTAGGGGAGGGATAGCATTAGGAGAAATACCTAATGTAGATGATGGGTGTAGCAAACCACCATGGCACATGTATACCAATGTAACAAACCTGCACATTCTGCACATGTGTCCCAGAACTTAAACTATTAAAAAAAAAAAAAAAAAGGAATGAGGCTGGGTGCTGTGGCCCACGCCGGTAATCCCAGCACTTTGGAAGGCTGCGGCGGGCGGATCACCTGAGGTCAGGAGTTCGAGACTAGCCTGGCCAACGTGGTGAAACCCTGTCTCTACTAAAAATACAAAAAGTAGTGGCGCATGCTTGTAGTCCCAGCTGCTTGGAAGGCTAAGGCAGGAGAATTGCTTGAACCCGGGAGGCGGAAGTTGCAGTGAGCCGAGATCACGCCATTGCACTCCAGCCTGGGTGACAAGAGCGAAACTCTGTCTCAAAAAAAAAAAAAAGGAATGAATCTAGGAAGTTTCTTCAAAGAGACCTTACTAGTAGTTACCTGTAACAGCTACCATTTCTGAAGCTGACACCGTGCTGTGCCGTGGCCCAGGCTCTGAACCTGTGCTACCTTATGTCTGACTGATTCCAAAGACTTCCGTGCTCTTAACCACTATTTTGCCCTTTACTGTCCCAGGCTGGTAACAGACCGAGGTGTCTCACTGGGAGTAAAGCACCCTCAGGGTTAGGCGTGGGTCTAGGGTGCATGGGTGGGCACCCCAGAGGCTGACCGTCACCTTCCTGACTCTCCAGCGGTGCCTGCATAGTCTGCGGCACAGCATAGCTCACAAATATTGGCCGAGATGCTTCTTTGGAGCAGGCAGAGGTGAAGCTTCGTCGATTCTGCTGCACCCGGGCCATTGGCTGGGAGGTGGAGGCATGGGAGAGGTCTGCAGAGGAATCCGATGTTGATATGTTTTCCTGGGACCCACTGGAGGACCCAAGCCCGGAGGCTTAGTCCTGCTGCCCTGGCCTGTGGGGGATGTTACTGGTGTGCTGGGCCGGGGCTGTCTCAAGATAATATGAGACCTGTTTCCTGTGCTGCCGGGGAAGAGTGCACCACACCGCCCAGCACAGAGGGCTCTCGGTGGGAAGGCGGGCCCAAGGAGGGCTGTCATTTCTGGGTTCTTCCGTTCAGAGGACAGGGCCCTTCCTATCTTAGACCTTGGATGAGGAACACATTGGCCTTTCCCTGTGAGGTGGTTCCTGACTCTGGGGCCATCCTTCATCCGTTGCTCTTTTCCAAAGATGCAGAGAGATATTTCCAGTCTCCTTTTATGGCTCGGTGACTGGAGAGCCCTGGAGACTCAGCATCAGGCTGAACTTTTGCAAGCCTGCTGGCTGTTGGTACGGGGAGGAGGGGAGAGAAGCCACAGGGACCGGGAGACTGGGTCGCCACCCTCAGCAGGTGGCCAAGACTTTCCAGGCTGTCCTGACTGGGCAGTCCTCTTGTTGGGACCACACTCTAGGTTTTGCACCCATCCTTTACTGGTCCCTTCCCTTATTCATTTATTCATTCAAATATCTGCTTATACTGGGAAAGACAAAAGCAAGGATGAAACAGTCTTTGCCTTGTCATGGCTAGACTGTGCAACATATTACAACAGTTTATTTTCCATTGAAGATAAGTTATTTTTTATTTAAAATATTTTTCTCTTTTTTTTTTTTTTTTAGATGAAGTCTCATTCTTGTCGCCCAGGCTGGAGTGCAATGGTGTGAATTTGGCTTATTGCAATCTCTGCCCCCCAGGTTCAAGTGATTCTCCTGCCTCAGCCTCCCAAGCAGCTGGGATTACAGGTGCATGCCACCAAGCCCGTCTAATTTTTGTAGTTTTAGTAGAGACAGAGTTTCACCATGTTGGCCAGGCTGGTCTTGAACTCCTGACCTCAGGTGATCCACCTGCCTTGGCCTCCCAAAGTGCTGGGATTATAGGCGTGAGCCACCGTGCTCAGCCTAACAAATTTTTTTTGAGATAGGGTCTCACTCTGTCACCCAGGCTGGAATCCAGTGGCATAATCACAGCTCACTGCAACCTTGAACTCCTGGGCTCAAGTGATACTCCTGCCTCAGTCTCCTAAGTAGCTGGGACTACAGGCATGTACCACCACGCCCAGTGAATTTTTAAATTTTTTGTAGAGATAGGGTCTCCCTGTGTTGCTTAGGCTGGTCTCAAGTAATCCTCCTGCCTTGGCCTTCCAAAGTGCTAGGATGATTGGTATAAGCCACCGTGCCCAGCCTAAAGAGAAGTTTTAAAGATACCTGAGCACCTAATTACAGCTTTCCTTTCGATGTTGTAAACCATGTTGTTTAAGGAACACGGGACAAGAGTGTATTGGAAAGAAAGCGGCCAGCTACCTTAGGTGCTCTGTTATGAATGTATTTCCTTAGACCCACACAGGGTTCTCTAACTGTCTTTTCCTGAAAATTCTTCCAATAAGCATTTATTGAACTTTTACTATGCTCAAGGCACAGGGCTTGGTCCTGCTGGCATGCAGAAGGGGGGGACGTGGCCACAGCTGCCCTGGGAAGAGGGGGGCATGTGGAGGGGATCCCCATTTCCTATACACAGGGCCCTGGCTCCGTCACAGATGAGGCCTGGTTGGTCTTGGGTCCATAACTTGTACTTTCAGAGTCAGGAAGCAGATGCTGGCAGGCTTGGAAACCTCGTCCAGGTTGGACGGTGGTGGTAGCAGAGGGATGAGCAGCAAGTGCTTCCTGGGCATTTATCAGCACACGTCTCCAGGCGTAAGACCTTCTGTCTGCCAGGCTAATGGGCCACCCCTGGCACCCCATGGCACTGCATCTGGATGGATTTACAGGGGTCTTGGCTCTCAGCCTCATCTCTGTTCCTTAAACCCGGCTGCCTCTCTGGATGCTGCCCAGAGGTGACGCTGATCAGATTGTGTGGGGAAGCCTGTGTGATGGATGGCTCATTTTGTGTCCTGGGTCTGCAGCCCACATTCCTGCCAAGAGCATACCTGATGCAGGGCCCTTTCTGCAGTGGTCCTCAAGAAATATTAACTGGTAATGAGGACCAGAGACTGAGGTTCACCCGTGCTGGCTTCTTCAGGTCCTTGTTCTACCATGACTAATAGCCCTCTCCTTAAACCACCCCCCAGGTCCCACCCTGGGATGAAAGACCAGCTGACCCTGATCCTCACAGCAGGTTTGTCCTATGGCGGAGATCCCGAGGGGGCCCTAAGTCACAGCTTTGGCCATCCAGACCCGGGGAGCCATCACTGGAAAGTGCCTATCAGGCTAAGGCAGAGGGGTGGGGTGTGGGCGGGCTGTGCCAGCCCACCGGGCAGGTGAGGGACCTGCAGGAGCCGAGTGCCTGAGCTGTCCTCCCCTGTCTATTAACTCCCCATTAGCATGCATCAGTGCCGTTGCCTCTATCAGTTTGATTTATGCCACTGCGGTTTTGCTTACAAATTAGAAGCCGCTATTGTGCTAGGTCGGCTTTAAAATCGATGCAGAGTAATTGCAGTACATGGGTAGTTGGATGACATTAACATGAGAAATGTGCTGTAGTCGTCATCCTTGGAACAAACACGTCCAATTACAGTGAAATTCTGTGCCCCTTACCCGGCTAATTTGAACACAGCTCACCGCCAAGGCCTCCTCCAGCATGGCCAGCCCTGGGCAGAGATCGTCACGAATGGATTTGACGGGAATGGGGCTGGGGACTGTCATGTTGAAGCCCGGTGGAGATGTGGGACAGGGACCTCGTTTGTTCCAGAGCCTGTTCCAACCCTCCCTGGCTTTTGTGGCATGTTTTCTATGCCGTTTGCTGCAAGGATGCGTTGGGCATGGAGTAACAGCCCCAAGACCGTCCTGCAGTACTGCACGTGTGCGTGTCTGTGCTTTGGTTTGTCTGTGTGTCTACCTTGTTTTAGAGTAAAAAAGTGAATCTGAGGCCAGATCATCAGTCTGCACCTGCCTCTCCAGCAGTCCCTGCATTTCCTCACCTATAAAATGGGAAGGGGAACACTCCTTATGGAGCTGGTTCAAGTATTGAGCGAGAGACCGGGACTACAAGTGTTTTCTAACACAGGGGCATGAATTCAGCCGTGGCGGCGGCAGCTTGTTAGGAGAGCGATCAGCCTAGGGGCTGATGGGGTGGCCAGGCGTCGGGATGGCATCCAGTCTTCTCTGTCTGCATGCTGGAGTCATGTGAGAGATTTATAACAGAATAGGGATGCTGGGTTCCATCTCCTGAAATTCTGTGTCATTGGTCTGAGGAGTGTCCTGGGCATCTGGACACGGGAAAGCTCCCCAGCAGGGTCTCCTGTGCAGCCAAGGTTGAAGCTGCTTCCTAGTCCATTTCTTGCTCTTCAGATGGATTTGTGCTTCTTTAGGTAGGACTCATCCTAGTAAAAAAAAAAATTTTTTTTCTGAATTGATAAGCAGGAAGTTCCTCCTTCCATCAAGTCAGAATCCTTACCGCCTCAGACATAGCCTACTCCTTCTTTTGTTAGCTGAGACATGGGTAGGTGGCCCTTCCATCTCTCTGTGTAGTAGGTGTCAGGCAGCATCTGGTTTCCCTTGGGACCCTTGTGCACTTACAGATGGGACCGGGAGGCTGTGGATGACCGAGGGTGGTGCTGCTCTGCTGGACACTGTGCTAGGCGCCCTCACGGGCTGGTGAAGTGGAGTAAGAGCCCTTGGAGATCTGTGGAGCGTCAGAGAGGGGAGAGCAGAATGCAGCGAGTCTGGCCCTCCCTTTTTCACACACGAGGAAGCTAGGAAGAACCTACAGAAGGAAAGGAGCTTGGCTGGGAAATGCCAGTGAGCTGGGGGCAGAGGCGGAATCAGGACCCAGGCCTGGCTCCCGTTCAGGGTTGTTTTCCATGCTGGGGCAGCCCAGCTGGGAGAAGCGACCCCTGGACCGTGTATCTGGGGAAGCTGTGCCCAGAGGGGCAGGATCCGCGTGGTTGATGCCGAGCAGCCTGGGATCTCCGATGAGGCCTAGCGTCTGCTCATACCCAGATGCACGTACTGCGCCAGGGTGGCCGCGTGATGGGCGGGGGTAATGACAGCTGTCGGGTCTGGTTTGACGTCAGCACGGGCCCCCTGACAGATTTCCCGGTTCTGTCAGCTTCGCTTCAGCAGTGCTCTTCCTGTCTGGTAAAAGCAGATTTGTGTGAGATCGGCCCTCTTGAGGGGCTTGTGGGGGGCTGCTGCAGGGAACAGAGCTGTGGTCAGGATTACAGGGCGGCCACGCTCCCATGGCTCATCCCGATGGGGCAGCCAGAGCTTCAGAATTCATTCAGAGGTTCATCCAGCCACTCCACTGTGTGTGCAGCTGGTGGTGGGCACCTTTGCGGTGCACAGGATCCCATAGCCCATGCGGTCAAAGAGCTGCCATTCTCTTTGACAGTGGAACAGAGACAAAGAATCAATCATCCTCGCACCCTGTGGTCCGAGCTGGGTTGGAGGTAAACACAGGAAGCCGTAAGGGCACCCAGGAGGGGCCCCCAGCCTCCAGTTGGGGGACCGTGGGAAGGCTTTCATCCGACCCACAGCGCACAGAGGTGAATGATTTCAGGCGAGGCCTGGCTTTTTCTCCTGGTGTCTCTGTACCCTTAGCACCCGCCACTCCCCAGCCTGCCCAGGGGGCCTGGAGGACTGCCTCTCACATGTGCACGCACAGGACAGCCTGTCCTGTGCGGTGGCGGTCACAGCATTTTCTCTACCTTTCTTGAAAGTGAGGCCTGCAGAGACTGAAGGCGCTTGGAGGGAAGGTTGTCACACTCACGGTGGGGAGTGACAGCTTCTGGGCAGAACAGGAGTCATGCACGTGCAGAAGCGCTGGTCTGGGGGCAGTTTTCAGGCAGCTGCCAACCAAGCCTGATGCCTGTGGGATGGGGGACCGTTGTTGCATCCTCGTGGGAAGATGAGCAATGTACCCCTGCACAGTGCCTGACTCATGCTTGGTTCCGGAGCTTAAGAAAGTGGGCAGACGGCCCCCCGCCCTCCACAATAACAGGAAGCCAGGGGCCGAGTAATTGCCTTAAGCCTGGGGAAGCAGAAGGGATTTTTTTTTTTTCAAATAGGTTTCGTATATCAGAGGGTCTTGTGACTAGGGCCCATCTTTACCCGTGGGCCACCAGGCTGAGAGAGGTGGACTCCCTAGAGAGGTGGACAGGTTCATTCTCAGCTGGAAGAACAAAGCCATGCCAGAAGGACCCAGAGGGACGGTCCATGTGCACACATTCTACCTGCTGGGCCAAGCTGGGAGCCAGCTGGGGACCATTTTTTCTTTCCTTCTGAAGTCACAGTAAACCACACAGGGCCTGTTGATACTCTGAGCCTGACTCAGGGAGAGGGGTCAGAGTTGTGGTTCTGCTGTCTCTCCTGCCGAAGTCTGTAGGGAGAGGTGACATTAGAGGGGAGACTGGGGGAAAGGAGGGGACAGGATTGCTCTGGCTGAGTGCAGAGGGAGGAGATGGGGTGTGATGGGGTGAGGGGAGGACGGTCGTGAGGGGCTGGTAGAGTTAGGAAGGCAGACATTTTTTATCCTCTAGTTGCACATAGCGGGAGAAACTCCTTTAAAGACCAGAGAAGATAACCTGCCATTCTTGGTCTTTGTGCTTGGAAAGGAGTATTCTCAATTTGTTCACAAGTTCAAGGGGACGAGCCTGGGTATTAGGGAATGATCCGCTCTTGAAAGGTCAGATTCACATCCAAGAAGCCTTAGGAGGGCTTACTCCTGAATCCTCTGGCCGTGAGCATTCTTAAGGGGCCATGTAATCTTTTTTCCCTCCTTCTGGGTAAAATGCTGACTGCTGATTTCTTAGGGATGGAGGGTCCTAAGCCTCTGTAGGTGTGCTTGGATTTGAGGGTGTATATATATGGCTGAGGCAGAAGGATTGCTTGAGCCCAGGAGTTTGAGGCCAGCCTAGGCAACATAACAAGACCCCATCTCTTAAAAAAATTTTATATATATGTGTGTGTGTGTGTGTGTGTGTGTGTGTGTGTGTGTGTGTGTGTGTGTGTGTGTATGTGTATGTATGTGTGTGTGTGTGTGTGTGTGTGTGTATATATATATATATATATATATATATATATATATATATATATATATATATTTTTTTTTTTTTTTCCCTCTTCGAACTCCTGGGCTCAAGCAGTCCTCCTGCCTTAGCCTGTCAAGCAGCTGGGACAACAGGCATACACCACTGTGCCTGGCTTCTCCTAATATGTGGTCTGAATCCTTCCCAAGAAGCCCGAAGGGTTTCCAACAGTATCCTTGATGGTAGAGAGAGGCCAGGTTATCCTCCCATTGGTTAGTGAGATACTGAGTGCAGAGAGGGAGACCTGACACTTACCTGCATGTCTGGGTGGCTGAGGCTGGAACTGAATCCTCGTCCCTGGGCCTCTGCCTGTACCTACACTGCACTCTGTACTGTGTTGTATCTGGCCCTCTGTATGCTGGCAGTAAACACCACAGTGGGCAAATCCAAATGATTGTTTAGTGGTAAAAAATTAAATGCAAGAGCTGAAGCCAACAGCAGTTTCATTGAACACAGGGAGACTAAGAGCCCCAGAGCAGCATCAGAAGTCATCGGCTGTACATGTGTCCTGGGCTGAATGTGTCCACCAGGGCTGCGCAGCCTGGGCCATTTTGCCCTGCTGGGGGCAGGCTTTGGAGAGCAGCTTTAACCCTCTGACAAGGGCTGGCTTCTGACAGCTCTAGGGCAGCCCATCATGGCCTGTGCTTCCTGGCCCTCTGAGACACTAAGGTCAGACGCCTGAAGGGACAAAGCTGTTTTTAGTGGGGAGACTCCCCGTGGAGGGTGAAATTTGCATTGCGTGCTTGGAGAGTGGCAAGTTAATGCTTCCTGGCAGCACCAGGAAGCCGCAGGTACCTGTGGACAGGAAAATGGGTCATGAGGGAGTGTTTGTGTGGCAGGCAGGCTTGCGTGCCAGGCCCGGCCCCAGCCTCCCCTTCTCACACGGACTCACACTCCATCTCCACTGGCCTCTGGCTCTTCCAGTCGGGCCACGTCCTCTCCATGTGAGGCAGGGGACTTAGGTGTGCTCACTTGCAGCTGGGACTTGGTGTCCATGGGAGGCTTGAAGACAGGAGGAAGCCGGTTGGCAGGCCCCAGGGAGGGCTGGTCCTGCTCGGGTAGGCTGGGGTGGTACAGGTTTGACTTCTGCCGAGGTTATAATAATGATCTAACGATGACTGGTGTTCATGGGGTGCTTTCTGGCTCAGAAAACGCCTTCATATACGTCTCTCATTTGGTCCTTGTGGTCCTTTTCAAGGAAATAAGAAAGGCAGCTAAAATTCATTGAGCAATTACTATGTACCAGGCACTATGCTAAATGCTTTGTCTGTATTAAAAAAATCCTTGGCCGGATGTGGGGGCTCATGTCTGTAATCCCATCACTTTGGAAGGCCGAGATGGGAGGACTGCTTGAGGCTAGGAGTTTGAGACCAGCCTGGGCAACATCACAAGACCTCAACTCTACAAAAAAATATAGAAAAATTAGCCAAATGTGGTGGCATGCACCTGTGGCATGCACCTGTAATCTCAGCTACTTGGGGGGCTGAGGCTGGAGGATCACTTGAGCCCGGGAGATCGAGGCTGCAGTAAGCTGTGATTGCACCACTGCGCTCCAGCCTGAACAACAGAGCCAGACCCTCTCTCTTAAAAAAGAAATAAATAAGCTCTCCTCACATCCTGCTTTTCAGTCCCCATTTCACGCATGAGGATACTAAATCTCAGAGGTGTTGGGGGACCAGTCACACAAGCACTAGGGGGAAGATCCAGGACTAGCTTAGGCAATCATTTCTGAGGCTTTGCTCATGCCCTCCCCACCCCATGGGGTGGATGAAAAAGGCCCCACTATTGGCAGGCAGGCCTAGAAGTGAGTGCTCCTAGCTCTAGTGCTGAGCCCTGTGCTGCCTGGCTGCAGAGCAGCGCCCCGTTCTCCTTTCAGTCTCAGCGTGAGTTGATGTTGGTACAGTTGATGTTGCTGGGAGGTATCTTGGCACAGCTCCCTTCCAGGGTGTGTCGGTTTTCTGGGGCTGCTGTAACAAATTACCATACACTTGGTGGCTGAAAACAACAGAAGTCTATTATGTCACCATTCTGGAGGCCAGATGTCTGAAATTGAAGTGTTGCAGGGCCATGCTCCCTTCGAAGGCTCTAGGGAAGAATCCTTCCTTGCCTCTCCCAGCTTCTGGAGGCTGCCAGCATTCCTTGGCTTGTGGCTGCATCACTGCAATCCCTCATCTCCTCCTCCTCTGTATACCTCCCTTTGCCTCTCTCTCATAAGGATGTTCCTGTTGGCATTTAGCCCTCCCAGGTCATCCAGGATGATCTCCTTATTTCAAGATCCTTCATATAATCACATCTGCAAAGACCCTCTTCCAAATAAGGTCACATTCACAGGTTCCAGGGATTAGGACATGAAGTTATCTTTGGAGCCACCATTCAACCCATGGCATAGAGCATCCCCAGCTACTGTGGGCACAGGGGACAGGGGTTGGGGGGTTGGTCCCATTTCGGGCCCAGAGAGTTGTGGGGGCCACAAATCTGTACCAGCCTCCTACCAAGGGGCAGCAAATAGAATCAAGAAGATGAATCCCTGCCTTGGGTCTCAACCTCATTGGTCTCGTGGCCTGGCCTTCGAGGTGCCTTTGACTGTGAACCTGCACTGGGTATGTGGCCCTCACTCTGCCTTCTTTCCTTCCATCCGTCCTCATTTCACTCTTGTGTGGCTTCCTAATTATCTTGCTCCCAGCAAATCCCATGTATTCTCTCTCCCTTGTCGTCCCAGGATCAGAGGCTTTCCCCTTGCCTCTGGCCTGGCCGCCTTCTGCAGCATCCCTGTCTGGGGCTTACTGGCAAGTAGCTTTCACCAGGACCTATCCGTGTATTTGAGGGCTGTGGCCAAACTGAAGGCCCTAGATTCAGGGCTGGCTGGGGGTAGAGGATGCCTCAAAGATAGGGCTGTGTGCCATCTTCCTGCTGGGTTTTGCTGAACCCAGAGTGAGAGGAAGAAGGCCTGCAGCGGTTCATCGCACCTGCCAGGCACAGCTGGGGCTGACACAGCTGGGGCTGAATGCAAATGAAGCCCCTTCCAGCCATCTCTCTGCCCAGCAGCCTTCTCTCTGGCAGGCAGGCATGGTTGCACCAGCTTCCGTTGCATAGACATCTCAGGGACCCTGCTGCTGTGTGGGAAGCCAGAGTCCGACCTGGCTCCCCTGGGCTGGATACATTTGCCTCTTAAGCCCTGGGTTGGAGAGAATCCAGGGCTGGGTCCCCATCAAGAGACAAGAGCACAACGGAGCAGTGTGTAGATACTTTTCTTTTTCTTTGTTTATTCCCCCTTCCTTTCTTCTCCTCCCATCATCTGTCTGGGACTTCTCTCCACGAAGCAGAAAACCTACTAGCTGGTTGTGTCCTGCATCACTCTATGGAGGCGTCCCCATCACTGGTCTCTCCCCAGGATTGCCCAGAGCCTATGGGGGACTCTGGGTGGAGATGCTTGGAAGGCCGGTGCCGGTTATAGGCATCACACGTTGTCCAGGAGGATGAATGCTTTTGAAGGTCAGCAGGACCCAAGTTTAGTTTCCAGGACTTCCTGGTGTTCAGCTGGAAGAGTGGATGAAAAGACAGGTCTTCCTGAGGCATAGTCTCACAGCCAGGCTTCCCCCTCCCTTGTGAGCCTGACTCCCCTGCCTGCATCTCACCGTCTCCTTTTTCCCTGCCTGCCTTCACCCCACCACCAAGAAGGTAGTGTTTTCTATTGTAGGGTGGCGCCCATAGGGACTTTTCTTTCATGTCCTGGAACTGAACGTCCCTAGAAAACAGTAAGTCATTTGCTTCTGCAAGCGTAGGTGCCCACGGAGCGCTCTTCAACACTTCGGAGTGTGGTCTTCTAAAGTGGGGGTGGCAAGGTTTCCTCAGCCCCTGGAGACCCTGCCTCATACCCAGGGGTTTTCCCCACACTGCTCTGGGAACTGAGGGGTAAGAGTCCATGCCGGCCTGTCCCACCAGCTGCCCTCAGTTATCTCCTTCCATCGGCAGCACACCCCCGTTCTCATCCACATGCAGCCCCTGCTCCGATCCTCAGTTCCCCCGAGGAGATATCAAGTTGTTGGAAGGCTCACCTGTCCTCGGCCCCCCTGGAGACCCCTGCAGGACTCCCTGGGGCCTCCTTGATCCCCATCTGGAGGCCCCCATTCAGTAGGATCTCAGTGCGTACCTTCCTGCCTGGAGGTGCGGAGATAGGGTTGGGAGCTGGGGGCGGGGGTGTATGCTATAAAGGGCCCAGCGTGACCTACATAAACCTTCTGCCTGGGAAGTGAAGGATGCCTTTAATTGGGAACGGTGCTTAGTCGAGAGAGTGCTTGCCTGGGTGTGTAAGGATTGTGGTTTTTTAAAAATAATTTTAATTTCTCGCCAGAGAATGCCATACATTCTTTCTTTCTACCCTGTGGAGTCTCTTATCGCCGCAGAAAGCAACAGAACAGCAGGTGCAGAAATGAGAGAGGCAGGGGAGAATGAAGGGAAGCGGGGCAGTCCCAAGTTCCCTAACTCTGTGACCTTGGGCCAGGCACTGCCCCTTTTTGGGCCTCAGAATTCCTGTCAGTTCACTTGAGCCCTAGGATACCTCTAGGCAGAAAATTCTGGTCCTGCTGTCACCACTGAAGACATCAAACATGCTCTGAGATGGGGAGTCAGCGAAGACAGCACTCCAGGCTGGACCTGGCCCCAGCCCGAACAGTCCTGCATCAGCCCCGCGTCACTACGGAGAGATGCCGTCGGCAGAGACTGAGAGGGAGCTAGTCAGATCCAGCCATCCCAGCCTGACCATCCCATGCCCCATGCCAGCCCACCCTAAAGAGGTCAACCTCAAGGGGCAGAGGACTGAGCCAGCAGGGGCGGGGTGGGTGGAAATTCACATGGAATTGGCCAGTCCCCATGCCAGGGCAACAGATGTTCGCTTTGGAGCCTGGATGGGGTTCGCTCCAGGTTGTGGGCGGGCGGCGCCTTCAGATGATCTCCCGGCTCGGGTTACTTGTTGGCTCTGGGCAGGGCCTTTCACTTTGGGGGCTGTCTGGCCTCCAGGATTCCTCCCACCTCTGCCTTTTCACCCGCTGTCGCGTGCATGCCCAGCCAGCAGAGCTGGCCACCTTGCTCCTGACGCTCTGAGCTCCCTGTGCCTGGGCCTGGCTCTCAGTGGGGCTGTCTCAGGCCAGGGCAGCGTCTCCCCTCTCCCTGGAAGTACCCTGCTTATCCTGATTGCAGCAGTACGGTTATTTGTGCCCTTGGAGGGATTAAGAGTCTGTAGGGCCTTCACCACGGGCCTCTTCCAGAGGTCCCTTCTGTCTGGTTAGGAACTGCAGTCCTGGATTTTTCTTTTTGGTATGATTCTTATGGGCCTGAGGATGGCAAACTTTGGAATTTAAGTGGGCATAGAATTCCCAGCTACCAAGGTGCCCTTATGACCAAGTACCCGTTCCTCCTATATGGTAAATCCTGAGAAATGTGTATAGTTTTCTCTTAAAAATATCTCCTCTCTTGATCGCTGGCTTCTGTTATGTTTTTTTTTTTTCCTACAGTGAGATATGTTTATTTTTAAGAATGCTTCCAATAACCAGAGGATATGAAACCAGTTTAATTTTTTACCCCACTAAGAGATAAGGAGGAGTCAGAGGGAGGGATATGGACACAGCAAGAAGGATTTGGGTGGGATCATCAGGGTAACTGAGGACCAAAAGCCCATCCCCTGCCCTGATGCTTTCCGTCTCCTGCCTTCTGCTCCCTGCAATTGGTCCATGGAACTTTGAACTAAAAGAAAACTTAGAGGACATTAAATCGGGTGGTTTTGAGGCCAGCTTTGCATCGGAATCACCTGGGAAGGTTGCAGAACTATAGACTTGCAGTTCCTACCTCTAGCGACTGAGTTTGTTGGTCAGGAGTGGAGACTGGGCTGTTTGTTTAACAAGGTCCCCCAGTGATGCTGGCGCATCCAGCCCTCCCTGTCCTTGGAGTGGGATTTGGTGCATGGGTCTGGCGCAGCCCTGGCTCTCCCGTTCCTCAGACACAGGAAGCGCAGCTCCAGCCACTCTCAGTGGGCACCTGCAGGTGTACGTTCCCTGCCTCCAGAGGCTGCTCACTCCATTTGGGGAAGTTTTAGCCATAGGAAGTTTTCTTGCTGGGCCTGGATCTGTTTTTCAGAGCCACACAGAAAGATTTTCCTTTCCCTACTTGGGGTCTGGCCTTCTCACAGGAGGACAGCTGTCCCACCTGTCCAGTCTTGTCACCTCTGTCTACATACTCTCTATTCCTTCTCAGGCTTTTCAGGTGCCTTTGCTGATCACAGGTGTGGGGAGGAAAGCCACCCAGGAATGGGGACAGAGAACTTGAGACTTTGCTGGCTAGGTCAAACCGATTTTTTCCCTCCAGGGCCACCTGTCGTCTCATTCCTTTCTGTCTCTTTTGGTAGCTTCAGCTTGAAGCTACCAAAGCTTGAATTCTCAAGCTTCCAGGATTATGTAAATTAGTAAGGTTACAAGCATGTAAAATTATTAAGTGGTATTTGATAAATACAAAAGAATACATGTAAGTTACAAAGTTGTAAGAAACACTGTGGAATCCACCACCTAGCTGAATGTGGATTGTCACAACACATCACCTCTAGCCCTGCTCCGTCCCTGTCCCATCCCCTGGCGGAGGGCACCCTTCTCCTGAGGGCATTTTTATCAGCCTTTTGCCTTTTTATGTAATGTTGCCCCTCAGATGTTTCCCTAAACGATGCATTCTATAGTTGCATGTGCTTCTGAGCTGTGTAAAATGGTATTGTGCTACATGTAGCTTTCTGTAGCTTGCATTGCTTCTACTAAATATTGTGTTTCTAAGATTCATCCATGTAATGTTTGTACTTGTAGTTCATTCATTTTCCCTGCTTTTTAATATTTCATTGTGTGTTCATTGTTACCAGTTTTTTGCTGTCACGAGCAAAGCTGCTGTGAGCATCTTTGACTGTGTACATTTCTTTCATGCACATGAATAATAGTTCCTCTATGGCATACACTGGTGAAATCCTGCATCACGGGGCAAGGAGTTTTCCTCTTTTGAGAAATGCATCAGATCTCAAAGAAAAGAGCAGTCCTGTTGGCAGGGGTTGTGGGCTATAGAGGTGTGTCTGTCCTAGCCTGAGTAGCAGCCAGGTCTCTGCAGGGAATATTTCCCAAGCTGAGTAGCAAGAGCCAGGTTCCTTCCAGCACTCCCATCTCGGAGCCCCCACAGGCTGCAGAGAATAGCAGAGTTACTTTACACAGAGCGGGGATGAATGGAGCTTGTGTAAACGTGGGTGTGTAGGGCTGAGACGTCCTCGAAGATCTAATTTACTGCCCTGCTTTCCCATCCTGGAACCTCTGCCAAGTGCCTATAAAAAAGATGAAATATTTAGCCAAGATCAGGGAAGGAAGAATCAAGGCAGACTTTCACATTGGCCATGCTGTTGAGAAGGTGGTTTGGGCAGTTTTCTTCTACACCATCCCAGATTTAAATCCTGGCCATCCTTTGATTGTCTAGTTGAAATTCCATGGTCTGAATGAAATCTTTTTGTCCTCACATGCAGGCGTCTTACCTTCCTCTGAATTTCTCAGGTGCACTTAACAGCTATGTTGTAGTTGAGACTATGGCCTTGAGGGCAGGGCCTTTGTTTCTTACTCTTTCATGACCCCCTCCCTCTGCTCCGGCCACCCTGCAGCACTGACATAGTAGTAGGTACTCATTAAATGCAAGCATTGATTGACCTGCCTGCAAACTGGGTGACAGGCTACTTTATCATCTTTCCCGTTCCTTACCTCCAAAAGTAACATCCCAAGAGCTGTATTTCTGGGAGGCTGAGACACCTGTTTTGAAAAAGGCTTTCAGGTGCACTGTGCAGTGAGGGGCACATTCTAGGCCAGGCCTGCAGTCAGAGTGGAAGCGTGGAGTGGTCTGTGCTGCTCTCAGCACTCATTCCAGGATCAGCTGCTGATGGCAGGGCTTGGAGAAGGGCTGAATCCTAGCAACTCTACAGGAAAGAAGAAAAATATCATCTCAGTATCCCAGGTTTTCTCAGGCAGCAGAAGGCAGTAGTAAACAACCCAGAGGGTCCTGAGTTGTCGCTGTTTAGGAAAAAAATATAGGTAAGTGAGGCCGGGCGTGGTGGCTTACGCCTGTCATCCCAGCACTTTGGGAGGCCAAGGTGGGTGGATTACGAGGTCAGGAGATCGAGACCATCCTGGCTAACACGGTGAAACCCCATCTCTACTAAAAAAATACAAAAAAAAAAATTAGCCGGGCGTGGTGGTGGGCGCCTGTAGTCCCAGCTACTCGGGAGGCTGAGGCGGGAGAATGACGTGAGCCCCGGAGATGGAGCTTGCAGTGAGCGGAGCTTGCAGTGAGCAGAGCTTGCGCCACTGCACTCCAGCCTGTGCGACAGAGCGAGACTCCGTCTCAAAAAAAAAAAAAAAAAAAAAAAAAAAAAAAAAAAATATATATATATATATATATATATATATATATATATATATATATATATATATATGTAAGTGAATGAAGGAATGAGTGGAGTGAAGCGGCAATGAGTGAACGAGAGCACAGACCAACAGCGTGCTGTAGTGGCAAGAAGCCTGGCCGGAAGCCTGGAGCCATGGGGTTCGCACGCTAGCATTTTCCTTACTTTTTGGGTGACATTGGAAAAACTGCCCAATGTCTTCTCAGCTTCCTTATCTGTAAAATGGGGCAAAAGTACATATGCCCCAGGGTGGTTGAGAGGATCAGAGGAGATCATGTTTGTGAAAGTTCCCACTTCCCTTGAGTCCTTGTCTAATGTCACCAGGGGCTACATGGATCAACAAGACTGTGTGTGACGAATGCGTGTGTGATTCCCTCACTGAGTAGGTTTGAATTTGGAAGGTGTCGACTGCATCCTGTCTCCCACCCTCTGATGATGGCTGGTTATTTCAGATGGGGAAGGCGGTGCCTCTGTGAACTGGGCTTGTCCTGCAGCCAGTTTGGTGCTTTCCCTGTGAGCTGGACTGTGTGAGGGCTGAGGGCTGACTCCAGCCAGTGGCACCTTCCCAGTTTGCCTGTGTGGGGGGACAGCAGGTGCCAATATGATTAGCTCTGGGGGCTTTGGCCTAGCTTGCCTGCAACAGCACTTAATTTGGGGGAGTCCAGCCAATCTTCTCAAATGAGGACTTGCTGAAGCCATGGCTCATGTTCCAGGATTCCCCTGGACCTGCTGCCGCTGGGGCGGCATGAGGGATCCTGATTCAGGGTTCCACAGCTCTGTCCCTGTGACTTGAGGCTGCAAACTTCCGCAGGGCTAGGGGCAGGCTCTGCTGTTGTTTCTGTTCCTTTAGCGTCCTCTGCAAGCCTGTGGTGTTTGGAGAAGAACAGTGCACCTGAAGTCAGAAGGCCTTGGTTTGAACCCCCTGCTCTGCCTCCTGAGCAGCAGCTCTGTGACTCTGAGCCAGTTGCTTAATGTCTCTGAGCGTCATCTTCCTCACTGGTGGAGAGAAGACAATAATCTCTACCTTGAGGGAATGGTGCAATAATTTAATGTTAATTACCATTTATCTAGTACTTTCTGGGAGTGACAAACACTTGGTAAACACTTTACAGGCATGATTTCCACAGCAAACCTGAGAGGAAGGTGTTATGCCCTTTTACAGATGAGGCAGCTGGAGCTCAGAGAGGTTAGGTAACTTGCCCTGGGCTGTACAGCTGGTAGGTTGCAGAGCCTGTTCACTTCAGCTGCCTGCCTCTGAGGCCCGTGCCCTTCGCTGCCACCAGGATGCTTCCTCCAGTAGATAAGATGATATGTAAAGAACGCCCGGCATGCTGTTGGCCGGATCTGAGTCTCACCCAGCCCGTGGAATTTGCTGAGAGACTGCGGCTTTCTGGGGACTGGAAAAAATGGAGGCGGGGGTAGAGAAGAGACGAGTAAGCCTGGGTCTGTGCTTCCCAGCCTTTGTAGGGGAATCATCTGAGAGTCCAGGCGGTGGGGTATTTTTGGTAGCAGGCTCATGACTCTTCTCCAGGTTCAGCAGGAGGGAGAGGGTGGGTAGTGACGTACAGGGATATAGCTCATTCTGCAAGTTCATGAAAAGCTCTGCAGGCTCAGATCCTGTCATCACTGGGCACCCTCTGGGTTCCTAGTACTGTAGGGCACATTTGAGCAATGTCATACAGATGTGGCCCTGCCCTTAGGGAGCACCTGGTTGTCAGATAGAAACGAGCACACATGTGAAATGACTGCGAGCAGCAGCCAAGGCAGTGAGCAGTGCGGTGTGAGGATTTGTGGGAGGGGCCATTGCTTTGAATGACTCATCAGGGAGGGCCTCCTGGAGTAGGTGGGGCGGCAGCTGAAGCATGGGTAGAATGTGTCCAGGAGAGAGGAGGGGCTGTGAGATACATCAAAAGAGAAGGCTCATCCCAAATTTGGGCCACGGGGTCATTGTATTATCCTGATCGATGTCATCCCCTTTGTCACATTTTTAAAGTCTCCTGTGTCAGCGGCTCTATAGGAAGCCCATCACACAGATATTCCTGGGCTTGCCTCCTGATGGGCTTGCCTCCTGATGACTTACGATCAAAGACAGGCTGGTGCCCACCTACGTGAAATGTGACCTGCAAAGCATTCTGTGAGGCCGTTCTGGTCCCTGTATTTCCCACCTATTCTCCTTATACCAGGGCTACCTCTTGGCCACAGAACAGAGTGTCCCTCTGGCCGGGAGAGACCTCAAGTTGGCTTTGCCAAATTCCTTCCCTCCTCCCTCACCAAGGACACTCCAGTGGACAGCCAGAGCCTCTGCAGCCCTGTCCCACCCGAGGCAGGCTGCCGTGGAAGGGGCAGTGCTCTTAGCCCACTCTTCTTTCTCTGAGCTTGGCCTGCCCTCCCGGTTGGGCTGGAATCGAAAACCTGATTGATCTCTCCAGAACAAATGGCAGTTTTATGATGTAGGGTTTCAGCTTTCTGCAAGTCTCCCCCTCCCCAGGCACAGAGAGGGCAGGGTCAGCTTGCCCCCTTCCCTTCCGAAGCCAGAGGTGGGCATTAGCTCCCTCCAGCTGTCCCTGAGTCCACACAGCCAGCTGCTGCCTGCTGCGAAAGGGCATTGCCACCACCATCTGCAGCTCATTTCCCTGGTGTGAATTTTGCAAACAACCTTCTTAATCATGTTTATGAACTCAGCATACATTTGCTGCAGGTTGAGTTTCCCGTGATGATGGAAAGCTTGGTTATAAAGCCAGCAGGTTGGGTTTCAAAATCCAGCCTCATTGTGGATCCTTCTCTACCTTCCTCTCCTCTTCCTTCCCTCCTCTTCCCTCCCCAGTCATCCTCAAGAGAAGGACGAGACTATTCCCTCATTTTCCCATGCTGTTTACAAAGCCCTTCTCTCTCTCTGGTAGAGAAGATGCATTATCCCCATTCTACAGGTAACAGTACCGAGGGTCAGAGACACCACGTGATCTGCCCAAGGCTCATGGTTAACAGCCACCGAGCTGAGCCTTGAACCCTGCTTCTGCATCTGTGTCCTCTGCTGTTCCCACTCTGCTGAGCAACTTTGACCTGGCTGGCATGACAGGCGCCCTCCCTGTGCATCTCTCAAAGTCTTCTCCTGCCCCACCCTGGGGACATGTGTCCTGAGCACAGTCCGCAGCTGCCAGGGGCCAGCTTTGTGCTGAATTGTGGTTTGTGGCTTTTATTTCTTCCCACGATGCCCTTCGTGAATGTCATTGAGTTTATTAGGTCCGGCTCCTTCTCCTTTGCTAGCTAGGAATACCAAACCCTACATGGTCCTGTTACCCAGAAAACATCGCCGACCCTTCCATGCCTCACGGGAACGGCCCTGGCTGAGAGTTGGGGCTTGTTGGGTTTAGATTCCAAAGCCAGCTATCCTTTATTCCCTGTTCGAGGAGAAAGACTCATGCCTTCATTTCTCCACTCAAAAAACGGGGTAAAGATTCTCTCTTTAAACCCTGGTCCCTACTGGGGCAGCAGGAAGGTGCACTGGGAAAGTCAGCAGAGGCCATCTGACAGCAGCAGCAGATGCACCGTTTAGTGCTTGGCGTCTGTTGAACTGGGCCTCTCACCCATGGGCATGCAGCATACGTAGGTGGGTGGTGGGGCCGCCCTTTGTGTGTGTAACACCTTCATTCCCAAGCTGTTTCCTTGCTTCATGTTCTCTCTGGTTTCCCTGAGAACATGCAGGCCCTCCCAAAGGAGGGTCGGGTGGCCGCCATCTCAGCCCAGAGAGGGGTAGGTGAGTTCCCACTGGCACCCAGCATGGCGTTAGACCTGAGGGTGCCCTGATTCATCCCCTGATCATGCCTTCTGTTTTCCAGGCCTGACTTCATCATCCTGGGAGGAAGAGAGCAAGTGCACATTCCTCCCTTGTGAAAAAGAGGGAGAGAGGCAAGGCGTAGAGGGGTGCCTGGTGGGTAGTGAAAAAGAGGGAGAGAGGCAAGGCGTAGAGGGGTGCCTGGTGGGTAGTGAGTGGTGGGGCTCTGTTCTCTGTTGTCACGTTCTTGCTGGGAACGCTGGGCAGGAGCCTGCTTGGCTGGGACTTGGCCCCTCTCTGAGCCAGGCCTGCCCGTGAATGCTGCCTCCCTGACTCAAGCCTGTCATCTGAAAAGCACACGCTGGCACACCCACACCTACACAGAGGGCAGCACCTTCTTTCCCCTCTTGGTCTTAACTTTTACCCTCATTAACATGATCATGATGGTGCCTGTATTCCCATTTCCTCAAGACCTCCATGGGCGAGCAGTGTCTGCCAGGCAGCCGCCACCTTCCCCGCTCCACTGCCCGAGTTGGATCCCAGCAAACGAGGTCAGAGAGAGAGGAGCTCATTTTTTGCCTTTTAGAAGTAGAAAGTCTCTTTGCCGGGTCTGCTGAGCTTTCATTTGGTCTGAACTGGGTAGAGGTTACTTGCATAGGTCAGCACAGACAGTGGCATTGCTGGGGTGGAAACCCAGGAGTGCTGGTTCCTGGTCTGCCCTCCTGGACTTATCCTTCTGGGAGGGTCATTGGAGCTTCCGACAGGGTCCTGATGGGGAAGGGTGGAAAAGGGATTCCTTGATGGGGAATAAGGAAGGAGCTGAGTGCAGGGGAGGAAAACAGCTGGGGATGTGGAAATTTTGAAAGGGAATAAAGCCAAAAAAACACTGACTATATAGGGGGGGGACGAGGGAGGGCATTGCCACGACCAGAGGTGCAGAGGAGAGGCCTGACAAAGAAGGGCCAGGTGTAACGAATGACCTTATTTAGTCCTCCTGTCCCTATTACTCCCTTTTTTTTTCCTTTTAGCTTTTTATTGTGGAAAATCTTAAACATTCACAAAAATAAAGCACATAATGTAGAGAACCCTTGCGTAACCCTCACCCGGCCTCCACAACCTTCCATTCCTTTATTTCCTCTACTTTCACCCCCTGTTTTCCTCCTCGAGTATTTTAAAGCAGGTCCCAGACATCCTGTCATTTTACCCACAGCTACTTTTCCAGCTCCTTGAGGGGTGCGTTTGGAGTCCAGAGGCCCCGCTGCAGGCTACGGGGAGAGAGAGAGTTGTGTGGACGAGGTGGGAGAGTGTGAGGCCAGGTGGGGGAGCAGCCCGGGAGCATCGTGGATGGTCCTTGAGGCGTGCTCAGCCAAGGGGGCCAGCAGTCACTCTCGCTGATTGAGTGCTTGCTACGGGTGGGACATTGCACTGGGTACTTCACACACTTCAGGTACTCATTCCTCAGCACAGTTAAGAATGGTGGGCTCAGAAGGGTCTGGTGACGTGCTCGAGCTCACACAGCTGGGCAGTGAGGAGGCCAGGATCTGAATCCGGGTCTCAGGACTCCAAAGTCCTGGTCTTGTCTGTCGCTATACTACCTCTGGGGGTGTTAAGACACAGCTGGCACTTGAGGGAGTAGGTGTTTAAACCCAGGGCTGTCTGGCTTCAAATCTATGATCCTTACACTACACCAGCCTGTCTCTGCTGCACTGTGGTGTTAAATACGAGCATAATATGAACTTCTGTGATTTAATGTAGATTTTATATATTACAACAATAGCACTGAGATGGCGTGGACGTTGGAGAGTTGTGGCTTGCTGGCTGTTGCTGTAATTAGGTCTGTATAAAAAAAATAGTAGCGATCAGTAAACATGACAGAATGGGGAATATCACTAGTAATCAAAGAAATCCAAATTATGCCAACAATAGTATGCTATTTTCTTGCCTTTCACATGTGCATGGATTTTTAAACGGATAATTGCTAATATGATGGAGCTTTCTACTACAGCACTGGTTGGGTGTAAGGTGTTAAAACCTTTGAGGAAAATCACTTTGCAGAGGGTTCCAAGAGCCTTGAAAACAGGCTCATCCTCTGGCCCGTAACTGCAGCTCTAAGACTCCATTCTAAGAAAACAATCAGAAATGCTGTCAAAGATTTTATGTGTTAGGGTGCTCATTAAGGAAGAATTTATAATAAAGGACAATTAAAAGCAATTTAGGTGTCCCACATTAGGGAGAATGGCTAAGTAAAGTATGATATGTGTGTGGATAAATGAGTTTGGGGAACGATTAAATGATAGGGGGAAAGTGTTCACACTGTGGCGTGGCATTTATATACTATGTATTATAGATGTCTAATTATATATTATGAACATACATACTGTAAAGTTTGCTCTTTTTGGTGTACAGCTGAGTTTTGAAAAACACAGTCATACATGTGTCAATATAATTTTAGGTGAGGAAAAATGGTATATGGTATGCTCCTAATTTTTAAAAACATATATGTCTACAAATACAACTTCATATGACCAGAAGGACATCAGTAAAGAGTGATCAAACTAAGTGGCCCTGGAGAAACAGCCTGCATAATTTTAAACAAGCACTTTCCTTCTGGGCTCGTTTCTTCCCCGACATTCCGTGAGTGCCCTTATCCCAGTCATGGTCAGCATGGTGGGTGTGGGCTCTGAGCCGTGACAGGCGCTGACCTTGGGTGGAGGTCCCGGCCTTGCCAGTGTGCCCAGTGGGGCTGGGGAGGCGGCTGGGCACAGCGAGCCTGGGCTCCGGTGTGTGTCACTGGGCTCAGTATAGAATGGAATGCTGCTCACTGGGGCCGTGTCCTGGCCGAAGATCAGTGGAGGGCAAAGTCCTCTCCCCTGCCCCCTCCCCACCGTCTCTGCCATGCAGCTGCTTCGGAGTTGGGGCTCCAGCACACAGGGGGCCACTCGCCCTAGAGAAAGAGAAGTCCACTAGTTCTCCCAAAGACCGAGAATTCTTCCTTTTCCTCTGAGTGGGGTCAGCGAATCGGGGGAGAGAACATTCTTGCTCCCCGCCCACCCTGCCACCTCTAATGTTCCTGAGGCCAGCATCAGGGGTCTCCCGGTTAGGGCTTCCTTGGACCCCTGGGGGTGACATTATTCTTAACTTTGTTCCCAGCAGGGAGAAGCCTGTGTGTGTAGTTGGTCCAAGCATCTAGAAGCTGCTCTTTCAAAGTCATGAGCTGGGTTGGGATGGGGTTGAGCTGCTTCAGGGCAAGGAGGCCCTTGCCAGCAGCCTGGGAGTGGCTCTGCCACCCGCCCTGCTCTAGGCTGGTGTGGGTGTGGCCCAGGCCCTGGACATGCCTTCTGCCCGATGCCTGGAGCCCTGGGATGCCACCCAGCCAGCCCCACCTCCCACCTCTAGCCAACAGCAAGCACAGCTCCCATTCTGTAGATGAAGAGCAATAGCCTGGACATGTGACACGGCCAGTCCAAGCTCCCACAGTGAGTTCTGAACAGAGCCCAGAGTAGAAACTGGGTCCCCTGGTGGCCAGGTGTTTCTTTCCCCTTTGCCTGCCAGCTCCCCGAGGATGGGGACTGTCCCTGCTATCCTCTGCGGAGCCCAGCTGACAGCTCAGGGCTGCGTGTGGAGGATGTAATGGACAAGCAAGGGGCTCCAGCGGTCACCGGGCGTGACTCAGGCCTCAGCTGGAGGGGCAGCTGCCACAGTGGGGAGCCCCAGCTCTGCCCTGAACATATTGTGGAGCCTTGGACGCATTGCCCCCTCTCAGGGCCTAGCCACCTGCTGATCTCCCAAGGACTCATGTCTATTCTGGTTTCTTTCCTCCCAGGATTTTGAGTTGTGCTGACTGCCAGGCATCGTGTTTCCCTCTGGTGGCTGCACCACACCTCACACGTGTTCCCTGCTGTGCAGAAGTGATGTGTGGGCCTGTCATAGAGGGACCCTGTGGCAGGGCATCCAGACGGGAGCTCTGTGGGAGAACTGGGTCTCCAGGTCTCCTAACCAGTCTCTGAATCAGCCTGAGAAAGTTGGGGTGTGGATGGTACATTTGGAGGGATGAAGGAGCAGGGAAGATGCCATCAATGGACCTTAAAATCCAATGTAGAAAACAACCCAATAGAGTCATCCCTGCAAGCATCATAGGATGCCTTGGTTTCCCTTGAGCTTTTCTACCGCCTTCCCTGTACCCGAGTTACTGTCCGTGGTTGAGTTCCCCATCTCGTTGTCTGCTGGACTCACCCATCATCTTTCCACCATCACCATCGCAGCCACTGTATGTGGAGTGTTTCTCATGGGCCGGGCACGGAGCTGGGTGCTTTACCACCTCATTGAATTCCTGCCGCAGCCCCAGGAGGCAGGGGCTCCTGTTTTAACTTATGTTTTGCACATAGGGCGGCTCAGAGAAGTTAAGTAATTTGCTCTGGTTTCACGGCAGTTTGTGGTGCACCAGCTCTGTCTGACTCAAGCCCCTCACTCTTCCCATCAGGCTGCACCGATCCCCTCATCCCCACAGGGCTAAGCCCTGAGCCCAGGAGATAGGGCTGTTGGCTAAGCAGCTTAGGGCACAGCCAGATCACGGCACAGGAAGCTTCAGTCGTGGGGACCGATGAGGTGGAGAAGCAGCCAGGCATCGGCCCTCCTGCTGTCACCCTCCCTGGCTTCCTCTTCAGGGAGGGTGACAGCGTAGGGGTTGACGCCCGTGGTCTGGTCTTGCCCAGGCTGGCTGAGGAGGGCCATGTAGGCCCCATTGATTTTCTGTCTCCTCTGATATGGGGTGTCAGGCAGGTGGAGAGCCCAGGCCAGCTGCTCTAGGCAGCAGGGGAGCGAGAGGTGACTGACCTCAAGGCCGCCACCTCTGAGAAGACTTCTCTTATTGTACTACCCCCTGCAGTCATCCTGGGGTTCTGCTGCCTCCACATGCCCTTTAGTTCTGCATTCCTGGGAACCAGGGCTTACCCGCAGGGTCTTGGCAGTCAGTCATAAGTTCTCTGGTGCCTGGCACCTGGGCCAAGGCTGCCCTTTCAGCTTGCCCGTTGGGACTGCTGGGTGTAAGCTTTAGGAGCAGGGCCTGTCTGGGAGCACTTTGTCCCCCACAGTGGACTCCAGGGTGATGGGTGCTTAAGCGATGCTGTTTTTGACCCCAACAGTCTTCTTGGAGGCAGGGAGGTGTCTATGTCTGTGACGCAGCCTTCTTGACCCAGACTCTTGTCCCCTCCCCAAGAGACTGCCAGCCACATGGGCCCTGGTCCCAGTAGGTAAGCGGGTCTTGGCTGGCCTTATCCTCCCCCTGCACTTCCCTTCTTTTTCTGGACCTCCAAAGCCCTTCAGCCACTCCCTCAAGGCCTGTGGACATCTCGGGGTGAGGTGTGTGGAAGCCCCACCTACTCCCGCTCCACCCCAGCCGGAAGGAGGCCATGTCCTTATTCTCTGCCAGCCGCAGCCCTGGAGCCAGGTCCCAGCCCCCTGCAGATGGCGTGAGGTGCGCAGATGGGGGCAGAGGCAGCTGGTGACGTGGGCTGGGGCCTCTGAAGAATGGCCTGGCGAGGTCTGCTTTAGGAGAACGCACTCTCGAGCCACCTCACGCCCCACCGGACCACGCGCTGCAGGCAGACAGCGAGCGCCAGTAGCAGCAGGTCCCACCAGATGGCGATCCCCCAGCCACCCCCCTAAAGGGGACCATGTGGTAGATGGTCTCTTTAGTCACGGTGTGAGACCCGGGTAATGGGGAGAGGGTTTGTGGGGGCCAGAGCTCAGCAGTAGAGAAGGGAGGGTGTGTGGTTCACTAGGCTTGCCTGCCCCAGCCAGGTTCGGTGGAGTCGGGAGCCTCGAGGGTTTTCCCTGCTGAGGCTCTTCCTCCCCTGCTCCTCCTGGGGCAGTGGACACAGCCTCATCTCTCAGCATCCAGTATTGTGCTGTGGTAGTTTCAGGGGCCCCCTTCTGCCAACCTCTCTCTCTCACTCTGTGCGTTAGCCTCTTGACTCTGTGGGCATCCCGGTCTTTCCAAGGACTCTGTAGCAGCCCAGCCTATCTAGGTGCTAAGTGCTCCTGGGAAGAAGAGAGGAAGACAGACCACCACGTCCCCAGGTACAGCCACACTCCTCTCCAGCCCAGGCAGGTGCATTCCCTCTGCTTCTCTCTGGCAGCGCCTGGTTCTGGAACTCGGCACTGCTCTGACCAGACCATCCAAGCGAGTGAGCAGGTGCCTGGACCAAAGCACGTTTCTTGCACCTGCCAGCCGGTGGAGCAGCCCTGGAAGGTGCCAAGCCCATTTCTGGCTCTCGGGCCTTGGCCAGGGGTGGTGCCCAGGGGATGCAGGAAGGATGACCCTGGAACCACTCCTGGGTCTCCACCCTGACCATGGAAAGGGAAGGCTGACTCTTGCCGAGGGAGAGAAATGGTTTTCAGTGTTCTTTTTCTCAGCCCCCTTTTGTGTGCTGCAAAGGAGGGAAGCAAGTTGAGTTGGCAGCCCAGGGGAAGGGAGTGAGGCGGGGGCAAAGTTTCCCCTTGATTTGCCATATGACCTCGGAACATCTCCTTGGGCCTGGGCCACCTGTAAACTGAGGAGGGAGAAGCCTGCCTGCCCCGTGTCCTCTCTGCCTGGCCTCCTTGCAGTATATCGGAAGAATCAGAGCCACCAAAACAGTCATAAGAGGGGGTGGTGGAGGCATTTGGCTGCATCTCCCAACCCCCAACACGCTTTGCTCACAGCACCTGGGTGTGGTGGGCAGACCGGCCCGTGGCACGGAGCCATCGTCAGCATGGATGCTGTATCTTATCTGCATTTTTGGTAACTGGTGGAGGTCTCCAATTCCTTGTACTGGAGAGTCTTTGCTGGGCGGATTTGGGCATTCTCCTGCCCAGCCCGCCTTGCCTTCTGACTGTGGCGCAGAGAGGAAGGTGGGGTGGGCAAGAGAATGCCCAAATCTGCCCAGCAAAGATTCTTCAGTATCTCCCTCTATATTGGGCTATTCTTGCATTGCTATAAATAAATAACCTGAGACTGGGTGATTTATAAAGAAAAGAGGTTTAATTGGCTCATGTTTCTGTAGGCTGTACAGGAAGCATGGTGCCGGCATCTGCTTGGCTTCTGCTGAGGCCTCAGAGAGCTTTCAGTCATGGTGGAAGATGAAGGGGAACAGGCACTAAACATGACAAAAGCAGGAGCGGGTGAGATTGCGGGGCGGGGGGTGGTGCCACACACTTTCAAACGACCCAGTCTTGTGAGAACTCACGACTGTGAGGACAGCATCAAGGGGATGGTGCTACCCCATGATCTAGTCGCCTCCCCACTTCCAGCATTGGGGGTTACAATTCAATATGAATTGGTGGGGACCAATATCCAAACTCTATCACCCTCTTCCCCACCTTTTCCCAGCTCCAGCTCCCCACCCCACTCTTTGAGAGCTCTGCAGCCTTCGCTGAGGTCAGGAGAACTTTGGCTGCCTTGGCAGAAGGCCCTGAACACTGTTTCCTTCCTGAGGATGCATCCTCTTTCCCTGGGCAGGGAAAGAGGCAGATGGACATCTGGCAAAATTTCCCACTTGAGAAGTTTGGGATTCCGAGCCCATTCCTCCCTCAGTGCCAGGGAACAGTAGCCCAATTGTTCCAAACCCGTGTTCTCTGGGTCAGTGTGCCTACATCCCTCCTGACCATGACACTCCCATTCCTGGGCCTAATAATAGCCCCTTTTGGGGTAGGGCAGAGCAAAACTTGAGTTTGTGGCTGTTCAGATCCATCTGGTATCTTCCCCAGCTCCGCTCTCTGAATACCGCCCCACCATCCCACCAGCCTGCCATCCAGGTGGCTCAGAGGAACTGCCCTAGGACCAGGGGGGAAGACATCTCTGCTTTGTAGCCTCACTTGCTTCCTGGGGCAGAGGGAACAAGACCAGGACCGTTCAGGGGATAGTGGCGTCCTGGGTGAAGTGGGGCAGGTTCCAGGATAGATTTTCTGCAATGTGCTTTTGGCCGCTGGGAGGATGGGTGGTCTGAAAAGAGCACAGCCTGGGAGAATGGGTGGAAGGGAGGGTGCCTGTTTTTCAGGGCAGAGAAGAGGAGCAACGTACTGTGCACACATGGAAGGCACCCAGGACACGTTCACTGTGTCGAGCATCGTCGGGTTTATTAAGAAGGTGTCTTGGGAATGACTGTGAGCATGTCCTAGGCCTGGCCCTGAGCAGTTAAGGTTATAGCAGAAAGGACTTGACAAAGGCCCATGAAACTTACTAAAGGCAGAGTCAGAGAGAGGAGCTGCGGTGACAGCTGCTTGTGGCTGATGAGCATTACTGGCCAGCCCCCCCCCCCCCGCCACCCGCGTCCCCAAGTAGAGTGAGTGCCAGTCGCCAGATGGTTGGAGTGTAAGCCAGCTTGGGGCAGGAGATGGGACCTAAAGATGTCTGGGGGTCCTTTCTGCCTTTGACTCTAAGTCTTCAGGGCAGGAGAAACCACAGGAGTGCCGAGAGAGCGTCAGTTCAGAAAGACTTGCAGGGTCTCAAATCCTCTTCGGAGACAGACATGGGCGAGGGAAGACACCTTAAGAGAAATGGAGTTTTCCAGTCTACAGAGTACCCGTAGGGAGTACCCACTGAGTAGGTGTGACTTTGCCTGTGAGCCAGTCTAACTTCACGTCCATTGTCATCTCCTTTTGACGTTGGCCATCTGGTTTTGAGAATAGGCTGGGCGGTTCAAATCTCGGTCAGCCTCCTCCATGCTGGTGTCTAGCCCAGCCTCCTCTCCATGGATCTGTTGATGCCAGTTCGCTGCACAGGCTGTGCTTGTGGTTTCCCTGTCAACATCCCCCTGGGCTATTTGTTTCCCACTGCTGGGCTCCCAGACTCACTATTGAGAGGAGGAGCTCCCCCACCATCCTGCAGAAATGCTGACCCCTTGCCTGTCGCTTCTGTTGCTAGAACAGGGCAGCATGTACCTTCTGTGTGTGCATGCCAGTGGGGAAGCGCAGCGGGGCATGGAGGATGATGGATTAGAAGACTGCATCTTAATCAAATGACAGACTGACTGTCTGCTTGCCCCTTTCCCAGAGATGTGCTCAACCTCTCCGGATTAGAGCAACAGCCACTTCATTTTAATCAGGGAGCTAATGGCTCCCTGAATGCCTCTTTCCTGGCAATGTCTGTCCCCTGGGGATTTTGATGAGATTGCCCTCACATGACACTCATACTCCCTAGGTACTTTCCAGACTTCCTTCAAGGTGCTGTGGCCCCCCTAGGCACACTCTCTACTTATTTAGCTTTGAAATTGTCCTGCCTTTTCTGAACAGATTGGAGGTGTCATTCCTTGTGGGATAGACATGGGATAGAGTTTGTGAGGGCTGCAGAGGACCACTGGGGTGTAGCCCTTTCTTGGGGCTGCTGCTGTTTCTTTATGAAAATGTGTGCTCTCTTAGTTTCCTTCTGCCTTCTTGCCCTGGACTTAATGTTCCTGAACATTACACTCCTGATCTCCTGCCCTCTCTTGTTCTTCTCTCTTTCCTTGACAAACCTGCCCAGCCTCTTGGTTTCAGCTATGGATTCTGATAATAACTTCTTACATTAAGTGCCTTTGTAGTTTACAGAGCATTTTTACGTCCATTACACTCATTCCTTACAGTGAGCCTGGGAGGTGGAATAGATCATATTTTTTTTTTTTGGAGGATAAAATTGAGGCACAGAATGATTAAAGCCACAGTTTGGTTATGCCCCCTGCTCCCCAAAAGAATTTGACTTTGAGGTCACACAGTGTGTGGCTGAGCCCAGAACGGACCCTCCCTCACCACGTTTCCAGCTACATCTGGTGTCTCCATAAACATCTTCCACTGGTCTTTCAAACTTGTTTCAACTTCTTGCTTCAAAAGTCCTCCTTGGTCCTCTGGTTCGGTAATGGATCCCACCACCTGCCCAGCTCCCAGGCTGGAAACCTCTGTCTGCCCCCCTCCGTACCCATGCCGCCTCCCTGAGGCCCCTCCTGTCCGTCCCACCCGTTCCTGTGCATTTTTACTGCCATGCCCCTAGGCCAGGCCTCACTTTGCCCAGTCACTCGGTTGTTCCCTGATCTCCCTGTCCCTAGTTCCTCTTAGTTCATTCGATACAGGCCTGCCAGAGTCTGCTTCCCAGGGCCTTAGCCATGTTAACAGCCCTCTCTCTGCTTCTGCACAAGGCCCCACCACAGAAGCCGGTAGAATTCATGTTCCTCCATCTTGTCACCTGGACCCTCCAGCTGCGAGTCTTTCTCAATGACTCCAGGCACCCCGCGGGTGGTCAGACCTCACTGCTCTCTGTTCCAACCAGTCACACATGGAGCCTCCCAGGAAGTGTCACTTCCTGTCCCACTTCCTGCCCGCATGGCTCCTGCTTTCCTTCCTGCCCACCATTCTCTCCAGATCAATTACCCGTGCTCATTACCAGCCCTCCCCCTTTTCCTTAAAGTTTCTGTCTCAAACGTTGCTTCTTCCATGAAAACTTTGCTCTCTCCTCAAGGCAGAACCTCTGAATTCCTCTTGGCTTTGCCTCCCTCCTACAATCCTTCGTGCTTTTCACTCGTACCTTGGTCGTCTGTGCCCATGCCCGACGTTCCTGAGGGCCGAGCCCATGTCTGACTTGTCCACAAGGTCGGAATGGACTGTGGTTAGGGCTGCTCTCCGAGCACCTCCATATAGCAGGTGCTGTCTTAGGGCTTCACATATGTTTGGTTTCATCTCCACATCATCCCTCCAGGGCAGACATCCTTACCTTTGTTTTATGAATGAGGGAACAGGCCTAGAGAGATTATGTGATTTGTTCAAAGCCTCTGAGTGAATGATGGAGCCAGGATTTGAACTCTGGATGTCAGACTCCAAATCCCGCATGTTTTCCTCCTGCAATGCTGCACCTTGTTGATGAGTGGGGTTGATTGCCCCTTGTCGTCTCACCATGCACAAGGGCAGTGCTGGCTTAAAGGATTTCATTTTAAATCCCTTAAAATTAAAGGATTTTATTTCAAAGAAATTAAACTTTCCTCCATTTCTTTGAATAAATTAGGACTACCCATGCTGGGTCAGCAGTCCACCCATCGGGCATGGATGGTGGGTGGGGTGGGATGTTTCCTCCAGGGCTGTCTTTGAAGGTCAGAAGCGTCCAGTGCCCCTGTTTCCTGTCATGGCCCTTGTGTCTCTCTCCCTGGTGAGTTTATCAAAGTCCTCTGGATCTTAGCCATGTTTTTATCCTGTGCCACCCTGCATGGTAACGAGCCCCTTGCCTTTACCCATTGCGTAAAGCTCAGACGCCCTTTATTTGTCCTCAGATAATGCTTTCGAGCTTCAAGGGTTGCCTGGGGTTCTATTTCAGGATCTGTTAGGCAGGTCTGTGTTGGCCCTCTTCACTGTCCTTCATGATTTTGCAGACTCTGATCCAACCCCATCAGCCCTGTTTTTCCAGAATGGAGTTCATGCCTTTTTAGGGTTCACCCATCATGTCTCACTTTTTCACATGCCTCTTGGGTGTCTGGTGTATTTCATGTGTGAGAATGAGTCTCCCCAGAAGAGTGGGGTGCCCTGAGGGCAGGGCCATTATTCCCTTTCCTCTAGACCTGCCCACAGCTCCACACACAGGAAGACCTTCTCATTGCACAGGTAGCCCAAGACGCCCTGTCCTTCTCCCACTCCCAGGCCTGGCCAGCCCATGCTGAGGCCAGCTTCTCAGCAGCCACAGATATCACCCATCTCAGGTTGGCTGGCTCAGGGTGCAGTGTCCATGACACCAGAACCCTTTCCTGGTCCTGTGACGGAGCGCCAGAGGTATGCAGAGCTTGGCTTTCGGGTGACTGTTGGCTGCCAGGCCCGGGGAGCAGCCCGGTGAATGGCCATGATGGGCACAGCAGCCTGCCCTGAGGAAGGGCCTCGGGCCCTGAGAGGGACTGAGGTTGGACCGGGGTGACAGGGTGGCATATGGGGATGGCACTGGGCTCTGTTCCATGCACTCTCTCTTCTCCTTTCTGCCTCCTCCCGCTTCTGCCTTTCTTCCTCATCTTTATCTTCTTCTTCCTCCCCCTACCCCTGTGTTTTGGGAGTTATCTCAGTCAGAGGCATGATCTAGTACTACCCTCTCCCCAGGTTAGTGTCTGAAGGATTTCAGTTGGTGACTTTGTGGCACTGTGGGCTACTTAGAAGTTGTGGACATTTTCAAGATCAAAGGCTGTCTTTGGAGATGGCTGGGGAGACTTGGTGGCATGTAGAGCCCCAGCAGAGACCTCCTCCATGACTAAGCATTCAGCTTGCACCCGCTGTGTGCCGCAGGCTGTTCACAGGCCCCAGCAGTGAGCTGCCCCGGTGATGAAATCCCCTCGCATTGGTGGCATCCTCCCTGGTGGAAGGGTGCTGGGGGTGTGGGGAGGAGGAGGGGTAGGGTTGGGGACTCTGAGTGGCAGATCTCGACTAATGATGGTCATGTCTGAGAGGGGAGAAGGAAGTTCTTTTTTCAAAAGTTCTTTTTTCAAAAGTTGATTTCTGATTATAAAACTAGTATAGTCACTGGAGAGTACTGGAAATAATAGAGATATATGAAAATAGCATAAATTAAAGTCATTCACAATGCCATCATCTAGAGATAACCACCGTTCTGCTTCTGGTGAATTTCTAGGGCTGTATGTGTGGGAAGAGGTTCTTTTGTTGCAAAGGACATCTTTAGTTTTAAGGGACAGAGGGACACACAGGACGGTGGGTTCCAGCACCTCTGGCTGCCTGGGCCTCCTTCCTCTGACTGTTGGCACCAGCTGTCAGCCCCTGGAGGAATGGGCAGCCTGTCGGCACCGGCTTGAGCTCAGAGCTGGGATAGGAGTGTTATGCTGGAAAGGGGACCCGGCTCCCAGGGAGCCCCTAGTGTAGTGGAGAAATACGGAGCCAGAAGGGGCTGGGACCAACAGCTCACATGACAGCCCCTGCCTGAAGCAGAGTCCTGGCAGGGGGCCACTGGGCTTCCACCCAGACTTCTCATGGTGGGGACCTCATGGTTAAGCCACCACATCGGCCAGCTCTGGGTCCCTGCGTGAGTGAGGGTGAGGGGTCGTTTTTTACTTTGTAGCTTCTAGCACCTGGTCCCTGTTCTGCCCCACTAGAGTCTCATGGGGCAGACCCCATGAACCATGGAGCGCCCCCCGCACTTAAAACTCTGCATACCTCCATGTTCAGAGTTGCCGTGTCCCTCAAGTTCTCTAAGACCAGACGCCTCTAGTTCCTACCCAGTTCCTGTGGGGAATATGATTTCCACACTCCCTGGTGCTGGTGTGGCCAGGGAGAGGTGTAGCCTCTGGCCAGGCTTCGTGGAGCAGGTGAGACTGGAATGGCGTTTAGAGGGTATGGTGATGGCAGCGAGATGGGGAAGCCCATTCCAGGCCAGGGAATGGCACGCAGGAATGTTCATCCGTGGCAGGTGTGTGCACAGGCCTGTGTGAGCGGGTGCTCTCTCCGGGGCCAGGGAGAAATCCCAGCCCCTGGGCTCCCCCCAGCCCCATGCCCTTATATAGCCGTCCCTGCACTCCCAGAGCTCCGGGGGTGGGGACGGAGCCCCCTCCTACTGTACACATGCGGGGAGCCTGCCGCTAGCTGGGCCTGGGCCGACTCTTGCAAGATCCTCTTGTCATCACAGCCGGAGTCAGCTGTTGGTTTGGGAAGCCTTCCCTGGTCCAATGTTTCACGGTGCGCAGCCAGAAATATAACCCTCCTGTTAGCCAAGAGCATGGGATCTTGGCAGGCATCCGTGTGGCCTATTTTAAACTGAAGGGAACAGAAAGAGGTGCCTCTCAGGCTAAGCTGAGGACCCTTCCTTTGCAGGGCTGAGTGAGCGGGCTGCTGGGGGCGTGTCACTTTCTCCCTTGAGGGCCGGTGGACATCTGTTAGGGGGAGGGGGTGCAGAAGGTGGGAAATGGGGCTATTTCAGGGCAGTCTGGAAGAAGGTTTTCACGATTGCACAGCAGGCCCTAAACTCACATTTGGAGGCCTGGTTGTCATGCCCTCCCACTGAACTGCTGCGTGGCGTGTCCGAGTGAGCCACTGCACCGCCCTGTTTACTCTCTCCCACCTGGAAAGCAGGGGCTCATGTGGATCTGACCCACCTCTCAGAAGTGCTCCTGTGTCCTCGGGGGTGGTGATCAACACGTTCTGGGATGGCTACAGAGCCTGTCGTACTGCTTCATGTATTACAGTCTCTCTCTCCCACCAGCCCAAGCCTGCCCTAAGCAGGCCCGCGTTCCTAAGAAAACCAAATAAAAAGACGATAGGAAAAATGCAGTAAAGATCATTAAATTGCTTAGGAGGCTGCCTGCCGGCTCAGTGAACAAAGTAATAACAATCACTCATGAAGGATGCAGTGGAGCCTGGTGCTTAAGATTTTGGATTCTGGCTTTGACCTGCCTAGCTCTCACCCTGGTAAGTTCCTTGACCTCTCTGGGCCTCGTTTCTCATCTGTGAATGGGGGTGACAGTGGCACCCACCTCCTCATAGGTTGTGGTGAGGATGCAGTGAGATAGTTGGTGGAAAGGAAGGGTGTCTGCCGCAGGAAGTGTTCGCTGAGCTCGGCCAGTGCCATGGGGTTTGCAGAACATCCTTGTAGACAGTCCCTGCGATGATGAAGCTCAGAGAGCACAGGCCAGCGATCAGCCCAGGTCCACTCGGGTAGAAATGGCAATCTTCATTAAAGGTCCACAGGGTGACAGGTGGGAATTGGGATCTGGCGACTGCCCTTGGACCCCTTTTATTGAGGGTGGGAGGCTGGTGGTGGTGGTGACAGGGTGTTTGTTCTGGAGGGAATGTGGGCAGTGTGTCCCTGGGAATGTTCTGTCTGCTGTGCGTGGGCCTGGTGGTGTGCCCTCCTGGCCAGGCATCAGCAGCACCTGTGGATGTTTGGAAGCCCCAGAACCCCAGGTGCGTGGCTGCAGCCCTGCAGACTCTCGTGCAACAGGAGGTCCAGGGTGGAGCCTGTGAAAATGCTCAGGTGATTCTGATGCCCAGCAGGGGAGTGGAGGGATAAGGATGATAGCGTCAAATGGGGCTGGGAACAAGTCCTGGCCCTCCTGCTGAGTCTTGGTTATCAACACCACCTCCTGTGACTGGTGTGAAGTGAAATGTAATGATGCATCCGGAGCACCCAGCCCCGAGCCTGGAGCACAGGCTGGTTCTGTAAATGGTGCTGACAGTAGTCACTCCTGCAGCACAGGCTGGGCAGGGGCCCATGCCTCTGTGAGGCCCTGCTTTGTTTTATTGGGGTCAGGTGCTTACTACCTTCAGGACTCCAGCTTCTTTTCTGACCTTTTCAATGCTCAGACGCTCTCTTCCTTGCCCTCATCCCTGGCCCCTGCCCCACCCCCTCAATGCTGAGGGAGTCTCTTCATTCTAGAGGTGAGAAGCGAGGGAGAACTGCCCACAAGTCAACAGAAAATGGACGCGAGTGCCCAGCCTTGCCCCTTCCCCTGGGTCAGGCCTGTGGGCACCTTCTACACCAACCTTGTGCCCGATCCAGGTTTCCAGCTACATGCTGGACATTTCTTCACCAAAGTGACAGCTAAAATGGATGACTCCTGGGTTCTGTCTTGTCCGTTCTGATGATGATGATGACAGCAGTATCCAGCCCTGTAGAACGTTCACCAGGCACCAGGCACTGCTTCAAGTGCTTTTTGTGTATTAACTTATTTTTGCTTTCTGGTGACCTTGAAGGGCATACTCTTAGTAAACCCGCTTAACATATATAGAAAATGGTTTGCACATGAACTGTGGGTCGTCAAGGGCTCTGTTTATGAGTATGCCTTCCCCAGTGCTGTCCTTATAATATTGATTCCAAGTCAGTTTCCATTAATGATCCATGAATGATGTCCAGCATGCACCACGTATTTTCATGTGGACATTTCTGTCTACGGTTTGTGACCACTGCATGGGGTGGATGCATCATGCACACATGTGTGTTGACTGTTGAGTGACTTGTATTTGTCGGTTTCCAGGGGACAGGGGAGAGGCTGGAAGGAGGGCAGCAGCTGCCCTGTCGCCAAGAGATTGGCTTTGACGCCAATCTCCCCACCCTGTGAGCTTCCTGCTGCAGTCTTCAGCTCCCCTTTGTCCCCCAGAGCCCAAAATAGCAATGCACAATCAGGAGAGACAATGAGTAGCAAGGCACGCAGCTGAGCAGGAGGGCTGATGGGTGCAGGGACAGTCAACCTTGGGCCTTCCGGCCTGACTCTGTCTGTCCCGCCAGCTCCGGGCTTTTTATAGAGAGGCTGTGTTAGGCGAGCCCGGGTGAGCTGTGCATGGACCTCATCTGACTGTGGCATGTGGACCCTTCGCAGAGGTGGCCTGAGGAGACATGGCCCCCAGGCTGACCTGGGTTTGAATCTCCCCAGCAGCTGACTGGCTCTGCCCACGGCCACATCACGTAATGGGAGCAGCGATCAGGGCAACTGAAAAAGGAAACGGGCCGAGCCCAACCCAGCTCTATTATTAAACTTTTCTCCAGCACTTTCTCCCCACTCAGCCCTTTGCCACCATATTCCTGAGATTGTCCCTGTGCCACCCCAAAGGCACATGGCCTTTGTAAGCTGGTGTGGGGAGGACGGCACGGGGGCCTGTGTCAATTCCATGGAAGCACCAATGGGATTTCTTTCTTGTTTGGTGTCATAGGGTAATTGGTTTTTAGAAAGAACTGGGGTGTCTAGCTCAGTAACCCAGAAGCCATAGACGCTTTTTCTTTTAGGTTACCCTTAGAATATGGTGAGTATCTTTCAAACAGACATGCTCTAGGCAAAGCCTTTGTGTAGACAAATAAATGAACCCATGAGGGTTTGGCTTTGTTGGAAATTGTTAGCATTCTCATCCGTACAGAGATGAGAGCATGATTTGGTAGAGACGTAGATCGTGTGGCAACAAGCTGGACACCCCTTTGTACCTCTGGTGTGGGAGGTCCCAGTAATCAGGATGTATGCTTGTGAGTTTTCTTGAGTTGAAAGCAACCCTTCTCTTGCCTGCTATGTCTTTCAGGCAGGGCTGTTAGCTGGTCACCCGCCTCTTGCAGTAGGTGGAGGTACCTCCTGCACCCAGATCTAGGCCGGTCCCCCATTGCCATAAATACCCCACTCCCACCCCTTTGCTGCTTTGGCCTTTCTTCAGACTGTTGGGTTGTCAGGAGCCAGAGAGGTGATGAAAGAATGAGAAAGAGGGAGGAGAGCTGTGGGGGCGGGGTCCCGAGGCCCAGTGGTGAGCTGGTGAGAGAGGCTGCAGGAGCCAAACCACGTCCGATAGCAGTCCTGGGGGCTTCGTAAGGAGCTGCCCTGGAAAGGCCGGGCCCCGCTGAGCGCAGCACTCAACTCATCAGAGATGACAGGACAGAGCCACTTAGGACCAGGGAAGGCACTTGCCGCAGGGGTCCGGCAGTCGCAGCCAGCATGACGGAGGCCCTGAGGCCAAGGCCACAGGCCTGGCGCCGGGCACCACATTGGGGTGGGAGGTGTCTGGTTCCCCCCAGAAGGCGAGTGGGTTATAAATAGCGGATGACGGGCTGTAGCGAGAGCTGCCTCTAGCGTAATCGTCGATTTCGGGAGCGGCCCGGCTAGGGCTGGGAGGGCCGGATGAGGTTAAATTCGGCCTTGTTGGCTGATTGGCATTTCTTGAGCTGGGTGCTAATCTCTTCAGGAGGTCAGATAAGCTCCCCAGCGGCGCCCCTGATCTTGACTTTGGTAGCTGGGTTAACTCTTTCGGGGGACTACAGAAAACCCCAAAGTCACGACTATTTCGCATTGCCTACAAGACAGCAGGAGCCATCATGGAGCTGGACTTCAAGAGGGTCCATCCAAGCGTGGGTTGGCTCCTGAAATACACGGCGACTCTCCCATATGGCCATCTCTCTGACGAGTCCATTCCCTGGGGAGGACTGTCCTGGGATAGTCCTGTAGTAAATGAAGAAATCAGCTTCTTCGCCCTGGGGAGTAGCTTAGATCCAGGGAGAACCTGGTTTAGTTGAATATCGAGGGTGAGTTGGGTGACAGGTACCAGGCAGGTGACATTGAAGTTTGGGTTTTCTTCTCATCCTGTCACCCTTCTCACAGTCTGATGAGTTAGGAGACCGCTCCCCACCAAGTTTCCAGCGACTCTTGTACTGTTCTCCAACCTTATAGGCAAGAGCAGAAAGTGCTGCTCTGTGGGTCTTGGGCTTTTGTACCTGAGTCTGCTGGTGGCATGACATCTCGCCAGTTCTGCAGGGAGTAAGGGTGGGTTTCTAGTCCTGCTTTCTCCTAGGGGTCTCGGAGGAAGCATGTGGGCAGTTCTCTGCTCTTTTTCCTTCGTGCACCTTGGGGTTTCAACCTGGTTTTCTCTTCCAGGTCCTACCCCATTTCCTCCCAAGTGGAGGATGCTGCTCTACTTCCTGCTGGGATTTATAGACCATACTATGGGTTTCTTGGAACCTCTTCTTTCCAGGACTGTGAAATCTGGTTCCCATGGAGTGTCCCAGCCCCCGACGAGCCATCCTCTGCTTGATGGCTGCTGTCTCTGCAGCATCCAAGAACAACAGTGGCTGCTTGTCCTATTACAAACTCAACTGACTGAAACCTGCTGAGACACTGTGGGAATAAATTATCCCCAACAAGCTCTCTTGTGAAAAGCCAGGCCTGTCTCCTGCACCTCCTGCCCCCTCTTCGCTGGCATCTCAGCAGGGTTCCCAGAGGCAGCCTGCTGCCTGTCCTGTTCTCACACCCTTTCTACCTACTGTGATGGTTTCTTTCTAACCACAAGTGTGATAGGTCAAGAGACTTTGGGCGGGAGGGGTAGGGGGGCGGCGGGGAGGCGACTTGTGCAGCAGGTGCCCAGAGGTGGTGAGGGTCTGATTCATTCCTTCTGTTTCTTTTTGTGTTCATCAGAGAAAGAGACCTCAGAGGAGGAGGATCTTAGATGGTTCTGCAGGACAAGCAGGCCCTTCCCCCCAGGCAGAGGTGTGGCCTGAGCAAAGCCATGTTTATGGGATGACAAACTTCCCTCCCTGTATTGTGGAGTAAGATGTTCACAATGGGGCTCCCTGGGAGATAAACCTGGGGTCAGCTCATGGAAGACCTTGAGTGCAGGGCAGAGGATTTGGGCTCCACTCATGGGCAGTGGGTGCCAGTGAAGCTCCTGAGCATGGACATGGCATGGTGAAAAGCAATTGCAGGAAGAATGATTGAGGGGGTGGCAGAGGAGAGAGGTGCAGGGATGGCTTTGACAGTGTAGGGGTCTCCAGGGCTGGTTCGTCTGCAGGTGCAGCTTGCTCAGTCTCGGGCTGAGTCCACAGGCTCTGGGGGTTCAAGAAGGGAGAGCCTTGGCGAGATTCATTTTGTGTCTGAGTCCTGTGGGTCTAAGACATGTCCTTTCCATCCAGGGATATATTCTGGGGCCCAGAATCACCTTGGTGTCCTCTCCTTTGAGATGGGGAAAGAGAGGGCAGGCCCTAGATTACTGTGGGGAGGGAGACCTCAGTGAATGTCTCTGGCCTGGGTCATGTAGCTTGCTGTCTTCTGGCAGCAATGAAGAGTGGTCGTGGGAGCCTTGACTAACCCTGTTTTGAGCTGCTGCTTGGCATTTGAGACCACAATGTCAGGCAATCTTGTGGACACCATTTCTTATCTTCCCTCCTCCTCCTCCCACCAAGGCTGCAGGGAGCTTGGGGTAACTCTAGAACCCAAGCAGCGCTGAATAACATCATTCCTTGACCCACTCCCCTGCCCTCAAGTGCCGGCTCCCAAGATCTTCTCCCAAGCCATGAGAATGGTGGGTTGACCTGGGGCCAGACTTCCCTTGGTTACTTCCAGCAGAGATTTATTGAAATCTCAATGCACAATGCGAATGTATTCATGGTCTCAGTGGACCAAGAGTGCCCAGAGGGCAGCCAGACTACATTGCCCCCCACTGTCTCTTGTCCTTAAGGTGGGATCCTGAGATGAGATGGCTGATACCCCAGTGATGGTGCCTCTAGGCAGCCCAACACCTGTGGAGCTAGAGGTTGGGCTGATTTAATTAGAAATAGAGTGTGGGTCTGAGCCCCCAGCCAGTATCCAGAAAGAAGGAATTTTACATGAATGTCCACTCTGTACTGAGCATGGTGCTTATTTAGCCTATTAGTTTGCTGCTATCATTTTCATTTTGTATGTGAGGAATGAAGGCATAGAGAAGTTAAGTCACTTTCCTGAGTTTGCAGAGCCAGGACAGGTATTTCGCCTCACTGGAGTCCACCGCCTTCATAGCCCAAGTTCCTTCTTGCTCTTCTTTGACAGAGCTTTTCACAGCCTGCAGCATTTTCTCTTTGCCGTAACTCAGTACCCTGCTACCACTCCCAGGATCCTGGTGATGCTCTAGAACTTTATTCATCATATACTAAATGGTACTTTAGAGGAAAGTTCTCAAGGACAGATTTCCAATCCCTGGTCTCCTCCCTCCCTCCATCCCTCCTTCTACAGGTATTTACTGAGCCCTTACCATGTGCCTGGCACAGTGCATCACCGTAGGGGTGCATGAGGAGCAAGTCAGGATCTCTCCTGTCACAGAGCTCACGTTTAGCAGGGAAGACAGACAATGATAAATAAACACTTGAAGTAGTAACAGACTGTCACAAGAAACGGAAAGGAAGCAAGGAAAACTTGAAGGATAAGCATGAGCCAGCCATGTGACTACCTAAGGAAGATCATTCTGGAAAAAGGGAACACCAAAGGCAAAACAGAGTGATGGGCCTCGGACCCAGCAGAGGCCTGTGAGTGGGAACCCAGCACGGGGGTGGCGAGGAAGGCAGAGGCCAGGTCTTGTCGGCCGTGGGAAGGACTCTGTTCCACATGTGAGCAAAAACCACTGGAGAAATTTGAACAAGGACCATCCTGGCTGCTCTGTGGGGAATGGGTTTGGAGGAGCCAGAAGGGCTGCTGGGAAAACAGAAAATGATAGCAGTGTAGCAGTGGAGGTGGGGAGAGATGGATGGACTGGAGATGGGAGTTGGAGGCAGAGCTGGCAGGCCTCACTGATGGATGAAAGAGTCACTTGGTTCTCTGTAGCTTGAGCAGGAAGATTTCTGCTGAGAACCTAGTACGCGTGAGATGCCTGTGAGGCATCCAGGCAGAGATAACAAGGGGGCACGTGGGTGCAGGAGGCTGGAGCTCCCAGGCAGGGCTGCCCACTCCGCTCAACGGGAGTCAGATGGGGGTGGCCCCTCAGGGCATTTTACCATCCTGTGCGGTGCTGGACATAGTTTTTGGCATAGTTTGTGCTTAATAAGTGACTATGGAAAGAGCAAGATGATGGCGTGAATGAGTTACCCGGACAAAGCTCATTAGCAGTCCCTGTTGTCACATGCCTTGGGGTGGGGATGCAGGTTTGTTCCCAGTGGATGTAACACCATTTCTGTGCCAGTGAAGAATTTGGATGTACTTGGTATTTGTAGGGATGGGGCTTGACCCTTGTGGTTCTTGACAGCAGAAGTGGAAACTTTTCCCCAGGGAACCAGCTGGGGCTACACAGAACAGGGCGAACCCTCATAGTCCCGTGCTGCTGGGAGCTGGCCTTCTGTGAAAACATAGTTCAGCTCAGAAAATATCTCTCGGGATCCTACTCTACGCGAGGCACCGTAGGAGATGCAAAATGAGCAAGATCCAGGCCTGCTTTCAAAGAGTTCGCTGGGGCAAGTCCAACAGCAGTGAATATCTGCAGGGCAAAATGTGTTCAGTGAGGGAAGTCAGGTGCTCCTGGAATACAGAGGTGGAGGGGCAGGGAGGGCGCAGGCCATGGGCCCTTCATGGAAATGATAGGCACTGCTGAGTGGTGGAGGGTGGAGGGAAGGGCGTGGCTGGTGGAGGACTCCCAGAGTAGAGGCATCAGCCCCAAAGACAGGGGGTGTGTTCCCAGAGGGATGAGGACCCTAGATTGCAGGTATAGTTGCAAAAGAATATGGAAATGATGAGCCTCTAGAGGCCTTGAAGGAACGCCATGATCAGCCATATCCCTTGGGTTGTAGGAGCCCTCTCGGGTCTGGAAGGTGTGATGTGCTCTGGGCAGAGTGATTGGATTGTGGTGACAGAGAGGAGGTGGGGTGACCAACCCGAACTCCTACCCTGTGTTCTGGCCAAAGGGATGAGACTGGGAACCAGGTCGGGAGAGTGGAAAGGAAGAGGTGGCTGCAGGAGATTTGCGGGGATGTGGCCTAAGGATTAGCAGGTGGATGAAATGTGGAGGGTAATAGTGGTGATGGTGATAGTTAACTTGTATGAGTACTGACTCCGCATTAGGCTGTGTTCTTGTTCTAAGAGCTTTAGAAGTTTTGTCCTATTTAATATTCACAACAGCTTAATATGGTAAGTACCGTATGCATTTTTGGAGGAGATAGCATTATTATCCCCATTTTACAGATGAAGATTTGGAGTCACTGAGGTCAGCTCACCCAGAGTTATATCTGGCAAGGGGTAGAGCTGGGATTCAGAACCTAGGCGCTGGCTCGAGCCTACGCTCTCAACCATGGGCCCCAGGTCCAAGCTGTGACTCCCGGCTGGAAGAATAGATGGAGAACTGCGTCTCCAAAGTAGGGGACACAGGCGGAGAAGCATGTTCAAAAGACTAGGACAGACACTTTGCCTCCGAAGATGTGACTCGGGGCATGCATGACACACAGGAAGTGGGCCTACTGCTTTTCAGTGCAAGCAGGGAGTTTCGGGCATTTTGCGATTTGAGAAGCAACGTGGGCACCCTGTTCAGGAAACCTTGGTTTTCACCCTCATGACGAACTGGGAAAAGAAGCCCTGAGGGGTACCTGCACCTGGTGCAAGAGCAAGACCCTGACCCGTCCTGCATGTCCAGTGTCCACAGACTGAGGACACTGGGCTTTGTGTGACTGTGAGGGCACCTGACGCAGCCTTGCCCTTCCCCCAAGGATGCTCTGGCCTGGGTGGCACTGGCTAAGCATCCCCATTTCAGGGACTTGGTGACCCGCTTTTTGCGGAAGGGGCAGAGTCTGCAGGATTACATCGTTGGAGGTTTGCTTTTGCAACAGAGGTCAGAGTTTCCTGAACTGAAGCCAGACTCTAGCTCCCTTGAGCAGCTGGTGCCAGAAACCTTAAGGTTCTAGCTCCAAGTAAAATCTGGTTCTTTTTCTCTTGAATAATTTCTACTTCCAGAGATGCAAAGCCGCCACGTGGATGGCAGTGGCACTGCTCCCTGTTTGTTTGTGGGTGTCTGTTTTGTGGGTGCCTGGAGGCAGCACCCTAAATCCCTCCACTTGCAGTGTTATTTCTTTTGGCTCCCGTGCCAGCCTGTATCTCAAAAGTCACTCTTTTGAGAGCTGAAGGGAACGCAGAGCCACAAAGTGCAGGCATCTGCATTCTGCCGTGCCCTCCTCGGCTCTCTCTGGCTGCTGCTCTTTTTTTTTTTTTCTGTTGAATAAGCAAAAGCAAGAGCAAATGTATTCCTCGGATCTCATATGAAAATGTGTAGTAATCGTTTCTTTTTGCTATTTTCAATATATTTCTGTTCTGTTCATTGAACTTTGTTCTCGGTGCCTCTTGCCAGCTCACTATTTATCACATAGGTCATCCCTCCACCCTGCCGTTTGCCCTTTATGAAATGGCATCTTTCCCCCTCCAGGTCTTGGTGGTGGGAATGCTTATCCTTACCGTGTAGGGGTGGGAGGAGCGGAGGGAGGGCCTGCTGGGATCTGACTTAAGAGCCTCCCCCAGCCTGTAATTGGTCAGAGGCCGCGCACAGCTCCGCTCGTTCCAGGTGAGTAAAGCGCCTGGACTCAGACGTAATTGATTCTGACTGATATCCAGGTTGGGGTGTAATTAGCAGTCTTGATTTAATGGCATTGTGGCCTGAGACTGCCATCTCCTCCCTTGTATTTAAATGGCCATTTCCCTCGGCAGGCAGGAAATTGGCATCAGACCTCGATGGTGGGACCCTGAGTAAGTCGCATCTCCGAGCCTCGGTTTCCTTAACCAGGGCCTTTGACCATGATGTCGTCTCACAAGGGGGCGAGCAGTAAATGGCAGCACGTCTCAGGCCCAGCTCACGTGACACTTGGACATCACTTCCTGCCACTCTTAGGGAGGCAGATGTGCTGGGTTCCAGCCTCCTGGCTCTGTGGGCAAGTCACTTAGCCTCGGAGGCCTCTGCCTGCTCACCTGTGAAATGGACTCATAGCAGTTGCCTTACCTGTCTCATACAGCCAGGGAGAGGACTAAGCAGAAGCACAGTCATAGGTTCTTAGGGCTGGAGAGGGCTTTGGATATTATTAGTTTCAACCTTTTGTTTTATAGGTGGGAAAACCAAGGCTCAGAGGAGTGAGTGACACCCAGGATGACCTGGCCCGTTGGCAGCACATAGTCAGTGAGCCGTGTTGTTTGGGCTTCATGACATCGCTTCGTCTAAAGGCTTACCTGTCTGTCAGCTCATAAGCATATGCGGAGAGGCGCACCTCTCCACGTGTGGCGGTGGACGGGCAGATGGCCCTTCTCCTCCATATGCTCTGGCCTGTATGAGCAGGAGGGTCTGAAGGAGGTGGTGTAGCAACGCACCGGCCTGGGGAGGCGCTCCTGTTGCTGAGCTGAAAACTTCTTTGCTTCAGCATTCCCACTTCCCTCCTTCACTCGGGCTCCCACAATCCATATATGTCTGTTTATGAAAACCAGGGCCTCTCTGTGCCCAGCATTGTGCTTGATACTAGGGAATTGTGCAGAGAGGTCTGAAGGGAGGCAGGACAGGCACCCGGCAAAGTCAGTACTAACAAGGCAGGAGAACGTTCTGGGGCCGATGACGGCCAGTCGAGCCACTGCAGAGTGTTGGGGGGTGAGGGAGGATTGTGAGCCTGGAGGAAGAGGTGGGGCTTCAGCTGGGCCTTGATGGCTCTGGATTGGACCGAGAACAGTGCAAAGGGAAGAGGAAGGCTTTTTAGGTAGAGGGACATGCCGTGAGCGGGTCTGGAGGTGGAGGTGTGGAAGGTGCATTTTGTGAACCGGGTTTACAATGAAGAGCAAGGAGGCTCTGTGAGAGGAGCATTTTTATTTGCAGAGTTTTTATCAGGTAGTGATTGGGCAGGCAAGTGTCTCAGTGATTTAGGTCACCCAGCAGAGCACTTGGGACCGTTACTTTGGCTCAGAGCATTGCTGAGAGCCTGACTGTACCTGTCGCTGTGACACTTGGCTCACCCGCCTCGAGGATGTAATGGGGCCAGAGGGAGGCAGGTGACCTCCCAATCCTCCCCCTGTCTGAGAGGCCTGGGTCGAATGGGGCACAGGGGACCCGGGGAAGGGGGTGGGGACCCAGTCTTGCTTTGGATTTGCCTCGGCCCCTTCTGGGTCACAGAACAGCTTCCCGCCCGCCAGCCCGCCTCAACCCACCTCCTCTGGAGCTGGCTTTCCGCTTATCTTAATTTATTGATGAAAACTTGTTTTACGGTCCAGAGCACAGACGGCAGCAGCTCCCTGCCAAAAGAAAGCACGCCTGCAAATCGGGAAAGCAAGCCGCCTCCCGGAGATGGGTGGCTGGGGACCGGCAGGACGGCAGAGGGAGTAGAGCCCATCTGGGCAGACGCTGCTGCAGGCCTGGGTGGACAGGGCTCGGAGAGGCCCAGGAGCAGCCTCTGTGTGCCGGCTGGGGCCGGGGCAGTGCGGGCAGTGGCAGGACCTCCCTGCCTCTCTCCACCACAGGCTCCCGACTCACGGCTGGCCTCCGTAACCTAGGGAAGGATGGCTGCAGGCTATAAATACTCATAATGGCTTTCATTTATAGTTGTGTGCAAGGCGCCATGCTAGGAAGTTTATTTTCATGAACCTCATTTAATCCTGACGACGACTCTATGTGGTAGGTACCATTAATTCCCATTTAAAACATGAGCACCAGAGAAAAAGTCGTTTTCTGCGGTCCTGCTGGCTGGTAAACGAGGGAACCTGGAACTTTAACCGGGTCTACCTGGACCCAAGGCCAGAGTCAGCCACGGCTGTCTCTAACCCACACACTCCAGCTCTGGCCATTGTCCTATCTCACACTGCAGCCACCTCTCCAGCCTGGTGGTGTTGGTCCAGCTGGCCCGGCTATTCCCAGGGTAGGACCCTGTCTCACGATCTTGTGTGTGGTAGAAGCCAGCGCAGTGCTGGGCTCAGGGCAGATGTGTGCAAGGTACCTGCTGAGTAACTAACTGGCTGGAGGATCCCATGGGCAGGTTACTCTTTTCCAAAAAGCAGAAATCCTTTCAGTGGCTTCTATGCTTTCCTCTGAAACTCCGCATCCTTGTGGGTCAAATAAGGAAATTCTCAACATTCTTGCTCACTACATCAGTGAGTTACAGGCACCGCGTGGAAAAGGGTCCAACTCCAAGGGCTCCAGTGTTTTCACCTGTAAAATGGGCTCCACTCAAGATCGTCATCACCGTTTGCAGAGACACGGTACATGAAAGCGCCCTCTGGAAAACAAATGGCAAAGCATTGTTATTATTTCCATGAGCTCCTGTTTTGTGGAGATACAGGTGCAAAAAGGTCCACTGAGCTGCAAATTTGTTTATTTTGTTCCTCCTTGCTTCCTCTTGGAGAGTGGTGGAGCCAACAGCTTTCACAGCTCTGGCAGAATCAGCAAAGCAGGTAGTCGCCCTCGGCTGGACTGAGCGTCTGTCCGCTGCCCCTGCCTGCTGTGGCCGTGCGCCCCCTCCTTTCCCCACGCCACCACCTGGGCTGTGTGTCTGGGTCCCTCCACTTCTTGGCATGCCTGTGTCACCTCCCCCAACTCAGGTTGGGCTAGAAATTTGTCGAACATGTTTGATAAAATGGAATCTTAGATCTTTCTCAGGTCTGTAGGAGGCAGGTAGAGGTTATAATCACAAGGGTCATAGCAAATTGGGTTAAAATCCCAGCTCTGTCAGCTCCATGTGTGAGCTTAGACAGGATACTCAACCTCCTTGATCCTTTGTAAAGTCAGAGAAAATGATAGTGACTGCCCTGTATGGCATTTGTGGAAAGGGTGGGACTCAGTTCTTGGTGTGTGATACGGGCTCGGTTAATGCCAGCTTTCTCCTCTGCTTGGCTGCCTCCATCCCCACTAGTGTCTTCACCAACACTACTTCTTCATCCCGTCCTCCTCGGCTACAAGGAGCACTCCAGGCCCAGAGGCTTGTGTCTGCACACTCTATCACAGCTAGCCTTCCTTTCTCAGAGTAGGGACGTGTCTGGGTGACACTCTTTCTGGCTTTCATGGGAAAGAGCCAGGCAGATGACCCAGATCCCAGCAGCAGGAGGTGGTGGGTAAGAATGTGGTTTTTGGAGTCAGATGTCCTGGGTTTCTTCACTGAACCTCGCTATGCTTGTGTTCTGTCATCTGCAAAATGGGGAGGACAAAGATGCCACTGGGTTGGGAGAATTAAATGAGGCTATAGAGGCAAAGCACTCAGACTAGCACTGGTGCACGATCGGCACTCGTCCACAGCCACAGAACATGAGGAGGAAGGGCAGGGAAGGCGGGCCGTGGGCACTGGGAGCAGGTGCAGCTGTACCACGAAGAGCTCCGTGACCTGGGACACGTTTGTCTGGGGAAACTGTGGACAGGCCAGCAGCTTTCAACGGAGTAACCTGAATTGCCATGCACATGTTGCAAACAGGATGGGTCACAGTCTCCTGTGTGACCAGGAGAGCCCTGAAGTGGGCACAGTCTGGCACGGGGCAGGGAGGGATCTCAGGTTGTCACTTAAGTTGGTGCTGAGACCATCTCTGGCAGAGAGACCTGCGCTGAGCCATCCCGTGTCCCCCATGAAGCATGTCAGAAATGCCAAAATGCTGGCGTGGGTGGACGCGGCTCCCGGCTGGCAGTATAAATAATCAGGCTGTGGGCACAGGATCCCCAGGGAGAAGATGCTCCACATGTGGGCCCTGTCAAAGGGCTAGAGCTAGAGAGTGTGTGGGTGGCTGTGTTGGGGCCAGAGGTGGACCTGGTTGTCAGGCAGTCTTTCCTGATACCTATTTGTGTAATTATGGTGTTACTTGCTGAGCTAGAGCCATGGAAGATCACCCTCATTACATTATTGAAAGGGCCTCCGACCTGCCATGGGTGGAGCCGAGGCAGCTCTGCCGAACGAGAGGCACCCAGTCATGAAGTCTTCACTGTGTGACTTTTCTTCACCTCTGGGGGCACCTCCTTTCCCAAAACAGGGAGAATGGAGCCCCCAGCCCCTTCGCCATCCTGAAGAATGAGTTACAGTCTCCTAGACGATTGGAGCTCTTTGCCAGAAGATGGTATCCTTGTCCTGTTCTCCCTGCATTTTCCAAGGAGTTTGAGTAATAACACCTTGTACAGCATTTATATTCTGAGGAACACAAAGTGCTCGGCAGGCGGAACCCTGTTCATCCCCACGGTGTCCCTGAGTGCTGGGGAGGTGCTCTTCTCTCTCTGGTTTATCAGAGAAACATCTCAGAAAGGTTAAGTGGCTTGCCAGAGCTGCACTGCACCTCCTGCTCCCCTGGGCTCCAAGTCCTGAGGTCTGGGCTGCCCATGGTTCTGCCTTCTCTGGGAAGCCCAGGTAGCTGCCAGTTACATTGCCATCCTTGAAGGTTGGTTTCTTAAGCCCATCTTGCCTCTCACAGCAGCCCTGGCTTCACAATTACTGTGTGCTTTGATGCTGTCAGAAATGCCTTTCTCCCCAGAAGCACAAAACAAAACAAATGCAGGAAGGAAAAAATATGCTGGTGGTTGGAAAATCCTTTCTCAGACCCGTCTGACAAGCTATTCTGAGTTCTTGGTGCCTTCCCTTCCACTTTACAGTGACCTTGGGAGTTGAGACAGTGCCGTGTGCCGGGGCCTCAGGCTGCCTCCTCGTGGTTCCTCCCTGGGCAGCCGTGGCTCTGGGCATGCAGGTCATGAGAGCCACCTGACCATCCCCCACTCCTGCCCAACGTAGAGTGCCCACCCTGCACATCATGCAGTGTTACTGGGTGCGGGCGGCCTGAGGCTCCACGCTGCCTTCTGACCAGTGCTGACAAGTTCCAGAGTTTGGGGAAAAGGCATGTCGAAGGGTCCTCCTCACCCCCTACTCTCCCAGCAAAGGGCAGTCCCCTCCACCAGCTCAGGGAAGCGAAGCCTCCAGTGGAGGCCATGACTGGTTTGTCAGCCTCCCTCTTGGGAATTTCTTCCCCATGCCTATTCCGTAGGTGCTGCAGCCTGCCCTCCGTGCATTCCTGCAGCCTACCCTCCGTGCGTTCCTGCAGCCTGCCCTCTGTGCGTTCCTGCAGCCTGCCCTCTCTGTGTTCCTGCAGCCTGCCCTCTGTGCATTCCTGCAGCCTGCCCTCTCTGTTCCTGCAGCCTGCCCCCTCTGTGTTCCTGCAGCCTGCCCTCTCTGTGTTCCTGCAGCCTGCCCTCTCTGTGTTCCTGCAGCCTGCCCTCTCTGTGTTCCTGCAGCCTGCCCTCTCTGTGTTCCTGCAGCCTGCCCTCCGTGCGTTCCTGCAGCCTGCCCTCCGTGCGTTCCTGCAGCCTGCCCTCTGTGCGTTCCTGCAGCCTGCCCTCTCTGTGTTCCTGCAGCCTGCCCTCTCTGTGTTCCTGCAGCCTGCCCTCTCTGTGTTCCTGCAGCCTGCCCTCTCTGTGTTCCTGCAGCCTGCCCTCCGTGCATTCCTGCAGCCTGCCCTCCCTGTGTTCCTGCAGCCTGCCCTCTGTGCGTTCCTGCAGCCTGCCCTCCGTGCGTTCCTGCAGCCTGCCCTCTCTGTGTTCCTGCAGCCTGCCCTCCGTGCGTTCCTGCAGCCTGCCCTCCCTGTGTTCCTGCAGCCTGCCCTCCGTGCGTTTCTGCAGCCTGCCCTCTCTGTGTTCCTGCAGCCTGCCCTCTCTGTGTTCCTGCAACCTGCCCTCCGTGCATTCCTGCAGCCTGCCCTCCGTGCATTCCTGCAGCCTGCCCTCTGTGCGTTCCTGCAGCCTGCCCTCTCTGTGTTCCTGCAGCCTGCCCTGTGTTCCTGCAGCCTGCCCTCTCTGTGTTCCTGCAGCCTGCCCTCTCTGTGTTCCTGCAGCCTGCCCTCCGTGCGTTCCTGCAGCCTGCCCTCTCTGTGTTCCTGCAGCCTGCCCTCCCTGTGTTCCTGCAGCCTGCCCTCCGTGCGTTCCTGCAGCCTGCCCTCCCTGTGTTCCTGCAGCCTGCCCTCCCTGTGTTCCTGCAGCCTGCCCTCTGTGCGTTCCTGCAGCTTGCCCTCTGTGCGTTCCTGCAGCCTGCCCTCTGTGTTTTTCCAGCCTGCCCTCTCTGTGTTCCTGCAGCCTGCCCTCTCTGTGTTCCTGCAGCCTGCCCTGTGTTCCTGCAGCCTGCCCTGTGTTCCTGCAGCCTGCCCTCTCTGTGTTCCTGCAGCCTGCCCTCCGTGCGTTCCTGCAGCCTGCCCTCCCTGTGTTCCTGCAGCCTGCCCTCCCTGTGTTCCTGCAGCCTGCCCTCCGTGCGTTCCTGCAGCCTGCCCTCCCTGTGTTCCTGCAGCCTGCCCTCCCTGTGTTCCTGCAGCCTGCCCTCTGTGCGTTCCTGCAGCCTGCCCTCTGTGTTTCTGCAGCCTGCCCTCTCTGTGTTCCTGCAGCCTGCCCTCCGTGCGTTCCTGCAGCCTGCCCTCTCTGTGTTCCTGCAGCCTGCCCTCTCTGTGTTCCTGCAGCCTGCCCTCTGTGTTCCTGCATAGGGATGGGAGACAGCTGTGCCCTCTTGCTCACTTGATCTGCCCAGGGTCTGCAGCAGAGGCTTGCAGTCTAGAGGCCACATCCTTCCATGCCCAAAGTGAGCAGGAGCTGCACGGGCTGGTAGGAGCTTGGGATTGCTGAGTCACAAGCGCTCCCTGTGTGGCCCTTTTTCGCTGCACCCACCCGCACCCCCTCTCGTGGCTGCACTGTGCATCCTCTGTCTGGGAAGAGCCCCTGGCCCCACTGCCCAGGCCCAGGATGGGCTTGATTGGGAAGAAGATGTGGTTTTGCCCCGCGTGCACAGCCTGTCCTGGTAGGGCTGCGGCGGCAGCGGGAATCGATGTTTATGGACTGGTGAATGATCACTCCTCTTCTACAAGGCTGGCAGGTGCTCTCTATTATCTGCTGCTCTTTGGCATCCCGGCCACACGTCATTTTGTGGTCCTTCTGAGGGCTGTTCCTCGGACTTTGTTCCTTCTGACAGCTTCGGCCCTACACCGGGCCCCCTAGGAGGTTCTGAACATGCCTCTACCTTCTTTTCCAGTTCCCCATGGAGGAAGAAGGCCTGTGGGTCAGTTTGAGAAGTAGAAAGATGCTGGCACCCAAGAAAGTGGACTTAAGGCCCGCTGTCAGGTGGCCTGGGGATGGGGTATAGATGGAGGTGCGGGAGGTGACCTGCATCGTCCTGTAGCCTTTCTCCCAGAAAGAGGCATAGCTTATAATGGGGTGTGTGGGGACAGCACATGATAGATGCCCCCATCCCTCCCCTTCTCTGGTCCTTGCTATCTAGGCATCGCCGTGTTGGGGACTGGGCCATCTCTCACCCATGCCTTCATCTTTGAAGCCCGGAACAGATTCAGGTTCTCCCTGCTCCCAGGGCTATACCAACCTAGAGTCTCACAGATGCCTTGATTGGAGCAAGCCCCCAGGCAGGGCAGGTGCCCCCCATACTGAGGCTAGGCCAGGAAGCCCAAACAGATGGGTAGCACTTCAACAGGGCCAACCCTGCTCCCAGCTAGGGGCCAGAGGACACCAAGCCCTTTGTGGAGCTGGGGGCCAGGACTGCTGGTGACTGGGCATTTATCCCACCACGCAGGGCCCTGACACCCCTGGAGGGGGGTAGGGGCTGTCCCCAAAGTCTCGGATAGAATCTCCTTCATCGTGGACTCTTCCACCCCAATATACACTTCGGGATTTTAGATTGCAAGAGGTGTAGGTATTGTAACAGGACTCACTCTCAACTGCTAGGGGTTTTGGTCAATTGGGGAAGGGTTACAAAGTTGGCTGGAGAGAATTGACAGTCTTGAAACATAATTCAGGAGCTTTATAACTGCAGAGGCTTGCAGCCCCCAAACACGATGCCCCTTAAGTTTGGCCGTGGGTAGACATTCTCTCTTAGAACTGTCTCACATGGAGAATAACCCCATTCTGGTATAATCAAAATGTAACTGGGTTGTAGATATGCAAATGCTTTATGTAATGTTTATTTGGAGGAAAATTAGGCACAAAAATATGGGTGTCATCTCCCTGACACCTTTGTAAGTTGGTGAGATTAGGGGCTGCAAAGTGAAGGTATGAAGGTGAATTGGAGGCTTTGAGAGAAAGTGTGGGGTCCAACAGTAATGACCAAGGAATCATGCCATCTGGCTTGAAGTTATGCACCAGCTCAGTGTGAGACTAAACTGTGCTATGGCTGCCACTCAAGCCAATGGGGCCTTAGGCTGAATTACTAGAAGTATAGAGCTCAGAACGTAGGAGGGGAAGAGCTGGGTCCTACCATAGCTGGAGCCTAACTTTCAGTTTGAGACAGGCCTGTTTTACTTGTTCTTAGTGGGCTTCTTGGGCAAAACTAGGATTGATGCATGTTAGCCACAGGGAAGTAGATTCTTGCATTAATAAGAAAGAATTCCTGGCTGATTAGAGGTATGCAGAAAAAAAAAAAAAAAGAAGAATGGAGTGCATTGTGGGATGGTGAGCATTCAGCCCCTGGGAGACCCGTGTGGCTGCATCCCACCCCATGGTTCCAAGGTGCTGTGGTCCTCCTACCTGCTGGGTGACTTCAGCAAAGATGTGTCTGTGACTTTGTCCCTTCATTTCTCTCCATGCAGAATTGGAGGCATCGTCTGCTCTCTTGCCTTCCCTGCCCCTCCTGCCTCTCCCTTTATGGCTGTGAGAATGAATGAGCTGCGGGGGCCCTTGGAGGCAAGGGGTGTCTGAAATACAAAGCAGCGGCTGCGCTCCTGGCACCGATGTATTGTCTCTGCTCCCCATGATGAAGTTCTTGGCAGGTCGGCTTCTTCCAGAGCCAGGCAGGTTCATTACTAGCCAGCATGTCAGGCTGTGAAATTAAAGCTGTTTTGGTTTTTTTCTTTTTTAAAAATTCTCCACATCCACTAATTTATTAAATGCCATTAAATGTTGGGCCTGGCCTTGGCTCATAGAAACATTAGGGAGCACTCAGTCCTAGCATTTGAAAATTTCCTGCAAGCAAAAAGTGGATGAGGGTGTCAGGGGGGCCAGGTCAGGGGCCACCAGTGACATCTGATGCCAGAAGCCCAGGTGCCTTGTGGGGCTCTGCAGACACATGAGGCAGTGGGGATTAAAATAGGGCAGCAGAGGTGGGAGCAACCTGAGGGCACTGGGGGTTCCAGGAGTGGGGAAGACGGGGTGAAGAGGAGGCTGCTTTTTCAGGAGGATTTGCATGTCTGGGTCTGGTCCTGTTCCCCAGCTATGGCCCACTCAGGCCCCTCCATCCATCCCCATCATTCATTCATTTATTCATTCCTCCAGCAAATATTTATCTAGTAATCCAGGCATGTTCTGGGCCCTACAATGGAAGAAAAATGGATAAGACACAAACCTGGGTCCTGGAAGTGCATGTGTGTTTTTTTTTTTTTTCCCCAAAGTGCTGGGATTACAGGCATGAGCCACTGCGCCCGGCCGTGTGTGTGTGTTTAGTGAGGGTAGGCAGCAAGTCTACACAGAAGCCTGAGAGGTCCTAGGTGTGTCCTCTGCTGTGGGCCCGGCGCTGGCAGAGGAGTCATCCCTGGCGAGGGGCCGCTCCCACCAGTGGGAGACCGATGGGACCCATGAGATATGGGCAGTGGCTGCCCCTAGGATCTAAGCAGCATGGAAGTGGGTGGAGAAGCTCAGGACGGGGAAGCCCGAAGGGGGAATTGTGTCCCTCACCCCCAGAGAAATAGGATGCCTGCGTGAAACATACGTAACGACACGTGGCAGAAGCCTGTATTTAAACCACAGTCAGCATGGTTCAAACTGAAGACAAGGAAGACACCGTGGGGATATTAGCTAACTACAAGACTTAACAAATGAGGTGAGGCTGGAGTGTGGGCTCACTGTATGGCCATAGCCTGACTGGGCCTCAGTTTACCTGCTGCGCGTATTGTGGATGGGCCCCTGGTGACAAAGAAGATCCTGATACAGCCTGATGACTTGAGGCTTTTCTCTGTGCTGGGGGCCTGCACCCTTTCCCTCCTCCGGAGTCAGGGCACGGCCCAGACCAGATCGCCCTGTGGGATTTGAAGGCGTTGCCAGCCCTGCTCTAGGCTCTGCGGATTTAACCACAAAAACAACAGACCCAAATCCTGGCCCTCAAGGAGGCCATTGGCAAATGTAAGGATGGGATTCGTCTTCTCAAATTTGGATGTGGATTTGTTTGTAGCCCTGATTTGAAGTTATTTTGAAATGCCTTCGGCTGGGGAAGGGGCAGGGGAGGCTTGGTACTCAGGCTGGCCCCTGGACCTGCACCTGCTCCGGGGAGGGCATCAATCAGGCCTGGACCACACCAGGAGTGGCTGGTGACCTTCTGCGGGTTGGTGCTAGCATTGCCTGGGGCCCAATCCCCTGAGTCACCCTGCCTCACCCCAGATTGTCCCATCGTGGGCTAGATTATAGCTCAGTCATCTCAGCTGAGACAAACCCCTGGTTTTGGAAGGGAATTTTCCCAAATGCCACCAGCTAAGCTCTCCGGCCCTGAGCTTTGGCTGTGCCACCACAGACAGGCCTTGCCTCCTTCCTGTGCTATGTGCTGGGCTCCCTCCACCAGAGGCGGCTCCCCTGCCCTGCACCTCCCTCTCCTGCTCCTGCCGCACCCTCTCCCTGCCCGCTGCACTGGCTTCAGAGGTCAGCTTCCTGACTTCCTGCCCTCCTGCCTGTGCGGGGCAGGCCTGGCTCACCAAGACTTCATGGCCAACCTGTCTCTGCCATCACCTCCTCCCTCCTGCCCTTGCTCCCTCCCCGATCTCAGCCCCGGCTGTCCCCAGCTCACCAGCTGGCATCTTTGGGCATATCGCTGTCATTGGCTCTCCCTTCCCCACCGCTGGAGGGAACACATCAGATTCTTTCTCCAATGGCTGTTCTCAAGATGTTGGCAGCCCAAGGGTGGGTGCCTGGCGTGGGGGGATAGGGTAGGGGGCGGGGTTTCTCAAACTCTATTGACAATTGGGGCCAGACAGTTCTTGACTGTGTGGACTGTCCTGTGCACTGCGGGGTGTTTGGCAGCACCCCTGGCCTCTACTCACCAGGTGCCAGGAGCAGCCCCTCCCATTGTGGCAACCAAAAACGTCCCCAGACATGCCACATGTTCCCTGGGGAGCAGAATTGCTCCTGATTGGGAACCACTGGGCTGAGGGCTGAGAGCACCATGTCTCAGACTCGGCTAAGACTGCGCCAGAGGGACCTAAGAAATGATCTCGTCCAAATCCCAAGTTTTAAAGGAAATTGGGCCTCCGAGAGCTAAAGAATCTTAAGGTCACACTAGGGAGCAGCATGATGAGAGGCATTTTAGGAAAAGAATCAGGCAGCTCTATGCAGGCTGGGCTGGAAACTAGAGGCCAGGGGCAGGGAGGGCAGTGGGGGCCGTGATCTGGACATGGGACCTGTGGCGAAGGCCCAGTGTTGGTGCCTGTCACCTGTCAGTCGGAGGTCCCCTGGGAGCAGGTAGTGAAGGCTTCTGCACCAAATGCCAGAAACCAAGGTTTTGTCCCAGCCCAGCAGTGTGACTGGGGACTTCCTTGTCCCCCCGCTTAGCTTCCTGGAAAATCGAGGCGTGACCTTTGTGTTTTCTTCTTGCCGGGAGGCTCTGTTAGTGTTGGGCCATCAGAAGATGGGAGCAGAGAGCTCATCTCGGCAGGAGCCCCTTGAGGATGGGAGCGTGGCAGTGGGGATGTGCGTGGCACCCGCTGTACTGCACAGGCCTCCTCACTGGGCAGACGTGCACCATGCGTGGAGTTGTGCCAGGCGGGAGCTGTGATGGAGGCAGGAACAGGTTTGAGGGCTTGGAGAGGAAGCCTTCCAGTCCAGACTGCGCCCCCGTAGGGTAGGCCGCAGATCTTTCCTGGGGGCCTGGAGGACTTTGGACAGGAAATGGGAAAGGAAGCAGATTTGGGGACAGGGCACCAGCTGTGTTCCCTGAGAGGTAGAAGGCTCCCAGGTGGGTCTGGCAAGACCAAATCAAAGGATGTGGAGTGTGAAGTCAGAGAACCAGTTTGAAGAGAGGTGACCAGGTCCTGGAGTTTCTGACCTAAGAGGTTTTCCTAGGTAGAGGTACCTGAGCATCCCAGCACTTATCCCAGGAGGGAAGTGGAGAGAGGGCTCGGAAGGGGCCCCCCGCTGCAGGTACACCCACAGTGGGAAACCGCTTCAGGAGAAGGCTGTGCTTTGAGAACTTTTCCAGGCCCGAGAAGGGTCCGGGCTCTGAGCTCTGGGGTCCTGCGTGTCTCCAGCTGCAGCGTGTGGGGGCGCCCTGCAGCTCCCCTGCAGCGAGTACCTGCGGCAGTGGGGTTTCCGCTTACTCATTCCAGGGTCTGGCTTTTAGAGCCATAAATCTTCAGCATGAAGATCATAAATTCTCCATGGTATGATTAATGAAAGAAAAATTGAGACGGCAGCATAGAAACTGACCAGATTGAAGAAAAGTCAGAGTGACTATTTGGATGAAAGTTTCAGCCATCGCTGGCGAACCCAGAGCTTCTGAACCAGCCTGGAGCGCCACCTAGTGGCCGTAGGCGGGGCTAGCCCCGTTCCCTGGCGAAGCTTTGTGATGGCCCAGTTGGGCGATGCTGTGGGTCTCAGTGTGCCCATTCTTTGGGAGCCCTGACGTGGTTCCATGTGGGGCTGCGCCAGGGGACAGGAGGCACAGGCCCACTCTCCACAGTGTGAAGGACCCAGGCAGCTGCTGGACGTAAATCATTCGGACCCCCCTGCAGCTCCTTGCACTGTCTCTTGGTTAGTAATACGTGGCGGTGTCTGTTCCTACCTTTTTCTTCATGCACACCTTTCTGGTTCCCCATTTATCAAAATCCTATTCATTCTTCAAAGCCCAGCAAGGCCTGTCAATGCCACCTTCAAAACATCTCAAATTGGACCATTTCTCACCGCTCCTCCGTAGCCTCCTGGTATGAGTCGTCCCCAGCTCTCAAGCTGGTCTGGCTCCTGGGAAGAAAGAGAGGCTCGCAATTAGGCAGGGTAGGGATGCCCACGGGAAGGTGAGGGGAGGGGACAGACGCCTCCCTGAGGAAGGGCATCTCCTTCTTATTCCTCCACAAACCCAAGCCTAATCACAGCAGCCTCCCAGTTGCTCTCCTGGCCTCCCTCGGGCCCTCCCGCGGTCGCTTCTCCAAACAGCAGCCAGAGTGATCTGCTGAAAACCTCAGTGAGATCATGTCACTCTCCAGCTCTGGGACCTTCCCGTCACACTGAGGACACTTGCACGTTTCCTTTACCTGCGAGGTCCCAGCTGGCCTGGCCCCCGGCCACCCCGCCTGCTTTGTCTCCTACCATGTGTCACCTCACTCACTGTTGTAGCACACGGCCAGCGTGCTCCTCCTTGGCTGGCCAGGCTCCTTCCCACTCCGGGGCTTTTGCACCTGCTGTTCTCTCTGTCTGGAACGTTCTTCCCCCAGATAGTTATGTTGCTCCCTCCCCCTGTTTATTTGGGTTTTTGCTTAAACACCACCTCTTCCAAGACACCTTCGCTGCCCACACCCTCCCCAGTTATTTTCTGGCTCTTTACATTGCCTTATTTTTCTTCGTGGCGCATGTCAGCAACTGCAGTTACGTCATTTGTTGCTTACATAAGGTCAGTGTCTCCTGTAAGAATCTACTCTTCGTGAAGGCAGGGTCTTTGCCAGTGAGGTGTACCACTGTCTCCCCAGCTTGGAGAACAGGGCCTGGCACTGAATACGCAGGTGTTCACTTGGGTTTGTGGAGGAATAAGCGAAGGAGATGCCCTTCCTCAGGGAGGCGTCTGTCCCCTCCCCTCACCTTCCCATGGGCATCCCTACCCTGCCTAATTGCGGGTTGCCCTGTCTCAGCCCTGAGCCTCTGTTTCTTCCCAGGAACCAGAGCAGCTTGAGAGCAGGGGCTGGGCTGATTCCTGGAGTCAGCATAGTCTGCACAGGCCCTGGCACAGAACAGCTGCCCGGGAAGTGCCTTTCCAGCAAGCAGTGCCCGGAGCTGGCCACCCACTTCACGTAGCTTATTCCAATCTAATTCTCACAGCAGTCCAATAGGAAGGGGATGATATTCTCACTCTGCATACGAGAGGTTTGCAAGCTCACACCACCAGGATAAGCTGGAGCCGGGAGTCCTGTTTGGGTCTGTGACTCCCAAGCCCTTACCACCTGCACTTTCACCCGGCATAGAATGTTCTCGTCCTCCATCTGCCCCTAGTCCACCCACCCTTTAGGGACTGCCTCCTTCAACTGGCTTCCATGACTGCGACAGTGATTGCCTCCTCTGAGCGCCCGTAGCGTTGACTGGGCACCAGTCCATCCCACCTGGGAGTGGTAGATTTTGCACTTTGATTGCTCCCATCCAGCCAGAACAGAGGCCCCTGGAAAACAGGTCTTTAAAGTGGTTGTAGCTTTTCTGGCATGGCACACTGCATGCTGTAGGCACTCAGTAAATACTGTTTCACTGATTGATTGGCTCCTCAGACTCAGCACACTTCCCATGAGCTGGCGGAGGGAGTCGGGGAGTGCCAGCTATATCGAGCATAAAATAAGACAGATGTGGAGATTTGCAGCCGGTGAAATGGAAGCTTCCCCAGGTGGAGCTGGTGGCGCCGGCAGCCCCAGGGGTGCTGTTGGGGAGAGTTGCTTTTCGGTTTGGGGGCCGATCATGCCAGAGGCCAGCTTATTGGATGGGTGGTGAAGGCAGCCGTGGACTCCCACGTCCCGCACACTGGCCAGGCCCCCAGCCAGCCGATGACTGCCTCCTTTCTCCATCTGTGGGAAATTGTTCTTCAGACTCCAGTGGACAAATGGCCCTTCGGGTCAGAGTAACAGGACACAGTCGCTGGAAGTTCTGGCTCCAAGAAACCCGACTCCGAGGGTCCCTTCCCACCTCCAGAGATGAAGTCTTTCTTGCTTTTCCTGACCCCAGTTCTCCCCTCTCACCAGGCCTCCGTCTTGGACACTGGGGCCTCTTCTCTATCATGCAGAGTAACCTAACCACTCACATGTGTCCAGTACCTTCCACGTATTTGTTACGCACTTTTGCCTCTGTGTGGTTTAATCCATCCTCAGAATGACCTGGGAGGCTCTTGAAACTGGCACAGTCTCCGTTGTCACATGGGGAGACTGAGGCACAGAGAGGCTAGGGGACTGTCTGGGTCACACAGCCGACATGCTTCGGGTCTGCAGCCCAACGGTAGTCCCGTTCTCACCTTGTCGGTTCTCACTTTGTCTGTGTCTCAGAGCATGGGGTGGGGACCTGCACTGTTCCCAGGTCCATGGACGAATGTGAGAGCAGCGCCAGGCTAATGGGCTTTCCTTCCTTTCCAGCTCTGTGGCTGTGGGCTGCTGGGAGTGGGCATCTGGCTCTCCGTGTCCCAAGGCAACTTTGCCACCTTCTCCCCCAGCTTCCCTTCGTTGTCTGCAGCCAACCTGGTCATTGCCATAGGCACCATTGTCATGGTGACGGGCTTCCTCGGCTGCCTGGGGGCCATCAAGGAAAACAAGTGCCTCCTCCTCAGCGTAAGTTCTGTCCAAATCCCCAGCCCCTCCAACTCCTGATCTCCTTGCACTTGGACCCCTGGGACAGGCAAGACCTGGAATATTAGCCACCTGGGTGTCCAACCTGAGCCCAGGGAAACTGCTTCTAGAACGTTCTAGGCTTGACCACACCCCTCCTCCTCATGGTTGGTTATGCCTACCCCTGGTTGTCCCTCCCACTCCCTGATTAGTCAGCTCCTTTATGTCTCTGTCCTAGCTATCTGGGTTTCCTCAGGAGGAGCTGGCTTCTCCCAGACCTGGGAAGCCCCACCTAGGCGCCGCCTGTCCCTGCCTTCCACACCCTCCTTGTCCTCAGCCCTGCCCATTACCACCTACCCATGCCTGGCCCTTTCCTTTCCAGTTTTTCATCGTCCTGTTGGTCATCCTCCTAGCAGAGCTGATCTTACTCATCCTCTTCTTTGTCTACATGGACAAGGTAAGCCTTACCAGATGGGAGGGGGCATATGGAATGTCACTGCCCTTAGAGTTGGGCCAAGCAGGCCAGGGTCCCTTCCCTGGCCAGAGGAAGAGTGCTGGCAAGCAGCACCTGTGCAGAAAGGAACATGGAACCAAGGGTTGGGAAAGCTACCAAGGAAAGAGCAGATGGAAGGTTTTGATGGGGGCAGCATGGGGCAGGCAAATTTGGAGGATGGGAGAGTTGACTTTGTATAGTTCCAGGAAGTGGAATCCTCTGCATGACCAGAGATGGCAGTGGGCTGCCTCTGGCGCTAGTGAGCTCCCTCTCACTGGAAGGAATTAAGCTACTTGGAGAAGGGATTCAGACCTCATCAGGTGGTTGGGCTGGGTGATTTGAGAGCAAACCATGAAAAACAAGGAGGAACTCTCTGGGCGACGCTGGCTGAGCAGGACTGAGGCACAGGGAAGCTCTGTTTCCTGCACTAGAGCCCTTGAGGACGGGCGCTGCTCCTGGGTTCAGGAGGATGGTGGGTGACCCCCTGTAACCTCGCCAGGCTGGGCAGTTCGCAGTCAAGAGCGAGGTTGGCCGGGATTTCAGTCTCTTGGGGCGTGGCAGGCCCTTTGGTACCATGCACTCCAGAACTGTGTAAGGAGCAGTTCTTGAAATAGCTGCCTGAGCCACACTGAAAGTTAGAGACATCGTTAGGATGAGAAAGAATAATCTTTTAGTTTTGCACTCGTGAAAAGGAAGAAAGAACAATGTTGAGAGATTTCTCTGTGCCAGCCCTGTTCTTGGCCCTTTTATGAGAATTGTTTCCCTTAATTCTAACAACAGCGCCATGAGTAGATGCTGCTGTTCAACATCGGGTAGAACAGCGGTGAGGGAGGTGAAGGTCACATGACCTGTCTTCCTCCCTCTAGTTCCCAGGGTGTGTTTTGAGAGGGGCAGTCTGTGGGGAAGCTGTGTAGTGGGGGGCGGGGGTGGCAGAGTGGCCTGTGTGTGTGGCTGGTCCTGGGATGGGGGAGTGGAGGCACGTGGTGTGTTTTTTTGCCTCTGGGTGTTACAGCCCTGGCCCTGAGTTTAGCTCTGCCGGGAGGCGGTGGGTGCACCAGGGCCTGCTGTATTCTGAAACTGGGAGTGTGTGCCTAACCCCGCACCTCTGTTGGGCCAGCAGAGGCCCCCACCCCAGTGGGCAGGGCCTTCCAGACCAGCTGCCTTCCCTGCCTTCCTCACTCCTCATCTGTCACCCACCATCCTGGGTGACCTGAGGTGGGCTGGAGAGACGAGCTGCGTCCTGGTTCCAACCGTCTCACTGTGTCCCTCCGCCTGGCAGGTGAACGAGAACGCCAAGAAGGACCTGAAGGAAGGCCTGCTGCTGTACCACACCGAGAACAACGTGGGGCTGAAGAACGCCTGGAACATCATCCAGGCTGAGGTGCGGGCTGGGCCGCCCTGGTGGGGCCAGGCAGGGAGGAGGGGTGGCGGCCGGTACTTCTAGCTGCCTTCCCCGGTGACCTGGCCGGGCACCTGTGCTTTCTGGATTTTAGCCGGGAGTGGAGTGGTACCCACGGGGGCATTTGCCTGAACTGCTGAGTCAGATGTGATACAGCAAGGTACAGCCAGGGAGGGATGAGGATACAGGAGGGGCAGGCCTGAGAGAGCTGTGGCTGAGCTTTGGGATGAATGACTGAATTTATTTTAGCAACAGATTTGCCTCCATGATGGGGCTTGGCTTAGGTGAGGAGGCCCTGGCTCTAGGAGGAGAACAAGTCCATAGTCCCAGATGCTCCCATTTTAAGCCCTGGGGAGGGGCCGGCAGGGGGTTGGGTGGCAGTCAGCTTGGGACGGTTTACAGAAAGAGCAGAGGTGCTGGTGGGCAAGCACAGGGCTGAGCCAAGGGGCCCAGCCCGAGGGGTGGGCTGCATTGCCCTCTCCCGCTCTGGTCTCCAGGAAGGAGTGCTCACTCACTTCTCCAGTGGGCCCGGCTGAAGCCCAAAGAAGGGACAAGAAGCAAGCCCTTTGTCTCCTCCCTTAACTGCAGGGTGGCCACTTTTGCGGGGACTGGGGTTGGCCTGGGCAGGGGAAGGCCCTGGGGAGGAAGGGGCGGGCCATGGCATGTCTGACTGCCCCTTCCATTCCTGCTGGCCAGATGCGATGCTGTGGTGTCACTGACTACACAGACTGGTACCCAGTGCTGGGGGAGAACACGGTTCCCGACCGCTGCTGCATGGAGAACTCCCAGGGCTGCGGGCGCAACGCCACCACGCCTTTGTGGAGAACGGTGAGGCTGGGGATGGACCGCTTGGGTCCAAGAGCCCGTGTGTGGATGCCCCGGCACGGGGAGCCCTATAGGGGAGGCTGGGCCCGGGACACTAAGAGGTTGGCTGAATGTGGCGGTGGGGGGCTCACAAAAATAAAGCCAAAAGACAGGTGGAAAATGGGGGGTGGGGCTGGACCCACAGTTGGGAGAGTCAGAGGGCGAGGGGTTGAATGGGGTCTGAGGCTCTGCAGCTGGCCTTGCGGGTGGGGCGGAGGCTGCGCCAAGGGATGGGGACAGGGCTGAGGCCAGGGAGGGCTGGGAGGTAAGAGCGAGGACGAGGTGGAAGGAGAGAGTGAGCTGGGGGCTGGGCTGCAGGGAGCGCATGCTTGGGCTGGGACCCTAACCTCGTGGGCCTCGCTCCCCAGGGCTGCTATGAAAAGGTGAAGATGTGGTTCGATGACAATAAGCACGTGCTGGGCACGGTGGGGATGTGCATCCTCATCATGCAGGTAAGAGGGGCGTCCCCAGCAGCCTCACCCACCCTGCTGGCCTCAGCCTCAGAGGGAAGGAAGCACAGAGAAGTGAAAGCAGTGTTGGTACACGGCGGAGGGTCTGGAATTCATCACAGCTATTCAAGCTTAGCAGCTGTGCCTGCCACCGTTTCCGCAGAGCTCTGATATGAGAGCACGTGTCTACTCAGCACTGAGAGTGGTGCTCAGGGCTGCCTGTGGCCAGGCCCAGGCTGGGATATTGAAGCTGGAGTCAACCCCCGTGGGTTCCCCCAGTTCTGCCCAAACCTTGAGCTCAGAGAGCCATGCAAGACACACACGGTGTCCCCCGGTCACCATCTTTACAGCCTGTGCACATGGCACACTCTCTGTGGTGACCGTGAGACCACACCGGGCTTCCTTCTGCCTCCTGCACTCCTCTGGGTCCCCGGCTCCTTTGAGGATTCAGGAGGGAAGGGGCACAAACGAGTAGTGACGTGGTCCTGAGCACACATCACTGGAAAGACAGCCCTGCTGCTGCCAAGACATCGCACCATGTGTTCCACAAGCAGACAAGAGAGGCTTGACAGGAGTCCTTTATTTTTCTTTTTTTAAGAGACAGGGTCTCACTTTGTTGCTCAGGCTGGAGTGCGGTGGCGCCGTCATAGCTCGCTGCAGCCACAAACTCCTGGGCTCAAGCCATCGTCCCACTTCAGCCTCTCAAGTAGCTGGGACTACAGGCATATACACCACCATACCTGAATGATTTACAACTTTTTTCCAAAAACAGATGGAGTCTCCCTCTATTGCCCAGGCCGATCTCAAGCCATCCTCCCACCTTGGCCTCCTAAAGTGCCACCGTGCCCGGCTGGCCTGAGTCCTGAATGATCCCTGCCACCTCCCACTCCCCACCTTGGCTCCTGTGAGCCCCCACGTAGAGCCAGGTCCTCCGTGCATTCCGTGCCTGCAGCGCCCCTCTGAGTAGGCACACGTATGCATCCTGCAGAGGTTCGATGGCTTCTGGTCTAACAGCCCCACGAGGCTGAGCCAGAGTTCACCTGTGTGTGTCTCCAGGGTGACCTCTGTTCACGGTTTTCTTCATGTCTTCATTCCATAAGCATTTTCCTGGCACACCAGTGGCCATCCCCGCTTGCTCTAGGTGCCCTGTGACATCCCAAGCCTCTCGGGGCTGAGGTCAGGTCCAGGCTGCTGCAGCTCCTGCCTCAGGCCCCTCCCCGTGTCTTTCAGATCCTGGGCATGGCCTTCTCCATGACCCTCTTCCAGCACATCCACCGGACTGGTAAGAAGTACGACGCATGAGCGGGCTGGCCGGGAGTGCCCACCCCGCCCTGCTGCCCTGTGGAGGGAAGAGGATTGAGCTTTGTGTCACCTGCCTGCGCTCTCCAGATATGACCCCTGCACCCACCCCCCACAGCCTGCCCTACCCCACCTACCCTGCCTCAGCCTCGGACTTCTCAGTGGGTGGAGTGCCAGGGAGGAGGAGGCACACGGAGACCTGGGGCTCGGGGCCCCTGGATTCCTGCATCTGCATATGCGTATTTGCCAAAGACGACAGGGTGGGCTGGGGTGCGCTCCGGAGGAACCCCCGGCACTGATGGGCTTCTGCCCCTGCCCTTCCTCACACTGACACTTTGTCCCCACATGGGGTGGGGAGCAGAGTGCCCGCCCCGTGGAGATACCGCCCCAGCGGGGGCTGCGACATCCATGGCCACCATGGGGCACCTGGCGGGGCGGGGGTCTGCCGGCCTCTGGGCAAGGCCCCTGGAGCATCTCGCCCAGGCTTTTTATACCTTACAATGTAACTTTTTTATTTTATTTTACTCTATGATTATTCAGGAATATTATCTCTCAGATAAGTTTAGGGTTAGATTTCTGATTTGTAACTTTTTACTGTGTTGATTTCTTTAATGGTTTGACTTTTTTTCCCTGAGGGTGAGGGATGGGTGGGAAGAGAGGACATCTGTCCAGTCTCAATCAGGACAGACCACCGTGCGACACCCAGGAGGCTCTCGGATGGGGCGCGCCTGCGCCCTCAGAACGTGTGGGAAGGAGGGGGCGTGGACAGGACACGGGACCTTGCCAGGCCTGGTGTCTGAGGACAGGAGCCTGGGAGAGGCGGGTGGAGCGTGAAGCAGGCTGGAGGTGCCCCTGCACGGGAGGTGGCGTTTGCTAACCAATCGAGCTGGAAATGCCAGGGCAGGGGGGCCCCACGGTGCTGTGGCAGAGCTAGAGGGGTCCTTAGACTTTTCACTGATGAGCAGTTGTTGGTTTTTTCTTTCTCCCTTCCTCCCGCTCTCTGCTGGCACGCGAGGCTTCCCCTTCCACCCCATGTGGGTATTCCCACAACAGGTTCTGCACACCCCAGTTATTTCACAGACATTCCTGCTAGAAACTGTCAGACAAATACCTCTCTAGTTCGGATGCTGCTCACTTTCCCCCTTGCTTCTGGAAGGGGAAGCAGTCCTTAGGTTTTGCTGTGCTGGGACAGTGGCAGGGGACCCACAGGGGTGAGGACCCACGGTCCTCCCCGCCAGCCTTGCTCAGCTGTGGGTTGCCCTGCTGGGAAGGAGGGAATCACGTCCACCTGGGTCCCAAGATCTTCGCCTCCTTCCCTGGGGCCACGGACATCAGCAGTGGGTTGGGTGGCGATTATATCATCTGTGATCCCAAGGAGAAGAAATACAGAAAACCCAAGAGAGGTCAGACTGGCTCTTGTTACCGGAGCCACGGGAAGAAAGCAGCCGGAGTCACGCACGTGCAGAGCTGGGCATGGGAGAGAAACGGGCTGGGGAGTGAGGCCAGGAGTGGGATTCAGCTGCAGCAGGGCGCCCCCTCCAAACTGCAGCTGGTCTGGCTTACTGTTTTGCCGTTCAAAAAGGTCGCGAATCCGTGGGACTGAGCACGGGGACCTCACCCGCTAGCCAGCGTCTGCTGCACTTGATCAGGTGGGGCCTTGGTGGGCGGCTGCCTTTCCTATACAGTTTGTCTTGTCACCCTGGTTTCCCACTGGGGCCAGGTCTCTTCTCCAGCCTCCACCTGCCTGTCTGATCCAAGAGCTGAGACACGGCCACCCAGCACCAGTCACTCCTCTGTTCACCTTAAGTAACACACAAATCGGGAACAGGAGGACAGAACCGTTGGCATTATCAGGATTCGTGTTTTGTGGGGGTGGGAGTGGAGAGTAGGGTGGTCTTGTGAGTTGTGCAGGGTGAAGACCGCTTCCCTGAGACAGGGGCAGTGGTGCTGATGGAATGTGGGGGAGGCCCACATTTGAGCAAAGCTGCCCTGCCCTTGTCCCCTGGCCTGGCTTCCTGGTAAGGAGTTTCAGCCGCCTCCGCAGGAACCCCCAAAGTGCAGATTCCGGAGCAGACACATCCGGGCGGAGAGACTCAGCAGACAAGTGCTGCAGTTGCACGGTGGGACCCGGGGCCTCGTGCGTTTTTTGCTGTGGGTGGGGTGGGTGGGTTGGTTTATGCCTATCAATGCAATTTTTAATTTTTGTTAATATCAACAGCAAAAGCCTAGTGCATTGGGAGATGTGCAACCTCCCTGAAAATCTTTTCTGTTTCTGGAGTACTTCAGGGGTGGCCTCTGGCCCCAGAGCCTTTGCCACAGTGCTCCCACCAGCCCCCACCTCATCCGTCTGTTTGCAGAGCCTCATCTACAGGTCCCCACGCTGCCTTCTTTACTCACTCTGCGCTTGGCCGTTTTGTTATTTGGCTTAGTCTACATTGGGCGGAAGTCTGTGTGCACAGAGTGGGTGTTCCTTCGAGCCCCTTCCACTCAGAGGGCCACACCCAGCGATGCCAGTGAAGGTGGCACAGCCTCTCTTCAGTTTCTCCTGACTGTGATCTCACTGGGGTAGAATTCCCCTGAGAGAATTCCCTCACTCACGGCTCCCTTTGCCAGAGTCAGTTCAATCAGGTCTGATGTGAGCAATTTACACACTTGTCTCAGAAAGTCCCTCAGGGTTTGTAGAGGACTGCAGGGGGGCATCCGCTGCAGACTCAGCCTTTCTCTGCAGCCATCCTGCAGTGGGGGTGAGCGGGCACAGGCTGAGAACTGCTCTTGGGTGGTGGAAGCAGGTGTCACGGTGCAAGTCTCCCCCTGCACCCCTCCCCCAGCTTGAGCCGTGTCACCCCCCTCTCCCTCCAGCATGGGCCTGTGTCTCAGGCTCTCTGGAAGGTGGCCCTGCCCCGGACCCTCTTGCAGGTGTCCTGGTTTGACTTGGAACTAGATGGCCATCTTTCCAGGCTTTGGTGGCCCAAGAGCAGTCTGGGTGGATGGAAGTGGCTGTCCCCTCCTCTCCAGCCCCTGCCCACCCACTGGTGGAGGTGCTAACTAGCAGGGACGTGGCATAGGATGGGAGCTGGGCGTGAGGTGCTTGGGGTCCATTCTTTGTCCCTCAGCTTCTCAGAGTCCGGCCAGCCCTTGTGTTCCCGTGCCCCACACTTTCCTCCTCCCCACTGCAGTGAGTCAATAGTCCAGGGTGGGGCCTGGCCTCCCTGCCCTGATTGGGGACTCAGGAGGTGAGGCCTGGGGGGCTTCCTGCCCCCTCCTTGCCCACCTGCCTGCCCCCGGGCAGCACGGGAGGGAGAGCAGGGTGAGCACGCTTGTTGGTTTCAGATGCACTTTCTGCTTGCATTGCCGTATCTGTGCGTTCCTTCATCCTGGTCCTGGCTTTATGGAACACCATGTTTTTAGCATGTTTTTAAATAAAAACGGATAAAGTGTCAAAAGCACAGCAGGCTGTCTCTCAGTGGTGTGTTTTGTTCACTCAGCCAAAACTGTGACTTAGGTCGTGGTTGGTGTGAGGGACCCAGAGGGATCAGATACCACTCCTACCCTTCATCCAAGACACACCCCCAGGGGGACCTCATCTCTCTTTTGGGGCCCAGGTCACAGATCTGCTGGCGTGGGGAGGGTCTCTGTCCTCTCTGGGTGCCTGAGGAATCCTAACATCCCCCCTCGAAACAGGCTGGATCAGGGGGCAGTCCCAGTGCCCGAGGCCTTCTGCCTGAGAGGCTGAAGTCCTGTCTCCGTACCAATCACCCATCACACATGGCCAGTCCTGTGGCCAGGCCCCGAAGTGTATCGTGGGGCGGGTATGGAATAAGCCACTAGCAGCTTCCAGTAGGGTAAGGGGCTTCCTGTAGGGGTGGGGGCTGTCAGTTTCAGAAACAGTCTTCTTCCCAATCCCTGTGATGTTCCCGGGGTTCATTTGACCTTGATGTCTCGGACTGAGGGGGCCTCACAGTGTGTCTTGGCCTTTTCAGGGTGACTGGGACAGCCTCAAAGAAGGAACAAAATCAGGATGAGGATGGTCAGCAGGGAAGGCCATTAAAACCGCGAGCAGGAAGAGCTGCTGGCTGGGCCACTGACGTTGCCGCCTTCCTGCAGTCGAAGTCTCCCGCGGCCTTGGTTGGGGTCCTGGTGTGTGGGGTTTCCTTGGCTGTCAGTCAAGGTGACAAGTTGCAGATGAGAAGCTCAGAACTCCCCTTGCTGGTCCTCACTGTGTTCATGTCCCCAGGGTGGAGGCAGGCGTGAGGGTGAGTGTGCATGGGGGTCTGAGAGCAGTTGGAGGTTTGGAGGTGAGCATCTTGAAACCCCTCTGCCTGTGGAACTCCATCTCCCGCCTTCTCAAGGGAGTGGCCAGGTCCACACAGAATTATCCCAAAACATCAACCTCTGGGGCCCCCTCCTGCAGCTGCTGTGTCCCAGAGCCTCCAGAGACGGTGCCTTGAGTCTGAGCCACCCTCTGTCTAAGGTCCAGCTGGAGTGATGTCCCTGGGAACCTCCCCAGGATATTTACCGAGAGAGACTTTGTGGCTGTAGGGTCAGGATTGATCGTGGCTGAGGAGCAGGTGACCCCCTCATCGTCTGCGGAGGACAAACCAGCTCATAGGAATTTGGGTGGATGCCACCCTGTCTCTGCTCATTCTTACTCTCGCTCCTGCCCCCAGGCCTGTTGAGATGCCCACTGGGTCACTGTGCTGTGTTTTGGGGCTTCCAGGCAATGGAACACACTGGCTGTTCTCTTAACCCTCGGCTCTGGTTGCCCTGGCTGTGCGGGAGAGGAGCATCTTCTTTGGGACTTCTAGTGACGAGGCTAGCACCTCTGGGCTGGGTCTGGGCTCCTCTGTCTAGGGAGTGGCTGAGATGACCCGGGGGGGGGGGTCCCTCCTTTGCGCCCCCATTCTTGTGTGTTGTGATGGAACTGCCTCCCCATTGGTGCTCAGCAAAGGGCAAGTGAGAAAGGGTGGCTTCTGAGCCCCGCCAGCTTTCCATGGGGCCAACAGTGGCGCTTGCACAGACAAATGTCTGTTTGCCCAAAGACTTACTGAATACTCACTCGTGCCAGGCACCTAGAACACAGTCGTGGACGACACAGACCCAGTCCCTGCACTTTCAGAGCCGACCATTTAGTGGGGACCCCAGAAGAGTGCCTGTGATTGCAAGTAAGTAGTGGCAGCAATGTTCACAGGGCACTGGGAAGCCCTGGGGGACAGTCACTGGCTGAACCTGGGGAAGTGAGGTCTCCAGAGCAGGTGATGTCAAAGCTAAGAGCTGAAGGTGGAGGTGTTCACCTGGCAAAGAGAGGCAGGAGATGTGTCCTGTGGATGCTTGTGGTCCACAGAGCTGGAGCACAAAGGGTGAAGGTGAAGGTCTGGAGATGGTGGTGACCACCAGATCACAACCTTGAGAACCAGGCCAAGGAACTTGAAGTTCAGGCTGAGAACAGTGGGAGCTGTGGAAAGGCTTTAAGCCCAGGTGTGACAGGCTCAGATGTAGCCTTTAGAAAGCTGGCTGTGGCTGCAGTGTGGAGAGTTTTCAGGGACAGGGGAGGCCACCGGGGGACCAGGCACAGGTGCCGCAGTGATTTAGGTGACAGACGATGGAGCCTTAGGGAAGGGCAGTGGGATGGAGATGAAGCCGGAAGATTTGAGAGATGCACAGGAGAATCTGCGAGCCTTGGTGGTTAATTAGATTTATGCAAAGAGAAGGAGCGTTCTTGCCACTCGCCCAACATGACACCCTCAACCCAGACAGGCAGATGACTAATTGTTTGCATCAAATGGATGGATGAATGTGTTTTCTGGGCTCGGTGCTTCTGTGCAGGAGATGACAGAGATCAGCATGGTGCAATTAAATCTCTTTGTTTGTGTTGAGCTGCACAGCTTGCAAAATGCTTCCATAAATGTGATCTAGGCTCCTCCTGACCAAAACGGTCTTATCAGCTGTCACTGTGCTTAAACTTTCACCATCAGAGATGCACCAAGGTGTGCATGGGAGGAGCACTGATGTGGGTGCCAGAGGACCCGGGTTAAACTCCCAGTTTGCATTTGGTGTCCCTGTGAGCCTCGGAACTTGTCTTGGTTTTGTTATTTGCAAATGAGGATAATGCCTATTTTATAGATTTGTTGTGGGGATTAAATAGAGACATGTATGTAGAGGCATCCGGCTTGTTCCTGGAGCAGGATAGGTGCTTGGCAAGAAATTGGTTGAACCTGGGTCGCCACATGAAAGGCAGGACCCCAAGGAAGAGCAGCTTTCAGCCCAAGGACACAGGAGAGCGGTCTGGGAAGGGGTGCTGGTGTATGAAGGGAGAGTGAGCTGCCCGCAGGGGCTCAGGGAACAGGTTTCCCCATGCCTTTGTTTTGCCCTGGGCTGGCTCAGCAGCAACACTCAATATTCCACAGAAGCAAGAAGGAAGCCAGATTAAATAAATGTCATTTTGGACACAAAAATATTGACATTGCGATGGTCCCTTCTTAAAGCCGTCAGCAAAGCTTGGTAGGCTATTGATTTAGCCATCTCATTTTTGCTGAGTTTAATGACAGGAGCGAGATAGACTATTGTCTCCTAAAGCTAACAAAAAGAGTAACAGCACTCCACAGGGCACGCTGGAGCCAAGCCCTCCTGATTGAAGCTGACGCCCTGGAACCTCTCCTTTGCAGCCCAGAGACTACCAGGTAGCTGAGAGCCAGCTGGGGCAGAGCTGGGCACTGCCTCGTTTTCCTTGGCCCTATGTGCAGAGGAGAGAGGTGAACGGGGACATGAAGGCCGCACAGTGGCCTGTGGCCGGGTCTTGCGGTTAGCACCTGTTGCCCGGAGATTTTTCTTCTGGTTACTGAGTTCTGGAACAGCCTACAGCAGTGTCCAGAGCAAGGCCAGGCTAGCTTTGGTGGTCGAGGGGAACTGCAGCCCACATGCTCTGATTTAATGACCTCAGGAAGCTCATTGTCCTTTGCCTCCCTACTCCCACCTCAACTCCTCCACTCAATTTCTGGAATCAGAATACAGTTGGTCCCTAATTTATAATGGTTCAGTTTATGATTTTTTGACTTTATGATGGTGTGAAAGTCATAGGTATTCAGTAAAAACGCTTATCTCTTTCTTTCGAGTACACATACAACCATTCTGTTTTTCATTTTCAGTGCAGCAGTCCATAAACGACATGAGATACTCAACACTTCGCTGTAAGGTGGGCTTTGTGTTAGATGATTTTGCCCACTGTGCGCTAATTCAAGTGTTCTGAGCACATTTAAGTTTGTCTAGGTTAAGCTGTGATGTTGTAGGTTAGGGTTTTTTTTTTTCCTGAGACGGAGTCTCGTTCTGTCACCCAGGCTGGAGTGCAGTGGCGTGATCTGGGTTCCCTGCAAGCTCCGCCTCCCGGGTTCACGCCATTCTTCTGCCTCAGCCTCCCGAGTAGCTGGGACTATAGGCACCCGCCACCACGCCCAGCTAATTTTTTGTATTTTTAGTAAAGAAGAGGTTTCACCGTGTTGGCCAGGATGGTCTCGATCTCCTGATCTCGTGATCTACCCGCCTCGACCCCCCAAAGTGCTGGGATTACAGAAGTGAGCCACCGCGCCCGGCCATTAGGGGTATTAAATGCATTTTTGACCTATGGTATTTTCAACTTATGATGAGTTTATTGGGATGTGACGCCTTCGTAAGTCAGGGAGTGTCTACATGTTCTCAATATATTTCTTTTCTCTGGCAAGGGACCCTAGTTCCTGAAAGGACTCAGCCTTCTTATTTACCAGATGGCCCCTCCAAGAGAGTGTGTTGGGTTTGACCTCTGGCCTCCAACTCAGGGTTCTCTAAAGGAGGATTAGAGATTCCTGAGCTATTCTCAATATTTTAAAAGTCCCAGCGAAGTTGTTCCTCACCCCCATCATGGGAACATAAACCCTTTGGGTCTGGATGGCTGTGTTATGCCCTTAGTGCAGTGGCATGGTTCGTACCTTGCTAATGGAAAGGGCTGGGTTCCCGCCTCACTCTTTCCCTCCTCTCCCCTGGTCTGGTGCAAAGCCTCCCACCGGATGCTCCGCAGGTCCTCTCCTTCCTGCTCAGGTCACTGCCAGATAGGGCTTGACCAGTGGCAGAAGCAGGAGGAAAAAGAAGTAGGAGCTTCTTGTGTGTTTGCTTTTTTTTTTTTTTGATACAGTTTCACTTTGTTGCCCAGGCTGGAGTCCAGTGGCGCAATCTTGACTCACTGCAACCTCGGCCTCCTGGGTTCAAGCGATTCTCGTGCCTTAGACTCCTGAGTAGCTGGGATTACAGGCACCCGGCATCATGCTAGGCTAATTTTTGGTATTTTTAGTAGAGATGGGGTTTCACCATGTTGGCCAGGCTGGTCTCGAACTCCTGACCTCAAGTGATCTGCCCGCCTCGGCCTCCCAAAGTGCTGGGATTACAGGCATGAGCCACCACACCCGGCCTCATGTGTTTGCTTTTAAGAGGAAAATGGCTGTTGGCCCCTGTGCCCTCGCCTCCCCACCAGCAGCCTCACTCTTTTCAGTTGTGGAGAGAGAATGAGAACCAGGGTCCCCAGCTCGAGGCACCCTGAGGCAGCAGTGACAGCCCAGCTGGGGCTGACATGAGGCATCAGTACCTGCTAGGAAGTAGTGGCAGCTGACAGGCCAGCCGGCAGCCACCAAGGCACAGCTTCAGCACAGCTTCTTGCTGCCTGCCCGGATGACAAGGCCCAGGGCTGTGGGGACAGCAGTCACCAACCACTGACAGTGCTGTGCAGCAGGGAGGGTCCTGGAGTGGTACTTGTTCCTCCTCGGTACACACACACTCTCAGTGATGGTGGAGGTGAGTAGATGTCCAGGTCCAATGGGACAGATGACGGTGAGCGTGCCCTGGGCTGGCTTCCTTCCCCTGTTCAACATCCAGACAGTCAGAGGCTGCTGCTGTGGCCGTTGAGTGAACGACTGAACATTGGCCAAGGAGGTCCTGAAGACACAGGAGAGCGGGGCAGGGCTGGGGCTCTCGTGCGAAGCGGGTCCCCGCTGGACCTCGGGTGGATCCACCTGTTCACACAGCACGTGGCCAGGCTGCGTCGGGTTCACACCACACCAGGTGTGCGGTTCCATTCTCAGCTGCCTCCCAGGCCACCCCCACCCCTCTGTCTGGGGATCCCCTGAGTTCCGCTTACCCGGGTACTCTTCAGGCTTCCCACCCCACCTCAAGCAAGTTTTCTAGACAGAAGAGTGAATGAGAGAGAATGAGTGTCCATGTCATAGAAGGGAAAGCGTATTTCTTTTTCCTTGCGCTGGGCAGCCTGATGGCCTCAGCAAAGATTCGTCTTTTTGCATTGAGATGAAAAGGTGTCCAACTCTGGATCTGGGGATGAGGACGAACCAGCTGGTCCAAGGTGGAGAAACCCTGTCATTGTGGAGTGAGGTCGTCTGGGGGTCCAGGTGGCAGTAGGAGTGTGTGTCTCAGCCAGGGGGAGCCCCATTGCTTGTGACCTCTCCCCACACTCTGCCTCTCCTGCATCCAGGCAGAGGGCCGTGCACGAAGTGGGGAAAGGCTCACCGCAGATTTCTTAACAGGCTGGTTGCGCATCCTGGTAAACGGTGTGAAGATATTGACTGACCAGAGACAGAAAGCTTTACAAGGAACACAATTCAAGTACACATGTTTGAGCCTGGCTCTCGCTGACAGCCAGGAGCTAATGACACTTGTGAGCAGAAGAAGTCAATTCAAACAAATCATGACCAGAGCTGACAGAAGGGTAAGCAGGACCCTGCGCAATGTGGCCAGCGGGTTTACTCAGGGGGAAGCCACAGCTAACGTGGCTTCAGGATGTCACCATACATTTGGTGAACTGATGGCAGGGGTTTCCTCGCAGTGGAGGGAAAAAAATCAACAGAGGTAGTCTAGATAGAATCCTTTATTATTCATTACCATGCCCCTAGCACGTGAAGCTGGGCTTACACTGAGGTCAGCTATGGAGAGGGGTGTGTTTACAATGAGAGCAGTTTCTCTATATGCAGTAGGTTAAGCCATCGTCTCTGTTTCTGGAATACTGTGATGACCCACATCCATGGGCCAGCTGGTTCCAGGAGCCCATCTGGCCTTGCTGACACTGGGCTGCCTGAAGGATTAGCCGCACTTGCACAGGGCGGGCTGGGGAAGGGGAGTCCCGGGTTTATAAGCAGGAGGAGGCAAGGCCCATGGGAGGCAGGGAGCATGGGCTGGGCCATGTGCTGAAGCAGGAAAAGGGAGGCAGGGCACAGCGGCTCATGCCTGTAACCCCAGCACTTTGGGAGGCTGAGGCAGGAGGATCACTTGAGCCCAGGAATCGGAGACCAGGCTGGGCAACATAGGGAGACGCTGTTTCTACAAAAAACTTTAAAAAAGTAGGAAAAGGGAGCAACAAGGATGTTGTCGTGCCTCTCCCAGGGCACATAGGAGGTGGTGGGAAAGCAGGCTGGGGAGTGTAATCTGTCTCCTTCCAGGAAGGGACCCAGCCACCGGGTCTCCTGGCCAAGGCCACAGACCATCCAAGAGCCGTCCAGGGCAGGGCAGGGCAGGGCAGGCGCCGCACAGATGCACAGTGCGAAGGCTTTCCTGGTCGGCTGTGAGCGACCATAGCGGCATGCTTCATCCCCAACCCCACGATGGAGGTAGGGGGACAGTTGCAGCTGGGCAGCCTGAGGGACTTTTAAACCCTGAGGGGGGTGGCAGTGTCCCTGGGGCGTGGTCTAAAGCAGTGGTTCTTAAAGTGTGGTTCCAGGGCCAGCAGCAGCCCCTGGGGACTTGTTAGAAATGCAAGTTATTTGCTCTGCTTCTCCTGATTAGAAACTCTGGTGGTGGAGGCAGCAATCTGGAAAAGCATCCCCCCCCAGGTGATGCTGACTCAAGTTTGATCACTCCTGGCTTAGACGCTTGGTCACGACGTTCTCAGCAGATGTAAGCACCACCCAGCGGCGGTACCAGAGACTGGTTGTCTCTGCAGCCAGTCAAAGCCCCTTTCCTTCCTCAGGCTCAGAGTGGCCAGTACACGGAGCATGTTTTCAAGGCAGGTCCTAGGGTGGGTGGTGGTGATGGTGACTGTTCCACCTCACTGCCCCTGCCTGAAATCCTTGAAGAGGGGCCCGGAGTGGCAGACTCTGAGACCAAAGCTGGCAACAGGGCTGGAGGGTCCCGGGCACATCATACTGACATACCATGGCCCCCCTGCCCCCAGGGCCACATTGGGCCCTTCTGGCTGTCAGGGCCTTTGGCCGTGCACAAGGTGAACTTCCCAAAACAGAAAGTAGTGTCCACCCCAGAGCCCCGGCAGCAGCAGGCGCTTCGTATAGCATGGAGAAAGAAGGCAGAGAGGGGTGTCGCCTGAGGGGGAGGTGGTCAACACACCCCCAGGCGTCCCCTCCCTGCCCAGGCTGGCTCTGGCAGGGGGCGTGACCTGAGGTTTTCTCCAACCCCCAGTGATCTCCACACGGGCATGAGATTCCACACCCTGTGTGAAGGCTCCGAGGGCTGAGGGCCAGTCCCTGCTCTCACTGCGGGGCCAGCATTGGCACCTGAGACGATGGGCCGGGCTGTTGCCAGGCTCGCTTGCTGCCTGAGCCCCTGCTCCAGGGGGGCCCGGCTGTCAGCCTGAAATAAGCTAGGCTTCTGCACCACGCACATGTGCAGGGCAGCTGGCACCTGGCCCAGATGCCAGATTCCGTTCAACCTGGTGGGAGGGGGTGCCGAAGCTGCTGCTATCGGATGGTGCCCTGAGGGACACTTTGTTTCTGAACCTCAGCCTGAGCACTTGTTACAGAGATGGAGAACCATGGGACGCGGAGGACAGGGGGCTCCCAGCTCAGCTTTGCTTCTTTCTACCCGGCTGGGGTGGCAAGACAACAGCCATTATTGCTGACCAGCAAGCCTCTTAACCCTGCTGAGCCTCAATTTCCTCACCTGTAAAATGGGGGAAATACCTTTTTGTTGGAGTAACTGCAAGCGAATGTACTGACGGCAAGTAGCACGTTCTAAGTGCACAGCAGGCCCTCAGTAAGTACAAGGCATTCGCCAGACACCCCGCAGGTGGCCCTGCCTGGAGGGCTCCCGGGGTTGAGGCTAGACTGTCGGGGAGTGTGGCGGGGGAAAGAGAGGAATGGGCACACACACTTCATCCCCTCCCCCAAGGCCAGGTTCCATCCCTGTCCACTCCCTGCCTCCCACCAACACTCGTCATGCGGGGGACACAGGGACGGACGTACCCTTCTGTCTTGGTGTCCGCCCCTTGGGGAATGGTGGCATGGCGTGTGCAGGGTGTGGACGTGCTGGCCTGAGCTGTGTGGGATCCCAGTACCTGTTGCTTCTCTGCCCAGGCCCTGGTGGGCAGGAGGCTTTTGCCCTATACAGGACTGGTGATGACTTTCCACAGGCATGTCCTCTCTCTCCAAGGAACTCAAGACTGCTGGCCTCCAAGCAGGGGCCCGGGAGGACCTGCCCTGGGCATCCATCTCCACCCTGGGCAGCAGGAGGGCTACACCCAGCTGGGGCTGCATCCTGGGCTCTGGACTCCAGCCATTGTGCATTCCTAGGCAGAACCTGCCCTGTCTTGGGCCTCTGTTTCCTCCAACCCTGTCTCATCTCCCAGGCTGCTGGCCTGGACATGGAGGTCGTATTTCCAAGAAGCTCTGGGCTGTCCTACCACTTTCTGCAGCTTGGACCAGCCAATCTCCCCAACGGAAATCTGGGCTGGACAACCGCCAGTGCAGGAATCACAGCTAATCCTGCCTCCAGTCAGGCTGGCCCAACCCAACACATGGGGCTGGGGCCGACGGGGCAGGCTCTCCTGGGCTGCCACCTTTGTCTCCCATCCCTGCCAGGGCAGACAGGTCAAACCATAGCCCTCCTACCCACTGCTGCCTCTCTTGGTGCCCCACCAGGAAGAACAAGACCCTGGCCCAGCACGCTCCCTCTTTCTCAGCCCTCAGTCTGTAGGTCTTGTCAGTTGATATGCAGCACTTCAGAGCTCTGGGGAGTCACGATCAGTTTTCGATGATCTGCACGAAGCCCAGCTTGGAGGGCAGCAAGGATAATCACGTCACACTGTTTCTCTTGGCCGTGGAGCAGTCATTTCTGGGAAAGCTGGTTTTCCTTTTAATGAGTTCACATTGGCCACCCCAGGCCTTTCTAGGCAGAGGAGATAAACCAGCCCAGCCTCTCGGTAGCCCCTGGAGAATCCTCACAGTAGAGGCGGCAATCTGCCCCGAGAGGCTGGCTTTCTCTCTGTCCACGTGGGCACTTCCCGCTCTGAGGATACAGTTTCTGGACAGTTTAGGGCTGTGTTTGTGACCACAGTGAGGGGCCTTCAGGTCACTCCTGTGTACGGGAGCAAGCACACCCCTCCTCAGGGCCAGCCCAGGTCAGCAAGGGCTGTGCTCAGCAGGCTGGGAGCTGGAACATGTGGAGAGACCAGGTGTGACCTCTCCCAGCCTCGGCCTTCGCATCACAAGGCGCTGTGCTTTAGGGGGAAGAGGGCCCACCTCTGGGGAGAAGTGCAGGACCTGGGAGGTATGGAGGCCAGGCGTGGGGTTCCCGTGTTATGCTCAAGGTGCCCACTTGTAATAGCCATTTAGGGGGGTACCTATGGTTGTCGCAAAAGTTGATACCTACCCTTCATGAGACTGCCAGCATGAATACTCTGTATTTCATAGGATTTCCTCTCTGTTCTCCCTTAGTATTTGGGAAAGTTCTTCCTGAAAACTCCCTGCCTAATTCAAGACAGATGCAAGACAGGACCAAAGGAAGGGACTCTATCCAGCCTGGGACGGGCGGAAAAAGGGAAGGAGAGCGAGACCCTCTGGAAGCAACACGGTGGTGGCCCCAGGGTTGGGGAGAGGGGCCCCAGGAAAAGTGAGGTTCGGGCAGATCCCCTGTATTCAGAGCTGCCCCTTCTCAGCCCTCCAACTCTGCAGGGCCTGTGATTTAGTCCACGCTGGGATGAGTTTTACACCCACCAACATTAAGAGCTGAAGATAGTTTTGAAACCAGGCATGCCTCAGCTGGGCGAAGTGGCTCACATCTGTAACCCCAGTACTATAGGAGGCCAGGGTGGGAGGATGGCTTGAGCCCAGGAATTTGAGGCCAGCCTGGGCAACATAGGGAGACCCCATCTCTACAAAAAGTTTAAAAAATTAGCCAGGTGTGGTGGTGCCTGCCTATCATCCCAGCTGGTCAGCAGGCTGAGCTGGGAGGATCGCTTGAGCCTGGGAGGTCAAGGCTGCAGTGAGCCCTGGTCACGCCACTACCCTCCAGCCTGGATGACAGAGCAAGACCCTGCCTCAAAAACAAAAACAAAAAACCCACTGGCATTCCTGAGAATCAGGCCCCAGACCAGGAGATCCCCGAGGGGCATATTACTATAGAGGCCGGGGCTTGGAGCCAGGGTCTCCCAGAGGGGTTTCTCTTGGGAAAGCCACTAGGCAGGGTGCAGGGCTCTGCTCCTGGTGCAGCATGTGCTAGTGTGGCCAGCATACCCCACATCCCTGCCCTGGCAGCTCCACCCAGCCTGTGACTGCCCTGCCTCTGGCCTCCCCACCTCCAGGCCCTGCAGGAAGGAGTGAGGCCAGCAGGACACGGCTTTCCAGGTGAGGCAGTGTGGGGAGTAGGCAGGTTGAAGGGCTAGCTAGGTCATCTAGGGGAAGAGCCACTCCTACCTGTCCCACCCCATGCATTTCCCAGAGGGGACAGCAAAGCGAGGGCTTCTGAGCACTGGTGGGGATCCTGCCCAGAATGCAGGCATCCCAGGGGACCCGGGTTTTCAGCCTTGTCCCAGGTTTGGGAGCTGGGAGGGAGCAGAGGGCCCAAATATCACCCTCCTGTGGTCCCCGGCACCCCCGTGCCTGGTGAGGGTCCTTCTCCTGCCAAGGCTCTGGCTGTGAGGGCTCAGAAATGGAGGGGAGGGGGCTGAGGGTCCCCGCCTAGGTGGGGAGCCATGGTCTAAGGCACTTGGTGCATTTGCAGGGGCTGGACACAGAGGAGGGGGCATCTGTGGCCCTAGTGGAGCTGGTGCTAATGCTGCAGGCCTGGCAGGTGGATGTGGCGCCTGTCCTTCGAAGGGCAGTTGGCAGGGGACGCAGTTGACCATGAGTAAAAATGTCGCTGGAGCCTCGGTGCAAGCAGCAGATGAGACCCATCCTGCAGGTGGAGAGGGCAAAGGAGCAAAGAGAGATCAGAACTCCCTGAGGCTGTCAGCCATCAGGGCTCTGGAGCAGTGCTGCTCATGCCCAGTGCACATGTGAGTCCCCTGGGGCCTGGAGAAAGGGCAGCTTCCCGCTTAGGTTGGGGTGGGGCCTGCGGTTCCACACTTCTAACAAGCTCCCAGGTGATGCCCGTGAAAGTGGGGGAGCCGCACTCCAAGAACTACTGTCCAAGAGCAGGGTGTCACACACTTTAATGGACATAAACCACCCGGGGACCCCCTTATTACAAGTTTGCAGGCCTGGGTGGGGGCCTAAGGGTCTTCGTTCCTAACAAGCTCCCCGTCGATGCTGTGGGTCTGTGGTCCTAGGGCTTCTCCAGAAATGGCCTAGTTTAATGAGATCCCGAGTGAGTATTTCTGCTCCCTCATCAGAGCTGTCTGAAGCCGCCTTCTTCTCTGGGAAACGGCCTGTATTTTGCTGCCCTCAGACTCCGGAACAAAACTCAGGTCCGTTATGGATGCTCTGCCATGTGCAAGAGCCATGGGGGAAACGGAGACTCTGGGAGGAGCCCCTAGAGCTGTCATCAGCTCTGACAGTGAGCACAGAAGGCAGCGCCAAGCCCAGCCGCAGGAGTCCCGCCTGCCAGCCCCTCTGTCGGCAACCAGGGGCCGAACAGGAAGGGGCTGGAGCATCCTACCCAAAGCACGCGCAGGCTTGGGAAGGTCGCTGTCCGCCCCGTCTCACTTCCCATTTCTAAAACACAGAGGACCTTTATTCTCCCACCTTGCTCTTCATGGACACCCCCTGCCCCCCGCCACCTTCTTCTTCCTCTCCTCCCTCCCACTCAAGGATGCACTGGGATAATGTCATCATGATCCTGATAATGATGATGACCTGTTGTCAGGTCTCGACTCTGTCTGCAGGAGAGGGGCACTGGGCTAGAGCAGCCCCGTGAATGTCCCGTGCCACCTGGGGTGACAGTAGATTCCCCTAAGTATAGAAACAACACCCCGACTTTCCCCAATGTTTCCAGCTGCTGCTGCCGCCCTGACCTTGCGAATCTGGATGTAGAGGGCAGGCTGGTGGAGGTGCCTGTGGGCCGTACCCACTTGTCTCTCAGCAAGGCTAGTGAAGAAGGTAGCTTCTTCCCCTCCTCTCTCCTCTCCATCCCTCCAAACCTGGAGGGCAGCAGGGAGTGTGACCACTGCCTTCAGCTTGGAGACTCGGTGCTGAGGGCTCTGTTAATCCACCTCGGGGCCTCAGGGTCACAGCTGAAATGTGGCTTAGGAGGTTATTTCATGTCCCACCAGCTTAAGCAAGTGGCTGTCACAGCCCCTCCACCCACGTAGGTGTTATGCGGCATGCCCTCTTCCCCTGTCCCCACCTCATGGGTTGATGATTTTCCTGTGCACTTTCTGGATCTTTCTGATCCATGCTAAGGGGGAGGCCAGAAGGGAGCTGTTAGGCCAGCACAGATTTGTGCTGTAAGCAAAATTCACGTCTCGTACAGTGTACATCTGATGCTGGGGGAGGACAGGAGGAGCTAGGCTCTCAAGAGACACACTTCTGCATGAGATGTGTGTTCCCAGGGTGCTCCCAGGAGAGGTCCAATAAGGGTGGAGGTGTATGGGCCAGACTCATCAATGTGGGTCCACATGCACACACACACGCGCACACCCCCACCCTGAATCGTGCAGAGGGCACAGGATACTGACCCGCCGGATCCCTGAGTAAGCATCAGCATCTCTCTCCTGACAGAAGACGCGAAGAAACCAGCACGGAATGGCTCCAGGCAGCCAGCAGGGGGCGAGCAGAGACAAGACAGGACAAGTTCCCTGCAGGTGCCGGAGAAGGCCAACCGGGTTGGGCCGGGCCCTGGGGCCCAGCTGCATGGTGTCTGGTGCTTTTTTTCGGCAGCTGCCTGGGTGTGGCACTCGGCCACACGTGGGACATTTTTTTTTTAACAGGGAAGTCGTCATGCCTTCAGCTTCTTATGAGGTTTCTGAGTCAGCTCCTGGCTGTCATCAGAGAACACGAAGGAGGGGCCAGGGAAGTTCCAGGAAGTCATTCCAAAGTGATTGCTTGGTTTCCCTTTTCACGACCTGCAGATCCCAACACTCCAGGATGGTGCAGGACATCAGTCTCAAGGTAATTGGTCACAGAGGTGAGAACCTTACTGAAAAATCAGAATGTGAACCCTGGAAGGTTCCTGAAAGATGAGCTAGACGGTTTTGAAACTGTATTGGGAATCCCAAGTGTAGCTCAAGGCTACTGGTCTTCGAGGTACCAGGCTGGGTATGTCGGGGAGGTAGGTGCCTGGTGTCTGCCTGCTGGCGACGATGACTGCGAGCCCTTTCTCAAGACTTCGGCCCACCTGGGTCTTGGGCAATGTAGTGCCCAGCATCGGCCGCGAGAGGGAGCTCTAACCTGAGACTTGGCGGCCGCAGGGCTGGCTCAGTGGACCGCAGGGGAGAAAACAGGGCAAGGGGTTGAGCGCCATCAGGAGCCATTCCACAGTGACCATGGAGGAGCAGAGACTGCATGGTGGGGGTTGTGAGTGGGGAGAAAGCGTCCACTCACCTGAAAGCCCAACGACCTGGTCTCCTCGGCATCAGACTTACACAGCAGTTCCATCCACCTTGACCTTAGGGCTCAGGGCATCTGCAGCCCTACTGCCGGCCCTCGGCCTCACTGCCCTCATCTGGCAGCTTCTATGTGCTCTCGGGGCTGGAGAGGTCAGGAAGAAATAGACAGAGTGGGCCAGGCTTGGTCGGAGTCCATACAGAGCAGGCCCCCTCTGCACGGGGAGTCACAGATTTCTGGAAACCTCAGCTGAGCCTGGTGCAGTGGCACAGAGCAGCCCTGCCCCAGTTCCCAGTGGTGACTCCTCTGGGGTTCAGCACATGGGACAGAAGACCTGCCCTGGGGAGGTGCAAAAGAGCGGCAATGCTAACGCCACCTGGGCTCCCTGGCCCTGCAGGTGAGTGAGGATGAAGGGGAGCAGGCTGGTCTGGCCAGGGAGAAACTGGGGCTTTTTTTTTTTTTTTTTTTTTTTTGAGAGACAGTGTGCCCTTGCAGAGAGAATACAAATGATGGTGTCACATGTTGAGCACCTGCTATCTGCTCAGCAGTGAGCCAGACACTTCCATGGGTGTTGCTAATTCCCATCACCAGCTACCAGATGAGGTCCGGTCAGCCCCATTTCACAAATCAGTGACTGAGGCTCAGAGATGAAATAAATGGCCCTAGGTCACACAACTTGCAGGTGGCAGAACCAAGGTGAGTGTCCCTCCAAAGGCTAGAGACCCTCCTCCCAGCATGTTAGGCTGTAGCTGGACCCTCCAGGCCCACAGACCATGTGGGTAGCTGGCACCATCATCTGAAAGGACCCTATGCTGGGAGTCTCTCCAAGCCAGCCAAGGCCACCATCCCTTGCTTCTCTTTCCCACAGACCTCTGAGTCGGGGTAGGGAGTTTGCGAAAGCGAAGGGCCAATATCAGGAGATCGGGGCGCCATTTCAGGGGGTGAGACCCTGGGCAAGTTGCCTCTCTGGGTCTCAACTTTCTGATCTGTAAAGTGAGAACGCTACTCGTTGTCTGGCCTGGGTCTCAGGTTGTTGTATGGACCCAGTGAGAGGAAGTATCGGAAATCCTCTGAAGTCTGCGGACAGCTGGATAAAGGCTTACGGAGGCTTTCATTTGTGCCATGTGCTGTAAGTGGGTCACAGGCATCACCTTATTCTTATTTAGACCTTAGGAGGTTGAAGAAATTATTCACATTTTGCAGATGAAGGGTTGAGGGATAGGGAAGTTAAGTAGCTCGAGGTCACACAGGAGCAAAGCCAGGACTGGACTCAGGTCTTCTGAGGCCTAAGCACTACTCTTCCTCTTCCCTAGACGGTGCTCATAGCACTGGACGGGGAAGGGCTGGGTAGGACAGCAGGACTGCTGGGCCCCTTCTAGAAGGACAGCCTACACTTGCGGGGGCTCTCACCTCTGAGGATTCCTTCCTGGCTCCCCTCCCTTGGACCCTTGACTACAGCAGCCTGAGAGAGTGACCTTGACTTCCTGGGTGGCAGCAGGGGGACTGGGTGGAAGGGAGAAATGGGAGCCAAGGGCATTGCTTATCCTCAGGGAGAGAGCTGGATGTACACAGGGGAATGTGTGTGCACAAGCACACGCACACGCACGCGCACGCACACACACGCACACGCGCACTTATATACAGTTGTTCTGGATTCCAAAATCCACTGATGCTCAAGTCCCTGATATAAAATGGTGCAGTATTTGCATGTGACGTCTGCACATCCTCCCACATTCTTTAAATCATCTCTAGATTACTTGTAATTCCTAATACAATCCACATGCTATGTAAATCGTTGTCACGCTGTATTGTTTAGGGGGTAATGACAAGGATGTTCAGTGCAGACATAACCATCCTTTTTGTTAGTACTTTTATTCCATGGTTGGTTGAATCCAAGGATACAGAACCTGTGGATATGGAGGGCTGATGGTACACACACACACACACACCCACACACACACACACACACACCCACAGACACAGACACACACACACAGACACAGACGCAGACACACACAGGAATGAATGCAGATATGTACACACTCACACATGCACAAGCACCCTAAACACACACAGTGCATACCACCCCACCCACATAGACCCGGGAACATGGGGACCCCCACGGACCCACACACACCACGGCAGGCTTGCACACTGACCCCCACATGCACACACTCAAGGTGCATGCCCGTACCTGAGCCCACATCCACACTCCTCCCAGGCCCCTGTTCCTGACAAGTTAATGTTGTCCCTCAGGCATCTTCCTTCATGTTCTCTGGGGGAGAGACTGACTGTGGGAATCAGCCTTGGTTGCAAAGGGAAGCTGAGAGAAGAGAGCAGCGCAGGGCACGGACATGCCAGCCCAGTTACTGGAGATATCTGCCGCTGGAGACGGGTTCAGAGCCTAGTTTAATATCCCGAGTGAGTATTTCCTCCTAATCTCCCAACTGCAACATACCTTCCTCCTAATCTCCCAACTGCAACTCACCTCCAGGCAGGCCACCCTGATGCCCATCGCCCCCATGAGTAGCAGGTAGCTTGGTGAGGCAGCCTCCCTGCAAGGGAAGGGCAGGTGTCATGGCTTTGGCTCAGAAGCAGGCACAGGTGGGGAGGAAGGGCTGGCCGTCCCGGTGCATATGGCAGAGGCAGAGGGTGGACCAGAGGACTCATGGGCTGGACCTGGCCTTGAGTGGCTCACAGGTTTCGTGGGTGGCCCCAGGAGCATGCCATGGTGCCCTGGACTCTCTCAGCAGGAGCTGCTTGTCCCAGGGCTTTGTAGAGCGTCTGAGGGGCCTGGCACTGTGGGCTCATGGCCAAGAATCATGTGTGCTCTGCTATTCCCACACCCATCTGCCTGACCCCAGCCCTTTGGGGGCTCCTGGAGGCCAGGCTGGGGCCCTTTCCTTGTCCCCAGCTTGCGCTGGGGCACTTACCACCCCCTTGCAGATGTTGGAGGGGTGGGCCGGCTGGCTGCAGAGCGCCACCACTGCCTTGCAGCCGCTGTCGGGCACTGGTGGCTCTCACCTCCCACGACAGCAGGTACGTGCTGCGCTGCCAGTCGCTGAGCTATTGCATCCGTAGCACTTGAACTGCAGGGGGAGGCAGAGGCTGGAGGTGAGAAGCCTGTGTGGGGTTCCAGGGCCGACGACACAGGATTCAAATACCCAACCCCTCTTTGCTCTCCCTGCGATTTCTGCCTTCCCTGTTTGAGCAGAGAGCTGGTCTCTGGGGGCCAGCACTGCCCGCAGGACACCTATCTGCTACCTGCAGTCACCCAGGTCCTTTAAGGAGATTATGCTGGGTGTCCTGGGGGCAGGGTAGGTCTGTGAGGTGGGCAAGATGGAGGGGGGGGTCCCCAGAGAGGGGGGCTGTGTACTGCTGCCTGACAGAACGCAGGCTGGTGACAAGCCACAAGGGGCAAGGAGGCCCTGGTCATCCAGGAGGCAGGACACGGGGACAGGGACCAGCCTTGCCAGGGGTTCCCAGGTGAAACCTCAGAGCCCCAGACATGCAGGGACACAAAGGGTGTCCCAGAGTCCACGGTGTGGGCAGGTCAGTGTTGGCCAGAGGGGCCGGTGTGAATGCTGAGTGAGGCCCGGGGTCGTCGGCACCACTCCAGGGCAGGAAAGTGCCAGCCAGGGTGGAAAGCAATTCAAAGGCAGCGGACTCAGGCCACTTCCTGCCCTTCTGAGTCAGGGCCCTGAGACTCCAAGTCCCTACACGGGCCACAGAACACAGCGGCTGGGAGGCTGTCTCTGGTGTGGGAATGGGGCTGGGTGGGCGGAGCGGTATTAGTTCATTAGTTCAGCTACCAGCGTTTTGCTAGGTTTGCCATGTGCCTGGAGTGAACAAACATGAGTCAGGCACCAGTCCTGCCCTGAAGTAGTGTAGCATTTACTGTAGTTTAGTAGAAGACAATGGAAGCTTGTGTGTGAACCCCAGAGAAGGAAGGGGTGAATCCTCTGTCCAGGGCTAGGAAACGTCCACAGGGATGGACGGGGGTGCTGGGCGTCCTGGCCGAACATAACTGCAGCAGACAGGGCAGGGACTGGCGCAGCGAGGGCAGGGAGTCACGCGGCCTCACACATCCCTGTGTCTCTGTCTGTGTGTGCTGGCGCCGCACGACTGCTGGGCCACTTGCTTGTAAAATGGGGCCAACAAAAGGACCTGCGCCCTGGGCCATCGTGCGGACTGAAAGAGGTGATTCATGGAAAGCAATTAGAAGAGAGCCTGGCGCAGCACCCGCAGTTAATGAGAGACACTTTTGTGATCATCGTCGTGTGAATGCAGGTGCGCGTGCCCGTGTCATTTACATCCATGGGGTGCTGCTGGGAGGCCTGACGCTAGCCCTGGCTCTGCAGCCACTGCTTTCTGGGGGTCGGTCTCCTGCCTGAGATGCAGGTTGGGGTTCTAACTGTTCCCGGCCTGTGTGAGGGCCTGCGTTCGCGTGCACTGGTGCCCTGCAGGTCTTGGTCGGTGACACCGCCTCTGCTCTTAGCGGTACCTTTCCTCGTGCCACTCCCACCCCTCCACCTAAGCAAACCCTGCCCCTGCCCCACGGAGCCCTCCCCCCCTCCCCTGCTCCCTATTCTGGGGGTGCCCCAGCCTCACACTGTCTGCACGTTGCCTGCTGTGTGTCTGGCTTTCTGAGCGAGCCCGCGGGTGGGATTCTGTCCTATTCTTGTCTCGCCCAGGTCCTCACAGGCGCGGCCCAGTGACTGCACACTTAGTCTTGCACAGGGCTGACCAGTGGTGTGTGCTGCCCCATCCCAGTCCAGGGCTAAGTCTGTGGGGTACACGTGTGCCTGTGGGTGTGCACCTGTGTATACACGTGTGCCCTAGGCCACTATTTCAGAAAAGAGACCCCTCTGCCAACTGGGAGCTGAGCCTGAGTCTTGGGGAGATGGGGTGAGGGCTTCCGCACTGAGCCATGATGCCCCTGGATCTTGGAGCTCATGACGTCTATGTCTTCCACTTGCCTGACGTTCCCTGGGCCAAGACCAAGGCCCCAGGCCCAGGGGGTGAGGGTGGGGAGTGGGGTGGCAGAGAGAGGGGGACCAGAGCAGGTGGGTAGAGCAGACTTGGATTTTCTGACACAAACCCATCAGGATCTGGAACAGTGGCGTCCAGGAGAACTTTCTGCGATGGAGGCAGCGTCCTGCATCTGTGCTGCCCAGCTCCGCGTTCACTCACCATCTGGGGCTCCTGAGTGCCTGAAATGTGGTTGGTGCGAGCAAGGAACTGGATTTTGTTTAATTTAACTGTAAATAGCCACATGTGGGCGGTGGCTGCCGTATTGGACAGCACAGCTCTGAGGTCCACTGCCCGCCCCCTATGTCTGGCAGGATGGTGGGCCTCGCTGGAGGGATCTGCCGCATCTTTTCTTGGAAAGGAGACCACCTTTCTGTCCCTCAGCATCCTGCCTGCTGGCTCACAACTGGGGAGTTCTGTTGGTGGCTTAGCTGAAATACCCCCGTCGGGTAGCGCTCCCTTTTATGGGGCTTCAGCTCCCCGCTCCCCAGGGAAGAAGGAAGGCAGCCTTACAGACAGGAGAAACCCGGAGAGAGGCTTCCTGGCCCAGATCCTGGCAGGAGATGGAGTTCTCCTGGTACTGCCAGCTTCCTGCCCACCAGGACCCAGAACGGGAAGACAGCAGGGGTGGGTTTGGAGGAGGGAGTCAAGGAGAGGGAGGGAGAGGAACCAGGCTTCAGCAGGCACTTCTCACGGTGGTAGGGACTTTACAGGTGTGACCGAATTTAATGCTCACATACCCTAAAGAGGCTTCATTTTAGGGATGTGGCAACCGAGGCTCAGAGAGGGTAAGTAACTTGCCAGGGCCACACAGACAGGAAAGAAGAGAGTCAGGATTTGAACCTGTGTCTGCTTGGCCTTCAAGGCCATAGGGCATGGTGTACCTCCTGCTGCAGCCGGTCTACTGAGGCGGGGATCTGTGTGGCTCTAGCCTGCCCGCAGTTCTTGGTCAGAGTCTGGCTCAAGTGCTGCTTCTGTTCATCACTCAGCTGAGGAGTGATAAGATGGCATCAGCGGGACCACCCCACCCTTGCCTACCACCCAGGCCTGCTGCCAGGCCTCCCCAGCTAACTCTAGAGCACTGTGGCCTGTGGATGGTGCGATGACTATCAGTGGGAAACAGGGCAGAAGATGGCCATAAAGAGGAGGTTACAGAAGCTGGGCCCTGATTCAGGGCGCAGGTGCACTGGGCAGAGCTGAGGGAGGCTGGGAGGCTCAGGTAAAGGGTGGCAGCCAGAGGTGGTGGGAGGCGGAGGTGAGGCTAGACACCAGAAACTGAAATGTCTATTGATCTTAATTTTGATTAAGAGGTGATATTCAAAATACTTACAATTGTTACCCTGTGAGCACCACTCCAGCATGGCTTAAACAGCCAGCAGGGTTGTGTTGTCTCTACCAGCTGAACGTTACCCTGGTCATGGCCTCAAACTCTCGATTCAGAGGGCAGCAGGGTGGGAGCAGATGGGACTGGTCACTGCGTCTCTGTTCAATCCAGGCAGGCAAGACCCGATCCTGTCTTCAGGGTCTTCCATGTGATCCTGGCCCAGGCCTTTCTTCTTGGATGCCTCTGACAGATGGATTCATTCTCTAGACCATCCTTGAAAGGGGAGAGGGATGACCTAAGCTCCCACGGGAAGCCCCCCTCCCCAACTCCCATGCAGAAGACATCAGCATCAGTGGAGTCAGGGAATTGCTGAAGCCAGGGCCAGCAGCTGGGATCCAGATGTGTGGAAGATTGCCAGGGTGGAAAGCGGGACCACCCCTGTGCCTGCCGCAGCTTCCCCCATCACCATGCACCCCCCTTATCCCCGCGCATGGCTTCATCGGGACACAGACAGAGAATGGAGGAGGAGGAAGCATCCACTCACCCTCTGGTAACACACATGGGCCGGGACTCCCGCCACCAGCTCAACCAGATAATAAGTGACAGGCAGAAATACTAGGAGCAAGGAGAGAAGAGGGTCACCACCAGGGATCAGGACACGCCTATGACCGATGTTTCCCCAACGTGGTGGGGGTGGTAGAGATAGCTGCTAGGGACCCCCATCACCTGTGCCATCTACCTTCTCTCGCCAGCAGCTCTGGACATCCCAGCCTTGCTGGCTGCTGGCAGCGAGTTTCCTACTCATCCCTTTGCTCATTGGACTGGCAGCAATTCAGTAATCCACCTACCCATCCAATATGTATAAATACCTGCTGTATGCCAGGTGCCAAGTAGCGTAAGACAACTATTGTCCTCAAAGTTATTAATGGTGGGGAGGACAGGTGAGTGATTACAATCAATGTAATTGCTATCAGTGTAACTGTGGGTTAAGCCCTAGAAATGATGGGAGGCTCCTGGCGGGGAGGGCAGTCAGAGAAGGCTTCCTGGAGGCGGTGACACCTGAGGGGCATCTCTAAGGACAAGCAGGCATTAGCCAAGCGAAGAAGGAGGGAAGTGCATTCCAGGCAGACGGGAGCGCACGTACAAAGCCTGGAGCCTGAGGAAAGCATGGGGCACTTGTGTTCAGGGAGCAGAGTGCGCCCACATGGCTGGAGTGCAGGGCTGGGCAGCAGCAACCAAGGCTCAGGAAAAAGCAAAGGCAGAAATCAGAAAGGTGATTCGTGTGTCCTCTTCCAGCCCCGATGCCCATTCCCTGTCCTGCGTGGCCCCGCAGGGGTTCTCAGTTCCTCTCACCGCTGCCTGGCCACCTCTAGGCTTGGGGTTGCCCTTCTTGCTTTATGGCCCCGCTGCAGCCACTGCCTGACTTCCTGGCCATGCACACACGCAGGGAAGGTGTGACCCTCCTCATTCCCAGCTGGCTTTCCACCTCAGGGAGGCTCGTGCTCCACCCTGACCCTGGCGTGTTCTTGCAGCAGCCAACAGGTCTGAAACGCATGTCAGTCCCACTTGGGCTGGAGGGGGCAGGGAGAGGGGGATGAAGCCAGATAAGTTCAGGCAACCGAGGAGCACTGGGCAGGAACAAGGGAAGAGAAGGGAGGAGAGAAGACGGGGGAGGACTGTTGATGGAAATTGGCCGTGCCCTGGGGGAGTTCAGCCGCACTCATGAGCACCTCCCCCCGAGCTGCCCCTGGGCACTGCCCACCCCTCTGGCCACAGCAGGGTAGCTGCCCATAGTCACTGGGATGGCTGGGTTCTAGGGAAGGCCCAGGCTATGGGTGACACCTGACGCTCTAGGGCTCACCCAGCAGGGAAAGGAGGGTGGGCTGGAGGGAGACAGTTGGGGGTGGGGGGCTCCTTAGGATGGACTGGGGCTGTGGCCAGTTTCAGAGGCAAGGCCAGTGCAGGGGCCCATGGGGCTTATCCAATCACCTCCTGCACCATTCGGCAAGGAGCCTGGTATGAGCAGGGCTTAAGGAACACAAGGAGAGGGGACATTTCTTCATACAGGGAAAGAGCCTCAGCCCAAGAATAAGGCTTTTAAATGAAGCGAGTTACTCGCCCCCTGCTCCAAGTTTACTGCGCCGTATTTGTTGTCTCCCAGCGTTGGAGCTGGCCAACAGTGGGGATAGCGGGGGAATTTTCCGTCTCGGAATAACGGTGTCAGGCCTGCCCCCATCACTTGAGGGCCTGAGGCAAAGCCTATGAAACAGGTCCCTACCTCACTCCTTTTCTACCCCAGGCTCTATGCTGCACCAGGAAAGGCCTCCTGTCCGCCCTCCCCCAGGGGGAGATGCCCCTTAGCCGAGCCCGTGGAGAGGGCTGGGTGTGGTGCTGTGTGGGTACAGGTGAGAGGGGCACGTCCCAGGGGTCCCGTCAGCTCCAGGACACCTGTGCAGATGCTGCATGCATAGGCTGAATGGACAGAGGATTCCAAGCTCCTGGGTTCCTGGGAGGAGGTCTAGAAGTGGGGAAAGGGAGCCGCAGGTTCCACAAAGGGACATCTCTCAGCCCCACAGACTTTCCGCTCCATGGGGAGAGGTGTGGAGGAAGGAGGGCTGAGTGCGGCCCAGGCAAAGGCCCCGCTTGCCTGGGTCTGTGGGTGGTATTGAGTGGTATCCCCAGGAAGCTGAGGCAGGAGGCTGACGAGGGTTTGTGGATGGTTCCTCTGCTGGGGGAGCCCCTGAAAAGTAGGGCCTGAATGCCAAGGGAGGCTGGCAGAGATGCCCATGAACTGGCCTTGGGTCTAGTCTCCACCATCTGCTGACTCCAGTCGGGTGGCTGCTAGTGCCTTGGTGTAAATTAGAAAAATGTGCTCCAATGAGAAAAAATGTGGCTCAGAAAGAGTCGAGTGGCCCGCATTTCAGCCTTCTCTGGTCCCCTTGCATAGGACGCAACGTTTAGGGCCATCCACGGTGGCCCTGACTGTGGGCTGTGCCTCCCTGTCCTCATCAGCAGATGGGGAAGATGTCTACTGCCGGTTCTGCCCACCCCAAGTGGATGGGGGCACCCAACAGGGAAGTGGTGGGAGGGACAGGCTTCAGTGGTCTGCCCTGCCTCCTGACTTCCCTGAAGTTGAGGTCCCATAGCATGAGGTGTGTGGTCCTTGTCAGCCAGTGGCAGGTGCGGTTGGTGCAGCCCAGCACTCACCCTCCTGGGAGCCGCCTGGCCCATCAGACAGAGTGTGGCTGCTTCCACCCGCACCCAGGGGCTCTCCCAGACCCCCGCACTGCTGGGCCCCACAGCTCCTCTCTGACATGGGTGCCTTTCCCGCTGGCTCCAAATTGCCCTCCCCTCCCACTGTGGTGCACAGGCCGACTCCCTGCTGCCGCCCAGAACCTAGAGGGAGTGAGGTGCTGCAGCGTCTGTAACTGAACGGGAGACCCAGGCCGCTGGCAGCAGGGAGGGCTGCATCCTGGCATCTCACCACCTTCCTTCTATTACCACCATGGGCTGGGAGTCAGGCCCAGAAGATAGTCCTGAAGAGGTGGCAGCGTCACGCTGCTCCCCTGGGAGTCCCTGCCCTGGTTGCTATTCAAGACAGGGTGGGGAACAGGGAGGATGGGAAGGGAGAGACACAACCTCACCGCTTAAGTTTAATGGCAGGCTGTTAGCACCCGCCAGTGCTGCAAAGTCCGGTCAGAGGCATCACACAGGCTACCGACCTGCTGGAGGGGTGAGGAGGAGGGGGGGGCGAGTGCTGGGCAGGGGTGAGGGGTGTGGGGACAGCCTCCCGAGTAAGGGGCTCCAGCATGTAAGGACACCTGGGAGGGGAGCGAGGGGCTGGCCTGGGACTTCAAGGGACTGAGGCTGGGTGGCCCCAGCTGCTGGCTCCAGGCAGCAGCTTCCGCAGCGGGAGGGCTGCAGGTGTGTGACTCACCTGGGTGGGGGAGGCCCTGAGTCACGGCTCCTGGTGTGACAGCCCCAGGAAGCAGGCCAAGAGCCCTGCTCATCTGGATCCCGCACTGAGGCTGGCTAGAACTCCCGGGCAGTGGGCCGGGCTGTTGGGCCTTTAGCTGTGTGACAGCACAGATGCCAACAAATCCACCTTTGCCCCGCTACCCTGCATTTACCCAGCGTTTCCCGGCTCCCTCCGTGCATCGGAATCATCTCAGGGCTCCCGCGGCACATGTTGGCTGTCTGCAAAGCGGAGAAACATCCCTCGTGTTGCTTTATGAAGCTCCTTTCATGCAGGCCAGGCATCTAGCCTTCAGGCCTTTGCTCTCTCCGTCCCCAACTGCCTGGAAAGCCGGTGCCTCCTTGTCCTTCAATACCCAGCTCAGCTCAGTCATGGCTCCACTAAGCCATGCCAGGTAGCAGCGATGGCTACTCCCTGCCCTCCAATGCCTGCAGCGTGTCATCTGCTGTCTCCTGACACCAGCACTTTCTGCTTTGCCCCTTCTCTCCTCAGCTAGGCGGGGCTCCGCCTCCGTGTCCCTCCGCATGCCTGCTGCATGATTCCTGGGTGTAGGTCTCCACTGGATGAACGGCACAACTTCCCCCACTGCCCTGTATCAGTTGCTTTTGTTTCAGGTGTTACCACTGTCCCCCCAGAATGACTGTGAGCTTCTGGGCATGGGGACCAGCACACTCCTCCACGGTGCCTGGTGCATGCTCAGTGTAGAGGCATGCTTGGTGAACATCCCCTGATTAAGGTGTGGGCGTGCGCTGTCTTACAAAGCACACCTGGGAGGCAGCAGGAACCCGTGGGAGCGTGCCAGCCCCACACTGAGGGCAGTAGTTTCATCTTTTTCTGGTACTTCCGAGAGTACCATAGAACAATTACCTTAGTTAAATTTATACCAGTGCTTCTCAACCTGGCTGGATTTGGCCCTCAGGGGACATTTGGCAATGTCTGGAGACTTTTGCTGTTGTCATTAGCTGGGGAAGGAGTATTACCAGTGGGTAGAGACCAGGGATGCTGCTGAGCGCCCTACAGCGCATGGGGCAGTCCCCTGCGGCAAAGAATCATCAGGCCCCAAATGTCGGTAGCGCCGAGGTTGAGAAACCCTGGGCCACACATTGACAGCTGACGCTGGGACTTGATTTGTTTATGTGCCCCTATACACTACGGGAGGCACAAATGGAAGATCCGAGGAGCCAGGAACGGAACACGGACAGAAGCATGCACGGCCTTGTGCGCTGTGCCTGCCTGGGAGGGCAGCTCTGTGGCAGGAGGCTGCTCACCTGGACACAGGAAGGATCAGGGAAGCCCGTACTGCTCCAGCTCACATCCTCACGGGACCTGGAGGCTGGAGAGGGAATTCCAGGAGTCCAGGTACATCCTGTCTGGTCCCAAGATCTCTGAAGGGTTCCCTGGGGACAGTCTGTTTCCTGAAGCAGCTGTGGAGTCCTCCAGCTTCCTTCGTGAGCTAGGGAGGGGGGTGCTGCCGTGATTCTGTAAGAGCTTGACTCCAGGAAGCACGAAGAAGGCTCCAGAGACAGCTTTTGCCTTGATTAAGTTTGATTTGATGTGTTTTTGAATTATTAAACAAAAGTCAGTAAGAAATTCTCAGGTGCCCTGTAATCTGGAGGAGTTCTATTTCCACACGGTTAGTATCACTGGACCCCATGCTGTCCTGCTTCTCCCAGCTCACCAGACCAAGGAGGGTCCATGCTGCACCAGCAGAGCCCCGCATTCTCTTCAGCGTCCCCACCCCCCCCCCCAGAATTGCTGGCCAGTGGCTTAGGAGGCAACACCCCAACTCAGGGTGTGCTGGTCTTGCTTCTCAAGCCTAGTAGGAGAAGAGCAGAGGGGCACGCAGTGTTTTCAGGGCGGGAGCAGCAGAAAGCATCCCTTTTCTTTCTCCAAAAGAAAAAAAAAGCACCCTTCCTTGGCAGAGTCAGCACCTTGCTCATGTGAGCAGCCCAGGAGCACCAAGCAGAGCCCGGCACACGGTGGTGCTCCATGACAGTGACAGCCAACATGTATGAGTGCTCCCAGGTGCCGGCCCCCTTGCAAACACTTTGCGTGTCTCTCCCATCCACCCTCAGAGATGAGTACTAGCATTACTCATCACATTGCCACGTGGGCACGAGCATCAGCCTCGTTTTCTAGATGAGCACACGTGCGTGGAGAAGCTAAGTAGCTTGCCTGAGGTCACACAGCAAATACGTGGCTGGGTGAGGCATGGAACCCAGGAATTCTGGCTGCAGAGCCTGTGCTCGGACCTGCTACGTGCTACTTTCCCCACTGAACAACGGATGCGCGGATGGATGGATGAGCACTGGGCTCATTTAGCGGGGATTCAGCACGTTAGGGCTGGTGTGGTTCAGGTGGACACAGGGGTGTTAGGTGCTCCCCCAAGGGACAGGGTGTCAGGAGGGGTGAGGGGTGAGAGGGTGAAGATGGAGAAAAAAAAGGGAAGCCCAGGGAAGCTTTCCCCAGGCACACGAGCATCCCTCACTGCCCTGCGCTCAGCCTCTTGCCAACTGTCCAGGGCACCAGCCTTCTGTGGTCCCCTTGCATAGGACACAACCTTTAGGGCCATCCATGGTGGCCCTGTGGGCTGAGCTTCTGTATCCTCGCCAGCAGATGGGGTAAGTCAGTGATGCTCCAGGCAGTACCCCCTTGGGCAGGCTGCCCTGCTCCTTGCCAGCAGTGGTGGAGCATCTCCTGCCTGCTCCTCCACCCCCGTGGCTTGTCCTGGGTTCAGGGCCACGGGCTGTAATGTGGGTCTCTGCCCCCTCCACCCTTCCCATTACTCAGCCCAGCCTACTCTGATCTCAGAAGCTAGTCACTGTCTCTACAGCCTGTGAAGCATTCCCTGTGTGTACACAGATCCTCACACAGCAAAGCTTCCAGCCTCCCTGCCTTTGCTCTCTGGCTGTTCCTCCTGCCTGGAATTCCCTGCCCTGGCCCCATCTGTGTTCCGTTTATTGGCTGCTCAGCCACCAATATTCAGCTCAGGCATGGCCTCCATAAAGCCTTGGGCCAGAAGCTTCTGACCCGTGAGCTCACTGCTGGCATCGTTGTTTCCGAGCCTCCTTCTGGCTCCAGGCCTCTCTGCTTGTCTTGCTCCCTGGGCTGTGTACACTTGGATCCCTGCTTGCCCTCCTGGCTCTCACCTGTGCCTTGTTGTGCCTTCGTGGACCCTGTGCACCAGGGTGTGAACTGAACCTACCCAATGAACTCCAGTCTGACCCCCAGCTCCACTCTGGTTTTTGTGACCGGTCTGCCCCCTGCAGACTCAGGGCTGCACCATCCTTCTAGAAGCAACCATCTAATGGCCTGGTCTGATGGAAACGGGTAATGAGAATCCCAAAGAAAGCTCCTCTAGCATCTGCCTTCCATAAGAACGACTCAATTTCAGGCTCAAAACATAGAGGGAACCAGTGTTTTAGGCACAGAATGGGACCCAAACGTTAATTCCCACCCCTTCCTCATACCATAGTGGGGTTTTTTCCATTAACTCTTTAACAGGGCAGCTTAAACTAGAAGCAGAGTTGGATACTTTCTAAAACTATAGATCCAAAGTGAAGCTGGAACAGCATAGCATTTTCTGAATCAAACCAATACTTTCTTTAATGAGACGCTTTGCAGGAAATATGCAGAAATATTTCTCATTGTGACATTGAGACGAGTAACTAGAAATGGAATCTTTGGAGGGACTTATACCACATGGGGGCAAACTGAGCCCCAGATAAGAGTTTCTGGGGCAGATGCACTGGTGCATAAGAGACAGGGCAACTGAGCTTCAGCTGGTGCCATCCTTGAGGTAAGTTTGAAGAACTTTGTAAAACTGGAATTTCAGAATTTCTCCATTGGACTGATTCTGCCACAAAGAGGGAGCTTCGTGGAAGCATTCATTTTCCTCTTTTGTCTCTCCAACCATCCTGTATGATTAGAGAGACACAGGGTTTGCAAAATTTCCTGCAAGTGATAGCCTGATGGTGGAGGCTCGGTGTCCAGGCAGGTCACGACAAGGTGGAGGGACTAGCCTATTCCCAGAACAGCCTCGCATCAGCACAACACAAGGATCAAGACGTCGCCAAGTTAAGCTGGAGGGAGAAGAGCCCAGCCTGAGGCTCCCAGCCGGCTGTGTTTGAGAGGATCACAGAAGCAGGTGGAGGGAGGGCCAGGGAGCCCAGAACGACCGGCCAAACAGGAAAAGACGAAGCCAGCTGTTTAAACGGCAATGACCTCAGGGCGAATTATTTTCTGGCAATTAACCATGGACTGGAGGCAGCTCAGAGGTGCAGCTGCCTGGCCTGTTTGTGCAAACCAGAGGATGTGAATTTGGAAGCCTCAAGCCATTCCTGTAACAAGATGTCATTGTCGGAAGGCTGAAGGTGACCTCTACCCCTCCTGGCCCCAGCCCAGGGCTCACACCCTGGGCTATCCAGCCGCAGCTATGGTGGAGGTTGGGACTCAGCCATTCCACTGGGAGCAGCTCTACAGTGAGGACAAGAGGATGAGCTCTGGCCAGTTTCTGATACTAACATACATTCCTGACCCGGGGGGCTGGGAGCAGAGAAGAGGACCAGGGCTGGGGTAAGGAGAGCTGTAGATGCGATGGAGTGAGGGTTAAGTTGGAAGAGGCAGGGAGGGAGCAAACTGGATGCTGGGGAAGCAGGAGGTATTCTACAAGCACATCAAGGAAATGCAGCTGAGCAGTTGCACTTGCTCACACCTGTAAGCCCAGCAACTTGGAGCTGAGGCAGGAGAACTGCTTGAGTCCAGGAGTTTGAGACCAGCCTGGACAATATAGCAAGACCTGTTTCTCAAAAAATAAAATAGGAAAAAAAGAGAAAATGTGGCTGAGGCCATCCAAAGCGCCAGCCCAAATGTTGGGGTCTAAGAGGAACGTGTGTGTGTGTGTGTGTGTGTGTGTGTGTGTGTGGTGGGGGGTGGGCCTGGAAGGAGAACAGAATTCCAGAACTACACGCCCAAGACAGGCGTCCACTGAGCTTCAAGCTGGGACTATTAAGAACTTAGTTGGAATGGGCTGAGTCAGGGCAGCACCCAGAGAGGGCAGCAGGGCCTGGCCAGCAGGCTGGGGGGATGGGGGCCAGGTGCCCCATGGGGAGACACAGAGCAGGGGACTCAGAGGATGCTCAGTGGATTCAGGTATAGGGAGGTGACCAATTGCCACTTCTTCCCAGCCCCCCCTGGAAAGCACTAGACATTCCCGTGGCTGTCTTCTTACAGGCTTTGGACAGAGATGGTGCAGCCTGCAGATACCTGTGCACACAGGTGGACAGAAGGGACTGTGCAGGTGGTGAAGGTGGGATAAGAGCAGTGGCAAGGGCCCCAGGGCAGGACTAGTGGTGTGTCCCTCGCAGTGATAATTCATCCTAGGACAAAAGTGGCTATGGGGGGTAGGGAAGGCTACCAAGAACAAGAGTGAGGAGATACCAAGAACAGGGCAGCCTAAAGGTTAGGAAAAGTCCTGAGGCCCAGAGAGGTCAGAGCCTCTGACCAAATCCAAACACAAATTCAAACCACCTGCACGGTCCTTTACCTTTTAATGCAGGCACCTGGTGTTCCTCGCTAGACTCCAAGCCTAGAACTGGGCCACAGTCCCGTTCTTCCTCTCCCCTTCTCACCCTGTGTTTTGCCCAGCAGAGCAGGAAAGCTGAGAATGTGCTGGAAATGCTTGTTGAGGCCGACGTGTCAGGCAGCCCATCAGTGCAGGATGGAGCCTCGGTTGCAGAGAACTGCAGGGAGGTGGTGTGGAAGCTCATTGGCTGTAAGAACTGCTCCGCTGCGACAGTGCTGCTGGAGGTGGTGGTGAACAGGTACACCCACTGCAGCCTGGAGAGGTGGATGTTGACGCAAAGTCTATGAGTCTCTTGTGCAGCCAGCTCAAGGCTGGCTCTTCAGGATGTTTGTGTCCTGCTTCCCAAAGAGCCTTCAGGCTTCAGAGGTCATCTTCTCCATTCCCCTGGCTCTACCACACAAGCCACCCTGGATGAGGAGAGGTTCATGCCAGAGAGGGGTCGGGATTCTCCAAGCCCTGGCTGCAGGAGAATTTTTGGAGCATGGGGGCTGTCATCTGACCAAAGATGAAAATACCACCTAACAGACGAGGCAAGGCCCACCGTGGGGCTGGGTGGCTGGTGGAGCAACAGAAAGGAACATGTGGGTGAGAAATGAGGGGAGGATGCAGTCCAGTTCCCGGGTCCAGGGACCCAGGTTCCCCCGAACTTCCCACCAGTCCCAGCTTCTTTAGAGGATGTGGCCCAGCCAAGGCTGTGGGGGTCTGGGGGCAGTGGGCCCAAGAATAACTCTTACTTATGTAGGTCTCTTCTCAAAGGAGCTTGGCCATGGTGACGGTGATGAGAATGTTCACCAGAGCCACATTTTTACAATCTTTATATAATGTGGTGACTCGTTTCCTAAGACCTGAAAATACTTCCTCCTTATCCTCACACCTCGTCCCAGATAAAATGGCAATGCCAAAGTGGCAAAGCAGAAAGCAGTGACTTACCTGAGGCCCCAGAGCAAGCTGGGCAAGCTCCATGAAAACCAGCTTTTCAGCCTGAGCCCAGATATTATCTTTGATCCTGGACCCCATTGCCCTGGCTGACCAAGCCTCGGCATATTTGATGGAAGTGTTGCAATTCTGGCTCCCCTCATTTTCAGAAATTAGTTTCTAGGACTTCTTACTTTTTAATCCATCCCCTGATAAAGACCCAGTTAAGTCTGAACCATCCATCATGATGTTCATTTGGCTTAAGATATAAAAGTTTTCAGAGCCCACATTCAAAACTCTAAAAATATCTTCCTCTTTTGATCTAGGTGGCATCTGTCCTGGTCATCGGCCTCGGGTCCAGATGGCCTGAATTATCTGTCTCTCTCATGCAGTCTTTGCTAAAAGAGAAGGTCTGGTGTAAATAATTTAAACCCCATTCCCTTCCCCTCTCTGCAGATTTCTGATGCCAAGCTGATCATCGTCTCAGCACCAGCAAAGACATGCTATTCCCGTCCCTGACGAGCATTTCCTTCTTGAGAAAGTGATTTTGAGGGGCTGCAGATGTACTTGGAGGAAGGTTTGGGCCGGGACAGATGACGTGCCCATGTGGGAGCTGGACGGCCCCTCTCTGGGTAGCTCCCTGGGAACTCCCATGTCCGCCTCCCGCTGCCTCCTGATCCAAGGTGGATGCACTTCATTTGAGGCCTGGTCTTTCGTCCTTCCCTCTCCTCTTCGGGGACCACTTTGTCTAGTGCTAGACTCATTGTGCTTCCCCCTTGGGGCTTCCTTCAGCCCTCAGCCGATTCAAGACTTCAAAAGGAAGTTGGACATGGAGAGGAAAAAAGAAATGAAACCAGGAAGGAACCGCCAAGAAGCACACAACGCGTTTATGCTGCCTTAACCACACGCTTGACTCTAAATGGGTTTAAAAATTCTTACTTGTGTTAGCCCAAGAAAGTTTCTGCAGCCGTCTTTTTGGTTTAAACAATCAAATACTCAATAATTCTGGGGCTGGTGGGCCAGGATATGGGTTACTCAGATCTTCTGCTTCACCCCATGCTCGGTCCCTGAGCCAGTTCTGTCATTGGTTCTTTCAGACCAGGGCAGGAAAAGTCAAGAAAGCAAAAGCGGATTCTAGGCTGTGGGGTTTGCTGTTTGCTAGCCCCCTGGCAGAGATGCCTGTCCTTGCAGTCCTGAACTGGTGGCCAAGTGTGCATGCATGCACGTGCAGGTGTGTGCATGTGCAGGTGTGCATGCGTGTATGTGCGCACACACATTCATGCTTGTACATGTTTGTGTACACGCACACTTTTTTCTGCTTTCAATTTCAAGCTGTTGCCTCCCTGATGTGTCTGTTTAGTGACTTGAGCCAGAAAGATTCCCGGTTCTATGTGGGATGAGAATGAACGCAGGCAGGTCTCCACAGAAGTGAGTAAAGTAGAGCTGAGAAGAAGGACATTGTCTCATGCCAGCCTGTCCAATAGCCACTTTGCCCCAGCCCTGCCTCAAGCCCCAGAGAGATGACAAGGCTCTCTCTGTTTGTCGACTCCTTGAAGCTCAGAAAGGTGGGTCAAGAGGTGCCCGTCAAGCGTTTAGGCAAGCACAGGACCCTGATCTTTACTAAGTCTCCACATCTCTCTTGCACAGCCCTGGGCTCAGGGCTTGGTCCCCTCTGGGCAGGCCATCCAGACTAAGTGACAGTCAGATTGTGTGTGGGGAGGCTAGAGACATCCATTCTTCATGGATCAGCCTGAATGGCTGGACAGATCTTGCAAATGGATTGTGTAAGACAGAGTGTGGAAGAGGAGGCTGTGATCAGTGGCTTGGAGAGCAGAGTGTGGTCAGGCGCTAAACCTAAGGCTTTTCTGGGAAGAGCTGTTAAGATTAGACTGTTCTCCCAAAAAGCCAATAATTCTGAGTGTCTCCATTAATGCCTAGGTAGCCCATACTCTCACCCAGCCGGTGCCCTTCAGCCTGGAACCTTTGGATGGAGGATTGGACCTTGTGACCTTCAAGTTCCCTTCCGAACCAAATATGCTCTAACCCAGGTATGCTGTTATTTTCTTATATAATGGGAGCAAGGAGGCACTGGGATGCCCAAGGCGTCTAGGGTCTCACCATGACACCCCTGGTCTCCTGCCCTAGTGGTCTGGCTGGGTCCTGCACAGAGCCCTCTCTTGTAATCAGCCAGATCTCCAAGAGCCACGGCTCCACACAGACCTACCCATAGATGGACGGCAGGGTGTGCCCTGCACACATTCATCCCTGCCCCGCTCAGCTTCCTGCCCCTCTGCCTTCGTTCAGCCTTGGTCCCCAGGAGAAGCAGACTCTTGGAGGCAATTCCAACAGGCTGCAATTCCCAGTCCAGCTCCGGCCCTTACTTCCTGCACGTCTCAGCCTGGCCTCCTCATCTGTAAAGCAGGGGTGAATACTACCTCTTTGGATGCAGTGGAGTGTGGTGGGTCATGGTGGATCAGAGCATGGGCTTGGAGCTAGACCACATGCCACTCGCCAGCAATGTGTGTCGCACATTTGAAAACTTCACATTTTCCTGCTGCCTCCACATCCCCAGACACAGGTGGTGTGCACCTGCCTGGGTGACCCAGTGCACTATTGTCACGGGGCCGGCCGTGCCACAAGTTCCCCTGACTGTGACCTAGTAACGTTCAAATGCACTGGTGGAATTCCCTCGTGTCTGTTTTTGGTGTGCTTCACTCTGATCCCCAATAAAAAAGCCTCACCCGCTCTCTGCCCCCCACCTGCTTGGTGGAGCCTGGGCCCTGGGTGCTCCTCCCATGCGACCCCTCCCAGCGGAGTGTGCAGTGACTCTGTGGGGCCTGTGAGTCTGGGAACACCTGTTGCCCTGCGCCTCTCCTGTGCCTCCTCTTGCGGCTGCCCCCGATTGACCATTACCTAAAATAATCACACACACAGTGTGGTTCTGGACAAATCACTTCCCTGCCCCTGCCCTCTGTTTCCTCCCCTGTCAATGCACATAGTAAGAATAAGCTGCTCTTTGGGGCACAGAGAGGACAGAGTTGATGTGTGAGTGTTGAGAATGGTGCTTGGCAGAGAGTTCAGATTATTGGGACTTTGCAGGTTGCTATAGTAAGGACAGAGGTAGGTGGCTCTCGGTGAACAGTGGCCATTTGTGTTCTAATCAGGCCCCAGGAGGAATGCAGGGGGCTGTTTCCCTGTGCTGCAGGGACTACTGGCCTTTAAGGGCTCCTCAGAACCAAGGGTCTGGGTCAGAAGAAAGGTTCCAGGTGAGGGCTTCTGCCTTCCCTCTTGTGCTGTCCAGAGGTGAGTCCTGTCCTCCCTCAACAAGATGACCTGGTGGAAGGAAGGAGGCAGCGGAGACCACGCGGCTTGGCTGCCTGCCTGTGGGCAGACCTGCAGGTGTGAGGGGCGGAAGCTTGGCCTGAAGCCTGAGGCCAAGCTGAAGGCCAAGCCTGCTGGGGGGCACAGAGCCAGACAGGACACAGTGGGCTCGCCAACACTGCAGAGGAAAGGGGTTCTCTCTCTGGGCCCAACAGCACTGGTCCCGCAAGCCTCAGGCCCCCTAAGGGCTGGTCGGTGCTGCACAGAGAGAGTGTCTCCACCCCAGGCCATGGTACGTGCCCGGTTCACTGTCCCACCACGTGCCTCCATCCAGCTACGTTGGTCAGGTCTAGGATGTGCCACTCGGCTCTCGGGGACCTCAGCTGAGCGACCGCATTGCCCAGGATGCTGGAAATCCTCACGATAGGCCCCAGGCCGGAGGGCTGGGTGGGGGTATGGCTGGCCCCCTGGCACACCAGTCCCCAGTGCTGGAAAAGAGCTCAAAGCCCATGCCCTGGGGCCTTCACCCTGCAGGCCTATCACATCCACTCTCCCAGCGCCCTGGCTGTAGGCTCTCCCTCTCTTCCAAACGGGAGGGCCGTCCTGCAGGCCCGTACACAGGCGCTTCATATCCACAGCTGGAAACTAGGTCGCTGCTGGTGAGAGGCAGCAGGGGACGGTCCACAGGCTTTCGCAGCACCCTTCCTCTGCCACTGGTTCCCTGGGTCACTGTGCAAAAGCAGAGGCTGCAAAGTCTGTGGTGGAACCCGGGAAGCCGGAGAAGGAACACGGGGGCCTTTGAGGCTTCTTCCCGCTGCCCGATTCCTTTCAGGCTCGGCCTGATTTCTCTTTGAGACTTGGGCTGGTTCTGCCCCTCACACTTCCTTGCTGGTCTGGACATTTTTCAGCCTCATCTGTCCTCTTCTTCTCTTCCCACACACTAGGCTTTGACCCTTGGGAGGGGCTGTGGGGTGAAGAGAGGCCCCAGGCAGCAGGGAGCTTGCCTCTGCCAAGAGGGCATGGAAGTTAGGGAGTTGGGGTCTGCCTGAGTCCTGAGCTGGGCTCCAGGCCTCTGGTCCTGCACATTCCACCCCAGCCTCCCCTCCTGACACTCTGGGCAGCTGCGGATCTTCCCAGCTTCCCAGGAAGAAGGCTGTCAAGGAGGCTCTGGTGCCTGTAACACCAGCCATGCACCAGGCGATCTCCAAACATTCAGATCAGTGGGATCTGATCAGGCCTCTAGATCTAACCACCAGGTGGGCATGTTAGACAACATCATGGGGGTGTCATCAGAAAATCCAGACTGGGAGAAACGTGACAGGACAAATGACGTGGTTCTTCAGCACATACATTGCAAGAGGAGAAAAAAGGAGAGAGAGAGATTGATGGTGGAACTTAGAGGCTACAGGAGACTTAGGAGACCAATTAACTGATTTTAACACATGGATGTAATTTAGATTCCGACCCCAAAAACTTTTTTAAAAAGAACAGTTTATGGGTCAGTTGGGGAGAGCTGAAACTGCCTGGTTATTTCGTGATATTAAGGAATCAACTGTTAATAGTTTTTAGGTATGATAATGGTAATGTTACTATGTTTTCTAAAAGAGGATCCTTAAGTTTTAGAGGTACATACTGAAATATTTGTTTTTTAAATGTTTTAAAAAGTTTATTGCTCTTTCAGAAATATGCTGACATATTGACAGATGATTTGATATCTGGGATTGCTTCAAAACCATCCTGGGGTGGGGAGAGGGAGGGATGGAGGGGAGGGTGCAGGCCAGCGAATGGAGATGGACTATGAAGTGGTAACTGTTGAGCCCTGGGTGATGGGAAGATGGAGGTTCATTAAAGCACTTTTTAAAATTTTTGCATATCTTTGAAAATTGCCATGATAAAATCTGGAAGGAGCAGGAAGAGAAACAGGAAGAGAAAGGATGAAAGAGAGGGAGAGGAGGACGAGGGGAAAAAAGAGGAGGAGGAGGAGGAGGAGGAAGAGAAGGCAGAGGAAAAGGGAGAAGGAGGAGAGGAAGGAGAAGGGAAGGGAGAAGGGGAAGGAGAGGAGGGAGAAGAAGGAAGGGGCAGAGGAGGAGGAGAGGGAGGAGGAGAGACAGATGAGAGGGAGCTACTACTGCAGCTGCCGAGGCTGGCCTCCTGGCCTGTGTCCTAAGATCCTGGAGAACACCAGGCTGGCGAGCAGCCACCCCCTCTCTGGCTGCCCCATGGCCTCAGCCGCTTCCCACTCCAGGACTGGAGCCCTTCTTCCTTGCTGGGGACCTCACTGGGAAATAGGGTGGTAGTGCAGGGTCCCCCTCCCTGCAGAGCATGGAGAGGCAGCCCTTCTGCTCCTAGGAGATGGTGCTGTTGCCCAGGAAGCCGGTCACCATGACGAGAGTACCCGCTCAGATGAGGATGCAGGCGGAGGCGGTGAAGGTGCTGGAGGCCAGGATGCTGAGGTAGCTGCTCCTCTCCACCAGGGTCCAGATGCCCATGGCCAGGACAGCTGCCCCCCTGACCTGCAGGAGACCACCAGGTTGGAGCAGGGGGTGGCGGGGGCCTCAGGAGCTGCCATTCCTTGAGTGCCCGCTGGGTACCAGGCACTTCTCGTGCATTGTCTTATTCAATTTAGGCCTCCTAAGAGCCTGTGAGAACAGTGTGGTGGCCTAGCTTTACAGATGAGGAAACGGAGGCTGAGAGAGGTTTGCAGGCTTGTCCAAGGTCACACATGTAAGCGAGCTGCAGATTTTGAATCTGGGTCTGACTTCTGATTCTGTGCATCTTACTATGGTTCCTACTGCATATGAGGCGGGGAGAAATGACTTCAGTTTTGGGGATGACTAATATACCTGAGTCCCTTCGCCTCCCCTCCCCTCAGAGCGCTCCCTCCCTCTGTCCACGTTTCCCTGATGGATGTGGAGGTGCCATTTTGAGCACCTCCCCTTGTTCAATCCTTATATTTGCCCATTGGGGAAGCACGGCTGGGCCCCTTATCCCTCCCTGTTCTACAGAGGAAGGAACTGAGGCCCATGGAGGAGAGGTAAATGGCCCGAGTTAGGGGCAGGGCCAGGACCAGGACTCAGAGCCCAGGGCCTGCTTGCTCAGTCTCGCTGCCTCCATGATGGAAGGGCCACTGTGCTGGACAAGTTGGAGCTCCCTGGGACCACAGGAGGAGGGAGGAGAGCCTTCTTTGCTGTCTGACTCCCTTTCAGTCCTGAGAGGGGGCAGGGACGGGACACTGCTGATTTGCAGGTCTGGGGGATGCCTTCTTGGAAATAGAGTACCTGGGAAATGTAGCTGGGGTGGTGGGGCTTGACTGTTCTTTCCTGCCATGAAGCTGAGGAGCCTTTTAGTGACTGTTATCCTCAGCAGAGCATAGTGGGTGGGTGCAAGTGTCCTCAAGGTGCCAGATGGGGGCTGTTTGGAGTGTTTTCCCAGGATTTGGGTCCTCTGGGACCTCTGACCATCTCTGTCATTTGCTCCTGGGAAGGTGGACTTCTGTCTCCCAGTCTCTCTGCCCGCCATTTAGGGACGGGTCCATTTCCTCTGATGGTCAGTAGATGCTTCCTCAAGGGGTCTTGGGTGTAGCCAAAGCTAGAGAAGCCCTCCCGGGCTCTGTTCACATCCCCTGATGCTTTTCCCTGCAAGTTGTCTCCCGTCTGCCCCAGGAAGACTCTCTGTATAACCTAACCTGTCACTTCCCAGTTCTCTGTTCCGGGGAGTCGCAGACCTTGGCTGAGTAAATGGAAGGTGGTTCTTAGCAATGAACAGGCACCTACATTACTCAACTCGCAAGTATTTTACCATTTTGCCATTTTCTCTTCTGAGCTTTGCAACAGCTCTGTGAGGATGGGGCCGGGCAGGAGGGGCCAGGCTATCCCTGTCTTGCAGATAAGAAAATTGAGGCTTGGAGAGAATAAGAATGTGCCCAAGATGACACCATCAGAGGGTCAGAATTGAGGTGCAAACCCAGTTATTTGAGGGCAAATCCAGGCCTCTGTCCTTGGATCCCCCAGAGTAGGCTGGGCCTGCTTCTCTCTTACTTCTACGTTTTTAATAGACATGATTTCTTCAAAGTGCCATTTTATCTCCATAGGTACCTCCAGACACCACCCAGGCTGCAGCAAATGGAATGGGAGAGGCTAACACACCATAATTTTTCAATTCCATGATGCCCATTTTTTCTCACATTTTAACGTCTCTAAAATTGGGGCACATCTTATGATTGATGGCATCTTACAATTACACTTGGCAGTACTTTTTCTTGGTGATACAAAAAAACAACAGTGTATCTTACAACTGATAGCTTAGATTCAGTGAAATCCTAGAATACAACAGGTTTGAAAATTCTCTGTGGGTGAGTGTTATCTGTGGCCCATACAACCTCCATGACCAGTGAGGGATTTCCTGAGTCTGGGTTCCAGCAAAATATCCTGGACAGAATTCTTTTTGACCCTCTACAGCATGCCTGGAAGGCTTGGGCACGGGTCCCAACTGTGTATAACTAGCTCCGTGACCTAAAGAGAGTCCCTGAACCTCTCCAGACCTCAGTTTCTTCACCTCTCGAAGAAGGGAGTGAGTTATATTAGACCAGTAGTTCCCAGCCTGTAACTACCAAGGACCGTTTGATTATTTTTTCCCATGGGTTTTATGTTTTGAGGGCTTTTGCCTATCAACGTGCATTAATTAAGTAATAATTCACTTCTCATTTTTTATTAATCAAAGGCACATATAGTGCCAGGAAGAGATTCTGAACAGCATGAGACAGTCAACTTGACCACACTGAGTTGATCTAACTCCAGCAAAAGGCCAAGAATCTTGGCTTTTCATGAGAATAGCCTCTTTATAGAAATATGCACATTATCTGTGATCTGTTAGGCTTCTTAAGCCTGTCCCTCAAACCAGAGTGGGGGCTGAGCATATGGCTCTGGGGCCACCAAAAGACATATGTTTGGACTGGTCTGGGGACCATCTGTTGGGAGACACAGAACCTCACTGAAAGCCTGATGAAAAGCTTTGCATCCTTTGCCCAGAGAAATGGTCATTCACACAAAACAATACCCTTGGGGCCAGGGGCTGAAGTCTATTTTGCACTACCTAATGACCTGTGGCCTTTATGGTCTGTAGGCCTCCTGCACCCCTATGGTGCCCTAAGACCTGGCTGTACAATCACCTGGGGAGCTTTGAAAAACCCAGGCCCCCCTGCAGGCCCATCCGTGTCTGTGGGAGTGGGACCCAGCCATGAATTTTTTATGAAGTTCCTGGGTGATCCCAGCTGAGAACCATTGCCCAGAATTAACGAATGGGGTCCAGGTGTCCTGCCCTCCTCTTCCCAGTTGGTGACGCTGTGCTGAGCCTCGCAGAACACAGCGGCTTCCCGGTCGCTCAGTCCCAGGAGGGGCCCCTTGAAGCTCCAGGTTCCCTCCCCTGGGAGGAGTTGCCTGGAGGGCTACTGAGATTTGTTCAGGACCTGAACCCCATCCTTTCCTTCCGTGTGTTTGTTAGGGTGTTTGCTTTGGCAGAAGCTTTAAGGTAGAAAGTGGGGTAATCCTGAGGAACAGAATTTTCATCTAAAGGGGCAAAAATCAGATTATGCAAGAAAGGAAAAAACCATGGCTCCCAGGGGAGTCGGAGGCTATGAGAAATGCAGCCCCGGAGAGGAGCAGTGTGGATCTGGCCGACGGAGGCCTGCTCTCTGCCAGGGCACCTGCAGGCCACACAAATGGGGCTGGGATCTTGCAAAGCTTGCAAAGTGACGCCGGATCCTGGGCCACGGGGCAGGGTCTGGAAGGGGTCTGGAGGGACACATTTCCCTGATTCAGGTCTAGAGAACAACAAATCCACATGCATTGCTGTCCAGAAGAAATCAGGAGATGAGTCTGGGTCAACGGGGCCTGGTTATACTTAGCCAGGGGTCTGCAGGAGCCAGAGTGCTGCAAGTCCTCCGGGAAGCTCCTGCCGGGGACGTGGTCAGCTCTTTAGAAAGCAAGCTTTCCTCTGAGCAAGGGAAGGAAAACTGCTCACTGTTGGAATGGGTCACCAGAGGGTGCCACGGGAGGGCGGAAGTCAGCAGGTCTGCATGCCAGTCCTGGCCGTGCCCTTGACTGGGTATGTGACTGTGGACAGACAGTTGGCCTCTCAAAGCCTTAGTTTCTTCATCTGCAAATTGGGGGCACTGGATGGGAATATCTCTGAGGTCCCTTCCACATGGTTAAACTGTCCCTGTTAGTATTGGGCAACAGTGTTCTGCCAAGACACCACCAGCAAGATGCTTCTGGACCAGCGGCTCATGGCTGTCACTCAAACCACTTGGAAACTGCCCAGTTCAACAGAAAGCAGTGGAAGACTGGTGGGGCAGGGAGAGCGCTGACCCCAGTGAGCGGTTTTAACAACCATTGGCGTAGAGTTGATTCAACAGTATTTGGCTCTTTGTAGAAACTGGGTTGGTTTTCTGTGGAGTATTAACTGCATTTCTCAAAACCATAGCCTGTGGCCGATTAGCCAGCAAACCCTGCATAGGGTGAAGTCAGGCAATGAGGACGTGAGCAGACCAGTAAGGGCAGAGCAGGTCACCCATGCCGTGTAATTTTAGGAACTTCTCATTTATAGGAGAGAAACATTGCCAAAGTGTGGCCCACGTCATCATGGGGAGAAGCGTTAGCTTGAACTGCCACACATGCCTGGGGCTGGATAGAAATAAGGCAGCAGGCTTGAAGGAAAGCAGGCAGTGGCGTAACAGTAAATGTAGGATTTTTCTTTGTCCTGCTAGCTAGGGCTTCTGTGTTGACAGCTGGGGGGAGGATGGGGTGGGGCAGGAGCCAGGACCATGGGACGCCCAGTAAAGAAGGATCCCCCGGGCAGGGGAGTTCTCTACCTTCGGTGCTGGGGTTGGGTGGGGGAGCCCATGGCATGGGAGGCAGAAATGCACTGGCTGACAGTATAGTTCATTTGTTTGATGTTTGCTACTAGGAACCAAGCATCACGCTGGACTGAAAAGGTTTTTGGCCTGGACAGGAGTTCCCCCACTGGGAACCACACACATCATCCGTGTCTCTCCTTCCAGGTCGGTCTGGTCAATGGCACCATCACCCACCCACCCTAGACCAGACTAGACACCTCAGGGTCATTATTGACTCCTTCCTCTCCGCTCAATGACAGCCAGTTCTCCTCTGCTCTCAAACCTGTCTCCATCTCCCCACCGTCAGCTCCCAGCTCCTGCTCTACCTGCAGGCTGGCAGGCTGTGCCCCAAGGCACTCCCTGCTGAGCAATCCCCACAGGCTCCAACAGCCAGAGCCCCAAGCCCAGACTCTTTTGCATGGCCTCAGGGCTCTTACGTGTCTGGCCTTAACCTATTTTTGGCTTTATCTTCTGCTACTTTCCTTCCTCCGTACCTGGGCTTTAATCACCATGAACAAAGTAGTTGCTTTTCTTGTAAACATTGTAGATACCCATTAACTATGGCAGCAATAGTAGAGTGGTAAAGAGGGTGAACTCTGGGGTGAAGTACCGGTGTCCGAGTCCAAGCCCCTCTGTTTACGGCTGTGTGGATTTGGATAGGTTACCAAACTCTGGGCCTCTGAGAGGCTCTCTCCTGTCCCTTCCCAACCTGCTCACATTGTTCTCTTTGCCGTTCCTTTTCCACTGAATTCCTACTCACCCATGAAGCCCCATCTCCAGTGCGGCACCTGCTCTGACTCTGCTGGGCAGGTGAGCTTGTCCCTCTCGTGCACACCTGTGGCACTGCTCCCCTCACAGCAGCCCTCGGCCCGGGGGTGGGAGACTCCCCCGACTCCCCTCAGAACCCCGGGCCCAGCAAACCACCTGGCACCTGGCAGCCGCCCACATGAGCATGGGACTCCACGAACGGGGCTTTGTAGGGGGCTTTGGAAATAGCGGCATCTGCTCCCCTCACCCGTCTGTCTGCTGAGCTCCTGAGGCAACAACGAGTATCCCCCTTCCCTGTTTTATGGCCGTTTTTATTTTTGGAGGGGCAGTCTGCAAAGTGCCAGCAGTCCCCGAGGGCAATGGACTTTCCTCCAGGTCATTAGGAAGAAGCCCCTGGAAAGGATCTTCATGCCAGACCAATGCTTGGCTATTCTCGTTCTTTCTTTCAACCCACACCCACTGTGCACTTGCTATGAGGACGCCAGGCTCTCAGGCCATAGTGGGGTCCACACCTGTCACTTCACCTGCCCTCATGTCGCAGGCCAGTGACTAGATGGGAAGGCCCAGCAATCACCAGGGTGATTTCCATTAGAAAGAGAGGAGAATGGGTCTAATTTCAGGGAGGGGGGCTGGCAAACACAGCCTGGGGGCTCAGGAGAGGACTGGGAGGCCATGTCTGAGCAAGGCTCGGTTGCTTGTAAAGAATGGTACCCCGTTCCCACATCAGAAGAGTCAGCTGAACCCCGGGCTGCAGTCCCAATAGTGCACTGCTGAGCCTGGCGCTCACCTGCAGGGTAGATGGCACCTCAGTGCCACACCTGAGCCTCTGAGCTCTCCAGGAGGGCATAGGCAGGCATGTATCAGGCACCACTGCTCACCCTGCTCGTGAGTGACGTTTTTCTGAGCACCAGGCAAGCACTTCTCCCCGGCTCTGTCCATGCTGCCATTGCCTTGGTTTGACTGAATCTTCAAGGACAGGCTTGTCATGCTAAGGGCCATTTTCCACTTTGAGGCATTCTTTTCTTGGTTCTCTGGTTTTAAAGAGCACTTGATAAAATAAATCAGAGCACTGCTTCCCCCTCTGTCTTCCCCATCCCATCTACCCTTATAACAAGAGCAGAATCTCATGGGGCATACCGAGGGGTGGAGCTGGAAAGGAACATAAAATCACCTTCCAAACCCAGCTCAGTATCCAAGGGAAACCTTCCTTGGAGCTGTCTCTCCCCACTCCTCAGCAAACCATTCTGTCCTCTGTACCAGCTCCATGTCTTGCCCATGTTTTTGTAATTATACTCATCACTGCCTATTTGTTTTATTTGCTACCTTGTGTGTCCTCTTTTAGCCTCTTGATAAAACCTTATTCATCTTGGTGTCTCCAATGGAGTCCTACATGTGGGAGGGAAGAAAGAAGGAAGAAAGGAAGGGAGGGAGGAAGGAAGGGAGGAGGGAATCGAGTTCAACCCCTTTTATATTCTGGAGGGAGAAACTAAGGCCCAGAGAAAAGTGACTTTTCCACAGTCACACAACTAGCCAGGGGAAGCATGGAGCTAGAACTCAAGAATCCTAATGCTCAGTTTAGTGTCCATTTTACCAATTGGGCTGCTGACCCACACGAAGCTGCTTGGCCCAGGAAGCAAGTTGTGCGGTGCCTGGGCTACAGTAGATCTAGAGTCCCTGAGCTGCAGATGGGCAGCTAGGAGGGGTGACCACAGCTTCATCCTGACTTGTCTCACTCACCATGGCCCCGAGCAGACCAAATGCACATCCCTCTTGATATGGTTTGGCTGTGTCCCCACCCAAATCTCATCTTGAATTGTAGTTCCCATAATCCCCACATGTCGTGGGTGGGACCTGGTGGGAGGTAATTGAATCATGGGGGCGGGTCCCCCATGCTGTTCTCATGAGTGAGTTCTCATGAGATCTGATGGTTTTGTAAGGGGCTTTCCCCCCTTTGCTTGGCACTTCTCTCTCTCCTGCCACCTTGTTTGCTTCCCCTTCCACCATGATTGTAAGTTTCCTGAGGCCTCACCAGCCATGCTGAACCATGAGTCAGTTAAACCTCTCTCCTTTATAAATAACCCAGTCTTGTGTATTTCTTCATAGCAGCATGAGAATGGACTAATACACCCCTCAGCCATGGCCCTGTCCCCCAGCAGATCCTGACAGCCAAGAGGGGTAGAGGTGCCCCGAAAGCCGTGGGGAGTCCCATGCCATTCAGCATCTCAAGAAGCGGTGCAGCAGAGAAACCAGCTACGAGGTCCCTCACCTGTTTTTCCTCAAATGGCAAGCCCAGGAAGGGGGCAGAGGCCACGTTCAGTGGGGTGATGCTGTCCGAGGTGAAGGGCTTTCTAGCTCTGGCAAAGAGGTGAGCAGAAGGCCCCACCAGGGCCTCCCTAGATCCTGAAGTGATGCTCCCAAGCCACCTCATTCCCCTGCCAGGCTCGGTCCTCCATCTTCTCTGCCACCTGTCTTGGTCCCATGCCTCCTTTAAGGGCTCCCAAGCTTCCCTGTAGGCTGAGCCCTCCTGGCGGCCTGGGAAGGAGCAAGGTCTCCGCTTCAGGAGCAGAGGCAGCCTCTCCAGTCACGGAGTGCTTCCCATTGCCTGGCAGAGCTCCTGGGAGGCTGGAAAAGTTTTGATTATGAACACAGCCAAGCAGCTAATTAAAATAATAAATTAGAGAAAAACATTGCAGGGGTAATGGTAGCTGCAGGGAGCCGTGGAGGAAAAGGGAGGGGAAAGAAACACATCTTCTAGGTGGCCGCCTAGGAAAGCCTGGGCCACATTTTCTTTTTAGGGCCATGAAAGAGGCATGAAAGTGTGGCATTTTGGTTCCTCCTCTGCTCAGCAGGATCATCCCATAATGATTATGGCTTAACTGAAACCCTAGGTGGGGTGGGGCGGTGGGAGTCAGAGATAGGGTGACGGGGAAGAATTGCCACCTGAATCCTGCTTCGTGTTTTGCAAACTTTGGAATGTGACCCATTTGGGTGATAAAATAAATTTAGTGGGTTGTAACCTGCACTAAAAAAAGTGAGCTAAAATAGTAGAGAAAATATCAGCATGCATCTGTATTAGGATTTTCTAGATGGGTAGAACTAATAGAATCTACGTATATATGAAAGGGTGTTTATTAAGGAGAATCGACTCACAGGATCACAAGGTAAAGTCCCACAATAGGTCGTCTGCAAGTTGAGGAGCAAGGAAGCCAGTGGTGGATCAGTCCGAGTCCCGAAACCTCAAAAGTAGGGAAGCCGACATTGCAGACTTCAGGCTGTGTCCAAAGGCCCAAAAGCCCCTGGCAAACTACTGGTGTAAGTCCAAGTGTCCAAAAGCTGAAGAACTTGGAGTCTCATGTTCGAGGGCAGGAAGCATCCAGCATGGAAGAAAGATGAAGGCCAGAAGACTCAGCAAGTCAAGTCCTTCCATGTTCTTCTGCCTGTTTTATTCTAGCCATGTTGGCTGCTGATTAGACGGTGCCCACCCACATTGAGGGTGGGTCTGCCTGCCCCAGTCCACTGACTCAAATGTTAATCTCCTTTGGCAACACCCTCACAGACGCACCCAGGAAAAATACTTCACATCCTTCAATCCAATCAAGTTGACACTCAGTGTTAACCATCACAGCATCATATACCGTAAGGGTAAGTTTAGTTTTCTGAATGTTTCGTGTGAGCATTTCTTATGCTTCCATGCATATCATGAGTCACCATCAGAAAAGTCTCAAAGTCAGCACTATGGACAGAGAAAGTCATTAAAGAGACCAGGCATGCCCATCAGTCTAATCATAATAGTTATGCATAATAGCTAAGCACTGAGTATGTGGCACAAATTGTGCTATTTTTCTAAATAGTAACCTCTAATTCTTACAGGTATTGGTATTCTCATGTAGCATATGAAAAAACTGAGGCTCAGTGAGATTAAGTGATTTGCCTAATGTCTTAGTTCAAGCTGCTGTAACAAAATGCCACAGTCTGGGTGGCTTAAACACCAGAAATTAATTGTCTCACAGTTCTGCAGGCTGGGAAGTCCAAGATCAAGGTGATCTGTTCTGGGTGGGGCTCTCTTCCTGGCTGGCCAATGGCCGCCTTCTTGCGGTGTTCTCACCTGGTGCTTGTCTATGGAGAAAAAGAGAGCTCTCCCTCTCTTCCTGTTCTTAGAAGACCATCAATCCTAGCAGAACAGAGCCATGCCCCTATGGACTCATTTAGCCTTACTTACCTCCCTGTCTCCAAATACAGGCACATTGCTGGTTAGGGCTTCAACATATAACTTTTGGGGGACACAATTCAATCTGTAGCACCCAATGTCCCAGGGCAAATAAATAATGGAGTCTGAATTTGAATCCAAACTTGAGTCTGAGCCTTCCCAGCATGCTGTGCTGCCTCGTTAATTCATGAATGCCCCGAGGACACTAGGAAAGTGTGCAATTTAGAGCTGGGGCTGCAAAGCGTGGTGACCAAGCACACAGGCCTGGGGCCAGGCAGCACTGGGCTACAGCTCCGGGACAAGGCACAGTGCTTCCCATTCCTAAAGCAGGGCTCTAAGAGAGCCATTCACAGCTTCAGGCAGGGCTGGGAGGATTAATGGGATGATGCACCTGCAAGGACAAGCACAGAGGCCCACCATAGTGAGTTCCAGGAACGCTGGGAACTTTGTTTACTGATAGACCCTATGGGCCTAGACCCATGCCTGGCACTTACTAGGTGCTTCATACAAATTGTGGACTGAGTTTTTAATTGTCATTTTCATCACTGACCTGGTATTAGAATACCTGGGTGCCAGTGTTAGCTTTAGCAACACTATCAGACCTTGGGTGAGATTCAGAACCGGGTGGCCTGTTCCCTGTCTGTAAAGTGAGGATAATAATGACAGTGACCATCCAACAGCTCCTGTCAAATGCTGGGCTCAGAACTGCATTGGGGCCAACCCAGGTTTCCCCTCTCTGTGCTGGGTTTCGATAAAGAGTGCAGGGTGATAGACTAGAGAGGACCTCGTTCTGGGGGAGAAAGGAAGCTTGTGTTTCCCCTGTGCTGTGCCTCATACCTCGGCAGGCTCAGGCAGGAGGACCGCGATTGGACGCTGGGGGTGTCTGTGTGGGAGGGAACCTTCTCTTGTTGGAAGGGATCCTCACTGGCCAACGCCCCCTCCTGGGGAATTCTGGTGAGTTCCTAGGGACTTGGTGCTCTGTCCCTAGGGACTGGGCCTGCAGGCTGCCCAGTGTCTACCCCGGAGGAGATTGCAGCAGGTCTTGGGGACCGGACGCCAGGAACCCCTGTGTTGGAGACTGAGGTCTGAACCTTCAAAATCCAACCATCCCCCACCAGGGAAAGAAGTCTGAGCTGAGCTGGTCCCTGGGAAGCTGGTCCACGGCCAGCCAGGCCCTCGGCAGGGGTATTTTTAACTGGAAGCAGGGAGCGCTGCATGAAGGAAGCTCCCCTTGCTGGCAACTGCACCAGTAACACACTTGCTGCGCAGCTGTGTGCACTGCCACCCACAGGCCCTTCTCCTTCCCTCCCCAAAAGGATGCACACACCCAACAGGCCCTGGGTCCTCCCCAACCGTGGTCACCATGTCTGCTGCCCACTCCCACCTACGGGACCTTGGCACAGGCAGGAGCGCAGGGTCCGAGGCCTTCCACAAATATTTGGGCAGAGCACCTCAAGACAGCCCTAGGGACTAAAGAGCCGATGACCCTCTGGCCCCATCTGCTACTGCCCAGCCCTCTCCTGGTGCCCGGCCGGTGGTGTCTACACGGAGTCCACCTCCTCTACCCTCCCGTCTCTGCACTTTCCTGAAAGTGCTTTCCCCACAGCTGCCCCTCTGTTGCTAAGCCCAGTGGCCTCTCACCGCTGACCTTCTCAGGCCCCTGGCTTCCCTCCCACCTCGCTGACTGTTCCGCCTCAGGCTCCCCTGATCAAACTGTAAGCACTGATCAGCTTGTCTGGGGCTCTCTTGGTTTTAGACTAAAAGTCTCACATCCTGGGAACTCCCTCAGTTCAGGGCAAACTGGGACTGTGGGTCACCCCAGACTCACCCTGACCTTGGGGACACCCCAGATCACCCTGACCTTGGGGACACCCTAGACTCACCCTGACCTGTGGGGACGCCCATGTCTCCTTCTTGCCTCTCGTTTCCTCTTGATCTCCATGCTCTCCCTAAGGGATCTCCTGTATTTCTGTGGCTGCAGCTGCCATTGGGGTGGGGATGATCCCCAAGTCTGGGGTGCCAGCCTAACTTTCTCCTGAGATCCAGACCTGTAAGCTAACTGCCTACAGGGCATCTCTGCTCAGAGGTCTCCTGGCACCTCGAAAAGTCACCATGTCTACATCTGACCTCACCATCTGACCCCAAACTTCTCTCTCCAGTCTCTGGTTTCAATGAAGAGCTCTACCATCCATCAGGAGATTCATATCCCAGGCACCTCTTCCAGCCAAAGGAATCTCTTCTTGTCAATTTCACCTCCTAAGTCCCTTGACTCCAAGTATTTCTGTCCCCGCTGTCATCCCCACAGTGCAGGTCATGACCATCTCTCACTTTGATCGGTGCGAAGTCTAGAGGAAGTGTCAACAGTGGCCATTCCTGGGATGGCCAGTGGTATGGGTTGGACTGTGTCCCCCCAAATATATGTTGAAATCCTAACCACCGGAACTGTGAACATGGCCTTATTTGGAAATAAGATCTTTGCAGATGTAGTCAAGTTACAATGAGGTCAGAAGGGTGGGCCCTAATCCAACATGACTGGCGTCCTTGGAAGAGGAAGACGTCACGCGAAGACAGAGACACACAGGAGAGCAGCATGTGACAGCAGAGGCCTTAGAGATTGGAGGGAGGCAGCTGCAAGTCAAGGAGTGCTGAGAATTGCCAGCCACTCTCAGAAGCTGGAAGAGGTGATAAAGGGTCCCTCCCCTAGAAGCTCCAGAGGAAGCACAGCCCTGCTGATGCCCTGATTTTGGACTTGTAGCCTCCAGAACTGTGAGAGAGTGAATTTCTGTTGCTTAAAGCTATCCAGTCTATGGCACTTTGCTACAGCAGCCCTGGGAAGCTAACATAGGGAGATAAGGACAATTTTCATTTTCTTAGCATACTTTTCAGTATTTTAGAGGTGATCTGTAGTGGATACACAAGACTTTTATGATTAGGAAAAACATAGTCATTCTTAAAAAGAAGTGCTCATCAGTAGGAATCCTAAGCGTCCTATTGGATTTGTCCCTGAGAATTGAAGCCATCTATGCCACACAGTTTACTGTCCTCATCAACACAGCTTTTTTATTCCACAGGAGACTCTTGCCCAGGAAGATAAAAGCTGAACATAATTTTATTGTTCATTTCGGGGACTTTGCAAATAACATTTACACAAACAGCAGATTGTACAACTTTTTAATAGCATCTAATGACTGTCTTTTCACCAAGACTCTTCAAAAACTCTTGCCTTGCCATGTCTTCCCATCCCAAACTCCTAGGTCATGGCTCTTCCCAATCTTAATCAAGTCCCTGCAGGAAAGATGCTCAAAACTCAGACATATCCCATTTGCATTTGGTTTTCTGAGATGATTCTAAGACTCTGTAAAGGGTCTTCTCCCTTACCATGGTAGCAGGAAACCTGGCTGCCTTATCTGAGGGTTGATTTGGTGGTATTTTCAGGCATTTGACATCTGATATTCAAAATATTGCATTTATGGAATGCAACCCCAATCATCCCTGAATTGTAGCCAGGGAAACAGGCTCCTCGAACTTCAGTTGCTCAAGGCCACACCATTAGTAGCTGGCAGAGCCTAGGTCCAGCTGCCTGCAAAGCCTGCACTCTTACCCTTCTCCTACTTTCCCAAATTTAGTGAGACTGTAATACAAAATACTTATATTCTGGTGTCTGGCTATTTTTGGGTGGTATTCGGCTCCCAATTGTCCAGATAATGGCCCCAAGCGGACAGGCTATGGTCCTCAGGAAGACATCACCCAGGCAGGTTTCCTGCGGGGAGTCACCATAGAGACCATTTCCATCACAGGCAGCAGCAGCCTGAGCTTCCGGGACTTCTGTTTCCCTGCCCTGGGCCTGGAGAATGTTAACCATGAAAGGCAAATGGGCTTCGGTTGGAAACAAGCCATTATTAGCCACTATTTCAGGCAGTCACATTTCCCACAAGGCACTTGTGCAACAAGTTAGCAGGGAAGAAAGAAGCCGAGCCTTTGTACGGCGGGGCCAGAACACAAAGCTCATTGTGATGTTTGTGCTTCTATTCAGACGCCACGTGGTACGGACTCCACGCCAACCTGCAGACTGGATTCTTTTCTTCCCCCTCAGTAACAAACATACACATTTGCTTTAAAGTAGGCAGAATTTGCCCATGGGTGGTCTTTGATTTGGAAGAAATCAACTTCAAAGTGGTGACTCACAAAAAACAAAGGTGGCTTGACTCATTCAGTGCTCGGGAAAGGGGATGTGTGTGCAGAATTCACTCATCCAGAAGCAGAAGTTGAAGACAAGGAGTAAATACTTCAGGTAGACAATCAGCCAGTCATCCTGCTTGGTCTTGTAATGGGCCATGGCTGCTGAGTCTAGAGAAGGCACACAGGCTGGGCTGGGGAATTACCGAGAGCCACCTCACCCCTCCAGGAGCCAGGGCGCCTCAGCCAGGTTCCCTTTGAAGGGCTTATTTGCCTGTCTTGCCAGGGATCTTTGAGGCTGTGGGTGTGCAGCATAGAGTAAAGATCAGGGAATCGCAAAGGCTACTGGATGCCTTAGTGGAGGTGAATTTGGGCAGAATTTTCCAGACCTTCAGGTGCCGGTTTTGTTCTCTTGACAAAGGTCTAACCCACAAATCTTCCACAGATTTCCCTGGCCTTGTTGTGTTCTTATTCTCTTTCCCTGTCTCATCAGGGTTGCAGGACACAAGTTTATCTGTCATAGACACACACTCTTTCTCTCTCTCTCTCTCTCTCTCTCACACACACACACACGTTCAGCATGGCTGCTTTGCAGTGGAAACCTGTACTGCACATCCACAGGTGTGGCAGGAGTCCCATATCAGAGCATCTGTGCCGGAAAGACCTCAATGATGACCCATTCTACCTTACCTGGCCTCTACACCCCTTGACTTCCCAGATGAGGAAGCAGGTCCAGACAGGCCCAGACTGTTTGGCAGAAGAAGTCTAAGAGCCTCTGGAGTCTTAACTCCTTGGGTTCAAACCCTGATCTGTCACAAGGTGTGTGACACTTTGGGCAAGTGACATGACTTCCCATCTCTCAGTGTTCTCATCTGTAAATGGGGATAATGATACCTACATCACAGGGTTGTTTTGAAGATTGAATGGGATAATCTATGTGACGTGTTTAGCATAGTCCTTGGCACATAGTAAGTATTTAATGTTAGCTTTTATTATTACATGCCATAGAGCTGGTACTAGAACCTACGACCCCAATCCTAAAACTCCACTCTTTGCCCCAGCACCATGCTCTGTCTCTTGTCCGGACACCCGTCAATGGACTTTCTAGGGAAAGTCAACATTGGTGATAAAGGCAGAGAAGGCCCACTGTACTCAGTAATCGCATTTGCTTCTTAGTCAGTCTGAACCTCAGTAAGTCTGAAGCCTCTATGGTTTCCTCTTCACCTGGACCTACTTGTACCCCTGGGCACCTGCACACTCACAGAGTAGTTGCTCTTTAAGAAATTGTCCCCATTTTGGGAAGCTCTTTTATTTCAGAACCATACGCAATGAGGCATTGGTTTTGCCCATGACCTTCTCTTCCTCTATCATTCCCAACCCCCCATCAGGCCCTCCTCCCCGCTTGCTCTTGCCTCTTTGGCTGGTGCTGGGCCAAAGCCCAAATTACTTCCCTGAGCCACTGCTCTGCCTTTTATTTCAAGCTTATGGGCTCATGGAGACAGGGAGAGAAGAGGAGAGAAAAGAAAAGGTGGCTGTCTTATTTGGGATTTCTATTTGCAGACCTTGAAGAAGGTAATTTAAGACTGTTAGTCTTCTCATTAAAAAAAGACAAAACCCATTTTTCTTCAATTTAGTTTGAGAGATAGGGTGGTGGAAGAGATATAGGAGAAAAAAAGGAAGCCTGTCAAGAATGGCGATGGATGGGGGTGGCCAGGCAATCGAGCAGAAGGTGTTTGGAGGTCATTCTGCAGTCGGCCCTGACAAGAGACTGGGTGCAGCGTCCTCTGGGTGCCATGGGTTTTTAGTAAGCTGAGGGATTTGTGGGGGCCTGGGCGCTACTGTCTGCAGTTTCCCTCCCTCTGCACGTCCCTCCCCTCCCAGCCAGGGCCCACTAGACTCCTAACACAGAACCTTCTCTCGATCTGCAGCAGAGGGGCACGATTCACTCACTCAAACCAAGGGGTCAGGGCCCCTGAAAGGAAAATTGTATTTTTTAAAAAGGACTTCAGGCAGAAGATAGGACTTAACAAAGAAAAACGTAATTCTAATGGTAAAATTTTAGCCATTATTGGTAGAGAAGATAGAACCACAGAATGTCAGGGTTAAGGGGAAACCTTGGGGCTCACTTAATTCAATCTTTTGCAGACAGAATGAGGAAATTTACCCATCGGAGCTAAAACGCACATCTTAAAATGACTTCTCTAGAAGTCTGTAATCGATGGTTGCAGTTTTCTATCCCCCACTATTCAAGGCTCCATCTCCTGTAATATCCCACCACACTTGGGTCCCTGTGCTGGGAGTGGCAAAGGCCCCAAAGAAACTTGGAGCCGGATGCCTGGATCTCAAAGCTAGCCTTGCCATTTTACTGGCTGTGTGACCTTGGGCAAGTTACTTAACCTCTCTGTGCAGGTCACATTTATGGAACACTTTCGCGTGCCAGATGCAGACCTAAGTGCTTTACGTGCATTATTCTGGTGCCTCTTTCCAATACCCCTATGAAGTAGGGCTAGTCCCATTTTGCAATATAACCGAGGTTCACACAGGTTAAATAACTTGTCCAAAGTCACACAGCAAGTAAATGGCAAAGCCAGAGTTGAATGAGGAATCCCTGGCTCTGGCCTCAAGCTCTTACCCACTGTGCAGTACTCTCAGGACCAGGGAACCCAGGGCAAGGCAGGAAGGGGTGGGGGGCAGAGACTGATGGTTTCCCTCATACCCACTGTGCAGTACTCTCAGGACCAGAGAACCCAGGGCAAGGCAGGAAGGGGTGGGGGGCAGAGACTGATGGTTTCCCTAATATTTGTTCTCCCCTTTTTCATTGGGAATAGAGCATCTCCATTTTAATTGGGTACTTGGTCACCTGGAGCAAAAGACATTTCCCAGCCTCTCTTCCGGCTAGGCATAGCCAGGATTCCCTGTTTGCCGGAGAGCGGTATGTAAGCAGAAATGGTATATGCGGCTTTTTAGAAGGATCGTTTTTTGGTATCTGTTTCATGTTCATTTACAAAGAATGTACATCCTGTCATTGTAGAGTACAGAATTCTGTATGTGTCGATTAGGTCAAATTTGTTAATTGCGCTTTTCACATCTTCTGTATCCTTACTGATCTGGTGTCTGATTGGTCTATTGGCTATTGAAAGATGCCTGTTACAGGCTCTCCCTACAAGTGTGAATTTGTCTATACCTTATTTAAGTCTCTTAAATTTTGCTTCGTATGTTTTGCAGATATTTTATGGAGTACAAACAGATTTGGAGTTAAGATATTATTCTGGCGGATTAATCCCTTTATCGCTAATAATGTCATTATCTGTCTTTTAACAGTTAGAAGTATATATATATATATTTTTTCTGAGACAGAGTTTCATTTCGCTCTTGTTGCCCAGGCTGGAGTGCAATGGCGCAATCTTGGCTCACCGCAATCTCTGCCTCCCAGGTTCAATCGATTCTCTTGTCTCAGCTTCCCGAGTAGCTGGGATTACAGGCATGCACCAACACACCCGGCTAATTTTTTGTATTTTTAGTAGAAACGGGGTTTCTCTATGTTGGTCAGGCTGGTCTCAAAGTCCTAACCTCAGGTGATCCACCCGCCTCGGCCTCCCAAAGTGCTGGGATTACAGGCATGAGCCACCGCACCCAGCCAGAAGTATCTTTAGAGTGGTGGGGGCATGTCTCTCTTCACCCTTTCCTTCTTCCTGTTGGTTGGAATGCTGATGTTGTGGCTGGAGCTGAAGCAGCTCTATTGAACCGTGAGCTGAAAACTATGGGTTGAAAAGGAGTAACAATTAGTTCAAAGATTCTGGGTCTCAGATGGTTTCAGAGCTGCCGTTCATCCCTGAGCTGCTTACCTCCAGACTTAGTTTACATTAGAGAACAACAAACTTGTAGCTTCTTTAAGCTACATGTTTGTGCCAGGGGCACTGCAGTGGGGGCAATAAGACCAGAGGCCCATGGCAGGCAGTGGTCGCCGAGCTCTTCTGACTGTACACCCCCTCAAATTTCTTATTTATAATTTTTATTCATGTACTATTGTCCATTTATATAGCAGGTATTCATCAAAACTTCATTTTGCAGTTTTGAAAGTTAAAAAATAATGAGGGATAGGGATTTCAGTAAGTTTTCCCTGTATCCCAGTATATTGTCTGTTGCCACCTTGGAGACCACTGGTGCAGAGTGTGCATGGAGTGGGTGAGAGCTGAAGGTTAGGTGGGGTCAGGTCAAGAGTGACCTTACATGTGAAGCTCGGGGACTTGAATTAATGTCCTGAAAGTGATGCTGACCCCAGGAAGGTGGTGCTTAAGTTCGAGAAAGAGATGGTGGAGGAATGGAGATAGGGGACAGACACCTGACTGGCGCAGAGGGAGGCCCCATCAGGCAGGCAGTGTGCTCCAGGAAGAGGCAGGAGAGGAAAGACCCCAGGAGTGGGCAGAGGAAGAAGCAGCCAGGTGGGAAGTTGAAACAGAGGCGGGGGTAGAAGGAGAACCAGGGGAGTGGGGGTCCAGGTAGCCAAGGAGGACAGGGTGGGCTGCAGTACTGCATGCTTGCTAAGAGGTCCAAGCAAGGGCTCACCTTTGTCCATGAAGGATACATGGGGATCATAGGGATGCACCATGAAGGGAGGGGAAACGGAGACCTGGAGGTGAATATTTTCAAATGAGAAGGCTGGGAGGGAAGCAGCTAGAAGGTCAGGGAAAGGAAGTGCTTTTGTGTGATGAGGGAGGGCGGCTCGGGCATGCCTAGTGCACTGGGAAAGGCTCCAAAGCCTGCTTAACTCTGCTGCCTCCGGGGAAGGGGACAGGGCTGAAGGAAGGTGAGTGGAAGAGCTCCAGCCACCACTTCCAGCCCTCCTCCTGACTGTCCCAGTGGATTCCCCTCTCTGGGACCTCATTGTACCCCAATTTCCTTTTCCCTGGAGAGTGATATATCAGGGGAGGTAGGTGGGGGAACATGGCAATGGCTGCAGCTGCCCCTGGAGAGGAGAAAAGCAAACATAAGCCACTTGATGTGAGCTTATCTGCCAGCGAATGGAGGGGCCAGGGCTTTGGATAATCCCCCAAATCATTTTTCATTGAGCTTTGAGTGTCTTATGATTGCTGGGAAGCCGACTGGCCTTCCTAAGTGGGTGTTATTTCTGTTCATAGCAGTTGGGAGCTGGGCTTGGGAACCAATTGAAGGAAGTGTTCCTGAGGGGCACCAGCTAGACAGCAGGGGGCAGGCAAGGCAGAGACTCCCACTACGGGTGTAACCAATGCTGGATGCAGAATCACGGACAAGCCTCTGAAGACAAAGGAGAGGGACCGTACCTCCCAGATCCCTGGCCTCGCGACGCTGATCTCTTCCTTGGCCTCTAAAAGGCACATCTGTGTCCTCCCTTTGGCCCTTTGTTCAGGCTGTGGCCTGAATCTGAAACCCCTGCTACTCTGTCCCAATGCTCCAGGGCTCAGGGGGACTCTACCCCTCCCTGAAGGTGGCTATTTCCACCTTCCCAGACCCCCAGGGCAAAGCCCAGCATCCACGGACTGCAGCAGTTGGCCTGGGTGCTTCTCAGCATCTTATTTAACAGACTGACTGATTTGGTTACCTTCCCGAGCTTGTGGACTGAGATGGGGACAGCGGTGCCACACAGTGGGGTCCAGACCCTCTTTCTGGCTCTGCCCTTTACTTGCTGCCTGTGCTTGGCGAGGCAAGCTACTTCCCTCCCTGAGTGTTTGGTTTCCCACCTGCAGGGAAAAGCAGCGGCTCTCCTGCTTAGGTCTTAGAATTACCTGGGGGACTCGTTAAAGTGAAGATCTCAGGGCCCACCCCCAGAGTTTCTGATTCATTAGGTTTAGTGTGAGACCCTGAAGGATTTGCTCCCAGGCAGGGTGACTGATAATCCCCATTTGCCCGGGACAGAGGGATTTCTTGGGATACAGGAGTGCTGTTCAGGGTTAAACCTGGGCAATCCTGGGAAACCAGGATGGCTAGTCACTGCTCCCAGGTGCTGCTGGTCTTGGGACCACACTTTGCATCAATGTTCTCTAAGGTCCCTTCCAACTCTGAAAGTCCCTGTGCCTGCAGTATAAGTACCCTTCACCTCTGAAACAGGCATAACTGGGTGGGACATGAGGGTGGGCCCGTCCTCTCATGCAAATTCACATTTAGGACACAGTTCCTGTTGAAATGATAAAGATCTCCCAGATTGCCCGGCAATGAGCCTCAAGGTGCCTTCCCCCCAGGAAGAGGTTCTGACTGTAGCACAAAGGTGGGATTCAGGGGCAGCCAGCAGGTGCGGGGGCGGTGAATGTCATTGTCAGGATCCATGCCATAGGACATCTCAGAAAGGCAACCACAGATGCCTTGAAGGTGAACTGATGCATTTTGGGGACTTTCATCAGGGCTGGATGTGTAATGGCATGGCTGTGAGACTTGAGGATCATTGTCCTCCTACTGCATCCCCCCGCTCTCCCAAGCAGATGAGGCTCAAAGCACAGAGATGCAGGATGTGTAGGAAGAGCCCAGCTGGCTGGCCAGATGTGCTGGGAGTCCTGGTGAGCAGGGCAGGCTCCAGCCGGGGCCAGTGCCCAGGAGCACAGGGTACCACAGGTGTTGGCTGGTGGGCAAGACCAAGTCCTTTAATAGTGATGGGGAGCAAGGGGTGGGAGCTGGCTGTATAGATCATACATAAACACATGGCGTTTTGAGGCCCTGGGTGAGCTGCATCCTTCACTCCCTCAACAAACATGTATTGAGTGCCTGCTATGTGCTATGTGCTGGTACTTGGAACAACTGGACTTGCTCCTTCAGGAGGTCACAGCAGTCGTGAGGGTGGGGCACATGCATGCAAACAACTTCCAGACACTGGAGAGCACTTTCAGAGATGCTGGCCCGTCCTGATGGGAGCGCAGAGGGACAGGCATTGATTCTGCCAGACGAGGGTGGTGGGGGTGGATGGCAAAAGAAAGGGGCATTTAATTTGGTCCTTAAAAACAGGCAGGGTTTCTGCGGGCAGAAAAGGAGGGAGGGCTGCCCAGGGAGAGGGGACAGTGTGAGCAAAGGCCTGGCGGCATGGCTGGGCAGGGTGGGCCGGCGGGGGCAGGAAGGGCTGGGAAGCCATGTCTGGGCCTGGAACAAACTTGGCCTCACTAAGTTGTGACTTTCCGCTTTCCCCCACATTCTCTACTCCTGGGATCTCACCAACCTCTTATTCTTTGTCTGCTCCCATTAGCAAAAGCTGAGGTTGGGAGGGACCTGACTCTCCGTTCCCTAAGGGAAGAGCACCCCATACCAGGGGAGGGCTTTTGGGGCGCCTGATGTTTCTGAAAACAAACAAGCAAACAAACAAAACTGGCATATTTCACTTAACATAACGTCCTCCAGGTTCATCCACATGTCACAGACAACAAGATTCCCTTCTTTTATAAGGCTAAATAGCATTCCATTGTATATATATGCCACATTTTCTTTACCCGTTCATCCCCTGATGGCCGCTTAAGTTGATTCTGTATCTTGGCTATTGTGAACAGTAATGAAATGAACATGGAATGCAGATAGCTCTTCAACATACTAATTTCATTTCCTTTGGATAAATACACAGTAGCATCTTATGTTAAGTGAAATAAGCCAGGCACAGAAAGACAAATACCACATGATCTCACTCATACGTGGAATCTAAAAAGTTGATCCCATAGAAATAGAGTGTAGAATGGTGGTGGGGGGAAGTGGGGAGGGGAAGAGATGTTGGTTAAAGGGTATAAAATTTCAGTTGGACAGGAGGAATAAGCTCAAGAGATCTATTGCATGTCGGGACTCTGTATGGTTAATAACATTGTATTTTTTTTTTTATACTTTAAGTTCTAGGGTACATGTGCACAACGTGCAGGTTTGTTACATACGTATACATGTGCCATGTTGGTGTGCTGCACCCACCAACTAGTCATCTACATTATGTATATCTCCTAATGCTATCCCTTCCCATGACAGGCCCCGGTGTGTGAAGCTCCCCACCCTGTGTCCAAGTGTTCTCATTGTTCAATTCCCACCCAATGTATTCTTTTTTTTTTTTTTTTTTTTGAGATGGAGTCTCACTCTGTCACCCAGGCTGGAGTGCAGTGGCACGATCTTGGCTCACCGCAAGCTCCGCCTCCCGGGTTCACGCCATTCTCCTGCCTCAGCCTCCCAAATAGCTGGGACTACAGGCGCCCACCACCACGCCCAGCTAATTTTGTTTTTGTATTTTTAGTAGAGATGGGGTTTCACCATGTTAGCCAGGATGGTCTCGATCTCCTGACCTCGTGATCCACTTGCCTCGGCCTCCCAAAGTGCTGGGATTACAGGCGTGAGCCACTGTGAACACATTGTATTCTTAAAAAATGCTGAGTGATGATATATGTTCTCACCCTAAAATGCTATTAGGTTGGTGCAAAAGTAATTGCAGTTTTTGCCATTAAAAGTAATACATGAAATACATATGTTAATTGGCTAGATTGTCACTCTATGATGTATATGTACTTCAAAATACCATGTTATACACAGTAAATACTTATAATTTGATCAGTCAATTTTTCAGAAAGCAAAAATAAAGATCCCCCCTCCCCCAACAAAACCAGTGGCCCCTCCCCCCGCCCAACACACACACACACCCGTGCCCCTTCAGTTAAATAAGTGTCAGTTTCCACCTTTGAGTTTCTGGCCAACAAGAGGCCACGCCTGCCTGATGGGCAAAAACAGTAGGAAAGGAAAAAAAAACAGTCTACGTGGTTGAATGTATGACTTCATTTCGGTTTTAATGAAACTTAGTGACAGTCCCCGCACGGTGGATTTCCTCTCTCCATCTAGACAGCCTCGCCCTTCTGTGCCTTTGCTTCCCTCTGGTTTCATTCCACTTGTCTGTGGTGGGTGTACAGTGCGACTATTCTTCTGAAGCGGAGAAGTAGGACTTCTTCAGACCCTTGAAATTGGGCAGCTGGAAGGAGCCAGAAGGATTCTGAGCTCAGTCCTTTTGAGAACTGAGGCAGCTGGGCCCTCGTGGGGTGGGAATTGGGGTGGGGGACCAGGAGGTCACACTGTGGTCAAAGCCACACTGCAGATCAGTGGCAGGGGAGGACCTGGTCTCCTGTCTCCCAGGCCAGTGTTTTTTCCATGGCCACCAACAAGATTTTGATTGGCTGATACAATAATAAACATTTACTAAATGCTAGCTCATGCTAGCCACTAACCTAAGTGCCAACCGTGCATTAGTTAATTTAATACTTATAATAATCCCACGATGGGATTATCTTCCCCTTTTACAGAAGAGAAAACTGAGGCACAGAACACTATTGGAGAGCCAGGCACATGAGTTATGTGCAGAACAGATATTTGACTTTTCCCAGCACAGGTCTAGTTTGGATTTCCTGTAGCTTGGGGATCTGTGGTGAAAACTAAGAGCTGGGGGATCTGTCCAGGGCAGAGACCCCAGTTGGGGGCTGGGAGGCACAAGGCCAGTATTTTCTGAAAGGATCCTGGGTCAGGAGGACCATGATGGCTGTCAGTACAAAGAGACCAACTGTTTGGAGAACCCTCTGGAGGGAACCATACCTTCTCCCTAGTCCTCTATCTCTCTGATTTTGAAGCTGGGGATCCAGTGGCTGCCAGTGCCACCACTGAGGCACAGGCTGGGCTGCGGTCTCTGGGCAACTGCCTTTCCTTCCTTCCTTCCTTCCTTCCTTCCTTCCTTCCTTCCTTCCTTCCTTCCTTCCCTCCCTCCCTCCCTCCCTCCCTCCCTCCCTCCCTCCCTCCCTCCCTCCCTCCTTCCTTCCTTCCTTCCTTCCTTCCTTCCTTCCTTCCTTCCTTCCTTCCAGGGTATACCCAGACTGGAGTGCAGTAGCGCAATCGTGGTTCACTGTAACCTCCGCCTCCCAGGTTCAAATGATTCTTGTGCCTCAGCCACCACAGTATCTGGGATTACAGGCAAATACCACCATGCCTGACTAATTTTTGTATTTTTAGTAGAGACAGGGTTCCACAATGTTGGCCAGGCTGTTCTTAAACTCCTGACCTCAAGTGATCCACCCGCCTTGGCCTCCCAAAGTGCTGGGATTACAGGCGTGAGCCACCTCGCCTGGCCGGCAACCGCCTTTTCTTTTCCATTACCGTGTTTGTTGTGTGCAGGTAAATGAGCACAGGCAACTCTTTTGGACTAAACTTAGGATTTGATTGCTAACTATAGAGTCATGTGGATGGTGCTGTAGGTGGAACTTGAATTAAAACCCTAGCACTAAGAATTCCTAGTCTTTATGCCCTGAGAGACATGGTTTCCTAAGTACATGACTATTTTTTACTTCATTTGCAAGTACCAGATTGCATTTTTGTATTAGTCAGGATTCTGCTCCTACTGTCAGGCAAGTGGTTCAGCTTCTCTCATCCTCTAGGTGTATACATACACAGGGAGTCTCTGGAGGTGCCTGTACGCAGGATCACAGTTTGCTGTTTTTCCTAGATCCTTTTTTTTTTTTTTAAATTCTGTCTGACCTATGAAATGAGGACTTCTCCAGCGCTTGTGACAAGAATCGGTGACCAAACAAACACAAACCCAGCGCTAGTCAGCAGGTTAGGGGATCTGGGTGTGAGTACCAGTTGCCACCTACAGCAGTGTGACCCTGGGCAAACCCTGTGACCTCTGGAGCCTTAGCTTCCTCCTCTGTAAGATAGAGATGACGCTGGGCTGGCTTTGTCTCCCTTGCATGGTGGCTGTGAGGACTAAATGGGATGGAGAGTTGCAAGAACTATGTATACTGCAATTTTACAGCTTCATTGCCAGACAAGGGTCATGATGAAACTCACATCTCTAAGAGCTTCCCAAATGAAGGACAACAGGCAAAGGTTGGGTAACCCTAAATAATACACCGGCCAGGCTCTGTGTCTGATGGTTATGGATGGAGTCTCAGGGCCTCTGCCCCTCAACCCTCTCGGCCCGCTTAGTGGACTCTATACAGATGATTGAGAGGGGACCCTGTCCCCAGGTGGCCGTGAAGAATTCACCTGCAGAAAACCAGGACCTCAATTTAACAAAGCAGATTGGTTCAGACAGGAAAGCCATTTTAAAAGAAGAGAAAAAAGGCCACGGCTGCAGTGAACATTACGCACCTCATCTCTATTCTCAACACGACAGCAAGGCACTGCAAAAGGACACCCTGGGTGGAGTGGGGGGGTGGGAAGAGGTGCCCCTCAGCTGGGGCTGCAGGTGGGGTGCCCTGTGGGTAGGGCTCCAGGAGGCAGCACCTGGGCCTCTGCCATCCCAGCAGGGCTAGTGAGGTCATCGAGTGCAGAAGGTGACAGCTGTCTTGGTGCTTGGGTCACCCCTACACATTCCTTCTCTTCTGATCAACCCTATCCCCAATTCTGCAATGTAAGGGGGGCTGAGCTTATATCTAGGAACCTGGGTTCTGGTCTCGCTTCCATTTCTAACCTGTTTGTGACTTTCGGCCTTGGCTCTTCTCATCCATAAAACTGGAATGACTATCTTCTTTACCAGGTTGGGTAAAGATACTTCCCACTCTAAGACTTACTGCAAGCGCAGGAGTTGTGGGCCATTGCTCTATCACTTAAATCTTTGCGCATTTCCTTGTGAGCCCGGGAATAACTGTGGTGTGTCAGGTATGGTTTTAGTACAGTTGTTCCTCGGCGTACATGGGGGATTGGTTCCAGGACCCCCTTGTAAATCAAAGTCCACACATGCTCAAGATCTGCAGCCAGCCCTGCAGAACCCACATACATGAAAAGCCGGCTCTCCATATAATTGGGTTTTGCATCCCGTGAATACTGTATTTTCCATCCATGTTTGGTTGAAAAATAGAAGTGGATCTGCACAGTTCAACAAGCCCGTGCTATTCAAGGATCAACTGTCCTTTGTAAGTAATATCTCTTTTAATCCTCACAACCCTTTAAGGTAGGCACATACATCTTCCCCACGTTACAGAAGGGGAAAGAGAGACAGAGATTAATCCTGCTTTGCACCTATTGTCAACATAATTAAGAGCAGTGCTCCAGTTCACTTCAAAAATGTCCCGGCTGGGTGTTAAGTCCTGGCTCTTCATCATGATGTTACACTGCTTGTCAACAACATTCTGAATCTTTCTGCCCCATCTCCTCCATATTCTAAAGGTATCTCCAACCCACTTCCTGCTCTTATACCCCATGGTCACCAACCCCCACGAATGAAGCCCAAGGCATGCCCCTTAACTACATTACTTGACAACATCTGAGCTAAGTTCTGGGGTCCTGAGCACCCAACACAGCACCCCATGTATTGGTGTCCGATGCTGAATGAATGAGTGAACGAATGAGCAAATGCACTGAAGAGCCACGTGAATGCTCATGAACTCTGGGAGAGCTACATAAATACCTCTCACCCCATCTTGCTCTCACCCGGTTCCTCAGGAGACCTGTCAAAGAAAACAGAAAGAGGAGCTTTCCCTGAGCTTTCTCTGCCTTCTTTGCATCTTCTTCTTTTTTCCCTGCTTCTTCCATGTCAGCCTCAGATGAGAAACACAGACCTATATCCATTGTACATCAAAGTAGAATATCTTTTTGAAAATAATCCAAACGAGGCACAAATGGGAACAAGACAGTTTCCTTGATGGGAAACACCTGAAGGCACAATCAGACACTTCCGTAGAGCAGTCAGACCTCAGAAGAAACCCACAGCAGGAGGGGACAGCTCTGAGAGGTATCGGAAATGAACATGCAGTGGACCCCCTTCTCCTAGCTCTACACCTTCTTTTCTTTGCCTTTGCTCCAGGTCTTAATGATGGACCCACAGCAGAGGCTGGGAAAGCCCAGTGCCCCTAAGGCCCACCAACAGTGAGATCTCAGTGTGGCAAACACAAGTGGCTTCCTTCTCCTGCTGCAGAACCCAGCATCACAGACAGCTGGTAGAGAGAGACAGTGTGCGTGTGTCGGATCTGAAAGTAGCTCATTAAGTAAACACATGCCAGATCCAAGGAAGGCAGGTCACCCTGCCTGTTCCAGAAATGTATGATTTCCTAGTCATGCAGACAAGGTGTTTTAGGGCCCCGAGAAGCCACCTTGACCCCCTGCACGTCCTCCAGACACTGGCCAGTAGTTGGAAAGCCCAGCCCCCTGCAGCTTCAGCCATAAATAGTGGTGGGGCCCTCATATGGGCCAAGTTTCTCATTTAACTGTTTCAATAACTCACTAAGGTAGTTGCTATTGCTTCTGTTTTATAAATGAGGAGCTGAGGCTCTGCTGGCAGACCCAGGAATCAAGCCCAGGTGTTGCTGATGCCAAGGTCAAGGCTTCTCAGGTTTGGGCTTTTAGTAGACTTGGAGGAGGGAAGAAAAGCTGCCCCCATGCAGAACTGATTTATCTGTCCAGGCTTGGTCCATGAAGCACTGAGACTCCTCCTGAGAAGCTGTTCAGAGGAAGGATGGAGGCTTCAGGAGTGGCCCATTCAGGGTGAGCCTGAGCTCACCCTGATCTGTAAGGCAATGAGCAGCAGCAACAGGAGTGCCCAAGACCCCAGCGTGCTGAGGTTCAGCAGAGGGTGGGACATGGCTGAGACACAGGTGCCTGCATCACCCTACTCCAGGGGGAGCTATCCACATCAGAGTGACTGTGAATGGCTGCCCCTGGAATTGTGCAGTGCACAGTCTGTGCAGGTGTGCATAAACGCCCAGCAAGTACCTAGCTGCTCACTGGACAAGCTGCTTATCTTCTTCTAGCTCTCATTTCCAGCAAACCAACACCTCTTTACCACCCATCCTTCCCTGCCAAGCCGGGGTGCCTTCTTTCGGATGGGGCCAGCTGGATGAAATCCTTTTATTGGATGTTTCCAACCAGGAACTGGGCAGCACAATGTGTCTCGGATGAGCAGGTAAGGTAGGTGACTAAGGGTTGGGCTGCTCATGTCCAGTGAGGGTTTGGAGGCTGGTACACCTGACAAGAAAACCCTCATGGATCCCTTTAAATAGATAGGCCTTAACTGTGATCTGTAGGTAGATCTCTTTCTTCCAAAGGATGGGAATTGGCATTAAACTTAACTTAAGTTTGATTCAAGTAGCCAAGACTGTTAGTGATCTCCCAAAATTTGTTCTTCTCTTCTTCCATTATAATGGAGCTGTAACTGGGTACATGGCCACCTAACCAGTGACTGCATTTCCCAACCCTTCAAGCAGCTAGATCTGGGCATATAGTAGTTCTTGACAATGGAATGTGAGTGGAAGTACGTCTCCATGCCTGGACCTTAAAACATTGTCCCTACACATCACCACAATCTTTTCCCTTCCTGAGAACTGCGACAGAGATATGTCTGAAATCCAGCTTCAACCATGCAGACAAGGACAGCACCTCAGAGAAGTGTTTCTAAGCTTAAGGGTACATTAGAATCACCTGAAGGACTTCTGAAACCGCAGCTGGCCCCACCCCCAGCGATTCTAATTCAGTAAGTCTGGGGTGGTGCCTGAAGTTTGCATTTATGACAAGTTTCTGGGTGACACTAGGGCTGCTTGTCTGGAGGCCACATTTGGAGACACACGCTGTCCTCGGGGATGGTACAGAAACAAGATGGCAGGATCCGGGATCCCTGTATGACTGTGTGGAGCAGAACAGCTTGCCTACCCTGACTGTAAGATGAGAGAGAGAGAGAGATAGAAAAACTTTGTTTTTTCTAAGCTACTGTTTTATTGGGTCTCCGAGTTAGTACCTTAGCCTTTGCTCTAAACTGACCCATACCCTTGGTGGTCAGAGTCTTCTCTGTATAAATGTTCCTCTCAGAAAAGAAAAAGAGCTCCTACTCTAGCTCCAGCTCTAGGAGCAACAAATTAGTCCTTAATCAGACTAGTACATAGAGCCGGGATAGAATCTCAGCTGTAAGACTGCAAAGCTCAGCCTCATCAGAATGCATGCTGTCTCTCAAGTCACCCACAGTTTCCTGGATCCTGTCTCCCTCTTGAGTTACTGCCAGATCTTTCTTCCTCTGAAGCTTTACTTCTTTGTCCAGTCATCCTGCACCCCACCACTGTCTGACCTCCGCGCCCACTCTACTCATCCCAAAGTTACTGTCATTGCCAGAGCCAAAGGTGGCTTTTCAAACCTCCTCCCGCTTCACCTCTGCTGAATTTGAAGCACTGATCACACCTTCCTTTTGAAGACCCTCTCTCCACTGCTGGTTTCGTGGTACATTCTCACCTCGTTCTTCTCCTGAGTTTCTAATTTGCCTTGATCTGAACATCATGACCTCCAAGTCTCCAGCTTTGTCCTCTCTTCCTTGGCCTCAACCACTCGTCTTCTTCCTGGCTTACCCCTTTAAGGCTGGCACTCCCTCCAGGGTGAGGTGGGGAACATTTTTTGTTCTTTGCCACCCCCATTCATGCCCAACCCCATCCACCTCCAGCAATCTGATGACTCAAAACCCTGCTGAGCTGCAGGCTCCCTCCCATGGCTGCAGGTCCCTCCCATTCAGCACGCCCAAAACGCAGTCAACAACATCTCCCTGCGACCCATTCATCCCCTATTCCTAATCTCAGTAAGTGACGCTCCATCGCCTGTGAAATGCTCACCCCTTTTTCTCAGTGTCACCACTTCCCTCCCCAACATGCAATGCTTTACCAAGACACCCCCTTCTGCAGCTCTCCTCAAAGAACACCCTGCAAATCTGCCTATTGCACTCTTCTCACTGCTGCCCTGCTTGCGTCTCCCCTCCTCATTCAGCATTGCAGAAGGTCTGCTGAAGGTTCATGTATCTGTTTTCCCCTCTGAGATTAACTAGTTAATTAATCTATTAATTTATTGAACATCCTAGGCCTCACTATGTGGCATAGGTCCTGGAGATGAAGAGAAGGGAATGAATGACGCTGTCTCTGAACTCCGATAGCTCACAGCTGGAAAAACGGACACGTCAACATCACAATGGATGAAGTTCAGGGGGAAACGTGTGCAGGAGGGATGAAGAGGGAACTATGGACGTAGGTTTTTAAGGATGAGCAGGAATTAGGCAAAGAAGGTGAAGGGAAGGTATGGTTCAGGCTCATGATCGTGGACTTTGTAAGCAAAAGGGGACCACCAGATTATGAGAATTAGAGTCACCAATTATGAGGTTAAATGAAAGAAATCCAAATGGCCCAGTGGGTTATAAACCAGAGTCTGGGGTTGGGGAATGAGCATTTATTTAAATGAATTCTAAAAATACACTTAGCAGCCCAGCTATCTGAAGGGAGAATTGGGCATGTATTAATCGATTTCCTGTAATTCTGCAAGACCACAGCGGAGGCCAAGTTGTCTAGGACAGTCAAGGGCTGTCCAGTCTGCCCTGCAGTCAGTCCATGGAAGCTGGCCCAGGCTGCCCACCTGCTGGGGTGGACCTAGCTAGAGGGGCAGAGGAAACCGATGGTGAGAAGACAGACCCTAAGCTCACTCATGAAAATCACTGGCTTTCTACACTAAGAGCACAGAGTTTTAATTCTGACACACTGGGTCTTCAAAACACCTTTCAGAAATATACTAATATGCTTACTGCTCCCTTGAATGAGCTTAAATATAGGGAAGGAAACAGTCTATAATTTTTCCCATACTTGGAGAATGGATCTACGATTTCCATAGAGAAGAGCCCATCTTTTCTTCACCCGTGCGGAGCCACATGTAAAGAGGCCCTGTCCATGTCCATGCGGGAGCTGCTTGCTCACCTCCCCTCCTCGCCCCCGAGTGAAGGCCAGTGCTTGGCAAGAGGGAATCTGGTTGGGGAAGAATGTGTGCTTCTGGATCCCAGGGGAGGGGCAGGGGCTGAGGAAGTCCTCACTTCCCATGATGATCAAAGAAAGGGGAATTGCCAAAGTGATGCTAGGGACAGGGCCGTCCGCTAACTGATGTGCTGTGTTTATAAAGGCAGAGGACACGATCGCAGGGGCAAGCAAAGGCCCAGGTGTTGGGGATGGGGTCTAGATTCAGGAGGCCTTCTCTACTTGCCAGCACCTTGAGCAAGTCACCACCTCCCTCTGTGCCTCAGTTTCTTTATCTGTACAATGAGAAAGTTGGTGTTCTAGTAGATTCTTTCAAATAAGTTTTTATGTAGAGCCTCGATATATCAAAAAGATAAAGCAGAGCCCCTCTGGTTGAAGGGGTGTGTTAAGCCCCTCTCCACTCATTTAAGCTCCTCTCCACTCATTTAAGCTCCTCTGACCACTGTCTCCCTCCGCCACCGACCCCAAAGCTGGGACCACAAAATTCCTGCTTGGACACTCTAGGAGACCAACAGGCAGCCAGCAGCTTTTCCATTCTTCAATTGCCTATCATCACTCCACACTTGTTTATGGTTAAAATGTGGGGAGAGTTGGGACCATATCACAGACTCACAAGACACTTTTAGAACTGAAGGTGGCCTCCAAGACCATGGAGAAGCCCTTCATTTCATAGACAATATTCAGCTTCTGCTGACCTCCAACCTGGTCCCAACCCCTTTCCATTTCTTTCTTTTTATTGGGATAAAATACACACAACATAAAAGTTACCATTGTAACCATTTTACAATGGGAGTCCTTTCAGATCAGCTCTGCTCTGCTCCTCAGACCTGGAGCTAGGACAGAAACATCTGAAGGGGGTCTTCCCTGTCACTCTGCTGTCCATCCAAGCTGGTCCAGCCAGTAGCCGGAGGCTGGTGCCTTGCAGAAACTCCAGAAGGCCAGAGGGCTGGGTAACCATGAGGCTGACAGCAACATCCACAGTCCCCCAGGAAGCCAGGCAGAAGCAGACAACACTGCAGGCCCAGCAGCCTCCCAGGCTTGGGTTTAGGACCCAGACTGGAGCTGGAGGCCCACATGCGTCTCTGTTCTCAGGGGCCAAGGTGAGTGTTCACTGCTGTGTACAGGGGTGAAGGGAAGGCACAGAGACCATGGATCCTCAAGGCTGTCTAGAGGATGTGGGAGGCACGTCCATGCCCCTGATCAACAATGATCCCAGCTTTCAGACTGGTCTGAACCAAGAGCTCTCCACTAGGCTTGATGCAGAGGACTCAGAGCCTAGGACAGGGGGCCCTCAATAACACTGCTGCCCCTTCTAGGGTGGGGTCTCCAGAGCAGCACCCCCCAGGTCCACAGCTGCAGCCACTGGGAAATGACTCTGGTTGGATGCTGCAGAGGACACCCACAAGCTTCAGGGAGAGGTCCTCTGTAGGGCAGCTCATACACCATCCTGAGCACAGGCAGAAGTGTGGCTTTTGTCCCCTTCCCCATCCCTGGTGCCAGGAGGTGGGTGAACATAAATGTGAGCCTGGCTCTCTGGTGTTTTCTTCAGGGGCTGGGATGTCACACACATGGAGGGAAAATTAATGTCACCCTTGCCAGCTGCAGGACCTTGGGCAGGTCTTCTGATCTACCTGAGCCAGTGTCTTCTGCCCAGTGGGGATCAAAGGCTGAGGATCCCCGAGAGAGTGACCGTGATGCCCCAGCCGGTGCCTGAATTCAGTAAGTACTGGCTGGATGTGCAGCTGCCCCTCCCCAGCACACAGCAGCAGCCCAGCAAGGGATAGTGGCAGTTTGGATGTTCTGTGGCTTTGGCAGGATGGGCCAGGCTGGAGAAGAGTTTACTGCGGGGTGGAAGGAGGAGCTCTCCCACAAAAGCCTTCCTCATGCACGACATTTCATGCTTAAGGATATTCATAACCTGCCCGCTGGGAATAGGAAAGGCAGCGACATTTCCTTCCTGGCAGCAGGAATTGAATAAACAATGTCCGAATAACTTAAAAACTCATCTTCTTTCCCAGACAGAAGGATTTGTACAATTTCTCATTTGCTTTCAAAATAGTGCCTGTCTTGTCTCTGGAACAGGATACCATGGCTTAGCAATGAGACTAAAAGACCATTCCTTGCAGGGAATTATAACTTCGGGGCCCCTGAGATGGTATGAAGAGTTTTACTATGTATGTGCTGCAGTTCCACAGGTTTTAGCAGATCTCCAAAGGGGTTTGTGACTCCCTCACTCAAAAAGGGTAAGAACCACTGATGTGGAACCCTTCTTTTTTTGTGTAGGCCTGAACTGTCAACTCCCAAGAGTAGACTATTTTCCTGGTGCAGGCTCAGAAACCCAGTGGGCTCCAGAGATGTTACTAGAGGCCGAGCTGGAGCTAGAAGCCAGGTAGCCCAGGTGTCCAGACTCCTGGCCCAGCCTGCCTTCTCCCACACCACTCTGGCTGATAAATCTGTGTTGAGGGTGAGGGAGAGAACACTGATGCATCCAGATTTGAATTCCAATGTTCACTTTGGGACTTGGATGTAAATCTGTTAGGTCTTAAGTCCGAAGGTGATGTGATTTATTGAAAAGAGCTTGGAAGTTGCTAAGCTCCCTGACAAATAAACCATGTCTCTCCATCTCAGGTCTGTGAAAACATGTATTTTAGGGACTTAGAAATCCCTTTGGAAAGCATTAGAATCTTCTGCTTGCAAGAGAGCCAAGCACACAGATACTTGTCTGGTAAAAAGATGCTTGACCTTTTTGGGCAAGGAAATAATGAACGCACATGGCGATTAACCAACGACTCCCACACTGTTACCCCAATTCTTTCCAAAAAAAGGAAGATTTTTAGTTCCATGAGTTGTTGAGGGAGGATGTTATAGAAACCAACTTGGCATCAGAATACCCTAGAGAGTGCCCAAATCAGCTCCTTCATCATGTACTCGTCACACCACCACCACCATCATCACTCACGCCCCATTGTTTCCAAGGTTTAGAAAGCTGCCTGCCTGTCTCACATGGAGAAGGAACCTTAGAAATCAGCCCACTCTCATATTTTGGCTAAAGAGACCAAGAGGGTGGATGTCATTTCTCCATTCTCAAGTCGATCAAGTCTGAGAAGAGTTGAGATGCAAATCCGTATCTCTGATTCTCAGCCCAGTGCTCCAGGCTAGGGAGGACTGTGGACTTACAGTGTTACCCCCCCGGGGTCATGGCCTTTGTGCTCCCATTGTCTGTGGCTGTAACCAAGGATAACGATACTAAGCCATCAGAAGCTAATGAGCACACAGCGCTTTGGAGACACGAAGATCTGAAAGGCTGCCTCATTATTATTGACGAGGATGATAATGTGTAATATTTATACACCACCTTGACTGCTAATTTCCAAAGTGAAGGAGGAATTTAAGGACCCAGTCAGCTCTGTTGGTAGCGATGGCATTCTAGACAACCTGGACAGAAGATCTCTGGTTGCTCCAAGTGCCTCTGGTCCCTGGATTCTAAGATGAGCACATCAGCAATCCAACCTTTGTATGGTGTGGACTCACTTCTTGCCAAGGAAACCCAGGAAAATGGGCAAGACTTGGGAGGGCTGGGAAAGATCACTTTGCGTATTCATAAACTCAACTAGTGTAGATTAACTGAAATGCCATATCACGCCTGATCACAGGCAAGCTTCCCTACCTCCAGTCCCGCCTATTTTGAGGCCAGACCTCCCTGGGTTTGAATCTCAGCTCTGCCATTTATTGGTTTTGGGATTTGGGGAAGGTCTTTAAGCTCTCTGTGCCTCAACATTCACAACTATAAAATGGGGATAATAACGCTGACTTTAGAGAGTTGTAATGATTACAGGAGATAATGTATGTTAACACCTCGTACTGTGCCTGGCACGTGGTAGGCCTTCAGTGTAATTCTTATTACATTCTTATAACTGCCCCACAGGCTACATCACTGGAGGGCAGGAAACTGGGGCCAAGTACCCTGTGGGAATCTGTCCTCCCATAGGGGGAGGTTAGGAGAACAGAATTCACCCATCAATTACGAGGTGAAAGTCAGCAGTCCAATTTTCCTACTTCCCAGGCATGTATAACATTTATTTAAATTATTTCAAGATAGTTCAAAGTTGTGTTTAAATCCTTGTTTACCAAGTGGGTACCTTCTGTAAATTAATATACTAACATTAAAAGATAAATATACATGTAATAATGAAAAATAGAGCCCAATGTTAAAAGTATTATAAATGATAATTTTCTAGGGAGGAATTCATTATTATCATTGGTGGAGTTATTTTGTCCCAAGCTTTGGTTCCTGCAGCTCACTTCACCTCCCAGGGCCTCAGTTATGTGTAAGAGAACAACTGTGGTTATTTCCAAGCTCAGACCTGAAGCCTTTCGGTTCCCCCTCGTCAGCTTCCGTGCTTTCAACCTGACCCATTCGTGAGGTTTGCCTGCCATGAGCAACCATGAGCACGGCCTTTAAGTTTGAAAGGCCAAGCCTTAGAGCAGTGTTCTCAAACTTGAACGTGCTTCAGAATCACCTGAATGCACACTGGTAGGTTGCTGGACCCCTCCCAAGAGTTACTGAGTCAGCAGGTTTGGGGTAGGGCCTGGGATTTTGCGTTTAACAAGCAATGTTGATGCTGCTGGTCCCAGACCTCACTTTGGGAACTACTGTATTAGAACTACTTTTGACCTCAGATGTCCACTAGAACCACCTGAGGGTTAAAAAAAATCAATTCCCAGGCTGCACCCCAGGCGAATTAAATTGGGACCTCAGAGGCTGGTACTCAGAGAGACAGCAGTGTCATGCACTGAACTGACTTAGGTGTTGATAACCCCAGGCTGATGCGGGAAAGATTAGGGGTCAGCAAACTTTTTCTATAAAGGACCTGTTAGTATATATTTTTGGCTTTGCAGGCCACATACGGTTTCTGCAGTATATTCTTCTTTGCTTTTTGTTTGTTTGTTTCAAATCTTCGAATATGTAAAAAATAATTCTTAGCTTTCAGGTCATAGCGTAAAAACAGTTTTGGAGCCCTGGAGAATTTGCATCAACCAGGCACGTATCTGTCAAATTTAATGGTGAAAATAGCTACTCACAATTAGCATTATTTATACAATAAATTAAAACCAAGGTGAATGTGGATAATTTAAACGAATTAAAGGTACAATGCAAATGTGGCTTCTCCTTACCAAACTTTTACTGTTACCCATCACTGCTCTTTCTAACCGAGTTCTCCTTTCTGAAAAAGAGGAGAGGGGTTTCCTTCTGCCTCCGCCCCCTTTCTGGTTCAGTGTACTAGCATTTGATTCCCTGTACTTGCGAGTTGAAAGCCCTTAGCTATCTGCTCAGTGCTGTCAGAAAGTGTTAATTGCCTTTCTAGGATTTCATTCTCTCCCAGTGCTTCCAGTTCTAACTTCCTGTCTCACCCTCTCTCTCCACACAGAGGAGTTTCTTTCTTCTGGAAAGCCTGGCTTAGAAGCCTCTGCATGTACAAAAAAGGATCCCCAAATGCGGAGTTATCTGGCACTTTCTCACATCCTCTTCCTTGTGCCTCTCTTCTCTCCCAAAGAGTACTCCCTCAATAACTAAGCCACTCCCTCCTTCCCTCCTGCCCTGCCTCATCCCAACCTATCTGCTCAGCTTTGGTATAAAAATGGTCATGCCTAGAACAGCAAGTGAGTATCTGAATGGGCCTAAGAACTCCTAGAAGTTTTTTACTTTTCAATCTGTTCCAAATCTCAGACAGACAAAATGGACAATTCCACCTCTACTCCGATCATTTGCTTTTAGAACCTGTTAGTAAAACACCTAAGCTCTTAAAAATGTAAATGACGTAAAGCAGGAGGGTGGAGATCTGGATATATTAATAGAAATGGAAGCCTCCATCATTTTCTAAACATACAAATGACTAACTTGAATCCTAGGGCCCTTGGATGGCCCACCTGTTGAAAGGACTTGTGTTGCCTTAACTGGGCCACCATTTAAAAATGTGACCACAAAGCCTTGAGGCAGGGCTGGCTTCATGGGTGTGCAACATGTGTGGGCTCACAGGCTCACATTTGGAAGGACCCTGCATTTGGTTTAATGTCCTGCTGTTGGCATCTTGAAATTCTTGATAATTTCAAATTTGAACTTGTGTCTCATAAGTGAAGTCCAGTGGGACAGTGGGACATGAACATTAGCTGAAGACATGTGCATATGTGTGTCCGTGCCTTCCTGCTCTCTATTTGCATATGGTGTTCACGATGCCTGTGAGCACAGAATTCCAGGGATCCACAGTGCATGGGAGCTCAGAGAACCTCAAAGTGAGCCCAAGACAAGATCTCTGCGACAGAGTAAACAGGTCGTTCACAGCACTGAAAAGCCACACTCTATGTTGGAATCAGAACTTTGTTCAAATGCAGAAAGATATACATTCTAAGAAACACGAACAACCGAGGAATCTTATGATATCCTATCCTTTCTCATTTGTGTTGCTTCCTGCTTTAACCAACCACTAACGCCAAAATGATGACATAGAAGGAAAAAAAAATAGGGTCATGGATAGTTCCCTTTTCCTTTCATCCCTCTTAACTTATTGTTAGGCATTTCAAGGAATTCTTTAAATTAGTTGGGCGTAGTGGCACATGCCTGTAGTCCCAGCCACTCTGGAGGCTGAGGTGGGAGGATGGCTTAAGCCTGGGAAGTTGAGGCTACAGTGAGCCATGATCAAGACACTGTGCTCCAGCCTGGGTGACAAAGTGAGACTCAAAAAAATTTTAAGAAAAAAAAAAAGGTTCAGAAGAAAAAAGTACAAAGGATAGAGGTGAGCTGTGTTGTCCTGTTTGTTTGAGGTCAGTTAGAAAAAAAAATTACATTATCTTATTTAACCACATAGCCGGTATGGTAGCTAGACTGTACAGCCTTTTTGGCAAGTAGAAGTTTAAGTTTCCATAAATATTCTTGAAATGCTATAAAGAGATTTCTCTTTCATAGCTGCCTTTCATAGATAAGTAGTAGGGTTTTGACCTTTGTCCTGTACCCTGGTTTTAGAATAATAGTCCTCAACACTACCTGAGAATAGAATTATGTTTCTTATTGTGGAGACGGGGCCTTGCTCTGTTGCCCAGGCTGGTCTTGAATTCCTGGGCTCAAGCGATCTTCCTGCTTCAGCCTCACAAAGTGTTAGGGTTACGGGCATGAGCCACTGCACCCGGCCCCTTTCTGAGCCTTTTAAACACACTGGAATTCTGTTAGTAAATGACCTAAACTGATGTTTTTAAAAATGTAAATGATATAAAGCAGAAAGCTAGACACTGGATAGTAAAACCAAACTATTAGTGATATGGCCTTTCATTAATATTTTAAAGATACAGAGTCAAATTCTCATTTATATGGAAGTCTGGCTGACAAAAGTCTTTCAAACGATGAAGTCCATGTTTAGCAATAGTAAATTGGAACGAGGCTGAGAGCCACTAGGGTTTATCCCACGCCACCATCAATGGGGGCCCCTACTCAATGCTTCAGAACAGACTGGGGAACCATCAAAGCAATTCTCCCGAACATTTCCTGAGCCTCTGTAACATCCTCAATTTTCGGCATTTCACAATAAGGACACTTCAGCTCTAAGCAGGGCCATGCGCTTGCACATGAGCGGTGAGGAAGGGAGAGGAGGCTGTTGGGGTGCAGACACTTTCCTTCCCATAGTTGTCTGTGGGGAGTAGCATGGAAGTAACAGTTGGAAAGGGAAGAAAGGGGGTGCCTGGTTGGCCTGGGGCCTAACCAGCAGGAGGTCACAGACCTCTGGACTACTGACAGAGGAGACCAGCATCAGACAATCCCATAGCGGTCACCATCTGAGAGCCCCCTCCTCACCATGGGCCCTTTTCCAAACCACTTCACTGTGGTCATCAGACACTTGGGTGCTCCATACCCTCTACTGAGTTCAGCTCAGGCAGGCATCCATGCACCTCACTAGGAGTTACAGGTCATTTTCTCCATTTACAGATGAGGAAACTGAAGCTTAGTGAGGTCACATAACACAGGGAAGTTCTCACGGAGAGGAAGGGGCATAGCCAGGATCCACGCCTGGACCATCTACCCCCACAGCTGAGCTCTCCTGCCACCCTTGCTGCCTGCTGCCTTCGCCTGCAGGCTCTGCCCACCTTTCCTTTTTGGGAGCTCCAGGTGTGGCCAGGTGGGTGCCACTCAATCTGCACTGGGCTGTTTTCTCACCTATTCTTGGGTGTAAGTTTAATCTCTTCAACAACTAGCACTCAGCATTCAGGGGCTGGGTCCTGATGCATTTCTTAGGGCCTGGAGGTTCAAGCTTATAGCAGACACTTGGTGAATATTTGTGCACAGTGTATATTTGTTGCCCCCTCTGCAACTCTATCTGTGCTGTGGTGTGTGAGTCCAGAAACACACCAAAGTCAGCCAGAGTGGGGACATGTACAAGAAGCAAAGGAGTGTCAAAAGGAGTGAACAGAGGGCCCAGTTCTTTGCTCCCATATTCTCTCCATTTGTCTCCACAATCTCCCTTAATAGCCCTCCTAAACCAACCAAACAAAACAATGATGCCCTCTTGTCTGTTGCGGGCATGGCCAGTAATGCTCCTCGCATGGGGCTTAGAAAAGGGAGAGGTAATGGCCAGGCGCGGTGGCTCACGCCTGTAATCCCAGCACTTTGGGAGGCCTAGACGGGTGGCTCACAAGGTCAGGAGATCGAGACCATCCTGGCTAACATGGTGAAACCCCGTCTCTACTAAAAAAATACAAATAAATTAGCCGGGCGTGGTGGCGGGCACCTGTAGTCCCAGCTACTCGGGAGGCTGAGGCAGGAGAATGGCGTGAACCCGGGAGGTGGAGTTTGCAGTGAGCCGAGGTCACACCACTGCACTCCAGCCTGGGCGACAGAGTGAGACTCTGTCAAAAAAAAAAAAAAGAAAAGAAGAAAAGGGAGAGGTAATCTAGGTTCTGTGCCCCAAACCTGGGCACAGTGTTGGACACAGCAGTTGCCCTACCATTTCCAAGTGTATTTATAGAAAAAAACAGCACGAGACAATGTTTTACATGGAGACGAGCTTGGAAACCCTAGGATGCATGGCTGCTGTAAATACAGGCCAAGGCTGGTGCACCACGTGGCTGTCCTGCAGGCTCAGCACTCGCCCAGAGAGCAGAGCTCCCCTGCACTGCCAACTACTCAAGCAAGACAATGCTGAGTGGGCATCTCCTGGGGATGAGGCACATCTGGGCAGGCTGCCTGGGAACATACCCAACAGAGGACGACGACAAACACAGTCACCTTAAATAAGGAGCTATCAAATATCCATGTGTGGTTTCTCCACCTTGCAGATGTTTTGTGTTTTTTCCCTGTCCAGGGCCTGTCTCTCCCATGGATCAGAGTTCCCACATAGCCCTTGCTACCGTATTGTATGCAAAATCGTTTTCATATTAACTCCAACCAAAAATTCAGGAAATTAAATCAGTTGCATAAAAATTGCTGTGGATCAATGCCATGGCCAAACCGAAATGAGCCGAGGAACAACCACTCTGTGTGCGTGAATCCTGCCTGTGACCCTCACAGAAGGCCAAGTGTGCATTACTTCCAGGTGCCGTACAACTGTTTCAACTTGGAGCTGAAAAGATGAAAAGACCCCTTGAAGTCTTCTGGTGCAATGGCTTTCTAGTTTTATTTTAGTGGGAGAACACTTTCTTCAAAGGAAATCCTACCTGGAAGCCGGCATGTAACTTAGATGAACCCCAAGCTGCTGGTGTGAGGGATCCAGGGCCATGGGGCTTGCTCTCCCCGTCCAAAGCTCCTAGGAGCACAGTTTGAAAAACAGGCATGCATCATCCCCAGCCCCTTGTTAACCTCTTTGTTCACTCATTCACACAACCATATTTCTTGAGCACCTACTGTGTCTAGGTGCTGGTGAGCCAGCAGGTGACAGGACAAACGCAGTCTCCGCTTTCATTAAGCTCACACTGTAGTAGGACGTGGCAAAGGGAAGTTCAGAAAGGGTGGCCCGTGCCACAGAGGAAACAGATCACGGAAGTGATGTGAACGTGACGAGGAGGTGGCCACTTTAGATGGGGATAAGGACAGGCCTCTCTGAGGAAGTGAAACACAAGCTGAGATCAGAATGACAATCTGGAAAGATGCCCTGTTTTGGACCAATGAGGAAGCAGACCCAGTGAGGCAAAGCAACCTTCCCCAGGACATGGCGGGCAGGGGCACAGCTGGGACCTGACTTGGGTTTCCAGCATCCTCCACCCAGGGCTCTTCGCTTTCACAGACATTACTAAACAGCTACCACATACAAAGATGTCTCAGTGGGCCCTGTGCAATGGTTCACACCTGTAATCCCAGCACTTTGGAAGGCTGAGGGAGGTGGATCGCCCGAGGTCAAGAGTTAGAGACCAGCCTGGCCAACATGGTGAAACTCTTTCTCTACTAAAAATACAAAAAGTAGCCAGGTGTGGTGGCGGGCGCCTGTAATCCCACTCCATCTCAAAAAAAAAAAAAAAATTATCAGTGACAGGTGACATCCAAGGGCAGATAAACCACCAAACCATGTCCTGCTGTTTGGTGCTGTCTGGCGTGACTCTTCCCTCCCCTCCCCTCCCCTCCTCAGCTGGGGCCAGGGCTGGCTCTGGATCTGAAGGCTCTATACCGCAAAAGACAGAGGCCTGCAGTTGACACCCTAGATCTGTGACCTTGGCTGGGAACGCTTCTTCATCTCCTATCTCTCCGGCTGCAAACAGGAGGGTGTTCCTTACTGCTTCATTTGGCATAAAGGTAAAAGCAAGATGGTGGGCATAAGCCCACTGGTTCATCTGGAGGATGGCTCTCTGGAAAGGCAAAGTGCTCCAGGGCGATTTAAAGACAGCAAAGCCAGTTTTCCTCCTGTGCTATAGAAGGCATTCATACAAGAACTATAAGAAACTACACAGGTCTATACATATTTTACACGCAAGAGTCAGACACTCCTGCTGTGCTGAATATGACAGGAAGCAGCCTGCAAATGGCTCGCCTACTATCCACAAACCAAACAGCTCCAGGCCACCCAAGCACTCCCCAGACCACCAATTCTGCACCTGTGGCCCAGCAGTGCCCCTGGCCCTGGGAACCTTACTGCTGCCAAAGCACTTTCAGGCATTGACCAATGGGAGCTTCCAGCCTCCTTGGGAGATAAGCCAGTGATTATCAGTCCCATTTTGCACACAGAGTAACTGAGCCCCAGACGACCTTTCCAGGCAACAAAGCGAATGACACAGTGACAACCACTAAGTTCCAATTCAAATCCAGGTCTCCAGACTCCAGCTGCTGCTTTCCACTACAAGCTGCCCCCAAATCGAACACACCCTGGCCTAATACCACCCTCATTCTCCTGCCACCCCACCCTCCGCCTGCATACACCCGATGCCCCAGAGTGCACTTAGGACTTTTTTCAGAAGCCGCCTCTTCTCACAACCCCACCTCAGAATACTTGCCACACACTGCAGACCCCTGGGACACTATTCCTGTACACACAGCAGCTGAGACCTATGTTAAGATGCTGTCCGGCCGAACCCAATTGAGCCGCCTCCCTTTCACACTTTCCAGCCAATGCACACGTTAACACTGCACATATCGCCTAGGAAAGCTATACACCCCAAAACCTCCAGACCCTCCTCCTTTCATAGGAGCCAGCCAGCTGCATGTGCAGGGATGGGCACACAAACAGGTGACAGGGCCTGCATAATCATGTTGCCACAAATGCACAGACGTGCCCAGGGAACACAGGACCTCCCTGTACAGGCAGCCTGACCCACTGGGAACAACGTGCACCACACACAGCAGGTGCCTGCATTTAGCAGACTCTGTGTTGCGTGGGGCAGGCAGCCACGACCTGTCCACATCTAGCTAAGCCGAGTTTGAGCCTGTCGGCTATGCTTGTGCACAAGAGGCAGCTACTGGAATTCAGGGTGGGCGAAGAGAGTGACATTTTGAAGAGGGACAGCCATGTCCCGGGAGGGCACACGGCCCCCAGAGGCCCAGAGCTCTTCCCAAGGCACAAGTGCAGAAGGCGGACTCAGGCGTGTGGTTAAGGACCCCCTGCTGCGGGCCCCTGCACACACCAACGCGTGCTCCCACGCGCCGCGACTCCCCCGGGATGCCTGCCCCACCCCTATCCGCAGCCAGCGTCCCCCTGCCCGCCGGCCCCGCCACGGTCCATCAGGGACTGCGGGCGGCGGAGGTGGCGGCGCCTTGCCGGGACCCCCAGCCTCCCTCCCCCGCCCCCGGCGCCCCACCCCACGCGGGCGCGCTTCTCCCGCCGCAGCCGCCCGCGCTCACCTGGCCCGGACACGGGCTCCGCCACGCGGTGATGGAAGCTGAGCCTAGAGAGGCGGAGAGCGGCGGCTCGCAGGGCCACCCAGCGGCACACGGCCCGCGCCTCGGCCCGCCCCTTCCTTGCCGGCCGGGGGAGTGTCCGCGCGCCTCCAGCCCGCCCCGCGCCCCGCTGCGGTGCCCAGTGCCCGCCGTCCTCACCTGGCCAGCGGGACGCGCCCGGGAACCCCGCACGCGGGCGGGCCGCCTCTTTGTTAGCAAGTTTGCCTTTCTGTGATTCAGAGCACGCGGAGCGAATTAAGTGGAGTGAGGGGTACTGTGCGACTGTCTGCGGGAAACCTGCGGGGAGCGCGGGAAGGGATGGACTTGATGAGCCGCGGCGCAGCGGCTTTCAAACCTCCCCGCGCTCCGCAGCCCCCAGCCCCCGCCCTACCCGCCCTCTCAGATCCCTCTGTCTCCTGCCTAGGTCGGCCCCTGGGAGAGGTTGGCTCCTGGGGGTTCCCAGGGACTTTAGGGACAAGGTTTGATGACATAGAGCTTCCCCACGCCCCCTTCCTCCCCTCCCCTCATCCTCCGCCCCGCGACTCCCATCACTGCCCTGTCCCTCTCAGGGTCCTGGGGACCATCGGCCCTGCATTCCCTGGGCTCAGGGAGAATCAAGATTCTTCCTAATCTGGAGCAAAAAGAGTAGACGGTAGGGCCCAGCTGTCCCTGCCTGCACCCAGTGGAGGTGCAAAGCTGTCCCTAAGTGGGTCTGTCCTAGCAGTGGGGCGTGCATTGTGGGTTATTTCCCAGAGCAACGGTGGCCTTGTGCTTATCCAACCATGTTCTTTTGAAACTTGACTGCAGCGAGCCGGGTTATCCATATACCAGGTTGCTAGGTCAGGGAGGCCGCTACTGGGGGGCAGGGAACGCGAAGCACGCCACTGTGCCCCAGAGCACCAGTGCTCTCAATGCCGCAGCTGACCGCTGGGAAAGGCTTCGCACAGGGCCATGCGGGAAGGAGATGACAGCCACAGTCCCCTGAGATGAAGACCTGAATGCAGAAGCTGCCGCGAAGGAGTCCCCAGAGCTTGCTGTGCGCGGTGCAGGAGGAGGAGTGTGCTGGGGGTGAGGGGGTAAAAACCTGAAGTCTGGAGGAGACCTGGAGTGATGTGAGGTTGAGTTTCGTGTGGGGCAAGCCGGGTTTGAGAAGCAGGCCACCTTCTTCCAGGGGCACACATCCAGCAAATGCAGTGGGAATGACCTGTGGTTCTTAGGAGAGAGGCTGAGGCAAGAGATGCGATTTTTGGAATCATCTGGAAAGAAGTTGGGCTGACAAGAGAAGAAATGGAGCGAGAGGGTAGAAAAGATAGAGAGAACAGGGCTGAAGACAGAAGCTGTCTAAGGAGGGGAAGGAGCCCATGAGAGAAACAATGTGGGAGGGTCGGGACTGTGCAGAGTGAAAGAACTCAGGAGAAGAGGGATGTTCAGTGGGGGCCTGGGCTACAGAGACACCAGGAAGGAGGTGCCCAAGAAAACAGGTTTAGATTTGGAAATCAGGAGATCTCTGGGGGCTTTCAAGAGAATTATTTGAGTGGTGGGTTGTGTAGACAAGATTGCCACTCCTTGGGGGGCATCAGGATCCTGGATCCAGTTGGTTGATCCAGGGACACAAAGGTTCATTTCTTTGATTTCCTTCACGGGGACTCCGAAGGGCCTCCCCAGAGCCACAGCTTCCAGAGGGATCTGACGAGGCCTCTGTGGAAAGCAACGCAGTTCAAGTTCAGTCTCTGCCTAATCCTGTTTTCCTCACTCTCTCAAGGTGAGTGAGGTCTATGGGGGTAAGCCCCCCCGCCTCCCCGTAGACCTCCTGGAATGCCTGGAACAGCTCAGCAACCTGGGCACAGGTGGCTTGAGACAACCTAGCCATTCGGGCCTGCTGCCAGAGTGAACGCCACAGGGAGGCCTGCCGGGTCTGGGGAGCATGAGCTGGTCAGGCCCCCAGTAGACCCCTTGCAGGCTGATCTCCATCTCCATGCAGAGTCTGTATCCTAGAAATCCAACCTGAGATCCTGCGGCACCGAGAAAGGGTGAGTGAAACAGAGAAAAGGTGGGATGGAGGGAAGAACAGAGGTGGGAACCACTCAGCAGGAGCAAGAAGGGGTGATGGTGGGAGACAGGCAGGAAGGAGTAGGCGTGTGATTTGATGCCTCTCCCCTCCACCTCCAAGGAAGCTGTTTCAAGAGATAGGAATTGTCAGAAAAAGCCGGAGAAGGTGGTGTTAAAGGAAAACATTGAGAATGGGGAGTGAAGACGAGGGTTTTTCGTAGCAGAAGATGGATCTTCGAAAGCCAGGAGGCAGAGGAGAGCAACGCTGTCGGTGAGATAAAGGTGAAGGGAAGCTGATATTCCCTGAAGTTAGTAATATTAAAACAGTACTGAAGAAAGAGAAAGTTGGAAAATGGTCTAGAGGGACCTTTTAGCAACATGAGAGGGCGAGGGATGAATGGAGCTCTGGACCAGGATATTCCCTCTGCAGCACCATCCCTGGGAACGTCAGACGTCTGGGGTAGTGAACCAACAAAAATAGAATATGCAATTAACAATTTCCCAGGAATCATGTTTACACACGTAAAAAAAAAGAGAAATAGGTGAAAGTAATTTCAATGATGTATTTTATTTAACACAATATATTTTAGATATGTTTTAAATAAAATATATCATTAAAATTGATGTGTCAATATACAAAATTAATAATGAGCCGTACATTTTTTTCCTTCTAAGTCTTCCAACTCTGGTGTGTATTTTACCTGTATTGCACATCTAAGTTCAGACACTAAATTTTCTTTGGAAATACCCGATCTGTACTTAGATTTCATAACATTGATGGTTGAAGAAGCTCATTTACAAACCTAAATTGCCCCATATATACCTATGCTTTCTAATAACAGAATAAAATGATCAGTCTTTAAGTTAATTAAAATGAAATGAAATAAAAAACCCCGCTCTTCAGTTGCATGGAGCACCTCTCCAGTGTTCAGTGGCCCCACATGTGGCTAGTGGCTACTAGATCGGACCACACAGGTCTAGAATTGGAATTCTGAGACTTTTGGATTTTGGCTTTTATTTTGTCCTGATTTTCTGTGAAGGAATGGGCTTGCCTGCCCCCAGTGCTGTACCACTAAAAAGATCCTCATCTGTTCCATCTCATTTCACAAAACTCACTTGAAGAAGACGAGGGAGAAGTCTGAGAGTCCATCTATGAATAGGGAAATGGGGCTTTGGCTTGGACTAGAAATGGTATGAAGGAGATGAGATATGAGTTGGAAGTATCCCGTTTTGATTTTTGTTCTATGTTCATAAGAGGAACGAGGTTTATTTGTCAGGTTGGGTGCCCCAAAGAGCGAACCGAGAGTGCGCTGTGATAATGCACGGGGCAACTCTTTCTTGCACAAACTCTCATCTTAGTAGTTTCCGTTGAGCTCTGGGCACTGGCTGCGTCACAAACAGGTGGACGCAGCTGCTATATCTAGGCCTCATTTTCTGCATCTGCAAACTGGGAGAGTAGTTCCTTATTTGGAAAAATAGGAGGGACCAGGGAAATCCCAGATTTGGAGACGGGTGCCTCTCAGCCAGGCCTGTAGCTCATCTGCTGTCCCTAGCTGGGTGCCAGCAGCTTCTGCATTCAGTCCACAGTCTGGTACCATTTGCCTGCCTTTATATCTGATGGGAGAGATCTGTCATGGGATGCAGGAGTGAGGGACGTTCTAGATACTCCTTTAGAAATGTAAAAATAATAATACTTAGGCATCCTTGCTTTTATCTGAAATGGCCTACATCTCTTGCTACTTGGAGGTTCAGGATAGATCTTGTGAGACCTCCTGCATGCCAGCACAGGGCCTGATAGCCTTACCATGCAGCAGCAGTATCTATAACCATCCCTAGAAGTGGAGTCACAGAAAATACCATGGTAATTGTGGCTTTGTTTTGAGGATGGTTACCACACACACACACACACACACACACACACACACACGTGCATGGCATGGAGGAGCCTGACCTGTTATTGTTGGCATCCCCAGGATACATGGCACATTAGCTTAGTGTTCAGGTTGTACATAAACCCTCAAGGTCAGGAGCTGTAACACTTGGATTTCTCCGTCCCCTGGGCATAAGCCTGTCTTTCAAAACAATTTCTGGCCACTGCCTAGAAGAGTTGCAAGATAACAAAATTTCCCTTGACAACCTCTACTCCTGCCTCCCTGACATCCCTGCTTGGTTAAGCTGCTGTCCTGATGTGGCCTTAATAAAAGTACTCTGTGTATAGACTCTTGACAGAGCCATTCCTGGGAAAAACAGCTCCGTTCTTGGAGACAGGAAACAATGCCCTCAGCATACAGATCAGAGACAGCTTGTCTGACTTGGCCCGCTTCCCCATCTTTAAAATGGGGAGGTCTTCCTGCCTCGGCTTACCAAAGCGCTGGGATTACACATGAGCCATGTGCCCAGGAGAGTCGCTTGAGCCCAGGAGTTCGACACCAGGCGGGGAAACACAGGGAGACCTCGTCTTTACCAAAACCAAATATATACATAAAATAAAATAAAGTAAAATACAATAAAATACAATAAAAAATGGGGAGAAACTCCTCCTAGGATTCTTTTTACAGTCTTAGAGAATGGAAACTGGCCTTGGTTTCTTCATCCATGTGAAAAATAGAGCTAAAAAGCCTCTCGTCAGCACCTTTCTCTCTTCTAGCAGGACTGAGGAATGACCAGAGGTTAAATGTTGATGAGCTGAATTAGCTTCAGTTCAATCTGCATTTGACTAGGAACTTGATGACTGAGGCTGCTCATTTTTGCAACAATACCTGGGGTAGAGAAATGACTGTAGAATTGAACCTCACAATCTCAGGTGTAATTCCCATGAGAAAGATATTACACCAGAAATAGGAGGTTTCCAGCTGTTCTCAGGCATGCTTTCAATGACACTAAGAACATCAGTTGCACTAATTGGTGCTTGAAATAATTATTGATCTTCATCAGGAGTGTCAAAAGCATTGCTCAAATGTCCAACTGCTTGTCATGCTCTCTTGGCATTCTACGCGAAGGACTTCACAGACTGTTTCTTTCCCAGGAGAGCATTAGCTAAGGCAAAACATAGAAAAACACATCTAGGATACAGATAACATAAGTACAGACAGCTGAGCAAATATATAAATAACACCCGAAATGACACTTAAATATTTACAGCTGGAGATTTCTGCTACGTGCAGCACATACTGCTAATCCTCTCTCATCTCCAGGAAGTTTTCAAAAACCTGCTTCTGTAACTAGTGGACAGGTCTTCTGGATCCAAGGTCACCTGCTGGGGAGAAAGAGAAGCCTTTGGATAAACATCACAAGTTTTCCTGGAACATGGATTTTATTTAAGATTTTTTGGAAAGAAGGGAATAAGGTTTTTACCTTTGTAATGTTTTTACAAATATTTTCAAAAGTGTAACATGTATATGTGCTCATTTTAGAAAATTTGATCAGTATAAAATATTAAAGAAGAAAGTAAAAGCTCATTTGGAATCTTATCTGTTGGAAGGAATCACTGTCTTGCTATATGTTGGTGAATATCCTTTTGATGATGTGTATGTGTGTCAGTGTGTGTTTGTAACTTGAATTTTTAAAGTTTGAGAATATATTCTAGTCGTCTTTTTATGTCAATGGATATAAGAATATATTACATCATTTTTGATGCAATATTTTGATATACCATGATTTGTTTAATCAATCCCCTATTAATGAATATTTAGGATGGTTTTAATTTTTAAAATATTTTACAATGTGGTTATGAAACATTCTTTCATATATATACTTGCCTACTTATTCAACTATTTCTTCAGGATACATTCAGAAACGGAGCCACAGAAAATATTTCTTTTGGTGGATGGACGCAAACACACACATACATATGTATAGGTGCATATGTACATACATTCACACATACATGCTACATACGTGTGTGCGTGTGTGTATATATACATAGAGGGAGAAAGAGAGAGAGGAGAGTCAGAAAATATATTTTAAACTTAAATATAGCCATTATCTCTTGAGAAGGGACTTGTATTGGGGATGTATTCAAAGAGGAATTTGACCACATTTGTAATGTTTAAGTTTTTTCACAAGTAGAAAATATATGTGTAACTTAAAGTTAGTCAAAATTAAAGGTAACACTAACAGAAAAGGACAAACTAAAATAGTTATCAACCAACAGTCACATATCATTGGAAATTATTTGCTTTCTTCTGCTGAAAAAAAGGTAACTATTAAAAGAATACAAATAGGATATATCAACGTTAAACTGCCAAAAGAAAAGAAAAGGAACCAGAACGCCGAAAGTCTTGATTAATCCAGCAAAAGTAAGGAGTGGAAAAAAAGAAAAGAAACAACAAGAAAGCACAGCAAATAAAAAGTACAAGGATATGAAAAAGTAAGTCCAAATATACCAATATTTAGAATTAATACGATTTGGTTAATATTTCCATTAAAAGATAGCAAGTCTCTAGGTAACAAAACAAAATGCAGTTATATGTTCTTCAAAAGGACACGTACAAAAAGAAAGTGATGGAAAGTTGCAAAACAAATTAATGAAAAATATATACACATTAACCCAGGAAATGCTAGCACCAAGAAAAAGTTGTGCCAATATTAATAGGAAATAAAATGCATTCAAAGCCAAAAAGAATTGATAGTCAAAGAAGACATTTTTTGTTTTGTTCTTGTCCATTCATGAACCTTTGTGTACAGCTTCAAAATGTATAAAGAAAAATGATAGCGCAAGTAGATAAAAAATAACCAAGGATTTACAGGTGCACTGTTGAATGTAGTAGCCACTAGCCACGTAGTACAGCCAATGGTCACTAGGTTATTGACCATTCAGAGATGGCTAGTCCAAATTGAAATGTGCTCTAAGTGTTAAACATACACTGGATTTCCAAGACTTGGTATGAAAAAATAAAGTCAAATAGCTCATTAATATTTTAAAATATTGATTACATGTTGAAAATATCATGTTTTAGATGAGTTAAATCTACTAAAATTAATCTTACCAGTTTCTTTTTACTTAAGGTGGATGCCAGAAAATTTTAAATAACACGTGGTTCTCATTATATTTTTATTGGACAGCACTGAAGAAGATTTAAATTAATACAAATAAAAATACGGACCAATAATTACATAAAAGAAACATTTTGACTTATCAGAGATTTTATGTTCTTTTCAATAATGCAACACTTATAAATTCATCAATTACCTGACCATAGGAAGAGCTCAAAAATGTTTAAAAACTAGCTATTGCAGAGGCTGTGATACCTAACTACAAAGCTTTTCCAGGACTCAAACGGAAATCCCTGTTGCCTATACCAGTTACTGTTGCTCTTCCCAGTGATTGTGGGGAAGTGCTTGTACAGGTGGGGTCTGTGTGTAGCATGACCCTGATGATGGGGACTATATCCTTCTTGGGAGCCCACGTCACCTGAGGTCCTACTCTGCCTGTTGGCCCCACCTCACAGGATTTGTTGAGTCAGAGCTCTCCTTTCAGAGAGCAGTGACAACAGCTTTAGCCTGGGAGGCTATCTACAAATTGCTCTGTGTTTATGGAGGTCTGGGAGGGGATAGACCTGACTGGCCCAGTGGTTCTGAACTATTCACCTGATAACACTGACGTCCCAGGCTCTTTCTTCCACATGGATTTTATCACTCATTACTTGGGGTGCTCTAGAGCTATTCTTGCCTTGTGTAGTTCATCCTACTTATTTTGGCTTGAGGGTTTTTTGTTTTTTACTTCTCTGTGTGTTTTTTTTTTAAATCAATTCAAACCTATTTCTAAAAAAAAAATCATCCTTAATATTTCTAGTCCACAGGTAGAATCCTTCCTTAATTTCCAGCAACAATATAACTCTATTTCTTTTTCAACAATTAATTTCTATTATTTGATGGGACTTTCAGTAGGTGGGGGTATGAAAGCTAGTATGCTATCTGACCCCTTGATCCATGATGAAATGTAAATTTTTGTATATTTATCTCAGAACCAGTCACCTTACTAATGATACTTTTCATACCAAAATAAACACTGATATATCATTAAGAAGAATGCATGCAAAATATGCAAGCATTTTTCAATGACATAGGAACTGAAACAAATTGGACAGTTGTGGAGGGCTGATATACTGCAGCTCCCTCTTGTTATTAGGGAAAGGTTGAGAGGACAACACTTTGGAAGTTCAGCTTCAAAAAGGATATCTTTACTGCCTTGAGTTGGCCTCTCACTCTCTCTCTCTGTCTGTCTTCCTTTTTCATCCAAATAAATCAATTCAATTCCAATAAAATGCTCTAATAAGGCCTCTTGGTTGCCCTCAACTATAGACAAGGCTGTTTGTGTGTGTGTCACACAAGGGCCTGCACTCAGATGGGCCCAGCCCTCATTTAATGCTCTGCTGTTGGTGTCTTGAAATTTTTAATTGCTTTTGACTAAGAGGCCCACATTTCCATTTTGTACTGGGTCACACAAACTAGGTAGCTGATCCTGAATACAGGCTTCTACTCAGCAGAACTTGGTCCTTGGTATTTCTGCCAAATACCTAGCTAGTGTAATGCATTTTCAACCCAAGCTAAAAGATTAAGGCTTGTGGCATTTTGCTGAGCCCAAAGAGGGCTCCATTACGTGTATCTTAGGAAAATTCTTACCCTTTCTTCTGGGTTGGTGGTGGTGGTGGTGGTGGTGGTGGTGGTGGTTTGAATCTGGGGGAAGGAATATAACCAGAGCCACATCGCTAAGATTCTTTTGTGAGCTGGCTTCACCTCACCTCGTGACACTCTGTTACTGATGGTTTCCTCTCCAGTCCGTATCAGGGCTTGCAGTGCAGTACACGAAACTTGTCCTTTCTTCCACACATCTGCCCAGTTGGTTCCCGTTGCTTGACATAATGCCCTTTCTCACCCTGGCTACTTGGTGAACTCCTACTCAATCGTCAAAATTTGCTTTAGTTATCACCTCCTTTAGGTGATAACTTGGCCTCCCTGGACTCTCTGGGTGGAGCTAAGTGACTTGTTCTTATTGATGTGACATCTCCAAGAATAACTTAATCATGGAGCAGAAATTATTTTTTGTATAAGTTGTATTATTGTATAAACCTCTTTTTCACTAGAACCACTAGACGGATGGTTCCCAACCTTTTTTTTTGTTTACTGATTTTTTTTTTTTGGGTGCACACATCAAGGCATGAAAATGCTAAAGCATATTAAACAAGTCAGGAGTCATCACAGTGCAATCACTGCTGCAGTATCACTGGGTCTCACAGCAACTATGAAAGCATCCACTGTGTCCATACTATCACTTGGTCTCCGTTTAATGCTGATTTTTCTGTTCTGAGTTTACGGTCTAGTATATCTCACATGCTACATTTTCTTATGTTGCAGTAAACACCAAGTTGGCTGGATTTTACATTTCTCACCTCATCTCATAGGCAGCTTACCCGGTTCTTCACTGTCATGTGACTCTTTGGGTCTGTGCTCCATTTGACAGACATTACTAACATCTATATCCCATTAGAACAAAAATATACATTAGACATTTATTGAAGTTTGGCAGCCCACCGTAATCACCAGAGTCAGCTGCATAGATTGCAGGCTACACCAGGGTACTCAGCTGAAAGGGCAAAGGGGACCGATGATCCGTTATAATGTGCACCAGGCTTTGTGTTCCCCAGATGGCATCTTCCCAGAAGGGGGGCCCTTTCCTAATTTGTACAAAAGTATCATCTGGACTAATGGTGGATGCTCTGACTGGGCGCATCCAGGGTCAGCTGGGAACTGCTGGAGACCAAGGGCTGGATTCTAGTCGTCTTTTCTTTCCTAGCACTTGCATAGTGCTAGAGAGTAACAGACTTAATAAATGTAGAATAAATATAAAATTATCAAGACACTCTGCTGTTGGTGCGCAGCATGACTTGGGCCTAGTCTGTAACATTGTTAACATGAGTTTCCCAATCTCATCTGCTGCTGGTGCAGATTTAAGTGGTTCTTAAATGTGGTGTTGGGTACAGTGGTGTGACATGGTAAAACTATAGCTGGCCCCCAACTCCCAACCTCCAGCCCCCAAGAATCATTCATAGCCCTGGATTCTTCACATCTGTGCTGAAGTCCAAAAATTTCCCTGGGAATACGTCAAGCTCTCAATCATCCTTCATCAAGTGAACTGCTGTTGAAAGATAGGGTGGGGTCTGCTGCCCTGACAGGCTTTCTTCTTTTCAAACTGGAACCCCTGTAGTCTCTCTCCCCACTCCCTTTCTTGCATAGCACAGATGTGAAGACCACACCTGTAGAAATTAGTACTCACTGAGAATTCAAAAATCCTAGAACTGGGTGATAGCTTAGAGGTCACCTTGTCTAATCTCATTACAATCAGGAGACTGAGAGTTGGGGAGGGAAGTATTGTCACAGGGTTGGTGTTGTCAGAACAGCATCTGGAGCCCAGGTTAAGACCGCCTCTCTCCTGCGCTCATGTGTGTGCCTTATTTTTTCCTTTCGTTCAGGTCTGAAGCAGTTTCCCTTCCCATCTGCCCCCTGAGCTGCTGATATGATTTGGCTCTGTGTCTCCACCCAAATCTCATCTTGAATTGTAGCTCCCACAATTCCCATGTGTTATGGGAGGGACCCAGTGGGAGGTAATTGAATCATGGGGACAGTTCTTTCCCACGCTGTTCTCATGATAGTGAATAAGTCTCATGAGATCTGATGGTTTTATAAAGGGGAGTTTCCCTGCACAAGTTCTCTTCTCTTGTCTGCCACCATGTGAGACGTGACTTTCACTTTCTGCCATGATTGTGAGGCCTCCAGAGCCATGTGGAACTGTGAGTCCATGAAACCTCTTTCTTTTGTAAATTGCCCAGTCCAGTGCAGCACCCAGAGGCCAAAGCCACATGCTTTCTTCAGTCACAGAGTTCCCGCCACGCCCCTCATTATGTCTCCAGCATTTGTTTCTGAAGCCTTGGGAGAGAGAGATGGGGCCAGACACAGGCTTTGCAAAGATGCCTTCTTGGAAGCTTGGTATGGGGTCTGACCCTGCCCCAGGCTCAGAGCCTACGGTTGGTCCTGAGGGTTAGGGGTTTTCTGTCATGCCCTCTGTCTCTCTGCTCCCAGGCTGGCCTGGGGGCCTGCCTGCCTGCTGTGGGACCCTCCAAGGATGTCTGGGCAGCAGAGTCAATCTCTGGGGACACATGTGGGGACTCCAAAGACTGTGTGCTTTGTTCTCCATGATAGATAGATACATGAGACTTCTGGAGAGAGGAGGCAGTGCCCAAGGTCACAACAGGACTGTGAGCCTGGACAAGGGTCAGACCAAGTTTTCGTGCTGCTCTTTGTCTGGGACTCAGGGCCGCCCTGGCTCTTGTCTCACTGTGATTGCACATACTGGATGCCAGGCTTATCTGCTTGCATTCAGGGTCACAGACAGTAGGGCTGAGCTTGGAGGGTGTGGGTGGGGAGGGAGGTATACCGAGGTAAGACAGTGAGTCCCTGGGCAAGTATTTGTCAGAGCAATAGGAGAAGAGAGTGAGGTGGGGGAGAAGTGGAAGAATGCAAATAGCTATTGTGGTCCTTGGCCACTTTAGAGACTTCATCAGGAAGGCCTACCCTGACCCTCATGCTCTAAATGAGACCCCCCCTCATTATTTTCTCTGTTCTTTTTTATTATAGTACATATTACAATGTTTGACTACTTCTTTGTATGTTTGTTCTTGTTTATATCTGTCCTGGCCACTAGACCATATAGTCATAAAGGCAGGAAAGACGCTGGCTTTCCCTTTGCCCAGGACCCAGCAGCGCCTGGCATATAGCAGGTGCTCAACAAATATGTGATAAGAAAATGCAGTGATGGGTTGATAGGTGCAGCAAACCACCATGGCACACATTTACCTATATAACAAACCAGCACATTCTGCACATGTATCCCAGAATGTAAAATAAAATAAAATGAAATAAAGAAAATGAAGGAAGTTTTTTTTAACTTTCCTGATTCAGTTTGGGCAATGATATAAACCAAAATACCACTGACCATTGAATAGCTGCAACTTATCTGTGAGTACTCACCATTAGGTGCAAGTTTAAACCCAAATATAAATTATATAAATGATAGAATATATTTTCTAATGGACATGAGTTAATTAAAAGTACAAGATTATTTTAGATTTTATTATTTCTCGTATTTACTTCATGGCGTAACCAATGATCAAGTCTTGGACATAATGATTTGTAATCTGTCTTACTTTGTGTAGAAAATAATGTTAAAGGGGTTTCTGTTTTGTTCCTTTGATATGAGTACATAGGGGTTGTAAGTATTTTTGAGCATCATAAGGGAACAAAAAAACCCTGACTCACTATGCACAGCCTCAGAGGGTGCTGTTCCTACTGCAGTTTATGTGCAAGGCACTCCTGCAGTTGGGCAGTGCACATCCTGCACAACCTTGCAGGAGCAGCCTTGTGAAAACCTAGGCTTGAGCAGTGCACATCCTGCACAGCCTTTCAGGAGCAGCCTCGTGAAAACCCAGGCTTGACAACTCATCTCTCTGCCTTTACTCTTGCCCTTCTTCTGTTCTTTTCACAGCATTTAGAATGATCTTTTCAAAGCTACAGTGAGAGCGTGGCACTTGTCACCTTAAAACCCTCCAGTGACTTTGTACTGAGAACAAAGTCAAAACCCCTCTCCTGGCCCACAGGACCCGGCAGGACCTGCCTTTTGCCTGCATTTCCTACCTGTTGCTTACCTTCCTTCTCTCCCTTGCTCACTGAACTCAGGTCCCACTATCCTTGTTTTCCTTCCTCATTTAGCCAAGCTCATACCTGACTCAGGGGCTTGCCCCTGCGTGCCCTTGGCCTGGACCAGTCTTCCTACCTGGCTTCTGACCTTCCACCGATCTTCACTGGCTGTTTTCTTCTCATCCTTTCAGGTCTCAGCTTCAATGTCACCCCTAGGACAGCGCTTTCCTGACCCCAATTCTAAAGTGCACTCCTCAGTCACCCTCCATGACATCTGTCTGTCTATTCCCTCCTCAGAACTCATTCCTATCTACTATGTCCTTGTTTCTCTGTATTTATGTACTTGTTATCTTCCTCTCCACTAGGCTATAAACCCCACAAAAGCCGAGATGTTATCTTGGTTGTTCTTTGCTGCACTTCCAGTGCTGAGAACAGTGCCCACAGTAAGTGTGCCAGAAATACTCGTTACATGAATGAGTGAAAATCCACAAGGGGACTTGGTCGTGGTGGCTCCCGATCTGGCTTGCTTATAGATTGGGATCTAGAAAACCAACAGGAGCCTGCTGTGCTGGAAAGAGCAGTGGCCCAGAAGTCTGCGTGCCTTTTCTTGCAGTGGCCTCTCTCTCTCGGGGTCTCCTGAGATTGGGGGTCTCTGAGTCAGGGGCCAGGAATCTTTGTGCCCTTCAACTACACAGTGAGGGCCTGCTTTTTCCTGAGGGCCAGAGGTTTTGGGTAGCCGTGATGACAACACCTCCACTTTCCATCGTCACAATGACTTTTCTATGGGATCCTGATGTTGGGGGAGATGCCTGACTCTTTTAGTCTGAAACTGAAAGTTAAACAGAAAGCAATACTTTTGGAGGCAAGGAGACATACTGGGAAGGGGACTGGCACCAGAACAACCTGGGCTGGGGACTCAGCCCCTCACTTACCAACCAGATGACCTTAAATATTTTCCTTATTTCTCTGAGATGTAGTTTTGGCAAATAGGAATGCTCACCCCTGCTCACATATTTGCAGTGAGGAGTACAGGAGTGGACATACCTGCAGCTGAAAGATGTCAGCTCCCCTCCCAATGCCTGAGCAAGCTCCAGCGTGCCCTCAGGAAAAGCCCTAAGTCCAGGTCACAGATCCCAGCCTGCAGGTGATTCCCATGGAGGCCATCAGGGGCTACAGGTGAGAGGTGGGCTTAGCTTGGTGGAGGGAAACCAAAAACAAGTCACTTGTGAGGAAAGCAAAACAGTTTGTTTATTTATTTTGCGCCAGAATCTTCGGTGCGTGACCCTACGGAAATGGCTCTGCAGAATTGGAAAGGATGGAAGCGTGTTTATCAACTTTCCTGGGTAAACTTCATTTGCATTCCTAGAGTTTTCGTGGTAGTTTTCCAAGAGACGAAGTGGTCTGTGGGCCGGCTTACCTCCTCCCCAAAACAAATCACTTGCACTTTTGCTTGCGTGTGGAGGTAGAGACTACTCTTTGTTGAGCTCTGCCATGAGCCAGAGATGGTGCCGAGTATTTTAAATACTATGTTAGACACAATACAGGGGCTTGCTCAGCAGCAAGCCTTGCCTCATGATTGCAACATAGTTGCTGCACCCTCCAGCATCACAACCACATTACAGGCAGGATGAGGAGGTAAGTAGGAAGGAGACAAAGACTTTTCTCTTCTTGAAACTTTGCCTTTTTAGTTCGGAAGAGGTGCCTTCTCTAAAAACTGTCACTTACATATTACTGGGTAGAACCATGTTACGTGGCCACCTCCAGAGTGCTGGGAAGTTGAGTGTTTAGACTTCCAGGCTCTCTAAAAGAGGACGTTGAGAACAGCAGGGGAATATTACATGAGATATGGGTCAAACGAATACATTAGAACATTATGGGTTTTTAGTGTGTGGTTTAAAGAATTCCTTGAAATGCCTAAGCAGCACATTAGGAAGGGAACTGCTCCTTTGGGAGTGACTCATGTAAAATGGGCCCGGTGCAGAAGCCAGGGTGTGCAGGGTAGAGCAGCTCTTTAAGGCGCCAGGCGGAGAGGCGGAGGCTTGGCTTAATGTAGGACCATGCGTGCTGGCGTTTCTCCTAGGACCTGGACTAAGGGAATTGGGGGTGGAGGGTGTGGTGGGGGCTTTGTGCCATCTCCTCTTCCCCCATCAGATGCAGGAGCAAAGTGGAAAAGTCCTCTGGGGATTTTCTTCTCTGATACAAGGGAAGCACACGCAAATGATCTTTTCCTGAGAAAACCCATTGAGAGCAGTTTCCCACACGCCCTGACACTCAAGTTCCAACCCAGTCCAGGCTGCTGGCTGGAGAAACGACCTTTAAAACTCTTGTTTATGTACAGCCACAACTTCAGCCCAACTCCAGCCTGGCCTGGCATGGAAAACCAGGAAGTTTCTGTAAGAAATATTTTTAAGGGTCTGTGTACCTCACAGGAAGCCTTCAGATTGCAAACATGTGTCCAAACTGCTGACTTGGAGTAAATGGATCAACTTACTCAGTCTGAATTGGAGAGCCTGATTTCTGCACCAGGGAGGCTTGCTGTTTGAATGTGTGCCAGGTTGAATGGAGTCTCTGGCTTCAGATGGATTCAAGCTGAAAGAGGTTTCTTCTGTAAGTCAGCTTGTATGGTAATTTCTTTCCTTTCTTCTTCCTGCAAGTGAAATAGTGCAATTTATCTTGACCCCGTGTGGGCTGTTGGCTTTTTTCCTCTTTGTCATCTGCAGAGCCTGCTCACGTCTCTGTTTCTAAGTTCATAACATGCTGCTCTGGGCTTTGCGGCTCCACAGTCTTGTTGACTGTACACTGGTGCTTTTGTTTCAATTAAACTTTTAATTTTGAGATAACTGTGGTTTCATTTGCAGGTGTAAGAAATAATTCAGAGAGATTCTGCTTACCCTTTACCCAGTTTTCCCTCACCTTGCAAGACTATAGCACAATATTGTAACCTGGAAATTGACCTTGAAGTAATCAAGATACAGAACATTCCATCAGAGGATCCCTCTGTTGCCCTTCATAGCCACGCCCACTTCCCTCCCACCTCCCTAAAAGAGGAGACTCCTTCTTTTATCTTTGGCAACCACTAATTCATTCTCTATTTCTGTAATTTTGTCATTTCAAGATAGCTACATAAATGGAATCATATAGTATGTAACCTTCTGGGATTGACTTTTTTGGTTTCACTCAGCATAATTCTCTGGAGATTCATCCAAGTTTTGCCTGTTATCAATAGTTCCTTTTGTTTAACTGTTGAGTGGTATTCCATCTTGCAGATGTACTATAGTTTGTTTAACCATTCACTCACTGAAGAGCATAAGGACTGTCTCCAGTTTTTGACTTTTAGGAATAAAGGTGCTATGAACAGTCGTGTACAGGTATTTGGGTGAACATGAGTTTTCATTTCTCTGGAATAAATGCCCAGGAGTGTAATTGTGGGGTCATATGGTTGTTGCATGTGTGGTTTTTTGAGGAACCACCAAACTGTTTTCCAGAGTGGCCGTACCATTTTACATTTTCACCAGCAATTTATGAGAGGCCCGGTTTCTCTGCGTCCTCACCTGCATTTGCTGGCCCTACCTTTTATTTTAGCCATTCTGTTAAGTGTGTAAGATAGCTTAACAGCTTAAATTTGCATTTTCCTAATCGCTAGTGATGTTGAATGTCTTTTCACCTTCTTATTTGCCATCTGTACGTCCTCTTTGGTGAAACGTTGGTTCATATCTTTTGCCCGTTTTCTAATTTTTTTAATGTTGAGTTTTAAGAGTTCTTATGTATTATAAATACTAGTTCTTCGTCAGATATGTGGTTTACAAATATTTTCTCCTTGTTTGTGGGTTATTTTTTTCATCCTTTTAACAGGATTTCTCACAGAACAAAAGTCTTAAATTTTAATGAAGTCCAGTTTATCAATTTTTCCTTTTATGAAACATGCTTTTGGTGTCAAATCTAAGATCTCTTGGCCTAACCCTAGATCATGAAAATTTTCTCCTGTGCCTTTTCTAAAAGTGTTATAGTTGTATATAACTCCATGATACATTTTGAGTTAATTTTTATATACCATGTAGGACTTAGGGGAAGGGAGCTTTTTTCTCTTGTAGGAATCCAATTGCTCCAGTACCATTTGATGAAAAGGTTCTCATTCCTCCATTGAATTACTTTTGTAGCTTTTCCAAAAAATCACTTATGCGTATTTGTGCAAGTCTATTTCTGGGCTCTCTATTCTGTTCCAGTGAGCTATGTGTCTATCCTTCCACCAGTACCATCTAGTCTTGGTAAGTGTAGCTGTATATTTTGATATAATAAGTCTTAAAATTGAGTAGACTAATTCCTCCCACTTTATTCTTCTATTTCAAAATTGTTTTAGCTATTCTAGTTCCTTTGCCTTTCCATATACATTTTAAAATAAGCTTGTCTATATCTATAAAAATCTTGCTGGGATTTTGATAGGACTTGTGTTAAATCCATATATACATTTGAGGGATAATTATCATCTTTCCTCTGTTGAGGCTTCTAAACCATGAACGCAATGTGTCTCTATTTTATTTAGAGCTTTGATTCTTTTAACAGTATTTTGTAGCTTTCAGCATAAAAGTCTGCTATGCGCTGAATGTGTCCCCTCAAAATTCATATGTAGTGGTATCCCCAGTGTGGTGGTATTAAGAGGTGGGGCCTCTGGGAGGCGGTTAGGTCATGAGGGCAGAGCCCTCATTAATGAGATTAGTGCCCTTATGAAAGAAGCTGAAAGAGTTTGTTCACTTGGACACAGTAAAAAGCTGCCATTTATGAAGCAGAAAAGGAGTGCTCACCAGACACTGAATCTGCTGGTACCTTGATCTTGAACTTCCCAGTCTCCAGAACTGTGAGAAATAAACTTTTGTTGTTTTAAACTTCTGTTGTTTTACCCGCTCTAGGGCATTTTGTTACAGCAGCCTGAATGGACTAAGACAAAGCCCTTGCACATGTTTTGTTGGATTCATATCCAAATGTTTCCTTTCTGTTTTGAGTGATTGTAAGTGGTATTGTATTTTTAATTTTTGTGTCTGTGTTCATGCTGGTATATGGTGATATACTTGATTTTTGTGTGTTTATTTTGTATCCTGCAACATTGCTGAAGTTACTTATTAGTTCTAGAAGCTTTTTCTGCATTCTTTGGAATTTTCTACATAGACAATCTTGTCATATGCAAGTGGGGAGAGTTTTATTCCATTCTTTCCAATTCACATACCTTTTATTTCCTATTCTTGTCTTATTGCACTGAATAGAACTTCCAGTACTACATTGAATAAGAGTGGTAAGAGAGGATAGTCTTGCCTTCCTTCTGATCCCAAGGAGGAAACAGTCAGTATTTCACCATTAAGTATAATGTGAGCTGTAAATATTTTTGGAGATGCATTTTATCAGGTTGAGCAAGTTCCCCTCTATTCCTTTTTTTTTTTTTCTGAGAGTTCCTCTTTAAAAAAATCAGAATGGGCATTGGATTTTGTCAAATGTTTTTCTGCTTCAATTGCTATGATCATGTTTTTGTTTTTGTTTTTTCACCTGCTTTAGGCCAAACAATATACTATTTACACTATTCTGAATACTTTGAACTGCAAATGATAGATTAAACCAGATTAAAATTTGATTAAATTAAAAGAAATGTATTTTTTTCTCTGAACAAGATATCTGGAGGCAGACAGTTCCAGGGTTGGCTAATTCAGCATCTCAGTATTGTCAGGGCTCTGGGTGTTCTCTGTGATTCTCTGGGCTTTCCCCTCGTGGTTGCAAGTCGGCTACAGAGGTCCCAGGTGCCGCTAGTAGGGGATGTTCTCCTTTTTTTTAATCACAAGGAAAATCTTTCTCAGAATCCTACAGGCTTTTATGTCTTGTTGGCCAAAGTGAGCCCATGTCCAAACCTAAACCAGTCTCGCAAAGAGAATGGAAACGGGAGTGGAGTCCCATGAATAGTTTAATCCAGTAGTTCTTACCAGGGGCCCTCCTGGTGTGTTGGATGACAATTTGTTGTTGTGCAGGATTGTCCTGCTCACTGAAGGACATTTAGCATCCCTGGCCTTCACCTATTAAGTGACAGTGGAGCCCTCCAGTCATGGAGACAACTTCTTTCAAACTTCCCCTGGGTGTGGCGGGTGGGGGGCGGGGGCTGGCAATAACACTTCTCATTGAGAGCCATTGGTTTAAACCAATTATGATTCACTCCAAGGTCAGCCAGTGGAGTGATCAAGCCAGGACTGGTTGAGTTTAATACTATATATTGAATTCCCAATTATCTGCTTTTATTTCTCATTGCTGTGACATCTAATAATTATTGTGTGTTTATTATGAGACACAGTGTGCTAATTGATTTATATCCTTTATCATTTTACTTTTTATAACAACTTTAGGGGATATGCATTCTTATTGTCCCCATTTTACTGATGAGGAAATTGAGGCCTACGAAGATTAAGGAAGTTGCCCAAGGTCTGATTCCAGAATCAGCATAAGCTGCTACACCATACCACTTCCCCAGGAAAGTAAGTCTTTGTTGTCTTTTGCTGTCATTTATTCTGAGTGGTAGCAAGACATTCTTCAAAAGCCAGGTGATTCCTCCCAGACTGTACCCACAATTTCAGTCCTTCAGTTGGAGGAATTACAGAGGGAAGATGAATGCATTTACTCCAGTTATGTATGGCAGAGAAGAGGTAAGAGATGAAAAGCATGATTTAGCCATATTATTTTGCTTTTTCTAAAAAGAAAACTCCTTATTAGATCAACACTTTATTAGGCTATGTCTTAATTATAACTTAGGCTTTACAGTTCTTAAGCAAAGATATGACTAGGGCAAAATTAAAATATGGCAACGAGTATACGTTGTCTCACTCAAGTACTGTTTTCAGTAACTCCTTATCTAAGCCTTGGCTTTCTTTACACTTTTACATATTCTAAGTGATTCCAGGCATTGCAAAGCTCTTTTGCCTGTGCAAGGCTTCCAGGAACCCAGCCACTGGCAGCTTTGGTGTAGGCACATTCTTAAGAAGGGACATTTTCTATTTTGCCTTCATTTGTAGCTATTCATGACTGACTCTCCGTTCTTTTGTCTACTTGTTCATCCGTCCATCCATCCATCCATCCATCCACTCAGCCATTCTTTTGTTCAACAGTGATTTACTGAATTCCTTACTATGACTCTTCTATATTTGACATGCCACACGATGTTCAGCAATGACTTCTACTCAAGAGCTAGTTTTTAGTTTCACACTGCTTTTCTCTTGTTCTTTATCTTTTGCTTTTGTAGCTCAGAACAGAAAAATCTATAGAAAAGATCTTGCTACCAGGCTATGGGACCCTCTTGTCCATGGCGATATCTTACTGTCTTTGTGTCTTTGGGCTGAGCAATCCTGCAGCATGGTGTATGCTCAATAATGCTCATGGAACAAAATGGTGTGGTTCCTCTTCCAGGAAGTGCTGCCATCTCTCTTTTGATTGAGAATAGGTTTACCTAGGTGATTACATCACTAACATTGTATTCCTGTGATTTCTTCCTCATGATAGGACAGATTTTACTAAAAAGTCAAAAATTATTTATTACATTATGCCGTTCCTCTTACTTTTCATGCCAGATTAAATTTTCTTGGTCCTTCAATGCCCACTTCTAATATCAATAAACAAGTAACCTTTCCCCAACCTACTGAAGTCGCCATGTGGAATTGGTCATTCTTTCTGTTGATTCCATATCATCCCCTTCATTCTTCTGTCTGCCCGTTTGTCCATCCATTTATCCATCCACTTAGCTATTCGTTCGTTCAACAATGATTTAGTGAATACCTACTTACTGTGACCCTATTAAGTTTTACAAGCCACACAGTGTTCATCAAGGTGTTCATATGCTTGTCTACCTTCTTTTTTTTTTCTTTCTTTCTTTTTTTATGGAGTCTTTCCCTGTCATCCAGGCTGGAGTGCAATGGCGCAATCGTGGCTCACTGCAACTTCTGTCTCCCGGGTTCAAACGATTCTCCTGCCTCAGCCTCCCGAGTAGCTGAGATTACAGGCGCCTGCCACCACGCCTGGCTAATTTTTGTATTTTCAGTAGAGACGGGGTTTCACCATGTTGGTCAGGCTGGTCTCGAACTCCTGACCTCATGATCCGCCCACCTTGGCCTCCCAAAGTGCTGGGATTACAGGCATGAGCCACCACGCCTGGCCTAATTTCTTGATTATGTGTTTGTTTCCTCCAATAGGCTATGAGCCCTTCAAGCAAAGACAAGAAATAATGTTATTGCTCTTTTTGCATCCCAAGTGCCTGACACAAAGGAAGGTGGAGGAAAGCATGCGGTCAATGTATGTAGAATTGCACTATACATGCAATAGGGCCTGCCTTCTCTTCAACAGGCATTGCTTTTCCTCTTTTAAGCTTCATAGAACATTTAAAAAGCACACAGCAACAATAATTTCATCAGCGGATGAAAGAGGATGTCAAAAGAGAAAAATAAACCAGGGTAACAAATAATCAGAGGATGTCCCCATTATAATTACAGCAACATGGATTGAGTTATGCCAGCTCCTGAGAGGAATTTGATTTCCTTATTATGTGTATACTTTATCATCCTCTCAGCATCCCTTTTTTCTTGGTATTTCACATATGGCTCTGATGTCTCCCTGCTTTGTAGATGGGAAAACTAAACTCCAGAATGGGCTAATGGCTTGAGCCATCTCACATAGCAAGGCAGACACTGAGAGGTGGGCATAAAATAAACATGTTTAGATTTTAATTATTTCAATCAAATCAAGAGATCACCATCACCAGAATATCCTATTAACTATTTATCGAATGCTTATTATGTGCCAAGAACTTTACATGCATTATCCTTTCTCCCCAATCTTTATTTTGAAAACATTAAAACCTGCAAACAGCTGGGAAGAATATACAATGAAACATCTAGTTTCACTAATTGATTTATTTCTTACACCTAGTTTCTTACACTTAGTTTCACATTTTTGTTTTATTTCTCTCTAAATATATTTGAATATATTGAATTACATGCAGACATTATGACTTAGCTCCTAAATATTCCAGCATACATCACTTCAGAAGAAGAGCATTCTCTTACGTAACTAAGATACAATAACCACACTCAGGAAAGTTAACATTAAAATAATTTCATTATCTATTACATAATCCTTATTCAAATTTGCCTTATTTCCTCAATAACTCCTCCCTTCCCTTCCTTTCTCCTTCTTTCCTTCCTTCCTCCCTCCCTCCCTCCCTGTCTGTCTGTCTTTCTCCCCTTTTTCTAAATTCAGGATCTAATTGAGGATCACACATTGCATTTACTTTTCATATTTCTTTAGTCATCTTTGATTAGAATCACTTCCCAGCCTTCCCCCTCAACCCCGTTTCATGACATTGACAGTTTTGAAGAGTTCAAGCTTCTTGTTTTGCAAAATCCCTTTAGTTTAGATTTGTGTGATGTTTCCTCATGGAAAGATTCAGGTTAAATATTGTTAGTAAGAATATTGCATAAGTGACATTGTGTCCTTCTCAATCATCCCATCGGGGGCATAAAATGTCAATGTGTCCCATCACTCACGATGCTATGATCACTTGGCTAAGGCAGTGTTTGCCAGGTTTCTACATTGCGGAAGTACCATTTTCCTTTGTAATTAACAAGTAATCTGTGGAGCGATACTTTGAGGTTGTGTGAATACCCCTCATCAGGTTTTGTCTAATGTTTTTAGTATCCACTGATGATGAGTGTTTATTATCATTTTAGAGTCTCACTATAACCCTGTGAGGTAGACACTATTATGACCCATATTTACAATGAAGAAACTGAGTTAGAGAGATGAAGAAACTTGCTCAATGTCTCACAGCTAATAAGGGACAGAGCTGAGATTTCAGCCCACATCAGGCTGTCTCTAAAGCCTGTGCTCTACCTACTACACTGCACTAGCTGAAAGTAGACTTTCTTATCTCGCTTGCTCCAGGCAAGACAAGAAAAAAGTGATAGTCAAGATCATATAGACACAATTTATTTCGTCTCTCAAGTCTCTTCCCTCTTATTTCCCAAGCACTTTTTTTCCCCAAAGCCTGATGCGTGTCAGTCACTCTTCTCTGACTGTTAACCTGGAATGTGGTGAATAAATTATATTTTATTCCAGTGAACCTTAGGCTGTGGAGTTCTGCTTTGATTCCATCCCACGGTGCCCAGGACCACCTGCTTGCCAGCACCACACTGGGAATGATGCCATTACATTCTGGAATCATCCATTCCAGTGTGAGAAAGACCACTACATACATTCATAGGGAGGATTACAGTGAATCCTTCTGGGTTCTTTCATAAAGGGGAACTTGGGGGTACCGAGAGATGGAGGTGGGGAATACATTTTTCTATTAGTTTCAAAGGAAGAGCTCACCTAGCCCAACTCCCTTCCTTTGTAGATGAAGAAACTGAGCCCTAGACTGGTAAGTGGACTGTCCAGGGTCAACGCTGGTGACAGACAGATCTGGGGCTGGAACGACAGATTCCATGCTTATCGCGCTGCAAAATCCCTAAGGTTACATTCTCGTCCAGCCCTGCTCGCCCAGCCCTTGGTCCTCTGCTACTCCTCCCCACCCTTCCCTTCTCAGACTTGCCCTTTGGAAGGCATTCGCTCATTCTTTCCTTCCTTCCTTCCTTCACTGGGTTGTTCATTCTTCAATAGCATTTGTTGTCCTCCTACCATATGCCAGATCCTGTGCTGGCCTTAATGGGTATGAAGCAAAAAGAAACACAGTGTCAGCCTTGAAGGAGGCCACTGTTTAGGTGAGTGGAGGGGAAGCGTATAATATGACACCATGATCGGATGTGCTAAGCACTAGAGCAACACTCATCTACTGCCCTGGGGACACAGAAAAGGGAAGGATGCTTTGAAATTATGCGGCTGCTTGGGAGTTTGCTGGGGAGCTACCCAAACATAGCTCCATTACTCAGAACACTCCTGGAATTCCCTTTCCGTCTGCTAGTCTTCCCAGAGGAAAGAGAGGGCAAGTATGGGAAGCAAGGGAAGGGCAGAACATGGCTGGTTGATGAGTTTGGGGGGATTCTAAAGGGACCCAGAAACATACCCGATCAGACTCAGGACTAATTGGTGCAGCTGGGTGGCTGCATCCGCTGCAGGCCCTTAGGAGCCTAACGCTGGTTATTGGCTTGGCTCAGTTAAGAGAGCTTGAGCCTCCTCCAAGGCTGCCCAGTGTCCAGAGCCGCCTGTGCTTCTGGGCATGGGGAGAGAGAGTGGGGAGAAGAAGTGGTGAGGATGCTGAGAATCCAGGACGCAATTGCCCTAGGGCACTAATTGCAGCTCCAGCTGCAGGAGGCCCTGTGATCTTCCCACTTGCTGCTCAGTACACTGCATAATGGGCTCTTAGTTATGGGATTTAAACTAAGCCTGAATCTTATTCTGCACAAGGGAATAATCACATCACAAGCTGGAAGGAAGGAGTATGCTGTACTGATTAGACCAACGCAGTGAAAAGTTCTGGCTGCTGTTTTCTGTTCCTCCTGCTGACCGATGGCACAATTCAGGCCAATTAGGAAACATCTGCTTACCTATCAGTGAACTGATGTAATGACTTCATACAGCATGGCTTTGGGCTATGCTGGACCTCCCAAGTGAGCCCTCCTTTCCTTAACAACTGTGACAATTGAATGACATTTTACTGTGCCAGTCTGTTTATGGATCACCTATTTAATCCTCACAGTAACCCTAATAGTAGCTACCATTACGATTCCTGTTCTGCACAGGAAGAAACAGAAGCTCAGAGAAGGTAAGTTACTTACCCAAGGTCACACAGCTAATATATATGGCACTATGACTGAATCAAGCAGTGTGATTTCTGAGCCCACACTCCTAGCCACTAAGGAAAATTGCCTCTTAGTCCCAGGAGGATGTGACTTGGGCAGGAGTTCTAGCACTCGTTACAATTCATGGTCATGTCATTCATTCCTTTTGCTGTTCGTTAGATTATAAGCTCCATAAGGTCAGGGAACAGGCAGACTTGTTCACCACTGAGCCTCCGGAGCCTAGCACCTCCTAGCACATAGTAGACGCATCATTCATGTTTTGGGCTGAGCGAATAGCTCTGGATCAGGCCATATAGCCTATTTAGTATTTTGCCAATTACACTAGTAGGAGAGGCCAATGGTATAGGCCATTCCCTGGGTCTGAATTGTTCAGTTATGGGAACTAACTGGGTTCTAAGGAGTGGGCTCTGAGGGGATTCACCAGAGTTGCTCCTTCTTTTGCCCTTGCTCCCATCTCCTATAGCATGCACTCATCCTGTGATTCATTTTTTTCGGTAGATCTTTAATGAGCACCTATTATGTGCCCGGTGCTGTTCCAGGTAGTTCACTGGAACAAAGCAGATAAAAATGCCTCTGACACAGAGCTTGCAATCCACTGGAGGGGAAAACCATGAGCAATAAATAGGCAAAACGCACAGTGCATACAACAGAATACATGCTTAGGAAGGTAGATATGAAGGATCAGGGAGGTGGGTGGCCACTAAAGCCCTCATTAAGAAGGTGGCATTTGACAAAAGGCTAGAAGGAAGTCAGGGGGCAGCCATACAAATGCCTCAGGGAGAGGGAACAGCCAGCACAAATGCCCTGGGGCAAAATCACTCTGTGTGTGGGACGAGCAGTGGGGAGGTCACTGGAGCGAGAGATGGGAGTGATGGGAGAAGAGTTTGGAGAAGTGACCAGAGCTAGGTTGTGTGAAATCTTTTAGGTAATAGCTGTAAACTTGGCTTTAAATCTGAGTGGAATGCGAAGCCACTAGAGGATTCGGGCGGAGGAGGGATGTGATCTGACTTTCCATGTTATCCTGTACCAAAGCTATTTGCATATCTGTCTCCCCCTCTAGTCTGTGAGGTTCTCAACACTGGGACCATGTATATATTCCCAGTGCCAACACAGTGATGGTACACGATAGATGTTTCAATACATGGCCATCAAATGAATGAGCACATGAAAAATGCAGAACCAGTGCAAAATGAAACCAACTGAACTAGGGTGCAGATGGGGACCCAGAGGGCAGATAAATGCACTCTGAATTGATGAATGAAGGGCATTTAATGGAGCAGGTGCCTTTTAATCTAGGACTAGAAGCAAGAGAAGCCTATCCACAAATAGAGAGAGGAGAAGGATATTGCTCCTGAGCAAGGAACAGGAGCAAAGGGTTGGAGGCATGAAAGTGCAGGGCAAATTAAGAAAATACCAAATAGACAAATGTTTCTGGTATGCAGGATGAGAGGAGGCACACAGTGGCATCAGAGGCCAGAATTACAGCCTGGGGCCAGATCACAGAATCACTTACACGTCAAGCTAAGAAATTTGGATTTTATTTTATTTTTTTATTTTTATTTTTTTAAATTTATTATTATTATACTTTAAGTTTTAGGGTATATGTGCACAATGTGCAGGTTAGTTACATATGTATACATGTGCCATGCTGGTGTGCTGCACCCGCTAACTCATCATCTAGCATTAGGTATATCTCCCAGTGCTATCCCTCCCCCCTCCCCCCACCCCACAACAGTCCCCAGAGTTTGATGTTCCCCTTCCTGTGTCCATGTGTTCTCATTGTTCAATTCCCACCTATGAGTGAGAATATGCGGTGTTTGGTTTTTTGTTCTTGTGATAGTTTACTGAGAATGATGATTTCCAGTTTCATCCATGTCCCTACAAAGGACATGAACTCATCATTTTTTATGGCTGCATAGTATTCCATGGTGTATATGTGCCACATTTTCTTAATCCAGTCTATCATTGTTGGACATTTGGGTTGGTTCCAAGTCTTTGCTATTGTGAATAATGCCGCAATAAACATACGTGTGCATGTGTCTTTAAAGCAGCATGATTTGTAATCCTTTGGGTATATACCCAGTAATGGGATGGCTGGGTCAAATGGTATTTCTAGTTCTAGATCCCTGAGGAATCGCCACACTGACTTCCACAATGGTTGAACTAGTTTACAGTCCCACCAACAGTGTAAAAGTGTTCCTATTTCTCCACATCCTCTCCAGCACTTGATGTTTCCTGACTTTTTAATGATCGCCATTCTAACTGGTGTGAGATGGTATCTCATTGTGGTTTTGATTTGCATGTCTCTGATGGCCAGTGATGGTGAGCATTTTTTCATGTGTTTTTTGGCTGCATAAATGTCTTCTTTTGAGAAGTGTCTGTTCATGTCCTTCACCCACTTTTTGATGGGGTTGTTTGTTTTTTTTCTTGTAAATTTGTTTCAGTTCATTATAGATTCTGGATATTAGCCATTTGTCAGATGAATAGGTTGTGAAAATTTTCTCCCATTTTGTAGGTTGCCTGTTCACTCTGATGGTAGTTTATTTTGCTGTGCAGAAGCTCTTTAGTTTAATTAGATCCCGTTTGTCAATTTTGGCTTTTGTTGCCATTGCTTTTGGTGTTTTAGACATGAAGTCCTTGCCCATGCCTATGTCCTGAATGGTAATGCCTAGGTTTTCTTCTAGGGTTTTTATGGTTTTAGGTATAACGTTTAAGTCTTTAATCCATCTTGAATTGATTTTTGTATAAGGTGTAAGGAAGGGATCCAGTTTCAGCTTTCTACATATGGCTAGCCAGTTTTCCCAGCACCATTTATTAAATAGGGAATCCTTTCCCCATTGCTTGTTTTTCTCAGGTTTGTCAAAGATCAGATAGTTGTAGACATGTGGTGTTATTTCTGAGGGCTCTGTTCTGTTCCATTGGTCTATATCTCTGTTTTGGTACCAGTACCATGCTGTTGTGGTTACTGTAGCCTTGTAGTATAGTTTGAAGTCAGGTAGTGTGATGCCTCCAGCTTTGTTCTTTTGGCTTAGGATTGACTTGGCGATGCGGGCTCTTTTTTGGTTCCATATGAACTTTAAAGTAGTTTTTTCCAATTCTGTGAAGAAAGTCATTGGTAGCTTGATGGGGATGGCATTGAATCTGTAAATTACCTTGGGCAGTATGGCCATTTTCACGATATTGATTCTTCCTACCCATGAGCATGGAATATTCTTCCATTTGTTTGTATCCTCTTTTATTTCCTTGAGCAGTGGTTTGTAGTTCTCCTTGAAGAGGTCCTTCACATCCCTTGTAAGTTGGATTCCTAGGTATTTTATTCTCTTTGAAGCAATTGTGAATGGGAGTTCACTCATGATTTGGCTCTCTGTCTGTTGTTGGTGTATAAGAATGCTTGTGATTTTTGTACATTGATTTTGTATCCTGAGACTTTGCTGAAGTTGCTTATCAGCTTAAGGAGATTTTGGGCTGAGACAATGGGGTTTTCTAGATATACAATCATGTCCTCTGCAAACAGGGACAATTTGACTTCCTCTTTTCCTAATTGAATACCCTTTATTTCCTTCTCCTGCCTAATTGCCCTGGCCAGAACTTCCAACACTATGTTGAATAGGAGTGGTGAGAGAGGGCATCCCTGTGTTGTGCCGGTTTTCAAAGGGAATGCTTCCAGTTTTTGCCCACTCAGTATGATATTGGCTGTGGGTTTGTCATAGATAGCTCTTATTATTTTGAAATACGTCCCATCAATACCTAATTTATTGAGAGTTTTTAGCATGAAGGGTTGTTGAATTTTGTCAAAGGACTTTTCTGCATCTATTGAGATAATCATGTGGTTTTTGTCTTTGGTTCTGTTTATATGCTGGATTACATTTATTGATTTGCGTATATTGAACCAGCCTTGCATCCCAGGGATGAAGCCCACTTGATCATGGTGGATAAGCTTTTTGATGTGCTGCTGGATTCATTCTGCCAGTATTTTATTGAGGATTTTTGCATCAATGTTCATCAAGGATATTGGTCTAAAATTCTCTTTTTTGGTTGTGTCTCTGCCCGGCTTTGGTATCAGGATGATGCTGGCCTCATAAAATGAGTTAGGGAGGATTCCCTCTTTTCCTATTGATTGGAATAGTTTCAGAAGGAATGGTACCAGTTCCTCCTTGTACCTCTGGTAGAATTCAGCTGTGAATCCATCTGGTCCTGGACTCTTTTTGGTTGGTAAGCTATTGATTATTGCCACAATTTCAGATCCTGTTATTGGTCTATTCAGAGATTCAACTTCTTCCTGGTTTAGTCTTGGGAGAGTGTATGTGTCGAGGAATTTATCCACTTCTTCTAGATTTTCTAGTTTATTTGCGTAGAGGTGTTTGTAGTATTCTCTGATGGTAGTTTGTATTTCTGTGGGATTGGTGGTGATATCCCCTTTATCATTTTTTATTGCGTCTATTTGATTCTTCTCGCTTTTTTTCTTTATTAGTCTTGCTAGCGGTCTATCAATTTTGTTGATCCTTTCAAAAAACCAGCTCCTGGATTCATTAATTTTTTGAAGGGTTTTTTGTGTCTCTATTTCCTTCAGTTCTGTTCTGATTTTAGTTATTTCTTGCCTTCTGCTAGCTTTTGAATGTGTTTGCTCTTGCTTTTCTAGTTCTTTTAATTGTGATGTTAGGGTGTCAATTTTAGATCTTTCCTGCTTTCTCTTGTGGGCATTTAGTGCTATAAATTTCCCTCTACACACTGCTTTGAATGTGTCCCAGAGATTCTGGTATGTTGTGTCTTTGTTCTTGTTGGTTTCAAAGAACATCTTTATTTCTGCCTTCATTTCGTTATGTACCCAGTAGTCATTCAGGAGCAGGTTGTTCAGTTTCCATGTAGTTGAGTGGTTTTGAGCGAGATTCTTAATCCTGAGTTCTAGTTTGATTGCACTGTGGTCTGAGAGATAGTTTGTTATAATTTCTGTTCTTTTACATTTGCTGAGGAGAGCTTTACTTCCAACTATGTGGTCAATTTTGGAATAGGTGTGGTGTGGTGCTGAAAAAAATGTATATTCTGTTGATTTGGGGTGGAGAGTTCTGTAGATGTCTATTAGGTCTGCTTGGTGCAGAGCTGAGTTCAATTCCTGGGTATCCTTGTTGACTTTCTGTCTCGTTGATCTGTCTAATGTTGACAGTGGGGTGTTAAAGTCTCCCATTACTAATGTGTGGGAGTCTAAGTCTCCTTGTAGGTCACTCAGGACTTGCTTTATGAATCTGGGTGCTCCTGTATTGAGTGCATATATATTTAGGATAGTTAGCTCTTCTTGTTGAATTGATCCCTTTACCATTATGTAATGGCCTTCTTTGTCTCTTTTGATCTTTGTTGGTTTAAAGTCTGTTTTATCAGAGACTAGGATTGCAACCCCTGCCTTTTTTCGTTTTCCATTTGCTTGGTAGATCTTCCTCCATCCTTTTATTTTGAGCCTATGTGTGTCTCTGCATGTGAGATGGGTTTCCTGAGTACAGCACACTGATGGGTCTTGACTCTTTATCCAATTTGCCAGTTTGTGTCTTTTAATTGGAGCATTTAGTCCATTTACATTTAAAGTTAATATTGTTATGTGTGAATTTGATCCTGTCATTATGATGTTAGCTGGTTATTTTGCTGGTTAGTTGATGCAGTTTCTTCCTAGTCTTGATGGTCTTTACATTTTGGCATGATTTTGCAGCGGCTGGTACCGGTTGTTCCTTTCCATGTTTAGCGCTTCCTTCAGGAGCTCTTTTAGGGCAGGCCTGGTGGTAACAAAATCTCTCAGCATTTGCTTGTCTGTAAAGTATTTTATTTCTCCTTCACTTATGAAGCTTAGTTTGGCTGGATATGAAATTCTGGGTTGAAAATTCTTTTCTTTGAGAACGTTGAATATTGGCCCTCACTCTCTTCTGGCTTGTAGAGTTTCTGCCGAAAGATCCACTGTTAGTCTGATGGGCTTCCCTTTGTGGGTAACCCGACCTTTCTCTCTGGCTGCCCTTAACATTTTTTCCTTCATTTCAACTTTGGTGAATCTGACAATTATGTGTCTTGGAGTTGCTCTTCTCGAGGAGTATCTTTGTGGCATTCTCTGTATTTCCTGAATCTGAATGTTGGCCTGCCTTGCTAGATTGGGGAAGTTCTCCTGGATAATATCCTGCAGAGTGTTTTCCAACTTGGTTCCATTCTCCCCGTCACTTTCAGGTACACCAATCAGACATAGATTTGGTCTTTTCACATAGTCCCATATTTCTTGGAGGCTTTGCTCATTTCTTTTTATTCTTTTTTCTCTAAACTTCCCTTCTCACTTCATTTCATTCATTTCATCTTCCATCGCTGATACCCTTTCTTCCAGTTGATCACACCGGCTCCTGAGGCTTCTGCATTCTTCACGTAGTTCTCGAGCCTTGGTTTTCAGCTCCATCAGCTCCTTTAAGCACTTCTCTGTATTGGTTATTCTAGTTATACATTCTTCTAAATTTTTTTCAAAGTTTTCAACTTCTTTGCCTTTGGTTTGAATGTCCTCCCATAGCTTGGAGTAATTTGATCGTCTGAAGCCTTCTTCTCAGCTCGTCAAAGTCATTCTCCGTCCAGCTTTGTTCCATTGCTGGTGAGGAACTGCGTTCCTTTGGAGGAGGAGAGGTGCTCTGCGTTTTAGAGTTTCCAGTTTTTCTGCTCTGTTTTTTCCCCATCTTTGTGGTTTTATCTACTTTTGGTCTTTGATGATGGTGATGTACTGATGGGTTTTTGGTGTGGATGTCCTTTCTGTTTGTTAGTTTTCCTTTTAACAGACAGGACCCTCAGCTGCAGGTCTGTTGGAGTACTGGGCCCTGTGAGGTGTCAGTCTGCCCCTGCTGGGGGGTGCCTCCCAGTTAGGCTGCTCGGGGGTCAGGGGTCAGGGACCCACTTGAGGAGGCAGTCTGCCCGTTCTCAGATCTCCAGCTGCGTGCTGGGAGAACCACTGCTCTCTTCAAAGCTGTCAGACAGGGACATTTAAGTCTGCAGAGGTTACTGCTGTCTTTTTGTTTGTCTGTGCCCTGCCCCCAGAGGTGGAGCCTACAGAGGCAGGCAGGCCTCCTTGAGCTGTGGTGGGCTCCCCCCAGTTCGTGCTTCCCGGCTGCTTTGTTTACCTCAGCAAGCCCGGGCAATGGCGGGCGCCCCTCCCCCAGCCTCGCTGCCGCCTTGCAGTTTGATCTCAGACTGCTGTGCTAGCAATCAGCGAGACTCCATGGGCGTAGGACCCTCCGAGCCAGGTGTGGGATGTAATCTCCTGGTGTGCCGTTTTTTAAGCCCGTCGGAAAAGCGCAGTATTCGGGTGGGAGTGGCCTGATTTTCCAGGTGCCGTCCATCACCCCTTTGACTAGGAAAGGGAACTCCCTGACCCCTTGCGCTTCCCGAGGAGGCAATGCCTCGCCCTGCTTCGGCTCGCGCACGGTGCGCGCACCCACTGACCTGCGCCCACTGTCTGGCACTCCCTAGTGAGATGAACCCGGTACCTCAGATGGAAATGCAGAAATCACCCGTTTTCTGCGTCGCTCATGCTGTGAGCTGTAGACTGGAGCTGTTCCTATTCGGCCATCTTGGCTCCTCCCTCGAAATTTGGATTTTATACTGCAGGTAATGGGGGGGCCTTTGCAGGATTTTACAGGTGTGGGGCCGTTTTCAAAGGTGGGATTCAGCCCATTAGGTTTTGGTTTGCAACCTGTGAGGACAGTGGAGAACGCCAAAAATGGTGCTGTGTATGGGAGGCAGTGCCTCACAGTGTGGCTACAACACAGCACTGTTTATTGTGTCAATTTAGTGTGTAGAAATACTGTCATGTTCAGAAAGAGAGTTGATCTCATACTTCACAGAAGCCTTTGGGGATTCCCCTTTGAGGAGCCCTCAGACATTGCACAGTGAAAGATTTAGTGGTTTCCTCAGGTGCATTCCAGTAGGAGCCTGCGTCCAGCTCAGGAGTGGTGATGACTTCACTATGCTGCTCATCCAACCATCCAGCCCTTATGTAAAATCAATCAGCCATAAGCTTCCCGGGCTCACTTCATTTTTTCTCCTGTGCTGGAGGAGACTGGTAGAGTCAAGACATGATGTGTTGTGCCCCTGGGTGGCATGTAGCTCCATTACTGTTTAGCCTGGAAGCCCAGGGTCAGTCATGATGACGTTAGGAGGCTCACCAGGCAGGGGGAATGCAAAGGCAGTCATCTGAGTTCATCTGATAGATCTGGCAATGAACCACACTGGGTTCTAAATATGCAGTGGGGCTGCTCATGGTGTGGGGGAATGGCCCTGGGAGGATGGAGATGAAAGTCCATGTCAAAGTGAAAGCTGTCAGCCATTCCTTTGAAGGAATGGGCTTGTTCCCAGGCTGGAGGTTAAGGTGTCTACTTTCCTGCCTTGACTCTGAACAGCTAAGACTGTCTCACCCTCTCACCTTTTCACTCTGACTTAGTCTAAGTTAACTGAAAGGGCTCGTTGGCTCTCCCCACCATACTTCTGTTGCTTCATTGTGGAGCAGGCCTGAGCACTGCTCACTAGTGTGTCTTCAACCTAGGGTTATGGTTACTGTAACTCACTCTAGATGGAACACTTAGGTATCATGAACCCACAGGACACAGATGCAGATGAGCAACCCTTTTACCAGCAAGTAGCTTTCAAAGTTGGCGACTGGGGAGCTGGAGAGGGGCAAAAATAGAGTGGTTCAGAGAATCCCCAGTGTCAAGCTTTCAGGGAGTTTAAGCAAGAAGGCTGCAGTTTGGGGACTGGAGGGAGAAACTTCTACCAGTATCCCCAGTTTTCTTTCAACTGCATTCAGGGGAGAATAACCAGTATTCCTCTGCTGAGATGCAGCAGGTTTGTCTATAATTTACTAAAATGATGTGGTGGAAGGGAGCCGGGCCCCAGAGACATCATGAGCCTCTTGTGTACAGAAAACCATATCAGGAATATAACTGTACCTGAAATGATGTCCTTGGAGGAGTCAATATCGTGAATTGTGCTCTCCCTCACAGTGAAGTTAGGGACAACCATTACAGCATCTCCTCCCTCATTCCTTTGGGAGGGCCCTCAATGACGTAGGCTTATTATCTACATGCAATTTTTATACTTTGGATATTAGTTTAAGTTGGACAACCAGTAGAACTTTCATCATGGATGCAGATTATAAAGATTATCTTCATAATAATACAAGGATTTGGGGAAGGGCATAGGCTAGAGTGAGCATGTGAGTCTGATTCTTAGTGGATCAATGACTATACCCCAAGGCCAGATAGAAGAAACTTTTTTTTGGCTTGGTTAATGAGTAACAGTGTTATGACAACTGTCAAAATCTATTGAAGGCTTTAAAAATGCTCATAACTTTTGACCTAAGAATCCAACATCTAGGAGGAAATTTATAGCACTAAATACCCACATTGAAAAGCTAGAAAGATCTCATTAACAACCTAACATCTCAACTAAAAGAACTAGAGAACCAAGAGCAAACAAATCCCAAAGCTAGCAGAAACCAAGAAATAACCAAGATCAGAGCTGAACTGAAGGAGATAAAGAGACGAAAAACCCTTCAAAAAATCAACAAATCCAAGAGCTCTTGTTTTGAAAAAAATTACTAAAATAGGTAGACCACTAGTTAGACTAATAAAGAAGAAAAGAGAGAAGAATCAAATAAACACAATCAGAAATGATAAGGAGGATATCACCATTGACCCCACAGAAATACAAACAACCATCAGAAAATATAAATACCTCTATGCACATAAACTAGAAAACCCAGAAGAAATGGATTAATTCCTGGACACATACACCCTCCCAAGACAGAACCAGGAAGAGATCGAGTCCTTGAAAAGACCAATCAGGAGTTCTAAAATTGAGGCAGTAATAAATAGCCTACCAACCAGAAAAAGCCCAGGACCAGAGGGATTCACAGCTGAATTCTACCAGAGGTACAAAGAAGAGCTAGTACCATTTTTACTGAAACTATTCCAAAATATTGAAAAGGAGGGACTCCTCGCTAACTCATTCTAGGAGGCCAACATTATCCTGATACCAAAACCTGGAAGAGATACAATAAAAAAGAAAACTTCAGGCCAATATCCTTGATGAACATCAGTGCAAAAATCCTCAATAAAATACTGACAAACTGAATCTAGCAGCATATCAAAAAGCTTATCCACCAGGATCAAGTTGGTTTCATCCCTGGGATGCAAGGTTGGTTCAAGATAGGCAAATTGGCCAAGTGTGGTGGCTCACGCCTGTAATCCCAGCATTTTGGGAGGCCGAGGTGGGTAGATCACCTGAGGTCAGGAGTTTGAGACCAGCCTCAACATGGAGAAACCCTGTCTCTACTAAAAATACAAAAAAAATTAGCTGGGCACAGTGGTGCATGCCTGTAATCCCAGCTACTTGGGATGCTGAGGCAGGAGAATTGCTTGAACCTGGGAGGTGGAGGTTGTGGTGAGCTGAGATCGCACCATTACACTCCAGCCTGGACAACAAGAGCGAAACTCCATCTCAAAAAAAAAAAAAAAAAAAAAAGATAGGCAAATCAATAAACATTATTCATCACATAAACAGAACTAAAGACAAAAACCACATGATTATCTCAATAGATGCAGAAAAGTCCTTTGATAAAATTCAACATCACTTCATGTTAAAAACTCTCAATAAACTAGGTATTGAGGAATATACCTCAAAATAATAAGAGCCATGTATGACCAACCCACAGCCAATGTCATACTGAATAAGCAAAAGCTGGAAGCATTCCACTTGAAAATCGGCACAAGAAAAGGATGCCCTCCTCTCACCACTCCTATTCAACATAGTATTGGCCAAGCAGTCAGGCAAGAGAAAGAAATAAAGAGTATTCAAATAGGAAGAGAGGAAGTTAAATTATCTCTATATTTCTTTGATACAGGATAACATGATCCTATATCTAGAAAACCTAATTGTTTCAGCTCAAAAGCTTCTTAAGCTGATAAGCAACTTCAGTGGAGTCTCAGGATATAAAATCAGTGTGCAAAAATTGCTAGCATTCTTATACGCCAACAACACGCAAGCAGAGAGCCAAATCATGAATGAACTCCCATTCACAATTGCTACAAAAAGAATAAAATACTTAGGAATAAATACAGCTAACAAAGGAAGTAATGGACCTCTTCAAGGAGAACTACAAACCGCTGCTCAAAGAAATCAGAGAGGACACAAACAAATGGAAAAACATTCCATGCTCATGGATAGGAGGAATCAATATCGTGAAAATGGCCATACTGCCCAAAGTAATTTATAGATTCAATAATATTCCCATTAAACTACCATTGACATTCTTCACAGAATTAGAAAAAACTATTTTAAAATTCATATGGAACCAAAAAAGAGCCCAAATAGCCAAGACAATCCTAAGCAAAAAGAACAAAGCTGGAGGCATCACCCTACCCAACTTCAAACTATACTACACAGCTACAGTAATTAAAACAGCATGATACTAGTACAAGAACAAACACTGACTAGTGGAACAGAATAGAGATCTCAGAAATAAGACTGCACTCCTACAACTATTTGATCTTTTACAAACCTGACAAAAACAAGCAATGGGGAAAGGATTTCCTAGTTAATAGGAACTGGGAGAACAGGCTAGCCATATGGCGAAAATTGAAACTGGACCCCTTCCTTACGTCATATACAAAAATTAACTCAAGATGGATTAAACACTTAAATGTAAAACCCAAAACTATGAAAGCCATAGGAGAGGATCTAGGCAATGCCATTCAGGACATAGGCAGGGGCAAAGATTTCATGATGAAAATGCCAAAAGCAATTGCAACAAAAGCAAAAATTGACAAGTGGGATCTAATTAAAGAGCTTCTGCACAGCAAAAGAAACTATCATCAGAGTGAACAGACATCCTACAGAATGGGAGAAAATGTTTGCAATCCATCCATCTGACAAAGGTCTAATATCCATAGTCTATAAGGAACTTAAACAAATTTACAAGAATAAAACAAACAACCCCATTAAAAAGTGGGCAAAGAACACAAACACTTCTCAAAAGAAGACATACATTTGGCCAACAAACATATGAGAAAAAGCTCAACATCCCTGATCATTAGAGAAATGCAAATCAAAACCACAATGAGATACCATCTCATGCCAGTCAGAACAGCTCTTATTAAAAAGTCAAAAAACAATAGATGCTGGTGAGGTTGTGGAGAAAAGGGAACACTTTTACACTGTTGGTCGAGTGTAAATTAGTTCAACCATTGTGGAAGATAGTGTGACAATTTCTCAAAGACCTAGAGGCAGAGATACCATTTGACCCAACAATCCCATTACTGGGTATATACCTGAAGGAATAGAAATCATTCTATTACAAAGATACATGCACATGTTTGTTCACTGCAGCACTATTTGCTAAAAGTGACATGGAATCCACCTAAATGCCCATCAGTGATAGACTGGATAAAGAAAATATGCTACAGATACACCATGGAATACTATGCAGCCTAAAAAAAAGAATTGAGATCTTGTCCTTTGCAGGGACATGGATGGAGGTGGAAGCCATTTTCCTCAGCAAACTAACACAGGAACAGAAAACCAAACACTGCATGTTCTCCCTTATAAGTGGGAGCTGAATGATGAGAACACATGGACACATGAGGGGAACAACACACACTGAGGCCTATGGGAGGGGTTGGGGGAAGGAGAGCATCAGGAAGAATAGCTAATGGATGCTGGGCTTAATACTTAGGTGACAGGATGATCTGTGCAGCAAACCACCAGGGCACACGTTTAACAATGTAACAAACCTGCACATCCTGCACATGTACCCCTGAACTTAAAATAAAAGTTGAAGAAAAAAAAAAAAGGATCCAGCATCTAGGAATTTCTCTGAAAAAAATACACATAGAATAAATAAGATAAGGATGTTTATCATGGTAATGTTTATAATAGAGAAATGCAGTCTTTAGGATGAGTGCGGTGGCTCACGACTGTAATCCCAGAACTTTGGGAGGCTGAGGCGGCAGATCACTTGAGCTCAGGAGCTTGAGACCAACCTAGCCAATATGGTGAAACCCCGTCTCTACTAAAAATACAAAAATTAGCCAGGCGTAGTGGCACGTCTGTAGTCCCAGCTACTCGGGAAGCTGAGGCAGGAGAATCACTTGAATTCGGGAGGTGGAGGTTGCAGTGAGCCAAGATCATGCCACTGCACTCCAGCCTGGGCAACAGAGCAAGACTCTGTCTCAAAAAAAAAAAAAAAAAAAAAAGAGAGAGAAAAAATGCTGTCTTTAAAAATTGCTATTTCAGGATATCTGGTGACATGAAAACATATTTGTAATTTTTTAAACTTAAAAATATGAAATATTTTCTATAGAAAATCACAGGAAATCAAACAAACATCCATACGTCCTTTAGCCAAATTCAACAAATGTTGACATTTTGTCATAGTTACTTAAGAATGTTTTAAGAAATGAAATGTTGTAGATACTGTTGAGGCCTCTTTTGTACTCCTCTCTTCCCTACCTTCCCATTGATAATTATTTTTCTGAAATTGGTATGTATACTTCCTGTTCAGAAGTTATACTTTTACTACACGTATGTATTTCCATAAAATATATATCATTTTTATAATTTACAAACATTTTAGCTTCCTTCAATGTGCTGTTTTCATTCAACAAAATTTCCAAGATTTTACCCAGTTTGATATACGTAGATAAAATAATTTTTCTTGCTATATGTAGTATTCTAACTAAAAAACATATTTAATACACTTTTAAAACTGAATTGTAATGGCTCAATGAGTTATCGCTAAGTGAACATACTCATCTAACTACCACCCAGGTCAAGAAATAGAACATTAGAGAATATCATCTGTACCCCAGAAACTCTCCATTATGCCCATTTCCAAAAACTATCCTTTTCCCGTACAAAAGTAGCCACTGTCATGATTTCTAATAACATCAATTTGCCTGTTTTTGAACATTATATAGTAGGAATCATGTGGTGCTCTACATTTGCCAATTAGTTCAATTGTTAATTAAGTTGTTCGGTTCTTCCCTTTCCTTATTGATTTTATTGGGTCCATTATCAGTGATTGAGAGAGATGTATTAAACTCTCTCTCTATGAGTAGGAATTTCTTGTTTCTCCTTTTAATTTTGTCAATTTTTGTTAAAATATATTAAAACTATGTAGTTGCATGCATATAGATTTATAATTGTGATAGCTTTCTGGTGAATTGACCACTTTATGATTATGAAATACCTCTCTTTATCCTGAGTAATGTTTTTGCCTGAAAGTCTATTTTTTCCCTCTATTAGGATAGCCATAGCAGTTTTCATTTGGTTAGCCTTGGATATCTTTTCCACTTTTTGATTTATGAAGTGTACTCTTCCATTTGCATGCTTCTAATGTAGATATACCCGAGACTGGGTAATTTATAAAGGAAAAAAACTTCAATTGAGTCACAGTTCAGCATGGCTGGGGAGGCCTCAGGAAGCTTACAATCATGGCAGAAGGGGAAGCAAACATGTCCTTCTTCACATGGTTGCAGGAAGAAGTGCCAAGCAAAGGGGGAAGCCCCTTATAAAACCATCAGATCTTGTGAAAACTCACTCACTACAACAAGACCAGCATGAGGGTAATCGCCCTCATGATTCAATTACCTCCCACCGGGTCCCTCCCATGACACATGGGGATTATGGGAATTACAATTCAAGATGAGATTTGGGTGGGGACACAGCCAAACCATGTCATTCCACCTCTGGCTCCTTCCAAATATCATGTCTTCACATTTCAAAATGCAATCATGCCCTTCTAACAGTCCCCCCAAATCTTAGCTCATTCTAGCATTAACTCAACAGTCCAAATCCAAAGTCTCATCTGAGACAAGGCAAGTCCCTTTCGCCTATAAAATCAAAAGCAAGTTAGTTACTTTGTAGATACAATGCAGGTACAGGCTTTGGGTAAATTCACCTGTTCCAAATGAGAGAAATTGGCCAAAAGAAAGGGGCCTCATAGAAGTCCAAAATCCAGTAGGGCAGTCATGAAGCCTTAAAGTTCCAAAATGATCTCCTTTGACACCATGTCTCACATCCAGGTCATGCTGATGCAAGAGGTGGGCTCCATAGCCTTGGGCAGCTCCACTCCTGTGGCTTTGCAGGGTATAGCTGCTTTCATGGCTGGCATTGAGTGTATGGTTTTTCCAGGCACACTGTGTAAGCTGTTGGTGAAGTACCATTCTGAGATCTGGAAGACACTGGCCCTCTTCTCACAGCTCCACTAGGCAGTGCCCAAGTGGGGACTCTGTGTGGGGGCTGCAACCCCCTATTTTCCTTCTGTACTGCCCTAGCAGAGGTTCTTGATGAGGGCTCCACCCCTGCAGCAGACTTCTGCCTGGACATTCAGGATTTCCATACATTTCTGAAATCTAAGCAGAGGTTCCCAAACTTCCATTCTTGTCTTCCACGTACCCACAGGAGCAACACCACCTGGAAGCTGCCAAGTCTTGGGACTTGCACCTTTTGAAGCAATGGCTTGAGCTGTACTTTGGCCCCTTTTAGCCAAGGATGGAGCAGCTGGGATTCAGGGGACAAGGTTCTGGGGCTACACACAGCAGGGGGCCCTGAACTTGGCCCACAAAACCATTTTTCCCTCCTTGGCCTCTTGGCCTGTGATGGGAGGGGCTGCTGTGAAGGTCTCTGACATTGCCCTGGAGACATTTTCCTCATTGTCTTGTTGATTAACATTTGGCTCCTCGTTACTTATGCAGATTTCTGTAGTGGACTTGAATTTTTTCCCAGAAAATTGATTTTTCTTTTTTATTGCATTGTCAGGCTGCAAAATTTCCAAACTTTTATGCTCTGCTTCCTCTTGAATGCTTTGCCACTTAGAAATTTCTTCTGTCAGATACCCTAAATCATCTCTCTCAAGTTCAAAGTTACACAGATCTCTAAGGCAGGGGCAAAATGCCACCAGCCTCTTTGCTAAAATGTAACAAGAGTCACCTTTGCTCCAGTTCCCAAGAAGTTCCTCATCTCCATCATAGACCACCTCAGCCTGGACTTCATTGTCTATATCACTATCAGCATTTCAGTCAAAGCTATTCAACAAATCTGTAGGAAGTTCCAAACTTTCCTACATCTTTCTGTCTTCTGAGCCCTCCAAGTCTCTAGGAAGTTCCAAACTTTCCCACATTTTCTTGTCTTCTTCTGAGACTTCCAAGCTGTTCCAACCTCTGCCTGTTACCCAGTTCCAAAGTCACTTCTTCGTTTTTGGGTATCTTTATAGCTGTGCCCCATTCTTGGTACCAATTACTGTATTAGTTTGTTCTCATGCTGCTAATAAAGACACACCCAAGACTGGGTAATTTATAAAGGAAAGAGGTTTAATTAACTCACAGTTCAGCATGCCTGGGGAGGATTCAGGAAACTTACAATCATGACAGAAAGGGAAGCAAACATGTCCTTCTTAATATGGTGGCAGGAAGGAGAAGTGCTGAGCAAAGGGGGAAAAGCCCCTTATTAAACCATCAGATCTCATGAGAACTCACTCACTATAACAAGACCAGCATGAGGGTAACCACCCTCATGATTTGATTACCTCCCACTGGGTCCCTCCCACAACACGTGGGGATTATGGGAATTACAATTCAAGATGAGATTTTGGTGGGGACACAGCCAAACCATATCATGAAGGATAGCTTTATTGGGTATAGCATTCTAGTATTCTTGGCTGACTTTTTTTTTTCTTTTAGCACTGTGAATATATCTCATCCTATTCTATCCTGCATATCTCATCCCATTCTATCCTGTCTTGCAACATTTCTCCTGAGAACTCTGTTGATGGTTCTAACTCTGTTAATGGTGATTCCCTTATATGCAACTTAATGCTTTTTTCTTGCTGCTTTTAAAATGCTCTCTTTGTCCTTGACTTTTGACTATTTGATTATAATATGCCTTGAAGAGGACCTCTTTGGGTTGAATCTGTCAGGGGGCCCTTTGAGCTTAATGGATCTGGATGTCTATGTCTCTCCCAAGACTTGGGAATTTTTCAGCAATTACTCCATTAAATAAGCTTTTTGTGCCTTTCTCTGTATCTTCTTCTGGAACTCCCATCATGCCAGAGTTTCATTGCTTAATGGTGCATCATAAGTCCTGTAGGCTGTGTTACTTTTTTCATTCTCTTTTCTTTTTTTCCCTCTGACTGGGTAATTTCAAAAAACTTATCTTCAAGTTCGCAAATTCTTTCTTCTGCTTGATCTAGTTTGCTTTTGAAGCTCTCCATTGTACTTTTCATTTCATTCACTGAATTCTTCAGTTTCAGGATTTCTGTTTGGTTGTTTGTTTTTCTTTGGTTCTGTTTTATGATATCTCTTTGTTGCATTTCTCACTCAGATCATGAATTGTTTCCTTGATTTTGTTGAATTACCTATCTGTAGCTTGAATCTCATATCTTGCTGAGTTTTCTTTTTTATCTTTATTTAATATTTCTACTTCCTTTTCCTCTCTCCCTCCCTCTCTTTCTCTTTCTTTCTTTCTTTCTTTCCTTCCTTCCTTCCTCCCTTCCTCCCTCCCTCCCTTCCTCTTTCCTATCCTCTCTTTTCTTTTCTTTTTTTTCTTTCTAGATCATGTCTAACTCTTTTGCCCAGGCTGGAGTGCAGTGGTGTGATTTCAGCTCACTGCAACCTCCACCTCCAGGGCTCAAGTGATCCTCCCATCTCAGCCTCTCAAGTAGCTAGGACTACAGGCACTCAACAATATCCTTGGCTAAATTAAAAAAAATTTTTTGTAGAAATGAGACTTCCCTATATTGCCTAGGCTGGTCTTAAACTCATGGACTCAAGCGATCTTCCTGCCTTGGCCTTCCAAAGTGCTGGGATTATAGGAGTGAACCACTGCACCCAACTGAGCTTTCTTAAGAACATTATTTTGAATTTCTTTTCAGGTGATTAATAGATTTTCTTTATTTTGAGGTCTGTTCCTTTGATGGTGTCATTTATTTTTTGCTTTTTCATGTTTCTTTTACCCCTGCATTAATATCTGTGCATCTGGTGGAACAGCTACCCCTTCAAAACCTTACAGAGTGGCTTTCATAGGGAAAGACTCACCTGCAGAGGGGTCTTCAGGTGCCGGTTGGGCAGGCTGTGGTGGCTCTGGATTGAAGTGGATGCAGTAGTATAGCCCCTGTGCAGTTTCTTCAGCTGTAATCAATGTCAGGGATGATTGTGAGTGCCTCAGTAGTCTAGGCTGCAGAAGTTTGTGGCAGCAGTGTATGCTGTTCTTAGTAGCAAGAGCTTTTGGGGTTTTCCTGTTCTCATTTTATCCACAAGGGTGAGTTTTAGATGAGGGTATCCTTCTTGGTGTTGGGTTAGACATGGCCCACGAGTGGCTGCAGTGGTGCTGGGTTCTGGGGTGCAGGTGCTCAGAGTGGCTGTAAAGCCCAAGTCCTGGGCCCAGGCTCTCACAAACCTACTGTGGCACCTGGGACTTGGGGTGAAGGTTCACTCTCTGTGAAGCATGGGTGAATGCAGATGGCCCACAAAGCTGGTGTCGGTGACTCTGAGGCACACTGCAGCAGCTCAGGCCCTGCTGGATTTTTAACTATGACCCTGACTCTGGGGTGCAGGGCACAGCACTGGCCCAGCTTCAGGGAAGAAGGGGTGCTGTGGAGTTTCGGGTCCAGTGAGCAGAACACAGCTGTAATTCAGGAGCTGGAGCCAATAGGTCACAGCAGCAACTCAGGCCCTGGGGAATAAGGCACCACGTAGTGGTGTCTCTAGACCTTGGGATGGTGGGACATGCCAGTATCTGAGGCTCGGCAAGATAGCAAGGACCCCTGGGTCCTTGGTGAAATTCAGCTGCAGCTTGGGCCTCAGGAAGCATGGAGCAGCACAGCAATGACTCTATTCATCGAGGAGGTGGGGTGCTTCAGCAGCTCCGAATCTGGGGTGGCTAGTCTAGTTCCAGGGAGGCAGGGTTTTCCACTTGTTTGGCCTGGGGGCGGGGGTGAGGTGTCCCATCTCAGTCAATGCTCTGTTTTCCTGGGATGTGGGATGCCACATCAGCTCAGCCCTGGAAGATGCAGCTGCTCAGCTCATCCAAGGCATTTATTTCCTGGGAGGTTGGGAGCCACTTCAGCTCAGGTGCTGGGGTTGTGACTGCTCTGGGTAGCTAAGGCAGGGATTCCCTGGGAATCCACAGTGCCTCATCAGCTTCAGCACCAGGGGGTGTGATTGTTCTGGGTAGCCAAGTCACTGATTCTTGATTTTCCCAGAGATGGGGTGCCGCTTCAGCTCAGGCCAAGAGAGGCAGGGTGTAGCAGCAACTGGGAGGCGTGGATGGAGTGGCTCTGGCCCTCTGGCAGCCTGTTACCTCTGGTTAGCTCCTGATCCTGTAACATATACCTTCAAGTTTTCCAAATGAATTTCTGGAATGTTCACCAAGACTCTTTTTTTTCTGGAAGGTCCTAAATTCTAATCTGTCTTCTCAGCACCATAAAACTGCCAAAATTCTCTCCTTGAAATTTGAGGCATCTGCCATGTGCAGTTACAGAATTTGGCAAACTTATTGAGGCAAAAACAAACCATGTTTTTTAGGTTTCTCAAGTTTTCAATTTTTATCACTTATACCTCATGAGATTTCTGAAGTTCTGATGGTTTCTCAGTCCCCTGGCAGTGACCCACTGCCTGGGCAAAGCTTTCTCAGCTTTTTACCTATTCACAGAATTGACAGAGGCTCCCAGCTTCCTCTCTGCAATTCCCCCTCCCCATAATCAAATCCTGTATAGGTCCCATTGACTCTCAAGATCTCTGATGCCTGTAACTATGACCCTTGCATTTTACTTGCTTTTCTTTGTTGTTGTTGTTGTTGGTTTTCTGTTTGTTTGTTTGTTTTTTTGAGACGGAGTCTTGCTCTGTCGCCCAGGCTGGAGTGCAGTGGCACGATCTCGGCTCACTGCAACCTCCGTCTACTGGATTCAAGCGATTCTGCTGCCTCAGCCTCCCACACAGCTGGGACTACAGGCACGCGCCACCATGCCCAGCTAATTTTTGTATTTTTAGTAGAAACAGGGTTTTACCATATTGGCCAGGCTGGTCTCGAACTCCTGACCTCGTGATCCACCCGCCTCGGCCTCCCAAAGTGCTGGGGTTACAGGCGTGAGCCACCGCACCCAGCTGCATTTTATTTGCTTTTCTAATTACATTCCATGGGGCATTGGTCTGCCATAGCAATCCTGGTAGTAAAAGCCCTCTAGGCTTCTTTATTTTACATTTTTAAGTTCTAAACATTGTGTCTGAAAAATATAGTAGTAATTTGAGGTTCTAGGTGATGTGATTTTCCTCCAGAAAGTACATATGCTTGCTTCTGGCTGTTAGCTAGTCCAAGGGTAGGCCACCTTAATTCAGCCAGGAATCGGCATGCTTTGAGGCTTGGCTTCAGTCTTTGGAGGGCTGGTTTACTCTTGTAACTAGAGCATAGCTCTTTGGGGTCCCAGCTGAATGCCTGGGGTGTTTGCCAGGCTTCCTCCTCCCTGGCAGAACCTGCCCTCCATTTTGGTTACAGCAGTTTGACAAGGCCGCTAAAAGCTCATTCACTTCTCAGCTCCTGATCCTCAGTCACTCTTCTTGCTTATAGAGTCTACCTGTTGCTTTGAGGGGTGGAGAGGCCTCAAATTCTGGGTTCATTTATCTTGATTTCCTTCCTCTTTCAGATTGTAGCACTACAAAATTTCATTGCTTTGATCATCTTTCAGTTGCCTTCAAACAAATATTGTTGTATGTTGTCCAGTTTTTCTAGTTCTCCAGGGAGTCAAGTTCAGCCCCAACCTAGCCAGTACATACTGGAGGTGGAACTTTCAACAATACAAAATTCTTCATGGGAAAAAACCCCTGTATGTGCTGTATGGTACTAGCTTGGTTAAAACTAAAAGCGTGTAATATGTGCTGTGGTTTGAATGTGTCCCCCACATTTCATGTTTCGGAAACTTGATCCCTGAATTCACATGTAGATGATATTTGGAGTTGGGGCCATTGGGAGATAACTAGAATTAGATAAGGTCATCTTATCTAATGGGTCAAGGGGCCCCATGATGAAACTGGTGGCTTAATAAGAGGAGAAAGAGAGATCTGAGCTGGCACGCTCTTGCCCTCTCACCATGCTGTGATGCAGGAAGGAGGCACACACAAGGTGCCAGAACCTTCATGTTAGACTTCCCAGACTCCAGAACTTAAGAAATAAATGTCTTTTCTTTATGAATGACCCGGTCTCAGCTATTCACTTATAGCAATAGAAAATGGACTAACTGTACAGTCAGCCCTCCCTAACCATGGGTTCCTCATTGGTGGGGTCAACCAATCAAAGATTGAAGATACAGGCATGCATTGTTTAACAATGGGGATATATTCTGAGAATTGTGTTGTTAGGTGATTTTATTGTTGTACTAACGTCATAGAGTGTACTCACACAAACCTAGATGCTATAACCGACTGCACACCTAGGCTATCCCTACTGCTCCTAGGCTACAAACCTCTACAGCATGTTACTGTTCTCAATACTGTGGGCAATTGTAACACAATGGTAAGTATTTGTGTATCAAAACATCAAAAAGGTACAGTGAAAATATGGTATAAAAAGTTAAAAATTGTACACCTGTACAGGGCACTTACCATGAATGGAGCTTACAGAACTAGAAGTTGTTCTGTGTGAGTCAGTGAGTGAATGGTGAGTAAATGTGAAGACCTAGAACTACTGTGAACTTTACAAACACTACACTTAGGCTACATTAAGTTTATAAAAAATGTTTTCTTTCTTCAACAAAAAATTAACTTTAGCTCACTGTAACTTTTATACTTTACAAACTTTAAATTCTTAAACACTTTTTGACTCTTTTGTAATATCACTTAGCTTAAAGCACACATTGTACATCTGTACAAAATATTTTCCTTTTTTATATCTTATTCTATAACCTTTTTCTATTTAAAAATTCTCTCTCTTTTTTTTACTTCTTAAACCTTTTTATTAAAAACTAAGAAGCTGATATGGTTTGGCTGTGTCCCCACCCAAATCTCACCTTGAATTGTAATAATCCCCATGTGTCAAGGGTGGGGCCATGTGGAGATAACTGAATTATGGATGCGTTCCCTTATACAAGATTTTTGTATTTTTAGTAGAAACAGGGTTTTACCATATTGGCCAGGCTGGTCTCGAACTCCTGACCTCATGATCCACCCACCTTGGCCGCCCAAAGTGCTGGGATTACAGGTGTGAGCCACCATGCCCAGCTGCATTTTATTTGCTTTTCTAATTACATTCCATGAGGCATTGGTCTGCCATAGCAATCCTGGTAGCAAAAGCCCTCTAGGCTTCTTTATTTTACATTTTTGAGTTCTAAACATTGTGTCTGAAAAATGTAGGGGTAATTTGAGGTTCTAGGTGATGTGATTTTCCTCCAGAAAGTATATACGCTTGCTTCTGGCTGTTAGCTAGTCCAAGGGTAGGCCACCTTAATTCAGCCAAGAATTGGCTGAATTGTTTGTATTTTTAGTAGAGATGGGGTTTTACCATATTGGTCAGGCTGTTCTCATGGTAGTGAATACGTCTCACAAGATCTGATGGTTTTATAAATGGGAGTTCCCGTGAACAAGCTCTCTTGCCTGCTGCCATATAGGATGTGTCTTGCCTCCCCTTTGTTTTCTGCCATGATGGTGAGGCCTCCCCAGCCATGTGGAACTGTGAGTCAATTAAACCTTTTTCTTTGATAAATTACCCAGTCCTGGGTATGTCTTTATTAGCAGTGTGAGAACAAATGAATACAGATGCAAACACGCATAGTATCCTAGGCCTACACAGGGTCAGGAGCATCGATATCACTATCTTCCACTTCCTCATCTTGTCCCACTGGAAGGTCTTCAGGGGCAATAACAGGCAACGAGCTGTTATCTCCTATGATAACAATGCCTTCTCCAGGACTACCACAAACCCATGAGTAATGCATTGTGCCACAATGTTACAATGGCTAAATGTCACTAGGAGATAGAAATTATTCAGTTCCATTGTAGTCTTGTGGGACTACCATTCCATATGCGGTGTGTCGTTGACCAAAGTGTCATGTGGTACATGACTGTATTCGGGGGAAAAAAAACCAATAAAAAATAATGCAAATTAAAAATACAGTATAACAACTATTTACATAAAATTTACATTACATTATATACTATAATCTAGAGATGATTTAAAGTATACGGGAAGATGTGTATAGGTTATATGCAAATACAACACCATTTTATATAAGGGACTTGAACAACGACAGATTTTGGTATTCACAGGTGTCCTGGGACCAAATCCCCCATAGATACAGAGGGATGACTGATTTATGTATCGAAAGACCAAAAAGACATAGGTCAAATTGTTAGTAGTGGTTCTCTTGAATGATTGGAATATAGGTGAGTTACTCATTGTCTCTGTGCTTCTTGTATTTTCTAAATTTTCTATAATAAATATGGATATTTTGTATTTTAAAAATGCTAATTTTGTAAAAGATGACTGCCAGGTAATAGTAGTCAATCAGGAAAGGCAGAAAAGGCAAGAAAGCTGGAGAAAAAGGTGATAATATGGGAATAACAAACCTGGATTCTTCCTGCTGCACTCCCCAAAAGTCTCACCGCACTTCTGACTCCAGATGTCTGGGTGTTTCTCCCCATCGACAAGCAAGCCATCCTCCAGAAGGGACACCTGCTGGTGTCCTCCAGTTCATTTCAATTCCGACACTATCTGAGATTCCCTTGACCTTGACACTCTTAGTGGTGGGAACTGGAGTGGCTTGTTTCACTCAGCCTGTCAATGGCTACTTTTCTTGAGAAGGAGCCTGCAAGCGAGTGTGGGAACCGGAGTGAATGGAATGATGGGACTGGTCAGTTGCTTCTCTCTGGCTGGAGCAGGCTCTGTTGAGGCCCCGCAGCAGCCTCCAAGCCCCTGCTCCCTCAATATCTGGGTTCTTGTCCGGCATCCAGAAAGAATCAGGTCACACAAATAGATTGAAGGGCAGTGTATGCAGAGGATGATATTGGGCGATAGAAGAGGCTCTTGGTGGGATGGGGAGTTGGAAAGGGGATGGTGTGGGAAGAAGGTGATCTTTTCCTGAAGCTGCACCATCCGAAGTTAGGTGAGTCTCTCCACAGTCTCTGATGCTCAGTTGTATCTCTGCTTGCTGCTCAGCCTCTTGTATCCCCACTGCTCAGTCGCTTGTGTTGCTCTACCAGCTGCAGTCTTTTTATGAGCACAGGATTTGGGCATGGCAGGCCAAAACAGCAACATTTGGGCAGAAAAACCAGGTCAGCTGTTTCACTTAGGGCCAAAGTTCCAGGCTTAAGGGTGGGGTTTAGCCAGCCCCCATTTCCAATGCCAAACCCAAGCCCCAGGTTGGTTTACCTGTGCTTCTGACCCACCGGCTATACATTGGGGTTTCCTCAGCCTCCTCCTTAGGTCTGATTAATTGGCTGGAGTGGCTCACAGAACTCAGGGAAACACTTACATTTGCCAGTGTATTGTAAGGGCTATCACAAAGGGTACAGATGAAGAGATGCATGGGGCGAGGCATGGGGAAGGGACATGGAGCTTCCACGCCTTTCCTGGGTGCCACTCTCCAGGTGCCTCCACTTGTTAAGCTTTCTGGAAGCCCCCCGAACCCAGTCCTGTTGAATTTTTATGGAGACTTCAATACATAGGCATGATTAACTAGATCATTGGCCATTGGTGATCAACTTAACCTTCAGCCCCTCTCCCTTCCCTAGAGTCATGAGGTGGGGCTGAAAGTCCGAACCCTCTAATCCTGTCTTGGTTTGAGTGACCAGCCCCATCCTGAAGCTACCTAGGGGCTGCCAGCCACCAGTCAATCATTAGCATACAAAAATACATCACTTTGGAGATTTCCAGGATTTTAGGAATTGCATGTCAGGAAACTGGATGAAGACCAAATAAATATTTCACACTATCACAATATACCAGAAACTGAAAAATTAGATCTCCCATGAGACCCATAGAACAGTGGAGGAAGGAAGGTGGGGCTACAGAGAGATGATTGCAAAATAACATCCAAGAGCTGGAAAGGAATCAGTACATCTTCTCCAAACCCCTCACTGTCGTTGTATGCATGCAGACACGCAGGCTCAGGAGGCCACATGGCTTGCCATCGAGTTAGTGACAGTGCTGGGTCAGGAGCCAGGTCTCCTGATTCCCAGGCCAGTGCTCTTTCCGGAGGAGCTTGTGGAGTAAATGTGAGCTGGGGTAATCACAGGGCTCTCCCCGCAGGACAGGGACAAACTAGGGCTGCCTGTGCAGGATCACTTGATCTAGCCGGACCTTCTCAGGTAGAGGAATTGCCAGAGACATGGCTGTTGGTGGGAGGTCCTCCATTTGGCTGGTGAGAGATGAGCTTCAACAGGGATGGCAGTGTCTATGACGCCTTTCTAGCATAGCACTCAAAAGCCTCCTCGGCCTGCCTAGGTCTCCTCGCTCCACGGGCCTCTCCTCTAACTCCTGTAACCCCCTACAACTCTGTTCTGGTGGCTTCATGCTGAGTTATGACCTTACTGCCCCTAAATAGGTTTGTGTCTTTGCTGACATCATCCCCTATCAAGAGATTTTTTTCCACTCCCTCTCTCCTACCTGAAATCTACCTACCCCTCAAGGTGTAATTCTAATCCTCACCATCTTCAGCTAGTGGAGCCCAAGTGTCTCATGTGGAGAGGATCCTCCAGGCTTTGCATTTTTCTTTGGCTGGTGTCAGTCTTCTTGCAGAGATGCTAAGGTCTGGAAGGCAGGAATCAATTCTCCATTTGGTGGCGTGCTCCCAGACATGGAGGAAAATGTCTTGTATGAGGCAGGCACTAAGTAAACACTTGTGGAGTCACTGGTGGGCTGTTGGAAAGAAATGTGTGAGAGGCTGGGGCACATCCAGAAGGAGCTGACAGAGGATTTTGAAGAGTAGTGGGCAGCACAGAGCTCTTTACAGGAGCCTGTTAAAGGCTTTCTGCTGACTGCTTTTCCTCCCTTGATTCTGATGTCAGTTTCAGAAAGACTTAGGACCCTGAGTCAGGAGAGAGCAGATATTAGAAGGAGAAAAACAAGTTGTGCTGTTGAGGAAAGACAATGTCAGGAGGAAGCACTGTAGTGGAAACCCAGGTCTGGAGAGATTAGAAACTGCCTGGATGGAGATTGCGCTGCTGCAGGCTTAAGTACATTTTCTCAGATGTGGGGCAGGCTGGCCTTGAGAACAAAGAACAGAAATATGAGTTTGGGCAGAGAACAAACAGTATGTGAGATTTTTGGTGGCAAATAATGATAAGCCAATGTGCTTGGGTTTGGAAAGAGGGGCAACTTCCTGTTTAGCAGAGGGAACCTTATTAAGGGAACTATTATACTGATCTGAAGCCAGAGTTTTTCAGGTTTTTGATGACTTCCATTAAGTGCCTGAGCAGAGGCGTGTAATAGAATGGGGAAGCCAAGGAGATTTATAAACCAAGGATGTTTGAATGAGAAATGTGGAGTTCGTAAATTTTGGAGTCTCTTGTTGCCACACAGAGGTTTATTTGGGGGAAAGGATTTGGAGTCTATCATATTAGAATTAGCTGCTGTTGTGATCAGATTTCAGACAGCAACACAGGGGTGGGGAGAGAGAACAAATCTTGCCTTCCCTGGCTGGGGGATTTTGGCAGATTCTCAGAGGCTGGGCTCATAGGAATTAATTTGTGGAAAAGGGAGCCATGCAACATGAATTAATTCAAGGAATTATTGAGAATGCAGAGGAGCGTCCAGCTCTCATGTTATTCACAAAAGAATGAGGACACCGTGGGTTTTGGAAGTAGCTTTTAAAAGGCATCCAAAGCATCTCATGTTGGTGATATAAATGTTTGGGGAGGGTGAGAAAGAGGAGCTGGGTAGGGCAGGAGGAGCTTTATGTATCACTGAAGCAGTGTAATATAATTTAAAGAGGGTTGGTAATTTGACCCCAGCTTAAAATATGACCTGTACTCAGGAACTCAGCTCCTGAAACTTCACCATCAGGTCTTCATTCCATATTGTCACTCGTACTTCACTCCAGTGAGGTTTATGGGATTATTTTTCCCATTATTGAAGGGACTTTGAATGGCACCTGGGAAGAGAAGAGATGAAGAAGAGACAAAAATCCCATGCACTCAACTTGTTTTGCCTTGAGAGTGACCTTGAATGTGCTCTATCTTCAGAGAGGCCTGATTTGAAGCCACCTGCCTGGTTTCATATCCCGGCTCTGCTCCTTACCAGTTGGGGAACTTGGGGCCAGCTATTTAACCTCTTTGTACTTGCATTTCCCCACTGGTAAAATGAAGAAAAATGGTCATACCTACTTCACAGGTTGTGAGGATTAAATGAGTTCATGCATGCAAGATACTTAGAACAGCTCCTGTTACATAGCAAGTACTCAATAAACATTCTCTATCATTCTTTCTAGCTTTCAGGATGGCAGCACCTGCTGTTCTGAAAGATTTTCCCATCTAGGCCCCAGCCAAGTGCAGAAGAGTTCGAGGCTGAGGTTGCCAGGGGAAGCAGACATTTCTGAGTTCTCCATTTCTCAACTGCAAACACCTTGAAAGCCTCTTCAGCCCTTTCCTTAGCAACCTTCACAGCTTATTCTAAGTCCCGTGTTTAAGAACTTGGAATTGCAAGGTGTTTTAGAGGCGGTTTTTTTGCTGAAAAAGAAAAGGGGGCATGGCCTGAGTGTGGCTAAGGCAAATGCTCTGGCAGGACAGTGCCAATCTTGGTTCTTGTCATTCTTTGATGAGCTTCTGCTCCACATGGGTGACAGGATGGGCTGGTCCTATCCTCCAAGCTGGTCCAGCCCATGGCTGCTGATGCCAGTGCTCTAGCCAATCATCAGAAAGGCTTGATACTGATGCTGCAAGGGGCATCCTGCTGCAATCTTCCCCCATTTTGTGGCTTCAGGCCCACTCCGTGTGTGGAGGCGGGGATTACTCTAGTTGTCAACTTTGACTCTAGCTACCTCACCCCACTTTACTGGGTCCTAACTTCCCCTCCCCACCTGAGATGCTCTGCCAGTTTCTCTTTCAGGTCATGGCTGGAGCAGACCCAGGAAAGCAGTGTCTTCGGTGGCTTTTGCCTCCTCTGGAGGAAGGGTGGGTGGGGCTGGGCTGGCTGCTTGAAGAGGAAAAGGATGAGGGTGTGTTGGGGAACAGGTGTGCAGAAATGGTGAAGTGGCATGGAAGATGGAGGATTTAAATGTTAAAGGGTGGGTAGAAAATGTACCAAGATATTTTGAGGGCTAAATTTGTTCTGGAAGTTAAATGTATAGAATGTGATGAATCAGAGGAACAAGAGGCACTTAAGATTTTTAAAGCCGTTGGGTTGCCCAGGCGATACACAGACGTTTTGTGGATGGTTTGTTATTAGCAGTAAACATTTACATAGCACTTCACCTCCTCAAATATTCGTCCATAAAACCCTGGAATGGTAGTGACGGCCAGAAAACCAAGACCCAGGGAGGAGGATTTGCTCAAGGTCACAAAGCTGGTTTACAGCTGAGCTGACGGGAGAGCCTCGGTGTCTTGGCTTTGTGCTGCTACCTGCCAGGGGCTTCCGCCTTGCTTAGATAGCTTGCTTTGCAATACCCAGTGAGGAAGGCGGAAGCAGACTGGCTACAGCCTTCAGCTGGAGGAACAGAGAGCAGGGAAGGGGAGTGATCTATTGACCAAGGAGAAAGCTGTATCTGACCTATCTGCTTCCAGACCTACCTTCTGAGCCCTCGAACCCTGAAGCTGCATGCTTTCTTTTACCTGCTCATCTACCTGGGCTGTCTCTCTTGGAAGATGACACTGCTGAGCTCCCAGCTTCCCAAGCGGCTTGACTTCTCCCCTTTGCCCCCTCGCCACCCACCCCTTGCCTAAGCAATCACCAAGACCTTGAATTCCTTCTGTTTAGTATTTGATTTGCTCACTATTCTCCATCCCCGCTACCACTCTCTGTCTACCACAGAGCCTACTAATTAGCCTCTTCACCTCCACTCTTTATTCCCTCCTATCCATTGTACTTCCAAATACCTAATCAGATCACTCTCCTGCTGAAAACCCTTCCAGGGCTCTCAATGGCCTCGAGTTAAATGAAGCCCAGACACCTCATCACAAGGCTCGCATCCTTTCTCCTGGCTTGTCCAGGGCATGGCCTCACACAGCACCCCAGCCAGAAGGATGCTCAGTTCCCTGACCTCATCATGCTGTGAGTATGTTGGTGATGGAGCCAGAGGGAGCCAAGAAAGATCACAGGAATGGGGGGGTGGTTTGAGGGGGAGAAAGAGGGAGAGGGGGAGAGGGGGAGAGGGGAGAGGGGGAGAGAGGGGAAAGAGAGAGAGAGAGACAGACAGAGAGAGAGAGAGAGAGAGAGAGAGAGAAGGGCTGAGCCTGGCTGTACTGAACCAGTGGCCAACATGGAGGAACCCACCTCATATGGGATGTTCTCAACTCAAGAGCATTGGCACGAGCCTCAGAGGTGGGTGTTGTCCATCAATGCAAGGCGGCAGACTCAAAACTCTCTCTCTCTCTCTCCAGACAGCTCATCCTGATTTGGTGACCAAAGCACAGCGACCCATAACAAGTGGGACATTTCTTACTGGCTGTGTGATACTGAGTGAGTCACTTAATGTAATGAAGCCATGGGCCTCAGTTTCCTCATCTGTGAAATGGGGATAATAGCTGACCTGCTGTGCAGATGTCTTTTTGTTTGTCTGTTTTGGTTGCACAGCCTATGAACCCCCTTCCATATTGGGGACCCCCTTTGTATGAGCCTCCATGGTGGGAGTGGACTGTTTCCCACTGAGAAGCTGAAAAAGCCAGACGCTGTGACAGCCTCCCAGCAGTGAGAGAGTTAGGTGTTCATGTCTAGGTCTTTGCAACTTAAGGGTAATACAAAGGTGCAGGCCCCACTGAGAATCATTCCAGTAGAGGCAGTGGGTTGGGAGGGTGGCAGTGACAATGACGGTGGAGGCGGTCACCACGGTGTCCAGCTCAGTCTCTTGCTGCAGCATGAGCTTGCTTGCTTTCTTCCATGCTTTCTAGTCATGTCTAGAACAGCCTGATTTCCTCCCAGTAAGTTCCATCTGTGCTCTTTAGCTGACCAGAGTCCGTTTCTGTGGATAGATGAAATCGAGTCTTGACTCAAATACTCACCTACTCACAGGGCAGTGAGGGAGAAGCAAAATGTGGAGCTGGGGCTGCTTCAGTGAATCTGGAGTGCAGTTCCGTGGGGAAGGGTGAAGCCCTGGGACGGGGAGCACAGCATCTACTGCATGTTTTCAGTCGAGCTGGAACCTGAGTCAAAAATCACATCAAATATCAGGCATTCCACTGGGAGGAGACGATATTGTGACTATGCTTTGGAAAGGACAAGGAAAATATAAGACTTTCTTACCAATAGAGAGCCCTCCCACTCCTCCTCCTCCATGTCTTAAATTTAGCTTAAAAACATAATTGTTTTTTTAAAATGAGGAAAGGCACATGTCCATTCCCATAGATCGTTAGCATCGAGGAGCAGACATTTATTTCTGTGCCGTGCCTGTCGGGTCTCAAATCTGGCTTTGGCAGCCTCCCAAGTCATTTTTATCTGGTGGGACAGAAGGACACTCCTGCAAGCCATGCTCCAGCCTCGGCTTCCTCTGGGTTAGGCACATTCCACGCTAAGGTCTGGGCTTCACTTGGCAGAGCAGCAGAAGCAGATTCCCTTGCTCTCCAGCCATCACCATCCTGCCGGGGGGTGGGGTGGTGGATCCAGGGGCTTATATCTGTTTGCTTAGATCCTGGGTCCTCAGGAGCTGGTGCCAGGACCGGTGGGAGACTGGGCTCCAGCCATCTGTCACGTGAAATGGTCTGGGCCACATATAAAAGACACGGTTTTCATATCCCATTACCCAAATGCTGTTGTTTTGGCCACTTTGGAAAACTTTGAGACACAAGAGCCTGATATGTGTCCCTGGGGACAAATAGGACTTGCTGTTGAGTCCTCACCCTGGCTCCCCTCCCGGTTGACTGCCATCTCTGGGAAACAGGCACTTTGATGACACCACATTTAATCGCAGCATTTTGGTTTTGTTTTAGTGTTTGAAAGAGCAGGTTGTCAGGCTGACTTATGCAAAAGCAGAACCATTAACCTCACAAAGAACTCAGAGCCATGAGCAACGGGATGGAGGCTGAGGCTGCTGAGGTAGTTTGCAAGGTCTCTCTCTGCTGCTGCAGGGAAACTCACCACTGCGCTGCTGGCCTGCTACTGGGGTGGGCTCCAGCTCTGGGCAGCATGGCCCCCCTCCTCAGTGCACTCCCAGGGGCCAGCCTACATGGAGGCTTCTGGTTCCAGGGGGCAGTGGGTGGGGTGGGGCCATAGGGAAAAGGCTCTGATCTGGGACACTGGAAGGGGTACATGTCCACCTGAGTTATGGAGCAGTCCAGCAGCCTGCATTCCCTTCAGCTCTTTGGGCCTCAGTTTTCTCACCTGTAAAATGATCCCCAAGTGCATTTCTAATTGTAGCTTTTCTTTGGTGCTTGTTATTTCCCACCAGCCTCTGAGGTGTCAGCTCCACCTGCCAACCTTCGTGGTTACCTGGACAGAACTTTGGTATCATGTAGGAGGACAAGCATGGGTTTTGGAATCAGGCAGGGATCTGTGCTTAAATTTTGGCTTTGCCTCAAATTTAATTTGTGTAGCCTCAGCTGTAGCAGCACAAGCTGCAGACAAGAACCCTTCAGACACCAAGTTGTAGAAGGAAAGGGCTTTATTCAGCTGGGAGTGTTGGCAGACTCACATATCCAAAAACCGAGCTCCCCGAGTGAGCAATTCCTGTCCCTTTTAAGGGCTTACAACTCTAAGGGGGTCCGCGTGAAAGGGTTGTGATTGATTGAGCAAGTGGAGATATATGACTGGGGGCTGCATGCACCAGTAATCAGGACGGAACAGAACAGAACAGAACAGAAGAGGGATTTTCACAAAGCTTTTCCATACAATGTCTGAAATCTATAGATAACACAAGCAGTTAGGTCAGGGGTTGATTTTTAACTCCCAGGCCCAGGGCGCAGTGCTGGGCTATCTGCCTGTGGATTCCATTTCTGCCTTTTAGTTTTTACTTCTTTCTTTGGAGGCAGAAATTTGGCATAAGACAGTATGAGGGGTGGTCTCCTCCCTTATTCTCTCCCTTTGAGAACCTCACTTATTAGTGGGAGTTTTCACTTTTATCACTACCCACGTCTTCTTGCAAGACAGATCAATAGTGATTCATATAGTACACTTGTGCTGAAGCATTTTGGTGAACTAAGGTAGCGATGAAGCTTTTTGTTATTTGAAGAAGTACAGGTAGCAAACAAGGGAGCAGTAAGCAGTTCTTATTACTATTATAACTTCTATTACAAGAGTTTTAAATCCTCCTAGCGCTGGGAACCATTTTTCAAACATGGCCCCAGGATCAAATCCATGCCACACTTGCACAGGCACATGTGCCAATTTTGTCATATCTCTAACTATGTCTTCAACTACTTGCCCTGGATCATCTATGTGTAGACAGCAATTAGTAAGGTTAAAATTCCCACAGACCCCTCCTTCAGCTGCAAGTAGTTGAGAGCCAATTTATTTTGATAGATAGCATTTCTCATTTGAGTTTCTTGCCGGGCCAGAATGGTCAAGGCTCTGCCGGTTTTATTAGTGATTATTTCTAAGACAGCTTGTAACCGTATGATTTGGTTGAGCATGTAAATGGGGGTCTGGTATCCCCATGAGCCATCTTGTGCTCAAGTAGCAGGCCCATAATATTGTATGATTTTCTCAGAGGGCCATTTTTCATCTTTCCAATTTCCTATAGCTGTGCTTTTCTTTCCGTGAGAAGCATAGACAGGAAGGCCCAGGAGTTCACCTGTCTTTATGGGCAGTAGGAAGAAAGATGGTTTAATAGTGCCAATAACACAACCACCTGCCCACTGGTCAGGTAATTTGGTGTAAGCTCTATGCCCACATATCCAGTATAATCCAGTGGGGGCCATCCAGTCCCAGTGGGACTCTGGGTGGGTCCACACGGTTTGTAACTTTGGGAATTTACCAAATGGATTCCTTTCTGTGTGATTTGAACTCCACCAAGTGACTGTTTTTGTGGTACCATTATACGGTTTCTGTCCCAGACAACTAAGTCATCCTATGGGGTGAGTGAATTCTTTTCCTTCTCTAGCTATGCAATATTGTCCAATAATTGAGGCTTTCAGGACCCAGAAATTATTAGGGTGATTTTTTTGAGCCGGGAATTCGTCAGGAACTGGGTCTGTAGGTACTAATTCTCAGGCTTCCCATGGCCATTGATTTCCCATTACAGGTTCTCCACATACATAACATGAAGTGACATTGAGAGACTGGGCTACATGCTTGGCTAATTGCAAAACAAATTTCTTATTTTTCCTGGAATTTCTGGTACTGGCACATTTAGTTCATCATAGAAAGTTTGAAACACTGGCTCAGGAGAGTGTTTGTAAACTTCTCCTCAAACTAAGATATTTACTCGAGGATCCAGTCTGGCCCCATCGATTCCTAAGGTCACACGCTCCCCTTTTTTCCAGCGAGGATTAAGGGGATTGGTTATTACTAGCTCTAAGGGGTTACATTGTCCCTTAGTACAGGAAGGGCTACTTGTTCCTTTCTGAAGGTGGACTGGATCCTTTTCATTTTTTATCCAAGTGGCGCAAATGACGCAAGACCAGCATCCACATTCATTTTTACAGAGTCCTAATTCGTGACAAATGTACTTATTTTCGGTCATATAGCCTTTTTTCCAATTAAAAGAGCCATATCCCCTTCCTAACTTACTGCTATTAATGATAGCACAGGCATCAAATTTCAAGATTATGCATTTGGGGACCCCTTTTTCTTCTGTTCTAGCTAATACTTTACTTGTATCATTTACGAGTCCCTACCAGTCTTCAGTCCTTGATCTTATTTTAAAAGCTGTGGACATGGGAGGCTCAGAGGGGTCATAACACACACTGGCCAGTTGTTTCCTGGGCTACATACCTTGTATAGCATTAAAGAAATAATTTCCTTTTAGGGTCCTTGTTCACTTATAATAACCATAAAATAATAGCACTGTAGCAACCTTTTGTCCTGCCTCAGTGACTTGATGTATATACTGGGAACAGTCCTAGATCAGTTGAAGTCCTTACTGTACAAGTCCAAATTTTAAGGAAAATGAGTCCCGCGATGAGTTTCCTCATGCTTTGGCCATGCGTGGACCAGTCAGCTTCCGGGTGTGACTGGAGCAGGGCTCATCATCTTCCTCAGAGTCACTTTGCAAGGGTTGGCGAAGCTGCTCCTGTCCACTTGCTGCTCCCAGTTTACTGATGTTCAAGGATGGTCTTGGAGGTTGGGCCTGCTAGAATAAGCTGGGTCCAACACCTCTACACAGTTATGTTCAACTGGGCTCTCTGATACCGGGAGCAAGGTGGCAGGGTTCAGAGTATTGCAAACTTCGATGGTTATGTGGGAATTTTCACATAGCAAGCTTTGGTATCTAGTTAGTCTAGTACTTGTTAGCCATTGATGTCCTTTGGTATTTATTAAAGTCACCACAGCATGGGGGGTCTTTATGTTTAGGTTTTGCCCAAGAGTTAGCTTATCCGCTTCTTGTGCTAGCAGGGCTATTGCTGGCAAGGCCCTCAAACATGGGGGCCAACCCTTAGAAACCCCGTCTAGTTGTTTAGAGAGGTAGGCCACTGGCCTCGGCCAGGGCCCCACAGTCTGGATTAAAACTCTAACTGCCATTTTTTAAAATTTTCTCTTTGACACAGATAGTGTAAAAGGTTTTGTCAGGTCAGGTAGCCCCAGGGCTGGGGCTGACATGAATTTGTCTTTTAACTCATGAAAAGCTCATTGCTGTTGGTTGTAATAGATGTAGTTTATTTAGTTTACATTTTATTAACTGTCACCTACCAAAATATTGACTTAAATTCTGCAGCTATTTGATTTTGGGCTTTAATTGATCAGGTATTTCCCATGGGACTCCAGCTGCATCTAAATAGATGTGAGTGTCGAAAGGCGAGCTTCTCTCGCTTTACAGTGTCTTGTTTTTCTCCCTCTGGTTGATGAAATGCCAGGGTGAAAGGGATAGCCAATTGGACTAAAGAACAAGTGCCACTCCAATTATTCGGCAGAGTGCCCAGTAAAGGCCTACCACACATCCGCTCAGGGATGAACAAGGGCTGACTGATTGATAAGCTCTTGAAAATTCTTAAGCTCACTGCATCCCTTCAGGTCTCCAAGGAACGTTAAGTTTCCTCCCTGTTGTGAGAGACATGAAGTGAACTTAATGTTGGGAGACGGAAGCTGGATGGCCCTCGGGGGCTGACCCGCAGGGTGCAGGATTTCGGGATATAGCAGAGAGAGAGCTTGGCAAGACTTGTTACCCTAGGCTGTAGAATCTTGGAAAAGAGCTACCATGCAGCCCATGCCTGGGTGACTGGAGGACCACCCTAGTGGAAAGGGGACAATGTGGGCCTCTGGCCTGCTGTGCGCACAAGTATAACAATTGCTTTTGCTTAATGTGTGGACAGAGTATTTGATCCATTCCAACCTGGCATTTGCATCTTGGTATCCTGTCTTAACTGCCAAAGTTTGTTTTAAGTCTTTAACTTCTATGATCCTCTAGTAAAATGAATGTATGATTTTAGGAAACTACAAAAAATGGTGGGGGCAGTCCATCCTTGCTCTTTAGTGGTCCACAGAACGTTGGACCAACTATGGCATAAAAGCTCTACATCTGGGGGCAAGACTACTGGTTGATATCGAGGTCTTTATTGAAATCTCCCTGGATTAAATGGTCCTAATTTACTAATGCCCAGTCTGAGGAGAGTCAGGAGGGATAGAGGTACTTTTCTGAAGTAGAGAGCTGTCTTTGACTTGGCAAGTCCCCACAGGATATAACAAGGCAAGCATTAAATGCAATAGTTTGAGGCGAAATTGACTTGGTTATGTTAATAACTAGATGGTCAGCAATAGAGTGAGGAAAGAAGAAACAATCATAGAATAGATGAAAGAGAGTTAAATTTTTCTTAGCTTTAATTTGGTAGGGTTTTCCCCTGAGACTATGCCCTACAACTCTAGAGGGGGTGGCGCTTTCTTGACTCGGTTGTGGTGAGTCTATCCCCTTTCTGCTGTATGAACAGCAGTCTCGGTGGTTAGCAGCACAAGGTAGGGTCCTTCCCAGGCTGGCTCGAGTTTTCCTTCTTTCCACCCTTTGATGAGAACGTGATCGTCAGGCTGGTGCTGGATTACCAGAAATTCTAGGGGTGGTGCATGTGCTAAACCAAGTATATAATTTTTAAGAAATTGACCTTTTGTTTTAAATGTGGGGACATCAGCAGTGGACTTTATAGTCCTTGGTGTCTTCTGACAAATTTCCTTTAGCACCTATTTTTATTAGTTTTTTAGACCAAAGAAAGCCAAACACCATTTTATATTTGACAATGTTTTCTGTATGATTTTTATACCAGATAAGCTGAATTTCACTTTTATATTAGTGTGTTATTAATGTTAAACTTAGTTTTAATAAAACCTTGTAGACATATTTATTTAATTTTTAATGTTTGACCATAAGGTAAAATTTTTATAGACTCTTTTTAACCTTTTATAATTTTTGTTAAAGAGCAGGTTAGTGCCTTAAGAAAAACCCATTGTGTTTTTATTTTAAAGTTCAGTTCACAGAAAAACTGGATGATACCCCTTTAACTTTAGTCAATATGTTTACACACAGAATTTTCTTTATAATTAACGTTTTAAAACTTGCTTAAACCTTCAAAACAAAATTTTTTAACCATTTAATGTAGGTAAAAATTCACATTCTTATGCCGTCTTGTAATTCTTTTACCAGAGGTATATTTTACTTTCCTTACACACCTTGCACATAAACTGTTTTTTTTTTCAATAGTTTTACATTCGGGAGGCCTAATTACTTTTAAATTATATAACATTTCTTGCATAAATTCTTTTTTTATAACTTTTTTTCACAACTTTTGCAGACAATTTTTTGACATGCCTCAATTTTCTGACTTATTACAAATATACATATTTTAAACAACTAGTTAATTTATTTCAGGACAAGAATTTACCATATAACTTTTTTTTACATAAATTCTGCTCCCCCTCTTTTTTTCCCTTTTTTCGAAGATAATCATTCTTTTCCAAAGTGAACTTCCTTTATGTCTGTGGACTAGACTGTCCAAAGCCACAAGATTAGAAGTTACTATAATACATGTTACATTGTTAACTTTTAGCAAATTTTACTTTTGTTGAAAACTTTGTAAGTTTGAGATTTCAATTATCCTTTGCTGTTAATAAGATCTTGTTTAGTCCAAATTAACTTAGAATTGGTATAGATGGCTTTTTAATTTTTCCCTTCAATTACCCTGGAGGAACCATCTATCATCCTGTCCTGAAGGGAGTTCCTCATAGGTCTGGTCGGACCTTTGTATGGTAATTAAGATTTAGATCTCCTGCTGGGAAACCTGCTGGGTTAAGGGAATTTTCAGTGGCTAATGTTATTAAATCATCTTTTTCTTTCTTTCTTTTTTTTTTTTAACACAATAGCCCTATACTTGAAGATTTTTAAGTTAGTAAGCTACCTTTTGTCCCCGCTTTTTTTTTCCCCTTAAGATACTTCTGAACTGGTGAGCTGTGCTGACAATGATGTTTCCTCTAAAAGTTATTTTTCTACTTTCTTCCGTTAGTGTAGCAGTTGCTTCTACAGACTGAATGTACTGGGGCCAGCTGCGGGTCACTGGGTTAAGGATTTTTGATAGGAAGGCTACAGGTTGTCAACGGCCTCAGTGCTTTCAGGCTATGCCCTTGTTTACACTGACAACAAGGTGGTATTGGAGTGTTATAGGGTCACGGAGAAGACCTTCAATGATCAATTATACGTTTTAAATTTACCCTGGCTTTTAAAGGAATAGGGTACACTTTTTTTTTTTCTTAACTACTTGTATATTTCTCTCTTTCTGTATTTCTTTCTCTCTTTGACTTTCTGTCTCTCTCTCTTTGACTTTCCTTTTGCCTCTGTCTCTTCCTCTCTCTCTGCCTCTCTCTTTCTCTCTCTCTCTCTTACCTTGACTCTGTCTTTGTCTCTCTGTCTCTTCCTCTCTCTCTGCCTCTCTCTATCTCTCTTACCTTGACTCTCTCTTTGTCTCTCTGTCTCTTACTCTCTCCGCCTGTCTCTCTCTATCTCTCTTTCCTTGACTCCATCTTTGTCTCTCTGTCTCTTCCTCTCTCCGCCTCTCTCTATCTCTTTCCTTGACTCCATCTTTGTCTCTCTGTCTCTTCCTCTCTCTCTGACTCTCTCTCTCTCTATCTCTCTTTCCTTGACCCCATCTTTGTCTCTATGTCTCTTCCTCTGTCTCTGCTGGTCTTTCCTTGCCTCTGTCAGCTGCTTATGCTGCTGTTCTCTCAACCACTGTGGGTGGGGCGGAGGGGGATGTCTAAAACCAGCTGTAACCAAGTGTCTATGTACAGGAACTGGTCTGGGTGCCCTGGCTTACAGGTTACCTTGTGCCATACCTTTGAAACAAGGGACCTGTTCAGGCTTCCTTCTGATGGCCAACCCACCTCTAATGCTGGCCAGCCTATTTCACACAAAGTTACTAAGTTTTCCTGGTGTCATGGTAACACCGTAATCTCCCTTAAATCCTTTCTTGAAATTTTTCAACATAGTTTCTAGTGGGGTGGGCCTACTTTGTGCCTGACCCATGCTTCCTTGAGACAAAACACCATGCTAACACCACACGCACACCACAAAACAAAGAACAGGTAAAAAGGGCACACACACACTTTTACAGTTTATACCAAATCTGAACCAAAACCATCAGAGTATCAAGAAATCCAAGCCAGGTCAAAACCAAAACCAAAGTATCAAGCAATCCAAGTCAAGTCACAAACAAAAACCAAAGTGACAGTACAGGCATGTCATGGGTGATCAGGCCACGCTTCCACTCAAATGGAGTGCACAAGTTCCAAAGACCAGTCTTACCAAGTTTCAGATGTCTGGACTCCCAAGTGCCAGTTCCTTCCCGGTGTTCAGCCACTGTGTTGATCTTCCGTGGGGGCCTCCCATGTGCTGCTCTGGTAAGGTGGTCCACCGGGGCAATTGCCTACCCAGGAGTGCTCTTTGGATCCGCATCACTCAGGCTGGTCAGAGTCCCCCACAGGGATGCTCCACAGGGCAGGCCTAAGCTGCCTAAGGGGCTGCCTCAACTGTCTGTTAATCACCTTGCTTCCAGGTCAGGGAACCAAGAAATGTAGCAGGATGAGCCACAGACAAGAACCCCTCAGACACCAAGTTGTAGAAGGAAAGGGCTTTATTCAGCTGGGAGCACCGGCAGACTCATGTCTCCAAAAACTGAGCTCTCTGAGTGAGCAGTTCCTGTCCCTTTTAAGGGCTTACAATTCTAAGAGGGTCAGTATGAAAGGGTCGTAATTGATTGAGCAAGTGGGGATATGTGACTGGGGGCTGCATGCACCAGTAATCAGAACTGAACAGAACAGGAAGGGATTTTCACGATGCTTTTCCATACAATGTCTGCAATCTATAGATAACACAAGCAGTTAGGTCAGGGGTTGATTTTTAACTACCAGGCCCAGGGCACAGTGCTGGGCTATCTGCCTGTGGATTCCATTTCTGCCTTTAGTTTTTACTTCTTCTTTCTTTGGAAGCAGAAATTGGGCATAAGACAATATGAGGGGTGGTCTCCTCCCTTACAACCAAGTTGATTGTTTCATATCTTGTTTCCAAATCTGTAAAATGAAGACAATATTGATTTCAGAGTATTCTTATGGTGATTAACTAAGATAACATTTAAAAAAATGCCTACCAGGAAACCATAAGTAGCTACCAAATAAACCTTAAGTCTCTTTCCCTTACCTTACTCCCTACCCATTTTAAAATTGTCAAGTGACGTAGTTTCACATCACTTAATTGTACTCATATTTTCTCAACCTTTCTAGTTTGGCAGCAAGAATTATTCATACTATAATATACTTGAGGCAGGGTTGACCCACAGAGTAGAACATTCATTCATTCATTTACTCGTCCATTCATTCATCCATCCAACATTTCTGGAGCAACTGCTAAGGCCCAGGCACTATGATAGTTGCTGGAAACACAGAAGCTAAAGACAGGGAGTTTATAGCCTAGTGGGGGACAATCTAATACAGCATCAGCAGGAGTAGAGATCAGTGAGCCTGGGGGACCTCTTGGAGCACTTGGGAAGAGTTTCAAGCCAGAAGCTGGGGCAGTGCCAGGCAGGTGTGCTGGAGGTGAGGCTGTTCGACTCTGGAGAGATGAGAGGAGTTAGCCAGGAGTTAGACATTTGAGGCTTTAGAGACAAGGAATATCCATATCCTGCAGGGCCTTGTGTGTCATGCTAAGGAATTTAGATTTGGTTTTGAAGGCAATGGCTAGCCCTTAGACAGAGGAGTGACATAGATTTTTGTTCTAGAAATACCCTTTTGCATTTCAGAGAATGGGCTGGGAGGAGGCAAGACTGAGACCAGTGAGAAAGTTACAGCAGTGGTTTGACTTGACCAGGGTGGGGGCCTGATCCAAAGCAGTGAGAGTGGGCACAGAGAGAGAGAGAGAGATCAGTAGCAGAGAGGGCACCAAACTGCAGTTACTAGCACTTGGGGACTATTTCAATGTGGGGCCGAAGGCAGAACAAAGATGCAGAATGACTTCCAGAAGGCAGAGGCCTCCAGATAGGCATGGCAGATGATGTTCACTGTGATGAGGAGCGTGGGAGGTCAGGATCAAGGAGTCAGAGGGGGAAGAGCCAAGTGTGAGACCTGGGGACATGCATGTTTCAGAGTTGGTGGAGGGGAGGGACCTGGAGAGGATGAAAAACCACAAGGGAATGGCATCCCAGAGATCAAGGAAAGATGGGATTCCAAGAAGGAGAGGTACGTAGTGTCAAAGGCTGCAGTCAAGCAAGGTAAGGGCTGAAAAATGTTACATATCAAAGGAGAAGCTCCCTTCTAGAGACATTGGCCAGAACTGTTTCCTCAGAGAGTCTGAGCCAAGGGTTGTGAACTGAATAGGGGGTGAGCAAATGGAGAAATGTATAGTGTAGTCTTCCAAGAAGCTTGTCTTGAAAGAGAAGGTGAGATATGGTGTGGCATCGCAGGGAGCTGGCTGAGGCTTGAGCATATTTACCTACTGGGAGGAACCTCGCTGGCAGCAGCAAGGAGGGGTAGAGAATGCTTTCGGCAGGCAGTGAGGGCATTAAAGGAGCAGGAATTTTTGCTTAAAGACAGAGGAGTTTGGAATAGACTGCAGAGTTTAAAGAATGCTGAAGCTTCTTTCTCAGCCTGTGGGGCAAGTGCCCCCAAGTCCCCCTAGAAGGGGTTGCGAGGAGACGTGGGATCCCTTCTCAGAGAAGGCCCGAGTTGAAGTGGAAGACCCAGATCAGAGGGGGTTTGGGCAGAGGCCTGGTGTGGCTGAGATGATGGTGATGGCAGGGAGAAGGCCACAATCTGACAGGGCTGCCCACAGCAGGCCTCACTGCAAGATGGAGATAGGGCTTTTTTTGGTTTCACTTTCCATTTTGCAGGAAGCAAGTCACCTTGCACTTCAGCCTGTGGAGGTGAACCCAGGACTGTGATTCTGCCATTCGGAGCATTGGCTGACTGCAGAGTAAGACACACGCTCAAGGAACTTAACTCTCTTGTTTGGGCAGAATGGAAACACTTTGAAATAATGGTTCAGGGAATTCCACCGGGGAAAGACAAAAGCAGGGTCAGAATGCAGAGGAGATGACATGCAAAGCATGTGATCCCAAGGCAGTGGGCAGTACCTGAGACTCCCGAGAGGGAAATCTGCCCAGCCCAGGCAGGAAGGGCTGGAGGGAGGAGACAGCTCAGGAGGCCGATGGGGCTGGAAAGCAGCAACAGGAGAGGTGAGAAAGGCTCTCTGGGCAAGAGGCTGCAGGTCTCGGTGCCTGCCTGGCCTTCCATTCTAGGTGCTCATCTTTATGGCCCGGTCATGTGACCCAAATTGTTCTCTAGCTCCAAGAAAAAATTCTTTTTTTGTGGTCTTCGTTTTGTTGGTTTTTGTTTTGTTTTGTTTTGAAAAAAGCAATGCAGTCACTTGGGACTCAACACATGAAATGAGGTGGTGAAAGTGTGGAAATGGATTAAAAATAGAGCAGGAACATTGAATCAACAGGTGAAAGGGATCGTCCTATTCCCAGAAGAAATGGCCATTCTCTTATAATCGTCCATAGATTTCTCTGGGACACAGACCTAGCAGTGGGATTGCTGATTTACAGAGTATGTAAATGGCTTCACAGGAAATGCCATACTGCTCTCCAGGATGTGCAATTTACAGCAGTCCCAGCGGCAGTCTTCAGAGATCCCACTCCCCACATCCTCTCCAATGCTTGGTGGTAGCTTACTTCCCACTGGCTGCTCATCTGATGGATGGAAAGTGGCCTCTTGTTTTGTGTTGTGTGTCTTTGATCAATAGTGAGGTTAGCATCCCTTCATGCATTAGTTAGCCTCCTGTGAATTCATATCCTTTGGACGATTATAAGAGGATGCCCATTGCAGTATTGTTTGCAGTAGCAGAGAGCTTTGACAGACATACCCTTCACCAGGGGAATGGAGAAGTAATGATAACAATGTCAGCTAGGGTTTTTCTTTTTTGAGCACTTATGTGCAAAGGATTTCTCAATGCTCTTCAGATACATACATTCAAAATTCATTTAATCCTCGTAACCACCCTGCAGTGTAGATACTCCTACTGTCTCATTTTATATATCAGGAATCTGAGGCACTGAGCAGTTACGTAATTTGCTCAAGATCACACAGCTGGTAAGTGGCAGAGTGGGATACAGTGGGGTGGACATAGTGGAAGTTAGAAACCATGAACTAGATTTAGTGACAAGATTTTTTTTTTTTTAGATGAAGTCTCGCTCTGTCACCCAGGCTGGAGTGCAGTGGCGCGATCTCGGCTCACTGCAACCTCGGCCTCCCGGGTTCAAGCAATTCTCCTGCCTCATTCTCCCGACTAGCTGGGGCTACAGGTGCATGCCGCCATGCCCAGCTAATTTTTGTATTTTTAGTAGAGATGGGGTTTTGCCGTGTTGGCCAGGCTGGTCTCGAACTCAGGTGATCCACCTGCCTCAGCCTCCCGAAGTGCTGGGATTACAGGCGTGAGCCACCATGCCCAGCCTAGTGACAAGATTTTTAAAAGATTTCATGTTGCATGAAAAAGTGAGATGCATAGCCCAACATTACTCTTATACGAGCACAGACATTCACAAAAAAACTGTTAGATGTTCTTCAGTGAAAAAACATTTGAGTGGGTCCCCATAGGCGGGAGCAGGAAGGGAGAATGAAAAGGAACGTGAAGAGCCTTGGACACAACAATGAAATTATTTGTTGTGACCTGGAGAGGATGATGAGCTTTGTGAACTCGAGGTCTAGTCATTAACAAGAAAGCACCACCATTAAAACCCTTTAGGGACTGTTGAGAAATCCGGGGTAAGGTAGCCCAGACAGGAGAAGGCTGAAGCTGAGGTGCTCCAGAGAAACCCCTGCATTGAGCTCGTTTTTCTGAGGGCTACTAGGCACAAGCAAGAAAAGATAGTAGGAAAATGCAGATTTTGTCAATTCCCATTCACTTTGTAGTCTATCCACATGCACAAAACTAAAAGCAGGCCACCGTTCTCCTTGCTATCTAAAAAAGGTTTCTGGGCCACCTTTCCTCATTGCTATTTCCTGAACATACTAATTTTAACATAACCCTAAGCAACATGAAATTAGGGAGCAAGAGCTATTTAAACACACACCATAAAATGGCACAGCGTCCAGATCCCCTACAGATTCATCAGTGTCTTTTCCCTCTCACAATGGGACATGGCTGACAGAGGAAGTTACAGAAGGAGCCCCCCAGAAAATGGAGCTGATGACAGGGCTGTTTTCAAACACTGGTGCCAAGGGCAGGTGTTCCGTGTGTGTTGGGGGTTGGTGGGTGTGTGTTGGAGGGGAGATGGTGAACATGAATGAAGCCCCATCTTTTTTTTTTTTAAACTCAGATTCCAGCTGGGACTCTCACAGGGTGCAAGAGTTTACATGAGGCTGCAATGAAAAGGCAAGATTGATCGAAGGGCCTCAGGAGGAAGTGTTCCCAACACAATGCTTGACTGCTTGTGGCTCCATAGACGCCCTCACTCTCAGGCCAGACAAAGATCTCAGAGGTAGAGGAGTCCCCAGTGAAGTTTGCTTTGCTTTGCTCTTTTTTTTTTTTTTTTTTCAGAAGGAGTCTTGCTCTGTCTCTCAGGCTGGAGTGCAGGGGCGCGATCTCGGCTCATTTCAACCTCTACCTCCTGGGTTCAAGCGATTCTCCTGCCTGAGCCTCCCAAGTATCTGGGACTACAGGCACCCACCACCACACCCGGCTAATTTTTGTATTTTTAGTAGAGATGGGGTTTCACCATGTTGGCCAGGCTGGTCTCAAACTCCTGACCTCAGGTGATCCGCCCACCTCTGCCTCCCAAAGTGCTGGGATTATAGGCATGAGCCACCCGGTCCAGCCTGCTTTGCTCTTTACACGCTGCAGAAAGGGCGTTGAGCTGGTGAGTTGAAGGGTTTCTAGTCTTGGCTCTGCCTGTTCCCAGCTGTTTGAGTCTCTCTGCATATCAGACAGGGATAATTAGACCACCTTGCCTCCTTCTCAAGGGAAAGGGGAAGAGGTTCATGCAGTTCATCCTGCAGAAATGCTTTCAAAACTGCCAAGTGCCATATGGCTGTAGAAATGACAACGTCATGTTTTTTTTTTTCTTCTTTTTTTTTCTTTTTTTTTTTTTGAGAGGGAGTCTCCCTTTGTCACCCAGGCTGGAGTGCAGTGGCGCAGTGTTGGCTCACTGCAAGCTCCGCCTCCCGGGTTCATGCCATTCTCCTGCCTCAGCCTCCTGAGTAGCTGGGACTACAGGCACCTGCCACCACACCCAGCTAATTTTTGTATTTTTAGCAGACACAGGGTTTCACCATCTTAGCCAGGATGGTCTCGATCTCCTGACCTCATGACCCACCGGCCTCGGCCTCCCAGAGTGCTGGGATTACAGGCGCGAGCCACCACGCCCGGCCAACGTCGTGTGTTTTGAACCCCACCTTCTCTGAACCGCTCAGGCTTGTGGGTCCTTTCCTAGTCCTAGGATGGCGAATTAAGCTTGATATATTTCATCTATAGGATACCGAGGGATTGGTCCCTGATGACACCCCGTGTCCGCAAGGAAACTGAGGCTTGATGTCCAATTTATTCCTCCTCAGGAGGGGTGATTTTAGCGGGCAAGGGGAGATGGTATGTGTTCAGGATGGAGAGTTCACACCTGTGGTGAGGTTGGGCAAAGGCTTGGCTCTGGTTGCCCTGTGACTTTGAGTGAAGGTTATTGGGTGCCTCAGGCCCTGCTTACCTGCTTATAAAAAAGTCAAGTCGTCCCCTCCCGTTTGTGACCTTGTGAGGATGGTTAGGATCCAATCACACACTAAGTTCGTGTCAGTCCTGGAGAAATATTTAGTTTTTCCTGTTGCATAGCTCCGTCACCTTCGTTTTTGACACTCACTTGCTTTTCAAACCTCTTAATACAGTTACCACAGACACAGTGAGTGACTTTCAAGTTCATGCCTTTGAAAGGCAAAAGCTCCTCATCTTTTCAGCACCAGCAGCCCCAGGTAAGCCAGGGGCTGAGCTACTGTGATAAAATTCTGGTTTTATCCCTCAGAACCCAGGTAGCTGCTTTCTTTCTTTCTTTTTTCTTTTTTTTTATGAGCTGCTATTGTCAGCGTGCAGAAGATCTCTATTAATAGAGTAAAGATTTCATGCCACCAGTAATTTTTCTAAGAGGAGGCAGGAATGCGGCCGACTGGGCTCCACTGTCCCCTTTTGCGTTGAGAAGTTTCAGCTGGGTGCATGGCCATAATTGGGTTACGGGGCTGCTAATATGATTGTGCTGCCTGGAAATGCAAAAGCCATGAGTCGGTTAAACATCAAGGTGAAGTTATTTCCAGCGGATCGATTGCAGCATCTCCCCGACAGCATGGAGGCCTGGGTGATGGGAGAAGCGGATCCAGCAGGCAAGGCTGCGATTTCTCTCTACTGATGCTGTGGCCTCTGTGGCAGGGCAAGCACAGGCTCTGCATTCCTGCTTCTGGGCAGCCTGCCCAGCTGGTGGGGTGTCCCAGTGGATGGCGAGAGTTTGGTAGGTTCAATTTGATTCAGTTTGGCAAACATTTACTCACCTTCTACTGTGTCCAAAGTACACAAAATAAGGGTCCTCTTTTACCTTTTAAGTCACGAAAATGAAATATTCCAGTTCTGACAATTCAAATGACAGCTGGAAGGCCACCCCTTACCCCTTCAACCCCACCCTCCTGGGGTATCCAACACTGAGTTTGCACTGTAGGCTTCCACAAGTTTTTGATGCTTCTAGAAACTTATCACATACACAGGGCTTTTTATAAAAGAAAAATATATATTTATATATATCTTCTGCAACTTCATTTTTCCCCCTCAACCATATGACATAGAAAGTTTCTAGGTTAATACAAGTAAATCTAGCTGATTTATTTATAATAGCTACATACAGTTACATAGTATGGGTATTGTACAATTTAGTTTTATATATTTTATTTTATTTTAAACTTTTATTTTAGGCTCAGGGGTACATGTGCAGGTTTGTTATATAGGTACATTGTGCGTCCTAGGGGTTTGGTGTACAGATCACTTTATCCCCCGGGTAAAAAGCATAGTGCTCGATAAGCAGTTTTTGAATCCTCATCGTCCTCCCACCCTCTACCCTCAAGTAGGCCTCAGTGTCTGTTCCCTTCTTTGTGTCCATGTGGGTATCTTAAAATTTATGTAATCATTCCCTTTCTGGTGTGCATTCAGGCTATATATATATATATATATATATATATATTGCATTCAGCTACTCTTTCTGGGAGTGTAGTATACCTAACACGGGGGCTTTTGGTGTAGGCAGACCTGGGCCTGAATCCCAGCTTGACCACTGACTGTGTGACCTTAGGGATGTTCTCTAAGGTCGTCTAGCCTCAAGGCCTTCAACTGCAAAATGAGAGCAGCAGACAGCTCACGGTGTCACATGCGGTGATGGAATGAGGTGATGTACAGTGTGTGCTTCTAACGCAGGGCCTGACACACGGCGAGGGCCCAGTTAGCTCGAGCAGTAACTTGGGGTTTGGGAGTCTTCATCTTGCCAGAATTCTCACTGCTGTAATTGAAGAACAGGACTCTTATGGGGTCTGGGGTCCCAAGGAGGAAGTCCTTGGAGAAATGCAGATCCAGCTTGCCCTGAGTCTACGATTCCTGCAGAAAAAGGCACAGCCACCTCCGAGTGGGGAGCCTGGGGAAGTCCTGGGCAGCCTCAGAGCCTCCTGCTTCTGCTCTGTGAGCTGCCAGCGCACCTGTGAGGCATCTGGCTTATCCTAGATGGGGGCATTGTGTTCAGAGAGGTGGAGGGAGGCTGCTCTGGTGGAGAGGGTCTTATGCAAGGTCCTCCTGCAAGGACCGTCTCCCGTTTAGTCATTCGCGGTTTCAGGGACCCTGCTGTCGCCCATGTGGCTGGTGGGCTGCAGCCACTGCCACAACCTGTGTGAAGTGACCAGAGCCACTGGCAGTTCTCCTTAGGGCACGTGGGGTCGGGCCGTCAGCCTTGACAGCTTGCTGCCCTCCAGGGCAGAGTGTTCTTCTCATGACACCTGCTTTCATGGGCAGCTTCCCTTCCCGCCATGATATCAACAAGGTCTTTTGATAGAGCCTCTTCGTCCTAGGGTCCAGAAGTGGGGCGGGTAGTCCCAATGTCTTCTGTTTCTCCCACGAGGCCTCAGAGCCACCAGACAAATGCACTGATGACAAATTCCTTTGCTATCCCAGCAATCCTGGGTGTTTATGTGGATTAGGACCCCTCCGTCCATTTGCACAGGTTTACTTATCTATGCACTCAGAACTTTCTAGGTCAGTAGTTCGAATAGTGACCCAGACTGACTTCAGTCACTGGTTAGCAGTGAAATGAGAAAAATAAGAACAGAGTGGTGAGTTTCATAGAGCTAAGTATATTCTATTTATGGGGATGTTCTTTGCCCTTTGGGATTCAGGGATTACTTTCTTGGCATTAAATGTCCTTTTAAAATTGATGGTCATTTCTTTTTATTTTTTCTTTCCTTTTTTACAAGGGGAACATTTAACTTTCAACAATATTTTAATTTCTGTGATTTTCTGTTCAAGAACACTGTCCACATTTCCACTGGATGTTAAAGTTTTTCACATAGATTTGCAAGATGTATTTTAAAAACATTAACCCCTAAGGAAAATATTTGCAAGAAAATCACAGTTGGCCACATGCCAGTTAATTTTATGTATCATGCATACCTTTGGATGTGTAGTTTACATTTCATTTATATTTTTTGTGACCTAGATAATAAAAGCAGTAAAAATAAATCTAACTCTGTTCTATATTTTATCTCAACTTTGTATGACTTGTTTTCACTTAAACTTGAATAAGTCTTGAATTCATTGGCTCCCTCCACCCATCTGTTTTAATGTTCTTATTTGCACAGATGACACTATTCTAGGTGGTCTCTTTCTCTCCCTGTCTCTCCTGGGTACCGGTGGTCTCAACAGAATGGGCTGTCAGTCATGTTACACCTTGGGAAAGCTTGAGAGATGTCACTGAGACACCTGGCTCTATTGTCTATTGTTCTGTAACCGTTAAAAACAAACTAAACAAACGTATTTTTAAATGACTCCCTTATTTCTCTGAAACCTCACCCTCTCCCTTTCTCAGCTTACATCCCAGTGACTTTCCTGATGGACTCAGCAGCAGAAAAACTCCTTTGCTGGCTCACTGTTACAGTGTTCACTATACAATGTACACTTTTCAAGAGTCAGGAGTTCAATGTTATAACTTCCATTCACAGCAACTGCTGTTGTTACTATTTGACTCAGAGGGGTTCACATGAGAAACAAAGGTGGGGGTGTCTCTAGGGGGCTCAACTTTAACCTAACGGGAACCACAGAGTGCCTGTATTGTCTCTGCTGTGGATAAATTTGTTCTCATCCACCCATTTGCTCTACTGTGTGTGAAAGTGTTGTCTTAATTTTGGAGGATTTATTGTTTTCAGTGAGAATTAGGGGTTTCAAACAGGGCCAGAAATGGAGAGGGTGGTCGTGGCAGAAGTATGAGTCGGGCACCACGGTAGTGTGGAGAGAGCACTGGGTGTTAGGACCTCGGGCTCCAATCCTGACTGTAATCTTTAATTACGGGAACTGGAGCAGGCTGCCACTTCTCTGTGCGTCATCTTTCTGCATCTGGAAAACAAATATAATGGTCTTTACATGGGGGTCCCCACACAGACCATTAAGGTGCAAAATGAAGATATTAGACCTTGATAATTGATGATTATATTATCTTTTAAAAAACCTATCTAGGCCGGGCGTGGTGGCTCACGCCTGTAATCCCAGCACTTTGGGAGGTTGAGGCGGGTGGATCATGAGGTCAGGAGATCGAGACCATCCTGGCTAACATGGTGAAACCCTGTCTCTACTAAATATACAAAAAAAATTAGCCAGGCATGGCAGCACGCGGCTGTAGTCCCAGCTACTTGGGAGGCAGAGGCAGGAGAATTGCTAGAACCTGGGAGGCAGAGGTTGCAGTGAGCCAAGATCGCGCCACTGCACTCCAGCCTGGGAGACAGAGCAAGACTCCGTCAAAACAAACAAAACAAAACAAAACAAAACAAAACCTATTTAGATAGTGACTGGTCACTATCCTTTCCCCAGTAACATACATGTGATGTCAGACAGTCACATCACAGCTATGTTACTGGGGAAAGGAGGAGGTTCATTATACAAAGGTGTGTACAGTGGCCTCCTGACTAGTTTGTTAGCTTTCATATTGCAGTGTTCCACAATCTGCCAATGCTCCATTACATTGTATTATTTAGTTTGAACCAAAGAAACTCTCAAGAAGTGAATGAGTGCTCTAAAGATTCCTGCAAAGAAATGGGGAGGTTGAAGAACAGTAATTATACCAGGACAAGAAAACAGCAAGAAAATGGCAGAATCAACCCTCCTTCTGTGCCTGGAATAATCTTTCCATCAGTGTCATCATGAGCTAAAAACAATGACGATCTAATTGGATCAGACAAGAACTTGCCTTAAACCCCCCAATTCTCTAAAGATAGGGATTTACTTCCTCTTGTTAACAATACTCTTTGTTCGGTGTGCCAATTGCGCCCTTGTGAGTTATCTTTTTCAGCTCTGACAATCATTATTAGCAAGCATGAACATAAATGGAACTTTTGAATTGATTATCAAAAGTTTGATATATGGGATATTTGAATTGATGTATCTCAAAGTATAACTCCAGCATGTAAAAAATGATGCAAATTCTACCACATTGCTCTCACAAATAATATGATTACAGATAATATTTTAACGAGGGCAGACATTTTTATATAATTAATCACTACAGTTATGTATTAAGAACTTTTTTTTACTTTTGTAGCATCTCTTTAAAAGTATTTTGTTTGTTTCATAATGAATGTATTAGTAAGTACATACAGAAAAACCAAGGTCTTTTCATTCTTTCTGAGAGAGTGGGGAAGACATATTTCTGATGAAATAAACAACTCACGTTTCCTCAACGCTGCCAGGGCTCCCCTTTTCCAGAGGAGCCAACCTCCCCTTCCTTTGCACTTGCTGTTCCTTCTGTTTCCAAAATGCCTTTGCTTACTGCCCGCGTGGCCATCACAAGGCCACCTGTAACCTTTGGGCCTCATACCCTGTGTCTCCCCAGTGCCCAGGAAAGGCCTGGCACACAGAGGGTGCTCCGTGCTCCACATGCCTGCAGAGGAATTCATGAGGGAATTAATGATGAGGGACAAAGCCAGCACTGGCCATCCCTGAGGAGTCACTCACAAAGCACTGCTGACGCAGCAGATGGTTCCATTAGGAGAGTTCAGAACTCCTGTGGATGTCGAATATTCGTGCAATGTAATTGGGAATATTTAACAAATGTTTAGCTTTGGGTGACCACATGCCATTCCCCAAAATTCACCCTTAAACTACAAAGAGGACCTAAAAATTGTTTGAAAAGTACAATTCTCTAATGGAGATCATTTTCTGTAATGACATTTCAGTACATTTAGAAACAGGTAACAGAAATTGAAGTAAAAACAGCAACTGTGGAAATCACAAACCTCCCGTCAATAAACTCTGGATCAGAGAATCATCAGAACCCAAACCGAACAACTATCCAGAAAATACTAACCATGAAAACACAACACATCCAAACTCATAGCAAATGCTATTCAAAGAGGAAAATGCATAGCACCGAATTCTTAACATAACTAAAAATGAAAGTGTGAAAACGGATTGGGCAACTCAGCATCAAGCTAAAAAAGCTAGAAATGGGACAAAAAGTAACTCAAGGAAAGCAGAACAACGGAAGTAATATTGGAACAAGATGTTTTGCAACTCAGAAAATCCAAAGGCTTGATAAAGTCAAAGAGCTAACGATAGGGTGGCTGTTATTTTTTCTTTTGAACCGAAAAAACAGAAATACAAGATTGAAAATGAGAAAGAATAAAAAAAAAACAAAGGCATGAAGGACAATGACTTTTCAGAGGCTGCCTCCCAGAACTCTGTGTAGGGAGGCAGAGAAAAGGGGAGCTGGCTGGGGCAGCTCTGCCTGGGCTCTTGGTGACATCTTTCCTGATCTGTCACCCCATGTGAACAGCCCAGTCCCTCCTGGTGCGGCTGCCTGTTCTCCTGGGATGGGAAACAGAAGCTTCCCATCTATGCTGCAAAGAGAATGGGGTACCAGGGCTTGGCCTGGAACGGGTATGAGGCTAGGGAGCCCAGGCCAGGGCCACCGCTTGGATGCATTTCCTAAACTAGGTGATGGCCTTATTTGTATATTTTTCAGATAGAGTCTCACTCTGTCACCCAGGCTGGAGTGCAATGGCATGGTCTTGGCTCACTGCAACCTCCACCTCCCGGATTCAAGTGATTCTCCTGCGTCAGCCTCCTGAGTAGCTGGGACTACAGGTGTGTGCCACCACACCTGGCTAATTTTTGTATTTTTAATAGAGATGGGGTTTCACTATGTTGGCCAGGCTGGTCTCGAACTCCTGACCTGGTGATCCACCCGCCTCGGCCTCCCAAAGTGCTGGGATTATAGGTGTGAGCCACCACGCCCGGCCTTATTTGTACTTTTCTATGTCCATATCTATTAAGAAAGATAATTTTTAAAAAAGTAAAATGATAGATTCTGAATCTAAAGTCCCCTATAGGTCATTTTTTAAATGGAGGGACTTTCTTTCTGGAATTAACACCTATGTGTTTGTGGGATGAATGGATGAATGAATGAGTGATCCTAAGACAACGCTATTGTCTACTGCCCTTGAGGATGACATCTCACACTGTGGATGCTGCCGATGTTTTTCCCAGTGGAACTTAACACCCCAGTGAAAAAGCCACAGTTCCTGGCAGGTGTTATGGATCCAGTGATAGCATTAAACTTTATAAGCTATTAATAACCAAATTCACTATGTCCAAAAACAGAGTTCTTAATGACGGTGCCTCCCCCATCCCCCAAACCGGCTTTGTCTCTCCCCTCCACCCGATTAATGGCCCCACCATTTGCCCAGTGTTGCTTAAGCCAAAACCTTAGAGGTTCATCCTTGATTCCCTTCTCCTGTCTAACTCACATCCAATTCACCATAAAGTCTTGCCAAGAGACCTCTAAAGCATTTTCCGAATGGATACACTTCCCTCCCTTTCCACTACGTCCAGCCTGGCCAAAGCCACCATCATTTCCTGCCTGGAGCACTACAACAGCCTCCTACTCAGTCTTCATGCCTGTGCTCTCTCCCCCTTCAGATGTTCTCCTTAGACCAGCTGGAGTTATCTTTATGAAGTAAATCGATCACATCATCCTCCTGGTTTAAACCTTCCAAGGCTTGTCAATCAGATTTGCAATGAAATTGAGACCCCTCTCCCTAGAGGCTGCACAGGCCTGGACCCTGCCAACCTTATCAGCACCTGGCCTTGCCAACCACCTCCAACCCCTGGACCCCATATGGTTCAGCCACGATTGCTTTTGTGTCTGTCCCCCAAGTTTGTTCCTGCCTTAGAGACTTGCATTAGCTCTCTCTCCTGTAATCCATGCCCCTCAAAAGACAAGGCATTTCTTTCGTCTAAGTTCGGCCTAAACATCATTGCTTTAAACTCGATGTAAGGCTCTCCCTGCCATTCACTCTATCACATCTCCCTGTTATATTTTCATTATATTATGTACAACACCATCTAAAAGTCTTCATGCATTTCTGTATATGTATAGAAATGGCCAGTGATGAGAGGTTCATTGTCCTATCTCCTCTTAGCCCAGAACCCAGACAAGGACTTGGGTTAATTTCCTTTCTCATCAGATGTGCTGTGGAGCTTTTTCCAGCGGTTCTGGATCAAGAAAAGTCCTCGTCCCAGATGCTTAGTAAACACTCCTGACCTGCATGCAGTGCCCTCCTGGCCTAGTGTTGACTTCATCTGACTCTGCCGCCTTGCTTTTAGTACTGTTTTGGCCTGCAGACCTCTAAGGCAAGCAGGAAGAAGGGGAAGGACACTTAGCCCAGGTAACAGCCTGGAGACCACTGTCCTAAGCAGCCCCAGAGCTAGACTTGCTAGGACAAAATCCTAGAGGGGCAAGGAGCTTTCCTCCGAAGTCACCCACTTTTAGTCTTTTTGCAAAACCTGACACTCTGGTCATATTCTGTTTCTTCTAGGCATGTTTTGTGATCAGCAAATGTTGAGCGAAGGTCTTGGTTAGAGGGGAAATTTAGAGGTCAAGTCTATATGACAGGTGAAGGGAAAGGCATCCAGGTCATGCCAGTTAGCACAATTTCTATTTAAGGAGTTAGGCTGGCACATTTAAGAGAATCTGTACAGGCCACTGGGCATCGTGGAGCAAGAGAGTCAAACAAGGAGAAAACCCAGCAGTTCCGTGGGAGATTGCCTTTGCCCAATGGCAAGAGTGGAAGGGACGAATATGGAGGGCCAAGCTGAGGAAAAGCTGCATTGGGGCTGCCCTGCACATGCCCCTTCGGGTGCCTGGCAGCAAACCCCACCCGGGGCTATGGCGTTGCAAGGAAAAGACAGTGGGTAGTGGAAGCCCATGGTCATCTGGAGCTCGACCACCTGTGATCCCCTCGTTCCCTTTAGGGAAGGTTAGGGGTGATGGGGAAGGGAGGGCTTTGTGCCAGAGAAAGGAATGACTGGTAGGAAGGGGAGATTTTGAGTGAAGCATAAAAGGTTATTTGGAGCTGTGGCTTGGAGACAGCCTCTAGTATGGAGACCGCTTGCTCCTGCTTTTAATCAGACCAAGTGTGTAAATAATGAATTCAGAGTTACATCCACATTGCCTCATGGGTTCTCCTCATTGTCGTCACTATTTAAACAAAACTAGCATGTAGAGAGGGAAATGCTAACCCTCCTGGTGCCCAGGGAAAGGTGGCCGGGGAGGAGTGATCCAGGTAGCCTGCAGCTTAGCCACTGCCTCCCCTGGGAGGGCTGGGCCTGCCCAGAGTGTGGTGTAATAGTGAGTTGATGCCATAACCTTTGTGTTTGATTAGTCGCCAAACACAGGTAATTCACTTTATTGATTTAAAGTTGCTTATAAAATGCCATATCAGCTACTGCTAATTAAATGAGTTAATATTTGTAAAACTTAGCCCAGTGCCTGGCACTCTTAGCTATTCCTCAAACAGCAATCGTTACTACTGCAGCTATGGTGTTTCAGCCACTGACTTCAGGTAGCCTGTGTAGACAAATAGCTCTCGGTGTTACTCCACAGGGATCAGGGCAATGCTGATCAGCTCCATTTGCTTGCCTGATGGGCTTAAAAGGCATGAAGAGAAAAGGTTGAAGGAACGGCTCTGCACACAGTCATTTGTTCTGACTAAATATTTCCGACGCTGGAGATTCTGAAAAGGAAATACTCTCCAGTGGCCCCACATACACATGCATGTGTCGTATAATGTGTGCAAGGTGCACATCTGTTGGTGAAACAGGAACCTACTTGTTTGCAATGGTGGAGTAAACACCAAGGCGATATTTACTGCGGTCAGCTGTGAGACCATCAGACTACTTAGGAGAGCCGTCCTGAGCCACCTACCTCCTGGCCCCATTGGTAGGGGGTACCCATATGATTCCACTGGGACTCAGAGACTAGATTGATAAGCCTTCACTATCAGGCCTCCTACAGCATCCTGGATCAGTGGAGAGGGACAGCCAAGGCCCTCCTGGGGAAATGTGGCCCACTCCCCCTCCCCACCCTCAGTTCCTTGGGCACATGCACTGCCCTCCTTGGCCCATAGATGTTCCTAAAGCCCATGAATGACACTAGACCACCAGATTACTGGCAAGAGGGGTTTAAGGCCAGGTCCCTAAGAATGAAATCCTTTATGTTAGGTGGCCTGTTGCTGAATTATTTTGCTTGGAAGGACAGACTCACCTCCTGTCTCTCCAGTCAAATCCTTATTCCTTTCCTGCTTGCCCCCAGTCTGCTCTGAGAGTCCCATCTCAACCTGCTCCTGTCTGTAGAATCCTCTCGACCTGCAGACTACTGTGAGCCGGCTCTCTCTGTGGGCACCGCCTCGGCCCCCAGCCTGACTGCCTGCAGAATCTTGCTCCAGCTGCAGCTGCGCTCCCTCAGCCACATGCTGTTCTGGTAAACACCAGCCGAGGTTGCCACCAACCTGCACAGGCCTTCTGAGGGACCCAAGTCCCTGGTCTGGGGACTTGTCTAGCCCTCTTTAATTCCAGGACTTTCCATCAGACTTCTATTGGAAACGGAGTCCCAGCTGTGTGTCATATAGGTTTCTTCTGCCATCCACCAATGCCTGTTGGAAAGGCCAACTTCTCCCTGGGGATCCCTGGGCAAATGCCGGAGTGTCTTTTGGGTCAGTTCAACCTTTGATGGAAGCTGTTGGTGGGAATAGGTGGGCACGGATTACCATCAGAAAATGTTCCCTTTCTCTTGCCTCTCCTCTTTTATTTGATGTACCACGCGGGGCCTCCCTTTGCCCCATGTGCTTTAGAAGAGCATACTGCTTTTTCAGAATGGTGTTGATCCGCTGCTTCCAAAATAAACATTCAACCACCTTGACTGACTCCTTTGCTGGGAAAAACAATTCCACATGTGTGGTATGAACTAACCATACATCCCCTTTATGAACCATGTGAAGTGAAGTCCTGGGGTCCATGCTGAGGAGCCCTGAGCGGGTGGGCTTTCCTCCTCCTCCCTTAGCTCCCAGGGACCTGTTCACCCACAGTGATCACTCTGGGCAGCCCTCGTGAGCCAGAGACAGAACCCGTGCAAAGACCGAAAAGCACCTGGAAGGGGAAGGGGTGGCAGGAGCATTTCCCTTTTTATCGAGATTCAAGAGCAGAGTCTCATTTTGCTTTCCAAAACAGGCGCTTGTATCTGTGCACCGAAGTTATGAAGCAGCTATTCTCTTCCAAAAACAGAGTAGATGTTTGATGTCAGCAGTGCTGCTCTTTCTTGATTTTCAAACAATCTTAATTTTATTGGGGACATTACATTTGTTTTGTTGGGGGTGCACTCCAGTCTGTTTTTTGTTTTCTCTATCTGCTTTCCTGTCTTCTTCAAATACTCCATGCTGGTTCTCACCTCTGGGCCTTTGCTTATGCTGTTCCCACAGCTGAGGCGCCCCCCTCTCCCGCAGTGCCTCTCGCACTCAGTCACCAAATTCCCACTCATCCTTCAAGACGCAGCACAGACATCTCTTTCTCAGGAAGCCTGTCTTGTCCCCTTGCCTCATCTCTAACCCAAGCCCCTGCCCACTGACCTCCTGTACCCGTGCATCCACCCCGCTTCTCCCTACCACATGTCAAGCAAAATCTCAGTTGTCTCTCTCTCCTTCTAGACAATAGCTTTTTTGGAATAATGAGGAATTTCAGTCATGATTACATTCCTTGTAGCCATCACAAACCCTGACACATCATCAAGGCTTAAATTGGTGTTCACCCCTGCACTGACCTCTTTACATTGCCTCATTTTAGACAATTCTTTTCTTAAGGAGAAAACTACATGTACTTGGGCACACCTGCCATGCTTCTGATTTTTATAGGGACGGATGTGCAGGGAGGCTTAGCACACTGACTTTTCTAATCTCTATGGTCGATTGTCTACATCTAGAGTTAAACGTTTTGGCCTCAGACTCCCTTTACAATTTTTTGTGAGACAGGTTCTTGCTCTGTTGCCCAAGCTGGAGTGCAGTGGTGTGATCGATCATATCTCACTTTATCCTTTAACTCCTGGGCTCAAGCGATCCTCCAGCCTCAGCCTCCTGAGCAGCTAGGACTACAGGCATGTGGCACTATGCCTGACTGATTTTTTCTTTTTTAAATTTTTTGTAGAGGTGGGGTCTTGTTATGTTGCCCAGGCTGGTCTCGAACTCCCAGCCTCAAGTGATCCTCCTGCCTTGGCCTCCCAAAGTGTTGGAATTACAGGCGTGAGCCACCATGCTTGGTTCCCCTTTATAATCTTAAGAATCATTGAGGGCACCAAAGAGCTTTTGTTTATGTGGGTTATATCTATTGATAGTTATTGTATTACAAATTTAAATAAGGAAAATTTAAAAATTAGTTCATTTAAAATAATAAGCTAACATACATATGTTCAAAACAAAAAATTTAGTGAGAAGAATGGCATTATTTTGTATCAGAATTCTCAACCTTGGAACTACTGAAATTTTGGACTAGATACTTCTTTGTTGTAGGAAGTTCTCCAGTGCATTGTAGACGGTGAGCAGCATCACTGGCCTCTACCCACTAGATGATAGTATCCCACTTTGATAACCAAAAAGTCGCCTGATATCCCCTGGACAGATGGAGAGAGAGAAAAACATCACCCTAAATGAAAACCACCGTTTTTTTATTTTGCAAATCTTTTTAAAAATTTTATTTTATTTTATTTTAAGTTCCAGGATACATGTGTAGGACATGCAGGTTTGTTACCTAGGTAAACATGTGCCATGGTGGTTTGCTGCATCTATCAACCCATCACCTAGGTATTAAGCCCCACATGCATTAGCTATTTATCCTGATGCACTCCTTCTCCTTGCACCCCCATAGGCCCCAGTGTGTGCTATTCCCCTCCCTGTGTCCATGTGTTCTCATTGTTCAGCTCCCACTTATAAGTGAGAACACGCGGTGTTTGGTTTTCTGTTCCTGCATTAGTTTGCTGAGGATAATGGCTTCCAGCTGCATCCATGTCCCTGCAAAGGACATTATCTCATTCCTTTTTATGGCTGCATAGTATTCTGTGGTGTATATGTACCACATTCTCTTTATGCAACCTATCACTAGTGGGCATTTGTGTTGATTCCATGTCTTTGCTATTGTGAATGGTGCTGCAGTGAATATACGTGTGCATGTATCTTTATAATAGAATGATTTATATTCCTTTGGGTATATACCCAGTAATGGGATTGCTGGTCAAATGGTATTTCTGGTTCTGGGTCTTTGAGGAATTGCCATACTGTCTTCCACAATGGTTGAATGAATTTACACTTCCACCAACAGTGTAAAAAAGTTCCTATTTCTCCACAGCCTCACCAGCATCTGTAGTTTCTTGACTTTTTAATAATTTCCATTCTGACTGGCTTGAGGTGGTATCTCATTGTGGTTTTGATTTGCATTTCTCTAATGATTAGTGATGTTGAGCTTTTTTTCATATGTTTGTTGGCTGCATAAATGTCTTCTTTTGAGAAATGTCTGTTCATGTCCTTTGGCCACTTTTTAATGGGGTTGTTTTTTTCTTGTAAATTTGTTTAAATTCCTTGTAGAATCTGGATATTAGACCTTGTCAGATGGATAGATTGCAAACTTTTTCTCCCATTCTTTATGAGATCTGTTCACTCTGATGATAGTTTCTTTTGCTGTGCAGAAGCTCTTTAATTAGATCCCACTTGTCAATTTTTGCTTTTGTTGCAATTGCTTTTGACGTTTTTGTCATGAAATCTTTGCCCCTGCCTGTGTCCTGAATGGTGTTGCCTAGATTTTCTTTTAGCCTTTTTATAGTTTTGGGTTTTACATTTAAGTGTTTAATCCATCTTGAGTTAATTGTTGTATAAGGTGTAAGGAAGGGGTCCAGTTTCAATTTTCTGCTTATGGCTAGCCAGTTCTCCCATCACCATTTATTAAATAGGAAATCCTTTTAAATGTCTTGATTAATAGAAGAGAGCTGGATTCTTATATCTCCTTTTGCATTTATTCTGTTGCCATATCTTGTTTTGGTTGAGGTGGATGGTGAAATTACAGCCTTACATAGATAGATAGTTGAAAGCGTATCTTAATAGCTTTTAAAGATAATAATAGTGGATATTCTTCTTTGATACTACACCAAAACTCAAAAAGTGGTGGTTTCTTAAATGTTTGTTGTAATGTGGAATCTGAAACCACATCAATACACTTTTCTTACTCTGTTACATTAAAATGTATTGGTTTATCTTGGATGTTGAATGGATCTTTTACCCATATGAGATTTTGTAACATCGTATACTAGTCATTTGGAAAATATTTATGCTGTTCTTTTAAATGTTGACAAGTCTCATTATACAAGAGAAATTACATTTGTTAACCTTAGAAATGTTTCTAAGTACTGAAAAGCTCTCAAGGACACAATAGCAGATGCAGGTTTTCCAAAATTCCAATTTCCTCTTGAAAGCTCAGGTTGTATCATTGGTCAAATTACTATCAGTTTTCTTTCTTGAAGTGAATGGCTCACTTAATTTTGAGAAAATGGCTATCAAACACCAAAGTCTATATAACCATAGATCATAAATTGTTAATTCAAGTAAAAATAATGTTCCATGTAAAAAGTGGCTAGTTTAGCCTGCAACTCAATTCCACACTGCTTTTCCTCAAGACAACTATCATGCTTTGATATGTTTTATGTGAACTTCTCTTATTGTCACAGAGACTATTTTAAAAAGTGTACTCCAAAGTTGAGATTTAATATAATTAAAATGTTTACTGTTTCATCAAGGACATTTCCAAGTGAAATTGGCTTTCTTTTGCTTCTGCAAGCACTCAGCTGTAAACACTATGATGACTAGAAACACAAGTACTGCCTAGATTTGTGCTAAGGCAAAGCAGTTTCACCACCACTGCTCTTGCAACTTTAGTGCAATGTCAACAAGGGACAAAGGCAAATCACATCTTAGTTTTATTATGAAAGCAGTTTTGATCTTGCTGACACCCCCCCCCCCCCCCCCCCCCCGCCGAAAGGTTTTGGGACCCCAGGGATGCCTAGAACACATTGCTGGTCTACGCCAATGTTGTTTTACTTTGATGGTGAACTAAAACTGCCACAAGAGTTAGAAATGAGGGCACAGGAGCTCTATTTATGTGATTGGCTCACAAACTGCCAAGGAAGTAGTCATGGATTCAAGATTTCAGGCTGGAAGGGCCCTTTGAGATGCTTTAATCTAGCTTCTTCAGCTTACAGATGAGCATATTTAGCCCAGAAAGCGGGAGTGACACACCCAAAGTCTTGCAGCTAGTTGTGGAAGAACAAGATCTAGAACTCAGGTCTTCTGATTCCCAGTGCAGTGCTCTACCACGTCCTGCTGTTTGCAAGCACTCTGTAGAGCGTCTAACACACGTTCATGTGCAGAAAAGATCCTTTTTATGCTCAGCTTGAACAATGTTTTATGATTGTTGGCATATTTGCTCTTGTTTTCTAAGTTGGCTTTTGCCCAGCCAACATTCAGGAGGCTGCCTATTTTCTCTGGTTGCTTGACCTACAAGGACTCAAACTGGCCATGAGGCATACATGGGTGCTTAGCTGTGCTTTCGTGCTCCAACAGTTAGACATCCTATAGAGTTGGTTAGCCGAGAGAGCTATGCATTTTCCCACCCGCTTAGGCCGCAGTGCTGTTGATGATGACGTGAGGACTCTACTTTTCCACCTACATGTTGATTCACTTAAAGGAAACCTCTGGAACATTTTCCATGGGAACTGCCTTAACTGGAGTGTCTTGACGTTGCTAATTTCCTTGATTCCAGTCATATCCTTGATCCATTGTGCCTCATGGTGTTTCAGAAGAAAACTGTGGCCATTTTTCTCTGCCTGGCAGTTGAGGAGTAGAGAAGATAGATGCGGCTTCTCCACATAAATAAGCTGTACAACACCCAGTCAAAAACTATTAGTGACTGTTAGGATGAAAAACGCCTCCCATGGCCTGCAATTTTCTTTAGGAAGAAAGTGCCTGGCCTGCTTGGCTTCCAGACAGCTGAGCTGAGAAAATGGGTACCCTCTTAGTTGCTTTCAAAGACCACAAAGATGGACACACAGAGGGGAAGAACACACACTGGGGCCTCCTTGAGGACAGAGGGTGGGAAGAGGGAGAGGACCAGGAAAAATAACTAATGGGTACTGGGCTTAATACCTGGGTGAGGAAATAAGTGTACAACAAACCCTTGTGATACAAGTTTACCTATTTAAGAAACCTGCACATGTGCCCCTGAACCTAAATTAAACACACACACACACACACATACACACACACACACCCCACAAGGAGACCACTTACTGGCAACATGCAAGAGCACAGGAAACTTTAGAAGTCTTCAATGGAACTTGAGAATTATTTCTAGCCACATTTTTCATACATTTTCCCACCAGATAGATCCGAGAATTAATGTCCTAAGCGGTCTCCTCGGAAGCTGCCCTGGGCTGGGGGATCACCTGTCCAGGGGCAGAACCTGGGTTAGGTGGCCTCTTTTGGTCCCTTCCAGGTCTCTAATCCCCTTGTGGTAACTAACAGCCTCACATCTCAGGATTGTCACCTGCAGGGCAGTTGTATAGCCCAGAAGCACGTTGCTTTATCCTAGGAACAGGGTCTGCTGTCTTCTGGGCCTCTTCCCAGGACTTCTGCCTCACCAGGTTGGGCTTCTCAGGTCAGGCCTCACCAGATGGTGAAGACCTGGACTGGGGAACGTTCAAGGCAGAGGAGAGGTAAAGCCACAGCTTAGGTCCTGCTGGGAAGTGCTGGCTGCCAGGAGGCTGCTGTGGAAATAACTGTAGGCCTGAGAAGTCAGCATCTTTAAGGGCGAGTGGGGTGGTGAGAGGACAATTCGGCAAGTCCCATTGACCGACAGGCAGAGTGGCAGCTTACTTGGCATTTCAAACAAACAAAAAATCCACACAAAGAAAACATTCCTGCCTATTCAGAGCTTACAGCCTAAGAGGGGAGGGAAGCTAAACCCTGGACTGGGATCACATGAAAGGAGATGAAATGAGGGATGCACAGAGGACACTGCACGGGGAATCAGGTAGGCTGGAGAGGAGAGGGGTCAGTCCGGGAGACCGTCCTGAAGAGTGGCCTGTGATGGAAAAGGCCAGCAAGAACCATGGAAGCTGCTGAAAGGGTGCAGGGAAGCCACGGTTCCTTCCCTCCCCACGCCCCTCGCTCACTCTAGTCCTGGCTCCCTTTACACAGGCCTAATATGACCAAACAGCACCCTTAGGACTCCTGGGCCTCGGGCCCCAGTGTTGAGTCTGGCAGCAGATCCCCAAGGGGTAGAGTTTGCACTGGTGGCTGGGTGTCGCCGTCAGCAGGTGAGGGAGCGCATGGGGAATGCAGATTCCCAGGCCAGCCCTGCCAAGTCTGAGTGAGTCCCCTGGAGGCTACTGCTGCTGGGACTGTGCGGTGCCGTAGGACATGATTTCTGACCTCAGAGGCCCTGCTTTCTCCTGGGGAAGCCAGACGCTGCATTCCGCATGCCATCGTGACCTTGAAGTAGGGCTGAGAATGAGGTGTCTGGGTCAGGAACTGGTGAGCGCGGTCAGGGGACACCCTTAGGAGAGGAGCTTGCCCTTCACAGCCAGGGCAAATGCTGGGGCGCAGCCATGCTGGCTGTCTCCTCGTCTGTTCTGCCCACACATCTCCTGCGGCACCCTGTGGTCTGTGTCCTGACGTGGCCCGACTGTGGACCCCCTTGTCCTCCTGCCCGCTGTGTCTATTTCTCAGCTCCTGCTATGCTAGGTCTGGGCTTCCGACGCCGGCCCTGCTCCGGCGATTGAAAATGACTGCAGCCTCGGGTGCAGCCTTGTCCTCAGCGTTCAACACGGGGTGCCTCGTGTGCTCCTCATGGCACATTTACCATGGGCTTTTTCAGGTTTCGAGAAGCAGCGACGTGCTCGGGTCACCTCAGGGCGGAGGGTTTGCAGGAAGGCCAGGCACAGCAATGCGGGCGTCAGCCTAGCCCAGCCTCTAGAGAACTGGAGCACCACGGGGCTCAAAGGGGCCTGGGGCCAAACACGGAGGCCCATCTGACTTGGCTCTGTCTCTGCTCCTAGCCCCTGCTGTCTCTTCACTCTCCTGCAGCTTAATGCCGCCCCCGCCCACCCCGCGCCCTGTGTCTTTTGGCTTCTGTTTTGCCTTCTCCTGAAGCCGCTTCTTCTGACTCCCTGACGGGGAGCCTGCGGATGGATTCCCAGGACCTGGTTCCTCAAGGCGGCTGCTGTTGGCTCAGACATCCCCGGCCAGGGTGTTGGTGCCACAGGGAGCAAGAGGGCAGGCAGCCACCTGGGCTCCCCTAAGAATCACTCACTCCAGAGGGAGAATATTTAAGGTTTGAATCACTGACGTTAATCAGAGGCCACGTGATGTAAAAGCACTCTAGGGGAGGGGGGTGTCTAGGAAGGAAGGGAAACTAAACCACAAAAGAAGCCCGTCATGCCCAGCCCTGGAGGAGAGAGGAGGAGCAGGGGCCAGGGAAGACGGGGCGGGCAAGAGCGGCATGTGGCATTTCTCAAGCGGGAGACCAAGTTCAAAGGGAGCACAGCACTCCCAGTGAAACCACCCCTATAAACTTCATAAAATGAATCAGGACAAAAGGAAGGGGAGGAGTGAAACCAAACCCAGCTTGCAGCGCACTTCGTGTTCACCGCGGGTCGGCCTGCGCTCCCACCTGCTTCCTCGTGTTGTTTGCTGCCTATTGACCTAGAATCCCACAGACCCCGCTACAAGGTTATAGTCACCCTAAGGGTCCTACAGATAACAACTGGAGCAGTACGAAATGTTAAGTCTTCCCTTTGAGATAGTCCTTCAGGTCCTACATACCTGTGAAATTACCACGTCAGCTGGTCTAAAGGACCCCATAGGAGCTGACGCACCAAAGAATGCAGTTTCTACATTCTGGTGAATTCATCCGCCTTACCCCAACCAATCAACAGCTCCAATTCTCCAGTCCCTTGTCCTCCACAGTCCCCTTAAAGACTCCAGCCCAGAAATCCTGGGGGAGATGGAGTTTGGGGGCTCCTCCTATCTCTTAGCTCAGTGCCCTGTGACCATTAAACTCTTTCTCTGCTGCAGCCCTAACTGGTAACTGGTCTGTTACTGTGCGGTGGGCATAACTGGTCTGTTACTGTGTAACTGGTCTGCTCCTGTGCAGTGGGCATACGAACCTGTTGGTCCTATAACACCAGTCCCTCACGAAAGCACCAGATTAATTTTCGCACCCTTTGTGGCTGCAGATTGGAAGTGGAGGATGAGGGTGAGGGGAGGTGCCTTCTAGCCTGGGCTTGGGGTGTGGAAGGCAAGAGGGGAAGAGAACCCACAGACAGGATGGAGGGAGGGGTGAGCTGCTTCAGGCGTCGATGCTGCCCTCACTTGTGCTCTGCCCTCCTTCTCCCTAAGGGGAATTGACTCACGCCCTTTCCCCTTGCCACCCTGAACAAAGAAATGCCACTCACTGCCCTGTGATGCAAGCTCTTCACACATGCATGGGAGTAGGTGTGTGCATGGAGGAGGCACCACGCTAGCCTGCTCTCTGGGCTCGGTCCTGGGAGACCTGGCCAAGGACCTTCACCTCCGAACCTTCTCCCGGAATTGGAGGGTCAGCGGGGGGTGGGGTTGAGCCTGCTACATTGAATTTGGCTTGGTCCTCTTGGCTCTCTTAATTGCTCTTTGACAAATAGCCAGAAAGTGGAGGGAAGGCAGGTGGACTTTATTTCCATTTTCGAAGTGTAAGAACTTGAAGCTCCAAGAGGTCAGGTGACATGTCTGTGCCAGTGCCCCCTACCACACCCCTCAGTGACACCATAGGTGGGACAGGGCCGCGTGATGCCGTGAAAACAGCACGTTCCTTTGACCACGTGGTCCTAGTTCTATATCTATCTCTGTCTCTTTGCTAGCTGTGTGACATAGGGCAAGTCCCTTAACTTCTCTGAGCCTGCGTTCTCATCTGTAAAATGAGGATAGTAAGTCACACCTCACAGGGAAACTGAGGCTGACGCAGGAAGACAAATACAAACTATTTAGCCCAACTCCTGGCCATGAGCTAGGTGCTAAGAGTGCTTTTCTTCCTCACTTAAACCACATTTCCGATGACCACATCCAAGTACGCCAGCGCTGGCACACCAAGCGCCACCTTTGAGCGGGAAATGGCAGCCTCCCCTTGCCTGCAGTTCTTCCGGCCTCACTGTTCTCCATGGCCCAAACTACAGTTCCTCTGGGGGTGGTTCATTTACAAAGTGGAGCTATTAAATAAATGTTCACGACATTTTTCTGGATCGTGGATCCCCTTCCCGAGGGAAAAACCCTAGCACCCACATATCCATCACCCACACTGTTTTCGACAGAATTTCAAGGAACTCCCAGAAACTCTGAAGCCACAAGCAAAACTCCTCTCCCAGGTGGGAGGGCAGGACCCACGAGCACACATTCGGCATCACGAGCGATCTGTTGTGCAGCCCGATCATCCCCCAATTCACCAACAGCCTTCTCCTCGCGAAACGCCCGGGACCATCCGTCTGAATTACCCACAGGGTGAGGATGAAAGGCGAGGGAATGAGTGGACAGTGGGGAAGCTGACCTTAAGCGGGAGGGTGCAGGGGTGAGCTAGTTTGGCCTGGAGGGGAGGGCAGTGAGGAACCCGTGAGAAGGGGCCAACGCCCGGAGCAGCCACCGTTTCTTACACCCTTGACTAAGATTGAACAAGAAAAAAAAAATGTCACCAAACAAAGAGAATCGAACCCCTCTAGCCAGGAAAGCAGATCAACAACAGAACAGCACCTGGGGCTCTCTTAAAGGCTTTAAACACAGAGGACAGGTGCGTCTTTTCTTGCTGTGGCTGACGTCCTAGCCGTGTTAAGGGGGTGGGGGCTCTGGCCTCGCTGACCTCGCCTGCCATGGCAACTGTAAGGCTGGAGAAATAGAGTTCCAGCGCCACCACTGGGACTATTGTGCCACCACTGATTTGAGTGAATAGAAGAGTGCTGTTGTTTTGTTTTGTTTTGTTTTGTTTGCAGAGGAGGCATCTCCTAAAGGGGAGGTGCTGTTTGGTGTCTGCAGCAGCAGTGTCTGAGTGAGCTCTGTGAGGGCAGGCTTGGTGTCCCTGAGCACTGCTGGGCTCTCAGAGCTGTGGAAGGGCAGAGGAAGGCCTATCTAGGCTGCCAGGCTTAGCCACAAGCTCTCAGTTCTCAACTGCTGTTCTGGGAGAATGTCCTGACTTTGCTAAGCATATTTTTTTTTCTGTCTTTTATAGACAGGGTCTCACTTTGTCACCCAGACTGGACTGCAGTAGAGGGATCATAGCTCACTGTAACCTTGAACTCTTGACTCAAGTGGTCCTCCTACCTCAGCCTCCTGAGTAACTGGGGCTACAGGTGCATGCGCCACCACATCCAGCTAATTTTTAATTTTTGTAGAGACGGGGTCTCCCTCTGTTTCCTAGGCTGGTCTCAAACTCCTGGCTTCAAGCAATCCTCCCACCTCAGCCTCGCAAAGAGCTGGGATTGCAGGCGTGAGCCACCATGGCTGACCTATGCACATCTTTGTATCTATAGTACCTTGACCTTGAGCTCATCCTTGCTGCATGAAAAACATTTTTTAAATATAGTTTCGAACCACACATAGTTGAAAATTTGGAGAATATAGAATACCATTATAGCGAAGAATAATGTAGGAAACCAATTCAAAAAAGAAGAAAATAAAGATCTGCAACCCCCCATCTGGATTTGGACATGATTAATTTTGCTTTAGGTCTTTCCAGTTTGCTTTTTTTTTTTTTTTTTTTTTTTTAAGACAGCGTTCTGTTGCCAGGCTGGAGTGCAGTGGTGTGATCTCAGCTCACTGCAACCTCCACCTCCCGGGTTCAAGTGATTCCCCTGCCTCAGCCTCCTGAGTAGCTGGGACTATAGGCATGTGCCATCATGCCCAGCTAATTTTTGTATTTTTAGTAGAGACGGGGTTTCACCACGTTGGCCAGGCTGGTCTCGATTTCTTGACCTCGTGATCCGCCCGCCTCGGCCTCCCAAAGCGCTGGGATTACAGGCGTGAGCATGCCTGGCCCAGTTTGCCTTTTGTTCCCCGCTATTCAGCAGTGTTTTAATCGTGTATCCTCCAACTTACTGGGGCGTGGCGCTCTGTGACTCAGTTTTCATGGTTAGAAAATATGATGGTCACATGCCAACAAAATTCTCCAACTGCTTTCATGAGGTTTCCTCATCCCTGTGGCCAGGAGGGCTGCATATCACTCCATCCTTGGCGGTGAGGACCAGAGAGCCAGGTGCTGATGGGCACAGAGCTGTGCAGCAGGTCCATGGGCCCCAGGGCTCCTCACTCTTAACCCAAGTGGGTGCCAGAGAAAACTCCCACCTTGACGAGAGGAGGCACAGACACCAGCCTGCCAGGGCCACGCACCACAGGTCAGACCCATCCAGGATCTCCTGTGAGCCGTGCTTGTTCCTCTGTGACACAAAATCAGAACAGCAGCCAGTCCCAAAAGAGTTTACATCTTGCTTTTTGAGCCAATCAGACCTTTGAACAAAACTTTACCACAGTATATCTGTCCTGTTCCACTTCAGTTTGGAGAGCTGCCCTGACCTTTCTTAATGAAATCAGACCCTCCTCTTCTTTGGCAAATAATAAACTCAATGTCTGCTCTAACTGGCTTTGGTGCACTTTGTGTTTTTTCTGTGGCATGGGTGTCACCCCAGTCATCACTGTGGCCAGTGGATAGACACTCCCTTCCGAGGGCTGTCACTAAGCCCCTCCTTCCTGTCTGTTCACCTGGGGAGGTTTTCCCAAGCCCCCCACTTCTCAGGGGGAGGCTGCTTTCTTTACCAAGTTGCTCAGAGGTCTCCACTCACAATTCAGTGGCCTCATCGGGTTGGCACTTGTCCACTTGCTTTTCTAGCTGGGACATTCTCTTCTCTGAAACTGTGGATATGACGAGTGGGCAGAGGAGTTTGTTCCTGTTAAGGTGTTGCTGATGGTGGGGCAATGGTTCCACCTCCCATTGTTCATCCAGATTCCTTCATCCCCCAAACTCTTCTGGATTTAACCTAATCTTGGAAATCAGAGCCCTGTTTGGCTAACTAGAAAAATCAGAACTTCTGGGTAAAGTTACCAGACTTTCACTATGGGGAGGAAACAGCTCCAGACTTGAGCTTGCCACTGTCCTTCCTTGACCCCTCTTGGATGGAATAGATGGGCCCTGTCCCCCTTCCCACCTCCCCAGTCTTCCCTCATGGTGAGAAGAGCTTTTTTTCTGCCTATTAGCCACGATTTGAAGCCAACATTGAAAAAGTTCCGATTTCCTCGATCGAGGGGAAGCTCCTGTCAGGGCATCCCAGCCTCACAAACTGAGTGCCTCTCCCAGCCCTGTGTAGCAAATCCAGTGTGCCCTCCTGAAAGCCTCCTTTGACTGCAAGTGCAGGCATGATTTTTTCTCTTACACCATCGGAGTCAGGGTCTCTGGAATCCTACCTGCAAATTTATGCAAACACTATGCCAAAATTTTTGACAAATTTGGCAAAGAAAGGTGTTTTACAGGTGAAGTGCAGCTAACATCTAAAGCGGAACAGAGGGCTGTTTGGGGTGGGGGCCCAGGAGAGAGTTGAAGCAGAGGAGCAGGGAGAAGGGCAGGGGGTTGGTTGGTGTCTGCAGCAGTGATGGAAGACGCTGGAGCCTTCCTCCTCCCCTGTCTTCCAAGGTGGGAGCAGAAAGTGTCAGGGACTCCCTGTCTCTTTCTCATGGTGGAGGCATCTTTAGAGCTGGGGTGAGGACGGAATCTCTTAGTCCCTCTTCAGATGCTCCAGGCACTACATCTGGTGCTGAGAATGAGGTTGAGAGGCCCCCGTGCCCTCCGACCCTCCTATGCCATTACGTTCACGTCAAACCCTACCACACCGTCATTCACTTCACATGAAAGCATTTTAATTGTCCCCTGGGAGGTTAAGCTGTGTGGATCTTACTTTTCTATGATCCCTCTCTATCAAAGAGCCATTTACCCTTGAAGTCTTAACATTGGAAGTTTCTTTACTGATCATCTGGTCCAATCCCTCTGTTTTACACATAAGCGAACTAAGACACGAAGTGGCTTACCCCAGTTCTCAGACCTGGACCCTAAACCAGTCACACCCACTTTTCCAGGTGGCATTACTTCTCGGACCACAGGCCCCCAGCAATCTAGGTGCCCCTTGGGATATCATGGGAGCAAAACATGGTTGTCTTCTTTTAAAGAGTCAAGAGTAACTTTGTGAATACACGTCCCTGTCATTCCTAGGAAATTCTGTGAGATCATGGACATCACCGGCTTCTAAGTTTGCTTTTCAGAAGACCAGGCAGCTGGGCAGACTGCAGTGGTTACTTGTAGACTTGTAAACAACTTCTGGGCTGTCCAAAACTGCCTAGTTTTGTGATTGTTTTACCTTTTGGCTGTTCATAGGCAATGATGAAGTTGGAGGTTTGCGGGAGGAAGAGAAAGAAGGGAATGGCAGAATGGGATGTGGGGGTAATAGAGATACATTTATTGAGCACTAATTATATCCCTGACATTAGGCTTAGTGTATTACCCAATATTATATCCCCATTTTACAGAGCGAGGAAATTAAGGTTAAGTAATTTGCCCAAGTCTCACAGCTAGCAAGTAAGAAGCTATAGGTTTCAAACTTGGGGCTGTCGGATTTCAGAGCCCAAGCTTGTCACCACCATGCTCGTGGGGCAATGGTCAAGAGAAAGCCAGGTTACCAGGAAACTTCTGAATGGCCACAGTGAAGAATGACCGTCTTACATCCTGCTGATTAGATGACCAGTCTTGAAGAGATTTTGAGCATCACAGTGGAAGAGAAGACAGAAGAGGAGGGCAGTTTCCTGTGTTGCTCCGGACTTACCTCAAGTTGCCCACATTTTTCTGGGGCTGACATATCTTTTTCCAGTAGGTGTGGCCTGAGGGTGTCAGGGCTTTACTTTTGTGCTGGTGCAGGCAGTTTTCAGGCTCATATAAACACCCACTCAGCTGTTTATTTATTCATCCAACAAGCATTTCTTAGATACCTCCTCTGTCAATTCTTGAGCTGGTAGGTAAGCATGGTCCCTGACCCAACACATGTAGTAGCTCAGGTTCAGAGATGCACAACCTAATTCTAGCAAAGCTCTTTGTAGATTATCTGGGGCAGCTCTTACAACCCTTGATCTTTCCCACTTCGCAGCTATTCCTGTAGCAGCAGGAAGCTCTACTTTGGAGGAATGGAGAAGAGATGGAAAAGTGAGGCTATGAGCTGGCCTGAAGATTTGGAAAAGGATGTGGAAACCAGAGACTAACAAGAGGATTTGGTGGTGTGTGTGATGTCCCTCTCCCTGCTGTGCCATTTCCTTGGGCACTTAAGTTGGGCTCATGATTTAAGGGCCAACTGCTCATGTAAAAATCCATCCCAGCATCCTCAGCTCAAATAACTGCCACTTGCCACTTGTCTGCCCCAGCGGAATTAACGGAAGCTGCCAACAGCCCTGCTGACCTCATTGGATGGAACTGTGTCCTCAGCAGACACAAGCTCCTTCTTCTGAGCGAGACTCCCTCCTATCTCAGAGCAGGAAGTCCTCTCAAGAGGAGTCCAAGCTTCAGACAGAGAAGCAGGGGCCATTCGTTTATTTACTCTGCTCAGTGTTAACCTAAAAGGAAGAGGCTGAGACACAAAGTATAATTTAAAGAGTTTACTTGAACCAAAACGAGGACAACTGCCTGAAAGACTCTGTCCCAGATACCCTTGGCTGTGAGCTTCCTACAGCCTTTGTTACAAGCAGGTTTTTTAAAAAACCAAAACAAAACAAAAATAACTTTTATTTTAGGTTCAGGATTACATGTGTAGGTTATACAGATAAACTCATGTCACGAGGGTTTATTGTACAGATTATTTCATCACTCAGGTACAAAGCCTAGTACCCAATAGAGTTTTTTCCTCCTCTCCCTCCTCCCAACCTCCATTCTCCGATAGGCCCCAGTGTGTGTTGTTCCTCTCTTTGTGTCCATGTGTTCTCATCATTTAGTGCCCACTTATAAGTGAGAACTTGCGGTATTTGGTTTTCTGTTCTTGTGTTAGTTTGCTAAGGATGATAACCTCCAGCTCCATCCATGCTCCTGCAAAAGACATGCTCTCATTCCTTTTTATGCCGTGAATGTTCATTGCAGCGCTATTTACAATAGCAAAGACATGGAATCAACCTAAATGCCCTTCAATGACAAATGGGATAAAGAAAATATGGTATATGTACAGCACAAGAAGGTTTTTAAAGGCAAAAGAAGGGGGCAGAGTGGGCTGGTACTGGGTTGTTCGTTAACCATCTTACTGATTTACAGAAATAACTTAGATGAATGACTTGCTACTCATTGTTAAACTATAGGTGATAGTGTCCAGTGTGGCATTATTAGAGCTATATGTGGCAATAGCAAGCAGTTTTAAAAAATGAATATATAGCTCAAAAGAAGGAGTGGGACATGATTGCTCTCATTTTACTGTCTCTCCAGGCCTGATGACTTAAAAGGACCCACCTTCCTCAGATGAAAGCTCTTTACTTTTTGCATCAGGAACTCCCTTTTCTGCTTTCGTTGAGTGTCAGGATGGGTCCCATGAAGAGCTGCTGGCAGGGACAGACAGAAGCCAAGGAAGTTGAAGTGCTTGGGAGGGGGCAATAGTCCCCTGCCTGCAACCAACATTTAAAAGCACTGTCACTTCAGGCTGAAAGTGGTAGAAACCAGTCTGTTAAGTCACACCAAAAAGTATGTGTTAGACAGACCTGGCTAGTCCTTTACCCAGAGATCTTGTAGCATAACTGCAGGCGGATGGAAAAGACATGGAAAGCATTAATCACTGCACAAGCTTAGGGCTCAGTCCCTTTTGGAGGGTGGTGAGCGGTAGAAGTGCCTGGAAAATATGTATAGAAACTGTGAAATTGGCAGAAGAAGGCCCTAGAACCTGGGGTTGGGTTACAGTGGGATCAGGGACATCTGGGAGGATGGAGACACAAACATCCAAATTATATCCCTGACATTATGCTTAGTGTGTTACCCAATATTATATCCCCATTTTACAGACTGAGGAAATTAAGGTTAAGTAATTTGCCCGAGTCTCACAGCTAGTCTCACTGATGCTGGAAGTGAGACTTCATGAGTGAAACAATTGTGTTACCCTGAGAATTTCTTTCTAATTCCTGGCTTCAGATTTAAGGTTATGGTTGATGGGGGAAAGTATACACATCCAGACCTGTCTGTCTTGGACTTTTGGAAGATTTTCTCTGGGCTGAAGTTTTTAGCTAGGTTAAATATCAAGAAAGGCTATAATTGCTTTTTCTCCCTATTGCTGGGAGGTTGGACTTGCATAAAACTCTAGTGGAGGTTCACTGCAGCATAGATGGAAAAGCACTGGATTTCCATTTTACTCTTGGCTCTGCTGAGCTGTGTACTCTAGGACAAGCCATTTAACTTTTCAGCTGTGCTCTAGAAAGATTTACACCCATCTTGCAGGACTCTTAAAATAATTAATTTTAGAGATAGGCTCTTGCTCTGTCACCCAGGCTGGAGTGCAGTGGTGTTGAGGTCATAGTTCACTGTAACCTCCACCTCCTCTCAAGCAATCCTCCTGCCTCAGCTTCTCCAAGCACTAGAATTACAGGCATGAGCCACTGCACCTGGCCACAAGACTCTCAATGATTAAGAGGGAGAATAACCAGGACAAAGATATGTGAACTGTAAAGAGCTGTCATCTTACAATGGTGATGGTGATGATCCCTATACTCCTGGGAGGGTTGATGCACATCCTCACCTACAGCATTTGTAAGCAGAGGATAATGCTTCCGTCTTGAGGATTCTCATAGCAAAGTTAAAGGTACCAATATTACCGGATGTTTAATATAACTGGACCCACTGTCTACTGCTTTATGCACAGAAGATACGGGGCGGAGGGAGCCTCTGTTAGCAGCACTGAGGATCTTGGTTACAAATGAGTGGAATGACTAAGCGGGGAGGGGATCTTTAGCGACCTTTGAGAGCAATGTGAACGGCACGTTATTTTTATTAAGGAACACAAAGCAAACATTAGCAGTGAAAGAAATGCAAACCACATCTTGCCTATTTAAAGCAATAAAGGAAGGGAACAAAGTTATACAGACAAAGAGGTGCTTTTGTTTCCCCAGTTATGAATCCTGGTAAAAAAAAAAAACAAACTGCACACAAACCACAAAGACAGTCAGGACCTTCACCTCAACTCCTAACGTGCTGTGTTTCCTTAAGAAAAAAAACAAAAACCCTGAAAATAAAGCAGTGTCACACTTTCTTCAACTTGCTATATAATTTGAGCTTCATGTTTATATTCTTTTGAGAAAATATCAAGACATTACTCGTTCTCTCCTCAGTAGTAGTTGGTTTTTTTCAGGCATGGAGTGGGGGAGGGTAAATGTAATTTTTCCAAGTACACATGCATTCATTTATTCAATATTTATTACTTATCCTGTGCCAAGCTGTCTGCTAGATGGGGTTAACAAAAATAAATCCCTGCCCTTAAGGGAAGAAAAGACCCATACCCCGGTATCTGTAGCCTCTACCCCTTAAAAGAAACATCTGACAGACTTCTGGTTTGGAGCTTGGATACTGACTAATCAGATCTCATCTGCCCTGGCCAACCAGGACTCAACTGTATCAACCAATCAGAACTAAGCAAGTTTCAATCTTTCATTCGCATAAACAGACCTCATGGGAAACCTGGGTAGGAAATTTTGCTATGAAACCTGACTCCTGCTCACACCTGTAATGTCAGCACTTTAGGAGGCCGAGGTGGGTGGATCACCTGAGGTCTGGAGTTCCAGACCAGCCTGACCAACATAGAGAAACCCTGTCTCTACTAAAAATGCAAAATTAGCCGGGCGTGGTGGTGCATGCCAGCTACTTGGGAGGCTGAGGCAGGAGAATCGCTTAAACCCAGGAGGCGGAGGTTGCAGTGAGCAGAGATTGCACCATGAGCCATTGCACTCCAGCCTGGGCAACGAGAGTGAAACTCTGTCTCAAAAAAAATATATATATATATATATAATTTTTTTATAAAAAAATATATATTTATATATATATTTTATAAATATAAATATATTTTTATATATATTTTATAAATATAAAATATATATATTTTTATATAAATATATTTTATAAATATTTATAAAAATAAAAAATATATAATATATAATAAAATATATATTATATATACATTAAATAAAAATAAAATAAACCCGACTCCTCTCTTTGTTCTCTGAACACACCTACATTTTAACACTGAAGGCGGGTTTCCCAAGTGTGCAAACTGTCCACTGGAATAAAGTCTCTTTGCTCCAAATTCCTTTTCTGGGAACTTTTGTTTGTGGGGTTTAGAAAGAGGAGCAGTTATTTCTAGGAAATCTGATGAGTGCCTGGAAAGGAAAGAGTGGGCAATTCTACTGGAAGCAGGTTTGAGCCAGATCACAAGTGGCCCTGGATGATGGGTTAGGGATTTGTGACTTTATTTTGAAGGCATAGGGAGTCATTGAGGCTTATTGAACAGGGGAGTGCCATGATCACCTGGCTGTAAACAGACGCTGAAATTTAGAATCTGATTTTTGAAAACGAACTTATAAGGTAATTACATGGGTGGGTTTGAGGACGACTTGAGGACCTTTCAGAGGGCATAGCCGTTTTGGCTTGCTGTCCTGCTAATAGCATTTGCTGCTTCTCACTCACACTTTATTTTGGATGGAGAACTCTGCACACATACGCAGGAGGGTTGATTTTTTCTAATTCATCTCTGTAGCCGGGATAGCTTCTGACGCCTAAGAAATGTAGTCAACACTCCTACCTAAAATGCCCAGAGAGAAACTCTACATAGCTGAAAGGGGGGAGCTAGCCACTCAGCCCAGAGGTTTCTTCCTAGGAGGAAGGGCACTGACGCAGAAAACTGTAACATGCTGTAGTGACCAGAAGGATGGACCCTCCCTGCACCTGCTGTGGAGGAGGAAGGTGACGCTGCACTGTGCCAAGCTCTGCCAATCTCGGTTTAAGTCTGGGCATTGCCACTAATTTGCTGTGTGAGCTTGAATAAGTCACATTTCTTTTCCAGGACTTAGTCTCTGGATCTGTAAACTGAGAGGTGAGACCGGATGGTGCTGACATCCTGTGGGCTCGTGGGACTGAGTGAGACCTCTGGGAGCTCTGGTGTGGCCGGTCTGATGATCCCCAAGTTTCTCTCCTTTGACTCTTTGGTGCTGAGGGAGGCAACACAATGAGATGTGCTTTTGTTCAGAACCCCGGCCAGGTCTCACAGTCTGAGTGGAGTCCTGGCCCTGTTGTAGGTTAGTAGTGTGAATCTGGGCAAGTCAGTTAACCTCTCTGAGCCTCTGTTTTCTTTTCTGAAAAATAATGAGTCAATGTTCTCTAGCCCAAGAAAAATGGAGGGATGGAAACCAAAATATTAGAGGGAGCTGGCTTCCAATAAGTATGACATTATCACTATCAGGCTAAATGGGTTCTTTTTGTGAAAAAAGAAAAGTTAGAGTAACAGATTTTGACAAATACGCTCAACAGCTAGTGACATTATCTTGTTTTGGACAATAGCTTGGGCCTTTGACAGTTTTATCAATCTGTCAAAACAGCAGCACTTACTAATCCCTGAGGTATAGAAACAAAGGAAAAAGTTTGTTTAATGTCTCCTGCATTAAACAAATCGATGTCTCTTTTCTACAAAACAAACTCTTCATGGAGCTCCTTCACTTATTGCTGTATGGAACCTCTCAAATGAACAATCTCATTCATGTGAAAATTCCCCAGAGTGGCCACTGTAATTTCAAATGGTCTCTTAAGAAATTGTGTCAGAGATGACTGGGCGCGGTAGCTCATGCCAGTAATCCCAGCACTTTGGGAGGCGGAGGCGGGTGGATCACGAGGTCAGGAGATCGAGACCATCTTGGCTAACACACGGGGAAACCCCGTCTCTACTAAAAATACAAAAAAATTAACCGGGCGTGGTGGCGGGTGCCTGTAGTCCCAGCTACTCGGGAGGCTGAGGCAGGAGAATGGCATGAACCTGGGAGGCGGAGCTTGCAGTGAGCCGAGATCGCACCACTGCACTCCAGCCTGGGCGACAGAGCAAGACTCCATCTCAAAAAAAAAAAAAAAAAAAAAAAAAGAAATGTGGCAGAAACATAAGATGAGTTCACACGGCAGTGAGGAAATCTGGAAGCAGCAGGTGTTTGGCCTGGGGAAAAGCCACTTCCGATGAAGAAGGTCGCACAGACACCCGAGCAGTCTGAGAAGAGACTTCTTGCTTCTGGAGCTTGGTCAGAGGCCACAGGCTGATTGTCCCCAATCCTGATTCCAGGCAGAGACAACTTTAAAGTGAGCCGTTCTCAGAAACCACAGAGACGAGGTTGAGGGGAGATCTACCCTTAGCTGTGGAAACCCTTTGGTGAACCTCCGCAAAGCTCATTCCAATGGATGCTGGTCTGAGGAGAGCTCCTGAGTGCTGTGGCCTCCAAGACCAGCTTAAGGACAGAATTCCCAGGCCCCTGTCGACTGTGGACTTTCCACTTAGAGACAACACTTACAACATTCAACCAGCAGATAGACGTAGGAGCATTTCTCAGAAGGCTAGAAAGCAGTTTCACCGAGGAGCAGGGCAAATCTGATCAGATCACCAGGAAAAGTCTCACAGGCACCTCATTCCTAGAACAGAACGCACCTGAAGCGAAGCGAAGGGACCTCAAGGGAACATCAGACTCCATTCAGCCTGAGCTGCCTCCCAGCTGTGGGCCACCTGGCACCTCAGACAGGCAGAGACAAGCTGTGTGTCTCAGTTGTGTCCACCCTAACTGAGGCGGGGGCTCTTGTCCAAGAAGGGAGGGCTTTGGCTGACTCAGGGAACCTCTATTTCTGCCAATCCTCCTGAATTAAAAACCATCAAGAACTCACCTGTGGCTGAACCAAGTTGGGTTTATTAACGTGTTGCACAAAGGAAGAATGTCCAGCAGTAAAGAGGGCCTTCGAAAGAACTTAGTATAGATGTGGGCTTGTGGCTGGTGAGTCTCAGGAGGGCTTAGGAAGCGGGACCTTCTCTGGGCTGGATATCGTGCGTAAGCAGGTGCACTACTGTGATCGTGTTTCCTAATGATTCTTACCTAGAAGACGAGAAAAAATGAAGCAAGACTGAAGATGTGGCTGGGAAAGAGGCAGCAGCCATTCCCATCGGCCAGGAGGAGGAGATGTTTGATAGTTCTGCGATGTGCACAGAGACCTTGTTTTTGTCTGTGCTTAGACAAGATTATAGTCTTGCTTTTTCTCTCACTTTGTCGTCACAGAGTGCCCATCTCTGATATGGGTCCCATGGGATTGTGTATGTGCAACAGAACACCAAGGTCCAGTACCCACGCCAGCTCCTCCCAACACTGAGGCCCAGTCGTTGGCATCAGGCCAATTCCTGGATGTTAGAGGCTGCTTTTCTCTTTCTTCCATACACCAACTCTTGAGTCCTGATGGGAGACTCAAAATAGAGAATAGTTATGAAAGTTGATTTGTAAAAATGTATAGCACAATGGAGATGAAATGAATGAGTCTCAGATTAATACTTATCTGGGGCCCACTTATCCAGAAACCTTAGCCATTGAGAAAATAGCCAAGAAATGGTCAGCAAGCAGGCAATGTCCCTGAAACACCTGAAATAAAAGTCCCCCAATGTCCCACATTTTTACAAGAACTGAAAGTTTTGCACAAGCTCTATGTATGCTGTTTTGCACGCACTTCTCGCGTGCCTTGTTATCCTGCTCATAGAACATTAGAAATAAAGGAAGGCTCCTCTCTCCAGTCCATGCCTCCAAGATGACAAAGAAAAGAAGGAACTAGCGTTATGCCAAAAAGGGCCATGGCCACGTGCTGTCTATTCACTGCATGAACTGTGCACAATGCGTGCCTGACAACAAGGCCATTAAGAAATTCATCATTTGAAACACAGTGGAGGCCGCAGCAGTCAGGGACATTTCTGAAGCCAGAGTCTTCCATGCCTATGTGCTTCCCAAGCTGTAAGTGAAGCTATATTCCTGTGTGAGTGTGCAATTCACAGCAAAGTAGTCAGGAACAGATCTAGTGAAGCCAGCAAGGACCAAACACCCCCATCCTGATTTAGACCTTCACGTGCTGCCTCACGACCCCCACCAAAGCCCATGTAAGGAGCTGAGTCCTTAAGATTGAAGGCAGTCTACTGGAGAAAGATAAAGTGGAAATTGTCCTTAGAAGTGAAGAAATGCTTAGGGGCAGGAGCAAAAAGAGCTTCCAGTGCTGGTTCACGCTACAGCACAGGTGCACCCTGCAGACATGATCCAAATGACAGAAGCCAGGTACAAGGGACCACATGGCCCAGGATTCCATTTCCATGAAAATGTGCAGAACAGGCAAATCCAGAGAGACAGAAGGTAGATTCATGGTTGCCGGGGGTTAGGGGAAGGGAGAGTAAGGAGTGACCGTTGGCCAGAAATTTCCTTTTGGAAGTGTTGAAAATGTTTAGAATGAGATAGTGGTAATGGATGCACAACTTTGTGAATATATACAAAAACCACCTTAAAAGGGTGATTTTTATGATAGGTGAATGATATCTCAATTTTTAAAAAGTGGAAAAAAGAAGAAGGGCCTCAGGATCTGGCAAGTTCATAGCCTGATAGCAAGAGAGGATCTGGAAGACACTAAGGAATGTGTATTCATCAAGCAGAGCCGCCTAGAGCAGCAGGGCTCTGTCGGCCTCCATGTCAGAGGCTCTGTGGGCTTCTGTCAGTGCCACCCCGCAGACACACACACAGCATCGCCACGTGCTGGCCAAGGTGCCGAGGAGCACACAGAGGACTGAGACGTGGTCCCTGCACTCTGGGGGGAATGACACCTCAACACAATAACGGTGTTCGTCATCAGGACCCCAAGTCATGATGGAAAGGTTAAATTATTTTCAAAACGCTCAATTATAAGAAGGCAGAGGAGCGGATTATAACGAATACACATAAAAAAAAATTTCAAAATTGCCAACCTTTTAAAGAAATATTGAAACCCCTGGTTTCAAATAGCAGGGAATGGGATGCTCTGTGTGTGTGGAGAGGCAAACATCCCCATAGTCCTCAGGATCCCCTGAGAGGGGCCGAGTCAGAGGGTGTCAAGGCCTCCAGTCCTCTGGGCATCCAGGGCCTCATGGCAACTGCAGCAATTGTTCTCACTTTGGTTGTTTTTCCATAGGACTCAATGTGCTCTTACACAGGGACTCAGGACAGTGCTGAGTCCAGGTGGAGGGAAGAGGTCGGATGGTAGGGGCTGGGCAGGGGATGTGGTGAGGGCTCTGTTTGAACCTGCCAACCTTCCCCAGGCTGTCTACCATGTTTTTCTCACTAAGTGGGAGGTCTGTGAGCTCCGTCCCTCCAGGGCCTCACTGTGAAGCCGTTGCTGGCGTGGTTCTGCCCACTGGAGTTTGCTGGGTGGGGGGCATGGGGCAGGTGTGGGGAAACCTCCTTCCTGGAACAGGGTCTCCAGAATACGCAGGAGTGAGGCTGGCACACAGCACTGCCTCTGTGGTCCCGGTGTCCAGGGCGGGGGGATGGGAGGGGCCTCAGGGATGGAGGGACAGAACCGGGGCCTGCTTTCAACTCCACACCAGCCTGGTGAATTCAGATTATCTCTTCAGCTGTACATCGCCACTTCCACACTCAGGCGATTTCACCTAAGGTCCCCACTTGCTGCAAGCTCTGGGACACAGGGCCTGCTTTGTAAAGTAAGTATTTTGGAGTTTTTAAAGATGACAATTCAAACCTGCTCCTGCAAAAGACAGGCTTAATGGGACGACTCCCACTCTGACAGTGGGGCTTTCCTTCAGGCCATCCTGGGCGGAAGCTGGGGGTTGAAAATGAAGAGATGGTGACACGTGTCTAAAGCTCTAGGGGCCTGGAACCAAGTGACGCAGCGCTCAGAGAAGCAGAAGGAGCGGTGGTTTCTTCATAGAGCAGCAAGTGGTAGTGACAGAGGTGCCTGTCTGAAGGCTGCACTTTAAGAGATTGGACTGAGACCCAAAGCCTTGACCCAGGGCTTCCTTCTGGGTGGGTGCAGTCTGTCACTGTGGCGGGAAGGAGAGGGGCAAGGTGGAATGAAAACAGGCAAGAGTGGGAGTGCGGTGGCTTGCTCTGCTCCCAGCTCTCCCCTACTCTCTCTGCAAACCCCAGGTGCTTAGAGCCTAAGTATCAGTCAGAATCCCTCAGGGCCACAGAGACCCTTCCAGGTTACTGTCAGCAATGGGGATTTATGGTAAGGATATTTCTGGAAATCAAAAGGCCACCAATCCTCAGGTTTCCATAAACACCAAGGGCAGATTTGTTTTCAGAGCCTGGACCAGGACTCTGGGTCTTCAGGGCTCCGAGGATCTGGTTGTCTCCCCATCTTCCCAGCACGATGCCTCCTCAGTCACCCCCCCTTGGCCCTGAGTCCCCCAACCCCTGGGCTCCCTCAACCAGCATGGGGCATCTGCTCACCCCAACTTCTGCTTGTTCATGGCTCTGCTCTGTGTGGCTTTTAGCCTCTAGTCACACGAGCAGCTGCCTTTTCTCTCACATTCACACTTACTGAGAGAATTTAATAAGGCTGATTGGTCACCATGGCCCTTGTAAGTACCCACTTCCATGCTGGGCCACCAAGACACAACTGGGCTGGAGGCAGGCGCCCGTCCCTGGTGGAATCAGCTGCAGCTGGGATGGTGGGCTTGCCAAAGATGGGCTTTTTTGCCCTGTGGAGGGGCTTTCTCTGCTTACATTGATGGTAAGGTAGCGGGGTGAGGGTAGGAGAATGTTGAATGAGGGAAGAGCGGGTCTCCCAAGACTTGGCCTCTCTGAACCTTTGTCCCAGCAACAGAAGTCATGATGCTCTCGGGTGGGGGCAGTGCTTTGAAAAGATTCCCAAGGCTTCTACAGAGTGCGTGGGCGGGGACATCAATGGCCATCGTACTGTTCCTTGAGTCAGATCTCCCCATCAGGTTGCAGCCAATGTCAGGCGGTTCTGTAACTGAGAACAAGAAAAGGTGATCGGAAAGGTGTGTGGTGTTCCTTCTGGCTACAGGAGGTGATCCACAGATTGCCCTGTGAAATGGCTTCCCCAGGGCCTCTGTTTGCTTGACATTCCGGCTGGCCTCAGCCTTTTCCTTGTTATGCTAAACTTTACATTTCTAAATTTCCAAGTGGTATTGTGAGCATAGTAAATGCTTAACTGTTTGATAAATGAATGAATGGATGGATGAATAAATGAAACATGAATTTGTCCGCAGCCCTTCACTGAAGGCAGGACAGGAGTGGGTAAAGGTGCTTGGCTTTGGTGTAAGAAAGGCCTCACTTTGAATCCCGGCTCTGCCGCTTGCAAGCTGTGTGACATTGGGACAAGTTACTTAACTTCTCTGAGCCTCCTTTCCCTCAACTGTAAGGCTAGGATAATGCCCACTTAGAAGTTCTTTGGGAAGTCCAAGTGACTCTGTGTTTTCTAGCACAGGGCCTGACCCAGTAAGCTTTGATGGCTGTAATCATTAGGCTGACTCAAAGGGATAGGAGGGTCAGAGCATCTCGGTCTCCATATGCAGGGTGCATGGAGAAGCCTGGGACACTTAGCTGCTTGACTGTGGTGGAGAGAGGGAAATGAATGGGAGGTCCAAAGCTCCATGTTTCTCTTCACCACCCAGGGAACTAGGGAGGCTGTGGAGCCACGGCCAGGCTAAAGTGTCTGGCAGGCAGGGGCTGTGTTCCAGAAGCCAGGTCTTGGGGAAGCGCTGGGAAGGACCAGGATCAAATATGAGGGGAATTCTACCAGTGGTGCCCAAACCAACCAGTTCTCGTATTTTATATCTCCCTTACCATGCCATTCCCACCCCACCTCCAGCTCTTCCCCACTGGCATTCAAACATGCCCCAGGCGCTTTCAATGGAATTATAACAAGACCTCCTCTCAGCCCTTTGTCCCTATGAAACTGTGGCCTCATCATCACTTCTATATACAGTAGAAAGTTCTTGAAAGCATCACCTGCATGCACTGTCTTTATGTTCCCCTCCCTCACTTCTCATCCCTCACAATCTGACTTTCACAGCTCCCCTCTCCCCAAGAACATTCCATGCAACCCCTTGGGCTGAAATCCCTGCTGACCTTTGGATCATAAAGCCCAACAGACACGGCTTCTCAGGCCTCACGGACCTCCAGGCTTCTCCATGGGATGCAGCTGATCGCTCCACCCAGAACGGTCTCCTGTTTCGACTTCCCCAATGGTGCTGCCTCTGGTTCTCCTCTGCCTCTCTAGCTGGTCTTCTTCAGCCTTCTTCCTGAGAGCCTCTACCTCTGCCCACCTCACTTAAAGATCGGAGTTTTCCAGAGTCCTGTGCTCTCTGCAGTTCCCAATCAATACTTTCTCCTTGGGTGAGCTGATTCTCTTCAAAGGCCCAACGACCCCTGTGTTGCTGACAACTCCCCACTGGGATCTAGAGCCCAGGTGTGTTTCCTAAGGACCAGGTCTGCACGGCCACCTGTCACCTGGGCATCTCCTCTTGGCCACCCCCACAACAAAGTTCCTTCTCTCACCCCCAAATCCTCTCCTTTATTCTGCTCCTTTATTGCCTATCTTGGTAAATATTGTCTCCAACCACCCAATTGGCCAAATAAATCATCCCATGAGCCCCAGCCCCGCCTTAGTTTAGCTGGGCGTATTCCCTGCTTCTCCCTCTCATCCTGGGCAGTTCCTTCTCCTTCAGGCCGACACCCCATCCTTGTGTCATTGTCCCGTCTGCCCACCTTCTCAATCTCTGTGGAGGTCACCCTTCTCTTCATCCCTGCTGCTCCCATCCACTCCAGACCCTGCCATTCCTTGCTGGGGTTAACACAATGGCCACTCAACTCTTCCTCTTCTGGGTTTGTGGATTCCCCCAGTCCATTCACACAGCTGCCTGAATGAGCTTCTACAAATGCAAATTGGCTCATGCCCTGCCCTCCTCCAGCTTGAGATTCTTCAGGGTAACCCCACTGCCTTCAGGATAAAGTCCACACTCCTTAGTGGGGCATCCAAGTCCCTTCACATCACACGGTGAGGGGCTTGCACTTGGAGAGAGGGGCTCAGATAGGCCCAGGTTCAGATCCTGGCAGCATTTTTGCTGTGTGACTTTGAGTAAGTTACTTAGCCTCTATAAGCTTCTGTGTTTTTTTGTGTATAATGGGGGTACCCTGCCTGCTTCACGAGTGTAAAGAGGATAAAATGCACACTTTTGCGCCTTTGTTCTTCCATTTGCCTTTTTCTCTGCTGCAGCCACCCAGCATGCGGGACCCATGGTTTCTGCTCCCAGCCCATCCCCCACCTGTCTCTTCCTGTTGGCTTTTCACCCGATGCTCTCTGCTCCAGTCATCCTGAGGGGCTTGTCCTCCCCAGAGAAGCTGTGCCTCATCTCCACCAGCTGACACTGTGCAGACTCCATGCTCTCCCCTGGCCTTCCTCCTCTTTGCTTGACTAACCCCTCACAGTCACTGAAGATTCCCTTCAGGAATGACCTGCTGGAAGCTTCTCCTAAGCAGCAAGATGAGCTGCTTCTCCTAAAGGTTCCAAAGCAGTCTGCTTGCCCCCATAAGGCCTTCACTTTCTCATCTTGCAATTGCCTTCCCTCTCATGTGCTCTTCCCCTTGCACGGAATCTCCTCAAGGGTAGGAATCATGTCTTATTTATCTTCATATCCCCAGCACCTAGCATGGGACCTGACATATTAGGCTGTCAGTGAACATTTGCTGGATGGACAAACAAACATGGAATTCAAATCCAGATGGCATTTAAATGCCCTTGCTCTCATTGTTTCTTGGTTATTGTTCTGCTCTTCTCAGGCACGGTGGCTGTCATCCAGCCCACCCTCACACTGTGAGGCTCCCTGAGGGCAGGCTCCTAGCAGCATGGTGACCTGTAGAATTAGCAGACAGGTGACTCTCATCATAGATCTCATGGCTGACTGCCTGGCCACTAAAAGAAGGGAAGTCTAACAGGAGGCGGCTGGGCCCTCACTTCGCCTAGTGCAAACCAAACCCAGTGGCCGTGGAACATCTTGGGTTGGCTTGGAGGTCCTGGAGTGGTGGCAGTCATGAAGGAGAGGGGGACATTGTGGGCAGGAGGCAGAGGAAGTTTGGGAGGGGAAGGGCAGAAAAAAGTCCCACAGGAAATGCACGATTTCTTATTCTGGCTAGCTGATAGAATCGTGGACATTTGCCCCAGGGACTGTCAGATAAGGACTGACTTTTACCACCAAACTGGTTTTAGGTTTTGTTTTTAAATCAGTTTTCAGGCAGGACAGAGAGTCTCAGAACATTACTTTCCAGCAGATCACAAGTGAGCCTGCCTGTTTTTAGTTAGAGGGAGCTCTGGGGACTTTTTCTGCCTCGGGATCCGGGTCAGGCTGGCTCACCAGCCCTCTGTCCGCAGCGTCCTTATGTCTAGAGAACGCTACCACCTCCTGAGTTGTTAGACATCACTGGGGTATTCGCCACTTTTGGTCTGTAACAGAAGTGGAGGCAGATTGCAAGGCCTCTGCAGATAGCTCCCCATTCCTTGTCCTGAAAGGGCCTGAGCAGGGCCTCCCTTCCAGTACCGTGGGGTGTGGAGGGGGAGGGTTGGGATGGGGGGCCTCGGCTGCTGATTCTTGGGGAGGGAGGGGGAAGGCGGCCTGGTGTCCCAGAACACTCTTGTTTGTTATGCTCATTCTCTTCTACATCCTGTGGGTGTATGATGTATGTGGAGAAGGGTCTGAGGAGTCAGGAATTCTATGCCTCCAATTCTGTTTATAGACACCTTTTCCATGTCAGAGCTTTCAAAGTTGCCTTTCTTATAATTTGCTAAGAAATAGCATTGGGCTGGAAACTCAGCAGAGCCTTTAGGATCTGGACACCTTTATAGAGGGACAATCTCATTTGAGTAACAGGTCCTAAGACTGATAATAAAAATGACTTCATTTTCCCTCTAAACACTGAGTTTCCAGAGCAGAGAGCCAGACACTTTCTAGCCCTACTGGGAACCAAGCAATCTGAAGGGAGCTTCAGCTCTAAGTGGGAGTGGTTTAGGCCAGACACACACCAACACTCCTTGCTAGAAGTCAAGATGTTTTTGGAAATCTGAGCGTTTGTAACCTTTCCGCAGAGGTCTTTAAAACAGGGTGAGTTCTCCTCTATGTAGGGTGCCAGACACGTGGGCTTGTTGGGTACTGGGAGCCTGCGTCTGCTGGTCTCAGACAGACCATTTCTTTCAAGGAATCTGATTTTCTGCTTGAATTAGGTTTTGTTATTGGCAGGTACATAAACAGTGAACCAGGGAAGTGCCTGCGAGCTGGTCTGCATCTGTCCAGAAGGCCCACAGGTGCTCTAGGCCTTTCAACAAGAGCCTCATCCCTGGCTCATTAGCAAGCATGTGTTCCCTCTCCCTCTCCCATCTCTCTCTCTTAGGATAGGAGTTTTGCTCGTCGCTCTGCAGAAAGGTCATGAGACAAGGTGGACTGGATGAGTCATTGCAAAAAAAGCTTTCTTAGGCAAAGTTCTCTTCAGGTTGGGCTAAATCAGAATAGCCAGTGGAAGGATGCCTTCCCTGGGAACTTCAACAGCAGCCTCTTGTATTCTTTCTCCTGTCTACCTGTCAAAGTGTCTGCAGCTACATTTGTGGGTTTGGATGTGAGCATCTATGCATGCAGCAAGACTGTGAGCTAAGTAGGCACTGGGCTTCGAGTCTGTCCACTTAGTGAGTGGTGGAGAGAGGAGAGCCCCTCAAGAGCTGGGCCCACAAGGTCCAGGCCATGGAGAAATTGGGAAGCATTTTAGAGAGAATCCGTATCCTGCACTGTTTTGTTTGGGAACTTCTATTTGTAGGGTCAGCCTGGAGTGTGATTGACTATAGGCGAGACCTCATTTTCTTTATCATTGTGATGGGAATGAGGAGAAGCTTAAAGTTGGGGTGATGAGAACTGGGGGGCTGCAGACCAACTGACGCTCTTGAAACTGTGGTCTAGTAACAAGGCTACCTAGTTCAAAAATTATTTTTAGAAACCTGTTTCCTGGTCATTCTCCAAAGTCATAAAAGCCAGTGGGACTAAAATATTAGAGGAAGGAATCAGAACTGAGAGGTGTTCATTCATTCGTTTATTCACTTAACGAGTGTGTAGGCACCTTCTAAGTGCTCCGCACTGGACTGGGCATTGAGAGGGAAATGAAACAGAAGGCATGGCCTGTCCTTTGGAGCTTACAGTGAGAAACCAAGAGGTATAACCTGAAATAGCCAAGCACCTGTACAGCAAGGAAGGGGGAGGTGGCTTGAGTTTTCTTTGTCTTGGCTTGGACGTGAGGTGTCCCAAGCACCTGGATTTTCTTGCATCATGTAGTCTTATTGACGTTGAGTTCTGAAACATTTTATTTGAACACTTCTGATAGAGATTTTTAAAAAGATACCCTCCTCTGCCTCCTAAAAAAGAATTCACAGAACACAATTTTATCTCTTTTTGATAGTGTGCGCCAAACTCGCCCTTCCTTGAATATCTCTCAACCTTTTCCGATTGTTGGTGCTTTTTCCTTCCAAACCACTGGCGGTCGTTTCTCATTACATAAAGTCCCCACTGCTCCTGTACCCGAATGGGCTGTAACCATTAAGACTGAAGATTGACTTGGAGGAACAAGAGAACTATTTTATGAGCAAGCTTAACTTTATATCCAGCTCAAAGTTAATAAGCTCTGGTTTGGTGGTTGGGTGTTGCATGAATAATGGAATAAATATTCTCCTACCTTTCTGAGGATGTTTTCCTTCCTTTCTCTTAGGTTGTATTCTGTATAATCACAGTAGCTGGATGTAACTGCTGGCTAGGGGAGGATGGTCCTCTATAAGATGAGGTGTCAGAATGGGTGGCATCATCTATAATGCTCTAAGAGTGTAAAGAAGAAAAAGAAGATTTCCTGTGGGTTGGGAGGCCCAGGAAAGGTTTGGAAACTTAATCGGACTTTGAGGACAGGACAGGGCCTGGGTGAGTTGAGAGGAAGTAGCCACATAATTAATGAAAAGGAGTAGACTGAACTCTCCAATGGAAAGAAATGGAGTCTTCATCCTATCCATCATATATTTATATCTATTGATCCACCTATCATCTATCTATCTATCTATCTATCTATCTATCTATCTATCTATCTATCTACCTACCTATCTATCTGTCTGTCTATCTAATCATGAGGTTATAGATGATACCCTGTGGTCCACCCTGCCAGGCCATGCAGGGATTTATTCTACAGAACCTTGGCTTGGGCCCCTCCACCTTCTGAAGGAAGCCATGGTTCATTTCTGGTTGTGACTGCTTCCTTGATAGTAAGGGTGAATTGCAGAAGAGAACCTTGTACCTTGGCTTTCCCTCAGATGACATGAAAGGAGACTATATATTCCTGAGCTTCTCTAGGTGCTTCTAAGGCAGCAGAGGAAGAAGATACACTTTCTTCTTGCACTGACAAAGGCCTATTCCATTCCCTAGAATCTGAATTTTCCTAATATTTCAGAAGGGTTAAAAAGTTGAAGTCAGGAGCTACCAATGGGTATTAGCTCATGTGGTCACCTGTTATTAATGGAAAATATTAGGGTCTCTCTCCAGCTTATCAATCCTCAGGGAATCTGAAGAAATAGAGAGGGGCAAGTGCAAGCTGCCCTCCTGGGGCCTGAGATCACCATCATGTCCCAAGGTTGGCATCTACTTGAAATCAGTCACTAGGTCAATGATTCCACAGTTAGTTTTAAAAAATAAAAGTTACAGGGAAGCATTAGGAAGAAAGTAACAGTTGCTGTTGGAGGCTGTACGTGCTGCTGTAAGCACCTGGGTAAGCTTCCTGGGTAGGTGTGAGAAAGAGGAGGCCAAGGGGCGGCCTCACGGGTGACCAGAGTCAGAGTCAGGGTACAGCAGGCTCTGACTGGGAAGTGGCCTGGATTCCCTGGCAGGCTTCTCCACAGAGGATAGTTTGGAGGCTCTTTAAAAATTCGTAGGTTATTAAAGTAATTCTTTCCCCTCAAATTTCTGTCCTCTGCCTAATTGGGTTTGAGAAAACCAAGTGGGACTAATGTTCCCAGGACAGGTTCATGCCTCCCAATGGCTTCCCCCCAGCTCTCACTTGGGCCTGGCCCTCCATGAAACAGAGCCCCCTCGATCTTCCTTCACCTGGGTGGGCATCTGTCTCTTGGCTTTTCCGCCATTGCCCCTTGGCTCTCCAGATAGGAAGGAGACTGGACACTGTGCCTAACTGATTGTGTTCAAAAAAGCCCCATGGACTTGGCTAATTTTTTTTAGTCCTTTTATTGTCATCATAGGATGTACAACCTAGAAGAAGCCCTTGAAGCTGTTATGTCCTGTCTCTTGGCACTGGAGAGGATGGAATTTGAACCAGTTTCCTCAGATAGCCATCGTCTCAATTTTTTAAGAAAAAAAAATACTCCCCTAAAGAAGCGGCTACTGTAGCATCTCTTGGGAAGGCTTTCCTGCATTTCTTGCTGTGGACCAAGAAGGGTTAAGTCACTCTTCTGCAGACCCACTATGACTTATGGAAAGGGCCAGCCTGAGAATTTTCCCCACCCCATAAAGAGCACTCAATGCCCTTGGCCTTATGCCATCTTTGCCTAGGAATAAGAAGGCCTCTTGGTTCTTGAACCTGCTGTAGAGAGTTTTTATTTGTTACATGTTAGTGTCAGTTTCTACTCTCAGATTTTTTTTTTTCATGCATCAGGCACTATATACCCACTTAAAACCAGCTGAGCAGAATGAGAGGAAACTATGGTAGAGGTAGAAAAGGTTAAAACGTGTGAGGGGGAGGATGGGAGAGGGACAGGCTGTTGTTCAGGGTCGCCTGGCAAAATGATACCCAGAAGTAGCAGTCCACAGATGCATTTCATCAGCAAGCCTCTTCCATGGACATGGATAATGGACAAACCCTGATGGGCATATTTCTTTAAAATTTCTATTTAGAAAGACCTTCTCTGCAAGTCTGGCTTGAATGCCATATTTTAAAACAGATGATTTCTGCCCAAAGACCATGAGCATTTGAGCTCTTCATGGGGAAAAGGCGGTATTTAAATTAAAGCTTAAAAAATGTTTTTTTAAAGAAAAACAACCTGGAAGGTAGGTAGGGTTGGTTATTCTTGAGGCCCAAGTGCCTGAGCCCCAGAGCACAGGCTTTCCCAGTACTTCTTCCTTCTTCCCCCTTGCTTGTTCCAAGAACTGGGGACAGTATCTGTACTCTGAATGCCAGTCACAGGGTTCACAATCTTAGAATGGAAGAGTTGAAAGTGACAAATTCAACTTGTCCAAACTTCTCACATTATAGAGGAAGAAATGAAAACCAGGAATACGAGGGACTTTAAGGGCAGAAGCATACCTTAACCACTCCCCACCCCCATTTCTCAGGGGTCTTTTTCTTGACACCCACCTTCCCTGAGGTCTCCAGTAACTTGTGGCAGAGCTGGGACTAGAATTTGATTCTCCTGACTTTAGTTCAGTGCTTCCTCCCCCCACCGCTTTCTTATAGCTTCATGCTTTCTCTGATGCCTATAGTCCACGGCATAACTTACTGGCAGGCAGAATTAAATACCAGTGTAACATGATTTTAAAGAGTGCAGGGTGAACTTCCACCCCCAAAATCATGCTCACACCAGCCTGTAACTGGTGCTTGACCTCCCACCATTAGAGATTCTTTCTCTTGTAACTTGAGCTTAGGAGGCTTTCTTCCAGAATCTCCTTTTGAAACAGAAGTCCCTCTGGGAAAGCTAAGTGTTGATAGCTAATAAACAGGAAAGGCTGTTCCTCTGAGAGCTGATATCCACAAGAGGTGGTGGCGGTCTAGAGGAGGGGCCAGGACAGGGAGTTCACATGGGAGGATGCATGTGAGACTGATTTGAAGGTGGGTCCACTCTTTTGTGGATATTTGATAAACGCTACTATCTGCCTGACCAAATGCAGAAGACAGACCATGGCCCAGGCACACTGCTGGGAAATCCCCTTCCCAGGGAAACCCAGAGGGAGAGGCAGGGCTGCCCACCCCACATACTATCTGAGAGCAGCCAGCCCAGTGCTTTCTCTGTAACAGGTGCCCTCTCTCCTCCCCCAAGGCTTCCCTTGCATGGATTGACCTTTATGGGCACTTTTGTCTATGGCTCAAGAGAGGACAAGTCTGTCTTATTATCCTGTGAGTGGAAGATGGGGCAAAAGACCTAGACAACAGAGGGGAAGGGGTGTCATCTGCACTCCACCCTGACACTGGCTTTTGTGCCCTTACAGAGGAATGGAAGAGTTAGGGCCAGAAACTGAAAGGGCGCTTCTCCAGGAGCCTTGGAACTCTGAACACAGGGAGTGGGGTTAGGGCTCATCTAATTCTGCACAACATCCAGCTCTGAGAGTACTGGGATGCAGCAGCCCTGGCATAGCCCTCGACCACCTCATGAGGGACACTGTTAATGTGAGCAACAGCAGGGCTTCTGAAAGCAACCTCGAGGTTATGGAGTATTGACTGAGGGCAGCCAGAGGTGAAGAAGACGTGAACCTATGATGTGGTCCTGCAGGGTCTCCTGGAAGTCCTTGGTGGCGGGGAGCTTTGTCTCAAGAGGGGCCCAGAAGAGGAACTTTGGACAATTGTTACATGGTGTGACACTAGCTGTCATGGCCTGGTGATACTTGAGCTCCTCTTAGATCCTTAGAAGCTCTCCTGAGATGCTGATGGACCAAAGTGGCCCAGAAGCTCACAGGCCCAAGCTCTTCCCTTCGAATGCAACCAAATTTAGGCTATGATTCTACATGACTAGAAAGTCTGTGCCAAAGTCTGTCTGCAAAAGGATAGTGATGAGAATGGCTTCAGGGACTCTGTTATCCAATCGGGGAAAGGAAGGGAGAGGCCCAATCTTTGTCTCAGCTAACTTGAGATAAAATGAGGCTGAAGGAAAAGGGCAAGATTTGCTCAGAGCCCTCCAGTCACAAACTCTGACTTGAATCTTCCAGGACTTGTTTTATGGGCCAGGAGGAAAAGGTACAGATGTTCAGTTTAAATTAATCCCAGTGTAGCATGGACTATCCTGCCCGAGATGACAATAGATTGGTTTTAAAAAAGAAGGCGAAAGGAAGAAAAGAAAAGACCATCTTTGTAGGTTGGAAAAGAGTTGGGGCATATATGCAAAGTTGTTCTGATACTATTCTCCTCCTCCTTCCTCCACCAGCCACTTGCCAAGGTGCTAGATCTTTCCTTCCTTCCTGTGATGAAGCCCACATTTGCTCAGGATGCACTAACTAAGTCCTGATGTCGTTGCATAGCAGATCTGGGCAGTATGTAAGCCCAGTTTTCTAGAAGTTAAAAAATAAAAAGCTATGTCTTCAACACCTGCAAATATGGTGTGCAAGCTGGAGTGACAGCACTTGGAGAAGTTACTAAGTGGATGTGAAAGAAAGAGCTGCAGCAAGAACACAGGTTGACAGGTGTCACTTAAGTGGAGTTGCCCTGTCAAGAGCCATTGTCAGGCTGACAGATACTCTGGCCTCTGGGGCTGGGGTGTCCTTTTTACACTTGTATGTGTGCCTGAGAGTTGAACAACAGATGCAGTTTTGCTGGGTTGAGCCTGTCACCTTCAGCCATACGCCACATGTCATCACTCCCATTTACTGAGGTCCACAATGAGCCTGGTTTTGGGTGAGGCAATTTACAGCAGCCCATAATAGTAGGTTTTACCAGGCCCATCTCTCTCGGCAAATGGGAATTTTGGGGGCTCAGAGTGGTTGAGCAACGTGTCCAAGATCATAGAGTCAGTTAACTGTCAGAGCCTGGATTTAAGGCCAGGTCTGTGTGGCTCTGAGGTCTGTGCCATCGCTGGTGTCAAGGAGACAAGGTTTTTAGGCAGGGTTCAGACCCACACCTTGCTGTGTGACCTGGACAAGTTCAGCAACCTTTCTGAGCCATCCTTCCGTGATCTGTAAAATGGGGGTAACCATGTAACTAATGCCTGGGGCTGCTGTGGGGATTGGTGGGTGTGCTCCACGGGAAGCACACAGCACAGCACCCGGTCCGCAGTGGGTACTTGGCCTGTGGTCACTCTCCTGATGATACCAGGCTCCCTCTCCCGTCTGCGAGGCCCTAGGCAGAAAGAAGCACAGCACAGGAGACAGTTCTCATACTTGCCTGCAGGGTTTCCATCCCTGGAGACGAAAGCCCTTCCCTCTGTAAATGACAGCTGTGTTGGAAATAAATGGATACCTGGAAGATCCAAGAAATGGAAACCACTCTTCTCTTGCTGTGTGATTTTAAAATGTCACTTAACCATGATAGTTTTTTTTTTCCTGTGGAATAACTTGAGTGGTCCTTAACCCCACTTTATTGAGACTTGAGGTTGAGAGGTACGCTGGGATAAACATGGGTTTTTGTTTCTCCATAGGTGAATAAGCCACAGAGTAGATTGTGTCTGGTAAGATGAGGACTCTGGCTGGCTTCTCCAGCAACCTGGCCCCCTGCTTTAAGGACTATGGTCTGTCGCCATCACTGCGTATGTCTGAGCAGCCCGTTAATTTGAATATATTTTGTAGTCAAGAATTGATAGACAGGTAGAAATTTTATTTGCATGTAAAAATACATAATACATACAATGAGTCAAAGAACAATTTTTTTTCAATAATCTGCGATTTGTGTCATTCATGTATTGACATGGATCATTGAGAGCTATGGGGTTATGCTGACTTACAGCCCAGTAGCCTGTATTGCTGAGAAATTCATTGACTTCCCCATCAAGCTCTGCCTCCTGACAAGTGATGAGGAAATCGAGTGATGACTACTTATAATGGCTGCTTGGCTACTACTATTGAGGCTGCTGGAGCCAAATGGGGCTCTTAAAAAATGGCACCTCTTTCGACCTCTGGAAAAGCTAAACTAGAGCCCAGTGCTGGAATGAACACAGTAATTAACATTACTTACAGGCCTCCTTTGTAAACCCCTGAACTGATGGCAGGCTGACTTCCCTTCCCATCAGTTTTACAGTGGGAAGGAGGGGGCGTTCTGCTCTTCAGCCTTTATTTTGGCCATCAGAGTTGAATTTTGATTTGAGATGCCTCTGACCAGTCTTTGCTGTCATTTGGAGGTGGTTAGCATCATAATCCACATCATGAATGAAATGGCAAACAGAAGGAGGATGCGGGGTTTGTCTCAGGCAAATCTCTTAAAGAGGAGGAAACAGGCCCAGAAAAGTTAAATGACTTTCCTAAGGCCACCTGGCTGCTAAATGACAGAGCTGGGACTAGTAGTGCACAGGCACGCTGACCCCTGCTGTCATGCTCTTTCTCCTTCTTACTCTGTGTCTCTGTCTGCTATGGTTAAATACGGTCTTTTAGGACGAGCTGAAGAAAAGGAAACTCACCTGTGTTAACAATACTATGTCCCAGGAACTGTGCCAGATGCTTCATCTGCATTGGCTCATTTTGTCCTCACAACCCCTTAGCCAGGCAGTGATCACCATTAAGCTGTTTGTACACAGATGGAGAGGTTAACTTACTGTTCTGTAAGACCACAAAGCTCTTTCTCCTAGGCTCTGTTAAACGCCTCCTTCATCTCACTTACTTCCTCTCTCAGCCTCCCTCACACTTTGAAGCACGCTTTGATAGGCTCCATTGGGAGGTTTTAAATGGCAAGGCTTCCTTAGGTTGAGGGCAATGGGTAAGTCACTTATTACAGGCAAGTCTGAATACAGAAAATGTTGGTTTAAAAGGGAGTCAAACAAGACCTTCTGGGGAGTGGGGAGTGTGGTTTCTGAGGGAGTGGGCTTCTACTAGGCACTGGTATGGGCAGGGGTGGCAGGCTGCTATCAATCCAGGCTCTCCTGCAGGCACAACCTCTGGAAGGAAAGGAAAGAGAGGGTGCACCTCAGGCCTGAGTGTCCTTTGTGGTAGTTCTACCTAAGAGACAGGTAACTGATGCCAATTAAGAAAATCTTAAGTTTTTCGGATCACAGTACTTCTTGGTAACATGAAATCCATGCTCTGTTGCCCAGCAATTGGAAGTGATCTGTTCTCTGTAAAGACCTCTCGGAAAGAATGCCCCAGGTCTCAGCATCTCTCATGAGCCTTTCCCCAGGCATTGGAAGACTCTTGCTATAGAAACACATTTAAAACAGGATTACGTCTTTTATTTCATGGATCTTCCTCCTCAAGTGCGTGATCCAGGGCGATGTTGGGTAGGAAAGGGAAAGATAATTAGATTTGCACCTTCTGATTGTTCCAGCTACAGTCTTAGAAATTACAATTTCATGAGGAACTGGCAATGGATATTAAGGTAATATCACTTTGGGGGAAACTATCATATGAAAATAAAAGCTTCTGTTCATAAGGGTATATTTAAAACTCATTTATTAAAATATTGCTTAGAACTTGAAAATTCATCAGTAGGTGAATTGTTTGGAAAGTATGGTTTATCCATACAGTGAGATGTTATACACTTTTAAAAATAACTTGGATCTACATGTAGTAACCTGGAAAGAGGCCCATTATACACTGTTTAATGAAGAAAGCAAGTTTCTGAGTAATGTATATAACATGATTCCATTTATATACAGCATACACCAACAGCACACACTTTTATATATATAACTTAGGTCTTATATATATTTGCATGAGCAAAAAATAGAGAAGAGTACACAGTAAAATGTTAATATTACCTTAAGGGGGTGAAGTTTTAAATGAAAGAAAAATCTAGCAAAGTTTAAATTAAAATAAAATCCCCTGAGAAGAAAGGGATCAGAATGGTTACATGGTCCAGAAAGGAAAAGGTGGACTCAATCACAGCTTTGTTTTACCACCTCCACTCATTATGCGTTTTCAGGTCGGGTTGCCCTGACGCACCAGAGGTCAGCCCTATGCTAAGGCAGATGACAATGTGTTATGCCACAAGTGACATTGGTAAATAGTGCATTTGGAGAGAAAAGGCTATAAAACTTCTCATCTGTAAAAGTTTCCAAGGCATACAAGAACTTTGGTATCTTGGTAAAAAGAATGTGTCTCCAGGCACACTTGGAATCTACCATGCTTCTGGTTGAGGCCCTACAGCCTCCAGGGTCTCCCGGTCCATATCAGTAGATACTTCTTGCAGGGCCTACCTGACTGTAAGCCATTGATTATATTATATATATATATTTAACCTATGAGAACCAATGCATAAGACCCCCGATGGTACCTAAATCTATTATAACAGTTAGTATATTAGAGTTAGTCATTTAACCAACTCTTCCTGGAAGATAAGGGTCACCAGTGCAGAGATAAGTCTCTTCACCTTTTAGTCCAGAATACTTAGCACTTGCTTGGCCCATAGTCATATAAAGTTAACAGAAAAAAATATGTATTAAGTTATTGCACTGGAAAGACTGAATGGCTTCCAGTTGGCTTTCAGGGATTCCAGAGAGATTTCCCATAAAAAGGTGAGCCTTAATGAAAGATTTAAAAAGGAGGAAAGGAGTAGAGTATACAACGTCCACCCAGTAGAAAAAGCTAATTCTGTTGTGGCAGCACAACAGAATCTTTTGGGTCTTTCTCATCCTTAGAGAAAGGTAGGTAACAAGAGTATTCAACTTTTTAGAATAAAACAGCAGGATTAAGCTATAAATGCAGAAGTATTATACTAAGAAAATGCCTCCCAGATATTGTTAAAGCAAATAGTATCATATCCAGCACAAAACCGCAGTGAATTGATTTAATCAGACATTATCAGAGCAAGGAAGAAATAACATTCTGGTTTTAATGGCAAAAGAAAAATCCCACCTCATATTGCTTTGCAGGTATTGGTGGCACTCAGCGAGTTGTTCTTTGGAATGCAGTTTAAAAATATTGGGCCTTGGGTTAGGGAGGAATAGGACCACAGAGGCTTTTGTGTAGGAGAACGGCCCAGGTGTGGGGCTGCCTGGAGGCTCAGCCAGGTAGCTGGCTGCTGCAGCCTTGGCTTGGCTCCCATCTGGCCCAGAAGACACTAAGAACACTGCTGGGGTAGCTGCCATGAGGTGGTGATGGATCATGGCTCTGGCCTGATTCTCGAGGAGTCGTGGATTCACTGCAGTGTGCTGTGGCCATATGTGAACCCTGGCCATGTGTGAGGTCCCCTGGGAGGAGGAGGAGAAAACCACATAATATGTCGCCCCTTTCAGCAGCAACGACCATTGGAACAAGCTAGAGCCTGAGATTTCCCAGGCAGCATGGTCCGCAGTTAAAATGCTGCTTCCTGATTCTAGGGGCCTGGGATTTTGGGCAGCAGCAAAAGGAAGTGTTGGTTGGCCCCTGGAGATGAAGTATGGTACAGTCTTCACCTTCTGGGGTTCCAGCATGGGCTCAGAGTTGACAGGAGACAGAATTACAGAGTCCCAGCACAAGGCAGGTGGAACCTCAGAGGGCTTGCTCAACCTTCTGGCGTTTGTGGGGCCTCTACATCATTTACGCCAACAATTAATCTAACTGAGCCTTTCCAGTAATAGGAAACTCACTTCTTCTGCAGCATCTCACAAAGCTGGATAACCTTTGTAATTGTAACCCTCCCCAAGGGTCTCATCCCAACCATCAACACAGCTTTCCTCCAGTCCAGGCCTCTCAAGAACCTGTGAGTTAGAGATAGACCTCCTTACAGTGTGGGGTTCTTGTTTTGGATCTTCTGTAACTTAGGGATCTTCTTCCTCTGCAGGTGTTTTTGTCTCCAGATATTCTTGTCCAGTTGTCCTCCAATCATCACTGTCCCTTAGAATTAGAGGCTTAAAGAATCCTGATGCCCAAACCTCACTAAATCATACTCTCTGGGGGTAGAACTAAAGCACTGGTATTTTTAAAGCTCTCCAGATGATTCCACTGTATAGCCAAGGTTGAGAACCACTGTCTTGCTCCCTGAACCTGGTCAACTTCTTGAGGTTTATGCTATGGAATCAGGTATCTTAGATTTGAATCTTGCCTCTACCACTTGGGCAATTCCTTGTGTTTTTGTTTTCTCATCTGTTATATGGGGATAATTGTATCTACCTCAAAAAGCTGTTGAACGGGCTACATGAGAACACAGGTAGGTCAAGAATAATCTCTGGCATATAGTAAGTGTTCTATAAGACTTAGCAAGTGTTCTATAAAATTTAACTCATGTGCCTAGGACAGGGCCTAGCGAATGTTGACATAATATTTGTGCACTTGCCATGAGATAGGCATTGTTCTAAGCACTCTACTTTTGTTGTGTTGAAGATCTAGTATAAGAAAAATTACATAAATAAAATGCGTCTTCAGAACCTCTTTACCTGGTAGGGTCTATTGTTTCAAACTACCCATTTGACTCACACACTAGTGAACTCTCTGAACCCCTTATCATCCCACATGTTTTCTTGCCTCCCATGAAAATCTCCTTAAGAGTTCTACAGAAGATCTGTACCTGTAAAAGCATCCAACATGACTACATTAAGAGCTCATCAATGGTCAATTCAATATGTTTTGTTGCCTCTTGTTAAGGCTAGTGCCTATTAATGAGCTGGGCATTTAAGAGATGCCTAGTAAATTATTTGTGGGATGACTAAACTAATTAACCTGGTGAAAGACTATGCTAATATATTTTTGCAAAAGAGATAGAGAAAGACTGAATTCACAGGAATGGTAGGGATGCTGAGAAAATAGTTCTACAAAGTACCTACTATGTGCTAGGCACTTTTCACAATCATAAGATGTGAATGTTCAGGTCATCTCTTGGTGTATAACAAATCACCCCAAACTTCGTCTCTTAAAGTAATAATTAGCTTGCTTGTGAATTTGTTCTTAGGTGGTTACATAGCAGGAACAGCACCTCTTTGTTCTAAGACAGCTCAACAGGGGGCTAGAGTATCCACTTTCAAAACAGTTCACTCCTGTACTCCAGCCTTTATGGAACCACCCTAGTGGCATAGGCTCCTCACTCACAGCCCCAGGCTGGCTCTGGGTTGGATGGGTTGGGACAGAAAACTCTTGCCATGAAAATATAGCTCTCCATCTCAGCCTCTCCACTCCCCATTCCAAAGGGAGACGTGTCTGTGCTTGGGGAGAAGCCAAGCAAAGCAAAAGATTTCAACAGCGAAAGGAGGAAACACACCCACTGAGGTTCTCATAGCAACATAATCACGCACAGGCAGCAGCCTATTTCGGTGGGAGCTTGTTTCAGCTCCCCTCCTCCCTGGTTAGTCACAGAAGGCATGCACAAGCAGAAGCAGTGTTGGGTGGGGGCAGAGTGTCGGACTGAAAGTCAGGAGGCTGGGGAGCTGGGTCCTCTGCTTGCTGATGGACCATGGGCAAATGTCCTCCTCTCTCCAATCTTGGGGTCCTTATTTGTAAAATGAGAGGATTGGACCACAGAGCGGTGAGGATCATTTCTTTTCTGATTTCCTTTGATTGCACAAACACTGAGACACTTTTGGTAGGGAATTAGATGTCTCTCAGAATCTTTTGTCTCTGAGAAGATGCCTAGAGAAAAGGGAATTCAATAGGATAAAAGTCATTCTCCAGATTCACATTTATTTTCCTACCACTTTCTGCATGTTGACAGAACGGGAGGAACGACTGGGTGTTGTCAAGGATTCTGCTCACTCACCCCCAACTCTAACCCAGGTCTGTGTTCTGAGAAGGGAAAAGGTTAAGGAGGTTAAGGTCATCTTTTTATTCAAGTTTTCACACACACACACACACACACACACACGCGCGCACACACACACACACACACTCAAGCCTCTTGCTACATTTTCATCCTTCTCATTCTTCATCCTCTCCTGTCTCTATCCCTCACTTCTCACCTCTACTTAGTGCAATGTATCCTCTCTTTGCCCGAGGACCAGATGATGGAGGCATGTTTCCTACTGAGAATGATTCTAGACCTTTTCTTCAATGGACTCTGGGGTTAGTTGAGGACAGTCAGGCTCACACTTCCCAGTTATCGAAGGTGATGATAAAAAGCAAATAGGGCATTTGGGAGGGACCTCCCCAAACAAGTACAGAGATGAAGTGAAGACAGCCGGGTGCTCAGGGAGCATCTTATAGGTCTCAGTCCTTGACTCGTAGGTTGAAAGCTTAAAAGTACAGCTGTTTTAAGGAGTCAGCCTGAGTGTCCTGTTGCAAAGGGAGAGGCAGAATGGGGTCCCCCGCTTTTGTTCTATCTCCCACTGCCCGACAGATGGCCAGTAAAACAGAGAAAAAGAAGCTCTCAAAGTGAAGACAGGAATGCATTGTATAAAAATTCACACCCCCTGCTGCCGCCCAAACTCCCTTAAAAAAGGATCAAGAGAATCCTGACGGGTACGTGACATCCTCCCTCTCTCCCATAAAAGGGACTTCAAAATCTGGCGATGGTGGGGGAAGGGTGAGGAGGGAGAAGAGAAATGCGTGGGCAGGGGGCTGCCAGGGAAGACTGGAGTGGGGGGGGGGGCACTGCAGTCTCGCATTTGACTTTCTCCCACCCTCTTTCCCAAGCCACTCTGGCCGCCACCTTTGCCCCTCCCTCTCAGCCTGAAAGGGGCTTGGAGTCCCAAGGGCTTTGGGTACAAAGAGAGAGAGAGAGAGAGAGAGAGAGAGAGAGAGAGAGAGAGAGAAAAGGATAAAGAATGACACCACACTTACCCCTAGAGTTGAAGGAGTTAAGGACCCTCCCCCATCCAGACACCCACCCCTTCGTTCCCCAAATCGTAATTCGCCGAGGAAGGATCCAGGAACTGGCAGAGGAGCGGGAGAGCTGGGGTGGGCCGGGGTGGGGAGGGTGCGAGTTAACTGTGGCCCGGTCTCGCCCGGACCTCGCCCTAGGTGGGAGCACGCGCACCGGGTCTGAGAACCTGCAAGAGCCTCGCCCGGCGCCGGCTTTCTCTGGGCCCCCCGCGCGGGCCTGGCCTCCACGTAAGTTGTGTGCAGCGCCAGGGAGTGGAGGCGGCCGAGACCCTCGGAGACTAGGGGAGGGGGCGGGCCCGGGGGCGCTGGGGGCCCTCGGTCTGCGCCCAGCCGCCGCCGGCTCCAGCGAACCTCCTACCCCGCCCCCACTCACCCGGCTCAGCCCCTAGGAGAGACGCGCAGGAAGCGTGTTGCTTCGCCCAGCGGATCGGCAGAAGTTGAGAGGAGTTGGCGGCTGCCTCCGGCCGGCCGGACTTTGCGAGCAGCCTGGAGAGGATCCGCGACCGCCGCCGCCGCCGCCGCGGAGGCTTCGGGGCTGCTTCCCTCGAGCTTAGCCCGCAGCGCGGGTGGAGAGGGGCGGGGAGGGGGTCGGGGGCACGAGAAGAACTTGAAACCGTGTGAAGGAATCCGGAGCAGATGAGAAGGGAGGAAAATAAAAGAAAGTGGAGACTGCAGAACAGACTCCGCTGTGGCTGACTGTGCCGGCCGACGCTCCAGCTGAGGGGCTGGGTTGGATTTTTTTTTTTCTCCCATCCTCTCGCTCTCTCTTTTAAAGCGACACCAGCTCTCTCTCCTCCTCTACTATCTCGGTATCACCAAACCCTTGCCGGCTCTTATGGGCATGAAACACTCCTCCCGCTGCCTGCTCCTGAGGAGGAAAATGGCGGAGAACGCGGCCGAGAGCACCGAGGTAAGGAGGCGAGCGAGCAGGGGCTCTCGGAGACCCCGCCGCCCACCCGGACCACCGCGCCGCCGCCGCCGCTCAGCGCCGAGTGCCAAACTTTCCCCAGTTTCATCCCGCTCGCTTCTGCCGGCCTCCTCCTGTGTGTGTGTGTGTGTGTGTGTGTGTGTGTGTGTGTGTGTGTGTGTGTGTGTGTGTTGGTGGGGGGTGGGGGGGAAGTTCATGTCTCAGGTCCCCTCCCTCTTGAAAATGCAAAACAGTCACTCTCACCCCATCACCCTCTCCTGCCACCCGCTGCTCCCTTCTCCCGCCCCCAAGTCCCAAACCCCGGGCAGCCGCGCTCCCCTGCCCTCTCCTCTGGGCTCCGTGAGGGCTCCCGGGTCCCGGCTTTGTGCAGAGCTGGGGTGGGTAATCCTGGGGCCAGGTCTGCCCCCTGCAGTGCCTTGACCGTCTCCTGCCGCTGCCTCAGCTTTACCCTTCAAGCTCGAGTCGGTTCCCGAGCTCTCCGTCCCCGCAGCCGCGCGGAGAGCCCCCGGCCGCGGGGGCCGAGCCGGCAGGAGGACTCGGGCACCTCCTACAGACCCTCCGGCCCAGATCTGGGCCAGAGAGAAGTCTGCAATCCTCAGATATCAGAGCCGCCTCTGGGTAGCTAAACCCGGCAGGGCACACGGGCCGCGGCCACCTTCAGCACCAGGGACAGCGTCCGCCCCTGCAGCAGCCGAGCCTGCGCGGACTGTGGGGGCTGCGCGCCGCCGGCTGCAGTGAGAAATGGGTCTGCAGCCACCCGTCCCGCAAGGGCTTTTGAGGAGGTCGCTCTAGCTCCGCAAATTGTGTTCTCGGCCCCCGCCTTCGGCAGCCTTTTTCTCTACTCTCCAGCTGGCCCTGAGCCGCAGAGAGCCCTGCTGGGCTTTGCGTCCCGAGACTCGAGGCTGTGATCCCTCGCCTCCCTCTGACCCCGCTGTCATTACAACAACCGGACTATTCCGTAGGCTCTGGGCACCTGTAGTCACGAAGGGGATCAGCGTGGGCAGCCCCCTTACCTTCCTGGAGAAACGGTGCGCCGAGATGGGGGCGGAGTGGGGCATGTGTGTGAAGATCATCCCTTACTCAGTGGCAGGAAAAAGACACAGAGAGCAAACTCCCAGGCTCTATTAATAGCTGGGTGTCTGGTGGGGCTGCCGCACATTTCACATATGGTTACCCATATGCAGCGGGGGGCGGGGATGGGGGTGTGGCGCGGGGATTGTCCCTCTGTCTTGCCGGAATGCAAAAAGGTAGAGAGACCCTTCCTGGTCTTCTTCCCTCGAGTTCTTAACTCTGCGCTAAAACCCCTACCCCACGGCGTAGGCAGCAAAGCTTTATAAATCCCCCTTCTCTGAGAGACTAGAAGCAGCATGCATCTGACAATTGTCAATTTCAAAACAAACACGCTCCGGGACTTGAACGCAGCGGGGCATTCAGTAGCGAATGCTGTCTCCTTGAGTTAGGGCAAAGCCTGCGTGCCCGCCGTCCCCTCACCACTTCCTCTTCCCCAGCCCCCACCTGAGAGCAGACATTCGGAATGATGTGTAGTGCGAGGCGGCTAGCCTCCCAGCAGAAAGCCATCCTTACCATTCCCCTCACCCTCCGCCCTCTGATCGCCCACCCGCCGAAAGGGTTTCTAAAAATAGCCCAGGGCTTCAAGGCCGCGCTTCTGTGAAGTGTGGAGCGAGCGGGCACGTAGCGGTCTCTGCCAGGTGGCTGGAGCCCTGGAAGCGAGAAGGCGCTTCCTCCCTGCATTTCCACCTCACCCCACCCCCGGCTCATTTTTCTAAGAAAAAGTTTTTGCGGTTCCCTTTGCCTCCTACCCCCGCTGCCGCGCGGGGTCTGGGTGCAGACCCCTGCCAGGTTCCGCAGTGTGCAGCGGCGGCTGCTGCGCTCTCCCAGCCTCGGCGAGGGTTAAAGGCGTCCGGAGCAGGCAGAGCGCCGCGCGCCAGTCTATTTTTACTTGCTTCCCCCGCCGCTCCGCGCTCCCCCTTCTCAGCAGTTGCACATGCCAGCTCTGCTGAAGGCATCAATGAAAACAGCAGTAGGGGCGGCCGGGCTCCTGCGAACAACAACAAAACAAACAAACAAAAAACCACGTCGCGTGCGGGGCACCAAGGCGGTGCGGGGAGGGACAGACCCAGCTGGGGCTCCTTGGAGGGGTGTGAGCCAGGTTGGCGGATCGGTTCTTAGCAACTTCCCTGGAGAAGGGGTAGAACCCAGACTTGGTCAAACGTGCCTAGCGGAGGCATCCAGGCAGCGTGACAATCACTTGGTTTCCCTCCAGGAACTGGCTGTTTTTGGAATAAGCCAGGACTAGAGCAGCACTTCCAAAAGTGGGGTGTTGTGGACTTGCCTGCATTTATGGTAGATGAGAGCGGCAGGAGCACGCCTCCACGTGTGTCAGTGGGTGGTGGGGAGCGTGGTAGTGGTCCTAGTTCTGAATTCCACACCTCTTTGTCAAGCACCGGCTCTGTACCAGGAAAGCTAGGTACCCAAGTTCCAAACATGAGGACCACCTGGTCCCTCCTCTGGAGGGGCTCACAGTCTCATGGACAACTATGATGGATAATCCTGTAGCCACCTTTTCCTGCTTTTTGTTGTTTATCTCATTCCATCCTCACAACAATCCTGTGAGATAAGCAAAGATTAGTATTCATTTCTTATACCCATTTTATAGTTGAGGACACCGAGGCTGAGGTCAAGCAATTGCTGAAAGTCTTCTGGTGGGTTAAGTCAGCCCTGAAACACAGACTGCCCCCACTTCTGATTCATTGCTGTTTGCCCTGCCCTTGCTATTTCTAACAAGATGCCATGTGTGAATGGGAGTAGATGAGGAGTGGGCAGAGAGGAATACTTTGGAAGGGAGAGATGCAGTGATGGAGGTGGGCAAGGATGGGAGAAAGTGTTCGTTCAAAAGCTAAAGCTACGGAGAGATACTCTAACCATTGGGCAGGAAGGGAGCAAGTGAAGAATAAAACTACTTACATTTTGACCAAAGCCTCCCTCCACAAAGCGAAGTACCCAGCTAGGGTACGAGAGCATCAACATCACGTGCTTGCTGGACACTGTTGGCAATGGGTGGCCCTGGGGGCACTCTTCAACCGCTCTGACCTCAGTTCCCTTCTCTGTTAACTTGAGCTGATTCTCCTCATGGAATAGGGCAGGTATGGGTATAAGGAAATGCCAGGACAGCCCCTGGCACATGGCAAACACGCAATAGTGTTAGTTCCATGTACGCTTTCTCCTGATCACTCAGCTATGCTTCTCTTCCTCGGCTAAGGGAATCACCATTCTGCCAGCCTCTTCTCCCTCTCCCCTGTTCCCTAGGTGTCATGAGAAACCTCCTCTGTGGCCTTCTGGAACATTTGCAAAGCCTCCAGTCCCACTCTCCTCTTCAGCCCATTGTCAGTGCCCAAGACACATCATCTCACCTCTGCCCTCACTAAGGCACTTTCCTCTGAACTGTTTGTCCTCTTCTCTAATCAAGCCTCATAATCCTACTGTACTGGATCAGCTTTCTGAAGCACAAATCTGCTCATGATCAGGCATCTCTTTAAAAACTTAGGATGCTGTCCTATTGCCTACAGGACGCTAGATAAAGCCCAGTTTCCTTAGCATGGTGTGCAAAGCCCATCAATACCTGCATCATGCAATTCTTGGAAAAGACCTCCGACTGCATATGTGAATGCTTCTGTGCATACTCTTCCCTCTGCCTGTGCCGGTCTTTCCTCCTTCTTCTCTCTGGAAAACAATCTTTTTCAACCTGCAAGACCCAGCTCAAACGTTACCTCCTCTGGGCAGGCTTCCCAGATCTGCCATTTATCCTCTCTCCCCAGGGAGGGGCATTACCCTTTCTTATGTGTTCCTAACGCCTGTCTCTCACTTTTCCTATTGCAAGATAATTGGCTTTTTGTGTGTCTATTTATATGTCTATTAGATAATGCACTTTTTTTTGAATTTGTGGGCCTGACACACAATAAGTAATAAATGTTAATAAATGTTGACTGAATTGATGTATGTGATTGTGAACAAACTCTTGAGCCTAATGGGCTTTAGTCACTCATGGCTTCCTGGAAATTGGGATTCCTATCTCCCACCCCACCTGTCTGCTGTACTTAGTTGCTGTGAACCTTTGAAACTCAAAATGGGTAAATATTCTGGGAATCAAGGTGCTGAAGCCAGTCAAATCATGGGTACATTTTGGTTATTCATGTACTTATTCAATATTCAGTAATTATCGACTCTTACTATGGAGTGCTCATCTGAATAGCAGATAAATGGATTAATCACAATGCCCAATTATGAACCATGGGGGATAATGGACCCTCCTGAGCTACTGCTTGCTTTACTGATACTTGGTGAAAGTCTGATGCATGATGCATTATTTATGGCGATGACTCCCTGATTAGGGTTTTATCACCTCAAAGGAGAGCCCCCAGGAGTTGGGAAACAGTTTTAGCAAAGAGTCACTTTGGAAACTGATATATATATATATATTTTTTTTTTTTTTTTTTTTTTTTTTGAATGTTCTGTTGACTTGCTGGCCCAGGGAGAGGGAATAATTACAGGTTGGAAAAAATCCTACAATGTGACAATGAGATTAGGGGTTGCAGTGAGTTATGGGGATAACTGAGCTGACTTCTTGCATGGTGTATCTTGGTGGTTTTGGCTAATAGATCTTTCTCCTCAGGAAGTTACTTTCAGCTGAAGAATGTGGTCCCATTATTACAGGGGTTAGGGAATTGAGGAAGAGGAGGAACCAGGCATAGTTCTCTGAGGATGGTCTTCATCTATGTCTGTTTCTGCAGAGTGTGTACACTAACTAGTAGGCTATGGAGACAGACTTCCTGGTTTTCAATCCAGTTCTGGACCTAGTAGATGTGTTGCTACATTGAGCAAGTTGCTTAATGTCTCTGGGCCTTTTAAGATTGTTGTGAAGATGAAAAGGGTTAATTTATGCAAAGGAATTAGAACATTGCCTTATACATGGTGAGTTCTCAATAAGCGTTTATGATTATTATCCTGCTAGCTTTTAGGAGTCTTGCCAAAAAAGTGCAAACTGAAAGTATTCTCCCACTTTCTCATTTCTGTAGCTGAAATGATCCATAAAACCATAGTCCATGTGACTTTTTCCTCCCTCCGCAAACACTGATTTCAGTCCTTAAGTGAGCTCAGGAGAATTAAGAAGATACCCAATTTTTTTTTTTTTTTTTTTGCCTGGCTAATTTGGCTTTTCAGAGTCCTAAATTGGCTTTTGGCTGTCAAAGACAGTGAAACACAACACTCCTGTCTCCAATTCAGGAGTGGGTTTCATTTCCTCCTCTTTGCTAACTGCAATGTGAAGTGATTATCACATACCAGTGTGGAACATGCAAAAATCTGTAAAAACAGTCCTTACACCTTGGAGTCTACTCTGCCAGCAGGGGGAAAATGGGCAGCCTGAAAATATGTGAACAGCCAAGGTAACTGAAAGCAGCCTCTGTGTGTGAGAAGCAAGCAGGTGGTGCTGTTGTGAACTGGCTTAGTAACAAGATAGAGTGAGCACAGGCAAGAAGGGACCTCTGAAAGGTCATTCTGTCCATGCCTCTGTCCCTGAGAACCACCTAACCGAAGATGCATTGTTGGCCACTTGGTCTCTTGTTAAAAAGCTTCAGAGAAGGGAATTTCCCCAAACTCCTCGAGTGTCTCAGTAGTCGGAAGTTCTCCCTGAAGTCTGAGCTCAACCTCTTCGATTGCAATCTGAGTCACCTTCGTTTATGTTATTCTAAAAAGAGATGAAAACTGGCTGCTACCTTTTCATTTGGGGTTGTCTCACCATTTTTACTAGTTTTTGTTCCAATTGATTCCAATCCCTTTTTCTGATATTCTGGTATTAGACTTCTAATAGGAATAGCTAGGAGAGGAGTGTTTGAGATTTGCCTCTCCAGTATTATCCAGCCAAAATAGCCACTGGATATTTCACACATCAAATGTCTTTTCTTACTTCACTTGTTATAAGAATTCCCTCAAGCATCACAGTTTTTCCCATATTTGTAATGAGTGGCCCATAAGTAAAGATCTCTTTTTAAAGTGTAATTTTATATTGAGCAAACAGCTTGATGTGCGTATTTTCATAAAGTCATAGAATGTTAAAGTTGGGTGGAAACTCAAATCACTTAAGTCAGGAGATAGGAACTACTTGTCCAATATCACAGAGCTCTTCCGTGTTGGGGTCAAGATCCTGTGGACTCCTGGGTCTGTGCTCTTTATACCTCCTTTAAACGTAGCATCTCATTTATTGTTTTTATTTTTTGTGCCAACTTTCTGGTATATCCTGATCTGTACTGTCTAAGACCAGTGTTTCTCTGCATAAGGTCTAGGAATTGTGCATAGTGAGAGCTCTGACCTTCTTGTAGAACTTAAAATGCTCGCTTATTACATTGCATTGTGTGCAATGCTGTGAATTACATATATCCCCATTGTATGGATTAATAAACTGAAGCACAGAGAGTTACTGTTATTTGCTCAAAATCCCACAGCTGGTAAGTGATGAGGCTAGAGCTCAAAGTCTGGTTTTCTAATCACCAAAATGCTTTTTCTAGTCCGCTAGGCTGCGAAGGCATGAGAAGAACCAGAGTACAAACTTAAAATGTGAAGAGAAAGGGTGGAGAAATTAACAGCAGGAATGTGGAATGGTGAATTTGGAAGAAGCCTAGGAAGAGACACCAGCCCAGCTTTCCTTTTTCCAGGACGTCTTTTCTTGCTTCCACCGCCATCTTGCCATCCTCACTTTCACAGTCTCCAGTACTGTGCCGTGTGAGTGACAGGGGCCTGACATAATTGTGGCAGGGACAGCCATCACCTCACTCTCCCTGCGCATCTAAACTATCCCTAGGCGTGGGTTCCTAGCTGGACCCAGTAGACAATGTACTTGTCTAACAAAGTATAGCTCTTCGGAAGCTTGACCCTAGGCCATCAATATTAGATCTGGACTCTCATCCAGCTACTTTATTGGGATAAAATGAATACTAAAGTCTCCAGGACAGGAACTTTGTTTCTTAAAATTTATCTTTGTAGTTTCATCACCTGTATTACCCTCCTAGGTCTGCTGTAATAAAGTACCACAAACTGGGTGGCTTTAAAACAACGAGATGTCTTCTTCCACAGTTCTGGAAGCCAGAAGTCTGAAATCCAGATGCCAGCAGGGTTGGTTCCTCTTGAAGTCTTCATGGAGAATCTGTTCCTTGCCTTTCTTCTGGTTTCCCGTGGTGGCCAACGATGCTCAGCCTTCCTTGGCTATAGACACATCATCTGGTCTCTGCCTTCATCTTCACAGGGCATTCTTTCCTGTGTGTGTCTATACGTCTTCTTATAAGGACAACAGTCTTGTTGGATTAGGGGCCACTCTAATCCAATATGACTTCATCTTAACTTGATAACATCTGCAAAGACCCTATTTTTATTTTTATTTATTTATTTATTTTTTTTTTCCTTTCTTTTTTTTTTTTTTTATTATACTCTAAGTTTTAGGGTACATGTGCACATTGTGCAGGTTAGTTACATATGTATACATGTGCCATGCTGGTGCACTGCACCCACTAATGTGTCATCTAGCATTAGGTATATCTCCCAATGCTATCCCTCCCCCCTCCCCCCGACCCCACCACAGTCCCCAGAGTGTGATATTCCCCTTCCTGTGTCCATGTGATCTCATTGTTCAATTCCCACCTATGAGTGAGAATATGCGGTGTTAGGTTTTTTGTTCTTGCGATAGTTTACTGAGAATGATGGTTTCCAATTTCATCCATGTCCCTACAAAGGATATGAACTCATCATTTTTTATGGCTGCATAGTATTCCATGGTGTATATGTGCCACATTTTCTTAATCCAGTCTATCATTGTTGGACATTTGGGTTGGTTCCAAGTCTTTGCTATTGTGAATAGTGCCGCAATAAACATACGTGTGCATGTGTCTTTATAGCAGCATGATTTATAGTCCTTTGGGTATATACCCAGTAATGGGATGGCTGGGTCAAATGGTATTTCTAGTTCTAGATCCCTGAGGAATCGCCACACTGACTTCCACAATGGTTGAACTAGTTTACAGTCCCACCAACAGTGTAAAAGTGTTCCTATTTCTCCACATCCTCTCCAGCACCTGTTGTTTCCTGACTTTTTAATGATTGCCATTCTAACTGGTGTGAGATGATATCTCATAGTGGTTTTGATTTGCATTTCTCTGATGGCCAGTGATGATGAGCATTTCTTCATGTGTTTTTTGGCTGCATAAATGTCTTCTTTTGAGAAGTGTCTGTTCATGTCCTTCGCCCACTTTTTGATGGGGTTGTTTGTTTTTTTCTTGTAAATTTGTTTGAGTTCATTGTAGATTCTGGATATTAGCCCTTTGTCAGATGAGTAGGTTGCGAAAATTTTCTCCCATGTTGTAGGTTGCCTGTTCACTCTGATGGTAGTTTCTTTTGCTGTGCAGAAGCTCTTTAGTTTAATTAGATCCCATTTGTCAATTTTGGCTTTTGTTGCCATTGCTTTTGGTGTTTTGGACATGAAGTCCTTGCCCACGCCTATGTCCTGAATGGTAATGCCTAGGTTTTCTTCTAGGGTTTTTATGGTTTTAGGTCTAACGTTTAAATCTTTAATCCATCTTGAATTGATTTTTGTATAAGGTGTAAGGAAGGGATCCAGTTTCAGCTTTCTACATATGGCTAGCCAGTTTTCCCAGCACCATTTATTAAATAGGGAATCCTTTCCCCATTGCTTGTTTTTCTCAGGTTTGTCAAAGATCAGATAGTTGTAGATATGCGGCATTATTTCTGAGGGCTCTGTTCTGTTCCATTGATCTATATCTCTGTTTTGGTACCAGTACCATGCTGTTTTGGTTACTGTAGCCTTGTAGTATAGTTTGAAGTCAGGTAGTGTGATGCCTCCAGCTTTGTTCTTTTGGCTTAGGATTGACTTGGCGATGCGGGCTCTTTTTTGGTTCCATATGAACTTTAAAGTAGTTTTTTCCAATTCTGTGAAGAAAGTCATTGGTAGCTTGATGGGGATGGCATTGAATCTGTAAATTACCTTGGGCAGTATGGCCATTTTCACGATATTGATTCTTCCTACCCATGAGCATGGAATGTTCTTCCATTTGTTTGTGTCCTCTTTTATTTCCTTGAGCAGTGGTTTGTAGTTCTCCTTGAAGAGGTCCTTCACATCCCTTGTAAGTTGGATTCCTAGGTATTTTATTCTCTTTGAAGCAATTGTGAATGGGAGTTCACCCATGATTTGGCTCTCTGTTTGTCTGTTGTTGGTGTATAAGAATGCTTGTGATTTTTGTACATTGATTTTGTATCCTGAGACTTTGCTGAAGTTGCTTATCAGCTTAAGGAGATTTTGGGCTGAGACGATGGGGTTTTCTAGATAAACAATCATGTCGTCTGCAAACAGGGACAATTTGACTTCCTCTTTTCCTAATTGAATACCCTTTATTTCCTTCTCCTGCCTGATTGCCCTGGCCAGAACTTCCAACACTATGTTGAATAGGAGCGGTGAGAGAGGGCATCCCTGTCTTGTGCCAGTTTTCAAAGGGAATGCTTCCAGTTTTTGCCCATTCAGTATGATATTGGCTGTGGGTTTGTCATAGATAGCTCTTATTATTTTGAAATACGTCCCATCAATACCTAATTTATTGAGAGTTTTTAGCATGAAGGGTTGTTGAATTTTGTCAAAGGCTTTTTCTGCATCTATTGAGATAATCATGTGGTTTTTGTCTTTGGCTCTGTTTATATGCTGGATTACATTTATTGATTTGCGTATATTGAACCAGCCTTGCATCCCAGGGATGAAGCCCACTTGATCATGGTGGATAAGCTTTTTGATGTGCTGCTGGATTCGGTTTGCCAGTATTTTATTGAGGATTTTTGCATCAATGTTCATCAAGGATATTGGTCTAAAATTCTCTTTTTTGGTTGTGTCTCTGCCCGGCTTTGGTGTCAGAATGATGCTGGCCTCATAAAATGAGTTAGGGAGGATTCCCTCTTTTCCTATTGATTGGAATAGTTTCAGAAGGAATGGTACCAGTTCCTCCTTGTACCTCTGGTAGAATTCGGCTGTGAATCCATCTGGTCCTGGACTCTTTTTGGTTGGTAAACTATTGATTATTGCCACAATTTCAGAGCCTGTTATTGGTCTATTCAGAGATTCAACTTCTTCCTGGTTTAGTCTTGGGAGAGTGTATGTGTCGAGGAATGTATCCATTTCTTCTAGATTTTCTAGTTTATTTGCGTAGAGGTGTTTGTAGTATTCTCTGATGGTAGTTTGTATTTCTGTGGGATCGGTGGTGATATCCCCTTTATCATTTTTTATTGTGTCTATTTGATTCTTCTCTCTTTTTTTCTTTATTAGTCTTGCTAGTGGTCTATCAATTTTGTTGATCCTTTCAAAAAACCAGCTCCTGGATTCATTGATTTTTTGAAGGGTTTTTTGTGTCTCTATTTCCTTCAGTTCTGCTCTGATTTTAGTTATTTCTTGCCTTCTGCTAGCTTTTGAATGTGTTTGCTCTTGCTTTTCTAGTTCTTTTAATTGTGATGTTAGGCTGTCAATTTTGGATCTTTCCTGCTTTCTCTTGTAGGCATTTAGTGCTATAAATTTCCCTCTACACACTGCTTTGAATGCGTCCCAGAGATTCTGGTATGTGGTGTCTTTGTTCTCGTTGGTTTCAAAGAACATCTTTATTTCTGCCTTCATTTCGTTATGTACCCAGTAGTCATTCAGGAGCAGGTTGTTCAGTTTCCATGTAGTTGAGTGGCTTTGAGTGAGATTCTTAATCCTGATTTCTAGTTTGATTGCACTGTGGTCTGAGAGATAGTTTGTTATAATTTCTGTTCTTTTACATTTGCTGAGGAGAGCTTTACTTCCAACTATGTGGTCAATTTTGGAATAGGTGTGGTGTGGTGCTGAAAAAAATGTATATTCTGTTGATTTGGGGTGGAGAGTTCTGTAGATGTCTATTAGGTCTGCTTGGTGCAGAGCTGAGTTCAATTCCTGGGTATCCTTGTTGACTTTCTGTCTCGTTGATCTGTCTAATGTTGACAGTGGGGTGTTAAAGTCTCCCATTATTAATGTGTGGGAGTCTAAGTCTCTTTGTAGGTCACTGAGGACTTGCTTTATGAATCTGGGTGCTCCTGTATTGGGTGCATAAATATTTAGGATAGTTAGCTCCTCTTGTTGAATTGATCCCTTTACCATTATGTAATGGCCTTCTTTGTCTCTTTTGATCTTTGTTGGTTTAAAGTCTGTTTTATCAGAGACTAGGATTGCAACCCCTGCCTTTTTTTGTTTTCCATTTGCTTGGTAGATCTTCCTCCATCCTGTTATTTTGAGCCTATGTGTGTCTCTGCACGTGAGATGGGTTTCCTGAATACAGCACACTGATGGGTCTTGACTCTTTATCCAACTTGCCAGTCTGTGTCTTTTAATTGCAGAATTTAGTCCATTTATATTTAAAGTTAATATTGTTATGTGTGAATTTGATCCTGTCATTATGATGTTAGCTGGTGATTTTGCTCATTAGTTGATGCAGTTTCTTCCTAGTCTCGATGGTCTTTACATTTTGGCATGATTTTGCAGCGGCTGGTACCGGTTGTTCCTTTCCATGTTTAGCGCTTCCTTCAGGAGCTCTTTTAGGGCAGGCCTGGTGGTGACAAAATCTCTCAGCATTTGCTTGTCTATAAAGTATTTTATTTCTCCTTCACTTATGAAGCTTAGTTTGGCTGGATATGAAATTCTGGGTTGAAAATTCTTTTCTTTAAGAATGTTGAATATTGGCCCCCACTCTCTTCTGGCTTGTAGGGTTTCTGCCAAGAGATCCGCTGTTAGTCTGATGGGCTTTCCTTTGAGGGTAACCCGACCTTTCTCTCTGGCTGCCCTTAACATTTTTTCCTTCATTTCAACTTTGGTGAATCTGACAATTATGTGTCTTGGAGTTGCTCTTCTCGAGGAGTATCTTTGTGGCGTTCTCTGTATTTCCTGAATCTGAACGTTGGCCTGCCTTGCTAGATTGGGGAAGTTCTCCTGGATAATATCCTGCAGAGTGTTTTCCAACTTGGTTCCATTCTCCACATCACTTTCAGGTACACCAATCAGACGTAGATTTGGTCTTTTCACATAGTCCCATATTTCTTGGAGGCTTTGCTCATTTCTTTTTATTCTTTTTTCTCTAAACTTCCCTTCTCGCTTCATTTCATTCATTTCATCTTCCATTGCTGATACCCTTTCTTCCAGTTGATCGCATCGGCTCCTGAGGCTTCTGCATTCTTCACGTAGTTCTCGAGCCTTGGTTTTCAGCTCCATCAGCTCCTTTAAGCACTTCTCTGTATTGGTTATTCTAGTTATACATTCTTCTAAATTTTTTTCAAAGTTTTCAACTTCTTTGCCTTTGGTTTGAATGTCCTCCCGTAGCTCAGAGTAATTTGATCGTCTGAAGCCTTCTTCTCTCAGCTCGTCAAAATCATTCTCCATCCAGCTTTGTTCTGTTGCTGGTGAGGAACTGCGTTCCTTTGGAGGAGGAGAGACGCTCTGCGTTTTAGAGTTTCCAGTTTTTCTGTTCTGTTTTTTCCCCATCTTTGTGGTTTTATCTACTTTTGGTCTTTGATGATGGTGATGTACAGATGGGTTTTCGGTGTAGATGTCCTTTCTGGTTGTTAGTTTTCCTTCTAACAGACAGGACCCTCAGCTGCAGGTCTGCTGGAATACCCTGCCGTGTGAGGTGTCAGTGTGCCCCTGGTGGGGGGTGCCTCCCAGTTAGGCTGCTCGGGGGTCAGGGGTCAGGGACCCACTTGAGGAGGCAGTCTGCCCGTTCTCAGATCTCCAGCTGTGTGCTGGGAGAACCACTGCTCTCTTCAAAGCTGTCAGACAGGGACACTTAAGTCTGCAGAGGTTACTGCTGTCTTTTTGTTTGTCTGTGCCCTGCCCCCAGAGGTGGAGCCTACAGAGGCAGGCAGGCCTCCTTGAGCTGTGGTGGGCTCCACCCAGTTCGAGCTTCCCGGCTGCTTTGTTTACCTAAGCAAGCCTGGGCAATGGCGGGCGCCCCTCCCCCAGCCTCGTTGCCGCCTTGCAGTTTGATCTCAGACTGCTGTGCTAGCAATCAGCGAGATTCCGTGGGCGTAGGACCCTCTGAGCCAGGTGTGGGATATAGTCTCGTGGTGCGCCGTTTCTTAAGCCGGTCTGAAAAGCGCAATATTCGGGTGGGAGTGACCCGATTTTCCAGGTGCGTCCGTCACCCCTTTCTTTGACTCGGAAAGGGAACTCCCTGACCCCTTGCGCTTCCCAGGTGAGGCAATGCCTCGCCCTGCTTCGGCTCGCGCACGGTGCGCACACACACTGGCCTGCGCCCACTGTCTGGCACTCCCTAGTGAGATGAACCCGGTACCTCAGATGGAAATGCAGAAATCACCCGTCTTCTGCGTTGCTCACGCTGGGAGCTGTAGACCGGAGCTGTTCCTATTCGGCCATCTTGGCTCCTCCTCCCCAAGACCCTATTTTTAAATGAGCTCACTGTCACAGGTACTGGGGGTTTAGGACTTCGACACATGTTTTTGGATGACACAATTCAACCCATGATGTTACTCAACACGGTGCCCGCCATATAGCAAATGGCTGATGAATGGCCTCAGAATAGTTGCAAGTCCGAGAAAGTGGTCTCTCTCCCTTATCTCTTTCCTGCTTCTCACTCAGCTGCACACTGCACCCACTGGCTTCCCAGGGTCTTTATCATGGCTTTTTCCTTGTGCAGTAGCAATCACTATAGCAAGAGCTACCATTTTAGCATACATATTATGGGTTGGGTGCTGTGTCAGTCACTTTGTAAACATTGCCTTATTTAATTTACTCAACAACATTGCAAAGCAACTCTTATTAATTCTGTTTTGCAATTAAGGAAACTGAAATTTGCAGAGTTTCATTATCCTGATCAACATTATGGAGCCAGTAAGTAGCAGAGCTGGAATGCTCTCTGCTGTTGACATGGCCTCCTTCCTCTCTTTTGTCCACACTCCCAACCCCAGGCTTGTCCTAACCTTTGCTCCACACCAGCTCCTACCCACCTGGAGATTTGGAAGATACACTTCCACGTGTGGAAACGAGCCTATAACTGATTGGAGCTTGTGGCCCTGTAATAGGCTCCCTGGGTTAGATCCCCTCATCTTCCTAGCGGTTTTGCTTTGTAGTTGTCAGAGGAATTACTTTAGTGGTAAACTTGGGCGCTGATCAGCAGCTTATTTGAAGGGCTCTTCTGGAGGGCAGGAAGGACAATAAATAACTAAAACATGTAGGCCCACCGACTTCTCAGCCTGTAGCAGTTCTGTGTGGGGGTTAATTGTGCAGGCTCTGGGGTTAGTGTGGGGCTGCTAGCTGGGTTCAAGCTCAGCTCTGCTGCTTCCTAGCTTGCATCGCTTACTGCAGTTATCTGTGTGTGGGATTCATCCTCTATGATATGTATGGGTAGTGGTGCATTATCCCATAGGGTTATCATAGGGACTAAGTGAGTTATTTCACATAAAGCACATGTCTGGCACATGGTAAATACTCAAGAAAGATTAGCTTTATTAGTAATCTGGGCTTACCCAACAGTATATGAAAGGAGAACAGATAAGTACAGGGCCTTGTTTGTGACAGTGTGGAATCGGCACTGGAAGAGACGGGAGCAGAACAGTTGAGGGAAGGCACCTTTGATTCAGGCAATTCATCCTCAGGTTAGCCAGGTGGAGTCAAGAAAGCAGCTGAAGACAGTGCTCTTTAGCTTCCCTGCCCAGAGGTCCACTGTGCCATGTGAAGGGCCCATTACAGGAGGAACAGGGAGCCTCGTGACCCACAGGCTGCCTACCGCACTCCAGGCTCACTCCCAGCTTTGGGATGTAGAACTCAGGTGTTTGTCCACATCTATCAAATGAAAATGAAGCCTCATGGAGTTCCTACAGGTGTGAGGGAATGGGGGCACGGAAGAGAAGTGGTCATTCTCTACGGGAGGCTCCCTCGAGATAGACACGCTGTCTCAGGCTTCTCTCAGGCTTGACACACCACTCAAGCCTTGCTCAATTCCTACATGTTGATTACTGGACTGATTGGTGACTTTCCCCTGTGCTCCTACCGAGAGAAACTGAGGCATGGATAGGAGGTAGGAGAGAGAGATACACAGGCTGACATGACAATTTGGAGGTTTAATTATTGAGTTAAATTCCCCGTCTTCTTGGCGCTAAATCCTGCAGAATATAAGCTGTGTGAGTGGTACAGCTAAGGCCAAATTGGGCTAATGCCACTATAAGGGGAAGGGCTGTTAACAAATTCCTCAATTAGGGCCCCATTTGTCACTGTATTGTGAAATATCATCTCTTGTTAGCTAAAGTAAAGCGGTGGCCTTTCTTTTTTTTTTTTTTTTTTTTTGAGACGGAGTCTCGCTCTTTCACCCAGGCTGGAGTGCAGTGGCGCCATCTCAGCTTACTGCAAGCTCCGCCTCCCGGGTTCACGCCATTCTCCTGCCTCAGCCTCCCGAGTAGCTGAGACTCCAGGTGCCCGCCACTGCGCCCGGCTAATTTTTTGTATTTTTAGTAGAGATGGCGTTTCACCGTGTTAGCCAGGATGGTCTCGATCTCCTGACCTCGTGATCCGCCCGCCTCGGCCTCCCAAAACGCTGGGATTACAGGCGTGAACCACCGCGCCCAGCCAAGTGGTGGCCTTTCAAGCCTGGGTCTCCCAGAAAATGAAAGACTATAATTCCCATAGTCACATTAAATTCAAGGACTTCCTCTCTCTCTGACAAGCAGTTATGACAGTAATTCTCTGGGGAGGCTCAGTCAAAGGATTCCACAAATGATTATAGCCCATCAGAAGTGTAGATAGGGCCCTAATTAAGGCATGTTCTCTATTAACATGCATTAGTTCAGTTTTCGCCCACAGGTACATAGTAGAAAATTGACGACTACTCTTATTGAATGAGTAAAGAAAATAAACCTGTATATAGCACATACTATTCCTTTTGTTAGAATTCTTTTTCTTCTCCTTCTTTTTTTTTTTTTTTTTTGAGATAGAGTCTTGCTCTGTCACCCAGGCTGGAGTGCAGTGGTGCGATCTCGGATCACTGCAACCTCTGCCTCCCGGGTTCATGCAGTTCCCCTGCCTCAGCCTCCTGAGTACCTGGGATTATAGGTGTGTGCCACCACGCCCTGCTAATTTTTGTATTCTTTCCCCTTTTTTCCCACATTAAAGCTGTTGACCCAGTATGGTGTAGGGGAGAGTATAATAGTCAGATCTGATTTTGGATCTCACTTTCATCCCTGTGGGATTATAAATCCCATTTTATAGGCTGGCCATGAGGATTACATTTGATAATGGGATACGACATAAAGCTGGTAGATGTTTTCTTCTTTTTCTTACTGTTACAACTTTAAGATTTTTTTCTGCCCAGTTGTTGTTTCACTTTTAGGAGAAAATTTATAGTTCATAATGGGAATAGTCAATTCTGATGTTCACCGAAAGTAGATATAAATGACCTATTCCAGACAGACTGCAGGGTGTCGGGATGTTTCTGTGTGGGGATATGTACACGCTTCTGAGTCAGTAGGTGCGTCATGCAGGAGAACATGCTCATATACAAACATACATATCCTGTGTGATTTGTAGTTCATAATATGTGAGACATGAGGTACAAGTTTAATTACCGGCCTGGAGCTTCTGAGCTACACACAGGGTCTGACATCTGAACGCGGGAGAGTGTGTTTCCTGTGAGAAACATGTTAAGGTGAGGCCGGGCGTGGGAATAGTTGAGGGAGAGTCTTGTAAAGATAGATCCGAGTTTTAGGGTCAGAGACGTTATGCAGCCCTGACTTTGCAGCTGATGTGCTTCGTTGATTCTGTGAGTTGTGGTGCTGTGGGCTTGTTCCAGGCAGGGTTCTGGTCACCTTCTCTGCCTGCTGTCTCCGGGTGACCCCATCCACTCTCTCAGCGTCATGACCAGTTCCCATTCTCAGACTGCAGCCCACATCTCTCCTCTGAGATACGCGAGGCATAGCTGCCTGCCTGCGGGACATCTTCACTGAGATGTCTCATAGGCACCTCAGGTTCGCTGGGTTGCCTCCGGAGTCCTGCCCTCTTCCCAGCTCCTGCCATTCTCACTTTTCTTGGTAATAAGTCACCAAAATCACAAGCCTGAACTCTGCTCTCTCCTTTCTCCATAACAAGACCTGGCGATTCTACATCTGAAATGTTTCTCCTCTTTGTCCTGAATCTGTCCTCCCCATTCCAGGCCCACTGTGGCCGTCCCTGTTCGTGTCTCTTCACCTCTGGCCTGGATCTCTGCAGTGATCTTTTAGATGTTGTCTTGGTTCTCCTATCACAGCAGTGTGAGTGCATATTCTAGAATAGAAACCTGATTATGCTTCTCCCTTCCTTAAACCCCATCAGTGGCTTTTCCATTATTCTTAGGATCATGACCCACTCCTCACCCGGGCTCAGGAGCCCCTGTGTAATCATGCCCCTGAGTCCTCTTCCATCCCCATTTCTTACAAGCCCTTCCCTCTGCTCCAGCCACACTCAGCTGCCTACCTCCCTTCCTCGACTCGTTGCTCCTACTCTCTCTTCAGGTCTCAGTGTGGATGTCGCTTCTTCCAAGAAGGCTTTCCTGCTACCACCTTCAGATCCAAGTCTCCTCCTATGTTATCCTATAGTACCAGTTCCTGCTGTCTCAGCGCATATCGCCTTGTGCTTTATTTCCCTATTTCCTCATCTAGAAGTCAACCATCAACTTTGTGAGAGTAGACACTGTTTATGCTCTTTACCACTGAACCCCAGCATCTACCACGATAGCTGGTGCCTGCTAGAGACTTAAAACTATTTGTTCAATGAACTATCATTGGCCACATGTACCTTTCCTGTATGAAAAAAAATGTTCTATGGATGCTAGCAATTAAATGAATATTTGTTGGTCCCGTTCTTAATTCAGTGATTGAGGCTGTATCAGTCACAGAGGATCCCACTAGAAGAGTATACCTCTGAGGTCAAAGCCACCATCCATCTGACCTAAAGCAAGTCCGCAGTTAAGCTGTCCCAGTTAGATGTTCACTGCTGAAGAGCAAAGTCAGGCAAAGTCAGAGTTGCAGAGAGGTTTTTAATCAATGCAAACTGAGTAACAGATTTTCGCATAGACAAGTGTAACCGGCACGGCATAAGTCTCAGAAAGGGCTAGGGGAGTGAGGGCTTTGCCTGAGACAATCAAGAATGCCCTGTGCTTAGGCAGTGGCAGCAGAGAGACTGTAGGGAGCCCCTGAAAAACCTTGCTTGAGGCAGGAGTATTTTAGGGTTTGGAGGAGCCAATATATTTTCTCCCTTGACCTTATCCACCATTACTGGCTGCTCTGAGCAGAAGATGCAGTGGGGGATGTTCTCAGACCAGAGATCTGAACTGTCCTGAGGCCAAGGCTCCTAATTGCGGGCACTCAGGGCCTGGGGTCCTGCTCTGGGGTGGGGCGGCTCTGCAGAGTGGACATGACCCCTGCTCCCAGCGTGGTCCAGGTCCCTTTACTCATGTGTGCTGTGGGTCCGACACAACCATGAACTTTTCTCTTTATAATAAGGTCTAGGGTTCTATATATTGCACTGTAGGATGACTGCAGTAAACAATAATATACTATACAGTTTCAAATAAATAGATGGAAGATATTGAATGTTCCCAACACAAAGCAATGACAACTGTTTGAGTTAATGGATGTACTAATTATCCTGACCTGATCACTATACATCCTATGTATTCAAATATTACTATATTCCCTATGAATATGTACAGTTATGATTTGTCAATGAAAAAATTAAATTGAATTTTAAAAATAGATCAAAATAAGTTGCTCCCTACTCGAAGATGTAAAGAAAACCAAACTAATGGCTTGGACTGCCAGTACTGCAGGGCCTGGGGCCTTGTCCACAAGGCCAGCTCCAGTGGCTTTTCTTGGAGGCTTAACCAAACTGCTGCCAGCCTGTACCCCACCCCACTTTCTTCTTACAGCTTTGCCTCAGCGGCAGAAATCAGAGTTTTCAGAGGTCTTCAGGTCCACCTCCACCTCGGGAGTGCACTCCACGTAATCCAGTCAAGGCAGCAGGGACCTATCCTGAGCCCCAAGGAGTAGCTGCCTCAACTTTCCTTACACATTCACTCCAGTTCCTCGGGCCCTCAGCTGATACCAAGTAACATAGAAAAAGTCAAGAATCAAGAGCCAGAACCCGTGATCCTGACCCTGCTGCAGAGAGTTACACATCTGAAAAGTGGATGAAATGATCCCCATCTATCTCAGTCTGTAGGCTTACCCCTTAAATAAATGGAGACAATGGGCATGAGGACTTTAAGAGGTAAGAGGTTGTGTGCAGATCTTACATTTTGCTCTTATAACCTCACACTTTGCCTGTTATAACCTTGCTCTCTCAGGGGCCTCCAGGGTAGCTCCATGCCTGTCTTCCCTTATCATGCTGTTGATGGAGCTGGATGCCAGCTCCACATGGCTGCCCCTTCCAGACATGCCCATGGGTGCTGAATTCGTGCTGTTGAAAATGGAGAGATGTTTTTCCCTTAGGCAGCAAATGGCATAGAAGGTGGAGGTTTGGGGAGCAGCAGGAAGACTTGGACAAAGAACGTAAGGGGCTGTGACTTGGATAAAGGACTTGGACAATCTGAACTTTCTGGGTCTGTGACTTGGACAAAGGACGTGACTCACTGCAGGCAGCCTGCTGGCAATTATTTGTCTGGGGAAGAAACCTTGCTCCAGAAACCTCTGCCTTCACTTTTGTTTCTCACCTGCTGGCTCAGTCTTCTTTTTCTCTTCCCTTCCCAGGCCTGGGTTTCTATGCATCTAAGTGCAAGAGCTCTTTCTTTTCCAACAGGAGAGACTGTGAGGGGCTCACTATCCAAGTGGCAGCCCCAGTTTTTCGGCTCTGGGCTGTGTGGGCCTGGGTGTTGGAGAGAATCCAGTCCCAGGCAGCTGTTCTATTGGTGCCTGCTTCACTGGGCAGTTGATGCATAACCTTACATAGGTGTCAAGGATCTAGACTGTTCTGAATATGAAAAGAGCTAAAGGGGAAAAAAAAGCAAAGATTTGAGTTTCAAATCCATTAAAGCCATCCTTCTTTGGCTTCCTAAGTGTGTAGTGCTGGACCATTATTTCTAAAGTGCTGGGGCTGGCTTATCTCCCAGGACATAGGCCTGAGCCAGGATGCTGTGTTCCTTTGGGTACCATGGCTGGTGCCAGCAGCTGAACTTCACACTGGGGCCTTGGGAGTGTGGGGGGCAGTGGGAAGTGATTCCATGGCCATCCCTGCAGTTACTTTCCTTTGATGTGGCTCTTGACAGTGGCCTTGGAGACCCCCTTGTGACTCACTGCAGTGGACTCTCCTTGGTCTCATCTCACCTGGCCAATCAGCCAGCTACACTAGACACTGTTGCTTGTTGCGTTTGACTTGATACCCACTGCTCTGTGGGCTTCTAAGCTCTGCTTTCTCCTGCGTCTCCCACCTCCCTGACTGTTCTCTCTCAAGCTTTCCTGTGGATTCTTCTTTCTCGCCCAGGGATGTTGCCTCCAGCCTACTGTCCCTGGGTGATCTCATCCTCTTCTACATCTTGGGACATCCAGATCTGCACTTCTGGCTGGATTTCTCTTGCTTTGTGTTTTGCAGGCACTTTAAATTCAACATGACCCAAACTGAGTTCCTCACCTTTCCTTCCAATTTGCTCATCTGCTTCTCTCCTTGTCTGCCTGTCTCATGGAGGGCACTGCCATTCTCCCCTTCACCCCAGCCAGAAGTCAGGAATCAGACCAGAGGCCTCCCTTACTCTCAACTCCCCTGCCCCAATCTCAGATGATTTATGACAAAATCCTGCTAATTCTACTTTCTTAACACTGTTTACGTCCATCTCCTTCTCTCTATCCACATTGCCCTAGATCAGCACTCATTAACTCTTCTTCCCAGCTCTTGCTCCGTGCCTGTCTCGTCTCCGCACTGCAGCACAATGCCTGGCCAACAGGATGACTTAGTGGATGTTGGTGGAATGAATGAATGAATAAGTAAATGAACTATGGGTAGAGATTGCCTGCTCAGGGGAGTAATGCAGGGTGGTTGTTCCACAGCTGGGTGGCATTGTGAGTAACCACCAGGCATCACCATTCTTCATCTCATTTGCCCTCAGTGAGCTGCTTGTGAATGAACCCACTTTAGAACGAGGTTTGTGGGATTCAGGAGACTGGGGCTGTTGTCCAGGCTCTGTAACTTGCTCATCATGTGACAGGTCCTTTTTGAGACTATTTTTGTCCCTGAGAGAACTGCAACACCGGGGATCAAAGGGTTTGAGTGTCTCAGTTGCTCTGCGTCTACCATGCAGCACTCTCCTTGGAAAGGAAGAAGGACAAAGATAGAGATAGAGTGAAGCTGGAAAAGCGGCGGAATCTGTAAGGAGGTATCTTGCTAGTTTCTTAACGCAAAACATTGTTCAATCCCCCATCATCACCCAGTCGTCTCAGAAAGTTCTCTGTTCCTCTTTCCCTCAGGACAAAGAGGGCTTGGTCTTGGGGATTCTGGAAGCCTCTTTGCAGACCCCTGACACCTAAACTAAATATACGATGTACCTACTGAACAGATAACTCCTATTTCAGTTTCCCTTATATTTTGGCTTGAACAGGGATTTTATATCTAGTTTGAGTAGCTGACTGTGTGGGTCCCAGTAAGTCCCTTAGACCCTTTGAGCCTGCGTAATGACATCTTACCTGAAGACAGAGGCTGGGGCCCATGATTCTAGCACATCTTGGAATGTGTTCCTTTCTGTGTTTCCTTCTGTTACTTCTACTCTTCCAATTGCAGTTTTTAGGGAATGCGTGCGCTCCGTGAGAGTGCAGTCTTCTCTGTCCATGGTGAGTTCCCTGCCGAATTTTCTCTACTTCATTGTATCTGGATCCTTTTGGAAAGCCAGCTATGTGGTTCTTTCATGTCACTTTTCCTGTCCTCAGCCCCTTTCAAGTGTTCTGGAGATGAGAGCCAGAATATGGGTATAGAGAGCATCATAAGTTACCAGTCTTGGAAAAATGTTTAATAACAACTATTTTAGTTCAGTTCATTGCCTCAGCAGATCCATTCCCTACAGTATGTTATTTTGTGGTACTTTATCCTGTTCGATTTTAGATAATGAATAATCACAATTATACCAGGTACTGCTCTAGTGATTTCCTCCTAGGAGCCTATGGTGACTTAGCACATCTTGGAATCCTTCTTGAGCCCCCGGATACTGAAGGATCAGGCAGATCCGGGCAGAGGCAGGGGGCAGGGGCAGGATTTATTGTGATTGTCCTTTGGAGAGGGAAGCTCCAAGGAGGGGACTTTGTCAGGGTCAAAGAGTTGGCCGCAGGGCCAAAGTCAGGCTGTGAGCCCTGACTGTTCCATGTGTCAGGCTGCCGTGCAGATGTTCTAGCCTCTCTGAATTCATCCTGCCTTTTTTTTTTTTTTCTGTTACCCCTAAGGTGCTCTTTTGTTCACCACAGAATACTGAGCACTTCTGGTTCCTCTGAGGTTGGTATCCGGTTGGCTCAGTGTCAGAGCCCTGGCTGGGCTGGCACCAGGACCCTCTGGCTCACCTTGTGGGGGATGCCAGCACCAGATTGCTGTTGGGGTGTGGCTGGCATTCGGGCTGCAAGACGTGGTTTAGAGAGGGGTTGCTCACCCAGGCCTGCAGAGCCTCTCCAAATCCATCCGTACTTCCACTGAAGATGTCCAATATAAGCGGGTCAGGGTCACCCTGCCTCCAAGTGGAATGTAAATACATAACACGTGGAGCCTTTTTTCTGAGTGTGCCAGCATCCCACATGTGCCCTTCCAGTTCACTCTGCACCTGTCTGCACCCTGCTCTGGAGAGGTTTCCTTGCAAAGCTGACCTTTCCGGCTGGGTTCTGCCTGTGGGCGACAGGAGCACCAGTGGGAGGGCAACAGGAGCACCAGTGGGAGGGTGGGGGAGGGAGGGGCATTGATTCCCTCGGCCCCTCCCTATGGGGGTCACTGTCGACCTGCTCTTTCCCCGACCTGAAACTTTCGTGTAGCAGACCCCATACTCCTTCATGGCTTCTGGGTTCCAGTAACTTCTCCCCTCTTGCCTCCTACATCTAGGGGTCATCCTGGAGCTCCTCTCTTACCAATCCCAGGCAACTGCCACTTTGCTTCCTCTAAGCTATGTTGACAAACAGAAATTATGGATGCCATTCATCCAGCACTTGCTATGTGCCAGGCACTTTTCGAAGCTTTCTACATGAATTCTGTCTTTTAAATCCTAAAAAAATCCTCTAAGGATATACTAATGTCTCCAATTTACAACAGGGAAACTAAGACACAAATGGGTTCAGTAAATTTCCCAGGATAACAAGGTTTCAAACAAAAGCAGTCCTATTCCAGCGTGCACTCAGCATAGGGTCTGGTCAACAGGTGCTGGCTGTGGTTTTGATTGTGGTGGCGGCTGCTCATTAGGATTGCTAGCTGCTCACATGTTTTGGATGAATTCAGAAAAGCAGACCTGGTTTGCAAAGTTAGGTCCACCCTCCACCTGCTCACTGGTGTGGTCCCTGGGCCAGTAGCATCAGCGTCACCTGGGAACTTGTTAGAAATGCAAATTGTCAGAGGGATAGCCTTAGGAGATATACCTAATGCTAAATGACGAGTTAATGGGTGCAGCACACCAACATGGCACATGTATACATACATAACAAACCTGCACGTTGTGCACATGTACCCTAAAACTTAAAGTATAATAATAATAAAATAAAAAAAAAGAAATGCAAATTGCCTCCCCATCCCAGACCTGCTAAATCAGAACCTCTGGGGACGGGGCCAGCAATCTGTTGTCCAGGTGATTGTGGACATGCTGGCTTGACAGCCACCACACTGCACAGAACCCACCCACATGCTCTGTGAGTAGAAGCACATTGCTTTCCTGCAGGGGTATTTACGGTCTCTGCACTCTGAGCCTGGTGTGGTTGAACTAGCAGGGCGGGCCCCATTCTCTAGCTTGCTCTGCGAAACAGGCTGCCTTGACACCCATGCATTGTCGTTAGTGCTGGCAGTTCCTATTTCCCATCTTCTGGTGACTGTGGCCAGCCAGAAGCCCAGGCTTCCCTGGTGGTTGGTTTCTCAGGTCTGTGTACCTATTTGTCCTGGCTCTGTCTTTTGCTGCTCTTCTCCCTGATGAATTTAACTTTACCTGTAAGGTCTCTGGTAGCTCCAGCTTATAGTTTGGCCTTGTGTATAAAGTATCCGCCAATAGTTGACCCAGCTTTCTTGGGCTCTGGAGTGCCCAACCTCCTTCTGAGATAAAGCAAGGCAGGGTGGGCCATTCACATGGTGGAGCATCTCAGAGCAGCATTGAGTGGGGCCAGGGCCATGCTTGGGCAGTTGAGGAAGCACTTTTCTTTACCATAGGCCCTAGGGCTCTCTGGTATGGAGCTACCTGGCATGTGGCAGACTGGGTCTCCAGGATTGGCTTCAGCTGCTCTGTCACTGTGCTTCTCTGCTGTTTTCTTTGCCTGGTCCCCTCTTGGTGATTTGTTAAGGGGTTCATTCATTCATTCATTCATTCATTCGTTTGTTCATTTACTCATGCATTGCATTCAACAAATATTTATTGAATGTTCACTCAGCGTAAGAGACAGTTCTATAAACTGGGATTATAGTACAGAGGAGCCTGATGCTGCCAGCATTTACAGAGCTTTCATTTTATGGGGGAAACAGACAATAAGCAAATATATGAAGTGGTGTCCGGTGCTGAAGAAAGTTCTGAAGAAAACTAAAGCAAGTAAGAAAATAGAATGTGATGGAGGTGGCAGTGTTTGCAGAGAGGGTAATCTGGAGAGGGCATTCTGAAAAGGTGACATTTGAATAAAGACTTGAGTGAGGTTAAAGGAAATAATGTATACAGTGGTCCATTTCCAAGACAAAGGGCCTTGATTTGGCCTAGGTCAGCAAACTACAGAAGAAACAGGATATACTAGGCCCCTGCTTCGATAGCCGATGCTTGTTTGTTGGCCTCCCCCTCCCCACCTTCCCCCTCGCCCCTTAGTTGCGCTCATCCAAACCAAAAAACTTTCATCTAAAATAAGAATTTACCAGTCTGCAAAATAGCTCACTTTTGTCCATTCTTATCAGCCTGCCCAGCTACTTAGGTCATATGTCAAATACTTTAAGAGCCCCTGAGCTAACTAGGATTGCAATGCATTGTGGGCTGCAACAAAATGCAGCAAGACAACCTAAAAACAACAACAGCAACAACAAAAACAAAACAATAAAACACCTAAAGCCCCTACCCAACAATCAATAGGCAACGTCCAGGAAAATTGTAACCCCATAGTACCCAGCCTGTGAGGAACTGGGGGAGGGACCTGTGCACCAGGGGATCAGTTGCTTGTTGAAACTGTTCTGGGTGTGCCCGCTCATCAGACACCCGATCTTGTAAAATCGTCATTAAAAGTCTCACTTTCGCTGTTCTCCGGGTCTCTGAGTCCATTCCTTGGGTTTGGATGGGTGACTTTGTTTCTCACAACCTGGTGGCCCGTACAGAGATCTCTGTGCCCGCGTGGAGTGAGTCTCTGGCCGAGAGGGGAGACACATCCCACTTGATTTATGTGGCCCGCTCTGTCCAGGTGTCCTGGCTCCCCACAGAAGCCATAGACAAACCCAACACTGTTATTCAGGAGACAGCGAAAGTGACACAGGGAGAAAAGCAGGCACTGCAGCAACCAGGCAAGCTCATGCATGAGCTAAGGTAGGAAAATTGAACTATAAGTACTGCCTTGGTGGTTGGGCATCTTTGGAGGTCTTGGGGGTGGAAGAAACCTCCGGTAAGCGGGGCTGAGTACACAGAGGTGTGCAAGAAACCTCCATTGAGGGAGGCTGAGTACACAGGGAAAAGCTCAAACACAGAAACCAGCTGAAAATGAGAAACTGAAATTCTAGGCCTAGGGAACAAGGGAAAGAGGGAACTTAAAAACCCCTTCTAACATTCTCCCAGATAGTCCGCTGGGGAGAATGTTGCAGGTTTAAAGGGATAATCCTCAAACCAGGGAAAAGGAAAAGCAAAAAATAATAAAGTATTGCTGTTTTGTCTGGCCTAAAGAGCCTATTTGTCAGCCTTCAGTCTTTTGGTCTAAGTTTGGCTCAGATAAGGATTGAGTGTGCGAAGCTTTAATTTTCTATGTGAATAATAAAATCCCATCCCCACAAGAGGAGATGGGTTATGCTCTTTGTTGGATTAGTGAACTAACCCACATGTTTCCCCTTAAAGAGAAAAAAAAAAAAGCATAGTAAACAGCCCTTGCCCAGTGAAAAGCCCTGGGATTCCCCAACACGCTTGCCCCCCTCACCATACATGTCACAAAGTAGAGGACAGGGAGACTGGGGGCAACAGGAAAGTCGGAGGAAGAGGAATCTGGGGGTCAAGAAGAAGCTAAACCCAATGCTCCCTTAAATCCTTACCTAAACTTGAGGGAAGAATTAGAACAACGTGAGAAGGACATTAAGAATTTCCCTCTTCCTTGTAAACAGCAGGCATCTAATGTGCGCCCTCCTAGAGAAGCCTCTATGGGACAGGGAAGAGTTAAATTTGTGAGTGTACCTCTAACAAGTACTAGAGTTAGGAATTCTTTTTTTTTTTTAAAAAAAAGGCCACTCTTGGAAAATCCCCTCAGTTTAACAAAGCAGCTAAATCAATTTTTAAAACCCAATTTTTGTACCTGGGCTAAGGTAATGTCAATCGTGAATATTTTGTTTACTGGGGAAGAGAGGGGAATAATGAAAAGGGCAGCCATAACCATTTGGGAAAAACGGCATCCTCCCAGGCAAGGACTCCTGCCAGCTGAGCAGAAATTCCCAAATGCAAATCCCAGATGGGATAACAATAACCCCAGAAATCGGGCCCAAATGCAAGACCCTAGAAAGCTAATAATAATTAAAGGGATTCAAGAGTCCACTCCTAAAACACAGAATGTCTCAAAAGCATTCAAAATCCAACAAGAAAAAGAGGAGACTCCCTCTGTGTTTCTGCAAAGGCTCTTGGGGACCAAATAAGAAAATACTCAGGGTTAAATCCAGAAACCCAGTAGGGCAAGGCCTTTTAAAGGTTAATTTTGTGACTAAAAGCTGGGCTGATATTACTAAGAAACTGCAAAAAATTAACAAATAAAGTTTTAAAAAATTAAAAATTACTAAAGGAAGCTCAAAAGGCTTTTGTAAGAAGAGAAAAAAAGTTTAGCTGCTGACCCTGAAGGCAGGGGAGAGCCGGCCACACAGCTATATGTGGAAGCTGGCTGCTAGAAAGCTGTTAATAGAAGTGACTGCTAAATCTTTGTCATTTTGGCAGAACTGTCCGTCTTTGCAGACGGACAGAGGGGAGCCAGGGCCCAGCACGGCTCAGCTCGTGGCCAGAGAGAGAAAGAAGAAAAAACTAAGTGTAAGGGAAAAAGGAAACAGGGAATGACAGAGAGAGAGAGAGAAAAAGAAAATAAGCGAGATAGAGACTGGAAATAACAGAGACCAAAGGGAGACACTGAAGATGAGACTGGGGAGAAAAATAATGGAAAAGGAAGAAAGAGTACAAGAGGAAGTGAGAGGATGCGGAGAGGTTGGCAGGGCTGGGGGAAGGTTCTAGAGGCTCAAGCAACAAAGAGGTGCCGGGAAAGGATGCAGTGTGGCCACTGAGGCGGGACAGGGCCCAGGAACTGGGGGATGCAAGTGAGAAAGGGATGTGGAGGAGAGTTTAGGATCAGGCTGTTTGAGGAACAGTGGGTTGCCTATGGCAAAGGGTAGATGGCTGTTTGTGAGGTGGGGGTAGAAAGCATTGAGGATGTGGAAGGGTAAATGGATGAGATGACTATTAAGGTTTTGTTGTTTTACTGAGAAGCTGTGAGTCCACCAGGGGCAGCTGTCAGTAAGGCTGCAGAAAGGCTGGGGGGCTACATAAGGAAGATCCAAATTAGGGTTGTAAACTCCAAGGACTACAGGGCCAGCAAATGGTGAGAAAAAGGGCTGCAGGGTTGGATGGGGACTGTGACTAACTCAAGAGGGCACACCCTGTTAAAGGGGCCATGGTTGCTCGGCTGCTCTTACAGTGCCAGCCCTGTGTTGCCAAATTGTCAACAAAATTTGGGAAACATCTAATTTTTTAATGTAAAATATAAGTTTTAAATGCTGGTGATCAGTTCAAAAATCTTAAAAACCCAATACAGGCGAAAGAGGATGCCACTTTGCCATCTCTGAAATAGAGAGATCTCATGCTGGGGAAAAGTCTGCCGAGACGCTTTGAGGTGGGTTGTATGAAAGTTTCCCAGAGCCAGGCTGGGCCAGGGGAGGATCCTTGCAGCTGAGGAGGAGGAAAAGCCACTGAGTCCCCTCCCAGAGTGGGGACAAACCGGAGACCCTTTGCAGTTGCTGGGTCACCAGAAGGGGCGATGTAAAATACAAACAGTGCATCTCTCGGCCTGTCGGGAAAACCAACGGTGCCTTCAAAGCAAAGAAAAGGAAAGGAGAGTGAAGCCAGGGATGCCTTTGCTCATGAGAGTGCCCATCAGGGAAGGAGCCACAGGCTGACAGCTCTTCAAACCAGCGGCTCTTGGCCCAAAGCCAGACCTAGCAGGACCCAGCCAAAGGCACCCTGGGAGCCCAGCTGTTCAGTCCCTTGCCTCCCCACGTTTCCCAGTGCACCCTGGAAAGGTGCCTAACCTAACTCCAGCCAGTTTCTTATAAAAAGGAGAGGAGAATAAAAAGGCATCAAACTGTAACTGTTTAAATATCATAAAATATCAAACTAAAGTTAAACCAAACCTTAAAAAACTCCACTACATAATGGAATAAGGCTGTTTGTAAGTGGGTCATCCCAAGTAATAGATGGTAAAAAAACACAATAACTATGCTGTCATCAATGAAAACAAACAATCCTTATGTAAAAAAGGTAAATTACTCAATAATTGTTCAGCCCAAATCTGTAAATTATATGCTCTTAGCCAGGCCCTGAAGCTCCTATAAGGCCACAATGACACTATATATATTAATTCCAAATATGCCTATGGAGTAATACACACCTTTGGAAAAATCTGGACAAAGCAAGGCCTAATAAATAGCAGGTGGAAAGATTTGGTATGTGGGGAACTGGTCAAACAAGTTGTAAAAAGCCACCTGCTCCCAGCAAAGATAGCCATAGTTCATGTAAACTGCCATCAGAAAGGAAACACTATAGAAGCTTTAGGGAACAGGCTTGTGGATAAAGCTGCTAAGCAAGTCTCCCTGGAGGAAGAAGTTAAACTCCGGCCTAATCCCAGATATCCCAAGGTGGTATTAAAACCCCAATTTTCTAAAGAGAAAAAGGAAAAGCTGGGCAAAATCAGGGCCACTCAAACTGAGGATGGGACATGGGTGCTCCCTGATGGGAGAGAACTAATAAGCAAACCCATAATAAGAGAACTAACAAACATCCACTCTGCATAAGGGAAGTCACTGGGGTCGCCCAGGCCATGTGTGATCCAATACTCAAGAATTATGGGTGGGCCAGGCATGGTGGCTCATGCTTGTAATCCCAGCACTTTGGGAGGCCGAGGCAGGCGGATCACTTGAGGTCAGGAGTACGAGACCAGCCTGGCCAACATGACGAAACCCCGTCTCTACTAAAAATACAAAAATTAGCTGGGCATGGTGGCAGGCACCTGTAATCCCAGCTACTCAGGAGGCTGAGGCAGGAGAATCACTTGAACCCGGAAGGTAGAGGTTGCAGTCAGCTGAGATCTCACCATTGCACTCCAGCCTGGGCAGCAAGAGCGAAACTCCGTCTCAAAAAAAACAAAAACAAGAATTACGGGTGTACGGGAATTGATACCCTTGCTAAACAAGCGTGTGAAAATTGTGTAACCTGACAAAAAGTAAACGAAAAAATGGTCAGAAAACAAACTACTGGAGAAAGACCTCCTGAGTTAAGGCCATTTCAAATCATTCAAGTAAATTTTACAAAAATGCTCAAAATAGGGAGACTAAAGTATCTGCTGGTAATGGTAGGCCACCTCTTCAGCTGGATGGAGGCCTTCTCCCTCCCAACTGCCACTGCCCTGAATGCGGTCAAAATAATCTTAAAACAAATTATACCTAAATTTGGCCTGGTAGAAGGTATTAATTCAAACAATGGGAGCGACTTTAACCTCAAGAGCACTAAGGGGAATTACGGAAAGTTTACACATTAAATGGGATTACCACACCCCTTGGCATCCCTCTTCCTTTGAAAAAGTAAAAAGAATAAATCAAAGTCTCAGAAAGTATATTACTAAACTAATCTTAGAAACTAAAATGCCTTTGACCAAATGTCTCCCAATAGCACTCCTTAGGATTAAGACAGCCCCCACAAAAAACTGGAAATTGTCCCCTTACAAGTTGTTATATGGACTCCCGTATTTAGGTAGGACCACTAACTTTCCTACTATAAAACTCAAAAACCAATTTAAAAAAAAATTGTATACTGGCCATATCCTCCACCCTGTCATTCCTTAGGTTAAAAGGACTTCTAACTCAAACCCTGTCTCTGAAGTTCACAGTTCACCACTTCCAGCCTGGCAGCTCAGTGCTAATTACCACTTAAAGAAAAACAAGCTCAGGCCGGGCGCGGTGGCTCACACCTGTAATCCCAGCTCTTTGGGAGGCCGAGGTGGGAGGATCACAAGGTCAGGAGTTCGAGACCAGCCTGGCCAAGATGGTGAAAACACATCTCTACTAAAAATACAAAAATTAGCTGGGCGTGGTGGTGGGTGCCTGTAATCCCAGTTACTTGAGAGGCTGAGGCAGAGAATTGCTTGAACCCAGGAGGCGGAGCTTGCAGTGAGCAGAGATTGCACCACTGCACTCCAGCCTGAGACTCCATTAAAAAAAAAAAAAAAAAAAACAAGCTCCACCCAAACTGGGAAGGTCCCCATCAGGTGCTCCTAACCACCAAACCACCGTGCAAATAGCTAAACAAGGGTAAATACATTACACTAGGGTCAAAAAACTGGAAAACAAACAAACAAAAAACAAACAAACAAAAAAAAACAGAAAAAAATGAAACAAAGGGAAAAGGGTAAATGGGAAGTGTATAAATCACCTAAGAAACCCTTAAAGCTAACTCTAAGGAAAACCTAAAAGGAAGCTATAAGCAGGCTCCGTCATTGGGGGTGGATGCGGTTAGAATTAATTCTACTACCAGGGGTAAGGGGGTTCACAATTATTAAATGGAGCCTGATAGAAAAAAAAAATCCCATCAAACTAATAGTCAGCAGAATTAAAACCTCCACCCCCCAAACCATAAAGTTCAATGCCTGCCAAGTCTTACAGTGTGAAAATTTAGGAAACCAAAGGCAGCTGTCACAAGCGAACAAATATCTATGTCCTAAAACAGGTTGCTATTGGGAAAAGCCCTGTGCTAGCTGAAATGGGGTCTGGTAAACCACCCAATTTCAAGGCTGGGTGAGTCACTCTTCCAAAAACAAACCCTTAAAAAAGAAAATACATTTGTATAAGGGCCCTACGCCACCTAACTGTAAAAATTTAGAATGCAATCCTATATTAATTACCATAAACAACCCAGCTACTCTAAACCAGGAAGCTTGGAGGTATGGATTAGGAATAAATATCTCAGGAAGGGATCCTGTAGGACGGTTAGCTTTTAGGCAAGTCACCATCTCCACCCCAAGCCCACCCAGGATTACTGTCACTCCCCATCCCACTACTTCCTTTAACCCACCAGACAACCCTAAGAGAGTAAAAATAATTAAAATAACTAACTTAAGGCAAATTTAAAAAGTTAAGACTGAATATGGGGGTGTAAATGCCTGGGTTAAATGGGTCAAATTTTCAATACTAGCTCTTAATAAGAGCGACTGTTACGCATGGTCTGCTGGGCGGCCTCAGGCACAGGGTAGTTCTGTTTCCCCTGAAATGGAATACCAATCCCAAAGGCAGGCATTGCATGTTGGCTCTGTACTAAAACAGAAATGCATGGGGAAATAAGACTTACAAAAGCCTATCATTGCTCTTTCCTGCCTTACGAAGGTCAAGTTCTAGAGCAATCCCCTTGTTCTCCATAGGGAATATAAACCACTCCTTCTGCCTCTCTATGCAGGGGCAAAGTTCAATAAGCCTATGGGAAAACTCCCAACTTGTACACACATCCTAAACGTTACTGATGAGTCAAACAAAGGCGACTACTCGGCTCTTCATATGCCCTGGGCTAATGTCTGGTGGTACTGTGGGAAGAGAAACCTCAGTAACCTGTTAGTATCCAATTGCACCGGAACTTGTGCCTTACTTAGTTCAACTGGCCATTCCATTCACCTTGACATTCCATAAAAATCCCCAAGAATCCACATGGCCACCAAAGGTGGAAAAATTTAATAAGTTCTTTTAATTCCAACATTTATGGTAACTCAATAGGAGTTCCTAATGGAGTATCTAATAAATTTAAAAACGAAAGAATACAAAAATAAATGTGGAAATGGGAACAATAAGAGTAAAAAGAAAAAGAAGAAGGAATTAAAGGAAACAACGCATACAGTGGTCCATTTCCAAGACAAAGTGCCTTAAATTGGCTTAGGTCAGCAAACTACAGAAGAAACAGGAAATACTAGGCCCCTGCTTCGATAGCTGATGCCTGCTTGTCAGCCTCCCCACCTTCCCCCTCTTCCCCGCCCCTTAGTTGCCCTCACCCGAACCAAAGAAGTTTAGTCTAAGATGAGTTTACTAGCCTACAGAATAGCTTGTTTTGTGGGTTCTTATCAGCCTGCCCAGCTACTTAGGTCATAAATCAAATACTTGAAGAGCCCCTGAGCTAACTAGAATTGCAATGCATTGTGGGCTGCAACAAAATGCAGCAAGACAATCTAAAAAAAAAAAAAAAAAAAAGCACCTGAAGCCCCTACCCAACAATCAATAGGCGACATTTGGGAAAATTGTGACCCCATGTGTCCAGTCTATAAGGAAACGGGAGAGGGACCTGCCCACTAGGGGATAAATTGCTTGTTAAAACTGTGCTGGATGTGCTTGCCTATCAAACACCCAATCTTGCAAAACCATCATTGAAAGTCTCGCTTTCACTGTTCTCCAAGTCTCTGAGTCCATTGTTTGGGTTTAAATGGGTAAGTTTGTTTCTCAGAAGGTGAAAGAGTGAACTATTCAAATATGGCCAGGTGCAGTGCCTCATGCCTGTAATCCCAGCACTTTGGGAGACCGAGGCGGGTGGATCACCTGAGGTAGGAGTTCGACACCAGCCTGGCCAAAATGGAGAAACCCCATCACTACTAAAAATACAAAAATTAGCTGGGTGTGGTGGTGCATGCCTGTAATCCCAGCCACTTAGGGGACTGAGGCATGAGAATGGCTTGAACCTGGGAGGCAGAGATTGCAGTGAGCCAAGACCATGCCCTCGCACTCCGGCCTGGGTGGCAGAGTGAGACTCTGTCTCAAAAAAAAAGAGAACTATTCAAATATAAGGGAAACAGCTGGTGCATAGTCTCTAGGTGGAAACCCTTAGTTTGTGGGTGTCAGATAGCAGAATAAAGATCAGGGTGACAGAGGCTGAAGAGCAGGAGGGGGCTGGGAAAGTTGCAGGGCCTTGTGGGTATGCAGAGGATACAGGAGTTTGAGGATCAAAGTTTAGAACTCTGGAGCACTGAGGGGATGGCCATTGCATTCTGAATCTTCCTACTTCTCCATTTAGCATATGGCCTTCCTTTGCTTCTAGAGATTGCCTTTTCTAGGCTTCAGGACCCACAGATATTCCTTGGGAAAATGGTCTTTTAGACTTGTTCTTCTCTCTTTCCCATCATTATTGGAATATGCTTTCCCCCTCCTTTTAGGAGTGAAGAAACCTCATGAGTGAGTTCACACTTAGATGTTTATATGACAAGTAAATGCTTAAAAGTCTTTGATTTGAGAGTTTGGGAAGTGATAGAAATGATAGAAAGGGAAAGGCTGTGTCTAGATTTCACAGGCCTTAAGTCTAAGGATTGCTGATTTCGGTGGTTTAAAACCACCAAAATAAATACATTTGTCTATTTCTCCTTGTGATTCTATCAGATTTTTTTCTCCAATTGTTTTATTTTGATAAAATACACATAACATAAAATTTACCATCTTAACCATTTTTAAATACACTGTTCAGTGGTGATAAGTACATTCACATTGCAGTGCAACCATCACCACCACCCATCTCCAGAACTCTTTTCGTCTTGCAAAACTGAAATTCTACCCATCAAACACCACCAACCCCCATTCCCTCTTCCAGCCCCTGGCAACTACTGTTCTGCTTTCTGTCTGTATAATTCTGACGATGCTACCTTTTATAGGTATAGTCTTACCGTTTTTGTCTTTTCGTGTCTGGCTTATTTCACTTAGCATATGTCCTCAAGGCTCATTCATTTGTAGCATATGTCAGATTTTTCTTCCTTTTTAAGGAAGAATAATATTAAAGTGTGTGTGTATACCATATTTTATCTATTCACCTATCAATGGACACTTGGTTTGCTTTCCCATTTTAGCTATTGTGAGAAATGCTATGTGAACGTGGGTGTACAAATATCTCTTTAAGCATGTGCTTTCAATTATTTTGAGTATATATCTAGAAATGGAATTATGGGATCACATGGTAATACTATACTTAATTTTTTGAGGAACGGTCATACTGTTTTCCACAGCAGCTGTGCCATTTTACACTCTCACCAATGGTGCACAAGAGTTCCAATTTTCCACTCTCTTACAAACACTTGTCATTGTCTTTCTTTTAAAAAATATATATTAGCCAACTTCTGGGTGTGAAGTGGTATCTCATTGAAGTTTGGATTTGCATTTCCCTAATTATTGGTTCTATCAGTTTTTGTTTCATATATTTTGTGGCTCTTTCATTAGATGAATAAGCATAATTCCAAACATAACAATTGGAATTGTTATGTCCTCTTGATTGACTCCTTTATCATTATGAAATGATCTTTTTCTCAGTGATAGTATTTGTTCTGAAATATACATTGTTTGATATTAATATAGCTATTCTAGGTTTCCTTTCATCAGAATTAACATGGTATATATCTTTTGTCATCTTTTTACTTTTAAGCTTTTATTATGTTAAAGTAAGTTTTAAATAGAATGGCATATGGCTGTTTGTAAAATCTAAAGTGATAACCTCTAACCTCTGCCTTTTAATTGAAGTGTATAGACCATTTACATTTAATGTAATTATTGGTGCAGTTGGGTTCAAACCTACCATCTTGCTATTTGTTTCTCTATTACTTATCTGTTCTTTGTTATGCTTATCTTCTTTTTCTGCATTTTGGGGGCAATCTATAACTTTTTGTACTTTTACAAAGTGGCCACATTAGGGTTTATGGTATATGTATTGAACTTATCATCATCTACCTTCAAGTAATATTATAGCACCTTATATATAGTAATCCCTCTTAGCTGCAGGAGATATAATCCAAGACCTCTAGTGGATCCCTGAAATCAAAGATAGCACTGAACCATATATGTACTATTTTTTTTAATCTGATAACCAAGACAGTTAAGCTACTAAGTGACTAATGGGCGGGCAGCATATACAGCATGAATATGCTGGACAAAGGGATGATTCATTTCCTCGGTAGGTGGAAAGTGAGATGATGCAAGATTTCATCTTACTACTCAGAATACTGTGTAATTTAAAACTTATGAATTGCCTACTTCCGGAATTTTCCATTTAATATTTTCAGACAATGGTTGATATCTGGTAACTGAAACCATGAAGAGCAAAGCCATAGATAAAGGGAGACTACTGTATAGAAACCTTCAACGATATATCACCATTCCTCCCCTTTTGGCCTTTGTGCTATTGCTGTCATTGATTTTATTCCTATGTATTTATAATTCTTACAAGATTTTTAAAAAATTTAAATAGTTAATGATCTTCTAAAGGGATTTAAATAATAAGAAAAAAAGCCTTTTATATTTACACATAGAGTTACCATTTCCAGAGCACTTCATTCTTGGTGCATACCCAGATTTCCACATGGTATTGTTTTCCTTCTGTAGTATGCGCCTGTGAATGATAAAATCTTTCAGTTTTTGTATGTCTCTAAAAGACTTTACTTTACCGTCATTTCTGAAAGATATTTTCACTGGGTATAGAATTCTAAGTTGACAGTTTTTTCTTTTATCTTTTTGGTCCTCTGAAGATGTTGCTACCTTATCTTCTAGCTTGTGTTGTTTCTTATGGGAAGCTGGCTGTCATTCTTATCTTAGTTCCTTTGTAATATATCTCCCCATCCCCCTCTACCCCTGCCACTTTTAAGATTTTCCATTTATCAGTGGTGTAGAGCAATTTGATTATGTACCTTGGTATAGTTTTTTTACTCCCTCACGATTCTTGTGTTCAGGGTTTGTTGGGGTTTTCAGATCTGTGGGTTTATGATTTTCATCAATTTGGAAGATGAAACTCTAAAGCCGTATTTCTTTAAATATTTTTGTGTCTCCTCTTCCTTCAGGTGCTACAATTACGTTCATATTAGGCTATGTGAAGTTGTCCCACAGCTCAATGATATTCTGTTTAACTTTTGTTCAGTATTTTTTTCTCTGTGGGTTTTTTGGATGATCTTTATTGCCTTGTGTCAAGTTCACTAATATTTTCTTCTGTAATGTCTAATCTGCTATTAACCTCAATCAGTGTATTTCCTTTTTATTTCACATAGTTTTTATCTCTAGAAGTTCAATTTCGGTCGTTTAAATATCTTCCATATCTCTACTTAACATGCTCAATCTTTCCTCCAGCTTCCTGGAGGAAATAGAATACAGTTTAATAAGTACTTTAATGTCTTATATACTAATTTCATCATTTGTATCATTTCTCGGTTCAGTTTTGTATGATTGATTTTTTTTCTTCTTTATAGGTAGTATTTTCTTGCTTCTTTGCAAGCCTAGTAATTTTTGACTAGATGCCAGACATTGTAAATTTTACCTCATTGGGTGATGGATATTTTTAGATATTTTATGCTTCTAAGCTTTGTTTTGAGATGCAGTTAATTTAGTTTAATCCTTTTAGATCTTGCTTTTAAGCTTTGGTGGGATTTGAACTATCTTTGGAGCTAATTTTCCACTATTCAGGGGAACAACAACAAAACACCTCTTCTGAGTATTCATGAATTATGAAGTTTTTACTCTGGCTGGGGAGAGCAAGAACTATTTCTGGCTCTGTGAGCCCCACAGAGAAGTCCCTGTGTCTTTTCAGTAGTTCTTTTCCGAGGCTGTGGTAGTTTTTTCACATCCATGGTTTGATCAGTCTCAGCTGAAGGCTTGCAGGGAACTCTTTACAGATCTCTGAAGGCTCTTCTCTGTATAGTATTTTAATCTACAAGACTCTGCATTGCAAACTTTATCTGTCTTGCTGTCCCCAGATTCCCACCTTCAACTGAGAGAGATTACTGGGTCTGCCTGGGTTCCTGTTCTCTGTATGGTAGGCTGGATAATCCTTCTAGGCAGTAAGCTGGGGTAATCTTAGGGTTTACCTCATTTATTTGTCATCTCTCAGGGATCATGGTTTTCTATTGCCTAATGTTCAATATCTCAAAACCTATTATTTCTTATCTTTTATCTGTTTTTTTAACTCATTGTTGGGTTGCTTGGGAGTGCTTTAAAAAATCCAGTTTCTTGGAATCTGTATTGGCTAATATGAGGCCACCTTTGGAGCAGACCCGCATATTACCCAGTGGCTGACGTTATTCCCTCTCTAGCCAGAATGCCAGTATTTTCAGTGAGTGTGTACATTGGAATTTCTGGTTAAAGAAGTCAGTCACTTCTTCTAAAAATATGAGTGGAAATATAATCATTTGGAGTAGATGGGTTTGCTAGAATTAGGTGGAAGATGTCTAGAAAGAGTCTATGGAAACCAGGTGAGAATCTAGATTAAGTTGGTATGGCTATGATTTTGGCCAGCAACTTGTGATTTTCTTTCTCTCTTATAACATGATTTTGTAGTTCATTTTTCTCCACCTTCAGCTCAATGGCCAGATGATGGAGCCTGAGAATCTATGAGGAGTCAGCTCCTGGATCCTCACCAGTTATGCTCTATGGGCTGAATCAGTCAGTCAGCGTCTCTGAACCATGGCATCATTACCTGCAGAGAGGGCTTGTACTACACGGGTGCAAAGAGATGGTTGGAAAATGTCTAACAAATACACTTAGATCTGTATTTGAAGCCACTTGTAGTGTGTGGAATTATGGATGCTTAATAAATGCATTCTATGTTTGCAAGATATGTTCTTCTCCTAGAAATCTCCTTATCTCCCAGGAGATAAGACACTTCTTGGTAAAGACATTTTGAGTACCACTGAACCCTCCAAAGAGTATTGAGTATTATTGAGATTCTGATGATTATTATTCCCAATTTTGCTTTTCTTCTGCCACCTCTCTGCCCTCTCAAGGGAAGTGAATGCTCTCTGATCACATGGTGGGAAAGGGCCTCCTTCACTCGACTATAATAATAAATTTATGAAGGGCAACATTCACCCAGTTGAAGTGTAAGTGTACCATTATCACATCTTTCTTATCTAGCTTTATACTAAGTATTAAGAGGGAAACACAGACATATAAAATCTGGTTACTAGTCTGAAAGAATTTACTTCTTGTTGTAGAAGTAACACCTACAATTGTGAGATAATCTTCAGGAGACAATTTGCCAGCAAAATAAATAGGAACATAGCCCATAGTTTCAGATAAGCAGATGCCATAGGAGGTCAAAATAGGAGCAGGAGAGACCCAAGCATCAGCGGCTGGAGAAAATGACTGATTTTCAATGATGGCTACCTTCCTAAAGATATCAATCCCATAATGCCCAGAAAGCTCAGAGGACGAAGGGCAGAACCAAAGGCTTGAGAGTGCACAATGTGTAAGGGAGGGGCCAGGGCCAAGCAGCCAGCAGAACAGGGCTCTACGGGCAGCCAAAGCCACTGTGTCCTGTGCCACGAAAGGCCCAGAGAGCATCTAAAGATAGCACCCTGGCACAGAGTCATACGGCGAGAGCGGGAAGCCTGGTACTCCTGTACCACACGCTCGAATTTCCTCTGAATATTTACACGCTCAGCGTCTTCCAGTCATCACCATAGCCCCACAAAAGAGGCGGGACAGAAAATCATTGCCATTTGGAGAAGAGGAAACCGAGGATAGGGAAGGCTCAATGGCCTTTGCACAGTGACATGAACAGGGAAGGAGAGAAGCAAGTCCAGAACCCACCGGTGCTGTTTCTGGCTGTGTGCCTACGAAGCGGGTACAGGGAAAACTCCTCTGAGGACTCCAGCCTGGGGTAAAGAGAGTCATGAACATAGCATAGGTCCCACAGGGATGATTTGACCCAAATCTGGAACTAAAAGTGTAGTCTAACTCCAGGCAAGGTGAGGGTAAGAGAGGACACTGGCTGTGTGTTTCTACACATCTGCCCATAAAAGAGAGTGGAGAGGGAAGCCAGGGCTCCGTAACCCCCTTCAAGTCAAAGGAGGGGAGGAGGCTCCCTTGCCTTGGGGAGGGAAGAGGGAGGAAGAGGAGGGGAATGCATAGGGAAGTCTGCTTTTAAGCCCATTAATGAGGAAGAGCCAAGCATCCAATTAACTTGACATCTCTTGCAGCCAAAATATCTGAGGATATAAGAAGCGAATTTAATATGTGGAGGCTTGGGAGACAAGTGACTAATAGTGGAAAACAGCCCCAGTTTATTTAAAAAATAGGTCAGGCCCAACAAATCCAATAGATTCCCTCTCAGCACTTACGGATCCAGGAGACAGAGGGAGTGCTGTGTGGGTGCAATGCCATTTTGATTTGAAGCAGACATTGTTGTTGTACCACCAAGAGACAGCCAGGGCTGGCAGGAGGCGCCTGTGCACAGCATGCAGCTGCTGAGGGCGGCCTTCGCGTCAAGCGTCTCAGTGACCCTGGTCAGGACAGCGAGTCCCTACCAGTGACCGGCCCAAGGTCACGAAGCCTGAAGGTGGCGGCGCCCACACCCAATCCCAGCCCCTCTACTCTCAGAGCTAAAGTGCTCTCTGTGGCCTTGGGTGCCTCTCTTCCAGATGTCCTTGGCCCGGCTCTGGGAATCTTGGTTGGCTCTGAGATGGCAGCACCAGGCTGCCATCTGAGAGCTATGGCAGAGCTCAGGGCTTCAGCGAGGAAGAGAGAAGGCCTGAAGCTGTCCTCGGCACTGTCAGGACAGGGTTCCTAGGCACCAGCTGGAGAGCCTGTTAACATGCCCAGTGTTGGGTCTCAGTCCCACCCTGATTTCATTGGTCTGCGGTGGGCTGGAGATCCACCAGCGACGGCCGACATGGATTATAAAACAGAAACACTGTTTGAAGTCGGAGCCCAGGTTGTTTCTTTCAGAACGTTAATTTCTAGAGATGTTTATAGATCTCAGGAAAAAGTGTGTCACAGCCATAAATGTGATAGTAGTAGATGCCCTAATTCCTCTTAGAAATTTATATTATATAATATTTATATAATATATTTAATACATATACTATAATAAAATCATTTATTTTAGCATTTTAAAGGCTTAAAAGTATTGCAATTAAGAATTCTCTTTATGTAATCCCAGCGCTTTGGGAGGCCGAGGCAGGTGGATCACCTGAGGTCAGGAGTTCGAGACCAGCCTGGCCAACATGGTGAAACCCCGTCTCTACTAAAAATACAAAAAAATTAGCCTGGCATGGTGGCGGGTGCCTGTAGTCCCAGCTACTTGGGAGGCTAAGGCAGGAGACTGGCATGAACCCGGGAGGCAGAGCTTGCAGTGAGCTGAGATCACGCCACTGCACTCCAGCCTGGGCGACAGAGTAAGACTCCGTCTCAAAAAAAAAAAAAAAAAAAAAAAAAAAAAAGAGCTCTCTCTTTAGCTTATCTGCCCAAACCTACTTGCCATGGAACCTTTTTCTAGGAGTACCAATTATACAGTATACAATGTGGGAAAATGTTACTCTAGACCAGTGGTTTTCAAACTTTATGGTGTATCAGAATCACCTGCTGGGACCCGTCCCAAAATTTCTGATTCATTGGTTTCTGTCCTTCAAGGCCTGGGAATCTGCATTTCTTACCAGTCCCCAGGTGATGCTGGTGGTCTGGAGACCACACTTCAAGAACCACTGCCGTAGACCCCTCTGCAAGCCCTGGCTCAGCCGAGGGTCCTGGGAGGCCTCCCAGAGTGGGAGGGTGGAGACTGAGAGCAGTGGGCAGCAGGAGCTAAGAGAAGGGGTTTCCAGGAAACACAGCCTTGAGAAGGCTTGACTCTAAGGTAAGAAAACCCTATGTAGGGATGGGCTCTGCCAAGATCCCAGAGTTAGAGTCAGAGATTCTATAAAACAGGGGGTTCCAAATGGGGGACAGCCGACCCTCTGTGACAGGCATCAGTGGCTTGCCCCCAACATCCAGGCCTGGAAAAGGCAGATCTGGAGAGCGTCTGTGCCTACGAAGCCAAGTCTTGTGAAGGGCATGAGGCAGACGACTGAAGAATAAACCAGAGCAAGCTGGGGAGCCCGGGAGGCCACATGCAGAAGACAACACCGTCTCGCAGGACTGGCAACACCTAGATCAAGCTTGTCCAACCTGCAGCCTGCACACCGCCCAGGATGGCTTTGAATGTGGCCCAACACAAATCCACAGACTTTCTTAAAATACTATGAGATTTTGTTTGGATTTTTATTTTTTAGCTCATCAGCAATCGTTAGTGTATTTTATGGGTGGCCCAAGACCATTCTTCTTCTTCTAATGTGGCCCAGGGAAGCCTGGACAACCCTGACCCTCCTCCCCTTTGCCCCCAGACTCTGGGCTTCCAGCCCCGAGGGTAAGAAGCAGCAAGCTAGAGCTACCTACCCTAGCACAGTACACCCCTCTGAGGGGGCTGACTTCATCTGCCAGCCCCGATGATAAGACAGGGGTGCAGGAGAGTAGAGAGAGGGTGCATGTAGGGCTGTCTTGGCCAAAGGCAGGCAATAAAGCTGTACTTTTGCTTTCTTAGGTGATAGGAGAGGTCCCAATGCCCAGCAGAGCCCTTGCTTGTCTTGCTGCTGCCTGACATTTCACATAAGAATGTTCTTTTTTTCTGCAAACCTCTGGTCCCTATCTAAAGGCAGGCAGATGGTTCTGGAAGAGCTAACCCTTTGTGTAATTATGCAGAACGGGAGCCACAGCTTAGATCACAGCCTGGTGAGTAAACACAGGTTGAAGAGAGGTGTGGTGAGTGTCTAAGGGCGACACTGGGCAGAGGGGCTGGCACGAAGGTGGGCAAGGAGGGAAGAAGGTGAAGGCGGTGGGCAAAAGAGTGGGGTGAGGCCCAGGCTGGAAGCCTCCTGCCACCCCTACTCTGTCCCCTCCCACTGCGATCCTCTTTCTTCCCTCCGTGGGCCCTCCAGGCCAGGCAGGCGGCTGCTGAGGACAGACGACTCAGGTTAGAAAAAGCTCTCTTGACATTTGGAGAACAGAGCAGGATTTGGCTCCTCTAGTGGAGCCTCTTGTTCTCAGGGAAATCATTTTAAAGCTTGGGCTGGTGCCAGCAGGAGCCATTTATAGCCCAAAGGGCTTAGGTTCACTTTGGCTGCCTGGTGCAGAGAGTGCTGGCTTCCCTCTCCCCTCTGCAGGCTGCCTTCCCCCTTCAGATGTCCAGCACCTTCACTCTCCTTCCTTAAAGCTTCTTTTTCCTCTCCTCTACCACCTCTTTCCTATTCTCTTGGAGGTTCCAGTTCCAGATCCACCTCCGGACCTAGATTCCCCTAGGTGAGCCTAAACAAATTCCTTTCCTTCTGTGGGCCTCAGTCTCTCCATCTGCACCCTGACACCTATTGTCTGCTCTCTTTAAACTCTGTCACCTTGGAGAGGTGCCTGCCTGTGCCTACCTCCACTGAAGCGCTCTCCTCTGTCTAGTTATTGCCTGTTGACTCTCTTTCTGCCCTCAACACTGGGCTTCCTGCCTGGGCCAGCTGTGTTACCCTTTTCTGAGCACAGGGCCTGGCTCCTGGCAGTAGCTCAGTTAAGCTTGGTTGGGCCGAACTGAGCTAACCATGGCATCAGTTTCAAGAGCACAGGTTTTGGCATAAAACAGATACTGGTTGACATCTTGGCTGTGCTGCTTGCTATCTCTGGGCCCTGGCAAATGACTGGACTTTGTGAGCTTTAGTTTCCTCATCTGTAAATGTCAGTTACTATGAGGATTTCACGAGATGGTGTCTATCTATAAAGTGCTTGGCGCAGCGCCTGGGGCGCAGTGGGCCCTTAGTCAATGTTAGGTCTCATCACCATCATCATCCTCTGCCATCTACCTGCATTTTCAAGGGATGTGGGTTAGGTCAAACATGCTCCCCCAAATCCCCACCCCTGCTTGTGGAAATCCGACCCACCCTTCAAGGACGAGCTCACAAGCTCACATGCCCCTTCTTCAGGAAGCCAGCTTCCTCCTGTCTCCAGCTCTGCTGCGTCCATAACCTTTCATCTCTGCATTTAGTGGGCCCGAGGCCTGTTCACCCCAGTAGAGTGGGTAGACTAAGACAATCGCACTTTATTTATTAGGGAGAAAAACTGTGCTGAAGCTGCCCTGGGTAAGGCCAGTCTGGGGGCGGAACACTGTGTTGGGGGAGTCCTGATCAGCCGCTGGCGTGGTGAGTCGAAGGCAAATCACAAGTATTGACAGTGGAGGGTGATTCTCACCATATCAGGGAGGCAGACAACATCGGGAGACCTCCAGCAAGTAACAGGGCCCTGGGCCTGGGCCTTTGGACGGAGGTGGGGAAAGAGCAAGGCAGGGTGCTTTCTCTGCCCTGGGGCCCAAGAACCCAACAGGACAAGGCTGGAGGCGATGGTGCAGAAACAGGTACCAGAACCGACTCCAGGGCAGAGCAGGCAGGGCCAGACCTCCAGGGTGATGTGGGCACAGGAACCCTGGAAGGGACTGGGGGCACTGGAATGTCCAGTGGGGAGGGACTTGGGCACAGGGAGCAAATTGGAGGTGAGAAAGCTGCAGCCATGAGCAGACCAAGACGCTGATGTTGAGAGTCCAGCTGCCCATCCGAGTGTGATTCCAAATCCTTTTGCTGACTTCTCAGACTATGTATACAAGATTGGAGTTTGAAAGTCACCTTCACTCAGAGACTCTGCTTGCCTGGTGTGGCTTAGGGAGGAGTTGAGCCTTCTGACTTTACAGAGGAGACCACTGTCATCCCCCAAGACCTATCCCCTGTGCTCCTCAAGTCTCAAGAGCCTTCAGTTGTGGCTGAACAATCATGTATATCTCTTGGAGATGCATCTGGATTCCTATAAGTGTTCCAATTTGCCTGCATAGGATCCATAGAATACCCATATGTCTCTTGTTTCTTTCACAGGGCTGGCACAGTGCCTTGCTGTTGTAGAAGTTCAGCAGGTAGTTGTAGAATTTAAAAGCATCACCCCATGTAGCTGAATGTTCAGGGATCACAGGCCACGGCTGCTTCCCACCCACTCCCAGCCTTCAGGGAGAGGGTATGCCTGTCAGCCAATGGGCAGAGTGCCAGGCTGCAGACCAGGGTCTGGGCCAGTCATTTATTTGTCCCCATGACCTGTGGCTATTGAAATGAATGCCCCCAAATCCATGCATCCTTTTGCCTCCTGCATGGCACACGGCAGACACTTCATAAGCTGGCTGTTGGGGAGAGTCTCAGGGAGCCCCATGGAAAAGAGAACCTTGGAATCAGAGTTGAATGACAGCTTATGGGTGCTGGAGGCCCCTGTGACCTTGACCGTGCACAATGCCCAGGCCAGCTAGGACTTTTTCCTCTCCTTAATATATTTAAATGGAGTCAATACTGGGGTCAGCTTCATGCACACAGCCTTCTTCAGCCCTAGAGGTGAGGTGATCTGCACAGCTTCCTGAGCAGGGTCCTCCCTGGTGGCTGAGGTGTGGAGGGCCCCAGCCAGGCTGGATGGAGGTTGACTTTGTTTCGGAGCCCTTGCTTGGACACCGGAGTGCAATGCTCGGGCCACACATCCTTGGAGGAAGGGCAGCCTGGAAGTGGTGGAACAATCTGTCATGATCATATTTTTGTGTAATCAAACACTCTTCCCATAATACCTTTAATGGCCGCATAGTGTTCTATTGTGTGGCTACACCACAGTTTAATGTCTCACTTTGTGGAACATTTCAGTTGACTCCTACCTTTTGTCACTAAGGACAGCATTGTCATGAAATTCTCAACAGCTACATCATTATGATGATCCATGATTCTCTTCTTATGGTAAAGTCCACAGAACTTCAATTGCTGGGTTAACGGATTTGTGCTCTTTAACACTTCAAGTACATTTTACCAAACGGCCTTTCTAAAAGTCTTGACCTATTTTCATTCCCACTAGAAATGTGTGAAAGGACCTATCTCTCTGCAACTCTTACATATGCAGAGCTGTGGTTGTTTTGGTGGGAGAAGAGCTTATCTGGTATTTAAAAGCTGTAAGTTTTCTATTTGAATTTGAATTTACCTGATTTCTAATGAGGTTAAACATTTTTGTTGCACATCAACCTGCCATTTGTATTTCACATGTACTTGCCTCATGTGGACAGATTATCCAATCCTTTCCCCAATATTACATTGTGGGTGTTCATCTATTTTTGTATTGGCTTGTAAGAGCTCTCTACGTATTAAGGGCATTAACCTTTGTCTGCCACATATGTTAAAACGTACTTCTCGGTTTATCATTTGCCTTTTAATTTTGTTTATGATATTTATTGTCTGGAACTGCATTAATGTCTTCTTGCTAGACATCTTCTCTTATATGACTCAATGACATTTCAAACTCTGCATATCCAAATTGAAATTCATTATTTCCCCCCACCCCAACCTGCTCTGCCTGCTGACTGGCTTATTTTTGTTAATGTCACCACCATTTCCCTAGTCACCCAGGCTTGAAATGTTGAAGTCATCTTTGATTCCAGCTCCTCTCTCTTCCCCTACATTTTGTCAGTTGCCAAAGCCTGTAGAGTCTATTTCTGCACTTTCTCTGGCAGGCAGCCCCTCGGACACCCCAGTAGTTCAGGCTCTCATTATTTCTTGACTGGACTTTGAACATAGCCTCCAAAGTTCATACTTTGCCTCTCTTCCATTCCCTTCTTTTCCTTGGCCCCTCCTGTGTGCTGCTACCACATCTATCTTCCTAAAGAGGAGCCCAAACACAGAAGTCACTGCTTCCCTGGTTACAAACCGGCAATAGCTCCCCGTTGTCTTTTGTATTTAATTACGACCTCTTAGCCTGGCCATAATTTCCTTTCAACTGAATCTCTCACTGTCTCAGCCAAGCTGCTCCCAAACAAACTCACTGCTCTCCCGCCTTTTGGTTGCTCAAGCCGTCTCTTCCTCCACCTGCCAAAATCCGTTCAAAAAGCTCCCACCTCACCCCACCTCCTGCTATCCCAGGGCTTCCTGACTCTCTGCATTAAAGTGAATTCTCTTTCCTGTGAACCTCCAGAACAATTTGCTTGAACTTCTCTTGTAGAACAAACCTTATTCCAGCATCTATCAGAGACAATAAGGGTCTTAGAATCTAGAAAACAGGGTCCTGGGAGGGCACAGTTCCCACACGTCTATTTCTTCCACAGGACCTGCACGCTGCCTTGCTGTTGGAGATCTGTGCAGTAGGCAGTTGTGGAATTAAAAGCAACACCCCATGTCGCTGAATGTTCAGGGATCACAGGCCACTGCCGTTTCCCACCCACTCCCAGCCTCCGGGGAGTCTTAGCCTGTGGAGTCCCAGGAAGCACATGGAAAAGAGAGCCTTGGAACCAGAGTGGAGTGACAGCTAAGGGGTGCTGGAGGCCCCTGTGACCTTGACCATGCACAATGCCCAGACCAGCTCCGACTTTTTCCTCTCCTTCACATATTTAAATGGAGTCGATATTGGGGTCAGCTTCATGCACGGAGCCTTCTTCAGCTTTAGAGGTGATTCTGCAGCCTGCACAGGAGTGTGCACTTGACACAGTCTATTTTTAGCCTCCCAGAGACCGTGACCAACATCCCAAGCTGAGAGTGGGCACACCTGCTGCATTCTAATGAGGCAGCCCCACTCGCCTTTGCCAGCCCGCCCGGGATCTCACCGACGTGAAATCTGATGTTGCTAAACTGGGAAGTCTGCTTATTTCCCAAGGGCGGTAGCCTAGGTACACTGGGAAGATGGGACCATCCCACTGCCCCCAGCTCACTCCCCTGCAGCCCTGGACACAGAACAGTCTTGGGACTGCGCGGAGTGATTCCACGGAGGGGTTGAAATAACTTGGCTTTCTTGATCTTGCTGTGTCCTAGGATTCCCCTGTTTCTCTTGCTAGAAAGGAGACAGTAAGTCTGAGCTGACCCAGCTCACAGACAAGAAAATCGAGACATAGAACAAGGACATGATGTATGTAATAATCATAAGCACTTACTATGTGCCAGCCTGTTCTAAAGTCTTTCCATATATCAACTCCTCCAAACTTTTGGACAAATTTTTCAGGTAGGTTTTATTATGATTTGTGTTCTATAGAGGAGGAAAAGCTGAGGCACAGTGATGACAAATTATTTCCCAAGGTCACACAGCCAACAAGCGCTGGGTTTCAGAGTCAGGCACTGTGGCTCCAGGGTTTGTACTTTCAGCCAGTTCGCTATCTGCCTCCTAGTATCTATTTTTAATTTTACTAGAGCCAGGATAGGACCCAGGAGCCTGGATTCCCAGCCCTAGAGGACTGACTACTAGATAATACTCCTTTTTTTATTTTTCTAGTTCAGCCCTGCTTTGAGGCCTTTACTGTGCCTTGTACATCTGGGTCTCCTGCACTCCAGGCAGAGGAGGTCTCCTGGCATAACTGCTTCTGTTGCAGTGTTTGAGCTTCTGGGCTCCAATTGCTGTCTCTGGGCTCCAGAAGCTCTGTGGACCCCCATCTCCTTCTCCCTGCTCCGCCTAGCCTGTGGAGGACCAGGGAGCAGACAGTGATGGGCAGCAGCAGTGGGTGTAGAGCTGGGCTGGGCCTCAGGATTGGGGCACCCAGAAATAGCAATAATTGGTTGTGTGGAGGCCATCAGTGTGGGTATCCACAGTGCTGAATTCAGGGTAGAACTGTGAATCAGAAACTAGGGGGCAAGACAACAGGTAGGAGACACCAGAACCTAAGACATCTGCATTTTGGGGGCCGTATCCTCTTCTAGCTTGATGCTGCCTGTTGAGTGGAGAGAAGCCCATGGGTTCACGTTCCTGAGGATGCAGGTGGGACTTCGTTTCCTCTAACAAACTCTTACTATATGCCTGGCCCTTTTCTAAGCACTTTGAAATACAAACTTGTCTAATCCTCAGGACAACTCTAGGAGGCAGGGACCATTTTATTCCCATTTTAGAGAAAAGGAAACTGAGGCACTGAGAAGTTCATAAGTTTGCCCAAAGTTGTATAGCTGGGAAATGGCAGAGCTGGGATTCAGCTCCGGAATCTACACTCTCAGGCACCATGCTGTGCTATGCATCTTTCCCTTTATTGAATGTTTCCTATTTGCCTTCAAAGGAAGATACTATTTTCCCCATTTCACAGATACAGAAACTGAGGCCTGCATTGCTCAGGTCACCTAGCTAATAAGAGCTGAAGGTGGGTGAAATCTAGGTGTGTGTGGCTCCTCGGTGGACTGCCATCTCTGGACAGATCACAGCCATGAGCCCAACTGCTGGGAGCTGGAAGGGCTCACCTACCTCCCTTTCAGGAAGGGCTGCTGTGGCTGCTTGAGGCCGGGCTCAGGGAGGGGGAAGGAAAGAGGACCGCAAGCCTCCGAGGGCGGGACCCCGTTGTCTCTCCTAACACCCGACCCCCTTCTCTTCCCCTCAGGTGAACAGCCCCCCCTCCCAGCCCCCCCAGCCCGTCGTCCCTGCTAAGCCCGTGCAATGCGTCCATCATGTGTCCACTCAACCCAGCTGCCCAGGACGGGGCAAGATGTCCAAGCTGCTGAACCCAGAGGAGATGACCTCGAGAGATTATTACTTCGACTCCTATGCCCACTTTGGGATCCACGAGGTAAAGTGTCCCGAGTGGGTGGCTAATGGGGCGAGGCTGACTCTGCTGTTCTGTTGTTTTCAGAGGCAGCATAGTGTGTTCAACTCCTTACCATGGTAAAGGGAGTGCTCCCAGTGTTCCTGAGTCCTCTGACCCTTTCTCCAATCCGGGGGGCCCCTCTGGGAGGGGGCCAGGCCAGGCCTGGAGCAGGGGAGCAGGTGAAAGTGTGTGTCTGTATACTCCACAGCCAGAGAGAGCACACAAGGTGCTTACGGTCCATTTGTTTTACATTCCAGCTCCCGTGTCTCTCCCCAGCCATAAACCCAGCTCATCCATTGTGGGCTGGATAGCGCTGGTCTTTGGACCAGGAGCTCAAATGCTGCAGTCAGAGTCCTGAGGCAGCAAGGACCTTTCAGAGGTCATGATGTGCATTCTTTTGACCAATGAGCACCTCCGGGGGAAGAGCTGCAGGAAGCTTTCTTGGGAGCTTGGCCCAGGTCTGACACCCTGATTGATTGTCTGGAAATTCTTATGTCTAAATGCCAGTTTACCCCATAGCAGGGAAGACTAATGTTGACTATGGAACAGAACAGAACCTCCTAACAAGAGGCATCCTGGCCATAGTGGGGGCCTAATGGTGCCCCTACTGTATATCTTTCATTATAATCTCCAGCACTCTCTCCAGCCACCCCAAATAAACAAGTAGGATTTACTGAGTGCTTGCTAAGTGACAGGCACAGTTCTAAGCACATTATACGTATCATTTCATTTAAACTCTATGAAGAAAATATGTCCGTGATCCTCTTACAGCATAAGAAAAAATTGAAAAAGGAACAAAAGTTTGCTTGCTGTGCAAATCGGTTTTCAAAACAAGTCTTGAAGATCTTCCTTCCACGTACTCACTGCTGTAAACTCTTCCTATGTGGAAATGATGACCCTGCCATTGCCGGAAGGGTGTTTAGTAATAATAGCCAGCTCTTTTGTTTGTTTGTTTCGTTTTAGTGCTTACTACGTGCTGGTGTTGTTCCAAGCATTTTATATTATTGGTTCATTTATTCTTCAGGTCAATCCTGCAAGGTTGGTGTTATTGCTTGTCCCCATTCTCCAGATGATTTAGGCCCTTAAGAATCAAATCAACCCTCATTCATCCTTGACGGTTTTTTTGTGTGCGTGTGTGCGTGTGTGAAAGGCCACAAGCTAGTAGATGGCACAGCTAGCAATCAAACCTTCACCTTTTGTTCCTAACCATCATGCCATACAGCCCTTAAAACAAGTTTCCTTTCTTTCCATCTGGAAACTGTAAAAATTAAATTGCCATATTTGTTCCTGCTGGTTCTTCTGCAGCCCTACATGGAGGTAGAGGGTGGAAGGAGGCCCCCCAGTTACTTCTAGACTCAGGGGCTCAGCCTCATTTAATCCAGGGAGGCTCAAGGTTTGGGTCCCTGAGAACTGTTCACCATGTAAAACCATTAAGCCTGGACCTGCAGGGGAGGAGGACTGGGGCCTGTGTTCGGTCCAGAAGGTCCTGGCCCAGGAGGGCCTGGACAGCTGAGCCTGCAGCTTCTGGGAGATAAAATGCCATCTCAGGGCAGATGGATGAACTCTTACCCCTTCCTTGACCCTGCTCTCCACTGGGCTAGGGATTCCTGGAGCCCCATCCTTGGCCTGTGAGAGGCTCTTGGGGGCAAAAGAGACTCTGCGAAGGCCCCTTCCTCAAGACCTTGTCCCTAATTAAAAGTCATGTTCTCCATGTGACAAGTTCTAACAGGCCTGTGGCTCTGGGTACCCATTTCAGGACAGATTCTTGGGAAAAGAGAGCAGTTCCAGGGACCCCAAAATGTCTCCTCTTGGGCCTGCCCAGAACTCCCCCATTAGAAACCAAACAACCATGAGGTGCACCTCAAGCTGGGTCTGCAGTCTCCCCTCCCCACTCGGAGCCTCCGTGATCGGCTTCTTGGACACCTCCCTCTGAGTTGCTAGGTTCCTGCTGAGCCACACCTTTGGCGTTTAGAGTGTGCTCCACTAGGCTATTACCGATCTCTATAATTCCTTTGGGACTTGGTGTCCCCAGCCTGTTACCTACAGCTTGGCACATTGTCTGGAGAGCAAAGGCTTGTTGACATGGCTGCTAATCCAGTCATTCAGGCGATGCCTGGTCAGCACCATGACCCAGCACCCAGGGGAGAGGACATCAAGTTTCACCAAATAAATACTAGACCAGTTTCCCTCAATTGTGTGTACTTATGGAAAAGTCAAGCTTGTGCATACGTATATATAAACATAGTGCGGGCTGAGCAGGGGACTTAGAGTATAAGACCTGTGAGTCATAGATCACATTCCTGTCCTGGGAGAGTGCTTAGCAGCCTTCCCATTGGGAAATACTTCTGGACATCTAGCTTAAATCCCTCCTGCTGCTGCTATAGACCATCTCATAGGTCCTTTAATGCAGGAACAGCTAGGTAACCTTCCTTCCCCCCGAGGTCTCCTTTTACCCTGTTTTCAGTTTCCCAGATCATCTGCATGAAAGGAGGTGGGGGGCACGTGGAAGAACTTTTAACACCATTCTTCGCAGAGAGAAGGCCTACCCAGTTCTTGTTATCAAGCACCAGGGATCTCTGTTCCATGCCAGATGGATCGTGGTGATGCCCTTGCCTCCTTGGTCTGGGCAAGACCCATATTTCTGCATCCATCTGGAGCCACGCTGGCCATTTGGCAGTCTTCTCCCCATCATTAACAAGACCCTCACACGGTGGGGAGCAGCCCCACCGGCCTGCTGATTAATAGCCATCAGTGAGTGTTGAGGAAACGTGGTGCGGATAGACTGGGTTTGATTGATCTGTAAATACAAACAAGAAATGCTGAGTACAGGGGACTATTGGGGCTGGAGAGCACAGCAGGGGGTGACTCTGGACACTTCTGTTCTCATCCCATGCTCCATTCAGAGACAACTCTATCCCCAGCCTCCAGAGGGCAGGGGCTAGCGAGAGGAAGACCCTAGCCTTCCAATTTAGGCCTCTCTGGGAAACATGGAATCTTGAACAGGAGCTGAAGTGGAAGATGTGTGCTTCCTGAGGCCGCCACCTAGAGAGGAGGTGGTAGGCTCCATGACCTCCCAGACCCCAGCTCTGAAATCTCAGCGTCTCTAACAGTCGGCACTGGGCTTGGTGCCTCAGCCACGAGAAGAATCTTTGCCAATGCGGCTGTCCCTCCAGCACCCTGAGCTCTGGGTGCCAATCCCACTCCCGGCCAGCTCCCTTCCTTTGACACTCTCGCTGCAGGTTCTGTTGAAACAGACTCTTTGGGGCCTTATAGTCCAACAATTTGTCAATGGGCAGTCATATATTTAATAGGCAGGAAAGCCAGGACACAAGTGAATCCACAGCTAGAGGCTGGGAACTGTTTTCCACAGGGTGGCATGTTCCTTCCTGAAATGTCTTGGGAGTTCTTTGGGCTCTTCTCCCAGGAAGGGGATAGAGGACCTCTTCTTTTGGCAAGTCAGGTAGGGGAAGCCTTGCTAAGTCACAACTTCTGTTCTCCCAGAACTTGTACCTTCCAACCTAACTCCTGGGGCCTGGGACCTCCAGGAAAGGAGACTTGGCCAAAAAAGCGACAAAGGCAATGAACTAAAGGGTGACCACTGGGGGGTCTCCCCATTAGCAAACATACTCTCTGTTAGGTTTTGAAGGGAAGGCAAGGGTTAAAGAAAGACACGCCCACAGAAAGAGTGCAGCTCGACAGCAAATACAGGCTTCATGTCCAGCATAAAACCTACAGAAGTGGGGGACCGCCTAATGCCAGAGCCCCCTGCTACTTACAGGCTGGGGGTACTTATAGGTATGGGCGGGAGGGGTCTGGGCAGTGTGGCTCGCTGCCTGGCAGGATATTAAGATGTTCCCGTGATGAGGCGGTTCTGGCCCTTGTTCCGGCAGGATGTCGTCATGGTGTTCCTTGGACTTTTGTCCCCAGCAAGATACCATACGGATGTTTCTTTAGTTGGGCCTTTGTTTGCCTTGCGGTCAAGTGGTTAGGCAGGATGTCTCTCATGGCCTGAACCCCCGTGAAATGCTTCACTTTGACCAAGGTCTGCACAATAGCTGGGAGCTTACAAAATGGTGCAGTTTGGACGAACAGGCTCTCCGGGGGTACTCAGCCAATCCACTTCCATCTACTAAAGGCACTTCAGACTTTTAACTGTGGTTATGATTGAAACATTTCTGCAGCCTTTGTCGTTATTTTGCCTCCATTCCCTGCTCATCTCAGCTATTTCCTTGCATGGATGAAGGAAAGGGTTGTAGTTATCACTAAGAGCCAGAACTAGCATTTTCGTGAAACTTACTACATTTGTGTAATCATCATAACAAACCCTAGGAAGTAGGTGATGTTATTACCAGTTTCCAGATGAGGGAACTGAGGCACAGACAGCTGAAAGCTGGTCTGGGTCAGAGAGCTCACAAACAGTGGAGGTATGATCTGAATGCGGGAATTTGGGATTTGAATGCTCTAGAGTCTGTGTACTTAACCACTGTGCTGTATGGTTTTCCGGCTTACTGAGCACCTGCTATGCGCCATGCCCCATGCCTGGTTCTAGATATACCATCTGTCTTGTTGTCTTTGGTCCGAGATCTCCTAAAGCGAAAGGCTTCAGCTCACCTTCAAAGTATTTAAAGCCAGAATTGAACTGAATCCAACCAAACCCCCACCTTATTCAACTTCTAATAAGATCAAAGATATCAGCCCTGGGGCAGCACAGGAAGTGATGGCTGGGCTTCAGAATGGTTCTTGCCTCCTTTTCACCTTCTGTATCTCACCTGAATCTCCTCTGTGACTCACCCTAACTGGAAACATAACAGAAAGAGAAGTTGGGAAATGTAGCACCACCTGGCTGAGGTGACACGTTACAAAGCCTCCCAACGTGGTACCCAGAACTCCAGAAAACATGGAGCCAAACCTACAGAACTAAAGGAAGAAAAAGGGAAATCTCCAGTCATAGTTAAATATTTTTAACACTTCTGTCTTGGTAAGTGATCACACAAATGCACAAAAAAAATCGGTAAGAATGTAGAAAATTTGAATAATACAATCAAACAACATGAGCTAATTGACATTTTTAGAACATTTCATCCCCAAACTACAGAAGACATGTTATTTTCAAGTGCACGTGGGAACATTCACTAAGATAGATCCTCTGCTGGGTCACAAAACAAAGATTAAAGTCATGCAGAGTATGTTTTTTGATCACAATGAATTGAATTAGAAACTGAGAACAATAAACTATCCAGAAAATCTCCAAATAATTGGAAAGTAGGCAGCACTCTGCTAAATAGCCCATGGGTCACAGAAGAAGTCACAGAAGGAAAGAGAGACTATCCCAAACTAAATGATAGTGAAAATACAACATATTAAAATTTGGAGACGGAAATTCAAGCAATATTTAGAGGGAAATTTACAGCTTCAAATGCTTATGGGGAAAAAAAGTCATAAAATCAATGACCAAAACTTCTACCTTATGAAGCTAGAGAAAGAACAAATAAAACTCAAGTAAGTTGAAGAAAGGAAATAATTAAGATGAAAGCAGAAGTCAATGAAATAGAAACCAAGCAGTGGAGAAAACCAACAAAGCCAAAAGTTGCCTTTTGAAAAGGCTAATTAAATTGATAATATCTAGTTAGATTAATCAAGAAAAAAAGAGAAAACACAAATTAAAATAACATAAATGGAGGCAAGGACCTCCTGACGATCACACAGATACTCAACAGGCAATGGGAGAATATTATGACAATGTCGTGCTGATAAATTTGACATTTTACATAAAATGGATACATGCCTTGAAAAAATACCTTGTCAAAACTGACATAAAATGCATTGAAAGCTAAAATAACCCTTTCCTAATTAGAGAAATTGAATTCATATGAAACTTCCTATAAGAGAACTCCAGGCATATATGGTTTTACTGGTGAATTATAATAAACATTTAAAGAAGAACTATACCTAACACAAACTTTTGCAGAAAATATATGAGCAGAGAACACTTCCTAACTTATGTAATGAGCCCAGTATAACTTTGATTACCGAAGAAAAGGTAAGACAAAGTTACAGATCAATGTTTCTCATAATTATGAATATGCAACAAAATATTAGCAAAAAACACCCAGCAATATTTTAAAAGGGTAATACATCATGACAAAGTGTTCATTTAACATTAAAAACCAATCTGTGAAGTTCACCCCATTAACAAAATAAAGGAGAAAAGTCATATACCATCTCAATAAATGAAAAAGCATGTGACAAAATTAAATACCAATTCATGATAAAATCTCTCACCAAGTTAAAAATGGAAGGGAACTTCTTCAGCCTGATAAAAGACATTTATAGAAAGCCTAAATTATACTTAATGGATATATTATTGGAACAAAGGAAGGATGTCTGTCCTCTGTAATTCTATTCAACATTTTACTGGCAGTCTTTGCCAGGGCAATAAAGCAAGAGGAAAGAACCAAAAAATAAAAGGCATACAGATAGGAAAAAAGAAGTAAAATTGTCTTTATTCACAAGCGACAGGATTTTTCACACAGAAAAATAAAGAAATCTAAAAAAAAAACCCTACTGGAATTAATATGTGAAGAGAGAAAGGCTGCAAAATACAAGGTCATGTATACACCAACCCATTGCAAAATGAAAAATTTTAAACACCATATACAGTATCACAAAATAAAATAGTTGAATGGGGCCAGGCATGGTGGCTCACATCTGTAACCGCAGCACCTTGGGAGGCCAAGGTGGGCAGATTACTTGAGCCCCGGCATTCAAGACCATCCTGGGCAACATGGTAGAACACCATCTCTACCCCCAAAATACAAAAATTAGCCAGTCTCATAACCCAGCCTCAAAATAAATAAAAAGATAAATTTTTTTGAAAAACTAAATAAAATAGTTGAATGGAAATGTAAGACCTTTATATAAAAATCTATACAACATTCCAGAGATAAATGAAAGATCTACATAAATGGAGAGCTGCAAAGTGTTCTTGGATTATAAAACTCAAAATTGCTAAAATGTCAGTTCTCCCCAAATTGATCTATAGATTTAATACAAGTCTGATAGATGCCAGGAGCCTATTCTGTATGAATTAATAAGTTGATTCTAAAATTTATATAGAAATGCAAAGGGCCTAGAAAAATCAAAATAATCTTGTTAAAGAAGTACGTTGGCAGACTCTCACTACGTTATTTCAAAGTTAATATAAAGGTGCAGCAGTCAAGTCAGTGTTGACTTTGTTTATCAGTGGAATAGATCAGAGAGGCCACACATGTAGAGTCAATTGATTTTTGGTAAAGGTGACAAGGTGATTAATGGAGGAAATGTTTCTTGGACCATTTATTTGCAAGAAAAAATGAGCTCACACCCCTAACTTACACTATACACAAAAATTAATTTGACATGTAAAAGCCACAGCCATAAAGACTCTGGTAAAAAACAAAGGAGAGTGTCTTTGTGACTTGGGGCAGACAAAGATCAGACAGGGCACAAAAAGCACCTATCATAAGTGAAAAAAATGGAAAAACTGGTCTTTATCAAAATTAAAAACTGCTTTAAAAAAAGAAAAAAGAAAATGAAAAGGCAAATCACAGATTGGGAGAAGACATTCACAATATATATGCAGTATATCTGATGAAGGACTAGCTTCCAGAATGTATAAACTGCAATTCAGTAAGAACAAGACAAACAGTTCAAGACAAAAATGAACAGAGGACTTGAATAGGCACTTCACAAAAGATGATACATGTGAATAGCCAATAAGCACATGAAAAAAAAGATCTACTTCAGTAACCATCAGGGAAATACAATTAAAACTGCAATGAGGCATCAAATCAGTTTACATCCACTAGGATGGCTAAATTAAAAGATCAGTAATGCTAAGGTGTCTGGCTGTGAAGCACCTTGAACTCTCACATTGCTGGTTGGAGTGTAAAATGGTACAACTAGTCTGGAAAACTCTTTGGCAATTTCTTATGAAGTTGAACATGTACCTACCCTAAGACCCAGGAAACTTACTTCTAGGTATCTACCCAAGGGAAATGAAAACATATCCTTTGCTATTATGAATAAATAGCAAAAAACTGGAAAGAATCCTAATATCCCACAAACAAGTGAATGGATAAATACATTGTGGTATAGTCATAGAAGGGAATACCATACAACAACAACAACAAAAGAACAAACCTCGGATCTGTGTAATAACATACATGAATCTCAAAAACTTTATGTTGCACAATTTATATAAAGTTCTAAAATAGGCAGAAGGAAGCTTTGGTGATAGAAATCAGATCATTTGTCATCTTGGGAGAGGCTGAAGATTGACTACAAAAGGGCATGAAGGACTTTCTGGGGTGATAGAAATGTTCTAGATTTTGGTTATGGTGGTGCTTACACAGGTATACATTTGTCAAAGCCCTTTTACTGAACCAGAAGCTTAAAACCTGGGCTTTTTGTTGCATGCAAATTATACCTTAATAGTGTTGATTTCTAAAAAAAAATTCACCCCAATACTTTTGATGATGAATTAGGTAAAAGCGTTTGCTAATACCTTGAATGGCCAAAGATCCCTACCTCACTACCATACACAGAATTAACATGTTCTCCTTGGGTCAGAGTCCACTGTAACAAGTAATCTTGTTTCTCTCTCACTGCAAAGCCAATATGCTGGACAGAGAAACACATTTTCTAGTCTTTTTTTTTTTTTAAAAAAAAGGCAAACAAAACAAAATATACACTCACAAAAACCTCTTTGAATGACGTGTTCAATGACAATTCTCTCACCATGACAGAAAGTTCTGCTTCGTGTTTAACTTAAATCTCTTATGCTATGTTGTACTGATCTTTCCTTTGGTCCTTTAGTAAATCAGAGCTTTCCCAGGTCTGAACATGAGTTTCTCTTCTGATGGTGAATAGCTATCTTTCTGAGTAGAGTTTTAAGGCAGGGGAAGTTTGGAATGATGCTGTTAGCACATGGCCCAGCTACCCCAGTTTTGTCCTCTGTGGCTCTGCCTGATGATATTATCGGGTCTCCTGAAGGGTCACCTGGGGTGGTCCAGGGGCTCATAGCCATGGTGTACACCCAGGTGTCTTGAATTCACTGACATTTCCTTTCTTTTCCCTCCATCACAGGAAATGCTGAAGGATGAGGTGCGGACTCTCACTTACCGGAACTCCATGTACCACAACAAGCACGTGTTCAAGGACAAAGTGGTACTGGATGTGGGGAGTGGTACTGGGATCCTTTCCATGTTCGCTGCCAAGGCAGGGGCCAAGAAGGTGTTTGGGGTGAGCACGCCGCTTCCTCCTGCATGCTGGCTTCCACAGAGCCAGCCTCTTGCCCTCTGCCTCCACCCGCCCTTCTAGAAGTACAAAATTTGGTCCATCTCTTTTGCTGGGGTCACACCTTCGAGGAGTAGAAGAAATCAGGTGTGACTCTCAGGAAGGGGAGCAGGCTGCCTGTCCCCTGTGCATGGCTCCTGGATCCTTACAACCACTGACATTTGCGGAGGAACTGTGGCTTTCCTGAGACCATTCCAATGTCATCATGACCTTTCAGTGCTTAGCCCCAAGGTCAGCTTCAGAGGCAGTGCAGGTGGTTACTCGGGGGAGCTCTGGTTTGAATCTCTGCATTTCCATTCACTAGGCATGTGACCTTGGACTATTCACTTCCCTGCACCTCACTTTTTCTCCATCTATAAAATGAGCTTAATAGCAGTCCCTTGCCCATAGGGTGATTGTGAGGATTAAATGAGTATAATACATATGTAAAGTGCTTAAAACAGTGCCCAGCATATGGCAAATGCTCGGCGTCTATTATTATAGTTGAGATGGGGCCCTAGAGATAATGGGAACATCTCCTTCTTGTTTTCTTTAGAGGGCAAGTCGGTCAACTTAAATTCTGTTGCTTTGGCTGTGGCAGCGTTTCCAGGCTAGATGTGGAGGCTGACCCTCTGGGAAGCCTCCTACCTATCCCCTGGCTCTCCCAAGGCAGCTTTGCCCAGCCTGATGACAGAGGGCCTGGGAAGGTCCAGAGCTGGAAAGAAACTAAAAAGAAGAGCTGCGAGATGCTGGCTGATATTTGAAAAATGCAGTGGGCCCAGGGCTGGAGCACAAGCATTCATCTTGGTCAAAATGAAAGGCAAACCACAATGAGATTCCCAGTCTGCATGTGAGCCGGCCCATTTGCAGAGGCCTCAGCGACCTGAGCAGCATTCAGTGGGTCTTTGCTCCCATGCATTTGGTTGGGCCATCCCATAGCCAGCCCTGGGGACCCCCCCCCGCCCACTGACTCCCAGGTTGACTAGATCCCCCTAGATCCTCCTGGCCACCTGCTGCCTCCAGAGGTCTGCTCCTAAGTCACCCAGCAGGGCAGCATTCCTCCTCCAAGCCTGACTTGGAAAACCCTTGGGCCATGGCTGCCGAGGGTCTTCTGGAAGCTTGGGCTGCCCTCAAGCTGCCTCAGGTGCAGCTTTGACCAGGAAAAGCTGTGACGTTCTCAGCCGAGGCACTTGCTGAGGGCAGGGGCCCATCCGGAGGCCCAAGGGCAGGTCATGTCATCATCACTGGTATAACTGCTGGTTCTCCAGGATGGAGACCTCAGGCAAGGGTCTTAGTGAGGTCACAGGGCATCAGAGCTGGACTTGAGTCCTCTGGTGACCCCCACGTGCTTTCTTTCCCAGCACCGAGGCCCCGTCTCAGTGCCGGCCTTGGTGGGGGACAGGGCTGAGCATGGTGTCCCTGGCGCCTGAGTCATCCGGGGGCTCCAGCCAAGGAGCTGTCAGGAGGAGGCTCCCACTTGGCGCCTTCCAGCTGCGGTGACTTGGCGCGATCTGTCTGCCTCCCGCCCTTTTCTCTAACAGCTCTTTTATAAATGGCTCCACCACATTTAGCTGGGCTCCTTTCCGGATGGCTCATTTCACAGTTTCTCCTGTTCCAGACCCCCTTCCACCCACTGCTGTCCTCCAGTGGGGAGACGAGATGGCGGGAGAGAGAGACAGAGAGAGAGGGAGGGAGGAAGACCATCGTCCCAGAGTGGAGACAGGCACAGAGAAAGAGACAGATGTGACAAGAGCAATGGAGAGGAGACAGAGACAGAGAAAGGTGCAGAGAAAAGCTAGAGAAATGGGAGAGGGGCCTGGAAAAGCAGAAAGAAGACAAAGTAGAAAGCACAAAAGAAAAGAATCGGCAGAGGCTGGTGGATCACCTGAGGTCAGGAGTTCAAGACCAGCCTGGCCAACATGGCGAAACCCTGTCTCTACTAAAAATACAAAAATTAGCCGGGCATGGTGGCGGGTGCCTGTAATTCCAGCTACTTGGAGACTGAGGCTGGAGAATCGCTTGAACCCGGGAGGCGGAGGTTGCAGTGAGTCCAGATCGCGCCATTGCACTCCAGCCTGGGCGACAAAGTGAGATTTTGTCTCAAAAAATAAGAATCAGAAAAGTGAAGACAGGTGGTAAAGAGAGAAGAGGGAAGAAATGGAAGAGGAGAAGATGGAAGAAAGGAAAATGAGGAGGGAAGGACACCGCCCCGCACTCTGAGTGTTGAGCAAGCTTCGGCTGAGTTTACCCTCACACACTCACGTGCATTGGGGGCTTCGACTTCTCTCGGGAGGACACTGAGGCGCAGTTAGGAAGGGCAGTGGCCAGGCATAAATCCAGGCCTGGCTCCGGGTCGCATGCTCCTCATCACTCAACATGGTCGCCTCTTGCAGATCAGATGATGACATGGCCAGAGGGGGAGAAGAAGAGGAGGGAATCACACCCCACAGACAGTGCAGCCTGAAGGCCAGGGACCTGGCAGCCCAGGAAAGGGCTGGTTCTCCTGGGACCTGCACCCTGGCTGGAGTCGGCCTCCTTGGATGCAGCTCTAACCAAGTGACCCCTTCTGACCCCGTAGGTGCCCTCACCCTTCCTCAAGGCGTGGCCAGAGGCGTCAGAAACTCCCTCAGTGCCCCTTTGCGAGTACTTCTCAAGGGAATGGTCCCTGCCCGAGGCCTGGGGGTAGTCTGAGGGGCCCCCAAGTGTGGAGGTGAGTAGAGCCCAGGGCCTTAGCACAGGCCAGCCTCTGTAAGAGAGCCGGCTCCGGAGGTGAGGACGGCTCTTGGCAGCTGCCCCTCCATGTCCAGAACCCCTGGCAGTGTGCCTGAGACGCTAACCCTGGGCTGGAGCTTGGCTTCCAACCATTCCCATGAGGGCCTGCTCTCAGGGAAGGTCCACTCATCTCTCAAATACCTTGGCCCTTTGCTTAGGAGGTCTGGAGAGCCTGGAAAGACGTCTGAATTAAAAGGAATAATTTCTTTCAAAGATGAAGCGGCGAGAGCTAACGTGGGGGGTGGGAGGGGAAGAGAAAGATCTTAAACCAGCCCTGAGGTCTTGACCTGGCTTTTTCCAGATGGTCCCATCCTGGCACGCGGCTCGTTTACCCTGGAAGGGCTGGGCTGCGGTGGGGAGGATCATGTCGAGGGAGGCTCGCAACTCTGGCTTGGATCTGCCTTCCCGCGTCCCCCACGGTGGGGAGGACGTACTGCCTCCTGCCATTCTCTGCTGGCCAGGAGCATGAGGTCTGCCAGCCCCTTTTGAGTCTCCAGCACAGAGATCAATCCCTCCATCACGGGTGGTGACTAGACATCAGTCTTTTCGCAAAGGCAGCCCAATTTCGTGGAAGGCCGCTGGCCTTGAGGTGGGGGGGCTGGGTTTCGGTTTTCAGTCTGCCACAAAGTTGTGATGCAGCCGTGGGCAAGTCACCACCCCTGTCTGGGCCTCAGCGTCTCTATCCATTGAATCGGTGTGGGTCTTGCTGTGATTTTTTTTGACGCCTTGCTCCTTTGTCCTATGCCCTTTCCAGATCGAATGCTCCAGTATTTCTGACTACTCAGAGAAGATCATTAAGGCCAACCACTTGGACAACAGTAAGACATACCTCTGAGTGTTTTCTCCTGGATGGAGGGGACGGGAAGCTCACACTTTCTTGTTGGGATGGCATAGCGGGAGGAGCGCAGAGCACTTGGACTTGGGGAGGTGGTGCACCCAGCTGAGGCCCCCGCCAGCAAGACTGCGGCCATGGGTACTGATGTTCCCCCCGACACCAGGCCAGCTGAGGATCACAGCCACCCCCTCTCCGCTTTTGGCAAGCCCTGCTTGTAGCTAAATCCCGAGTTGCCAGACCCTTTGCTTGTCCCCAGCTGTGGGCAACCTATTGCCTTCTGCAAAATGGCCACATTCCTCCTCCTCCTCCTCTTCCTCCTCTTCCCTCCCTCTCCATGAGCCCCGACCCAATGTTTCCCCACCACCTGCCCAGGGGCATCATGGCAGACCCCAGGCTGTGGTCCTCCACTGCCCACGAGCCCTGTCACTGCTGGGCTGTTTTGGGAATGAGGCTGCTTTTGGGAGTGGGCCCTTCTTCAGCTGGAGTCTGATTATAGAGAGGGGCGTCCCTTCCCTTCCTCCCCTCTCACCTTTCCCATGGACAGCGACATTTCCCAGTCCCTCCTCTCTGGAGCCCATCTTGGAAACAGACCCGCAAGGGTCCCTGATCAGGAGACGTCCTTGGAGCTTGCATCTGACAGCAGGATTAGATGCAGTCCCGAGCCCTGTGCTCAGTGCTGGGGAGAACATCAGAAAGGCAGACAGGGCACTAGCCCCCTGTAGGCATCCTGTCCTACTGCGCCGGGGCTGCAGTGAGGCCGAGAGAGGAACTGGTAGACAGGAAGTTGCAATACAGACAGGGAGGTGAGCCACAGTGAGACAGAGGCCGCCTGCAGCAGAGGGCTGCAAAGGGTCAGCTCCAAAAGGCAGAGCTCACTGCAGAGTTCCAAAAGGTGGGAAGGCTGGAGCTGGGAGGGAAGGACGTTCCCTTGAGGGGTCTGGGGCAGGGGGAAAAAGAGGCCAGGTTGGGAAGGAATCTGATTTCAGTGTCCCTCCTGAGGGAGCCTGGGCAGGGAGTTCTGGCAGGTGGGCTTTGTCAAGTCCGAGGCACCGAGGAGTCAGCTCAGCCTCCCCTCTCTGTGCTGTGCGACCCTTTGCTCTATGGATGCAGCCCTTGCCATGCTCCCTGCTGACCTGCCAGAATTCCTCTGCCCTCCTAGAGGGTGCCTGCTGCCCTGTCACCCCTCTGGGTCTGACCTGAGTCCCCAGGCCCAGGTGGTACCTGCCTGCACACAACACTACAAACCTGTGTCCATGTGGCTTCAGCCCTGCCACCTGTCCTCTCTGGTGCTTGACCTACTTGCTGCAGACTCTTTGCAAGGGCAGGAGCATTACTGACTCAACAAACTTCTCTGCAAACCACCATGAGCCAGGCTCTGGGGACAGAGCAGGGAACAAGACAGGTAAAGTCCCTGACCTCATGGAATCCACATTCCATTTAGGGGTAGGGGTTACAGATAATAAATAAAGAAGCAGACACTCAAAGAAAAATATCAGGTGGTGATAAGTGCTTTGCAGATCACAAAGTCAGCTGACAGGACGGAGAGAGACCCCATGGCTGCGTTAGGTTAGCTGCTCTCTGAGCAGGTCACAGTGAAGCTCAAATTTGAATGACAGAAAGGAGCCAGGCTGACAAAGGTGAGGGGAAGAGCATCTCAGACAGAAGTTACAGCCAGTACAAAGGCCTCTGGGATGGACTGAGCTTGGCATGCCCAGAAACACAAAGAAGATCATGCCGTGTGGCCAGGGCATGGAAAGCACAGGGATCAGAGAGGGAGGAGGGGACCAGATCACACAGGATTTGTAACCAGGAAAACAAGGTTAGATTTTATTCTCCAGGTGCTGCAGTCTGTTGGAGGATTTCAAGCAAGGGAGGTGGCTTCTCTATGGAGGATGGGTTGGAATAAGTCGCAAGCAAGAAGGGTGTGAGCAGACACACGGGAAGAAGCTATTGCAGTGCTCCAGTGAGAGGGGCTGCAGCAGGAACTGAGGCAGCAGTGGAGCTGGAGAGAAGTAATCCCTGTGGGACATGCTTGGAGATGGAGGCACAGGACCTGAGGGTGCATTGAGTGTGGGGATGAGAAAAAAGAGAGAAGCAAGGATTCTTTTTGACTTGGGCAACTGGGTGGATGGGACCTGAGGATGCATTGAGTGTGGGGATGAGAAAAAAGAGAGAAGCAAGGATTCTTTTTGACTTGGGAAACTGGGTGGATGGGACCTGAGGATGCATTGAGTGTGGGGATGAGAAAAAAGAGAGAAGCAAGGATTCTTTTTGACTTGGGCAACTGGGTGGATGGTGGTTGGCTGGAGGTGAAGTACTCATGGGGGTGGCAGGAGTGAGAAGGAAATCAAGAGCTCCTTTTTGCATGTGTTAGGTTTGAGATGCCCATCAGACATCCAGGTAGGTGCGCTGAGTCAGACTTGGATACGTGCGTCCAGAATTTCAGGAAGAGCCAGACCAGGAGACTTCCACTTGGGAGTCATCAACCTATAGGTGGTATTTAAAGCCAGAGGATGAGGTCACTTAGGGATGGTGTGTAGCTAGAAGAAAGAAATGGGCCAAAGATGGGGCTCTAGGGCACTACACTGCAACATTCGGAGGTCAAGCAGGGGAGAAGGGCAGCAAAGAGGTAGAGAAGATGCAGTCGGTTGAAGGGCATTCAGGAGAGAGGAGGACCATGAAGCCCAGGGAGGGGGGCTTGCTCAACTGTAGGGAATGTGGAGGGATCTGGTCCGGTAAGAACAGAGAAGTGACCACCATTGACTTTGGCCACATGGAGGTTACCAGCGCTCTTAACAAGCACAGGCTCAATGTGGGGCTGGGAGAGAAATCCAGTTAGAATAGGTTCAGGAAAGACTGTGAGGCAAGGACCAGAAATGATGGAATAGAAAAATGGAACAGTAGCTGTAAAGGAAGGTGGCATTAAGGGAAGAAGTTTTTTTAAAAAAAAAATAGGAGATATGAAAACGTGTATGTGATTCACTGGTGTAGTAGAGGGACAGAGAAAGATTGCAGGTGCAGGAAAAAGTAAATTCAGCAGCAAAGACCTTGAGAAGGTAAGGTGTGTGTGTCAGGGGTGGCTTTTGCCCTGCCCAGTGGAGGGGTGGTCTTTGCCTTGCACAGGTGGAGGGGTGGTCTTTGCCTTGCACAGGTGGTGGGGTGGTCTTTGCCTTGCACAGGTGGAGAGGCGGCCTTTGCCTTGGGGCAGGGACAGTTCAGCCATAGAAGTGGGGGAAAGTGGGGAGTGTGGGTCCAGATGGAGGTGCCAGTGGTGGGAAGCCCTTGTTTTGCTGCTTTCATTTGCTTAGTGAAGAATGAGACAGTTGCATGCCAAAAAGAGAGAAGGTGAAGGGAGGTGAGTCCTGGAATGAGAGGGAAGGAGGGAGGGCAGCAGATAGGCTGGGGGAGTGAGGATTGCTGCGATGTGTCTGATGCCTGTAGAGATGTGTGACCATAGAGGCTCAGTGAGTCCCATCCTTGCTGTTGTGTGATCTTTCTCTTACCACTCTCAGGAGCTCGAGTGCGATTGGAGTAGAAGGTTGCCGGGATCAGGGCTTTGCTGGGAGCATGCAGCAGAGGGAGGGGGAGCTGGAAGTTGATGACAGTGATGGGCCGTGGGATCTAAGCTGGGCCAGGAAGGAAGCGGAGAAGGATGGTGGTGGTTGTGACAAAGGCTGGGGCGAGGGGCGGGCAGCATGTCTAGTGGCCACAAGTGGAGCTGCGATCCTGAGGCCCAAGTAGGGGGATGCTGCTCAGACCCCTTGGCCTCTGGCTTGGTGTCCAGCCTTTCTTGGCTCACCCAGCGGAGCTGGGTCTCTTCTGTGCCCTCCTCAGAGAAGTGCTTGACCCGGGCTCCCTATCTGCTTACTAAAGACAGATAAAGAAAACTGGTCGATTCTTTCTCTGGGAGGGTGACACAGCCTGGCCTCCTTCTCCCCAACCTGTGAAATAGGGCAGATGGTTTTCCCCATTAACAGGTGTGGAAACTGAGGCTAGGAGAGGTGGGTGACTGAGCCCTTTGCTAAGGTGTGTTTGTGTGGATGCAGAAGCACCAGGAGTGCTGCTGAGCCTGAAAGCCTGTTGGGAGGGGAGGCAGTGTGTGGGCACAGCAGGATCAGATGTCCTCTCAGTGGTCCTGAGTCTCATCCCTGAGCCCTGAGAGGCTTCCAAACAGCACCTAGACCATTCCCCTCCCTCTGCACAGGTTTCACCTGTGCCGTAATTCCTGACCTCTGACCCAGCCCCTGACTCTTCGTCTCCCTCTCAGTGCCAGCCCACCCCCAGTAAATGTCTGGGGCTCTGGAAACACAGCCTCCCTGGTCTCCCTCCTCCCTAGGCTTGCAGGGGCTACTGCCCTGCAGCCATTCATAGCAGAGTGTGGGGTGGGCCGGCAGGGGAGGTGGCTAACTTCCCCTGAGGCATCTCTGTCCTGCTTGCCAGGAAAGGAACCACACAGCCCCCTCATCATCCTGCTCTGTCTCACACCATAGGGCTCTCCCCTTCCTCCCCTTCCTCCCCTTCCTTCTCCTCCCCTTTCCCTTCTTTATTTTAACCTTTGAAATACTCAATATACAGAAAAGGTGCGCACACAGCCGGGTTTTTATGGAATCCTTTGAGAGTAAGTGGTTGATGCAATGCTCCGTCATCCCTGAATACATTAGTGTGCATTTCAAACCAACGAGGACATTTTCTACAAGCCACATGCAACCATCAAAGTCAGGAAATTAAAACGTCATCATTACCTAATGCCCAGATCCTTTTCATGTTTTGTCAATTGTCTGAGTAACATCATTTGTAGCAAAAGGATTTCGTTCAGAATGACACGTTGCATTTAGTTGTCATGACTGGTTCCCTTCAAGCTGGCCTGCTCAGACTTTCCTTGACTTTCATGGTCTTGACACATTGGAAGAGCACAGGCCAGTGTTTTGTAGGATGTCCCCCAGTTTGGGATTGTGCGCTGGTTCCTCGTGATTGGATTCAGGTTCTGCATCTTGGGTAGAAATCTCACAGACAGGATGCTGTGTTCTCATTGCGTACAATTTCGGCTTGTCTCATTACTGACAGCATCACTTAGGCCACTTGGGGAAGGCAGTGTCTGCTGCCAGCCTTCGCCATGGGAAAGCTGCTCTTTTCCCTTTGTAATTAGTAAGATTTTCTGGGGGAGGTACTTTGAGAGCATGTAAATATTTCATTATTCACCAAACTAACATTTATCTGTCTATCTATCTACCTATCTATCTATCTATCTATCTATCTATCTGTCTATCTATCCTGTCTATCTAATCTATCTAATCTAGCTGTCTATCTGTCCATCCATCCAGCCAGCCAGCCAGCCAGACAGCCAGCGTTCATCCATCTACTGATCTGTCCATTCATTTCACTATAGATTCCTATTTTATGTAATAGGTTACAGCTGTTATCACTACTTGCTTCGATACTCAAATTGTCCCTGATTTGGTCACTGATGCCATTCCAGCTGGCTTCTGTATCCCTTTGAAATGCCGTTTTCCCTTTTCCCGAGCCTTCTTACTTTCCAGCACAAGACATTCCAGGCTTGTCTTGTGCCTCCATGCCTCTGTTCTGGAATCAGTCATTTCTCCCTGATTCCAATTAGTGGACCACAGCATTTAGAAACTAAGGTCGGGGCTAGATGCTCGTTGATTTTAGAACGTTGATGCTCCCAGGCTGTTTCACTGGGGAGAGCTGGGGATTGTGTGTCTCTGAGTGAGTGGACACATTTACACAAACTTTATTACTGTATCTATTTATATGTATTGTCAAGTAGGAGCTCACATGATACTTCAGTGTTAACCAATACCATGGAGTTTCCTCTCATTTCCTCCCTTTCCATATTTCTACCTCCTTTCTCTACCAGAAAAACCAGACTCTTATTATTGGTAATATGTTTGCTTACTACTCACTTATAATATGTTTACATACCCCTGAATGTAACCAATCTCCCATTGTCACCACCTCCTGCCCCAGGCAGATGTCTGTCACCCCATGCTGGGATCTGACACCCTTGCTGGGCAGCGTCCCACATGGGCACCCTCCTCTGCTTGAGCCGGGCTGCTGTGGTCCATGCTGACCCGTTGTGGCATCCGCACCCCTACCATTTCCTGGGTTTGCTCAGCCCCACCTCATGGCTTTAGCATGGAATCGTTTATGCTCTGGGTTTTGATGGCTCAGACTTGATTCTATGCTACCGAGGCAAAGGCTTGAAGAGTGCAAACCTTTGTCCCCAAGGGAATAGCTGCCCTCGTGCCCATTCCTCCCTTCACACACCTGTTCCAGGGAGGAGGGACCTCCAGGTCCAGGGACCTCCATAAAGCTGAGTGGTCTTTACTTTTTCCTCCCAGGGTTTGCAACAGGTGGGTAGAGCCAGCGAGGCCACGCAGGGCCCTGGCTGCTGCACCTGCTCACTCACTTAGCCTTGGTGTGTGTACTCAGAGGAGGACAGCTTGGCTGCACGGATGCTTCCATGGAAATGCTTTTGAAATGCTGCAACAGCCAGCCATGTGGGTCTCAGGAGCGTAGGTGTAGAGACATAAATAACAACACGGGGCATAGAATACCTGCTTCCCAGAAGCAATCAGCCTCTCTCCCTCTCCACCTCCGTACAGCTCCCGTGATGGAGTTATTCACATGTAGACACACACCCACAGGAAGCCACCTGCGGCAGGCACGCAGCCTTCACATGGCTTCTTCCACATGTGTGGCCCACACGCGCGCTTCAGTGACTCCTCTTTGACTTAAGCACTAACAACTATTATTTCCTCCCCATCTGATGAGGAAACCAGTGGGCTGCCGAGATGCTTAAAAAGGTAGATTCATTTGTGAAGGTTGACATAGGAGCTCAGAGGTTGATTGCATTGGTTTAACTCTAGAAACAAAAAATGTATAACCCGTTTACTTCCCAGAAAACTCAAGGAAAAAAGCATGCCCCTCCTTGTCCTTCTCCTACTTTTGCATGACCTAAAGCATAAATGTCATAGCTACAAGAAACTTTAAGGTAGCATGACATGAGGTAGTGGCAAGGGACAGCTGGGCCTCTGCAACTTAATGGTAGGGAGGACTTTGTCAAATCTCTTCCCCCTTCTGAGCCTCTATTTGCCCCCTTTAGAGGAGATAGGCCAGTGCACAGCTCGTAAGGTTATTAGGGGCTCAGAGACTGTGGAGGTCAAGTGCCTGATATAGGGCCTCACATACAGTAGGTGCTCAAATGTCAGCTACAGGTCATTTCAGGTGTAAGGTTCTGCACCTTGATGATTCTTGGCCACACACTCCCAGCCTTATATAAGTGCTCTGACAGTAATCCTCTGTGCTTTGCAACCACCCAGTCCTGGGATGATTCTCCTGGTGGGGATTCCACAAGTGCTACACATCCCCAGTTCCTTCCTCTTTTGCTTAGGAGGGCAGTGGTTGGAACATTCTCCTCTGGCCATGTTTTAGCAGCTCTTTCACCAACAGAGGGTCGTGCTAAGAATTAAACACAGCCAGTCAATGGGAGGGGCCCAGATGCTGCACTTGTGGCAATGCACCTCCAGTTTCTGCCTGCCAGCGGTTGTGGAAAACACCATGTCACACTGTTCCTAGCTGGAGACCAAATACAATCTGTTGTCTATTCACATACTGCTGCCAAGCGATACCTCCTAACCTATATCTGGTTGGTGGATGTTTTGAATCAATCCAAACCAAGAGTCACATGTTTTTATTCATATTCAACACCAAGTTGTTAGAGTTGGTCTTCTATCACAAATGACTAAGACGCCCTGCAGATGATCACTCTCCTGGGGTCACTGCTCCCGGTTTGTGATGGGTGTCCTACGGTGAGGGTGGAAGCTCCTACAGGCTGCTCTACATTAGGCTCTTAACCAGCTCCTTGGAATAGGGTCATGCAGCCAAGTCATGAATCCACACAGTACTTTGTCATCTTCTCCCTTAGGATGCCATGGCGGTGGGGCCTTGTAAACGTCCTTGTTGAAGTCCCACATGATATACTGCAAGCATGGGCTCTGGAATCAGACTTTCTGGCTCACACCCAGCTCTGCCAGAATTAGGCTGTGCTCTTGGATGACTTAGTTTATGTGCCTTAGTTTCCTCATCTATGAGACAGGAATTAGTGGTCATACATTCCAGGGCCATTGTGGGGATCGCATAGTTGCTGTTTGTATAACTGTGGCACTCTGGAGTCAGCACCTTACAGGATCCTGAGAGCTGACTGTGAAAGTTTCAGTAAATTTGCAGAATGGATGCCATCATTGGCCATGGTGGAAGTATCTATACCACAGAATTCAGCAAAGGCGACAAACCAGGGCTTCTATCTCCTGGAGAGCCGGTTGTTAAGTATCTCCAGCACACCACTGTATAAAACACAACAGCATCCGGTGGGCACTAAGCAACCAATAAACATTAGCGGTTGTTATGATTATTCCGTTTATTAACTTGACTAATAACCATATCAAAAAAAGAAATGAGACCAATCATATGTAATTATTTTTAATGAGCCTGTAGTAGTGACTGCTGGCAACTGCTACTTCCTTCCCTAACAGCTCGAGAAACAACCCATTAATAATCTTCAAAGTGAGTTTCATGTATTCATCCTTTCGAGTATTATTGAGCCACGTACTAGGTCCTGTGTCGGGCATAGGGGAGTTCGTGGTGTGACTAGCACAGACAACATCTTTGCTCTCATAAAGCTTACAGTCTCGGGGGAAGACAGACATGAAGGCAAGCGAACAAACAAAATCACAACATCATCACAAACTGTGAACGTGCTTAGAAAAAAACAGCATGGAATAATTGAGAAAATGGGGATGTGTTTTTTCCAATTGGGTGGTTGCAGGGGCATGCTGGCTGTCACACACTGCCTGCCAAGAGCCAATTGCGTGCGCTCATCTCTTCTCAACTCTGCCTTGAATGACATCATCTGTGTCGTTAGCTTGAAATTGGCTATGGTGGAAGTATTTACACCACGGACATTGGCGGATGCTACAAACCGGAGCTGTTTTGTTTTCCCTTCTGGAGACCTAAAGGTGAAGATGGGGCCATGCTGAGAGCAGTGGGAAGAGCGTTTTACCTGCCTGTATACATTCCCTCAGGTGGGAGATACTTTCTGTCCCATGGAAGCTTCTGCTGCAGGGAGAGAGTGAAACCATTCCAGATAGAGAAACTTGGAATGGTTTTCTGAATACCTGAGCCCTGGGGAAGCTTTGGTTGCCCTTTACATTCCCATTGATTTCAACCACTCTACCCAGTACCAGTGCCTTCTTGATAACCCCTGCTCCCCTTTGGCCAAGCCCACATGATCATCTGCTTGTGGCCATGGTGCTGGGTATCTGCCAGGCTGGACCACAGGTGGGGTTCTAAGTGGTGGGTGATGATCTCGGGTGGGAAGAGTCCTGGTATTGTTCTGATTCACTGAGTACTCCAGCCACTGCCTAAGGGAGGAGAGAAACCAGGCAGGGTCTCTGGCCAGGGAATGGCTCTGGCAAAGCTAGCAGGGCTTTAGAGCTCCAGCCAAGCACGTTGGGCCCTGAGCCCTCAAGAGAGCCAGAGCGGGCTAGAACATGAAGCCAAGCAGATTACACAGTGAGGACAAAGCAGACCCTCGAGTCCTATGTTCTCGGGTGAGTGGGGGATTTGGGCAGGGAGAGGGGTACTATATTGTGGAAGCGACCACCCTGAGGCTTCATGACACCGGGGGCTCCCTTATGCCACTGCAGCAATAGGGTCAGTTTGCTGCAGGACATAGTCCCAGTCCCACCATTCATGGAGGGTAGAGATATCGACATCCTTTTTCCCATCACTCCTGACCAGCCGCAGGAGAAGGGTAGGTTAGTCCTTTGCCTTCTCTGATTTCTTTTCTCTCAACATCCCAAGCAGTTGCTCCATGTCCACAAGAATCCCAGGTGGTAGGGAGGTCAGATATACACCCATTTGCCGGGTGAGGAAAGGAACCACGGAGAGGCACAAACATGCACAACAGGCCTAGGTTCAGCCCCCACAACTTGACTTCTCTAAACTCCAGTTCACTCCTTAGGCAAAAATAATAATAAAACCAAGCACACAAGTTCCTAGGAGGATTACTGAAGTAACATACGGAAAATCACTCTGCAAGCTGCTATTCAAATGCTAGTAATTTTTTACTGTCACAATTAGGACTAGTTTGAATATCTTTTGTCTCTTAACCCAATGCCCCCCACCTTTTTTCCTTCAACATTGCTCATTCATCCATCCATTCATTGAGTAATGATTCTGAATGTTTGTGAGGAGTCAAATGCTCCGCTATATCCTGGAAATAGGAAGCTAAAATAGACAACGAAGAGAAGGAATGCATACGCTGGAGGTGAGCCGGGCCCTCCGCAGGTGCAAGGCAGCCAGCATGGGTGTCACCAAAATAGGTGTATGAGCAAGGACCAAGGGAGTGGGGAGGGCGAGCGAAGGGCTTTGCTGCAGTGGGGTTGGCAGGGGGGTCAGGGGGCTTCATAGGCTCATAATATGTTCCCATGCCTGTGACCCTCATGCCTCCTCTTGTGTGGCACAGGACCTGCTCTCTGAAAGAGTGAGGACCTAAAAATGATCACTAACTTCAGATCCTACGGGCATCAGCTGACCCTGATGGATGCACTGGAGGCTCAAATGAGGTTGAGCTGGCCTGATTTGTTTAAAAACAAAAATGACCATTAATGAGAATGACTAGATTTCTGTAAGAACCACTCAAACCAAAAAGAAAAAATTCCACTCAAAACCATTTTTAAAAATCTGGATGTCTCACTTACAAACTTGAAGCTACAGGAGAAGTTTTCCCAATTTAGAGTCTATTGCTCCCTGCTGTGCATTTAGTTCTGATTAATCATTCTGTAATTTACCAGCCAGAGTCCTGTCATAGTTCGTTGAACAAACTTTCCATCATCCTTCTGGAATAAAAACATGGATCCGGACGGTGACCTCAGTGCAACCTTGAGTTGATGCAGTTTTAGTGACTTGGGGTCCAGATTGGGCATGGAGCTCTGCAGCCTACGGCTGCTCGGAATCTTAATATCAATAGCTTAGACCCCCTTGAAAATCCTTTGCATGGAGGAGAAGGGAAGACTGCTGCTGTGTGTGCCCACACACTTCCTTGAGCCAGCCTAATGCCCTATGTTGGCCAATAGCCCCTAGTAAGTTGGCATATGCCCCACCATGACAGGTAGCATTTTGTAGATTGGAAAATTGAATCTGGAAGTTTAAGTGGTTGCTGGTGGTGACTACAGACTGCAGGAAGAATATTCATGGTGATTCAGCTGGACAGTTGTATTTGGCTGCACAGAAAGAATGTGACCTCTTAAAAATAAAAAATAAAAGGACCCAGGAAGTGTTGAAAATGACAGTCAAACTGGAACTTGGAGGCACCATCTTTTTTTATTGATGCCAGCTGTCTCCACCAGTGAATCTTGCAGAATGCCTTACACATAACAAGTGCTCAGTACACATTTGAAGAACCGCAGCTTTCTGGCACTGCAAAGAATTTCAGATTCAACCTCCCTTCTTTTTTTTTTTCCTAATGAGGAAAATAAAAGAGAGGAGATGTTTGATTGAGATTAGCTGTCACCTGGAACAAGAGCGTAAGTTGCTGCCTTTTAGGATTCCAGCATAAAGTTGTGCAGGTTGAGCACAAAAGCACCGGAGAAAGGGGATAAATGGAGTCTAAAAGCCAGTCCAGCACTGGATTGAAGGGAGATGGGTCCTTTTCCTTTGACAAAGGGCTCATCTCCTCACCAAGCCAACTGTGGGGCCATGTCCACACTGAGAAATGTCTGCACTTGAATAGATGTAGAAGGGTGATGTTAAGAGAACAGAAGTCCAGACTGTTGAGGATTTTATAGGGTTAACTGATTCCTTCTGCCTTTTTGCAAGCAGAGATTGTGATTTTTGCTATTCTGTGACCCCCTATATCTAGCTATCATCTATCTGTCTTCTATATCGTCTGTCTATCTATCAATCATCTCTTGTAATCCATATTGATGAGGTTACAGCAACTAATTGATAAGAGGGCTAACACAGAGAACATGAGCAGCAGTAACTCTCTTTGGGGGACACCTGAGGAATATTTCATACATACCTGTTTGTTAGACTTGATGATGGATTACTCCTTGTCTGTTTCCTGCAGCTCCTAATAGAGTCCTGTCCACAAAAATTGTCATGGGTGGAGCCTTGTACTAAACACTCAGGGTAGAGGTCATGAGGCCCCGGAGGCAGGAGAAAACATCTTCTAGGGCTACAGAGAGGTCATGATATAAATGCAGGAGGAGGAACTGACCCATAGCCACACAGACACAGGCAGACATTAGGGAAGAACCTTCAAGAAACGTGCAAAGAAAAAAAAGTAAGGGAGGCCATTAAAGACAATTTTTAAGTTTACAAAACTAAGGCAAGCCAGGCTTTGCATGCAAATGATTAGGCAGGTGAGTCATGCATATATTTGTCAGTTCTCTTTCAAAATAAGAAATAAATTAGGCACAATGTTTGCATTTTAAAAAATCCTTTACTTTGCCACTCTATGAATTTTCTTAGTGCACCCTGGGCCCTGCTCTCAGTTGAGTTCCTGCCCTGGGGTCTCTGAGACCCAGAGAAACTTCAACACCTACCCCTCCCACTCCCACCAAAACTTTTGGAGAATAGCTCTTCCTGCTCATACTTTTTAATGGTAGGGGCTTTTGAGCAGTAACCAGTCAGGAGGGCCACCCAAGACTGAACCTCACTGTAGAGTGACCAGGGTCAATGCATGTGTACAAAGTGTCTTACTCCTTGTAGAGCAGGCTGTATCCAATTAAAGCTTGATTAAATACCACATAGTGGAGAGTAAACTGTTATTAGAAGCTGCTAATGGACACTCCATCACCTGCATTATTCACTGTGAAGAAACTAAATAAAGCCAGCAAACGGTGTGCTCTTTGCCATCCAGGAGCCTCAGTCCAAATTAATTTTCATGAAACTCAGATTCTAGGCAGATGTGGTTCTTTTGATTTTTACTCCTAAGTACAGGCCATTGTTTGTTTTTCCCAGCAAAGCTCAGGCATTGTGTGAGTTTTTTTCAGAGGATATTGCAGAATGAGAGTTTCAGAGCATGAATATATGTAACCTTTCAAAGGAAATGTTCAGAAAGAACAAACCAACCAATACATCAGCCTGCCAATTTAACAGTGGTATCTAAACTAGCTTGCTCAGATCTTTACAGCAACAAATACAAAAAGGGACTCCAAAATTATGTGTATGTCTATGTCAGTTTATCAAAAACTCAACTAAGAAGTGTCTCCTCCCACAGAGGAAACTGAAGTTCTTGAAGGTGACTCATAAGAAGAAGCCACTGGGGACAGGGGCTTTGACCCTGGCCCTATCTGCTTCCCCTCTCCATCTGTGGATCAACAAGCAGGAATATGTCAGATAATGTCCACCTTCTGTTGAGCTTTAGCTATGGGCCTGGCACTCCACATGTGTTATTTCATTTGATCAATACAATCACCCTCTAAATTGATATTGCTTTTCATGGTTGTTCACTTGGGAATTGGAGTTTAGTTAGGTCAAGTAACTTGTCTAAAGTCGTACAGCTAATGGTGAGAAGATCTGGCACTTAAACCTAGGTTTCCCTGACTGCAGAGCCCATGCTCTCATCAAAATATCAATTTCCTCCCTCACAAACACTAGAAGGGCACCCATTTGGTATTGAGCCTGGCTGTGAACAAATGCAAAAGCAATAGAGGAGGCATCTATGCTTTCTTTGAGTTTGAATTGTCATGGTAACCTAACATAGGGGTGGGGGCCTTGAGAAGAGTTTTAGAGTCATGTCATATCAGATCTGGGCTCTGTTTCCACTGCTGCTACTCAACCTCTCTAAGCCTCGGTTTCCTTAGTTGTAAACAAAAATAACAGTTGACCCCGACTACCACAGGGGTTAGGGGTGCCAATCCCCCACACAGTTGAAAATCCAAGCATAATTTTTGACTCCCACAAAAGTAAGCTACTATCAGCCTACTGTTGACCAGCAGTCTTGCTGATAACTTGGTCAATTAACACACATTGGCTGGCTGTGGTGGCTCATGCCTGTAATCCCAGCACTTTGGGAGGCCGAGGCGGGTAGATCACCTGAGGTCAGGAGTTTGAGACCACTCTGGCCAACATGGTGAAACCCCGTCTCTACTAAAAATACAAAATTAGCCGGGCGTGGTGGCACATGCCTGTAATCCCAGCTACTTGGAGGCTGAGGCAGGAGAATCGCTTGAACCTGGGAGGCGGAGGTTGTGGTGAGCAGAGATCACGCCACTGCACTCCAGCCTGGGCAACAAGAGTGAAACTCCGTCTCAAAAAAAAAAAAAAAATTAACACATATCTGGTATATGTATTATATACTATATTCTTACCATAAAGTAATCCAGAGAAAAGGAAATTGTTAAGAAAATCCTAAGGAAGAGGAAATATATTTACCACTCACTGAGTGGAGTGGATCAGCATGAAGGTCTCTGTCCTCATTGCCTTCACATGGAATAGGCTGAGGAGGAGGGAGAGGAAGGGCTGGCCTTGCTGTCTCAGGGGTGGCTGGAAGAGGTGGAAGGGGAGGCAGGCACACTTGGTGTAAATAAAAAAAAAAAATCTGCGTGTTCGTGGACCTGTGCAGTTCAAAGCCAGGTTGTTAAGGGTCAGTTGTAATGTGCTTACCTCACAGGGCTGTTGGAAGGATGACGTGATACCACGCATATAACGGGCTTAGCGCTATGCCAGGCACATAGTAATGGCTCAATTTATTTTACAGGGAAAACATGCAGGTAGTTTTCAATTATGTTGGTATAAACTAGTTTGGTAAAGGGTGAGCTACATCATATCCTAAAAGTAGAATCAGAATAGGGCTGAAACCTGGAGATCTGGCCCTGAAGTGAGGTGCTTGTGGTTCCTGGGTGGGGTCCCTGCAAAGTATGGCCCTGGGGTTCTTATTTTCCAGTCATCACCATATTTAAGGGTAAAGTGGAAGAGGTGGAGCTGCCTGTGGAGAAGGTGGACATCATCATCAGCGAGTGGATGGGCTACTGTCTGTTCTATGAGTCCATGCTCAACACGGTGATCTTTGCCAGGGACAAGTGGCTGGTAAGTGTCCTGCATGCTGTCCCCGCGTTGGCCGGCTGGCTGTCCTGCTCCTCTACCCAAGGCCTGCAGCCTAGGAGGCATACGAAGACTTCAGAGAAGACTGAGGCCAGGAGGTCACTGCCCCAAGCCCCTCTCTCTAGAGCAGATCTGTATCAGGGAACAGAATGGTTGCCCCGGGTCCAGCATGTGTAACCATCAGAGTGGACTTCCGTGGGTCTCACCGCAGCCTCTTTTGCAATAACAGACATCCGTTCTCTCTTGTCGAGTTAAAGGTCCGTTTCGGTCAGCAAGTACTTAGGACTTGCATGGCTGCCAGAGCCAGGTGTGCTATTCATCTGGGCTTCTCCAGGCCAAAGTCGTAACATCTCTCACTGCTCCTCACTGGATTTACCTTCACCTCACCTCATTTGTCCTATTGACTCCACCTAGGTCCCTTAAATTTTCCTTGCTCCAAAATAAAAATTGAGCACTGCTGTCCTAGCCCTCACCCCAGACAAGGTGACAGTCCACTGCATGAGAGATGGTGGCAAGGGGGTGCTTGTCTGGTGACTCTATGTGCAGTTCAAAATGTGATGTCTTTGTCAGGTGAATAGATTACGAGACCCATTTCCCCACAATTCATCAACAGAAACCTGGAGGGCTTATGTTTCCAGACCGGGCAGCTTTGTACGTGGTAGCGATTGAAGACAGACAGTACAAGGACTTCAAAATCCACTGTAAGTCCCCTCTTGCTTCTCCGGTGGACTTCCACTGCACAATTGGGGTGGGAGGCACTCCAGTGGGCCCGAGATGAGCAGGCAGTGACATGAACACCATTGCTGTCCCTGAAGAGGAGCTTATCTGGGACCCTTTCTGGAGTCTGCTCTCTAAATGTTTCTATCTAGTCCCAAGGGTGTTAGGTCTACAGACAGAAAATAAGCCATATGGCTGGGATGAGAGAAATGTCCTGGGGTGAAAGAATGAATGCAATGTGAATTAAAAATTGGACTGAGGCAGCAGAAGCTGAGTTTTTGCAGAGATCAGCAGGGCAAGTGGCTTGAAACCTGTCAAGGTTCAGTTAGCCCAAAAGTCCACCGCAGGGGTCTGAAGTAGCAGGTCTCTTGCCAGGCCAATTGTTTTGAATCCTGCCTCCATTCCATTCAAACTTATCAAAATAATATTGATTCTCTTATGCAAATACATATTATTTGAGGTTCTTTTGAGGAATAGATAGCAGAGGGGGTGGGAAAGAGTGGAGATTTTGCTTTGAACAATCAAACGAAAGGCGAGTGTGCATGTGTGCATGAGGCAGGGGCTCGTATCTAAACATGTATTCTTAATGCCTTATCAGCTAGGCGTGTGTGGTTCTCTGAGAACAATAAAGCCAAAAAACTTCTCCTCCCCCGCAATGTTTTACCTGGTCTGAAAAGGGCTGTTATCCTATTTCTCGTAAAGGGTGACACTTCTCTGTGACACAGGCCTGATCCTTAATGAGATTATACCAAACATGTTTTTGTAAAGTTGAACATGGCTGTGTCTCCTCAACCAGAACCAAATACAACAAAGGAGCAAAGAACCCCTCAAACAGGCAAACACCCAAAAATCCAAATTAAAGCAAGAGGCAGAAGCTCCAACCTATCCATCAGACTGGGCACATCTGCGGTTCCTGCCCCAACAGGGTGGTCCATTCCTACTTGGCAAGATTACTGTGGAGGGGTTCACAGATTGAGTAGAAGAATAAATGCCTCCAAGAGGCTAAGACTCCATCCACAGTTCAACAAATTGTGGCTCTGTGGATTTAAACAATTGCCATCTAATCGTCGTTAGTGGCACTGATGAAAACTCGGCTGGACTCTGCTATGGATGTGTGTATTTGTGTGGGTTCATGCCTTTCTGGAAATATAAACTCAAAGTGTGAAGTTCAGAGCCAGGTTCAGAAGAAGACAAAAGTGGGACAGCTGTTTGAAGCTCTGTGCCCTGGAAACCGTCTCTGGTTGCTGTCTGCCTCCAGCCAATCTGGTGTGATTTCCACTATTTGACCTCCTGGGGGAAGGAGGCAAAATACCAAATGAGGACAGTGAGAGGCAGGGGGGCCCAGGTTAAATGCTTTGCACACTGCCAGCCCTGGGTTTAAATCTTGGCTTTGCCATGTCCTAACTGGGTAACCTTGAGCAAATTATCTAATACCTTTGGGCCTCAGTTAAGGGATAATTTTCTCAATCCCACAGACTTGTCATGAGGATTAAGTGAGATGACATATATTAAAGGACGTGACAGTTCTTGGTCCTATAATGGGACTAGATGGGAACTAGTTTCTGACTGTGTAGCTAAGCCCCTTTCTGCCCCTGGCTCTGGCAAGTGAGCCTGACTGCCAAGCCCCTGGTGGCTCAGAATCTAGGACAGATGTACTCTCATGGAAGATTGCAGACACAACTCCACAGTGAGTGTTGATCAAATGCATGTATAAATAGGACATATTTTGCCCTGGAGCTGCATTTTGGAGTTCTTGCTGTGCAATTGTACTGAATAGTGTTTTGAGGAGGAAAGCTTCTAGGTACATTCTTCATTGTCAAGTTCACTTAGATATTTATTGAGCTCCAACCCGAGGCACACCTCTTTAAGAAACTTTCTCATGGTTTCCACAACAAAGATACCTGTGTCAGGAGCCTTTGCAGGTATGCACATTGCAATGAGCCAGCCTGGGGCAGGGAGGGGCTCCTAAGGCACTGGCCCCAGACTGGAGATCATGTGATTTCTTTGATTCTCATTGCAGTGTTCATACCTTTTGGAAAAGGAAAAAAAAAAATCTGAAAGTTAGCACCATGTTATCTTGTGCTTGTTCTAGAGTCTCTGAAAAATACCCCAACCTCCTCCCCACCCCAAAAGAACACCAAGAAACAGACACTTAAAATGTATTTAAAATACATTTTCTATTTACATTTTTGAAAATAATCTATTTTTTTGTAAAGGAAGCAAACCCACTTAGAAATTCATTTCAAATAAATGGAGACTTTGGTTACTATGAGTTCTAAATCAGAAGTAAAGCACAAAGGTTGCTGGTTGCTAAGGCAACAATTGTAAGCAATTTTCTATTGGCTCAAGAACCAGCTAAGAAGGAAAAATTTTGAAATGAGGCAGGAGAGTGAGACATGTTCAGCCCCTTTCAGAAAGTAAGTTGTTAGAGGGAGAGCTTTCTTTCCTTTCCTCTCCTTTCCTTTTCTTTTATTTCCTTCCCTCTCCTTCCCTTCCCTCCCCTCCTTTCTTCTTCTTTCTCAACCACACACAGCAACATGGGAGTGCAAGAATGAGGTCAGTGCAGAACCTGCCCTCCATTTGCTCACCAATGAATAGAGACCACATAGAGACAGAGATAAATATCTGGCATATACTAGGCTCACAATACATAATTTTAACGAAGGAAGGAAGGAAGGAAGGAAAGTGAACCAGCAGAGGGATGTGCAAGGTGTAGTATTTAACTCTTAGAGAGGAGCAATCATTTTACACACATTTTCTACTATAAAGGAAATACACAGAATTTCAAAAATGGAAGGAAACTCGGTGGATGTTCTATTCAATTTCATGCACAACCCATGAATTGTACCCAGTGCATGAATCTACACCCTGCTGAGAATGAGAGAGATGGGCACCAGTTTCTTGGCTGATGAGAAGACTGAAAGAAAGACCTCATGCAGAGGTGGCAGTGCTTATAGCTTGATGGTTGAAGGGCGGCCCTCTTGGATGGCTCAGCTGCTGTCTGTGGGCTTCACTTCCACTCATGACATCCAGAGTTTCCTCTGGTTCCAGCCCATTTTATGCAAGGATTCCACTTTCTTCATGAGAGCCTAAAATGTGTCAATCTAGTGTAAACACTTTCCCTTCTGCACAGAGGAGAATCTGTAAGTAGCATCTGGTGGCACTTGTTCTATTTTTCTCTGACCTCATTCTGAGGCAGTCCCATTAGCCTCATCAGAGAAACTCAGATGGTTGGGGCTGGGGTGGTGAGGGAGGATGTAGCTACAGCTCTCTGCAATCAGAAATCACATTTCTCCCCTGGTACTTAATTTTCTTTCCTCAGACTGTTTTTGAGATTTCTGTCTTTATTGATTTTCTGCAGTTTGATTCTGATGTGTCTAGGTGTGTTTTTCTTTTTATTTATCCTGCTTGGGGTTACATGGAATTCTTGGAACTGTGGATGGATTGTTTCGTTAGTTTAGAAAAATTTCAGCCAGTATCTCTACAAATATTTTTTTCTGCCTGATTATCTTTCTCCCCTTCTTCAGGAACTCCCATTATATGAAATAATGTTTGATATTGTCCTATGGAGCTTGGATCCTCTATTTTTTTCACCCCTTTTTTCTCTTTGTGTTTAAGTTTGGATCATTTTTATTGCCCCGTTTTCAACTTTATTGGTTATTCCCTGATATATTCATTCTGTTAATAAGTTCATTTTAAAAAGTCTTCTTTCCTTATATTGTTATTTCGATTTCTAACATTTCCACTGGCTTTTTTAAAAAGTTTCCATCTCGCTAATGAAATTCTCCATTCATTGATGCACACTGTCCACCTTTTCCACTAGCTTCTTTAACATACTTAGTATAGATACTTTAAAGTCTTGTTGGATAATTCTAACATCTGAGCATCTCTAAATTTGGTTCTATGACTTTTTTCTTATGATGATAAGTCATATTTTTCCCTTTCTCATGTGTCTTATAATTTTTCATTAATGCTGGGCATTGTGAGTAAAAGGACCAGTAGAGACAGGTGAATCACACCTATGTCCAGAAAAGAGCATTGCCTCTGCCAGGCTATTAGAATGAGGGTGTGTGTGAGTCAATCTAGTCTGTATTAATAGTAGATTTGGGCTTTGTTGTTGCTTTAATTACATACATTATGCCATAGTATAGTCCTTTTTAGGAGTCTGTTTTCATCCATTAACAAAAGCTTCACAGGCCTCTCTGATATTATTTTTTAATTTCTAGATAATCATGATATTTCTTGATGACCAATGGCTCTTACCCCACATACACTTATTTGGCATACAGCATACAAATAATTATTGCAACAAATAATTAATGTGATTTATTTGTATCCTACTCCATCTCTGCTCCACTTCTGATAAAAAGGGCTACTGGGAAATAAATGGCCAGCAGAAAGAAGAAAAAAAAATCTAATCCCTTGGGTGATCTGTGCTCTGAATGATTGAAGGTGGGGCAGTCCAGCTGAGGAGATAAGACCCAAATTAACCCATATAAAGGTAACTAAAACACCAGGCATTGCAAAACAGTGCAGGCATTAAATGTTTGGGAATGAATCTCAATTCAAAAAACATTATCTGTGAGCCTATTCTGTGCTAAATGCTGTACTATGGGTGTTGAGGGTACAGGAGAGGTTATATGGTCAGGAGCGTTTAGAGAAGGTCTCACAAAGGCCATGAGACATTAAGATCACCATTTTTGGGACTTGAAGACAGTAAAGATCATGTACCCCAAAGGTTTCCAAATGGTTGGAATTGTCTGTATAGATTTGTAAAACTCCAGCTCCCTGGCTCTCAAATCTGGAGATTCTGATTCAGTAGGTCTGGCGTGGGCCCTGGAGTCTGCATTTTAAAAACTGTTCCAAGTGATTCGAGAACACAGAACCACTGAACCAAAATCCTTATAAGTAAGCCCAGAAAAAAGGATTGATTTGCACATGGCCGCACAGCTTGCATGGCAGCAAAGCCAGAGCTCAAACCACATAATGATAACCACTTTTATGTATCAAGTGCTTTCTGTGTGCCAGGCAATGTCTTATGCACTTTACGTATAATCACATTTAATCCTCATAGCAATCGTATGGGATTACCATCTTTATCATCATTTCCATTTTACAGAATCCTTAGAAACCAAGGCTTAGAAAGGTTATATTCGTGCCTAAGATTACACAGCAAATACGTGGCAGAGCTCAGATTTGAACTCCAAAGCCTAGGCCTTTAACCATTACATGCATTGACTCTCAGGCTTTTGCTTAGCACTAGCAGTGAACTCAAACTCCCGGCAGAGTCCAGGGAGAAAAGAGCAGGTGCATAGCTGCAAGTCTCTTGAGAAAGACACAGAAGGCAATGTGTTTTGGCGTGTACGTTTTATCTGGGGAGAGGGTGGATAGCTATTTCCACATTCTAGAGGGGAGTCTTCTCTGAAACCTGCCCTGTTGCCAACTAAGCAGCCTCCTCCCCACGAAGTAGGTTTTAATTGGGAGTTTGGCACCAGCCTCGGGTGATTTAATGGGATTTGATGGGCATCTTTTCCTCAAACTGGAATTTCACAAGCACTCATCCTCTGGGATTACCTTCTCTGCCTTCTTTTCGCAAGAAAGAAGCTCTTTGTGTGCCTTATAAAAGAATCAGAGTCAAAGGAGAAAAGCTGTCGCTGACCGTTCACACCTCCTGCCGCACACACCCACTCTCCTAAACACACACAGGAACATACGTTCCCTAAGGTCCTGTTTGTTTGGTGAATGTTTTAAAATAAAATTTAATCCTGTAAGATTTTAGAGAAAAGCATTTCTACTTCAAGGCATTTTGAAACCCATTGAAAAAACAGATGAATGAGATTCAGGTGCCCGGAAACTAAAGAGTCTGCTAAAGCTGTCCTCTCTGCACTGTAGGGAGAGAAATCTTGCATTCCTGGTTGCTGTCACGGCTGGGCCATGGCAGGTGAAGGATTTAGGGGACATGCTGGGCTTGAGCCCTCGCCCCCCTGTTTCCCTGATGTGTGATCATGGGCCAGATATTATATGAGAGCCAGATGCCAACTTCTCCCAGCCACAGTTTTCTCATCTGCAGCATAGCAATATCCTCATGTGGTTGCTGGGTAGATTAAATGAAGAGTCTGGCCTGGACTGACTGATCAATCAATGACTGCAATTATTGGCCAGGCATGGTGACTCATGCCTGTTATCCCAGCACTTTGGGAGGCCTAGGTGGGCAGATCACCTGAGGTCAGGAGTTCAAGACCAGCCTGGCCAACATGGCGAAACCCCATCTCTACTAAAAATACAAAAATTAACCCGGCATGGTGGCGGGTGCCTGTAATCCCAGCTACTCGGGAGGCTGAGGCAGGAAAACCACTTGAGCCCAGGAGGCGGAGGTTGCAGTGAGCCCAGATTAGGCCTCTGGGCGATGGAGCCAGTCTCTGTCTCCAAAAAAAGAAAAAGATAGCAATTATTACCATATTAAGGGTGATCCTGGGCCATCAGACTTGAATTAATTTCTCACCAACCCCCTAGATCTTTCTCCCTCCCATACAAAGTATCTTATGAGTAGCCCAAAGGGGACAAGGAGCACGGCTGACAAGGAGAGGGTTTGTGCTCCACTTGGGGGTAGTTCCTAATGGGGTGGATCCTTAGTGAGTGCATCTTGGCATACAAGGAAGGCAGAGATGCTCCTGGACCCACCCAGGTGAGAAAACTGAGGTTCAGAGAGGTTAGGTCATTTGTACAAAGGCTGACCAGTAAGTGGTGGTGCTGGAATTTAAACTGTAGTTGATTTCACGTTAAAAGCCCATGATTCTCTGTGCTGCATTAAAGGTTCAGTGGATGGGGACAGGAAAAGGGAGAGAGATGGGCCTTCTAGGTCTTCTAGGTGTGGAGAACAGCTCGAGACAGCATAGGAATGGGAACGTAGAAGACAGATAAGGGAGTTCATAGGAGACGCTGCTGGCTTGGGGAGGGGACAGGAAGGAAGAGTCAGCTAGCCTGGGTTCTAGTCTTTGCCCTGCTGCACTCTAGCTATAGGAGCTTGGAGCAGTTTCCCAGCCTCTCTGAGCTCTAGTTTACCTAACAACAAAGTGGGACTTACCTTTTCCCGAGGTAGAAATGGAAATGGGAGTGAGCATTTGGCACATTGCAAAGTGCCCCCAGGTGAGCAGTTCTGCCTCTATTTCGATGCAAGGGAACTCGAGCTGCCACTCAGCCCTCAGGCACGCTGTGCTCTAGGACTCAGGAGGGTTGGGTGAGCTTCTGGGGGTCCTGCGCCTGCCTTCACGTCTTGCTCTGCTCCCACAGGGTGGGAGAATGTCTATGGCTTTGACATGACCTGCATCCGGGACGTGGCCATGAAGGAGCCTCTAGTGGACATCGTGGATCCAAAGCAAGTGGTGACCAATGCCTGTTTGATAAAGGTCTGGACACTCATCCGGGGTGGACCTGGGTGTGCTGGGAGCCCCGCTGTGCCACCCTGGAGTCCAGGCAATGCCGGCTCCTGCACAGCCCCCACCTGGTGAGGCAAGGCTGCCTTGGCCAGAGCCTGTGATGCTCCCTAAGCTCAAGTCAAAAGCTGGCAGTCCGCCTGGACACAGCCACTGAGAGAGTGGCTCCATGGTGGCACGGATGTGGGAGGGCCCCAGCACAGGGGCCCTGGTGGCGTGCAGAAGGGTGGGGGTGCAGGGAAGAGAGGGGCATTGCAGGAGAGGACACCTGGAAGAGGAGAGCGTGCTCAGGTTTGGGGCAGTTGGTCCATTCAGAGGTAGACGTCTCTCTTAGGGAAGAAATCCAGGACCTCAGTATGCTGTGTAATCATCATCATGCTCTTGCCTCCACACACACCTTTGCCCCAGCGGCCTGCCAGATAGAGCTTCCAGCTGCCCCTTCCTGAGCGTCCCTGTTCATGCTCTCGCCTCCACATACACCTTTGCCCCAGCGGCCTGCCAGATAGAGCTTCCAGCTGCCCCTTCCTGAGCGTCCCTGTTTGTACATGCTCTAAACCAAGTGTGTCCAACCTGCATCCTCTGGGCCACATGTGGTCCAGGATGGCTTTGAATGCAACCCAACACAAATTCGTAAACTTAAAACATTAAGAGACTTTTTTGTGGGATTTTTTTTTTAGCTCATTAGCTATCATTAGTGTTAGTGTATTTTATGTGTGGCCCAAGACAGTTCTTCTTCTAATGTGACCCACGGTAGCCAAAAGATTAGACACGCCTGCTCTAAACACCTTTGCCCGAGGCTTCCTTCAGTGCAGATGAAGAACAGCTGCTCAGCGTCTTTGCCACACCAATCCCTAGTATATTCTTATTATTAAAAATTCAAACATGTCCAGTTAGATAGAATAAAGGTGAAAGGTGCCCTCCGCCTCCCTCCAGCCCCATCCTCCTCCAGAGGTAACCACTGTTCACAGGCTGGGTTGCCTCTTCCAGTCCTTTTTGTATGCATTTGCATTATATATGCTAATATATTATGTTGAACCATATAAAACTATTGATATTTGACAGTTTTTTAAAATAGAGACATCAATTTCATATAATTCAAGCCAAAAAAATTTTTTTTGAGACAGAATCTCACTCTGTCACCCAGACTGGAGTGCAGTGGCACAATCACAGCTCACTGCAATCTCGACTAACTGAACAGTTTCATGTACCACAAGCTATTTTTTTTTTGAGACAGGATCTCTTTCTCTCTCTGTCACCCAGGTTGAAGTGCAGTGGTGTGATAATAGCTCACTGCAGCCTCACTGAGGCTCAGGTGATTTTCCTGTCTTAGCCTCCTGAGTAGCTGAAACTACGGCTACGTGCCACCAGGCATGGCTAATTTTTTTTTTTTTGTATTAATGGGGTTTGGCCATGTTGCCCAGGCTGGTCTCAAACTCCTGGGCTTAAGTGATCCACCCACCTCAGCTTCCCAAGTGCTGGGATGACAGACATGTGCTACCACGCCCAGCCCAGGTTAATTTTTAAATTCAAAAATCAGCCCACCTGAGTCTCATCTTGCTAACATGCCGGCCTACTGTGCTCCTGCACGCATCATTCTTTTTCTGAAAGTATCGGGGCAGGGTACTGGACTGGAATATTTATAGTAGGATAAAGGGATTGGAGTTCAGGGCCACTAAGGACGGGGGTGGGGGAGGTTTCTGAAAGACTGACACAACTGCTGCTTTGCCCATGTGAGAACTGTCCTTTGTCCTGGACACAAGCCTTGCTAGGAAGAACTGCACCCGTTGGGCTGGAGTATCACTGTGGACTTTAGAAAGGTCCTCACAGGGCAAATAAACCTAGAATGAACCTCATCAGACCCCATCAGATGCCCCCTCTCTTTAGTAGCATCCTGCCTGAGAGGTTTGGCTTTGAGTCTAAGCCTCAGACTCTCCATTCACAGGGTTCTCACTACTTCATTCAGCCTTTTCTGGGTCCAGGCAGGATTAATTGTGAGCAAATGTGTCCTTTTGTTTCTTTCTACCAGTCCCTCTGTCCCTGAAGCCTCTTCCTCCTTGCCATCCTAAACAAGAACAAGGAAAGTATGCCCCCAGCAAGAAGCTCACCCATAGTACAAGGCACTTCTGTAAATGTAGAATAGATAGAAGTCCACTAGTGCAACTGAATTTGCCAAAATGACATGTGGCAGTGATATTTACCATTAGGCATCTGCACGTACTGGCTTCAGCTTGGGGATAAAATTCCTTCAATATTCTTGGACCCCAGGTTGCTCTCTGCCCCTGACCCAGGCCCCATTGGCAGGTGTAGCCACTGCATTTCTGTTTGCACTGCCGGACACGTCAGCCACTGTCCTGGCCCTCTCCACTCCCCAGGCAAGAACTAGCAGGGGCCTTTCAGTTGGTTAGACCTGAGCATATCCAGGGGCAAAGCAGCCAAGGAGCGGCTGGAGGGGTGTGTGTTCCGTACACTCCTTATGAAAACTCCCGGGGCTCTGGTTCTGTCTCAGGACTCGTGACCTGTGATGATTTTCTGTCCCACGCTGGTCCCTTTCTTCCTCTGTGTTCCTGAGAAGGATGACGATTGTCTGTGTTTGCTTCTGCTTCCAGGAGAGCCCTTCCGCCAGCTCTCTCCTGCTGATGTGCTAGGCAACATCTTGCCGAGCCTGTTGGGAAAACACTTGCCCTTCTTCACACACTTAATTGCTATTTTCATCGCTATTAACATTGCAGAGTGTGACACTTTATTATAATTAAGGTTCTATTTTAACCAGACTTCTGCTCCGAGACATCCATTTCTAACATTGTTTAACGGTGGGGATCGCAGCGGCCAGGGGCACTTCTGAGTAATTTATGCTGGTGAAGCCCTCTGCTTCAAGCGGGTCACCTGAGGCCAAGTCAGTGGGTCTCCCTGGGGTCTCAGAGCTGCTGTTTCTGCTGCAGAAAAGAGGAAGCCTCCTAGTCGAGGGGCTGGGCTCTGGGGAGTCAGGGTAACTGGGGCTGATTTGGTTGGGGGTTGGGGAACCTGAGCCCAGAGGACCTTTGTGTTTTTGAAGCCTAGCTACAGCTGATCCCATCCTCACAGATGGCCTGGACCCCCATTCCAAAAGACCACCTGCCCTTATTGTTGCCATTATAATGTGCGGCTTCAATACTTTTGGTCCTAAAGGCTTTTGTTCTATCAGAGGCCTCTATTAAGATGCAAATGTCTCAGGGATCTATTGAAAGCTGTCAGCTACAAGAGTTGATAGCTGACATTTTGTTGATGGACATCTGACAGCAAGATCCTTTAGAGGTGGAATTCCTGCCAGATGGGGGGTGCGTGTGCGTGTGTGTGTGTGTGTGTGTGTGTGTGTGTACGCGTGCGCATGCGGGATAGAAGGAGAAAGTAACCACGTCTAGATTGTAAGCCATAAGGAATCATTGAAGGTTATAGATCCAGAGACTGACACAGTCTGGATGAACCTGAGTTACGAAAGAGGGGCCTAGGCAAAGAAGTAAGTCTTCAAGCAGGGAGACCTGTTCTGAGAAGAAGATTGATGAGTCAACACATATTGCTGTGTATTAGGTGCTGCTGTGCACTGAGGATACACAGGACAATGAGGTGTAACTTCTGCCACTGAAGGCTTCAGTGTATCGGCCAGGGCAAGGGCGAAGGTGGTGAGACTGCGATATGAGCCAGAAGTGAGATTGGAAGGCCATGCTACACTGGTGACGGAGGGAACCAAGAAAGAAAGATACCAGGGACCTTGGAAAGAGCCTGGAGCCTGGCTGATTGGCCCTGAGAAGGTGATGGAAAAGTCAGTAAGGGTAGACACTGTGATGCCATTAACAACAATACAGGCAACCAAGGCTTGTCCGAAGAGTTTTTGAGCTGGAGGACACCTGTGGACAGCATGTGGCCATGTGGCTGGGAGGGATAATGAGCATTATGAAGGCTGACATATACTCAGTCTAAAACGTTTCCTAGATTTGAGCAATGGCCCACGCTAACAGATGACATGTAATGAAGGACCCCTCCCCTTGAGGGATGTGGTGGAGGAAGGGGCTTGGCCGACCTAAATGCAAGCTGAACCAGCAGTGTGCTCCTTGGGAACACAGGCTGCTATAAGTATGTGCCAATGGAAGGACGTGGAGGACCTGATGTGGTCAGTATAACTCTCAGTTTTGCAAGTGGCAGGACCCACCCAGAGGAGAAAGGCCAGGGTGATGAGCGGTCAGACATCACGACTTATGAGGAATGAATAAAAAGCCAGAGATAGCTTGCATTGGAGAAGAAAAGGTTTAAGGGACCTGTGTGAATTGGAACACACATTTGGCTTCTTCTGTGGGTGGAAGTTACAGAGGGATGAGTGTGAACTTTCTTCATTAGTTTTGAAGAAGGACCTAATGACTGGAGATGCCAGGACGTGGACTGATCTGCCTGGCAGATGGTGAATTCTCCATCCCTAAAGGTGTTCAGCAAGCACTAGGTGGGTGCTCAGCAAGCACTAGATGGCCACTAAAGAGGAGGTTCTTGCCTTGGATAAAAGGCTCAGCTTAAGAAGATGGGCTTTATAATCCCATCAAATTCTGCATGCTTGACCAAGGGCTCACCATTCAATTAGTTCTTGTTCCCCTTCTCTGGGCTCTAGAAACACAGTGTAATTGGCATTTGAATGTGACCTCACCAAGGGCCTCCCACATTCCCCTAAACCTACAATCTCACCTTCTTCCCAATCAACAGTCAGAGAGCTTCAGCTTCCACAGAAGATGTCATGGCTACACACCCCAGATCCTAGGAGGACTCTGATCTCATTGGTTCCCTTAACCACTTTTTCTCTGTCCATCCCTGTGGAGTTAGGACTTCTCTTTGAAGGCCCCAGGATAGTTTGCGTCTGTTTTTCCTTTATTTATCCTGGAAATACATTGAGACAAAAGCCATTTCATCGCTTTGCTGGTCTTGTTTTCCTACCCTCTGGTCCCTCTCTCCTAATTCCTACTAATAATTCCATCTTCCAGGCCTCAGGAGGTCCCTGTGGAACCAACCAGGCATACAGATGGCCTTCTGGCTCTTACAGAGTTTTCAGGACAGAGGTCCTTGCTGCGCAACCTTGACTAATGGGAAGTTCTTCCTTGGGCCTCACTAGAATCTGTCAGGATGCCTCTTGGGCCCTAGTAGGTTTGCCCTGCCTCACGGGGCCAGCAAGCAGCAGGCCAGCATTCTTCCATAGAAAAGAACAGCACAGTGCAGACGTCTTTCAATTCCACCTGCTCCCCATGCGAGATTGATTTTCAGCCACTTTCCAGTTGAAATTCTTAAGAGTTATTAGTTCTTCATGTTCCACGTTCCCCAGCCAGAACTGAAAATTCTCACTTCTTATTTTCCCCTTTTATTTATTTTTGAAAACAGTCCAGCCTTGTTAAAAATGGCCAGCAGAACTTTCCTAAGCTCTGTCTGTGACTTTGTGGGCTCAGGTCCTTACTCCTAATGTCATCCTTGATGCCTCCTATTGCTGGGAACTTGCGTATCAAAAAATTGGGGAAGGAGTAGTCTGGTTCATCTACATCACTGGAGGGCCTGATAAAACACAGATTGCTGTTTTGGTCCAGCAGGTCTGCCCCCCTCAGAATTTGCCCCCAGGTACTGTTGATGCTGATATTTCAGGGACCACATTTTAAGAGCGATGGATGGAGCAGTGCCTGGGTGGACCACTCGAGGCTGCTCTGACAGGTGAAGGGATGCATTGTCTAATTAACCCTCCTGTTCTCTCCCTTCCCCATCATCCCCCTGTAGCCCCAAACCCTGGAAGATTTATCTTCCGAATTCTGCTCCCCTCAGGTTTTGATTCAAATCCATTTGCACCATTGCTTGAGCACACTCCACCCTAGAAAGGATGGAGGAGGTGATTGGGAGGGCGGTGGGGAGCCTGGGAAATCACCCCAAGAATAAAGATATCCCTCAGAGAGCTGACAGACCACAGTCTCTCACAGAACGAGGCTGCTGACCGGGACCCAGACTTGGTGGAGGCGATAAGTTCCCGGCATTCTCTCTTCTCTGGGCTGCAGGAGGTGGACATTTACACAGTGAAGACGGAAGAGCTATCGTTCACATCTGCATTCTGCCTGCAGATACAGCGCAACGACTACGTCCACGCCCTGGTCACCTATTTTAATATTGAATTTACCAAGTGCCACAAGAAAATGGGGTTTTCCACAGGTGAGCTGTTTGTTGCTTCCCAGAGCCTCCTCCCTCTCCCATGCTTCCTCAAGTCTTTGTGGGGTGACCAGAGCTGGCCTTGACTTGGGGAGAAGGGGCTGGGTGTTAGCTGGGTGACACCTATCAACCCTCTCCAGCCATGGAGGAACCATGCATCCCTATATTTGTGCTGTCCAAGGAGAAGGTAAATAATGTTGTGGTTGTTACAGCACAAGTTGAGAGTGTGTTGGATGAGGGAGAGGCAGGAGGTAGGGCTCATGGAGGGGCCCCAAGCCCTTTCAAAGGCATATTTGTTCAGGTAGCATTTTCTGAGCACATTCTGTGTGGTGGGTATGGATGGAGTTGAATAAGCCTAGTCTGCACTGCCATGCCTCTGTGCAGGACACAGCCTGTCTTGCAGCAGCCTGCACACTGGTCTCTATGTCTCCTTCCCTTCTCCCTTACTTTCACACCAACCCATCCTTCATTAAATCTCTGTTGGTGTTCCCCCAAGATCACCCCACTGCTACTCCCACTCCCAAATCCCAGCCCCGCTTACGAGGTGCCTCGCTGCCTGCAGTAGATAAGCCTGGCAAATGGGGATCCCATGGCCTGGCCCTGGCCCACTCTCCAGCCTCATTCCTCACCACCCCTCTTGGCCGAGCCCTGTCCCGTCGCTGCTACCCCACAGGTGGCCCAGCTACACCGAGCTCCTTGCTGACTTCTAAACTCAGTGAGGCCTCTTCATTCTCTGGGCCATGGCTTCTACACACACCAGCCCTTGCCTATCCAGGTGTGCCCTGGAGGTGGGAGGGGCCTTAGTCAGAGGCTCTCATCATCCCCTCTTCTCCTGTATCAGTCTGTGAGGGCAGCCATAACAAAATACCCAGGCTTGGGGGCTTAACCACACATGCAGTTCTGGAGGCTGGAAGTCCAAAGGCAAGGTGTCAGCAGGGTGGATTTCTGGTGAGGGATCTCCTCTTGCCTTGTAGTTGTCCACCTTCTCACTGTGTCCTCACGTGGTCTTTCCTCTGTGCTCATGAGCCCTTGGTGGCTCTATGTGTGTCCTAATTGCCTCTTCTAAGGACACCAGTCAGATTGGATGAAGTTAATCACCTCTTTTAAAGCCCTTTTCCCAAATACAGTCACATTCTCAGGTACTGGGGATTAGGACTTCAACATGAATTTGGAGGGGGGGACAATTCAGGTGGTAACACCACCCCTGAGCCATCTCTTCACCTGGTTTCCTGTCTCAGCTCAGGGGTTACCTGATCCCCGCTTTCCCTTTGGGTCAAGGTTCGATGTCCTCAGGGTGAACCTAACATCTCGTGCATGTGCCTGGCATGGTGATGTTTCAAGTGAGACACATGCACAACAGCAAGAAGAAATCAGGACAAAAGAGTATAAAAAGTCAAAGAAAGCATTCTCACCCCCAACCCATCCCACTCCCACTCTTCAGAGGCAAATATTATTATTAATGATTTCTTTTGTATCATTCCACCAAATTTCAGTGAGTGCACAAGCACATGCATATCCATAGATGCCTCTTTTTTGGCTTTTTATTTTGAAATAATTATAGATTCACAGGAAGTTGTAAAAATAGTACACAGAGTTGTGTGAACCCTTTGCCCAGCTGCCCCATTGATGGTGTCTTACGTAAGCATAGTACAATATCAAAACTACACCTTTTTAAAAAAACTTAGGTTGGATCCTACCCTCCACACTGCCCTCAGCTACCTTTTCTTTATTTAACAACGTTATCTTGGTGATACTCTCATAGCCTCACAGAGATACCTAGCTTCTTTTTTTAAACAACCACACAGGATTCCAACACAGGGCTTGCCATTATTTATTCAGCATTTTCACCCTTTCTTGCAACTGTCAGTCTCCTGCATGAGTAGGGATCATATCTCAGTGATCTCTGCATTCCTGTCTTCTAAAGCACAGTTCTAAACAAATTGCTCTAAGAAGTGTATGATGATATGACCCCTGCCCTTAAGAATGTGTTCCTATTGAGTCTTCCTGGGAATTGGGAGCATGTCATCAGGGGGTGAGGAGGTGAGTAGTTGTATGTCTAGTAGGGGGAGTGGGAAGGTGAGTTCTACCAGAAATCGAGGACATGATTCTTTACTTCCAGAAGCCATGAAGAAAATGATGCTTTTTTTTTTTTTTTTTTTTTTTTTTTCTCAGAGACAAGGTCTCACTCTGTCTCCCAGGCTGGAGTGCAGTGGCACAATCATAGCTCACTGCAGCCTTGACCTCCTGGGCTCAAGCGATCCTCCTGCCTTAGCCACCCAAGTAGCTGGGACTACAGGCACATGCCACCATGCCTGGATACTTTTTAATTTTTTTTTTTTTTTGGTAGAGATGGGGTCTTGCCTCATTGCCCAGGCTGGTCTCAATGATTCTCTTTTACCTATGGAAAGAGAGGGCAAGAGACAGATTTATCTCTTCATAGAAAGGCTTTTCCCAGAACCAGTGCCTCCTGATTACTAAGATTGGGACTTTTGGTCTCCGTCAGCCAGGCAGTGCTGGTGCTTTCCTGCCCTGATCTGGGTCATTATCAGCTGCTGCCCTCCTCACAGGAGCAGTACATGTCTTCCCAGTGGGCAGGAGCAGCCAGGAGGGGGAAGGTGGATTTTACTTTGATCTTGAAGGATTGGGAAGACTGTGCCTAGCAATGGTGAGAGTAGGGGTAGTGAGGGAGCTGGGGAGGAGCCTTCTTGGGGACAGTGGCTGTGATTGGAAGCTAAGGATGAAGTCATAGGAGCTGGCTCTGCCTATTCCATCACCAGGATGATGTCTAACCCAGAGCCTGCCCTGCTGATGAGAAAGTCCATGGGCAAGGATGCTCTGGGAAAAGTTCTAAGTTTCCAAACCCCAGGCTCTATCCCTGCAGCTCTCAGCCATAGTTTTATTTTCCTTGAGATGATCTATTAATATTTCTAGTCTCCAAAGTCAAGCAGACAGCCTGCTGGACCCTGTCTAGAGATGGCTCCCTGGCTCTGGGGTGTTAGGGATGACATTCTTCATGGTCCCATGTGGAGGAGCCTGGATTAAGCTCACATCCAGAATCAAGACATCGGCTCTGGGCTGCCTGAAAGATGGCGAGGATTTGCCCTGAGTGTTGAAGGCTCTAACCCAGTGGCTTTCCTTCCTAGTCTTTGGTCACACCCCCACCACAGTCCTACGTGGCTCAAAGACCAAGGATCTAAACCCAGTTGTGAGCCTACTCCTCTTTTTGCAATTATAGTGTTATGCCTCCTCCCTTTTGCACAGAATTCTACAAACTTAGGTTCTGAAAGACATTTGGAGGTCCTACAGTCTCCAGTTTGTCATGCCTTGGGGAAGTGGTTCTCAAAGTGTGGTTCCTGGACGGGTAACACCAGTATCACCTGGGAAATTGTTAGAATTGCAAATTCTTGAGCCTCACCCTGGACCTCCTGAATCAGAAACTCTGGGGGTGGGGGCCAGCCGTCTGTGTCTTAACAAGACCTCCAGGTGATTGCGATGCATGCTCCAGCTTAAGGACCACTGCCTCTGTGCAAGACTGCCCTGAACCAGAGGGTTGAGAATTTGACCAATGTTGACTTTCTTCTGGAAAGGCTATTCCATCTCCTCACTCAGGTATACCCTCAGGCCTCACCAAGACTCTTTGCTTTCTGGCTGACGTAGATCCCTCTTCTTGGCACATGCCTATATGGGTAGCAATGGGGGTGGGAGAATACTTTGTTGAGTTGCTTTCTCAGCCACCTTCGCGTGTCAGCGTGGGGGCTCTGTTTCTAGCAGGTAGCAAACTTCTTTCCCAGTTCATGTGGGTTAGCAGTGGGGTATACTCAGACCATCTATATTCTGACAACTGACCGAGTAACCCTTTCTGTTTTTATGGATCTCAGATGCACAGACTTAGATTAATCCTAATTCTTGGCTCATGCCATATGTCATTATTGGACCATTCATGGTTCACTTTTTTTGCTAATTTATATATTAATTATATATAATTATATTATATATTAATATAATGAATATCCATGAACTCACCACATAACTCAGCAACTAGAATATAAATTAATTACTATTAACTAGAATGTAAATAGTAACTAGAATGAATTAATAAATACTAACAAAATAAATTAATAAATACTAATAAATTTATTAGTATTACTATTAGAAGGTAAATACATTAGTTAATATTAAAAATAAATTGTTTTTAACTAAAATATAAATATTGACTAGAAAGACATGGTAATAACTGTAATATAATTATAATTAAATGTAAATCAATTAATGCATATTTGCATTAATTTGCTTACACTTATTGATTCGAGCTATGCCCTGACTCAATGACTGAAATGCTGCCAACACCTCTGCATCTTCCTGGATGCCCCACCCCATCCCACCTCCCGTATCGCCTCCAGATGAACATTATCCTGAATTTTGTGTTCCTTATTCCCTTGCTATTTATGAAAAGTTTTATCACATGGATGTGTGTGCCTAAACAAGGTATTGTTTGGTCTCAGCTGTTTTTGAACTTGATGCAAAGTGTAGCCTGCTGTGTGTGGTCCCTCTGCATCAACCCCCAACTGAGTCTTCTGTTCTCAGCCCAGTGGTAGCGCGCTCTGCGGGCCACTTAGAAACACATCCCATACCGCACAGCCTGAAAAATGATCCCTTCTAATGACTCTGACGTCTCTGCAGCTCCAGGCAGAAGCTGTCACAAATAGGCACAGACAGCCAGGGTTCCAGGCTGTGGCAGCCAGTGGGCACGGTGCCCCCCCCACCACAACACATCCTCAGTGGGGTGGGGGTAGAAGTGGGAACTGGGGCCCCTGGGGCTGCTGTGTAATCCAGGAAAGCCAGGTAGCAGGTGGAAGGGCAGGAGCCCCAGCAGAAGCAGGCCTGGGTGCAAGCCCTGGTTTTTTCAGGTATCAGCAAGGTAGGCAGATCAGACATTGGAAAGGACTTTGGGCAAGTTTACTTTCTGCGCCTTGGGCTCAGGCAGCTCCTTTCTGCCATTGACATCCTGTGACATTGAGTCATTTTCCCACATTAAAGAAGCTTCTTGGTGCATAGTCCTCAATTCTCCAAAAGGCCTATGAATTCTCTAGAGAATATAATTCCAAACTTACAGCTAGAAAAATTATATCCCAGAAAGGACGACCAGCCACTTAGCCATTGGTCAGTGAGATGGGAAGCAGGATTCCATTCCCTTTCCAAAAGCACCAGGAAAACTCTGGTGAGAGGCCAGTCCCTGCCATTTGTACCCTCAGCTCCCTGTGTTCCCAAGCCCCATCCTTGGTCATAGTGCCCACCCTACTTCTCACTATTTGCCTGAATGTCTTCTCACTGAGGCTGTATGATCGGGGGAGGAGGGGACAAAGTGGTGTTCATCCCGTTTGCTGTTCCCCAATTCTACAGCCATACCCGGCCTGTGGCAGGCATCCTAAGTGGAAGTCTGTGGAATGGTGAATGAATGCACTGCACTAGGAATGCTGCAGGCAGTACTGGTCATGCTCACTTCAAAATGTAGAAGAAAAGCTGCCTAAAGCCTAGAATCAGAGAGACTGTGATGGGGAAGGGAACTGTGGGAGGGAGAAAAGGGGTATGTGGGGCCAGAATGCTAAGAGCAGGGAGGCATCTTCAGAATGGGGAAGGCTGAAAGCCAGTTGTACAATCTGGATGGTCATAGATGGGGTTGGGGCAGGGGAAGGGAAAGCTTTCCTCCCTGACAAGGAGAACTCTAGATGTTGTCCACAACCCTTTCCTGAGCGCCCACCCTTGTGCACGGTGACATTCTGGATGTTTTCCAAGACATTCTCCACCAGTAGAGAGAGGCGGCATATCTTTGCAGACCAGAGCCATAGTTGATGGACTAATAAAATCATATACCACTCTAATGACCAAAGACTTGCCTGATGCAATGGCTTAGTAAGTCCCTAACATGGGCCTAATATGTTTTAGGTAGGGTGGCCATGTAACGCATCTTTCCATTAAGGACACGTATGCAGGTGAAAGGGAGACCTATTAATCATTATGCCAGGAAAACAGATGTGAACTGGAACTGTCCCAGGCACAGCAGGAGGTTTGATCACCCTTAGTCTATGATCCTTTCCCTTTCTCATCTCATCTCATCCTCACAATACGTCAGGAGGTGAATATCATGAGCCATATTCTGCAGATGTGGAAAAGGAGCCCCAGGTCACATCGCATGTCAGTGGCAAAGTGGACACTGGACACGGGGCTATTGTCACCTAATTAATGTCTTTCCCACTCTACCTTCCCAAAGGAGGTCAGGAGATGCACTGCGATTCAGCCATGGCTGTGTGTCTACGTCACCTGCCCCTCCACGCCCCCCAGAATTACTGACTTCAAATCTCTTGGAGTAGAATCAAAACATTGACTTTTACTCAGCTTCTCCTGGGCACTTTGATGGAGAATCAGGATTGGGAAAACTGGTTTAGACAATTACTCCATGGCTAATGGGCCCATCATGGAAACGAGATGTTTATGGATGTTCTTAACCCTTTGATGTTGATATCAAGGAAAATAATCATCTTCCTCCAACTCAAAGTCGGCATGTTTTGGGGACTACCATCAGAGGCAGACCCCATGGCTGACAAATCTGGGCCAGGAAGTCTCTGGGGGTCTCATAAGGCATCGGATTAGGTGACAGAAGGAGGCTGCTTGAAATCCCTTTGCCTGAAGGTCTTTAGGAACAGGAGAGAGACACCTGTCTGAGCTGGTGTAGGTGGAAGTGGGGGCGAGAGTGCTGTCAGTCATACACTGACAGTCTCCACACATAACCAGGAACTATCTTTTGACTATTTAGAGGTAGCTGGGAGAGATGGTTGTTGGGAGCAGGTGGACTTTGTCTGCAGACAGCAGTATGCCCTGAAGGCCAGAAAGGCTGGATGTGTTCAGGAACCCAGGCAGGGTCTGAAAGGGATAGACTGCACATTCATGATCCTCCTTCCCTTTCCAAATGTGCAGGCTGCACTTTCTCCCCATGACCTTGAGTTTGCATCGATTTCCCAAATGCACACACGGAGGGCTACTTGAGTCTCTCTCCAAACCACTGACATTTGATCAAGCCAGTTCATTGTGAAGGGCAGAGAAAGACAGACTCTTCAGTGCTGTTAAAATTGGCCTTGGGGTTTTGAAAGCTCTTAGAGGTCACCTGGTCTGAGTCAGTGCATGATCAAGCCCCAGTTGGCGCTGTGTGAACACCTGCCAGGGTGGACCTCAGGTGGCTCATATGATTGTGGGACAGCTCTAATTCTTGGTAAATTAAAAATCTGCCTTCTAATCATGCCTAGTGACTAGCCTTTGTTCTGCCCCCAAAGCCATGATAAGGCCACATGTAAGTCTTTCCATGTGACAGCTTTTGAAGTGTTTTGAAGACCCTTATCTTATCCCCAAGTCTTCTCATCTTTATCCTTAGTCCTAAAAAAAAAAAAAAAAGAAATCCTGGTAGAGGAATGCAACAGCCCAAACCAAGAGGAACTTCCTGTAATAAGATGGGTTCTTCTGCAGTCTGTAGATTCCAAAGGCCCCCAGGGTAACTGGAGTACATTGAACTCCAGTACGAGTACATTGAAGCACTACAGACATTTGCTCTTTGGGTTCTTACCATCATTCATTTATTCAATACTCGTAGATCTACCAAGCACAGAGGCAGGCACCGAGGAAGCAAGGCTGGCCCGGTCCCTGCCCTCATGGAGCTTGCAGTCCATGGAGGATGCAGACAAACGGGGATGGGGGGAAGGCATTTATCTTGTGTGACAGGCACCGCAATAACAGGAGCTCAGGGTGCCTTGGGAGCTCTCAGTCCAGGTTTTGCGGGTCAGGCAAGGCTTCCCAGAGGAAGGATGAGGAAGAGAGAGGCTGGAAAGGAGGGAGAGGAAGGATTTCAGAGACAGCTGCTGGCAAGGACGGTGGCCTCTGAGGCAGAACTCCTCACATTTAACTGGAGAATATATCGTGTGCTGAGAGGGGAGGGAAGAGACTCAATGGCAGATATGGGGGAGGCGCAAGTACCACTATGGCTTTGGGTCATACAGGATGAATGAGCTGTGGGCCAGCATTAGGGCTGTGGAACAAGAACCATCCCTCATTTCTTTCTGATCTGGTTAGGAAGATACACCTGAAACCCTACAGCAGGTCTGGGCCAAGGTGCTAGGTTTAGTTCCCCGTGCACAGAGAAGCAGGCAGGGAAAGCTCTTTTTTTTTTTTTTTTTTTTTGAGACAGGGTCTCACTCACTGGTTTGCACCCAGGCTAGAGTGCAGTGGTATAGTCACAGCTCACTGCAACCTTGAACTCCCAGGCTCAATGCATCCTCCTGCTTCAGCCTCCTGAGTAGCTGGGACCACAGATGTGTGCTACCACACTCGCCTAGTTTTCTCATTATGTTGCCCAGGCTGGTCTTGAACTCCTGGGCTCAACCAGTCCTCCTGCCTCAGCTTCCTGAGTAGCTGAGGTTACAGCTATGAGCCACTATGTGTGCCCAGCAGGAAAAGCTAGTTGTAAGATTGAGGACCAAGTACCTGCCATATCAGTGGATCTGGGGAAACTGGTTTAGCTGTGGAGTTTGCATGAATGATGTCATTTAAGGGGAGATAGGAGGGCCTACTCTACAAATCTCTTCCCCATACTGTCTGAAGATCTTCATTCTGTTGAACTAATTAAAAACAGCAGCATGTTCAGATGCATGTATGTCCATGCATTTAGTGGGTGACAGGGTATTCCTCATCCATCCCTTGCTATGAACTTGTAGTATCGGGTTGTTTGTCTTCTGATCCCCAGCACTGAGGAGATGGGGATGTGATGGGAGGAGAGGCCACTGGGACTGAGAGGGAGTTCTGATGGGGCTTGGAGGAAGGCTATAAGGACTATGCACCTGACCCAACAAGAGTACTGGGGTGGGTGGTTTCAGTGAGTCCCAGGGGAAGCCCAGCAACTTCTATGCAGGGTCCCAGCCTCATCCCTTTGGAGACTTCGTCTCTGACTCTTTCTTCCCACCTCCCCTGTTCTCTCACCCCTCAGCCCCTGATGCTCCCTACACCCACTGGAAGCAGACCGTCTTCTACTTGGAAGATTACCTCACTGTCCGGAGGGGGGAGGAAATCTACGGGACCATATCCATGAAGCCAAATGCCAAAAATGTGGTAAGTGCCGAGGGACATAAGGACATAAGGGAGAAGGGCCCCACAGAGCTGGCTCGCTCAGGACCCACTTGCCCGGGTTCTTAAGTGTCTCATGAACAGTCAGAAACTTACTGAGGCAGGCAGTCGGTAGCCACATGTGGACATGACTAGGCCTAATTGAGGGACTCAGGCTTGACCCCTCAAAACTCCGCAAATAGAGGTTTTCCCTGGGTCCAATTCTGGACTGCCTTGGCTTTGAAGACAGCTTCCAGCTCTTCCTGTGAGGGGCTTTCAAATAAATGGGTCCTACCTCATTTAGTAAGAGCTGGGCCAGGAGATAAGCTCCTGGTGGCTGGAGGATGTTTGGCGTGCATTTCTTCAGCTGGCCTGGTGCGAGGGAGACTTGCTGGCACTTTCGGGGCAGCCCCAGGTGTGGGCATGAGCGCTAAAAACGTCTGCAGAGTGCTCTGAAGGTCACCTCACAGAACACTTAACCACCCCAATCAGTTTACTTCCAGGACGAACTCGGAACGTTTTGTTATTAGAGCAGGAAGGATTTAGGGAGAAATGGAAGAACTTCCTGTGAGGACAAGGAGGCAGCAGAATGGATTCCTGTGGGCTGTTCAGGGGAACCCCTTAGCCAGAAAGCCTTAAGACGCTGGTGCTACCCATCCCTGTGGTTCCAGGAGCAGGTGGTGCCAGAGAGTGGGGCTGTGGCTTCATACCCAGACGGCCGCCTGACCCTTCGCTCTCTCTCTGCCTTGCAGCGAGACCTCGATTTCACAGTAGACTTGGATTTTAAGGGACAGCTGTGTGAAACATCTGTATCTAATGACTACAAAATGCGTTAGCACACGTGGGAAGCTGCAGAGAGCAACGAGAAAAGGAACTCTCACCTCGATCTGCCGTGCCGTCCCAAAGAATACCGTTTGCAGGACTACACACTTGAAAACCAGAGTTTTCAACTCTGCCTTGAAGATTGGTGAACTCCCCAGGGCTCCCGTGGGCTCTGCCACTGGACAGAAGGCCTCCAGCTCCTCCGCTCTGCCCTGGTAGCCCTTCACGAAGGCTTTGTGTTGCCAACAAAGAGCGACCTGGCGTGCTGTGGCTGGGCCCCGAGGGTGGAAACGTATTCGCGTCTCCCCGTCTCCTCCTTAACTGTGACTCTCCGGGTCTTCTGAGTTTTGCATGCTGCGGGTGTCTAGGACAGATTGCTTCCACTAGAACCTGGAGACATAGCATCTTTGATAGCATAAGCCAGATTATCTGTGTGTGCGGTGGTGTGCGTGTGCGTGCATGTGTGAATGTGAGCAGCATAGTTGATATTTACCCACAAACACCTGTATATGCGTGCATATACAACCAAGTGGGTAGACCTAGGTGTTCTCTCAGAGGGGTGTGTGTGTGTGTGCGTGCGCGTGTGCCTAGAATATATATTACTCTCAGAGGAGATTCTGTTGCTTTTGAATAGGAATTTGTTTTGTGATTAGTTCGCCCCTTCCCCACCCCTTACCAGATGTTAAGCAGCTATGAAACATTCTCTGTACTAGTTCTGGTCTCCTTTTGACTGGACTGTGGCTCTGAACCTTGAGCATAGTACCACGGACTCCGTGGGCGCTCAATAAACACACATGAGAACAAACTGGTGGGATGGCTGGTTCCTGGTGCTGTGAAGTGGGAGGGCTGGGGGGAAGCCAGAGGCCATGATGGAGTGGAGACTCAAGGGCAGCAGCACCTACGTGGGTTCACGTTTGCTCCCCAGCAGGGAGGTCAGGGCTGGTCTAAGAGCATCTCCCCCATGGACTCTGAGGGGTCCTACCTTAGAGGGTAAGGAGGTCATGGAGCTGGGGTGGGGGACAGGAGCTAACCAAGAGTGTGCCAGAATGGCAGGCCATGCATAGCCTGGAGACTGCTTAGGATAATGTCCAGCCTTGGTCCGGGCGTGGTAACAGCGGAATCTGTGAAGGATGGAAATGCAATGTACTTTGCAGGGCGTGGTGGAGTGTTTTGATTTGGTCTGGTCTTGGGCTATGCTTTAGCTTCCAAGACCATGATTCTCATCTATGTCACCTACCTGGGAAGAGACATTCCAGGTGGGGGAAGGAAGAGGGGCCATTTAGAGATGATGGGTGGAGCTGATGGGATCCAGGAAGAAGGAAGATGCAGGGGAGACCTCGGGCCTGGCTTTGCGTGGTTGGGGAGTGCTGGTGATGGCAGAGCCCCTGGATAATGATAACTGAACCCAATAGCAATGGCCTCTGCACTTCCATAAACTTCTGATGTCCATGGACTCTGTCAATTCCATGAAGCCTTGGGAGTTACACGCAGAGGCCTTACCCCAGCCATTTGCTAGCTGAGGTGGGCCAAGGTCTCAAGTCCCAGTTAATGTGCCCTCCCCTGCCCTGCACTGATTCTTCCAAGCCTCAGGCCCAGAGGCTAAGACTGTCTTTTTTATACCTAGAGAAAAACACAGTGAAAATTATTTAATGCTTTTTGTGTACATGTATTGGGAAGAAAAATAGAGAAACTTAAGAGGGCACAGAAGCAAGTGTATTAGAGGAGAGAGGAGATTGAAGGAGGACATTGGAGTGGGGACTCCCTCGGGGGCATTCGAGAACTCAGGAGTTGGTTTCCATTGTAGTGAGAGTTGGGGTCCCCTGGATTCTGCCTACTGACCTGGTTTAACTTTGGGCAGGAAGCTCATTCAACCTGGTGTAGGATCCCATCCATGGTCAACCAGCAAAATCCCACATTGTCAGGAGCCCAGTGGAGCGGTCAAGATGATGGCCTCCTGGGAGCTCCAGGCATTTGGGTCCTGCAGGCATCCCTGACACTCTGGGACCTGGGGAGGCTGCTGGGGCAGGAGGCTTAGGGGAGGACCAGAATGAGCAAAGGCCCAGCAATCTTTCGGGCCTCTCTGACCATCAGAGGAGAAGAGGGCCATCCCAGGGGCCTATCCTGCACCCACCCCCATCTTTAGCTTTCTGGAGTGGTACAAGCCCTGGGCTGCCCCACCACCACCCCTCCCTGCCCCTGGGCTGCAGAAGGGAAGCCTGTAATGCATAAGGGATCAATTCCACAGCAGCCTCCTCCCACCTGCTCAGGCGAATGCTCCAGTGGGAATTATTTCCCTCCGATTCAGTGGGAAATAAGCAATCTCTGCTTTGAACAGCCTCTGAATGGAAGTCAGTGCATGAGATGCGGTCTCGAATGACAACAGAGATGCTATAAAGATGACTTCACTGATAAAACCTGTTTTTTCCTCGACTCTTTGCCTCTTTTACATTTTTGAGGCTGTACAAAACCCTTTAGAGACTTTCTCGCCTGTCACTCTTCCCCTGCTCTGGGGAACTTTGCCCTTCTATTCCCAACTCCCTTCTCCCAAAATGTGGTCCTCTTTTGTGATTGCATCTGGGCTTGTCTGTACAGAGGCCACTCTGTGCTTGTTCCGAAGTCCACGGAGGCATGGTTTCTCTCCCCTCCTAAACCACAAGCTCCAAGGGCGGAGACCTGCCTGGAGAGAGCAGGGTGCGGGTGGCTGGTAACAGAGTGGCAGCTGACCCAGCACTTGCTTGATCCCATGGAATGTGCCCATGAGCACCTGCCCCCCACCCAGGACCTGCAGGCTCCAGCCTCTTCTATTTGTGCTCCTTGGGAGATGCCAATATTTTTTTTACTTTCATAAAAACCACCCCATGGAGGCCATCTACCCTAGATACACCCAAGCCTCTGTCAACTCTGTGGGCGGAAATGAGGCCTTAGCCAGGCCCTCCATGGACCCATCTCCGAAGGCTCCCTCTCCCCTTGACGTCATACCTGCAATCCCACCTATAGACTCCACCTCACTTCAGACCTCAGTAGTGGCATGAAATTAAGCCAGACATCTTGGCCCGTCTCTGCACCGTGTTCACCTGGCCTGGAATCTGTCCCTGGCCTAGGGGCAGTTCTGATCACCCGGCATGTGCCCTGCCTTGATCTCCTTGATCTCACATAGTATGGGGACTCTGTCTTGTTTTTGCAAATCCCCTCACTACCACACTGACGGCCCCAGCCTGGTTTTAGGAGCCCTCTTCCTGAAGAAACATTTTTCAGGACCCCTGCTACCTGCCTGGGTTCCTGACTAGCATCTCTTTAGATATCTTGTTTCTGAGTACAGCTCTACCTGGGGGCACCTAGATTTCCCTAGACCGCCAGGCTGTGGCATATTATACCCAGACTCCTATTTTGTTGTCTGGTGACTTCCAACATAAGTCTGACTTCCCGAGGACAGGTGATCTCCTCAGTACGTGTCTAACCGTAGTGGATGTGCTGAGCTCCAGGCCTGGAGCCTCCAATGTCCCCGTCCCATTGGAAGCAATTAGTCCATATTCAGCAAAGGCTCAGACACAACACATTCCAGTATTGGATACTTAATAGGCTCCAGGCACTGAACTAGGTAGCAGCAGTATAGCAGAGACAGCAGGCATCATGGAACTCTGTGGTTATTAGTGTCTAGCTAGGCTGGGCCTGCTCTTGCCTAAATTTCAAGAAAGTAAGTTCCCTCTGCCATTGCCTACCAGCTCCAGCTCTACCCATCTCATCCCGAGGGCCAGCCACAGTTCTTAGCCCAGCTCTGCAACACAACCTCTGTCAGAGGGGGTGGTGAGCCATGTTGCTTGTTGGCTTATCTCAGTCACTAAGCCCTAGAAACAGAAAGAGAACGTGCTTGAATTTCCTGCTATCTGTGAATTCCATGGTGGGGTGGGGGGCAGCCTGTCATTTTCAGAGAATGACAGTGCTCCGGGAGGCCCAGGGCCCTTTTTAAAGCTGGCAGTAAGTCATTTCTCACAACAGAAGTGCCAAAGAGAGTGTGCCAACCATTAGCTGACACTTAAGGCTAGAGAGCAGCTGGAGCAAACGGGGCAGAGAAAGCCCTAGCATGCGGGTCACCAGACCCAGGCTCCTGCTGTCCCCATTTCCAAAGGCAACCATCAGCCGCCACACAGCTCTGCTGCATGACATGAGTTTTGGAGCCAAAGAACCTAGTCAACTCCTGGCACTGCTGCTTACTAACGACGTGATCTTGGGCAAGTCACTGTGAGACTCTATATCTTCTTCTGCTGAAAAGGAGACAACTCAGAATGAAATGAAATCAATATAAAATGTGTTTAAAAAAACAAAGCACAGTGAAATTCTAGTGATAACTGCTGCTTCAATAGCCATTCTGCTCTGGATTGCAATTCTGTTCTTGAGAAGCACATTTAGATGACGAAGTGGAGGCCCATGGGTCTGCAAAGGCCCTGAGGGCAGCAGGCACCACAGTTGGAGCCAAGGGCAGCAGCGGCCCAGGCTCCTGGGCTGCAGGGCCTGGCCCAGAGTTTGGGGCAGCACTTCAGGTGACTCACTTGCAGAGCTTTCCAAAAGCCCTGGGCAGAAGTGGCCTGCTTCAGGGCTCTGGTTCATTGACTCAGGGCTTCAAAAGTGGCTTGTGGAGATCTTAAAGCCCATCTCGTAGCCCTCTGGCATGCTGTGACTAACTGGCACCCATGTATGTCCTTCCATGGCACCAATAGGTGTATGTCTTTCCATTGGAATGAAAAGATCCTCAGTTGGAGAGAAGCCACAGACCCACCTGGGGCACTCGGGCAGGGCTTCACCTTCTGGCTGCCTCCGCATCCATTTCAAATCACAAGAACTTGCTGGTGACCTTGAAACCGTGCCTAGCGTGCTAGGCCCAGTGCCTGCTTTGCATACCAGGGAGAAGAGCAGAAGATAATCCAAAGTGTTATTTTACTTTGGAATTCAACACATGCTGCTTTTCCTGGGAGAATTATTCCTTTAGTCATATTTAGTTTCAGTTAATAATATATTGAATTTGTATTCTTGGAGAACCTATTCTCTTTGATGACCGGAGTTAGTGGCTTGGAAGCACATTCTGGGGACCGGCCAGGGGAATGGGGTGGGGACTAGGCTGAGAACCTAATCTTGATGGCAATAACAGCCGCATCAATGCTTAAGACTTGTTTGGCTACATTTATCGGGAAATTACCAACCAAATCCCCACTGTCAGAAATTGCCATTAATATGTCAGAGGCATGCACCACTATGGCATTATGAGTCAGAAGGCAACAGGAGAACAGAACTGTAGGGGTCCTTCTCTGTGCTCAGGGAAGGACTGGGCCTCCCAAGAAAACATCTGTGCAGGAATGAGGAGCAAAACCTAGAGATGTGGAAATAGTGTGTTGCACACACAGCTGTATGGTCTGTATGGTCTGTATAGTGTGTTGCACACACAGCTGTATGCGTGTCACCACGAAACATGGAAGATCTGTTTGGAGGCAGGAGGGAGGTACACTCACTCAGCGCCTGTTACCTGCATGCTGGGCACGGCGCGCAGATGATGCTACTTCTTTTTCAGCATGAGGCCAGGTTCTGGACCCAGTTGGAACCAGGAGTGCTACATGAGTGGTCTCTCCTGACTTCCTCCATGTCATGCATATTTCTTGGGTGCCTCCTGTGTAGCAGACTTCTTGCTAGGTGCTGGGAACGCAGCACTGAACAAAAGAGATGCCAGCCTACTGTCTTGGAATTTACTGGCTGCTGGGGAAGCAGACACTAAACAAGAGGGATAAATATTATGAAAAGGAAGCAGAGGCTGAGGGAGTAAGAGACTGTTATTTAGAGACTGAGAACAAGAGAGCTTCCCTGAAGAGAGGACTTTAAACAGAGCCTTGAAAAACTGGAAGAGGAGGGGAGGGAGAGATGGAGGGAGGATCCGGCAAAAACAGCCAGTGTCAGGGCCCAGCCCGAAGGAGTCCAGAGAGCTTGGCACAGCTGAAAAAGAGGAGCCCGCAGAGGACCAGGGGAGAACCCAGAGAAGGGAGGCCTGAGATACAGTCTGGGTTCCATGGTCAAGGGCCTTGCAAACTATGTCAAGGACACATTTTCCTTAGGCAATGAGAAAACACTGAAGGATTTTAATCAGGAAAGTGACAAGACAAGATTTGCATGCCACACATGCTCACCAGCTAACGAGCTCAATTTGGCAGTTGTTTCCCTTGAAAAATGGTAATACGCTTAACCCACTGCCTACTTCAGAAAATCAACCGCAGAACAGGTCATCCGTAGCAGCGGCAGAACCTCTAGGAACCATGAGTGAAGGATGGGGACTGAGGCTTCTTTTGGTTGCTGTTGTTGACAATGGCTTGAATAGATTGCTGCGTTTTAGGATTGCCTTGTTCACCCGGAGGAAATCTGCAACCGGCCAATTTGTGCAACTCTGAGATCATTTGCATCGTCCTTTCTGGTGTCATGTCATACTGTTCTTCCCAGGAGGACAGCCTCCTCCTGGCTCAGAGTATGTCATCGCCTGGGAGGGGGAAGGCAGTTGGAAGGGTTGGTGCAAGGCTGGATCTGCGTTTGGGGATTGTTCTTGCTGCTTCAAGCGCTGGGCAGCTGTTTCCAGGGGAGCAGAATGCTTGGCATCACTTTCAACTCACGGAACATATTCTTGAAGCACCTTTCAGAGGCTCCGTGGGTTGTAATGGGTTTCTGATATCATGACAACTGCTTTTTGGCCATGGTTGGTTAGCTCCGTTGGATAGAGCATCGAACTTCAAGCCAAAGTCACAGGCTACATAGACACGCAGCTCTGTTTCATGGGCATGGATGATGCCTTGAACTCCAGACAGCCATGGAGATAAACAGGCCTGGGGTTGAGCCTGGCTCCTCCAGTGAGTAGCTGAGACTGGCAGGGAGTTACTGGAATTGTCTGCTTCTGAGTGAATTCTTTCCCTGTTAGATGGGGAGGATAATAACACCTTTCTCCCAGGGTTGTTGCAAGTGTCAAATGACACTGAAGGATTTAAATGAGATCATGTGAGATCACATGGTAATGCACCCCGGGGCACAGGCAGCTGCTTATCAACGGCAGCTCTTTCTCTTCTTGGAACTGAGGGCTCCAGACAAGAACATGCAGATGACTCCGGGCTCTCCCAGGGAGAGAGGGAAAAACAAGTCCAAGTACAGTCTCTCTCCACAATGGGTCAGAGTGCTGGCTTCACGTGGCCAAAGAGAGAAGGCACAGGATCCTGTGTTGCTTGGGAATAATTCCAAAGGTGGCTTCGGAGATACCTAGATTAGAAATGCCAGGGGAATTCAGAGCAGGGCCAGGACTTCCAGGCATCTGAGGTCATTAAACGTGACTCGGGGCCTGAGGCTGCACGTTGCAGAGTGTGGAACGGGCCAGTCGGCAGGAGGTTCCCCATGGTGTCCTAGACTGAGGACCCGGAATGACCTGAGATAAGAATAAGCACAGGACCCTGGAGCCGGAGGAACATATTCAAACCCCGATTCTCCCACTTCTGGCTGCGTAACCTTGAGCAAGTCATTCAGCCTCTCTCTGCCTCAGTTTCCTTTCTTACAAATGATGGTAGTCGTATTATCTACCCGGTGGCATTGTGGTAAGAGTTAAATGAGAAGCATGCCAGGTATGTGATGCATAGGTATAGAATAGCTGCTCCTCCTAGGAATTATGCCAGGCTTTGCACACCTCCGGGACTTGGGCACATCGGCCCTTCTGAGCCCCACAACCTGGCTCCCGTGCTCTCTGGAGGTGAGCAAAGCCCACCGTCTGTGCCCTACCCTCACCATGCTGCATTTCCAGCATCTGTTTTTGTGTCTATCTGTCTCCCCAGCAGACTGTGATCTCCTTGAGGGCAGGCTCTGCATCCCACTTATGCTGCGTGTCAGTGGCAAGTACAAGTCCCTAGCCCATCACAGGTGCTTAGTAAATCTTTGCTAAATGAGCGAATGCTGACTTGATGCCATGGCACCCACGGCAGTCTCCAACCTGCCTGCTGCTCCTAATCTCCGAACCTACTCTCTCCCCCGCCCTGGGCCTCGGTGTTCTCATTTATGGGAGGAAGGTATTCGCCTAGAATTAACTTCAGGTCCTCACCCAGCTTAAAGAAACTGTGATTTTTGTGATTCTACAGCTCTTATTTTGTGACCCTGGGCTCAGAGCTTTCTAAGAAGATCCCGCCCCCAACTGTGTAGTGGAGGAGAGTAGAATGGCTTATTTTTGGTGGAAGTTGGGGGTAGGAGTGAGAAGTAAACGCTCCAGGAGGAAAAGAATTTCCTGCCCGGGCTGCAGAAAGACACCGTGGAGGCTTTGCCAGTGAGTAGCCGGAGGAATGGAGGGTTGAACCACCAAGATGTGAGGTTTCTCAGTTGCTTGACTGCCGTTCATTAGCGTGCGACTACAGAGATGGGCCATTTCTTGGAAAACCATTTTAATAACTGAGAGCAAATGGGATTAAGGATGCTGGCTGGCATCTGGCCAGGACCGCGTGGCTCTCATCCACACGGGGAGTTAATTTGTCTCTGCTAATGTTGCCTATTGATTATCGCTCACAATATTTTCTTTCAGGTGTTTCTCTGCAAAGTGTTTCTATTGAGTGGGCCTCTGGCAATGTGGTTTCTGGGGGCTCTGTGAGGGGAGAAGAGTGGGGAGCAGAGCCGGGTAATGTCTAGGATCAAGGGAGGCCTGGGGAGCGATGGCCAGTCGAGAAGGCAAACCTCGTGCCGCGTCCACACAAAGTGACTATGGTCCTGAATCCGGGGGTCCTGGGGCCAGATAAGCCCTGGCCCTGCCACCCCCAACCGTGACTATAGCCCTGAAGCCGGGGGTCCTGGGGCCAGATAAGCCCTGGCCCTCCCACCCCCAACTTCGCCCTGGTCGCCAGTCTCCCTGGCTCTGTTTCCACAGGGCGTGCTGCGGAAGTGACTTGTGAACTCTACACAGCTGTACACACGTAGCTTTTTATGTTACTCCCTCCCAGTCCACAAGCCACAGCTGGCTTTGAATATTCACATTCATGGAGAAGACTATGACCTGCAGAATTTCAAGTAATGGATAATCCAAAAATGTAATTTGACTTGAAGCTTGTAGTGTGCAATCCCCATGCCCTCACCTCATTCTGAGAAATCCTATTTTGAGAAATCAGAGGCTGTCTGGATTTAAGTTTTAAAAACTCAGTGTTTGAGATTTAATGACTTGAAGTCTGGGATGGGGGAAGTACAATTGGGTAGCCTGGAAGCACGCCGGACTCTGGGAAGACTGAGATTAAAGGTATGGCCTGGCTGGTAGAATAAACACGTAACACATTAGAGCTGAGGTTGTTGCTTATGCGGTTTCTTGCTTTACCTCCATCCTCACGCACCCTGGCCACCCCCACTACTCTGTGCTGGCCTGAGGAAGCTGGCCAGAGGGTGATGCTCGAAGTGCCTCCGGCCTTACCTCCCACCCCATCCTTCTACTCTTTCTTCAGGCACAACTGCAAATCTGCTCCTGTCGCTTTCCTGTTTAAACCCCACCCCCGATCCCCCCACCACCAGTGGCTCTCTGTTACCTACAGGCTGATACTGAAACTCCTGCTTGCCCAGGGTAGGCTGTCTGGCTCTGATCTCCCATCTCCCATTCACTGTCGAAGCCCCAGCTCTGTCCCCCATCCCCGGAGTCCTCATCCTGTGCACCGCCCTGGCCATACAAACCGTGTGTCCCGCATGCCTGGGCCCCGTCAGCTGTCACTCTCCTGCTTCCCTGATTTCCTTCTGTTATTTCCCCCCACCAATCATGAACCCCTTTGTTGGAACTAGCAGTCCCCCCCACCCCCATTCCTCCACCCAGAGGCAACTGGGTGTCCAGTTCTCAATGTCCATAGCACAGAGTGAATATTCCTGATCTAAAATGCTTGCAACCAGAAGCATTTTAGGTTTCGGATTTTTTTTTGGATTTTGGATTTTTTTGGATTTTGGAATATTCGCATACACATAATGAGATATCTTGGGGATGGGACCTAAGTCTAAAAATGAAATTTATTTATGTTTCCTATATACTTTACACACAGAGCCGGAAGGTGATTTTATGTAGATTGATAATTGTGTGCACGAAACAAATTTTTGGCTGTGTTTTGACTGTGGTTCATCACATGAGGTCAGGTGTGGAATTTCCACCTGTGGCGTCATGCCAATGCTCAAAACATTTCAGACTTTGGAGGATTATGGATTTTCCAACTAGGGATGCTCATCCTGTATTCTGCATCATCCCTCTCTCATTGTTTTCTACCTGTTTGCTGATATAGATCTTTCACCAACTTGGAGCTCCTTGATTCTTGATTTCTTTATTTTCATATTCTAAGAGCATAGGGTATGGCATGGTACCTCAGCACGTATTGAAACTTGGGTGGGAAGTATTTCAGGCCATTAACAAAAGGACTAAAGAGGAGAGAGTTAGGGATGAAATCAGAATGGGTAGTGTGCGTGGTTTCATCTGTGTGTGTGTGTGTGTGTGTGTGTGTGTGTTGTACACCCACAGACACAGGATGAGTCAGTGTAGCCCCTGAGCCCACCTCCTTCCTGGGTGTAGACAATCAGCACTGACCGCTGTCCGGGCCACTGAGAGGGTCTGGCAGTACTCGGGAGGCCTCAGCACCCTGTTGGGATCTCTGCTTTACTAATGACCTGCCGTGTGGCACTAAGCAAGTCATCAACATCCTCTTAAAGAATTCAGAGAGCGCAGGCAGTGTGGTCAAAGAGGAAGAGGCATCAAAGAGTGGATCTAAGGTCAAGAAAATGCTTGCAAGCTTCTGAGATTTTTCGCTTTCTATTATTCCATTTCATTACTGTTGGTGCTAATAATAGTAATGTTAAACAATTGAAAAATAAAGATCTTCCAGCTTCTAATTAAATCAGAATTTCCAGCAGCAGTTGCGGGGCGGGGGGGTGCAAGAGTTGATATTACTATTTTTAGGGACAGGATCTTGCTCTGTCACCCAGGCTGGAGTGCAATGGTGCAATCATAGCTTACTGCAGCCTTGAACTCCTGGCCTCAAGTGATCCTCCCACCTGGGCCAGGAATTACAAGTGTGAGCCACTGCACCTGACCTATTTTTAAAAAATAAAATAAACTACCAAAAATAAAGAAAAGCCCCGCAGGTGATTTGAACCTGCATCCACTGTTGAGAACCCGAAGTAGCCCCTTCACCTGGGCTCATGTGGTCTGGGACACAGTGCAGTCCGGCCAGGGCAGTACTGCCAGGTCTGGGGGGCTGATCTCCTGATTCCAGCGACTGCAGTGCTGGCCAGGCAGCCGGCCACCTGCCAGGAGATGGGGCATATGAGAGACCACTTAGCAAGTCTCAAAGGAATGATGCCCAGGGATTAGAGGGGATGTGGCTTAATTTACAGCAGGAGAAGATTGGGTTAGATCAAAGCCCCAGAAGGGTTCCCAGTGAATATCCGTCCTTTGTGATGTGGGGAACCCTGCTGCCATGGAAGCTGTGAGACTCTCACAGATGCCTTACTGGAGTTGTAGGGTTCTGGGTGCAGTGAACCCCCTTCCCAGCACTGAGTGGGAAGAAGTTGCAAGGCTTGTGTGGAGCCAGCTGTGGATAGCAAGGGCAATGGGCCAGGGACCAGCTTGGCTGCTCACTGACCTCAAACCCTGGGCACGTCCCTCCTCCTGCCTGGGCCACAGTCTCCTTCCTGTCTATGATTTGAGGAGGGAGCATAGTGAGCGTAATGAGCCAATTCTCAGCCAGCCTGGGGCTTGTTTGTACACACTAGTCAATGCAGAAGACCCCGTTGGCCGGGGGTGGGGGTGAGGGGAGGATTGGCTAGAGTGAGGGCACCCAGCATTCACCCTGGGGGGTGGAGCAGAGGTTAGGGGTACTTACTGGTCTCTGGCAGAGTTGAGGGAAGCCAGACCCCTGTGCTGCCAGCCACTGCTCAGACTAAAGGCTTCCTGTGCCACCGAGTGGGCTGGAGGGAAGGGGAGAGCAGGGGAGATGGGCCTTATGAATGAAAGTTGCTTTGGGAGGGGGAAGGAGAGAAGGGAAAGGAAGGGGAGAGGGAGCGGGGAGAGCACAGAGGAAGGAAAAATGCAGTTTCATCTGCTTGTTTGTGTTTCTTGTATTTAAGATGCCGACTCCTAGCATATTTTTAAATCCATCAGACATGAAAGGCTGATTTAAATAGACCCGCAGTGTGAAGCTGATGATTTCACTTGCCACAATAGGGAAGCTGGCAGGGCTCTGGCCAGGATCCAGCACCTCCCTCCTCGCCAGGGAAGCTGCCGAGCAAATCGCTCTGGGCTAGATAGACTTCCAAGCCAGGTGCTTTCCCCTCCCTGATGGGGACGTAGAAAGAGGAGGAGGGATGGTGGGGAAGAGGAGGAAGAAGTAGGACAGGGAGGAAAGTGAAGAAGAGACGGGTTAAAGGAGGGAAACTGAACTTGAGAAATGAACTAGCCCCCCGTCCTCCTGGGCCTGGAAATCTTCCTAGCTCAGGTCATCCTGACTCCCTGTACCACCTGTGCTATATCCTCTCACTTCACCCTCAGATCCAGGACTGTGGGGTGTAGATGGGGGCCTTGTAATCCTTTGTACCTAATTTCCCAACTGCATTTCTAAGAGCAGAGCTTCAGAAAGTTCACCCTGTGAGGCAGCCTGTTTCCTTGCTAGACAGCACTGTTGGAGATAAACTCCTCCGTTGGGATAAATTGAAATCCTTTCGCTCTGCCATCACCAGTTCTAATCCGGCCCTCCTGAGTCCCTCAGAATAAGCTTAAAGCCAAAGTCAGCCCTTCATCCCCGAACTGCATACTCAGGTTCCCTCTCCAGCGCCAATCCTTCTATGCTGATTTCTAGTCTTTACCGTAAATTATTACAATGCAAATCTCTGCAAAACCAACATATTTCTGGGTGTTAATTAATGTATCTCCTGCTATAGTCAATGCAACAAAATTCCAGGAACCACACAAGATTTTTGCCACTTGTTTCTGTTGTTGTTGTCATTCAACACACTCTGACGATCTACTCTGGAGCTAGGCGAGGGGCTCCTGTTGGCATACAGGATATGAAGGTCTGTCGACCAGAAGCTTGTCTACAGGGTGCGGGGCCACACTCAACAGAGAAGCATGTTCGTGGGCAGGGGTAGAAGGTCGAGGAGCACTGAGCACCCTCCCACTGCGGAGCTGAGAGTCGGGTGAGGTGGGGTGAGGCCCTCAGGGGAAGGAGGGTGGGAGTTATGGTAGAGGCATTTGTACGGCATGTTAATTTCTGCTTGTGCATTTCTAGCTGTTTCCTCCCCTGAAGCACAGTGAAGCACCAAATCCTGTACGTGAGCTTGTCTTCCTTTCCAGCTCTCTCATCTCTTAATATAACCTGAGACCAACACTGAGCGTCTTACAGCTTCAGTTGCTGGGGATCAAAGAGAATTGAATCCTTCCTTCATTCATGGAACACAAATGTTGTGACAGTGTTTCTTCTTAAAATTTTTTATTGTGGTAAAATATACATACCATAAAATTTACAATTTTAACCATTTAAAAATGTACAATTCAACGTCATTAAGTATATTCCCAATAGTGTGTGCAACCATCACCACCATCCATCTCCAGAACTCTGTCATCATCCCAGTGTGAAAGTGTTTTAGAAACCATATATGTAAAGGCAGGTCAATTAGGAATGTGCTAGCTGAAGTCTTGACCGGACAGCAAATTCATCCATCCACCTACCTACTGTGTTTATGTACCAGGCTTGATAAATACAGAAACAAATGAGACCAGAACTACAAGGTAAGAACCTTGTCGTCTGTGATGCTGGGCCCCCTGTCCTACTTCAAAACAGAGTGGGAAGATAGAAAGGATTCTTAGATGAGTCTCTAATTGAAGGAATTCAAGTTTTACTTATTCTCCTTTCCCAGGGAAATGGGAGGTGCTCTCACCCATGGCCTCAGCCTTTCCAGTTACCAAGAGGTGTGGGATTTTCTCTCTCTTTTGTATATTGTTTTGTTCTGGTCTCTTGCATGGGGAGACAGAGGACGATGTAATAACTATCATTTGTTTAGAGCCTTTCAGCTGACTAAGCTCTTTCCCAGGAGTTCTCTTTTGACCTTCACACGAGCCTGCGAGGGAGTAAGGCAGAGAGCACTATTTTGCAGATTTGAAAGCAGGCTCAGAACATCAAGCAGCTCCAGGTTTTGCCCAGGGCCACACAACTTGTGTGCAGGTCCTTATTCTGAGCAGGCCTTTGGGGCTAGAGGAAGCCGCTGAGAGAGCCACAGCTGGGTAAGGGCAAGGGAGGCTGCTTTCACAACAGGAAGGAGGAGAACAGGGCAGGGAAGCATCTTTTGTGTAGAGGCGTGGAGCCCAAGTCACATTGAGTTGTTGAGCTGCCTGTGGGTAATGGATTGCTACTAGTGGCAGCTGGGGAGGCCGCGGGGTGTTGAGACGGATGCTTTGTTGGGCACCACACTGTCTGAAAGGCAATTGAATCGCAGCAGCTGGAACATGCCAACACTTTGTTTCAAAAGTAAGCAGCAGCAACTCATTGGCATCAGTGAGGCAAATCCTAAGGTCTACCTAGGCCACAGGTTAGGGACCTGGGACTCCAGTGGAGCAGCTCACCAGGGGATGGGCCTTGTTCCTGAGAAAGGATGCTCTGCTCTCACTTGTTCCTACAAGTTGAATGTTATTTGTCAGACACTGGACCAAACATGTGGCCACAGAGATGAATGCTCCTGCCCTCAGGAGCTCAGTCCAGTGCCTCTAAATTATTAGAGCCCTGTGGGCAGTGTGTATGAACAAGCACCATACAGAATGGCGCAATTTGCTTCAGTGCAGAGTGGCCTGGAGAGCCCATGCGCCTGATGTTGGGCCACACCCTGACACTCTGCCCTTGACCTAGTGCAGCACGTGCTCAGTGAATCCCAGTTCCCATCATGTTTCCCAAATTCATTCTGAGCTTCACATGTTTTGATTTCTATTTATAAATGTTTCTTTAAAAATCCCATTCTCTCTGTCTATGGTCTTCAGGCATTTTTGCTTAGCACCGCAGTGTTGTTTATGGGTGGTATTTGTTATAGGTCAGATGGATCCACTCATAATTCATTATGATAGCACAGGCCTCACTGGTCCTAGGAGTCCTGAGTTGCTGGGAGAGGAGTCTCCCGGTGCTACGACAAGAGCCTGCAAGTACCACGTTCAAACCAGAGCCAAAGCCTTGATGAAGTCCCAGCTCTGAGAGGGGGTCAGTTCTTGGACCTGACTCAGCCCTAGCCCCAGAACGATAAATGACACACTTTGCCCAAGCTCCTCAGTTTCTACATTGGTTTCGGGTCCTCTGCCAAGCACCATATGGTTTCCCAATCCCTGTCATTTCTAGCAATGTTCTCCCTAAGTAGGGCACTTTGATTAAATTGGTTCCACTGAATTGTAGAAAAGGTGGAGTTATGATGTTCTTTGTCACTGCTATTGTTAGTAATTAATATGTCTATTAATAGAAACATCAACAGAGTTAGGAAGTGGGGGAGGAGATTTAGAAGGTGGTTGTATCCTGTTAACCCTCTCCCCTGCCAGATAAGAAGGGACAGAATAACCAATAAAGTAAAAATCCCATGGCTTTTGACTAAACTTTGTTGGAATTTGTGCAGCCTCTTTCTGCTCCCCAGAGGAAGGGAGGAGAGGTGGCAGTGCTCCTAGGGCCAGCTCAGAAACCAAGCTCGGGCTTTGATCACAACCAGCAACAACAGGCTACTTAAGTCTTGGGTTTTGTATGCATGTGTACCCATAATTTCATTATTTTGAAGTAATTAAGCTGGCTTTTTTAAAGAAAAGCTTCAGATTTGCCCTGATTTGCAGTCTTCCCCTGCAATCCCTTTTGAGTAAAGCTTTGCAGGATGACTGAATTCTTAGAAGGACAGGGAAGATTGTCTGAGCACGTCTGGCCTCTCTTTACTTCCCCTGAGAGACCGGATAACTCCTTGGGCAGCTCACCTCCTCCAGAAGGGCAATAGAAGCTCAGGAAGAGGGGAGGCGTTCTCAGACCTGAAGGGCCTCCTCCTTCTTAGAATCCAGAAGAAACGAGAGACCTTAGAGAGGAGGGTAGAGGTCAAGCTAAAGAAAAAGGCCAGAGTCCTAGCTGGGTTGTGTGAAGTAGGAGAAAGAAAGCAGAGATCGGCAAGCAGAATTTGGTTTGTGCACAGGACAGGTGGCTACCAATCTTACTCTTTGAGACTTTAAGCTATTTTAAATATGTGTAAAGACCTAAAGTAAATCATGTCTAAAGAACTAAAGGCAAGTGTGAGGATAATGTCTCACCAAATAGAGAATACTGATGAAGACAGAGAAATTATAATAAGGAACCAAATTCTGGAAATGAAAAGTACAATAATGGAAAAGAAAAATTCACTAGACAGGCCCAACAGCATATCTGAACAGGCAGAAGAAAGAACTAGTGAGCCTAAAGATCAGTCAATTGAGATTACCCAATCTGAGGAACATAAAGAAAAAAGAATGAATAATAATAAACAGAGCCTCAGAAACCTGTGAGACACCATCAAGCATGTCAAACGCACATAACGGGAACCCCAGAAGGAAAGGAGAGAAAGAAGTAGAAAGAATATTTGAAGAAATAAGGACCAAAATCTCCCCCAATTTCATGAAAACTATTAATCTGCACATTCAAGAAGCTCAACAATCTCCAAGTGGGATAAACTTAAAAAGATCCATAGCTGCACATGTCAAAATGAAACCATTGAAAAACAAAGACAAAGAATTTTGAAAGCACAAAGAGAGAAACAATTCATCAAATAGAAGGGTTCCTCAATGATACCAACAGCTAATTTTACATCAGAAACCATGAAGGCTGGAAACAGTGGGATGACACAGTCAAAGTTCTTTAAAAAAAAAAAAAAGCTGTCAATCAAAAATTCTATATCTGGCAAAACTATCCTTCAAAAATGAAGGATAAATTAAGACATTTCCAGATAAACTGAGAAACTTTATCTCTAACAAGAGAGTTTGTCTCTAACAAGCCTGCCCTACAAAAAATAGTAAAAGCAATCCTTCAGGCTGAAATGCAAAGGCACAAGATAGTAATGTGGATCAACATGAAGAAATAAAGAGTGCTAGGAAAAGAAATTATGAAGTCAGATATAAAACAATACAAATTTATTTTTTGTTGGTAACTCTTTTTTTCTGATTTAAATAAAATGTGTATGGCAATAATTATAAATGTATGTTGATGGGCACAAAATGTATTAAGATGAAATTTGTGACAATAATAGCATATGGGAGGGGAAAACAGGACCACTTTAGAGCAACATTTTTGTATACTTGAAATTAAGCTGGTATTAACATGAACAGATGGTTATAAATTCAGATATTAATGGTAATCCCCAGGGCAACTACCAAGAGAATAATTCAAAAATATATAGTAAATGAAACAAGAGAATGAAAGAAAATATCTATTTAACATAAAAGAAGGCAGTAATGAAAGAACATGAGATTTAAAAAGACATATGATGTATAGAAAATAAATAGCAAAGTGGCAGACAAATCTTACTTTTTCAATTATATTAAATGCACATAAATTAAACTTTCCAATTAAGAGATTGGAAGAATAGATTTAAAAAACATGATCCAACTATACGCTGTCTCCAAGAGACTCACTTTAGATTTAAAAGTACAACTAGATTGAAATTAAAAGGATGTAAAAGATAAAGATATACAATGCAAACAGCAATAAAAAGAGAGCTGAAGTGGCTACACTAATATCAGACAAAATTGGCACGGTGGCTCACACCTGTAATCCCAGCACTTTGGGAGGCCGAGGCAGGCAGATCACCTGAGGTCAGGAGCTCAAGACCAGCCTGGCCAACATGGTGAAACCCCATCTCTACTAAAAATACAAAAAAATTAGCCAGGCGTGGTGGTGGGTGCCTGTAGTCTCAGCAACTCGGGAGGCTGAGGCAGGAGAATCGCTTGAACCTGGGAGGTGGAGGTTGTGGCGAGCCGAGATCACGCCACTGCACTCCAGCCTGGGCAACAAGAGGGAAATTGCATCTCAAAAAAAATAAAATAAAATAAATCAAGTTTGAGACAAAAATTGTTACCAAAGACAAACAAGGACACTTTATAATGATAAAGGGTCAATCCATCCAGAAGAAATCACTATTATAAATATATTTCAACCTAGCAATAAAGCCCCAAAATACATGAAGCAAACTGAGGTCTTTGAGAATAGAGAAGGCAGCTTTGTCCTAAATATTTGACTGCCATAACCTATTATAGTGGTTAATATCCAATAACTAGGGACTCATTCCTTGGAGTTAAAGGTTTGCCTCCCCTACAGTTCTTCGTTAAAGTATAAATATGTCCCTGGAAGCCACCAATTGTGTTGCAATTCCATTTAGCTGAAGTTGGTTTAAGCTCCGTTGGAGCAGTGACTGCTAGTGACAGAGACAAACGGTTGAGCCATTTTTGATAGATTATATAGGTATGGCCTGGCCTGGGCCCAGGAGGAAAGCAGGGAGAAGAAGCATCTCAGAGTGGGTAGAAGTATTAAGAATAGAGAAAGAGTATAGGATGAGGAGCAGGGAGAAAGCTAAGGTATCACAGGGGCACAAAAAAAGTATCGCAGGGGAACAAAAAAAGTCCCACAGAGAGTGTGGGAAACAAATGCTAGACAAGGAGCAAAGCAACTGGGGCACTGCGTTGTGATGAGGTTCTTGGTTTGGCAACTCAGCACTGAGGGCAGCATCAGCCCCTAGAAGAAGCAAAAGGTATAAGAACAGGGAAGCAGGCAAGAGCCGGGGATGGCAATGAGCACAGGCCATTCATTGGTAAATACCCAGGAGTTGTGACCAGGTCTGAGCTGCCGAGTGATTCCTGGACTACCACAGAGAGGGAGGGAGAGAGGGCTGGGTGCTGAGATCAGGCAACAGGCACTGGAAGGCATAGGCACTGATAGAAAAACCAGGAAACTAGGAAACTCATAGGAACAAAGAACAGCAAGAGGCAAGCCAGATATGAGCTCAGAACTCAGGCAAACGGGCTGGGCAAACAGATGCTCAAATGAGGTTGTGTTTGTGAAAGTGCCCAGTTCTGGGCAGATGCTTAGTAACTGTTAGCTGGTTCTAAATATAAAACTGAAGCAAGGCAAGTGGCCAGGACAGCAACTCAATGTTGACAACAAAAATAGCCCCTACGTATTAACACCTCTTATATTCTGGGCACGTTGCTAGGTACTTTACATACATTACCTCATCTAATACTAAAATGACCCTGTGAGGTACACATCGAAAATTCCAGTCTATAGATGAATGTGGATCCTGGTTAAGTGACTTGCTCAAGGCCATTACAACGATGTGAATGACACAGAGCCAGAAGTTTCCTCTGGCAGCCTCTGGGCCACAGTGACAGCCCAGGGTGGCTCTGATCAACATGGTGGCTTAAAAGGAATGGGAGGAGGGGAGCTGAGAGCTGGGGACAAGGAACTTCTCAGAGTTCCTCTGGAGTCCCAATCCTCCACTTTTTTTAAAGACAGAACCTCACTCTGTCCCTCAGGCTGGAGTGCAGTGGCACCATCATAGCTCACTTTAACCTCAAACTCCTGGGCTCAGGTGATCCTCCTGGCTCAGCCTCCTGAGTAGCTAAAGCTACAGGCTCACGCCACCATGCTCTGCTAATTTTCTATTTATTTATTTATTTATTTATTTATTTATTTATTTATTTATTTATTTATTGTAGTGGTCGGGTCTTGCTGTGTTACTCAGGCTGGTGTCAAACTTCTGGTCTCAAATGATCCTCTGACTCAGCTGGGATTACAGGTGTGAGCCACCACACTCGGCCCCCTCCTCTTTTTAAAAGGGGGGTTGGGGAAGAGAGCATCAGAGGCCTGAAGACCCTCCCTGCTCCTTTCTCTCTCCTTTGAAGAATCGTGGTGATTTATCCCACATGCCAGAAGGCCAGGCACTAGGTCACTAGGGCCACCCTTCCCTGCCTTAAACCTTGCATGGCCTGTTTCTAAATGGAAGAATGCAGTGGAAAGCAGGGGCAAGGAATTAGGAATAAAGACACTTGTGGGGTTAGGGAACCCCAGGAATGGTCTGTTTGCCCCATAAATCCCAATAGCTATATCTGCTTTCTGTCAAAAGCAGAAGAGTGAGCTTACTTCCTCCATGGCCACCATGATCTTCTATCCTTCCTTTCCCTTCCCGCACATGACACACACAACACACACGTGCATGCGCGCACACACACACACACACACACACACACATTGGAGGGCCACCTCTGGGTGACCCATGCATCCCCTCTCCCTGCCTCATCCTATTAGTGGGACCACCACCACTGCTCTTCCCTAGGGGAAGGGAGTTTCCTGTGAATTCTCTTTAACCTTGGACTGGGGTCCAGGGCCAGCCTATGATGGAAAATAAATATGTCATCCTGTGCATCTGAGCAAGAGCTCAAAGCATCGGATACCCCATCCCCTCATTTTACTGATGTGGTGAGGACCAAGGAGGGAGCGGGCTTGCTTAGGATCACGGAGCGCCTTCTGGTACCCAGTCCTCATTTTTGTTCCGCACCCTCCACGGGCTCTCTGGTTCCTGCAAGTGCTCAGTGAAAGACAGAAGTCTGCAAAAAAGAGGTAGGTACTTGCCTGGTGACCCAGAGAGCCTCTGACTGTTTTGGGAGTCTGGAAGGAGGCTATTGGAACGCCTTGAGAACTCTGGCCAGTGGCCTCTCCCCCATCCACGTGGCTGTGTGGGGTTGTCTTCAACTATCTTGTTGGAAGCCTGTGGACACTTTCTGCCCCTCTCCCTCTCTGTGTGCCCCACTTGGGTGTGGACCACCCACTTTCCTGTGGGGGCCTGGGTCTGCAGGCCCAGTGATTGGCAGTTGTCTTTGTAATAACTTTCATTCGACTTCCTACTCAGGGCAAGAGTGCTGTAACAGCTGGCTAGTGATGCCGGAGCTGGCTGGGAACCCACCACCACCCAGCTGCAGGAATCTCACGGGGCCCAGATCATTCCCCCAGTCCAAATGCCCTGTGCTATTGCAATCGGGGGTGCTGAAGCCAGCAGCTACATTCTGTTCACTTCTCAAACACCAGCAAAATGTCAACATCACAGCCACACTGAAAAAAAAATACAGTGTTCTGAAATAAAGTAAAAGAAAATAAAATGAAGTCAGTAACTATGGCCCTCGCGCTGGGCCCCACTGCCTGCATGTCAGTCTACCCTGTTAATCATCACGTATGATTTTTCAAAGATCTATTTTGAGAAACATTTAGAAAATGGCTTGTATATAGCTATATATGCCTCATTTATACCCTCCAGAAATGGTCGCTCTGTTTAGCGGCAGATGGCTTTTCTTCCACTAGTTCTCTTTTCATTTCTCAGTCAAAGTTAAGTAGGAAGTCAACCTACTCCCTAACCCCAGGCACACACTTATCACCCACAGTCCACCCTGGAGTCAGGGTTGTAGGTGGGGGGTGAGAAGGAAAGGCTGTGGGTTCTCCCTAAGGCACTGTTCCACAAAACCCAAGGGGACAAAGGCAGCGGGCATGGTGCTGAGAGGGAAGGCTCAAAGCTGGGATTAAGGAAAGAGCAGAGCCCCTGGGTAGGGGGTAGAATAGGATGTGGCTGCCCTGGTTTGCTGCAGTCAACAACTCGGGTATCTCAAGGTCCACGAAGCATGTATAAGACTATCCCTTTGGCCGCCGCAGAACAGGGGCCAAGAAAGATTAACTACCCCGGTGGCACCTGAGTGCTGTACCTTTGGCCTGCAGGAAGCCGCAAGTCGAGCCCTGCATAGTTGTCACGGCAACAGCAGTGCTGAGGCTCCTAAGGGCAAGGGGAGGAGAAGGGGGCGTGGAGAAGGCACGTGGTGGCTTTTCTGGAAAAGCCCATCTGTTTCTTTCCCCTAGGAAACTAAGTCGGGGAAAACAACAACAACAACAAAGCAGGGACAGGCATCTGGGGTCTAGAAAGAGAAAGGAGAGAAAAGACTCTGAGATGCTCCAAGAGCAGCTCTCCTGATGGGATGTGCTTCCCTTCCTTTTGGGGGAGGTGAGTGACTGACAAAGAAAAGGACTGGGCGGGCCCCGGTGGGTGGCATCTGTGCAGGAGCCGTGTGCAGGATCAGGGCAGGCTCTGTGACCTCAGGTTTGCTGGGGGCAGTCCTTGTAGGACCCTATCAGCCACAGCAGGATTTCTTCTTAGCAGGGTGGCCGACCTGAATGGTGTCCTCTCTCACTGTGTCTTCTTGCTCCTTGAGGAACCTGGGAGAGGGGAAGAGATCGTGTCAGTGATGGAGAAGTTGATAGGCCCAGGGGCTGGCAACCTGGACAAGCTACCCTCAGGTTACAGGTCATCTGGGCCATATGGAGAGAACCCACCCTCACCACGGCATCAGAGAGAGTCCTGAACATCCCCCCCTGGACAGTACAGGTGCACAGCTGTAATTGTAAAGCCAGAGAGTTTAGTTGACATGGATCCTTCAAGACACCTCCTCCAGGAAGCCTCTCCTGATCCTCTAGGTAAGCCTAAGTGCCCCTGACAGCATCTGACCCTTCCTCTGTCATGACCCCATCACCCAGTGTCACAATGCGTGACTTCCCTGGCTGTCTCCCTCGGCAGAAAATGAGTTGCTTGGGACTGAGACTTATCTTTTGTCTCTGTGCCTCTGCAGCTTATCACAGTAACCAGCACACAGGTGAGGCTCCAAAATATACTGATGGGTCGTAACCTCTGCAGTAGGGCTGTGCCATGTGGCCACAGCTCCAGATTAATTGTAGGAGGTGAGGAATTAAAAATAATGGTAAACACCTGTCTCTTCTCTATACTTTCCAAACGCTTTTGCGTTACGCACCTCCTTTGATTCTCTCAACAACCTGTGAGTGGGCAGGAAAGGAAGGTGTGATTGATGTTCCTACCTTCCTGACAAAGCTCAGAGAGGCAGGGCATTTGCCCAGGGAGTCAGGGGCAGAGAAAAGCCTAGAATGTTTCCTTGTGATACTCCATAACCCTATAACCTCGCCAATGCATAGAGGAGTTGTTCTGGGCTCTTAATTACTCAAAGAAAAATATTTTTAAGTGCCCCAGAATGAGTGCTGAGCACAAAATGGGCTCTGTTAAGTATTTGCTGGACGGATGAATAGATGGAATGAAATGAAGGCCTAGATGGATGAATGAATGAGTGAATTCTTAAGTATCAGAAATGAGTCCCAGCATGGTTTTGTTGTTTAAATTTTTGGTGTAGGCAGGGCCTTAAGGAACCAGTCTTTTCATGCTACCAGCACCATTACCTTGGTTACCTCCCATTGATTTCCCATCACAGCCCCTCTTCTTTCTGGTTTCTACACCCACTCCTTCCTCCCACACCCAGGAACTCATATTATAACCCATTCTTGCCTCCAGCTGGCTTCCAGCTAGTCCCTGCTAAGACATCAGCCAGTGCTGAGGGGCCTCTGATCTGGCCTTCCCCCAGAAGGATTGGCATTTAAAAAGAGCATCCCTAGGAAAAGGCAGCCTTTAAGACTAAGAAGAAGACTGCAATGGGGGTGACAGGTAGGGATGCTTTCTTTCCCAACATCATTGTTTCAGAAAGCTGCTCCTGATGTTGCAATCCCATACAAAGGCCCAGGACCCCGTTGCCTATACTCAGAGGGCTCTGGCCAATAGGGAGGAAGGGGGGTCAGAGGTGTGGCCTGGGTGGAGGGAAACACGGTGCCTCCCTGAAGGCAGACACAGCTGGACACAGCAGTTACTGCACCTGGGGAGCACATCTCTTTACCTGGCCAGATGGAGCAGGGACTCTTTGGTGTTGTGACCAGAGTAGGCGCTGCATTCATAGAAGATCAGATTGTTCTCCTAGAATCATAAAACAGAGCGAATACAAGAGTATTGGAGTGAGAGGGGATTGTGGGGGGTGGTGGGAGAGCCCCCTTGTGCATCTACCTACAGCCTTCACTTCCTCTCGCAGCCCCTTGACCTTCCTCATAATCCTTCCCCACTCTGTACATGGCTGATTTCTGTCTCCACAGCCTCCCTGACAATGCAAGCTCTGTAACCATCTCCCAGGTGAGCTATAACAATTGTAAAACAATGAAACCATACGCTGTCTTAGTTCCTCTTTACACTTTCCCAAATTCCTCTCAAGTACACACATGCTCATTCCAGGTTACACCAGCCCTGTGATTCAGGCAAAGACACAAAGGCCAGGGTGGGCAATATTCTTCCCCCTTTCACAGGCAGATAAGCTGTAGTGAGAGAGGGCACTTGGCTGGCTTGTTCAGTCCCACATTGAGTTAATGGCAGAGCTCCTTGCAGCATGCTTTTCCCAAGACAGTGGCATTCCATAGGCCTTGGGGACAGGTGTCATGAGGCACTCCGGTAGGAATTCTCTTTCGCACCAGTTAATTAATACTCTAGCTGCCCTGGCTGTCAGCACTGGTGCACCAGACTGGCCGTCAGCTCATTAGGATGAGGTTGTGCTGCCTGCATGGTGCGGGAGCCCTTGGTTAAGGCTCATCATATTCCATTGATCACTCCCATTAATAGATTACTGGTGTCATTATGACAATGCTGATGGCACAGGGCCCTGGCTTTTAGATGGCCTGTTCTTGGAGGCTGATGCCCTGAGGGGATGCAGGCCAGTTGAGTGAGGACAGTTCTGTGGCTGTAGCTCAGGAGGCTCTGCCATGCTCCCAGTGCAGCTTTCCCCATCTACACCCACAGGCCAGCTCGACCCTCTGCCCTTTTCACCCAGCCCCATGGGCTCTATTTCTCCTTGTCTGCATTTCTCTCAGATCTGCAATCTCTTGGGTCAGTCTGTCAAAGAGTAGAAGTTCCATGGGGTGGGAATAGTGGGGAGGGGAGAGAAGGACATAGGACTTAGAACTGGAAGACATGATTTGCCTTCCTGCTTTGAGTTCTGACCCCACCTCGGGTGAGCTGTGATAATACGAATGTATCACTTAACTCCCGAGTCTTAGTTTTTTTTTCACTAACAAAAAAAAAAAAGAAAAGAAAAGAGAATGGATAGAATCTTTGGGTCCAGGTATATTTTGAAATCCAGAATTTTCTGAATCTTAGAAAGGTAATACATGTATATACCATATATTATATAATACCCTCAGTGGATTTCAGACAGCACTCTATAATCAAATATATTACTATTTCTTCAGTGAAACCTTTGACTATTCACTCAAAGTGAGGTTACAACCATGAATAGCCTCGTGTCATTTCTGGTCAGATTTTTCTGCCAGATAAAATACAAAACAACCCTTTCTGTTTTCAGAGCTTTTTGGATTTCGGAATTGTGGACATGTAACTGTCTAGTGACCCTCCATGTAGATACCTGCCAGGCCCTTCCTCCTCCTTTTTCCTTGAGTCTTACCATCTGTGCTCGTTCTCCCAGGCTCTGAACTCATGAAACGCTGTTTAGGATGAGCATGCAAAGAATTACAGAATCATGGGGCTGGTAAGCACCCCAACCTCCCAGACACACAGTTCCATGAAAACAAACTCTGAGGCAGTAAAAGAAGCCAAGGAACCACATTTTGTTGCCTGATTTCCATTAAGCCCCATTGATTCCATTTTTGAGCAAGGGGCTCCATGCTTTTTAATGGTAGGTTTTCCAGTGTGTCTCCTGAGTTTATCTTGAGTTCATGACTTTGAGGCTCAATCCTGACAAAAAGGATGAACTCTCTAACACAGTGGTCTGCAGAAGAATACACTGCTTTGCAGAGAGTGAGTTTTTCATCCCTGGGGGTGATCAAGTGGAAATGCAGATTGGAGGGGGATTGAAATAAGTAAACTATTGCTATCTTAGAATGTATACTTCTGAGTTACAAGGAAGGGACTTTAGGATAATTCCCCATGCCCTAGTGGTCCCTAACCAACTCCATCTTGCAACCTGTGGCTTTCTATGCAAAGTTCTACATGCACAGGAGCTGAGCCATTCCCAGGATACCAAGACACCCATGTTTTCCAGTTGCTTCCTTCCCATGGCACTTCCAGAGAAAGTCCCCACCAAGGCTCTTGGGCACTTGCCCAACTTCCCTCGGGGTCACACTCTGTCCAGAGAGATGGAAATGCTTGCTCTTTACCGTGGCAAGCTGCTCTCCGAGGCCCCGGGGGACTTCCCGCTCCTTCTCGTTGTCAAGCTTATTACCCAGCAGAAGAACAGGCACCCGGTCTCCCACAGCTTCCTGCAGAACAGAAAATGTTTTCAACTGAGAGGGGTGTCATAGGATTGCCCAGAGGGCAGGCTAACAATGCCGGCTGGACAGATGGGACCTCGCTTGAGAATCCCCTGCTGCCATAAAAGGTGAGGCCGTAACAGAGTCATCCTGAAAGCAGAAAACAGCCGCCTTCTCCAAGAGCCTCAGTTTATCATGCTTTTGCAAGGTGCCTGAGGCCTGCCTGTGGTGTCTCCTAGTCCCTGTGTGTGCAATGACCGCTCCCCCTTCACGATGCTCCTTGGATCTTAGATGGAACAGCAGGCCCCCCAAGGTGTGCTGGATGAGGGGACAGTTGATGCCAACAGGCTGCATGCCTCCTTCCAGAGCTTACAGCACCCTGAGGGCGTGCCTAATTGGCCAGGCTTAGTCCGATGGACCAAGGCCATGAATGCCCCATGGTTTGGAGTTGTTCTGGAGGCTGCTTTGATTAGAAACTGCATCACTAGAGGCCTCCTGATTGCACATAAGCTTCTGAGGGTTGGATCCAAATCTGCCTCATGGTCTTGCGCCCACAAGGCTCCATAAATGACTGCCATGTGCCTTGCTGGAGGCTGGCACCACAGACCCCTGTCACTGGGCGCTTTGGCTCTGAAGAAAGCCCTGTGTAAGAAGGAACACTGTGGCCATAGCAGCTGCACTGCTTGGGCCAGAAGTCACAGGTTTATTCAAGGTATCACATTGTTTACTTCCCCAATGGCTGTGGCTTACCAGCCAGGGGCCTGCTTCCCGGGTCTCCACCTCCTCCCTGGTGAAAGGGGCACCGTGTGTGTCTCTCCTGAGGGCGCCCAAAGGGCCCGGGACCACCGACTGCCATTCAGTGAGTAAATGTGGTAATGTGCACATTGAAGAAGGTTGTTATTTTTACTTAAATATTTAATTAGGGGCTTTTAATCATAATTTAGTAACAAATAGTTATTCATTGTAGCTAAATGTTTTACTAAATAGAGGGACCTGTGGGATAACAGAAGCTAATAAGCAGTTACAGTTTTGCCAATACTTTAGCTGTTTTACTTGAGCATTTCAAATAAATGTCCAAAGTCCATCTTACAGATATACCAATTTTAAATTTAAATGCTATTATGTTTGAAATTAAGCCTCAATGTTTCCTTAATCTGTGCATTCGTTTTTACTGCCATTTAATAGGGGAAAAAAATTCTTATTTAACAAATGAGAAAGTTAAGGCTCAGAGAATCAAAAAGAACATTCAACACCATAAGCACTGAATTATGAGAACTCTTTAGTATATGGGTCCTCACTTCTCCAACCTTTTCCTCTAGATTCTTATTTCCAATCAAGTCTCTGCTACTTAGTATCTTATTAACTGGAACCCTCTAAAAATGGTATCTATTGGTCAGATGGTAACTTGTGTTTGCAATGATGACTCAAAGGCGCTACAAGATCTTACAGTGTCTTCTGACCCATCAAAAATAGATTAAATTCTGGACACTGCAGTTGATGTCCTAAGTGGATTGTACATATTCCAACTACTTGAAAGTGAGAAAGCCACTGATGGCATATATGGAACCCTGTGGCCCCCTATTAGCTAGAGCGTTCACTAATGGGAACACCCCCTCCTCTGACCGTGCTGTGCCACGGGATACTTGTGCGAAGAGCTTTTCACGGAAAGGGAAGAAAGGAGGAGGAAGCAGGGAAATGGGCCAAGCGGCTTGCTGTTTAGAGCACATGGGAGAGAGATATTTGTAGATTTATGTGTGAGGAATGATTAAGGCTTGTGGGATTTCTTGACATGGAAACTCTGAAAATATGAGCATCAGACTTGAAATCCCAGGGCAGAATTCTACCCCAGGTTTTGGTATTATTTGGAATGGGCACTGGCTTCTGTTTCCTCGCTTGCAGAGGGGATGATGGATACTGAATGACCCAATAGGATGGGGTAGGGAATGGGTCATAAGCCCAACATCTGGGTCCTATGCACCATAAACAGCAATGGTGCCTCTTGCGTCCTGGGAAAAGAAAGGGCAGGTTTCTTCTTTTTTTTTTTTTTTGGGAGGCCGAGGTGGGTGGATCATGAGGTCAGGAGTTCAAGACCAGCCTGGCCAAGATGGTGAAACCCTGTCTCTACTAAAAATACAAAATTTAGCCAGGTGTGGTGGTGGGCACCTGTAGTCCCAGCTACTTGGGAGGCTGAGGCAGAGAATTGCTTCAACCTGGGAGGCGGAGCTTGCAGTGAGCCAAGATTGTGCCACTGCACTCCAGCCTCAGTGACAGAGAGAGACTCTGTCAAAAAAAAAAAAAAAAAAAAAAAAAAAAAAAAACCAAAGCAATTCCTGGATATAAAAATAAAGGAGCTTAGAAGGAGCAGAAAAAAAAAATTTAAAAGCAAAGCACTCAGCAGGAGCTGCGGTTTCTGTTCTTTGTATTGTTCCTCTCTTACACAGCCACTCTGGACAACTGGCTTCCCTGCAGGGACCCTGGCCTGCCACCGATAAAGGAGAAACAGACTCATCTCCAAATATTTGGCAAAAATAAATGAGAATACCCATAAGACCAGGGAGTGTGCTAACTATCACAGTCAGTCACCATCACCCTGGCCCAAGGTCATCAGTCTCTGGCACAGGGGCAGGGAGAGGAGCTGGTATTGGGGTAGGTGTCTCATGGTCCTCTCTGACTTTGACCCCAAAAGTCTGGAACTATCTGTCTAAACTTTACACCTTTCTCATACCTAACTAGGTTTTCAGCCTGCATACCACTCAGCACAAGATGTTCAAAATTACCTCCTAGATGAAGCAACACCTCCTTCAAGCCCCTAGGGCTTTGGTGAACAGGTCTCAGGTCTACTCAAACTCTGTTGTCTTGAGACTGTGAGAGATGTTGGTAAAAATCCCATCAGCATGACAGGTTGGAGTGAAGTCATCTTAGCTCCTTCATCAGGCACACAATCTCTCTTTAGGAGATGTGGGTTCTGCCCTAGCTCTGTCACCATCTCTCCATGTGACTCATCTGAGTCTCTCCTCTTTTCTGTGTCTCTCTGTTCCAAAGCCAGGTTCTGTTCTATGACCCTCTAACAGAGAGCCTTCCCTCCACCTTCAGTTATTTCAGCTGCCTTTCTGTGAACTTGAGCTTGTTGGAAGACAGACTTGTTGAAATTCAAAAGATCACCCATCTCTGACTTTAAATAACAAGAGCTGTCAACTTGGAGCAGTGGATTGGCATTCAGCTCAGAATGTGCAGCTGCTGGGTTTGGTTGGTTGTTGCCTATGTGCATGTGTGTGTGTGTGTGTGCGTGCGTTTTAATATCTATTTGCTAGGAGGCATGAAAAAGCACTTAGCTGGGATAGTGCTGCTATTTCTCTGGAGCTAGAGCAAAAATTTTTTCAGCACATTAAAGCATGCAGTTATGCTAAGAAAAAAAATGCCTGCAAAATTATATCTTGGGGGTTTCCATATTTATCCATCCCCTGGACTATGAGTCAAAACAAGATTTATTTGTGTGGTTCATTTTAAACTGCCAGCACTTCAAGCTCAACTTGGAACGTGGAGAAAAAAAAATCAAACTGCTATTTTTTGCACCATGCTGTACATTGTCACCAATGACAAAGATCGCAGAATGAGGTTTAGCTAGCAGCCCAGGAAGGGAGAGGGAAGTGGGCCAGGACCCCTTGAGCTGAAGAACTGTTCTGCTTTGAGAGAGAAGCAAGAAGGACTGAAAAGTAAATGAACACCTGCTTTTCAGGAGCAGATTTCAGCCATGGACCACAGGACAAGAGAGAAGCAGTGCAGTGTGGCAAAGCCCTCGCTTCTAGATCGGGTGGTGCTGCTGACAAGTGTGGGCGCCTTTGGGAAAGTCACTTCCTCTTTTTGGATCATAGTTTTTCTTACTTATAAAACAAGAGGTTGCATTAGATTAATCTCCACGTTTTTTTCCAGCTCGGAAACACTGGTCTATTCGGCTTAACTCCGCCAATTCTATTTCACTTCCTCGACTCACATGCCCAGGAATCTAGTGCCATCAGAACGACAAGAGGCTCTAAACAAGAAGCTCAGCATCCCAGGACTGCAGACACTGGGGGCCAGCAATCCGGCTCTGGGGGAAATACCAGCCCATACAGGCTTGTACAGGCTGGCGTTCTAATTTCTATTTTCTCTACCCGACACAGGCCCCAGAGTCTTCTGATGTCCAGTTTGTCCCATGGCCACACGTGGGGCCTTAGAGCCTGACTAGTTTCTTTTCCAGATTGGAATGGTTAAACCAATTCTACCCAATTGAGATAAGAAATTGGGGGTGGGTTGGAAATGCCGAGTTGGCCGAAAGACTGCCTGCGGTGACTTCCTATAAGGCACTCAGGAGAATCGGCACAGAGGGCATCTGCTGGGCCTCTTCTGCAGAAGGCCTGCAGGCAAGGTAAAGTTGCCTAGACTGGGTGAAATAGCAGAACAAGGGCAAGGCCACAGTCTTCCCATCTCATCAAGCAGTGCTGGTGCTCTCTTGCACCAAAGGATTTTGGTTCCCTCTGGGCTGGAAGGACCCTCCAGAATCTCCTCATCCACACACATTCCTGCTCCGTCTTGGCCTCCCAGAGAGATAGTCAAATGCCATCATACACTGTAGAAATTTAGGGGCCAGGAGGGAGCATTTGGTCTGCTGCCTTGTTGAATGATTGGCCAAAGTTTCATGGCCAGGAAGTGATCAAGATGGGATAGTAAGAACTTCCTTTCAGGGAACTCCACTACCTCCCCCGAGCATCTGTTCCCACCCCACACAACCTCTTCCAAGAGTCTTTCCCATGCAGGCATGTACAGCAACTGAAGCCCTTTTTTCTTGTATGCTTTTCAGGTTGAGGGAGGAAGGGGGACTGTGAACAGCTGGCCACCATTCACTTACTAATAAGGCTTCAGAACCTTGAAGACTGTTATTAAAGCTCCCCCTCCACCCTCCCTTCTCCAGGCGAGGGAGTTGGTAAAGTGCTCAGAGCTCTTTGGAAAAATAAGGTGCTCCACAAATATAAGGTACTTATTATTTTCAGTTCCCCTCAGATCAAATTAGGTGTCAAGTTTTAATCTATCACCTGACACCTCTGATTGCTGGTTGCCAAGGCAGAATGACTTAGCTTTTCAAGAATCTAGAGAATAATTGCATTTATGATGCCACCGTTCCACACCTTCAACACACACTCTGCCATTTGACACAGCCTCCTGCACTTGTTTCTGAAACTCTGTGCTGCTGAACTGAACGCATTGCCTGGTCTATCATACTGAGTCCCAGAGCTCCTAGTGTGTGCTGGACATGCCGCAGATGTGTAGTAAAACCTTGGTGAGGGGTCACAGGCATCTTCGGAAATGACTTAGAGCTCTTCTACTCACAGGGTCATCCCTGGACCACCAGCATCAGCCTCACATGAGAACTTGCTAGAAACACAGAATCTCAGACCCCAGTCCCGACCTGCTGAAGCAGAGACTGCATTTTAAGAAGTTCCCCAGGAGAGTCCTATATATGTTAGGGTTCAAGGAGCGCTTGTTTAGCCGGGAACAGTGGTGGCTGAGAATCAAAATTCCCTGGGGAGCTGTTCGTTTTATTTTTTATTTGCAGGCTCTGAACCACTCTGGGAGAGAAGGCCCTGGCCCCTGGCCTCTGTTCCCTTTAAAAGCTCCACGTGTGATCCTGATGTTCACCCAGGTTTAGAATAATCAATTAGAGCTTAAATGTACCTTTGGCTAATATCTTAAAAAAAAGGAAAAACTCAAACTAGAAATCATATAGAAAAGCCCTGTTTACACATAAGCAATTCTGATTTAACTATGTATAGATTTGCCATCTCAGCCAGGCTTCCCGAGCCCACAGACACACCAAGGCTTCCGTGGGCCTCTTAGCAGCCACACGCCGCTGATGATTTCAGCCCCGTCCCACAAAGCAACGTCTCTGGAGGATGACTAAACTGATGCTTCAAGCTGTGATGATGGTCTTCTGAGATGTCTTCACCTCCACCACCAAACTGTTCCACCTCTTCTTCTAGATCCCAGGCTCTGTGCAAAACAGGAGCCTTAGAAACGACACCCCCTAATGACAGCAGAGAGCGTAGTTCCCCAAATTTGTCACCATCCATTCCCATTAATCCCAGACCACCTGGAGGCTTAGCCCTAGCACACACCAAAATTTAGATACTGGGGGACAACTAAATGTCTGTGAAAAGGACAGGTGACCCTGGAGAAGTTAGGCCTTCCCTTTCTTCACTTTTGAATGAGATGGCCATACTAGATGGGAGATTTTCAAAGGGAAACTCTTTTGTCTAACAAAATTGTAGCTGACCTCCAATATGCTGAAAAAGGCAAGGCAGCTCTGACGGAGATGGGGGATGAGGGACCTGGATCCGTGACCACTAAACCTTCCCTTGCCGCTCCCCAATCTCTGGGGAATGTCAGTCTGATTCCAGGGCTCCAAGGAAGAGAGTCTGGAAACCCCTGGATTAGGTAATCCCTAACATCCCTCCTGGTGCTTAACTTCTGCAAAGAAGATAAATCTGCTTGGTGCTGCCAACAACAACAACAAAAGTAAAAAAAAGAACAGAAGAGAAAGATCGTGTCGTAAACTCCAAAGTTTAGAAAGGAATTACTGCTGGATTCACCCATACCATTTGCTTCCATTATTAGTTTGGTGTACAGGCAATCTACTACCTACATTTCAAAACTTGCATTTTCTCATTTGTAAGTGCGTCAGGCACAGTAATTTTGAGAAATAACAGGTAGTAGGCAAATTCTTGAGAAACCCTTGAATCTGGCTTCCATTTTGTTCCTTATTTTTCTTGGTAATCAGAAGGATGCAGATTAACAAAAGACAGACGGGTGACCCAGACATGCAAAACTACAGAGAAACAGATTTGGGTGAAAGGGATCATGGATCTTAGGGCCAAAAGGGTCAAAGAAATGGACAACTCCAAGAGTCTGCCTTCATAGCAATGTGGTATCCATTCATTCATCCAGGAGTTGTTGGTCTCATGCAAAGCATCCAGGTTATAGCAACGAAGATGCAGCTTCTGTTCTTAGGCAGCACGGAGTCCAGTGGGAGACACAGGCCAGTAAATAAGCAATTTGTTGCAGCATGATAAATATGTGATGGGATATGCAAGGTTTTATGGGCTTGGAGCAGAGAGCTGAACATAAGCTTCATGAGGGCAGGAGCTTTGTCTCTTTTATTCACTGCTAGGATTCCCAGGCTCTAGAATAGTGCCTGCCGGTGTTTTGAACAAATACGTGAACAAACCATGAATCCTGCTGGTGGAAGGGGCGGGACATCCTGCTTGGCTGTTCTGTGAAGGAATCAGCCGAGGCCTGGCAAAAAGCAATTTGTAGCTTGTCCACACTGGCAGTGGCCTTGAGAAGCCTGCACTGGGGTGGTGGAAACACTAATGAAAAAAGCATGTACAAAACGACATACTGCAAGTAGGAATCATAAACATAGAGTCTCCCAGATAATTCAGAATGCAAAGATAACACAGTTGCTCTTGGGCCCTGCCAAGACTCTTGATTTTGAGGTGAGCCTGGAGCCCTCACATTCTGGATCAACCTCCCCTTGTGTGAAGAGCTGTGACAGAGGCCCCCAAACATTGCATGGTGTGGCTCCCGGGCAGGGCATAGCTGGGCCTACTGGAGCTGGAAAGACTCAGGGGATGGGGAGAGACGCTGGTGAGAATGAGGGAAGAATCTGGTTGTGACTCAAACACTGATTTCTCCAGGACCCTTCCTTGACACTCCACTGTGTCCCCTCCCCCAATCCAGTCCCACTCAATCATGGCCCAGCAATGACACAGCTACTGGCATAATCTGGATTTTCAGTGTCCCTCTCTCCATGAGGGCAGGGACTGTGTCTGTCTTGTTCACTTCTGGGTCCCCAGGAACTGGCCTGGTACTGGGAACCCAGACGAACAGAGGAACACATGCCTGCATCAGTTTGTTCCTGGAAAAGGCAAGTTCCGAATCAGATTTTGAAAATGCAGAGGCCCACGTGGGAGATGGACAGAGAAGAAAAAAGAAGCCACAGTCAAGCCTAAATGCTCCTAGGAAGGTCGCCAGCTCACCTCCACGCTGCTCAGCCACCGCCGGACCGACAGGAACGACTGCTTGTCTGTGAGATCGTACATGACGATGACACCATCTGCCTTTCTGAAGAACTGCTGGGTGATGCACCGGTACCTGCCACAGAAGGGCCACGGGTCAGGCATGCACGGCCTTCCCTCTGGAGCCCAGAACTTCGGGCAGCTCCTCACCTCTCCTGCCCAGCCGTGTCCCACAGCTGCAGGGCCACCTGAGAGTTGTCCACATTCAACGTCTTCACACGGTAATCAATGCCTGCAGGGTGAAATGGGCCTGTCAGGGCTGCCCTGGGCCAGGGGCACCTCACTTCCAAATCAGGAAACAATGCTTCCAACATCTGAAATCACATCAGGCCCAAGGTGACAACCCTCCATGTGCAGCTCGTGGGAGGCAAAATGGAGAAAAGAACAGAGCACTGGATGGGGAGGCATGGGACCTCAGCTCTGGTCCTGTCTCTGCCACTTATTAGCTGTGGAACATTGATCAAATCACTTAACCACTCTGAACTGTGGGCTCTTCACTGTAATACAAGCCATACACTCTTTCTTTCCCTCCCTCCCTCCCTCCCTCTCTCCTTCCCTCCCTCTCTCCTTCCCTCTCTCTCTCTTTCCCTCCCTCTCTCCCTCTCTCCTTCCCTCCCTCTCTCCTTCCCTCTCTCTTTCCCTCCCTCCCTCCCTTCCTTCACCCTTCCTCCCTCCCTCTCCCCCAACTCTCTCTTTCTTTCTCTCTTTCTTTCTCTCTCTCTCTTTCTCTCTTCCTCTCTTCCTTCCTTTCTCTCTTTCTTTCTTTCTTTCCTTCTTTCCTAAAATTCTTTCAGAGGCCCCCTAGTAAAATTCAAATGTCCTAGGGGTATGGCCTCCATCAACCAATCCAAAGGTATGTGGAGGAGGAGGAAGAAGAAGGAGAGGAGGAGGAATAGGAGGAGGAGGGTAGGAACTGGCAGGTAGAGGAAAGGACAGAACAGAAGGGGTAAGAGAAAAAATCACAGGCAACTTTCACCCTTGAGATGGATTAGAGCTCCTAATCCTACCACTGGGCTGTTCACAACCATCTCTCCAGGGGTGTGACCCTACCTGGGGTCCTCAACCCCAGAGAGAGGGGGCAAGGTCAGTGAAGTGCATTCTGCATCCCACAGCAGCCCTCATAGGTCAGGACCTCAACACAGGTGTTTTGATACAGGTATTCCCCACTCCTGCATCCTGTAAGAATGTTTGCAAAGGCATAAAGAGGTTCGAAAGTACATCCCCCCACCACCACCATAAGTTCCAGATCTTAGAACTTTAGGGCATCTCCCGCAACCTTCAGAAAGGCCTCTGGAGGGCTCAGGAAGACAAACAGCAACAGCAGCTTGGACAGATAGAGACAGAAGAGACCAAACAGATAACAAAGAGGCAGTAAATGGAAACGGTCATCCCAGCCACTGCCGCTGGGCAAAGGCTAGTGCATTAAGACCCACGAGTGAGGAGACGTGGGAGGACCATCCACTTCCAGAGTGTCAGGGGCAGCAGGGAGTCTAGAGGCCCTCTGCTTCACAGATGAGGGCCAGAGAGGAGTGCAATCGTCTGCGCTGAGAAAGTGATTTCTCCCATTAATAGAATGCTTTCTATTTCCAGCATTTCTATGTGCTCCCTCTTCACCTTCACAGAGTCCCACTGTGACATCCATGTGAGTTATCTGCACACACATGCACACATATGCATATGTACTCATACATACACATTCACACACACACCGAGAGATGAAGCAGGAGTCACGAGCCGTCGTGCCTTGCCCGAGCTGGTCGGAAGCAAGGTGAGCTGCAATCCCAGCTCTGAGGCTCACTGCTCCTCCTGTAGCCAGACTCAGGGCACAGGACACAGGCAGCTTTGTTTCACCTAGAAGGCCCAGGGCTAAGTGCTCCCAGCAAAACAGATTACAGTGGCTGGGAGGTGAATCCAAGGGTGAGTTTTCTTCCTGGCTAGAAGTGGAGGGGCTGTCCCGGTCTGTGCTCTGGGAGACAGAAGGGGCTGCCTGCTTTCTGGTAACAACTCAGGGGAAAGGCCTCCATGGTCATACAGCTTCAGGGCCAGATCCGAAACCAGCCAGTGCTGCCCGAGGACAGAGGCCTCTGCCTGCTGGTAAGGCTTGCAGGTAGACGGGCAGGGAGTTTGCTGGGGCAGCTGGGTCCTGGCTGCCCTCAGCTCCTGGTGCTTTGCTGGAGGACAGGCAGCTGCCTCTGGCAGGGAGTGAGATGGGCAAAAGAGTGTGCTGGAAAAATGTTCTGTGCTGTGGTGAGCTTGGTGAGACTCCCTGCTGGACACGCGACGTGTTTCTCTCTGCAGCCTCAGACAGGCAGGCCGAGGAAGCAGATAAACAGGCTCTTGGGGGCTGGGTGTGAAGGACACAAGGAAAAGACAAGGGGGGGGGGGGATGAAGAGGTGGCATGTGCAAACATGAAGCCAGAGAACACAAGTCCAACGGGATAGACAACACGGAATAACTGGGGACCAGAGGGCCTGGATGAAACTGATTTTAAGACTACCACCAGTTCTGAAATCCCAGGAGTCAGGAGACCCGTGTTGTGCGTTCCTGTCTCAGCTCTGCCACTGACCAGCAACGTGACCTTGATGGCATTGCTGCAGCTCATTTTGGGGGGTTCTCTCTCCTCATCGGTAGACGGCAGTGAGATGGAGGTATGACGGGATGAAGGGGCTAAGTTGGATGCTGACAATCTTTAAGTGCAGCTGGAGCATTCGACCCTCACATCGAGGTGACCCTTGATTGCAAATGAATTGCTTCCCGAAGGATGGCTCAAGTCAGGAGCCTCCTGGCACCTTGAAAGGTGCTGTGGAGATGGTGTGGGTTAGCGCTGGGCTGACGGTTGCCAGGAGGGTGACCTTAACCTTTCTCGAGGTGACAGCCCTGAGCTGTCATAAGGCAGGAGTGATGGGGAGCAGGGGCAGCAAGTTGCTCTGGAGAAATACCCTAGGGGGCTGCTGCAGGGATTTCTCTGTACAGATGTGCAGTGGGACAGAACCTGGACCGGTGGCCAAGAAAGGGCAGGGGCATTCTTCCAGAAACAGCTTCTGGAAGAAACACCTTGGATTCTGGCCTGTGATTTAACACAGGGAGGTTGTGAACCAAAGTGGAGAAGTGGGAAGAATGCTGGACTCGGAGTCCTGGGTTCCAGGGAGATCCTCTATTGTGGATCTCAATTTTCTCACTTAAACATGAGAGGATGTAATTAGACCATTCCCAAGGTTCCTTCCAAACCTCGCATTCTGCTAAAACCATCCGTGCTGCCTCCAGGATGCCCGCAGGGCTCAAGCACCTGCTCTTGAAGGAGCAGGCTGGGCCCTAGGTGGGGCAGGCAGGACGCCCCAGTCACCAGTTGCACTGGAGCAACTGGCATTTCACACAAGCCACTGGTGCAGTACAAAACATGCTCTTATGAGGGAGTGGGAGACCAGGAAGTTGGAGGACCCCTCGGAGGATGGAGGTGAGCTGGAAGAACAACCAAAGCCCTGCCACTGTGCTGTAGCCGCTGCCCTTGACAGGAGATGGGCTGGAGCCCTGTTCTGGGGTTGGATAGCTTTGGCCCGAGAGGCTGTGACTCTGTGGCTGTTATATCTCTTTAAAGGGGGCAGCCTGCAGGTGGCTGGTGTGACATCTGCTTCCTGACATGTGTCCCAGAGCAGGGCCTGCAGTGTGGCAGGGAAACTAATTTGAGCTGCTGCTCGAGCATGTGTGGAGTGGTGTGATGAAGGGCATCCTGATTTGGAACTTTTGATATTTTTTCCCCTTCCTAAATTGGAGGGTGTTTCCATAATTGGCCTCCTGGGAAGTGCAAATGAGTCTGATTTTCTATTTTTCAGAGCCTACCATCTCAGGGCCACAAGTCGAAAATGTAAACGGATCCTGATTTTGTTGTCAGGAGAGGCAGGCCACATGCACACTGCTCAGGGCACATGGCTCTGAGGCCTGCAGGCTGGGCACCCTCTCCCTGCCTCCCCCAGACCTGTGCCAGAGCCGAGACTGTAGGGCCTCCCCCATGGAATGCCCTCCGGGAGGGCAAGTCGACCTCCCAGGCGCTGTCTCCTGTGTTACCACGCTCAGCACACTCCCAGCTGCCCCTCCCTCAAGGCCAGACAAGGCCAGGCTCTTCTGAGCTTGGTTTGCAGGCTCTGCACTTCTTCCCATCTGGGTCCCAATTTTTGTCTTGGGATGCTCTCAGTCTCTGGGTGAAGTTGAGCAGAAGGAAAGGCATGGGAAGATATTCCAGGTGTGATAACAGTGTAAGAAAAGGCCCAGCAGTAAGGATGGGACACCTGAAGCACCTAGGCAGGGACCCCTCTCTGGGAGAAATGTTAGAAGGGCCAGTTTAGGGTAGGAGAAAGAAAATGGAGTCTCCCCAGGCAGGACTCTGGACCACTCAAAGTTGGTCTTGTAGAACCAGCTTGTCACACAGCCAAAGGTTGAAGATGGTTGAGTCAGAGACCCAGGCTTGGAGGCAGTCTTAGGGTGCTGACGTAGTTTGGATTTGTATCCCCACCCAGACCTCATGCTCAATTATAATCCCCAGTGTTGGAGGTGGGGCCTGGAGGGAGGTGACTGGATCATGGGGGTGGATCCTTCATGAATGGTTTAGCACCTTCCCTTTGGTGCTGTCCTCATGAAGGAGTTCTCACGAGATCTGGTTGTTTAGAAGTTTGTAGTACCTCCCCTGTCCTCTCTTCCTCCTGCTCTGGCCATGTAAGATGTGCCTGCTTTCCCTTTACCTTCCGCCATAACTGTAAGTTTCCCAAGGCCTCCCCAGCCATGCTTCCTGTACAGCCTGCAGAACCATGAGCCAATTAAACCTCTTTTCTTTATAAATTACCCAGTCTCAGGTATTTCTTTATAGCAGTGCAAGAATAGACTAATACAGGTACCCAGTTACAACCTCTCATTTTTCAAATGAGAGAAAACTGAAGCCCTAAGAGGCACCACATCCTCTTGAGGTCACACAGCTTGTCAGTGGCGGGGCCCAGATGAGGACTCAGGACTTCTGATGTCTCACTGAACCTCCACAGCCCCTCCTGTCTGCACCAACCTCTGCCCACCTCCAGAGGCAGAAAAGCATCTTCACCTCTCATGGGGTGCTAAGTGCATACAACTCAATTTAGGGACACTATGGCATGGAAGAGAAGGTAGTTGAGGGGAAGGTATCAGCACCAACCAACTGAAGGGAATGTGAACAAGCCTCTAACCTCTCTGGACCTCAGTTTCCTGATCTGTCGACTGTGCTGAACAGTACCTGTCCCCCAGGGTTGTCGTGGACATAGATGGAAAGGATGACTATAAAAGCTTCTGGTAAATATTCAGGTCATACAAATACATTTTCAAGTACAGTTGACTTATCAGCTCAGTGAAATAGGCATGCAATGTATTTGTTTTTTGTTGAGTGATTCACCCTTCTGTTGAGTGATTCAAGCTGAAAGGTCCATATGCCCTTGGGTCTCACCACATATTCCAATGCAACCCTCAACTGTGGGTGAAGGGATTAAAGGCCTCTATTTAAATAAAATATCACCCAGAGTGGGAATACATTAAGCCATGATCATCCATTAATAGCTGAGCCTAATGAGCTTCCACATTTAAGTCCAGCTGTCGCCCAGCAGGCTGGGGACTTAGGACAGATACAATGCGATGGGTAAAAGAAGCCATCCAGGAGCAAGGCCAGGATGTAGCAGGCCCTCAGGAAGACAGGGGGAGGTGTGGCAGGATGTGGGTCTCGGGAGGAGTCCTGGTCAGTTCAGGGGGAGCAGGAAGACCCAGGACCCTGCTGACAGTGGGGAGGAGTGGTCAAAAGGAGGGGGTACTCATTGAAGAGGGGAAGGGGACCCAAATCTACCTTTACCAAATTTAGTTCCATAAACCCAAGGTTGGACTTACAAAGTACTCAGGGGTCCCATCACACACAGGATGAGCTTAGCAGCTAGCAGCGTGAGGGGAGGTGGCTTCATCTTGCCCCTCCCAGCCTGTCTGTTGAACAGAGCAGACACCAGTATCCCTACTGGCCAATCCCCATGGCCCTTCCCATGGGCTTCTAACGCTCCCTGCCCCGGGCCCCCTTCTCACAAACTCCCTTCCCAAAGATGGGCCTAGGACCCACCTCAGGGATGAGAACTCACCCACAGTGGCCGCCATGCCTGGGGAGAACCGGTCCTCACAGAATCTCCTCAGGAAGGATGTCTTCCCCACCGCGGAATTGCCCACGAACACAATCTTGAAGAGCCGGTCAGGGGCAGAGGGAGAGCTTTCCTCCTGTGGATGGCACACAATCTGACCAACTGCAGGGAATAGTCTTGCCAGCCCCTGCCCCTGCCACCAGAGGCCCTTTACCCATCCCTACAGTGGCCCTCAGGAGGTGCAGACCGGCCTCTAGACCTGCACCAGGAGGCTGCCACAGCCTCAGAATGCAGTGAGCATAGTCGGTCTTGGGGCATGGAGGCTTTTTCCAGCATCCGCAGGAGGAAGGAGAAACAGCCACCCAAGCGACATTTGCTGTCTGCCTCCTGTGGCAGGGAGGCAGAGGCCAACCCTGGATTCCAGTGGGGTGGAGGAGGCAGCACGCTCACGGATAAGGACAACTCGGTGCTCCAAGTGTGACGGGGCACAGAGGAGGGGATCTGAGCGGTGGCTTCAAGAGGGGGCAGGAATTCTTTCTGTGGGGAAGGACAAGGTGGGGCGTTTGCACGGAGAAGGAGAGAAGGACGAAAGAAGGCTTATCCACATCACAGGGACAGAGACGTCCCAGGTTGGGACAGGGAGCTCCTTATTTCTGCCCTATCCTCGGAAGCCTGGACTAAATGGAGGATGCTTTTGCCTCCCTCTCCGTCCATCTTATCGGTTCCCATCGAGGCACTGCCATCTTCCTTGGGTAACTGAGGCACGAGGGTCTCCACTTAGGAAGCTGGGAAATGCTAGGCTGCTGGGCAAAGCTTCCCAGAGTCAGCCAGTCACTGCTGCCCTGTCTCTTGGGCCCAGCAGAGGGAAACGGCTGGGACAGGAAAGCCCAGAGGGGAGTGAACTTGCTCTAGGACAAAAAGCAAGCAGGAGGTAGAGTAAGGAGCCACCTTCCAGCACAGCGTCCTTCTGAGGAATGATCATTCATTCCAGGAGCTGCCGCTCAAACGCAGGCATCTTGCCTTCAGGCCCAGCTCAGCGTTGCCTGGTCACATGGGGAGGCTCTTTTGAATCTATTTAAAAGTGAATTTGGGGGAATTAGCTCCTCTCATTGAGCAAATACTATAATGTAGTGGCAGGTGTATTAGCAGTACTTGAGTTTCAGATAAAAAGCCATTAACTGCCTTTTGGAGAGAAATCAATTCCATGCAGTATTTAGGAGAGAATTCAAGGTCATCTACAAAAATTTAAACTAAAAGTTAAAAAAAAAATAACAACCAACCTGCACTCAAAAACTATGCCTCCTGCCCCATTTTCTTTATTCATGCAATGCACAAGGGCACCAACTCTCTGCTGGTCCCTGTACTTTTAATTGTTATTTATTTGAGACTAAAACTCAATGTATCAATCTAATACACCCAAGCACAGTACAGGATAGGGAAGGTAAAACCCAGGATGGCAGGCAATGGTCCTGGTGGTAGAGGTGTTGCCTGATCCTTAGCCCTGTGACCACTGCCCCTCCCCAGGCAGAGCACTTTGATTTTGCAGGCAAAAGCCCATAGACACAGCAATGGCTCAGTGTCAGGCAGGACTCACCTCACAGGGGCAGCAAACTCTCAGGTATGTTCATGCACTTAACCCACTGTCCCCTCTGGGGGACAGGCCACCTGCCACAGGACAATAAGATGGCTGGATTGCGGGGAGGGGGCTGGAGAAGGAGTACCTGGCTGGCAAATCAGAAGATCTCTTCTCACCCTCCCTCCCTTCATGCTTTTTAATTTAAAAAATAAGGCTTTAAGAAATAAAATGTATGCTAATTTTTAAAATTAGGAAATACACAAAAGTAGAGAGGAAATTAATTCTTCATAGTCTACCCTACCATCCTGAAATGGTCACTATTCATATCTTTTTATTTTTATTTTTTAAGAGACAGGGTCACATTCTGTTGCCCAGGCTGGAGTGCAGTGGTGTAATCATAGCTCACTGCAGCCTTGAACTCCTGGGCTCAGAACTCCTCCTGCCTCAGCCCCTGGAGTAGCTATGACTACAGGTATGCATCAACACGCCTGGCTAATTTTCTTATTTTTTGTAAAGACTGGGTCTTCCCATGTTGCTTAGGCTGGTCTTGAACTCCTGGCCTCAAGCTATCCTCTCAACATGGCCTCCCAAAGTGCTGGAATTACCACCATGGCCTCCCAAAGTGCTGGGATTACCACCATGGCCTCCCAAAGTGCTGGGATTACCACCATTTTACCAATTCATATCTTGATGCATTCCTTCCAACTTTTCTTTATATCATCTTTGTTTTATTTACAGAAATTTGAGATATATAAAATTTTATCCTACTTTATCATATATTATTAACTTACAAATTTTTTTAGTCATTAAAGAGTTTTGAAAATACTTTTAACAGCCGTATAATATTCTAGTGAATTAATATACTATGCCTTATGTCCCTATTATTGGACATTTTTTTTAAAATTGTTTGCTATTATAAATAACTCTTGCATTCTTGAGTTAAATCTTTGTCTGATTTTGGTTATTTCCTTATGAAGAATTCCCAGCAATAGAAGTGCTGGTTCAAAGGATATGGTATTTTTAAGTTTTTGATTCATATTACCAAATGGGTTTCCAGAAGGGTTGTACCAATTTACACCTCACCAGCCTTGTATGGCACGGCCTGCCTTGCAGTAGCCTTCAAACGAGCGTACCTTCTCTTGCTGGAGCTGTTATGTGGCTGCTAGTGAATCATACTTCTTCCCTGCTGCAGTTCCTGTTCCCAGCAAAACGGCAGCAGGACCTCGTGGAGTGGGCACAGAAGTGAGAGAGCTCAGTGAGGAGGGCTGGACTCCCCATCACTGTGGGGCTGGCCTCTCTCCCCTCTGAGCTCTGACTTTCCCATCTGTCAATGGGGAGAATAAATTTCTGATCTGACTCATCAGATAGCGGTGAGGATAAAATGCCATAGCAGATGTCTGAGCAGACGCTTAAGCCTTTTTCTTCAACCCCAGCTCCTACTGACCTCTTCTTTCACATTTTACGGGGACATCTTGGAGTTATATAAGACCCTATTTGTACCCACTGCCAGCAAGTGTAGGTCTGTGCATTGAAGGGGATGTGGAAGGGCATGCAGGAGGGAGGGGGACCCCACATTGGTGCCACCCAGCTCTCCACTCTCCCCTGCACCAGGGCCCTTGAGGAGTGATCTGCAGGCATGAGTCTTAATCCTGGCCTGAGAATGGTAACCTATGCCGGGAAGTCCATTAGGTAGCTCACACCCTACTGCAGCCACTGGGAAAAGTTCAAGGCGGCAAAGGCTCAGTTCTCAATGGCTGCCGCGGCGTGCAGGGCGGAGCCTCTTTCACACTGCCGTGGATCGTTCTAAACTGTTTCAGAAGGCGGAGTGCAGGATGAGGGCTCGAGGGGCCTATTCCGAGGCCTGGGTCCCAAACGAGGCAAAGAGCATCTATCACCATGAGCCAGAGGAGCCGCTTTTCATATGGTCTCCCTTTTCCTACAGAATTTAGCAGGAAGACCTGGTGGGCAGTACAGGGTCACACTGAAGGGAGGAGCAGGCAGGGAATGTCGGGATGAAAGTGTGATTCGCTGATTAAGAACCAAGAGAAAAATGATGGTATGCAAACTTTCTAAAGCAGAACCTGCCTCTGCTAAGAGCAGTTACAAAGCCTGCAACTTTAAAAGTGTAGGAAATTGTATGCGAGGAGCTTGGCATACAGTCTAGCTTAAGTAGGTGCCCAGTTAATGCTTTTGAATCTGAATCGGAAGAGAGAGCACAGGGTCGGGAAGGGGGCAAACAACGGTGGGATGTGATGAGGTTTCTCTTCAAATAATCTGATCAATCTTTTCTTCTTTAATTCAATTTTCTCAATCCCCAATTTTCTCCTTTTTTTCCTTCTTGCCTTTGTTAAATGCCCAGGCACGCCACAGTACCAAGCGTTATCAGTACCAGCTCACATTTCTTTCCTTATTTGGAAAGGGGACTCACTTTCTGGCTCATTACACACACCCCTTCCCCTTTCCCTCCACTTTCTTTTACGTGCCCACCCTATCTAAAAAAAAAAATCAAATGTTTAGCCAGCCAGGATTAGTTTAGATTGTATGACCCGACCCCGGCCAATGGGGAAGGACTTGCGTCAGAAATAAAGGCTCTCGTGCCCCTTTGTTGAGGTGTGCTCTCATGGTAACTGGCCAAGAAGGCACCCCTCTGCGAAGAAGTAGAACTGCTTTGCTAAGAATCCTTTGTTCAAATGTTCAGTTTCCTTAGGATTTTGAGCGTTATTACAAACACAACAGAGGTCTAAGGAGAATTTATCAGGACCCCTGAGTCTCCCCGCATGACACTCAGCTAAGCAGGGGAAAGTGGTATTTGGAGGACACATATGTGGTGAATCATAAGACCTGCAGCATCTGACCTCCTGAGCTGCCTCTCCGGGCGCTTGGCCTCAAATGCAAGAGACAGATCATAGAAGTGATGTGCATGAACCAAGGTAGGCTGTGCCCTTACCTTACACAGGGCTTCTTTTCCAACAGGCTGCCCTCGGGGGGATGTGGGGGTGAGTTTCAAGGGTGGGGCCTCCGGGATTTGTCCCTGTACCCCCTGGTCAGAGACCTCTTCCTCTTCTGAGCATTTGCTCAGGGGTTGCTCAAAGCCACCATCCAGGAGCTGGGGCAGGGGGTCTTCTTCAACGGAGATGATTCTGCGGAGCGGCCGGGGGTACGGACCCCCAGGCCCTGGCTCCCCGGTTCCTGGCTCCTCTTCTGTTAGGGGATATCCACTCAGGCCCAGGGAGCTTCTCCTTGGGATGCCAAACACCTCCTCCTCCTCCTCTGACTGGCTACTGGGGCGGGGAAGAGAGAAGAGTTGGGAGGATTTCACAAAATATTTCAATACGGGCTGCATAACAGCTTTTGTGACGAACAGATACCCAAGGAGCATCACACCTTTGGACAAGAGCAGTCCGGGAGAGGGAAAAACAAACCAGCCAGCATTCTGCAGCTCATTCATTCAACACGCTTCCACTAAGTGCCTGCTGCCACTGCTGTGGCAGATGATGACAAAGATGATGATGATGATGACCAAGTATTAAGTAAAGATGCCATTTACAGATGGACATAATCCCTGTCCTCACAGAATACTTGATTTAGTGGGGGACTAAAGCAATAATGACACAAATAAATACATCCTTTACAAATTGTGAGACTGCTGTGAAGGAGAAGGAAAGGTTGTGAAGAAACGTGTCTCAGACTCAGATTTTAATAAAGCGCCCCCGATTAACATTAGCAGATGACCTTGGCTCTGCCCCCAGCGCCAGCCCTTACTCACTGTGTGTCCTTAGGTAGGACACTCCAACTCTTCAGACCTTGCTGTAAAACGTGGCCCATCTGCTCTATTCCCAAATAAGTCAATGCATAAAAACAGACATGTTTGCAAAACATCCTCAGCAGTGTGAGGGGTGCTGTTGCTTTGGGAGGGCCCCCCACCTCCAGACATAGCAGGTCTGCTGGCTCACAGGCAGCTTCCCCCTAGACAAGAGGCTTTGGGTCAGAAGAAAGCCAGGCAGAGCATCTCCATCCACCTCTCCTTCCTCTCCCTTTCTCTTCCCCTTTCTGTATCCCTAGAAGTCACAATCAGGAGTAAGTGGCTCAGAGGCCTAAATATCTTCTAGAAGCATTTGAGCACTAAGGGCAAGGAGAAGCTGTAGGCAGTGCAGGGAATCGGGGAACTGGATGTGGGGGTCAATGCAGGGTCTGTATTTTCAGTAGGTTTTGAGAGCAAAGGCCTCACAGAAATTGTCTTAAAGGAAGTTTGACAGGGAGGACCTTAAGTCCAGAATTGAAACACACACACACACACACACGCATGCAAGCATGCACACAGACTAGAAAAGAAAATGGAATGGGGATGAAGCAGTGGGGTGATAGAGCCAAAGGAGAAAGGAACTAAATGAAGGACACAGAATATGCAGAACAGAGAAATACACTTTCTTTTGCTCCCTAATTTAAAATATGTATTACTCTTAAAGATCAACAGTAGAAAGGAAAAAGAAAAAAAAATGCAGGTATCACCATCCTGAAATTAACTGCGATTCTGCAAGATAAATTACGATATAGTGCTTGCTTGAAGAAAGGGTGAATTAGTTTGGATTCCTTGATATGAAAAATAAAGGATTTGCAGCAATTAAAGCACCTTTCCTTTGACTTATAAAAACAGTTTTAAAAAAGCCAAATGTCTTCTTTCCAGCAAACTTCCTATATATTGCATCAAGCTTATTAAGTGCTTATTTGTTTAAGAACACAATTGGTATTCCCATCTACTTTTACTCTGCTTACACACACACAAGTGACTATTTGTATGTACACATGAGCAACTACGCATACACACACACAGAGCATGTTTTTTCAAAGGCTTTGCAACCAGAAAAGAAATAGTCACTTAAACAGGCATTAAAACAAAGCATTTCTTGGAAAAAGCTTTCTGTCTGGGAAATTCTCAAGCACTACTGCCATTCTGTAATACCTGCATCACGGCATGACTGAGTTCATTTTTGGTTTTACCACCAAGTGCTCTCTGCCATCCGTAGGGACAGCAGCTACTTTTGTCAAAGTCTGCATTAGAATTCAGGGCTCACAATTTGTTGCTTACTTGATTATTGTCTGCTTCTTCCACTCAACCAGAAATTCAATGACACAGAGGTAGGTCCATTTGGCTCACTACTGTATATCCAGCAAAGAGCACAGGACCTCACACATAGTAGACACTCAATAAATATTTATTAAGTGAGCATTTAATAATGGAGATTAATGGTAGGACCTCATGTCTAATTTATTTTTGGAGGCTTTACAGAACTCAAAAGAATGTCTGGTACACAGTAGGTAATCAGTAAACGTCTGCTGAATCAATCAATCAATCCATTCCATTCTGAGGAACCAACAGGCCAACCACTATTGCAGAGATTTGGCTCCCAAATTGTATCTCATTATTCAGCTATTTAGAACAAGAATTCATGATGATCAGGCCCAAAGGTTTTACTGATGAGCTGATTTACATCTCCAGAGTCACTTCCGCTTTGCATATCTTTTTCATTTCATGCTTGCAGTCTTCAAGGTCTCTCTGGGTCTGATACTGAAGAGTCGGGATGCCTCTATCTCTCTGTGGCCATCTATGTGGACACAGCACATGCCAAAATGAAGAGTGGGCAGGGGACTGGTTTGTCTCTCAATGAGCAATGAGCCAACCCTTGGGTACTCAAGCTCAATCATGTGCTGCCCAAGAGCAACAAAATGTGTTATGTTTGAGTTAATTAAATATAGGTCATGGAAACGATCTGTCAAGCACAAGCCCTAGCCTTGTCTGTAAAAGGAGTTAACTATTGGAGATTCTATTTGACAGTTTAATTAACCTTCATAGCCAATATAGTCATGTTCCTAAAAAACCAAGTGCATTGGCCGGGCACGGTGGCTCACACCTGTAATCCTAGCACTTTGGGAGGCCGAGGCGGGCAGATCACGAGGGCAGGAGTTCAAGACCAGCCTGGCCAACATGGAGAAATCCCATCTTTACTAAAAATACAAAAATTAGATGGGCGTGGTGGCGCACCTCTGTAATCCCAGCTACTTGGGAGGCTGAGGCAGGAGAATCGCTTGAACCTGGGAGGCAAAGGTTGCAGTGAGCCGAGATTGCACCACTGCACTCCAGCCTGGGCAACAAAGCAAGACTCTGTCTCAAAAAACAACAACAACAAAAACCCCGAAACCAAGTGCATCCATTCTGCTCAGCAGACAGCAGTGTAGTGCTACCCAGCTACACACTCCCTCCCTCTCCCTTGACCCCTCTCCTCTGCTGCTCTGCAGTCCCTCTCTGCAAACACACAGTAGGGTGGGGCAGCCTCAGAAGACAATGGTCTGTCCTGTGGGGTTTGCTCTGCACATTCCCCCTCTGGCTTAGATGTCAGAACAGGGAGGGGCATGTGTTCCAAGATTTGAGGGGAGTGAGTGCAGCTGACCTCAGTTTCCGCACCTCTCAAGGGGTCAGCAGGCACTGAGTATGGGCCCAGAGCCAGCTCCCAATGAGCCTGAGAGGAATGAAGGGATGAGCAAGTGGAGATGACTTACCTCCTAAGAATCCCTCTGCTGTCCACATATTTGCCTATCACAGAGCCAGATCTCTTTTTCCAACTTGCCCTGGAAGCAGCTGTGTTTGCCTTGGCTGCCTTATTTTTCTGTAGAAACACAAAATGTCCTCAGATCCATGCCTATTTGCTCCGATGTTTGAACAGAAAAGGGCTCATGGTTCCCACCTCATAGACTAGGCTCTACACAAAACTCTGAAAGGAGTAGGCAGTGTTCTGGTCTCCCTGTTAGCGTCTAGCCACTCTTCCCTTTTGCCATCATCCCCTACCAGAATCCCTCCATCTCCTTTCCAGTCAGCTAATCAAATGAACAAGTGCACAGTTTACAGCCTGGGGCCCATCATGCTATTCACAGGAGCACTGATGATTTGTAAAAGGAAAAGAAGAGATAAGTGTTTAATGCATATTTTCTATACATATTTCTAATGCATCTAGAAAATATACATTAAACACTTATCTCTTCTGAAAAAATATATCTATATTTTTGAAACAGGGTCTTGCTCTGTCTTCCAGGTCAGAGTGCAATGGCATGATCACAGCGCACTGCAGCCTCAAACTCCTGCACTCAAGCAATCCTCTAGCCTCAGCCTCCTGGGTAGCTAGGATTATAGGCGCCCTACCATGCCTGGCTAATTTTCTCATTTTTTGTGGAGATGGACTCTTGCTATGTTGTCCAGGCTGGTCTTGAATTCTTGGCCTTAAGTGATCCTCCTGTCTCACTCTCCCAAAGTATTGGGATTACAGGAGTGAGCCACCACGCCTGGTCAGATAGAAAAAAGAAAAAATATTTACAGGCATAAAAAACTCTGTGAATCTTTAATTCACACTCTTCTGTCTGGCTCCAATCCCTTTTTATTTCTAAAGCCTCAGATGTAATGAGAAAGTAACTAGCCAGGAGGATCAATTAACTCAGTGTTCTGTCCTGAGCTAGCATAAGGTAGTTCAGCTCTTTGGTGGAAGTAGGCTGGGTGTAGATAAACTACTAACATCTGTAACACAGGACCTGGGTGGAGCAGGGGTTTACAACCCCCTTTGCCTATGCTCCCTGACAGATGTCTTCCAGGAGATGAGGCGGGGGAGTTAGACTGCAGGAAATCTCTCTCGTTAATTAGCCATCCCATGATTCCCAGTGATCCTTAATGAGAGGAGGGGCTGCAATGCTCCCAGAGCCCCTGAAGGTATGGCTATGCTGATTCTAAATCAATCTTCAATTCTTATTGAATTTATCCCTTTCTTTGATTCCCCACAGAAGTTCTTAATTCCATACCCCTTTCAAAGCAGAATGAGTTTGGCAGGTAAAGGGAAGGGAGGTGAAGGGATTCGGGTGACATTTGGTTGGAAGTTTTAAAATAAATTCAGTGTTACTTCTAAAACAATTATAACCATTATCATCATCAAACAAACATGTGTAGGCTCAAGTCTTGCTCTAATAGTACACACAGGTGGGTGGCAGAGATGTTTGCTGCCAGTCAGCAATGGAAAAGAAACTGTGGCGTAATGCAGTCCCTCAGGGATTTGCAATTATAAAGCAGGTCAGATCTAATTTAGGGCAAACCAATTGCCTTCTGCTGACCATATCTAGGTCACCGTTCAGCTAAGGGTGCAATCCACATCATCCCCTTTCCAAGAATCTTTCTCAAAGATTCCTGTTGTATGGAGGGGGGATGGGAATTCACTTTCCTCGCGTGACAGCGGAGGTCATGGTCCAAGGCAGTAAATGACTTGCCCAGGGACCCACATGAAATTCATAGGATGGTAACCCTGATAATTAGGAAGTCACATCAATCAATTTGGCCTTCATTTTTCTTCCCTTCAAAGCACCCAGTGGCTCCTGTCTAAAGGGAAAGATGAGTAAGAACATGGAATCCTAGGTTTTGGCCAATGTGGTCCACAGTGAAGACCTTCAAATAAATATAGGATTTCATGTCGTTTAGGAAAGTGTGTGTGTGTATATATATATATGTACATACATATACACACACATATACACATACATACATATATATGCACACAGACTATATATATATAGTTTATATATATATTTATATAATATATATTATATATATATTTATATTATATATAAATATATATAATATATATTATATATTTATATTATATATATTATATATATTTATATTAATATATAATATATATTATATATATTTATATTATATATATATATATAAACTGCAGAATGCACTTTGGGGTTCACAGCTGGGAATTTCATCCGTTAATACTAGAGGTGGAGAGGGCAGTCCAGATGACCTCAAAGTGCTTAGCAGTTTTGTGATTCTACGACTCATATATATATATATATATGCACACACTACATATATATAGAGAGAGAGACATGGTACTCAGGTATGGAAGAGTAGGGGTCCCTATAGGATAGAGAAAAATTGTTCATAAAATCAAGTATGAAAACAGTGAAATACACATTTCTAATGTGGTCTATGACAGTATAAAATGCAAAATTTTCATCGAGATAAAAATTTAAATGAAGAAGAACGGTGTGAGCATTTTGGTTTAGAAGTGATAATGACATTTCAACTGCGCCATCTCATGGATAGAACTATCATTTCTGCATCCAAGAAATGTGCGACCCTCCCAAATATTTCAGTCTTGTTGTGCCAAGAGGAAACTGCATTACTCTGTGGAAAATTAACACGTTGTTACCCAGTAGGCCACCCTGAATTTTTATTATTTGCAAAACGTTTTCATGCCGTCATCCTGCCAAATAGATCCCGAGTGTCAGGACATTGCTGGGCCAGTCTCGACATGGATCTGGCTGTCCAGTGGACCACAGCCCTTGGTCCCCCACAGGTAAGGGAGAACTGGCCAATTACCTGAAAACATATGTCCCGTTCATCCCGAAGGTGCTTGTTCCTTTCCCTGTGGATGGTAAAGGGGAATCTATTCAAACATGGAGTTTGCAGTTGACAGATCCAACGGCAGCCAATTTGCTATTCAGATGGGTGCAGGGGAAGGTGTGGTATGGAAGACAGGGGAGTCTGTGGAATCTCCTTCCATAGGGATGTGATTAATGGTAGAGGATAGTTTTTGTGTACAGATAGGTACACACAGATGTGGGGGATAGACTGAATGCCCTTGAGACACCCGTGGCCCATCAGGATTATGCATGGCCTCTCTTATTATTAGGGGCACTGCCTACAGAGGGGACCTCAGCATTCCAGCTCCACCTGGGAGCTTCCTGTTGGGCTCCCTCTTTCTTTCTCTCTGTGCACCATTCATTCATTCATTCACTCATGCATGCATGCACGCATTCACTCAAATGTCTCCTGAGCACCCACTGCATGTCAGGCACTCTTCTAGCCATCAAGGTCACACCAATGACCAAAACAAAAAGTTCCTGCCTCACAGAACTTGTATTTTAGTGGAGGTATAACTGTTATTGAGAAAATAAAGCAGGAAAGTGGAGTAAAAGAAGCCAGAGTGTGGAGTAGTATTTCAACTACAGTGGTCAGTGACGCCCTCACTAATAAGACAGCATTTGCATAGAGCCTTGAAGGAGCGGGAGAAGCATTCCAGGCAGAGGAGAGGCTAGGGCAAAGCCTTGTGCTGGGATACACCTAGTGTGAGCAAGAAATAGGAGGAAGTAGAGTGCCCAAAGGGAGAGTAGTTAGGAGATGAAGCGAGAGAAAAAGTGGATGGTGGTCAGGACCTGTCTCTTCACAGCCCTGTGGGACACTGTACGAACTTTGATTTTTACTCCAAATGAGATATGAAGCCAAGGGGCTGGGGGTGGTGGGGGTGAAGCAGATGGCAAAGAAGTGTCAAGATCTGGCTTCAGTTTTCAAAGGATCCCTCTGGATGGGTGCTAAGAACAGATTGCTGGGGGCAAGCGTGGGGTCCTGACACTTGACGAATATTTTTAGCAACATGGAGGTCATTGGCAACCTGGGTAAGAACCGTTTTTTTGGAACAGCACGGGGAAAAGGCCTGATTGGTGGGTTGAGAATGTGAAGAAAAGGAGTGGAGACAGTGAATGTGAACAACTCTTCTGAAAGTTTTGTTGTAAAGGGGTTGAAGAAATGGCAAAGCAAGTAGCTGGGTGGGGAAGTGAGGACAAGAGTTGTTAGACAAGAAACATTAGAGTACATTTGTAGGTATCTTCAAAAGAGATAAAACTGACAATGGAGGAGAGAAAGAACAAATGCTGGACTAGTCCTTGAGGAGCCAGGAAGGGACAGGCTCTAATTCTAGAGTGTGAGTTGGGCACGGGGGTAGGGGGTGGCCTCTGTGACGAGTATGGGGAGTACATCCACCGTAACAGAGAAGAAGGCAGAGACATGGGCATGGGAGGAAGCTCTTATTGCATGGTTCCAGCTGTGAAACAGGAGCAAGCGTGAGGATGGAAAAGGAGGAGTCTTTTTTCCAGGACTTAAAGTAGGAGCAGTTGGGAAAGTGAGTTGACTGGGTCGCAGCGCGACTGCAGAATGCACTTGGGGATCACAGTGGAGAATTTCATCCGTTAACACAAGAGGTGGAGAGGGCAGGCCAGATGACCTCAACGTGCTTAGCAGTTTTGTGATTCTATGACTCTTCTGGCCAGTGGCCTCTGAACAAACCCACACTTTTGAAGGGCAAGGGAGGGCACAGCCATGGTTAGGCCCTGATCATCATAATGCAGCCATTTATGGAGCACTTATTGTGGGCCAGGCGCTCCGCTAAGTGTGTTGTAAACTATAGAAAGAGATTTTAGGTGGGGCCTGAGGTGTCACCACCTGGGCAACTGACTTCCAATTCCACCAGTCTTGCAGAAAACATTAGGAATGTGCCAGGGTTGTTTTCAGTTACCTGCATGAGGTGAGCAGGCAGGCACACAGCCAGGGCCTTCAGAATAAGTCAGGAGGGACATGGAGGTTATTTCACAAGTCCTGAGAATGGCAAAGTGAGCTGCTCATGCCAGAGGGATCCTCGCTCCGCGCGGAGCTGTGAGTTAGCACCCTTGCACATGAGCAAGGACCTTGGGAGACCTGGAAAGTCCCACCGTTTTTTGGAAAGCAGGCTGCATTGTTTCCTGCTTTGTGGCTTCCTGCTTTATGGGGATGTAGCCATCCCCATACAGAAGCCTCAGTATTTAAAGAAACATATCTGCTTTTGTTTGCATCGCTGCTCTACTGTGATTCCTACTCACATGTATCATCTAATTCTCAAAAGAAGCCTGTCAGCTAGGCATGGGAAAATTAAGACTCGGGTTGGTTAAGTCAACTGCCCAAGGTCACACAAGCTAATGAGAGGAAGTGCTGGGTTTTGAATCAGATCCAGCTTCAAAGTGCATGTTCCTAATCAAGTGCCCTGAAATTGCTTGCGTTTGTACCCAATGTCCTTCGGATGGCAGCCCTTCTCACCCCGTCACACCCCAGCTGTTGTCCTGATTCCACCACCGTCCCACCCCTACCCTCCCCTGACATTCCCGCTGTCCCCCACCCCCACCTCAGCATTATCTCTCCCTTGATTCCTGGTGGTTTCACTGTGAAGGGGAGATCTGCCATAAGGCCTTCCCTCCACCTCTCAGCTTTCATTAGCCATTGGGGCTTAAGCTTGGTAACCCTGGATCGATGGCACAGAAAGGCCTCAGGCCTTTTGTGATTCTGCACAAATGCTAGCCTCCATTAAAAAGACCCATAAGTATTTGTAGAGAGCTGCCTTGTCATTCTCCCCTGCTCATTCTCTTTGAATCTACCCTTTCATTTTTTTCTAAATGCAATAGAAAAAAAAGACCCCAAACTTGTCCTTATACGTTTTGTTCTCTTCCTTTTACTAAAGTCTTCCTAAGAATCAAGACCTTCGCGCAAATGGATTATAGCCTGGTCACCTAAGAACCCCTTTACATGTTCCCTGGCTCTGGAGGCTGAATCATGTACTGAGCACAATCAATCTGAAACGCATTCAGGTTAAAGCACTTTTCCATTTGGTAGCATCATAGATGCCAGACACAGTGAGCTTCCCTTGCTTTCACAAAAACAAAAACCTTCATAACATAACTAGGAAGTGATTCAAAACCACTTGCACTTCAAAAATCAGAACCCAAAGTCCTTCTGTTTCCTCACCATTCCCCAAGAGGTGCTCAGCAGGCAGTGACTTAGAAACTTCATGGGCAACATCAAAAATTCCATCTTTCCCCACACGGGTTTGTCTTTCTGAGGAGGGGAGGGTGGTGCACATTCCAGACCAGTAAACTTTGAGTTTATTGCTGGGGGTCTTTGAAGGCTGAGAAAGCTTTTTCTTGGTGCTCTGTTTGTGATTCATTTACTCATTCAACAAACATGAACAGAACACAGCCGAGTTACGGATTTCCATTCTGGCCCCATCAGAGAGTAGCTGTGTCGCCTGTGGTAAATTACTTCTTTCCTCTAATATCAACTTCCCATCAGTAAATTCCTGTGAATGAACTGCCCTACTCACCTAACAGTTTTGCTGACAATGAACGAGATAATATTTCTAGCATAGATTAAATGCTCATTAAACCCAGCTCTGCTCGCATGAGATCAAGTACCAAGCACAGTCCTGTGAGGGACTCAGAGGAGTGGGGCAGAGCCTCCCCACCAGGAGGAATAAACTGGATGTGGGCGCATGTGTAAACGGACCAAACATAATAGAGTGGCTACTTGGTGGTCCAAACACTGCACTGGGGACCAAGGGAATTGAGGGCACTCTCTCAGCAGGCACGTTTTTCCAGCACGTAGGCAAGGATGACCCTCAGACTGGTCCTTCCGACCCCAGGCTTCTGGGAGGTGCTCTCAGCACAGGCCAGTGCCCACCGACGCACCTTAGGAAATCCAGCTGCTTGAGGAGCCCGGCCTTCTCACGCTGTAGACTCTCCGTCACACGGTACACTTCCCTGAGGAGGAGGCAAACACATGGCAGTGAGCTCCCAGGTGGAAGCCGGATGCCCGGACCCCTCATGCTGGAGACCAGCAGGTGATGCCGTGCTGGGGATGGAGGGCATTGGAGGAACGTGGCCTCCTCCTGGAGAGCTCCTACAGTATGCAAGTGCTTTGGGCATCACACATGGCCAATTTGGGAGGTGAACTTATCCTCATTTCACAGACTCTGACCATCAAAGAAGTCTGCTAAGTCTTTCCAGTTCACACAGACAATCCGCGACTGAACCAGGGTCCCCTCCTAACCCCAGACCCAGCTCATTCCACAGCCACTTCACATGCCACCTGTGAATAGGCTGGATGGTCACTAAAGAGTTGGTCCAGGCTCAAAAACCAAACACCACATGTTCTCACTCATAGGTGGGAATTGAACAATGAGAACACGGACACAGGAAGGGGAACATCACACACCAGGGACTGTTGTGGGGTGGGGGAAGGGGGGAGGGATAGCATTAGGAGATATACCTAATGCTAAATGACGAGTTAATGGGTGCAGCACACCAACATGGCACATGTATACATATGTAACAAACCTGCACGTTGTGCACATGTACCCTAAAACTTAAAGTATAACAATAATAAGATAAATAAATAAATAAATAAATAAATAAAAAAGAGTTTGTCCAGGCTCCAAACTGCCCTATCCTATCCAGACTTCAGGGAATTCAAATCAATATTCTTCTCCAGCCAGATCTTGAAGGGTGAGAGCAGAATTTGTATTACCTTCCCTCCCATTCTCACCCCACCCAGAGGCTGGTTCAGTATGTTTTTAGGAGCTCTGGAAGAATCACCTTCTCTTTCCCACCCTCCTCCCAAAGTCTCCAGATATCTGGGCTTTTCACTATTGGGCACTCATTTCTCTGACTTATGATCCAGCTGTAATGCAGAGATTGAATGTATCTATTATAATCATTGATATCACTGTGCAAACGTGTTAATTATAACAGGAGTTGTGAGGAAAGGAAGAGAGAGGCAGGGAGGCTGTGAATCAGGGCAACTAGAGGGCAACTCAGGTGGGGAGGTAAGGGCTGTGTCTGGTTTGTTTACATCGATACCCTCAACACAGTGCCTGGCATGGAGGTGTAATCAGCAAATAGTTGTAGGAAGAAAGAAAAGAGAGAGAGTAAAAGAGGTGAGGGGGAGCAAAGAAGGAAGAAAGGGAGGGAAGGAGGAAGAGAGGAAGGAAGGAATGAAGGAAGGAGAAAAAGGAAGAAAAAAGAGGAAGGAAAGATGGGGTAATTGGGGAGGTCTTCAGCATCACTCAGGGAAGAAAGGAAAGAAAAAAATAAGCACTTAGGTGATAATGGGAAACTGGCTTAACTTCACAATTCTGTCTTCATTTTTCCTTCTGTGTTCTATACCATGCTTTAGACATTTTTTAATCACCCTCCGATCTTACTACAAGGGTTCATAGTTTCACGTTTCCAAACTGCAGCACAGCTTTTCATGTAGGGAGCATCTCGCAAGTTGATACAGGCGTCACTTTCCATGGGCTGTCAGGGCTGCCAGGCTGTGCACACACTGGGCTGGGCAAGGACCCCACTGCCACCCCATCAGTATCATTACTGAGCTGGCAAAAACTGCACCAACATGCTGGCCCACAGGACTCTCCTGCCAAGCTCCTATTAACCTGATTCCTTAAGCACGATGTTTCTTTTTTTCCCCACTTTATAGAATAATTGCAAAGTTAATTTACAGCAATAACAGGCTGAATGAAATTCTAAGTTCAACTCAGACAATTCCAATTGAGCAACAAACTTTCTCTGGCTCCTGCAGAGATGCAAATTCCTGACATTTTATTACCAATTATATTTAATTTCAACTTGAAGTAAAACAATGTATTTCCCATTATCCAAACTGGGTCTCTAAACCCCTGTCTGGGACTCTGCTGTGATGAGTGCTCCGTGAGCAGAGCTGCCCGCTCCCGACTCTGAGCCCTGGGAGCTGAAGATCCTGGTGCTGTGCTTTAGGGTCCCCCCACCCCACCCTGTGTCCTGCCTCTCTCCAGGGGTGGCCAGGAGCTCACAGCTTTTTCCTCTGCTCAGGAAAATCATTCACCAGGGACTTAAGGTCTGGGTTCTCACGGAGCGTTTTACCAAATAGCCAGTTCCCAAATTCTAAGTCTTCTCTGGCTCTGCATACACAGCACCAGTGACCACTGGAGCTACATATCCATACATATGTATTAGAAATACATGTGAATACAGGTACTGTTCTATTTGTCTAGTAAACATATATCTGCTTGGATATTTGTACATCCATATATACACACATATATTCAGAAATATATTTTTGTGTCAACAAAAGAAAGGCACTTCTGAAAAAAGAAAGACACTTAGATATTTGACTAAATGACCTCTAAAGTCCTTCTAACCTAGAGGTTCTAAAAGTGTATACATGGGTAATATGTAAACTGAAAGGGAAAGAACCTGCGTTTGTTTGGAGTGGTAATTGGTGAGGCGTTTATGGTTACCCTTAGGGAACTGCTATTGGCTGTTTTAGGGGAGGGATGCGCTATGGAGCACTTCACAAGCCATACTGTCAAGTGAAAAATGCAATGCTAATGCAGAACAGTATGCTTAGTATGCTACTGATTTATAAAGGAAAAGTGTGTGTGTATGCATGCGTGTGCACGTGTGTGCACGCACATATATGTGCCTGTGCCTGCATATACAGAGCATACTCTCAAAGGATCCACAAGAAACCATGGCCAGTGGATCTGATGACTGCAGATCGGGGCTATGTGGGGGACACAGACTTCTTTTTGAACGTATAACCTTTTGTGCCTTTTGAATTTCCTGCCTTGTCATAATTACTTACTCAAAATAAAAGTTAATTAAAAAACAGAGTTGCTGCTTCTCAGCTGACCTTCATCTTTACATTATCTCTCTGCTTGATAGTTCTTTCTTTATCTCATTTTAAAATCTACTTCTGCTACCTTGAGCATCTTCAGAGATCAGCAAAATTAATTTTGCCTGTTCAGAATTCTTGCTGATCAGTGACTAAGCCTGTTTACCTCCCAGCTCCACCCTTTCCTCTCCCAGCTGCTCTGCAGTAGCACGGGGCAGCAAGACCCTGTCAGAGAGCATGGGACTATCAGGAGAACTGGGCTCTGTCCTTGTTATCCGGCACTAGCTAGCTGCATGGCTTTGGGCAGGTCACTACACCTCTCTGAGCCTCAGAATCTTCATGTATGAAATGAAGGAAGTGACCCAGAGCATCAAAGCCCTCTCCATCTGCCGGTCTGCAACCCCACTCTATGGAGAACAAGCTAATCCTCTTGCTGCACTGCTCTCCTGGCCTCCCTGGACGGGACATGCTCTCCGGGCCCCAGCATGCTCACCGGCTGCACAAGAAACTGCAAGCTTCTTGAAAACAAGTTTGTGAAGGTTCTGGAGTCATATTTCTCTCTTCCTCCCAACCCTCCCTCCCTCCCTCTTTTTCAATTCCCAGCCTCCAGAGATTGTGTCTCTGGCTTGGTTAATTAAGATAAGACTTCAGAAAGCTTTGAATCCTCATGCTGTGATGTGATGCTCCAGCACTGGGTGTTTATTTCCATTTGCTGTTCTAATGCTTGTGCCTTCAGATGTTTGTTGCTTTTAGAGCTTGATTGAATTTCAAGAGCCTGCATCCTTAATTCTGTTTGTAAAGCTAAATGCCTGTACCTTGTTGACCTGTTCTCAATGAGGAGGAACTGATTTTGCTTGTTCACAATGAAATATGTTGTCCTTCCACAATTGGTCATCCAAGAATTGGAATGGAGGGGCTTATTTTAAGTCAGCTACTTGGGAGTTTTTTTGTTTTTGCTTTTTTTTTAACTAGGGCTATCTTACTAGGGTGAAATTCCCAGCTCAAACATGTCTCCTTCCTTTTACCCCAGGCAATTAGTGCCAAATGGTACAGGATTCCGCACATAAGTCAAACCAGCAGAGCAGTTTTATTTAGGCCTATGGACCAAAATCCTGCCAGCAGTCAGACAGAGTGAGCACCTTCACTTTTGAACAAGGGGAGTTAACATCTATAAAACAAGTTCCGGTAAGTAGCACTGCCCTTTTCCCTAAAATCAGACTTTCAGTACTACCTGGTACCTTTCAGGATCAGACACACAACTACTTTTTTCAGAATAAATGAATGAATGAAGAGTGCATAAACGAATGCGTGAGTAAATGATAGCAAGTCCAACTCTTGTAAGAATATTTTCTGCAGGCTTGTTATTCTCTAGGGAAAATCAGCAAGACGTGCCTAACTCTTAGCATCTTGGGAGAGTTACTTAAACCTCTGAACCTCAGTTTCCTCCTCGATAATAGCAGAACCTGCTATACCAGGATAATTTTTTTTTTTTGAGACGGGGAGTCTCACTCTGTCACCCAAGCTGGAGTGCAGTGGCACGATCTTGGCTCACTGTAACCTCTGCCTCCCAGGTTCAAGCCATTCTCCTGCCTCAGCCTCCCGAGTAGCTGAGATTACAGGCGTGCGCCATCATGCCTGGCTAATTTTTGTATTTTTAGTAGAGATGGGGTTTCACCGTGTTGGTCAGGCTGGTCTTGAACTCCTGACCTTGTAATCTGCCCACCTTGGCCTCCCAAAGTGCTGGGATTACAGGCGTGAGCCACCGCGCCTGGCCCAGGATGATTTAAAGATCAAACGAGAGGATGTCAAATTATCGACATAAGTGAGATATATTGAATGCCCAGCACGGTACCTAGCACAAAATAAATGTTTGCCAAATGAATAAGTCATTGACTATATGGATACATGAATATACAAATAAACAAATGAGAGTCCTCTGCCCTGAGCCTCAGAGTACATTTGTTCTAAAACCTAATACTCCCAAGACAAGATAAATGACTGACTCTTCAGGGACTCCTCCAGCTTAAGGTGCAGACCCAGGCTTGATTCTGCCTCAGGTGTGCCTCTGCCTAGTAAACTAACCCCCATGGCTGGACGATATTGGCAGGTCGGGCCCTGAGAGATGTGGGGTTTCCCCCTACTGGGACCACACAGTTGAATCTGAGGAACATGGTGAAAAAAATGGGCAGAGATGGAGAGGCGAGTCCAGGGCAGTGACACATGCTCCATCAGATCATATGCTGATCCTGGAAGCCTCCCTGCTTCCCTCTGGTCCCTCTTGGCCTCCCAGGTCTCTACACGACCACAGTCACTTAGGATCTGTCTGCTCACTCAGCATTTGCCCACATACTATATAAAACAAGTTCTGGTAAGTACTTGTTTTATATAGTCATAAAGTAACATATGAGTACATATGAGTAACCTCATATTTGTTTGCGGAATAACATGTCTTTGTAATCACAGAATGCATTTTCTGAGAACAGGGCTGTACATTTCTTGTCAATCCTAGGCAATGCTGGACACAGAACTGGTCTGCTTAATAGTGTCAGAATCCTAGAGGAGTGTTAGAAGAGTCTCAGGGAGCAACAAGCCCAAATCCTCTTTTCACAGGCAAGGAGACAGGGTCTCTGAGCGGCGAGGGGACATGCCCATAGTGGGGAGTGGTGCGGGAAGACAGCAGAGGAGTGGACAAAGGCTGGACTCACATCTCCTTCTCTTGGTGGAGTTTGCAGGCCTCTTGCTGGAGGCTTTCCAACTGCTGCTGAGCATCCTGGAGCTCCCAGGAAGTCCGCTCCAGCTCCCGGGCCAGCTCCTGGTTAGTGAGTTTCAGCTTGGTATTCTCAGCCTTGGTCTCATGCTTGTCATGATGCAGGGCTGTGCACTGACCTTCCAGCTGCAAAGGAATGGGGAGCAGAGGGGAATGAGGAGTGACCACCATTTTCAGGAGGGCCTGCCCTGGCCTCACCTTGTTTTCTCTGCTTGGCAGGCAGGAACCGTCACTGCCACCCCTCACTGGCCTCAAGCCTAAATCAGCATTGTCCTCTCCTCAGTTCACACGTACACACTCCTCTAGGCAAGAAGGAGCTTTCAGACACATCTTGTCTCTCCCCTGTCTCCACATAGGACCACTAAATAGTCCAGGAGGAGCTGCTCCACTCAAAAAGACCACTAGCAAAGGAACTTCCACAATCCGTCTGTGTGAATGGCCTTGAGATCTAACCTAAATCCATCTTGTTGTCCTTTAAGCCAATTTCTTTCCCTTGGTCCTTGATGGAGAAGGGGAACAGCTAAATGGCCTGCTTCATAAAACCATCCTTCCCAATTTTGCACGCTGATAGCAAATCTATATATTCCCTTTTCTCCTCTCAACTCCAATTCCATTAATCTAGAGAAGCTTTTAAGGGTAGCCAGAAGCCCTGAAAATTCTTAGGAAATAACTAAAACAGTTCAAACAGAACATAGACCTTTTCTATGTCCCTAAAGCAACTAAAAACCCTGCATTTTTATAGCTTCAGCTTTTCTTGGCTGTTGATTATGCTTTGCAGAGCTTCCAATCCTCTCACCAGAGGAAGAATCAAACCAAGGTACATATATCATAATAAATTTAGTTTAATGAATATGGCCGGCAAGGGGAGGAAGAAGTAACAACAAGGAATTTGGCGTGATTCTCAAGAGGCTCCTGTGTAATCAGGCAAGCATGCAGTAATTAAATCGAGTGGCAATCATTCATTTGAGGGATAAATGTAATTGCTAGGAACTTAATGCATAATAGAGAGGAAGAGAAAGAGTAGGAGAAGCAAGGTACAACTGTGGATGGGGAAATGGGGAGGCAGCTGGCAGTTCCCGGAGTAGAAATCATCTTGCTGCAGAAGGAAAGAGACCTAAATTCATAGCTTGGGTAGCAGCAGCAGTGGAATAGTCTCTAGTCTTAGCAGGGCTGTCTTCAAGTAGATTTTGATGTGCTGCTAAAAATAGCCCTCTCTATTGAAACGGAAGCAATGTGTCTTGGTCTGTCCAGAGCTGGATTCCTTCCAGCACCAGGCACAACAAAACAGGAGGCCAGTGGCACCCTAGCCTGTCTCCCTCAGGAGCCCTTGCTAAGCAGTGGAGGCCACTAAGTAGGAGGCTTGCCTAGGTAGTCAGTCTTTCTGGGGTCGTTAGCCAGGTACTCCCAGCCATAGAGACACAGCCATATAGACACTGCCCTGCAGAGGGCACCACCCAGCCTGCCTCCTGGAGGCTCGGGTACATCAGAGAGGAGTGTCTGGTGTCTGCATCCTTCCTGCAGGGATGGAAGCAGCCACAAAAGATGCCAATGAACCAGTCCAGGCACCACACAGCCAGGGAAGAGACAGGCTGACCTTGGAAGAACCTGTTCCAGCAGAGGTATCCATGGCCATATTCTAGAGGGAAGAAACTTATCTGCAGCCTCCCCCCAGATATAGTGGTAGACAGTGTCTCTTGTACCTCAGCATTCCCCTCTTTTCTTATACAGGAGGCAGGAAACAAATTCAAATTTTGGCATTCTCGTGGCTCCTGGGTATAATTATAGGAACATGTCTGCAGATACCTCGTGGGGGAATGCTCGGCAACTTTTCCAAGTGAAACACCTGGTATTGGAGAAGTAAAGGTTTTATGTTGGGATCACCTGTGATTTTAAATGCTATCTTTTGCGCGACTAAATAGTTCTTCTCAGGTTAAAAACTCAAAAGTCCTTAAGTGAATGGCAGGGAAAGTGGGCAAGAGGCAGAGAAAAGGAGAGAGTGAAGAGCCAGGTACTCTGGGGCCATGGATGGCAACATACCCTTTTCTGCTTCTGGGTGAGCTGCTCCAGCTCCTGCTCCTTACATAACAGTTTCTGCTCCAGCTCTTGACTGCGGGCTTGAAACCTCTCTGTGTCCTGCCAAGCCAGAAAGAGGGACACACAGGACCCAAATGTAGCACACCCGGGTTATAGATTTTTTTTTTCCCACCTTGAACCTACTCAACATCAGGGCCCATCCTATTAGACCATGGGGCTTTTCCCACAGCACTGCAGGGCTCTGGTAACCTGCCTGCCCCATCAGGGAGGACCAAATGAGACAGAGATAGTGCAAGCGCTTAGTGAGGCAGGATGCAAACTCCCAGCAAGCGTGGCCATGTTCAATGACTGTGCACCACCACCCTCCTCTCCGCCAAAAAAGGGGCAGTGTCAGCCAGTTGTGGTACACTGAATGGGGAGAATTGGGGCTGAGTTCAAACATCAGGCCTTGGTCTCCTCATGTGCAAATTGGGGGTGACTGGGGGAGGCAGATGACCCCTCGGACACCTTCCGACCTGGATATTCTGTTCCAGGTTGGGCATTGGCATCGGATCCCTTAAATTGGCCTCACTCTGGAAACACAGGGCCATTTCCTCTTCCTCTTGAGGGTCTAAGTGTTCATATTTGCCCACTGTGACTGAAGTCTCCCAAGCCCTGCTCCTCAGGATGTTTTAATATCTGCTCCTTCCCTAGGCTGGGCTTCCCCCACAGAGAGGTGCTGAAGCAGGTGAGAAGGGGCCTGGCTATGGGACGAGGAGGAAAGTGTGTGGGCTATCAGGTGCCTGATGCTCTCAGCAGAGCCAGATCTGTGGTGTAAGGCCCCTGAGCCGAGCGGGACACAACTTGGGTTCCAGCCCTGGCTTCATCCAACCAACTTGCTTCATTCTTTTGGATCACTGTTTGTTCACAGAATAGAAACAAAAATACCCATGCCATCTGCAGCACTCCACTTGCCTGAAGGCGGAATGGAGGTACAAAATGTGCAGGAAGAGAAGAAACCATTGTAACTGCCATATAACTCACTACCGGAGCCCCCTGGGGTTCCTGTCATATGGAAGGACTCTTTCCCAAGGAGGACAGCGTGGGATGCTGCACTAGACGGGTGTCCTGGCATGACAGCAGCAGCAGCGCGGTGGGGGAACACGGCCCCCTCGGGCCAGAGGCCTTTGGACACCTCCATTCAAAGGCGCAGGATGCTTCCTTGCGCATCCTCTATGGATGTTACCAGGTTCTTCTGCCCATTTCTAGGCTGGTAAATGGGCAGAAGAACCACTGGGACAGCCTGTGATTATCCTCATGTTAACCACATGAATGGCAGAGGTACGATCTGACCAGACAGCACCTGCTCCCAACATTTGCTTCCAGAGAATCAGCCCCAGGGAATTTGCCTCCTTCAGCTTGGCTGCTGCTCTCTGTGAAAAATGCTGGGAGCAGCGAGCGGCTCCAGAATCCCCATGATGATGTGGCTGTACCCACAATGGGCCTACAGAGCATCCTCACAATGCGCCAGGACAGGGCGTTCAGGGGGTGTAGCATCACATCCTGGGGTTGGAAGGTGCAAGTGATTAGGTACTTCCTTCACGGTCAAACAAACTGGTAAGGGTCAAGCCAGGATCCAAATTCCGGTCCGAGGGTCCAGCCTTTTCCATGATGTCAGAAACTGTAGCACCACTATCCTTGATCTATCTCCAGGCAAAAGCCTTTGTATCTAATGGCTTAATAGTGCTGCAAAAACATCTGAGCAGTTTCCATGTTCACCCAGAAGGCATAAATCTAAGCACTGAGCTTTAAAGGCATTTGGTGTCAAGAAGGGAGAAGGAGGGAGCAGAAGGGGAGAGGGAGGCTGGGTCACCTACAGTGATGCAAACTTGTCCTTGAATTTTTTTCCTCTGACCTCTGCCCTCGCCCATTCCCCATGCCCTGGCCCAGCATTTACTTCCAAAATCACGTCTTTTCCTTTAGCTAGGACCTCTGACCTATAGTCATGGCCCAGGCAGAGGGGACAAGATGCCCCATGGAGCTCAGCCTCTCTGTGCAGGATGTCATTCGGGATAAAGGGGGTGGCTGTCCGATGGCGGGGAGGTGGGGTGGGGAGCTGCTGTTCTCAGGAACTATTTTGGGATCTGCTGATGAGAAGTGTGTGAGTTCTGTCTGCCGTCAACTAGGTTGAGGGGCAGGAGCAGCCAGAATGCTTTCAGGCGCTACAAGAGGGAGGAGGCCTGGAAATGCTGACAAGCCTCCAGAGGGCGCTAATTGGAGGACACGACCAGATTTTCTTGAAAAGCACTCCGATTCCCTCAGTTTGAATGACATCTGTGATAATAAATGCAGCAGTGGTGTCGATAATCTGAGGCAGCATAAAACTTAAAATTGGCTCAAGAGAAGGGGTTGTGAGAATAGCCGGGCTTAGTGCTGAGCGGCAAGGGAGGCTGCCATCTAAGATCAAAGCCTTTTCTGCAGAGAACTCACCAAGTAGATAGTCCAAAAATGGGTACTAGAGAGTTCTCTGAAGCTTTTTTTTTTTTAAATTAGTTTTATGAACATGTTTCCAGAAGGATCCTGCTTACCTTGGCAAAGAAGAGGATTTCGCCAATCCTGACCTCTTGAGACAAATGGCAGGGCTTGGGAAGGGGCTGATAAGGGTCAGACCAGGAAGAGGGAAGGGAGTTACCACTTCCTCCGTGGTATCTGTGGAAGGTGGGATTTGTTTTTTCTTGGCTATTAAATTTTCCATGTGTCTAAGGGTAAAGGATAGGTAGCACAGGCTCTAATGCTTGTCCACTTAGGGGAGCTGCTGGGCACAGGGTGAACTGGGCTGGTGCATTTGGGTGCATTTGCCATATAAATCTAGGAAGTCAATGTCAGATCCAATTTAACAGGGAAAGCATGAGCCTCCATCCTTTCATTCATTCACTCATTCACTTGTTCATTCATTCATTCATTTAACAAACACTTGTTGAGCACCTAGTATGTTCCAGGCATTGTCTATGTGCTGAGGATACCTTAGTTAATAAAAGATAAAATCTCTGCTCTTTTGCAACTTATATGCTAGCAGGAGGAGATAGACACTCAATAAAAATAAACAAGGATATTACATGTCCTGTGTGAAGGTGATAAATGCCTTGAAAAAAAAATACAGCAGAGAAAGAGGGAATCAATAGTGCATGGATGGGGGCACCAAAATCTTAAACCTGGGGGAGACAGAGCAGATATGTCAAGCTGGCCTCAGAGCCAAGCCTGGGGAGCGTACACTTACCTTCAGGAGAAACTGCTCCTTCTCACTTTTGATTTGTTGTTCCATCTCCTCATAGAGATGCTGGATTTCTTCATCATAAGCAGCAATTTTCCTACAGAGGTGGCAAAAGGAGAGTCTCATTGAGGTTCCCCTACTCCACAGCGGTAGCTCCTGGAGCTCAGACACCAGTTCCCCAACTCTGGAGCTGTGGGTGTGGGGGTGACAGCATAGGTCAGGTCAGCCAACGCTATAAGATCAGTCCCTCATGATCAGCTAACCCGACAAGGGATGCAGACCACAGAGGCCTTGCGAGACCTGCCCCTGCAACTGTTAGGTTTCATGTGGCCTCTCCTCCTTCTGTCCCCCAGCCATCACTCCTAGATGATCCCTATGCTCCTCGGTGAAGCTTCCCTGGACCATCTCCCTTTATTTTACTTTATTTCAACACAAGCCCACAGGCCTCTGCCAGACGTATCATCCCTGTTCCCGCTGATCTCCACGCTCATAGACTATATGAAGTTGCATTGTGTGGGTTTCTTTCCTGTTCCGTTTCCTGGTTTATCTTGTCCCTGTTTGCATGCTTTCTCTCTGCCTGTCCACATCAGGACCCTCTGACCCTGCACTCTCAGGGGACTCTCCCTGTATGCCTGAGTTTGTGTGATCCATGTTTCTCATGAGATTCTCAAGAGATTCCATGATGATGACAACAAGAGCTACCACACCCCCCACCACAAAGCAAAAGCGACAATGTCTAGTGCCTGTGCCATCTCAGGCTCCAGGGCACAGGCAGACAGTGTGAGACAGGCGAGGCTGGTTGGAGGATGGCGATGACAATGAGATGTCCTCATCCCCACTCTCCTTCTCAGCATCCTTTTCCCACTCTTTCCTCTCCCCCGTCAGAAAGTAAGTACCTAGAGAGATGAAGACAAACACACAGCCTATAGAGAGATGAAGACAAACACACAGCCATGGGGACAAGTTTTGTAGGTCATCCCCACGGATGACCCTTTTCTGCTTCCCCCCTCTCCCCATGATACATCCAACTTCAATGCCCCTCCAAATTCAAACAGGAAAGATCTGGTAGTAGCATTGGAACTGAAACTGGGAGTTACCACACTGAATTATTAACATTCCCAGATAGTTGCATTTTCATACCTTTTTTGCTGACCATGCAGTGAAAGACCCTCTCTGTGGCCCTTACTCCCTATCCTCTCCCCATCCTGTTAAGGAAACTTCAGGCTCTGTGAACAGGCTAATGTGGCTATCAAGGCCTGTTCTGAACATGCAACACACACACACACACACACACACACACACACACACACACACACACACACACACACACAATTTTGGCCCCTGCCATTCTAACTTAAATGATGGCAAGCCCACTGTGCCCTTTATTTAAGGGACTTCAATAATTGAGGAAACAGCCCTGGTTCTCAGTTTTAAGAGGTACTAGGAAGATTTCTGAACTGAACATAAAGGATGGGAATATATTTATTCCCCTGAGCCCTCCATCATTTTAACCCCTAACTCCCATGTCCACTTGGGCCTCCAATCCAGGACCAGACCTTCTCTGCTGTCCAAGGCTTTGCCACAGCCCAATTTCTGTCCCTTTCTCACCTGCCACCTGTTGGGAGAGCATTTTCACCATGTGCACAGGTGAACAATGAACAGGAGTCATTTTGATTGGCATCCTTCCAGCTTTACAGAAACCACAAATCTGACCCAGACAAAGGAACAGTGTGTGAGACTCCATGGTCAGGGGCATTGATCACAGAGCACAGCCTTGGAGTTCCCTTGCTTGGCTGCAACCCCAAGACCAGAAACTTGATTTTGAGTGACTGTACAGTAACGGTCCAGGGTGGGCTCAGCAAGAGATGACAGTCCTCCCAGACCTCCACAAGCTGGGACCCCGTCTTCATGGATACGTCCTGCATCCCTTACTCTTTTTGGCTAAGAGTAAGAAATCTCTTCTTGTTAAATGACCAATGTTTGGGATTGTTACTTTTGCTCTGAGCTAACTCATAAGAATTAAAATAAAATCTTGGAGGGAAAGTAAGGAAAAAGGCTCATGCTATTGACCCTGATACTTCAGTGACAGAAGCAGATACAGTTTGAAGGAACTTTCAGAAAGCAAGATGTTTTCTCTTGGTCCCTGGAATGACCTTCCTGTGTTTGAAGAAACTCAGATGCTAGATGGTAAATGATATCAAGGAAAACTTTAGACAGAGATTCCAGCTATATAAATACGGTAAAACTAATAAAGTAAGATGAGAGAAACTTAAACATTGATTTGGCTCTGCTAAAGCAATTCATATAAAGTTATTCATATAAACGGCTTACTATTTATTTCTAATAACCATGCGGGGCATTAATTCTATAATATAATTAAATGTGCTATAGTAACTTTGATCTACTTTTTATTTGATTAAATTAACACACTCTAAGTTTTTCATGCTCACATACCAGCTTGCTGGTATGTGAATTAAGTTATTTTACAAACCACTAAAAAATAACTGGCAGGAAGATAGATACAGGGTTTGAAGAGTGCCTCCTCCTAGCCCTCACTCACAAAGGCTAGGCCTACCACAGAGAAGCCCTAGGATTCCAGGTGGGCATCAGAGATCCTGGGCCCAACCAGACTCATATATGGAAGCAAGCTTTTGGAAAGTTGGTCTGCTGTGAGACTCTCCAGGCTTGAATGACTATGAGAAGCCTCGGTTAGAACACACTAATCCCAGGAATGGGGAAGATTAAGGTGCTGTGCATACCAGTCATGTCACTAAACCAGCGCAGGGACGAGAAGACTTGCATTCTGATCCCAGAACCAGCTCCTTTCCTCAGTGTGACCTTGGGTAAGTGCTCTGACCTCCTCACATCCTGAGGCGGTACCTGCCCTATGTTCCTCCCTACATTGTCATAAAGAACAAATGAGAGTGGATGTGAAAAGCGTCAGAACCACAGAGCCCTCAGTAAATGTAAGGGATTATTTACTCCTGTCATTTTAATCATGGACTGTGGAGGACAAAGGGCAGTGCTCCCCAGGGGGAAGAGAGTCTTGGTTTCAAGGATAAAAGGCCTGCTGGGTTTGGAAAGGCTGATGCAATTGGGAAGATGAAGAAGAAATAACTCAGTCAATAAAAGTGCCTGTCAGACCAATCCATTGGAGACCCAGGCTGTGTGTGAGCAGGAGCTGCAGAGCCAGGAGCCTGTGTCTGCAGGAGCCCCGCAGTGGCTGCGCGGGCAGTGGCAGCAAGAGACACTAAAAAGATGTGCACATATGGTGAGTCACATTCAGCAAGGCTCGCCATATTCTGCCATCAGGGGAAAGAGACAACTCATCATGTTTGCTTATCATATACATCCTCGTTGCCACAATTTCTAAAACCACTTCTATTGCCTAATGCATATAAATGGACTTTGAAGTCTTCTCTGTGAAGATTTTGCCATCTATTCCAACCCTCATGACCCCTTCTCTGAACTCAGATGACAGCATATGTCTTCATTTGATCATTTAACAATTAATCTTAAATAGTCCTGAACAACTGTTTCATTTGGGTTCATGTTGTCTCAATTAGGTTATAAACACGCAGGCATTTATGTCACCCACAGGGCCTGAACTCAAAATGTTAATGCCAAAAACCTGTAAAAACTCAATTTACAATTTTGGGTACCGAACTCAGAAGCTCATGGACCATTTCGAGGGAATACTAGATACCATGGGAGTTAAAGAACTTCAGATTTGGAAGGTTTGTCTGATCTAACTACCTGTTTTTCCAGTGTTAAAATTCTTGCGACAATACCACGTCAAGGACTTACCCAGACTAGGTTAGAATACCCCCAGTGACAGAGAACTTGCTGTTTCTCTAAGCAGTTATTTCATCTTTGGGATATTCTGGCTCACAGAAATCTGTCTTTCCATGACCTTACTCTTCTTCTGCATAAAAGCCTTTCATGTATTTCAGAATGGCATCAAGACTTCAAGGAGTTGCCTTGGGTTCCGGTCAAGCCTCTCCACTTCCTCCAACTGTGTCTCACATGGATTTTTTACAAATCCCTTTACAATTCCCTTCATGCTTCTTCAGATGGGCCGTAATGATCTTTCTCAAGCCACGGCAGTGCCAAACTGAATGCCCAGTGTATGAGTTGGACTTGTGCAGATTAGAGCTGACTATTACCTCTCTTGTTCTAGATGCTGCATATCTATTCATACAGCCTAAAACCTCATTAACTTTTCTTGGCAGCCACATTACAGTTGACGTATGTGGAACCCATTCGTCAACTAAAATCTCTAAATTTTATGTCTGTGTGATCATTTTTGTTTTAAAGATAGTACTACTGAATCATATCTCCTCCACTTTGTGCTTCTGCCATTGGCGTTTTGAACACACAGCAACATCTCAAATGTAATGCTGTTAGATTTTGTGTTTGCTATTTCTAGTCCATCTTTCCAGCCTGTCACTATGCTAATAGGTTTCAGTTGGTCATGCAGTGTTTCAATGACCTTCCAAGTTTCATTGACATTTTAAATCTTCAATCAGGATGTAGGCTAAATAATCTATAATGTTGGTTTTTATAATTTAATGCATCTGAGAGTTATTTAAAAGACAGTTTATTAAAAGGTACAAACTATTGGTTTCTAGTTTTATTATATTATAGTAAGAAATGGTTTTGGAATCTATTGGTTATCTTTCCTCTGTAGCCACAAACATGATCAATTTTTGTACAACTTCTATGAGAGGGATATATATTCTATTTGTAAGGCACACAATTCTATATTCGTCTCTAAAGTGTATTCATTGATGGCTTCAAATACTTTATATCCTTCTTGTACTTTTGCCTGACTAATGTGTCAAATCTGAAGCAAATTTGTTAAAGTCTAAAGTCTTTTTTTTTATTAAGTTTTCTTTATTTTTTCTAAAAGCTTCTGCCTTATGTGTCTTCCTGTTGTGTTGTTTGGTGCACAAAGCTTAATACATGTTGTTCTTCTTTATGGATGGAATTTTTTTATTACTTCAAAACATTCCCCGTTTATCTTCCTATACTCATGCCATTGGAAAAATATTAGACAAAATGAGGACGACAACCTGTAGCAGAGATCTCTGAGATGTTAATTAGTGACATGTAGGCATAGCTATTCAACCTATCTTCTCTTAGCCATTCTCAAAACACTCCTTCTGGCCGGGCACAGTGGCTCACGCTTGTAATCCCAGCACTTTGAGAGGCCAAGGTGGGCAGATCACCTGAGGTCAGGAGTTCAAAACCAGCCTGACCAACATGGCGAAATCCCCTCTCTGCTAAAAATACAAAAAGTAGCCAGGTGTGGTGGTACACGTCTGTAGCCCCAGCTACTCAGGAGGCTGGAGCAGGAGAATCACTTGAGCCCAGAAGGCGGAGGTTGCAGTGCGCCAAGATCAGGCCACTGCACTCCAACCTGGGTAACAGAGTGAGACTCCGTCTCAAAAACAAACAAACACTTCTTCACCTGGCTCCCAGAACTCAAATGGTATCTATTTAATTATTTCATTTTCTACCATCTGACCCTAATCATTTTGAGTTATGTAACGCAGAAGAGACGAAGAAGAGGTAGATGAAAGAAGAGTGAGGGCAAGAGACATGAGTTCTCAGTGGAAGAGAAGGACAAAGATGTGGAGGACCAGAGTTAGCAACAGTCATGAGCACTAATATTTATCCTCCCCGTCCTTTTCTTTCCCCATGATAGCTGGGTAGTTCTTCTGGCATGTTTCAGGGTAGTCTAGGTCACAGACCGTTTGCTGACACAGGTATGGTTGCCTCAAAGTTCATTAGATCCAGAAACAGAAGGTCTGGGTTCAAGTCTTGGTTCTGACATTTACAAACTTTCTGGCCTTGGATAAGTCACATTACCTCAGTAAGCCTGAAGTGTCCTATATCTGAAAAATCAGTTGGTAATACCTACTTCAGATAGAAGTTGTGAAGATTAAAAAAGATAATGCATGTGGAAGTGTCTAGCACAATAAGATGCATTTAACAAATTCTAATTAAATAAGTTTTCTGATTCTCCAGAGGCCAAGGACCCCATTCTGAGAGCCACTGCTCTATAGCTCCTTCAGATGTCAGCCAAGGGTCAAGTAGAAACTGGGGGGTGGAGGATCAAGTGGCAGCTTGTTGTATGTGGTGTGAAGAAATGTGTGCAGGAATGGTGAAGGAGTTGGGGACAGAAGACACAGGGTGGATAAAACCTGACGAGGCTCAATAGAGAAGACTAAATGTGGAGAGAGAAGTCCATACATCCCACCAACATTGAAAAGTGTTGATGAAGCCCTTCTTACAGTATGACTCTGGGCAAAATATTTTCGACTGAAGTTATACTCTCTGTGTAATTTAGCATCTAAGAGTACTGAGCCCAGTGCTATAGTGGCAGGGAGGAAAGGAACTGATAGAAGAAGCCATGCACTATGAGGCAGACCCAAAAGAACCCTCCTAGGTTCTGGCTGATGGTCATCTGTGACCTCAGAGCCCTGCTAGGGGGAAGTAAAGGAAGCTACCTGCTCTGGTGGTGGGGAGGAGGGGGGAGTTATCAGGGGAAAAGCTAAGAAGAGGTGAGTTCAGAATAGGGAGATTCTCAACAGCAGAGGGGAGAGAGTACCAGTGAGATACTGCGGATGCCATAAGGGCAACAGTGGATTGGAAAGAATGAGTCCTACTGAAAACCCAGATGAAAACCCAGGTCCAGCTCAGGGCATTAAACATCTTCACCCAAGATATCTGGTTCTGGCAAATGTCCCTCCCTAAAGGACGGCTGCGTGTGTGTGTGTGTGTGTGTGTGTGCGTGCGTGTGCGCGTGCGCGCGCACGCGCGCACACGCTCATGTGTACATCTGGTGCTGGGTTACTGGGGAGCTAAGGATGGGAGGCAGATGGGATATGAAACAAGGATATAGGGGTGAAGAATTCATTATTCTAATGTAAATACAAAGCGTAGCTTCTGAGAGGCCTTTAGAGATAATTTGCAGGGAACTACAAGGTGAGATGTAGTTAGCGTTAACTTATCCTGCCAGCCTCCCACAGGAACTGTGAAAATTAATTAACCTTCACAAAGTGTTTTGCACATGGCAAGTTAAGGTGCTACGCCGGAGCGAGGCATTAATACTCAACATCACTGGAGCTCCAGCTAACGGCACATAGGCCAAGGCCTTCCTGCTGTGGAATACTGCTTGGTCAAAAGATTTTTTTCCTGCTTTTTCTCTCCTTTGTCCTCCCTTTTAAATAAAATCTGTTGGGATTTCAGAGGGTCTTAGAAAGTCGTCCATTCCCCTGCCTAGGCTGTAGGCAGGGGTGTGCTGAAATCATTCCAAGAAAAATGTAGCTTCTGCCTTTTGTAAATGAAAGCGTAGGCTTGGCCTTGGAGAGAGGAAATGGCATTTCTCTACAATTTAGGTACATTTCAGGAGCTTGAACTCAAGGCAGAGTTTCAGAAATGGCCCCTGGCCTTGGAGAGTTGCCATTCTGATTGCATGTGTCTTTGGGGCTGTGGTTTGATCAATTATGTCTCCCGGTTTGCAAAGTTAGATGCAAAGAGAAGGAGAATCCCTCCTCCCCATCACAGAATGAAAGCTTATAAAGCTCATGTATTCCCTATGCCTTTGGTTTTCAAGTGAAGAAAATGAGGGTCAAAACAGTGAAGTAACCAAATTTCCAAGGGTCAGAGTAGCAGGCAGAACCCAGGCCTTGACTTGGGTCCCATGGTTCCATTCACATCACTACGATGTCTGGCCCAGCAGCCTAGGTTGTAAAATAGATAACTCCATACATTTGCATTTAGAATTGTCAGTCTTCCAAATTACACCTGGAATCTGTCAACTGGGGAGTGAGCACGAACTGGAGCAAGGTTATGGGGCCAACAGTCCACACTGCCATGGCCAAAGAGAGGCAAGATTATGGGAGGGGCTTGACTCCCATTCCCCCATGTTACCCACATTCCCTCCCACCCCCTGCCTCAACGTGCTGATCACAGAATGAAGACCCTCAACTGCAGAAGTCTCAAGAAGTCTGCTCTTTGCAAGAGAAGAACATGGAAGCAAATTCAGCCTCAGCCAGTTTTGTGCTTGGAATGGGAATGGTAAACAGGGTTTTAGACTCCCCACTGCCCTCTGCCACCTTCTTCAGGCAGCTGCAGTCCTCTGACAGCTAAGAAGCTCTCACTAGAAAAATCCTGTTTAGAGTTTTGTTCCCCTGAAATCAGTCTCTCTCAGTCTCTGTAATTATCTGCTTATCTCTGTCTCTCTCCATCTCCATCTCTCTCACACACACGTGGGCGCATGCACGTGCACACACATACATGCATGATTAGAGTAGAGCTGAATGAAAGGAAAACGTAAGAGTTTGTAGAAAATTCTGCAAAGGCTGTGAAATTGCCGATTGGATTTTCAAGATGGATGGTTTCTTCCAAATTAGATTCTGCTGCCTGTATAAACCAACTTTGCAGCTTTATCCTATTCTATAAAGCAAACCATTTTTTATTAGTCAGGTTTACAAATCATGCCCATGGTGTACACAGAGCACAAACCGTCCTCACTTTTCAATTTGCTCTCAGGGCAATGTTAACAATATGCTCAACATAATAATATACCCACAGAAGACATGCATTAGATTAAGTCACAACCTCGTCACCTAGAGTCCTCGCCGAGAACTTCACCCTAAGAATAGGACTAGCATTCCAGATTGGAAGGGCACCATGGGATATACCTTTTGCTGGCTGACTGATTCTGGAAGAACTGGCTAAAGCAGCATTTCTCAGAGTGTGGTCTACAGCCTGCCTGTATCAGAACCGCCTGGGATGTGTGTTATGGTGCACGTTCCTGGGCCCCTTCCCTGAGACGCACCGATTTAGACTCCCTAGGGGAGGGGGAACTACCTTTTAATTTAAAAATCCTCTGGTAAATCTAAGCAACCTACCATTCAAGAACTATGCAGCTGAGGCCTTCCCCAAGGTCACTAAGAACTCTGTGGAATGTAAGGACCACCTGCCAGGAATATGAGGCTTTATTTGCTGCCCTATCTGGAGGCAGGGCCAGTGACATGATGACATCTCTTCCCTGAAAAGCTTTGGGGACAGTTTCCTTGTCCTCGAGGCTCCACAACACAGGCTGCCGATCCTTAGGCTTGTGTGGGTGTGCAGGCCATCATAGCTGGGGCTGCCTGTCAGTCTGTAAGGTGCACTCCCTCCTGGACTGGACACCTTCCCAGAGCACAGGGAATCACCATGGACCGGAAGTGGCTCAATAGCAGCTGGTAGGGGCTGCAACTTAAGGGCCTGTGAGCTCCTAAGAAAGTGCCTGAGGTCTGATTCAGATGGACCAGGGAACACTGTGCAGATAAGGAGCTGATTCCAAAGAGGGCATGAGGACTGCTGCTAAGCTTGTCAAGGCCGATGCCAAACAGGCAACAACCAATGATGCCAAACAGGCAGCCAGCTGGTATTCCCAGGCTACAGAGCTGCAGAGGATTGAGCAGGAGCCCTCCCAGAGCACAGCCTAGGGCTGGCCTTTGATCTAGAAAACACTTTCCTTCAGAGCTCAAAGCACCCCACTCAGAAGCTGCCTAATTTATCCTTGCCCCCATACATTACAAATACAGACGTTAAGCCCCCACCTCAGACAAGTGAACTGGTGCCCCTGGGGTGGGACCTCTGGCATCCCAAAATGGTTCTGGTGAAAAGTCTGGATCTACTGCTGCCTCCAGACAGCACTGCTCTATGTGCCCTGGAGAGCTCAAGCTTTTGTTCCAGAAAAAGGTAAATGCAGGGGATGCTTTCCATGGCAAAGAAATTCCCAATTCTAAGTTCTCCCCAATGTCTACACTATATCCCTCATGCTAAAGTGTGAAGACCTCCGCACATCTGCACTGTGAATGCTGAAGGGACTTGCTGAGTGGAAGTCTCACCTCCCTTCCTTGGAGAGAAGTAGAGGCCCACAAGGGGCTCAAATCCGAAATTTCTTCAACCTCTGTGCAAAAGGACAAGGGTGTGGGAGACTGAATGCTCCCAGACTCCTTTCCTGCTCCTATTTCTGATATGCAGGTTAAAAAAAATTCATGGCTGTGAGTGAGGACTCTGGGTTGTTTCTAACAATGCTCCAGGACACTCTGAGGGGTTCTCCTGGCCTTAGCTATTGAGGGCTTGCCTAGCACTCAGCCACCTCAGTTGCCACGTCCTCCCTCCCAGGAAGTGGAGTAAATGTGAGGAGGAAGCTGGGGTGGGCCTTTTCCACTCACAGCCACCGTGCGACCTGGGGGATATGGCCCAGCCTGGGAGGCTGGGGACAGGGAGTGTGTGTCCTGCCTAACCTGCATAAGGCCAGACTCCCCCAGAGGTCAGCCTCATTTTCTCTGGCCCTGTGGGAGAAAGGTGTGTGGTCTGCACAAGGAGAAAAATTAGAGGCTATGCTGCCCATGGCAACGCTGTCTAATGTTTCATTTGCAGGAGGATTTTCTGGTCTGTCTTGTGCAGAATTTCCAGGCATCTAAGCGCTATCTCCTTGGTGTGATCATGAACTCCTCAAGGAGAGGGACTCTATGTTCCCTTTGCTTAACTCAGAGCCTGGCATGGAGGGAGTGCTGGTTCGATGCTAGCTACTGGTTACACACAGACTGTGTTCCGCCTGGTGCCTGGCCTGGGGCAGACATGCAGCAGTCGTGACTTGAGCTGTCATCCCCAGCTTCTGGGATAGGCATTCATTGAAATGTCATCCACTGTAATGAAAAGTGAGTGTGTGGAGGCGCCTGGGAGATATTCTCACAGCTCACCAGAACCCGCTCTTCTTGGGATTCCTCTAGGCTCCCTCCCAAATCAGGCCATCCCCAAGAGATTCCTCCCACTTCCTCTCTAAAACCTGAAAATGTCCCTCCCACAAACAACCTCACACCTCCAAACTCACTTTCTAGATGTCTCAGAATCACTAACCTCACCCTGAGTCATTTGCAAAGAATCCCATTTTCATATCCTATACCCTATTGGGATTTCCAGTCTCTTGTTTGATGTCTGAGTTACAAGTGCCTTTATACATAGGTCCACCAGCAAGGTGTGACCCACCTTTTTTTAAAAAATAGAAGAGACTAAAAGAGGCTCTAGTAGAAAACATCCGATGTTGCCAATAAGGAAACTGATGCCCAGAGAGGTAATGCAAGTTGCCTGAGGTTACACAGCTGGTAAGTGCCAGTGGCTGGGCAAGAGCTCCAGTCCTTCCTGCCTCCTATTTCAGTGCCCTGCTCAAAACAGTCTGCAGTTCTCTGGTTCTGCATCCAGAGAATACCTCTGGAATGGGACTGGCCAAAGAGTTCAGTGAGTCCCCAATCCCAACACAGTTCCCTAGCAGGGAGTGGGCCTTGATCAGCTGACCCCAGAGCAAGCATGGCTGGCAGGGATACTGACTGAGGATGGGCATGGAGAGGCTGGAACCTTTGGCTGAGCTGGTTTTGCACATGCAGCCAAGAGTGGCTTGACTTTTATCTCAACAACGTTTCGAGCACAATTACTAAATGAGGACAAACCACTAATACAGGCCCTTAAAGATGGATGCCAGGGCTAAGCAGCTCTCCAGCAAGTCAGGGGTACTTGTTTCTTCCTGCAGAAATGCAGGCCAGCAGAGGAGGTCCTGCAGATGAGATGCCAGGCTAAGGCTGGGTAATTGCCCACTGTTTCAGACTGCAATTATCTCCTTAGAGAACAGAAGAATGCCTTCCTCTCTGGGAGAGACCACTTAACTTTTGCTGAGGCTCCTCCAGGTGATCAGTGCTGGGGTCAGAGAGGAGAAAGGGTGAAGTGGGGTCAGCCACTAATCTAGCCCCCTTATTTTATAGATAGGAAAACCAAGGCTCAAGAGAAGCCAAGAAATGTGAGCAGTCACAGAGCTAGCTGGTTGCAAAGCCACACATGACTCAAAACCAGAAACTCCTGATTCCGAGCCTCCCACTTCCCAAAGTTACACACTAAGCACCTGGACACCCTGCTAAAATGCAGATTCGGTGGGGCTGGGGGCAAGACTCTGCATTCCTAAGATGTTTCCAGGTGACGCCAATGTTGCGGGTCCATGGACTACACTTTCAACAGCAAGTCTCTACACTGTTGTCTGGAAGGATACAGGGATCCTTAAACTTAGCCTCTGATTATATTCAGGCTCAAACTCTCCACTTCAGCCAGACAAATCCTCTAAGATTAACAAAGATACTTATTTAAAATACTAATAATTATTATTTTGACATTCATTGAATACTTATGTGCCAGCACTGTTCCAAATACTTACATGCATTATTTCATTTAATACTGAAAACTCTGTGAGATGGATACTGTCCCTATCTTACAGATAAGGAAGCTGAGACTCAGAGAGGTTAGGTAACTTGTCCTAAGTTGCACAGCTAGTAAATGGCAGACTCAAGAATCAAATTCAGTTCTGTCTGATTCTTAATTAGGTAATGGCTACATAAAAATATACCCTTTAATCCTTCCCTTCTCTGAGCTTTGGGAGCCTCTCCCCAGAATGTTCTTAACAGTTCTCCAGCCAAACTATGTTTCCTCCAGTGATACTTGTCCTCAGCTTCCTCATAATGCAGAGTCCTAAAAGTCCTTTCTCCCCAGATCTGTGTATACCCAATGGACCTCAACAAGTTATTTTTAGAGTTAAGGTCAGGGAGACACAAGACGAAAAGGAGCCGGGACTCAGAATAATGTGTAAATAGATGATCTACACAGCAAGACACATGGTGATCTTGCTCAATTAGAGGCTGCATGTTTGCTCTAAGACTATTTCAGCACAAACTCTGAAACTGCCTTCCAGGCTTTGCTGGAAGTATCTGAATGGAGGAGCAGGTGGTCTGTGGAACTGCATAGCCAAGGGATTGTTGAGGCTTCCTACAGAAAATGAGCAAATCTCTGGGTGTGTACAAGATTTCATGGCAGAAGCATGGGGCAGGGCCTCCTCTGTATATGCTTCCAAGCTCTACTCAAACCCAGCCCTGTGTTGTAGCCTCACCTTCAGGGTTATGAACCATCCCTAGTCATACCACATCTAAGTCCATGTTCATAAAATGCGAGCTCATGGCTGTAAATGTTTGTTAAAGGACTATGAACAGCACAGTGCCCATAACCATGCATTAATTCTCATGAAGGGACTGGTGTCTAGTGGGCTTGCCCCAGTTTTGTGATATACCTGCCTGTTCTGACTCTGGTTCAGTTCTTCAGCAGCTTCTTCAGGGCTGTGAGTGAGGAGGACTCTGGGTTGTTTCTAACAATGCTTGGTCCTGTCTCCTGGAGAGGTCTTGGAGGCAAATAGGGTAGACGAAGAGACATGAGGCCGTGACGGGAGAGAGCGGCCAGGAGGAGGGACATTCAGCAGGGCTATAGGTCACCTTACCAAACACGCCACCTCTGCAAAGTGGGCTGATCTGGCCCTGGGGGATGGCCCAGTATGCTGGGGTCTTACTGCCTGGAGGCAAGCAGAGTGATTTTTCTTCTGGTCACAGGCACCTGGCTAGCTCACTCCCAGTCCTGGCTCTACTGTTCACAAGCTATGCCTTCTGGGGTGTACTACTTAACCTTTCTGGGTTTCCAACCCTCCGCCTGCAAAATGTGCAGATAATAAATGTGCAAAATGATAACCAGTCCCTCCTTCAAAGCGTTGTGGTGAGAACTAAATAAGCTAGTGTATAAAAAGTATTTAGAATAGTGCCTACCATATAGCTTAAAAAGGTGACGGAGAGCTTAAAAATACATATATCGTGACAGACACAGGGCCTGGTCCCCACTTTGGCAGACAGCAAAAGGAGGCATTGCACGATGTTTTGGCAGAAGATCTAAGAGAAAGTGCACCGTGTGTCTCTCTTTTTCACACATAGTTACAGAAAGCGGCTGACACTGGGGTACCCACCTTTTTAGGGCACACTCCAGTTCATTCTTCTCCTCATGGGCTTCTTGGAGCTGGGAGATGATTCTGGTCAGGAAGTCTTCAAAGTTGGACAGTAAATGAGGTTCCTCCTTCTTCAGCTGCAACCAGAGCTGCTTGACATCACTTTCACTGCAAGAGAAGGGACGCTCATGTGGAAGTGTGGAGATGAGGCTTCACGGGAAATACAGAGGTTCCCAGACAGGAAACTGACAGCCAGAAACAGTACCGTCAGAATCATTATAAAGATGACAGTAGCTAACGTGGACCGAATGCTTGCTGCATGTGAGGAGCTTCAAGGATATCAGCTCATTTCGTCCTCACAATAACCCTACAAGGCAGGAGCTGCAATTACCCCATTTACAGATGACGAAGCAGGTGAAGAGAGGTGGAGTGAGCTGTCTAAGATCACCCAGCAGTCACTGATGGAGTCAGGGGTCCAGCTCAGGGCTGTCTGACTCCGGTGTTGGCCTCCTTCCCCACCTCGCTCTGCTGCTTCTGTTCTCCCGTGGCCTTCACGACGGGCTCGTGGGGCTGGGCGTGCACAGCAACATGCTCTGGTGCATCTCCAAATGCCAGGAAGAAGACAGGAGGACAGGAGCCCAGTGCGTTTAAGGACACACACTATGGAGCTAAAGCAGAGAGCTCGTTGCCCCCAGGAAGGATGGTCCTCACTGCTGAGAGGTAAAGACGTGCCATGTGATGGATGGCAGAAAGCAATTGTCACTGCAGGAAGGGAAGAGAATATGCAGCACCCCACTGTGGCCTAGTGGCACTAGGGATGACTGACAGGCAAAAAGAAGGGAAGGAGCAAGTCTGAAAGATGCGCACACACAGAAAGACAAGGCGAGAGAGACTTGGGAGACCCAGAGGCCAATAGACAAAGGCACAGAGGCACGTGTGTACACAGCTCAGTGACAGAGATACAGGGGCTCAGGCTGACACCCAGGGAGGGAATGAGGAGGAGACACACATGGTGGACCCTGTTCTCCCTTTCTGGGGAAACTAAAAAATCTGTGGCCAATGATCAAGCTAAGTTAAACATAAATCTGAAAGAGGATAGGTTTTAATTCAATAAAAGTTAATAATTTCTCACAGCTAGCAGACAGTAGAGTGTTATAGCATCAAGTTTGAAAGTTATATAATAATAAACAGTAGAGTTCAAGTGAAATTTCACAGGCTAGTTTATTATAAATTATCAATTAAACTTTATTCTAGCAAAGTAGAGAATAAATATAAATCTTATCCCGCAAACAATCAGGCTTTTGATTTTTTTAAATTAATGGGCACATATGTATTTTCCAACACTTTTTTCACATCTATATAACAAGATGTAATAACTAGCTCAGTTCATTGTCTTCTCAAAGTCTTTTGTTACTTAAATATTCACTCTGTGTCTTAATCTTTCAAGTTTCCAGCTATTGAAAATATAAGTCCTTCACCTCCTTCCATCCTTTCAACATAATTACATTTTGATTTTTTACTCTGTTAAACTTTGAGACTTTATGTAATGTATATTTCACATTTAATTAATTTAACCTGATTATGGAAAATCGCTTATGACCCTCGTTTTATGAGGATAAAGTTATCTGTATGCCTATACTTCTCTTGAGCTCTTTCCAAAATTTGCTTGTCCATTACAGTCATCTGCACCTTGACAATCTGCCACCAACAGATTCCTGTTGGCTCCCCAGGAATCCTCAGGATAAAGAATAAAATTATCTGTGCTTGTATAACAAGCATTATATTTTAGAAATTTTCTTCGGAAGTGATATTTGTTAGTGTCATGCTAGCAATGCCCCTGTGGTATAGACATTACTCTCTGCACCCTGCAGAGAAGAGGCCCACTGAGAAATGGGTGGTGACCTCCCATCCCTGTGGCAGCTTGCTCCCTGCTGTGGTGTGAATGTTTATATCTCCTACAAATTCATATGTTTAAATCCTAACCCCCAACATGATGGCATCAGTAGGTGAGGCCTTTGAGAGGTGATTAGATCATGAAGGCAGAGCCCTCACAAATGGGACTAGTGCCATTGACACTGTGTTCTATAATTAGTATTGTTTTAAAACTCTGTATGCTAACTCCCAAATATGATATTAAATAAATGTTTATACTATTATGACTACATAAATAATACCCCTGGAGAACCAGGACTCTTCCTAAAATTACGCCATTATTTGTTTTACTTCCTTTCCCTGTCCCACTTCCCCAAATCCCTTGCCAGTTTCTTCTGGGAGTACCTCACTAATAAATCACTTTAAGACAAAAACCACAAAAACAGAAACGTAAATGTGACTTGTCTTCCATTAAATTCCAGAAACAGAAGATCTGAGGATAGCTCTGACAAGGAACCCTCAGGAGAAGGAATAAAATCCTTTGTGCTTGCGTTATTAAGCATTATATTTTAGAAACCTTATTCAGAAGGGATATTCAATAGTGCCATGCTAGCAACGCTCTTGGGAAATGGACATGACTCTCTGCACCCAGCAGAGAAGAGGACCACTGAGAAATAGGCCCACCTCTGATCAGTTATCTGGTCATCTCTAACACTTCATCCCTCTCTCCCTCCTTTCCTTGCTCCATCACTTCCACCAATTCTTTCTTCTATCCCATCCAAACATCCGCGTACTTATTTAGACCATCCATCCATCCATCCATCCACCCACCCATTTCCTTATTAACTCAACAAGTATTTATTATGATCTGTTGTAAACCTTGCACTGTACTGGATGTCATGGGTGAATCTGGGAAATGGGAGAAAAGGAGGTAAGGAACCTCTCTGTTTCTCAGAATGAGTTCCATTCCTCCCAGCCCCACAACACACACACAGCATGTTGTGGGGGTCTTATTTCATCCTATAGGTAAAATTTAGATGTGGCAAAGGGTTCAGAGATAAGAGGGTCTCAGAGAGACACCATGGTGACCTCCCATCCCTGTTATAGGTTGTTCCCTGCTGTGGTGTGAATGTTTATATCTCCTACAAATTCATATGTTTAAATCCTAACCCCAACATGATGGTGCCAGAAGATGAGGACTTTGAGAGGTGATTAGATCATGAAGGCAGAGCCCTCACGAATGGCACTAGTGCCCTTATAAAAGAGGCCAGAGGAAGCTCATTCACCCTTCCTGCCATATGAGGACACAGTGAGAAGACAACTGTCTGTGAATGAGGGAATGTGACCTCATCAGAGAGCAAATCTGCTGGCACCTTGATCTTGAACTTCCTAGCTTCCAGAACTGCCAGAAATAAATTTTGGTTATTTATATAAAGTACCACATCTATGGCAGGTATTACAGCAAACCAAATGGACTGAGACACGCCACCATGAAGTAAATGCATTGTAAAATCAAGGTTCACCTTGCCAGCCCAGGTCTGTCTGTCCACACCTGCCAGGTTCCTGATGGAGCCAACTGAGCTCAAGTCCCCAGTGAGATTTGCAGACCCACCTGCTCCTCTTCCAACACTCTTTGAACTACTTAGTCATGGCAACAACAACTTGCCCCAGATTTCTGGAGAAGGGACAAGTCTTTCAACTTTTGATGAAAAACAAGCCAAAGCTCACTAAGCTGCCAAATCGCTTAGCCAATCGGACCACCAAGAAAAGTCAAAGTGCAGATGCCCAGTCTCGAACTTCTAGAACACACCAAGGCCACCCCTCCTGGGAGGATATGGGAGTATAGGCTAGAAAGGATTCTGGGAGGTTTATCAATCCATTTCACTGCTTCCAGAACAACACACAAATCATTTTGGTGAGCAAAATCTTTAAAGAGCCCTCAAATATTCATAGCCTTTTCTATTTCCCTATCTGAGGTCTCACAGCCGTGAATGTTTCCCTCATGCTGCAATCTAAGCCCACTTCAGTGAGGATGGAAGTGGCTGGTCACCATCTTCTGTGTATCATCTTTTACAGACCACTCTTGAAACCTCCACAAAACCTCCTCTTCTTCGGGACATCTCATTTTGGCTCAGTTCTGCACTGCCTTACTATAGGTCCTCAGAGTCACGTCTGGTGGACTCTAATTGAGAACCTTGCCAGTAAGGCTGCTACCCTGCAGTGAGGGCTGGGCAGAGAGGCCCCTTCCTTCCGTTACGGTGCCTCAGCTCACCTGCACTGCCTTCTCCTTCCCCCTTCTCCAGGAGGAGGTGTCACACTGTCACCAGGAATGGTCTCTGTGCTCTGGCCTGTTGTCCTTGGAGAAGCTGGGTCAGGTGTATGACTAATGAGCTTCCCACCCACCTGTGCCCCTTCCACCTGCCAGCTACACCTTCTGTGGTCGACACCTGCTGCAGCCCCTTCCAGGCCTTCAGCAAACCTGCTACTGCTGCTGGTCTTGAGTTCCACTTCCTGTGTAGCGCCCCCACCAGGATCTTCCCCAGGCACTTGCCTATCCCTTTCTTGCCTGGAACACACTTTCGCCAGCCTTTCCCAGTTCTGCCACAGTCTACCAAATTGTTTGCTGAAAAATTCACAGAGCTTCGGCCTGCAAATCGTATATAGGCCTCTTCTCTCTTGTCTCCTTTTTATCATTTTCCACCCTAGCCCCTTCTCTTCCCAAGCTCAGGAAATGTCAGCTGTAATCAGTAGGGCATTCCCACACTACAGGAAACATACATCTAACCCAAGACCTAAGGACCCCAAAACAAAAAGGCCAAAGGCAAAGGCTAAAGGGGCAGAAGGTATTACATGCTTTTCAGGCCCTCTGTTTGGTTTCTACTAGCTGTAACACCACATTTTCCTTATTTTATTTTACTTTACTTCAATGTCAGGGCTTAGATCCCTGTGTCTATTCCAAAGCACATTTTAGGAAAAAAAATGGTGGAGGGGTAGTTATGTTTTGTTTGAGATCTCAGCCATCTACAATTTTCCAAGTAGTGGCCTGCTAAAAACTGCTTCATTTCCCACCTTGGCTTCCTGCACAAGCCTGGTTTGCCGAGGATACCGTGTGCAAATGCTTCCACATGATGGGTTTTGGCCAGGAAGGCACCCACAGCTGGGGCAGCTGGGAGGCACCGTAGCTCTAGAGACCCAGGAGAGGTAAAGATGCTGGGGAGCTGATGGTGATAGGAAGCCTTAGGGAGAACTCCATGAAAAACCCTGAGAGCATGGTACAGACCTCTGATGTGTGAGTGCCTCATGAGGAGCAAGGCTGAGCCAAGGACTGGGGGATAATGCATGGCCAGGAGTGAGGAAGGTAGAGGGGGTGGGAGAGAAGGAGAATAGGAATGATTCCTAAAGAAAAAAAAATGTAAACAGCAGAGACAGAGCCCAACACACAGCCAGGTCATCACAAAGGACAGGCCCCCACTGGCAGAACCAGCGGGCCTTTACCTGCACTGCATTCCAGTGCAGGGACCAGCACCACATGGTTAACAAATGTTAATTGTTGAATGGACACAGGAAGAGGTTCCTACCAGGCTGGTCTCCGTTCTACAAATCACTGTCACCACTTACTCTTCCAACACCTTTTGGGCTCCAAGTCTGTCCATCAGCATCCGGAACTGGGCTTCCTCATCTTCGCCCATGTCGCCCAGATCCTCATCCCCTCTGGACAGATACACCTTCTCTTCATGGCGCTGGGCCACCTGTTCACCTGCATCTTCCTGACTTGGGTTATTCTGGCTGAAGAAGAAGTGACCTGGGGGGTGCAGGGCACAAGGATCCGAATTAGACCATACCCATCCAGGAAGAGCTCAGCTTTCTCACCTGCCAGGAATCATTGAAGGTTCATCTGAGAGAAGGAAAGGGAAGGGAAAGCCCCTCCAGCAAAGATCCATGGACATGGGTCCGTGGACACGTTCCAGATTCTGTGACTTTTCCACTTCCACAAACACCCCATCAGTGATGCTAGAATCTGGGAATGGCAGAATGTAAGACGGATACGGTGTCTCCTTTGTGGTTCTCAGTCCCTTAACATCTGGCTTAGAACGCATCTCCGTTGATTTCTTCTTTAAGCAACAAGGCCTTTCCCTGCACTGCATTCCAGCACCCTGACTGCAGAGGCTCCTATTGTCATCCTAGTCATCCTCCCGCTAGCATCACTAGACTTCACATCTACAAGCTCCTTAACAGTTTCCAGTGTACTTCCTCCATACTCATACTGTCCAGTGTTACAGCAGTCTGTCTTATCCTCCCAAGTCAATTAGAAGCTCCTGAAGGTCAGGAAAGGCATCAGATACTTACAAGAAAATTATATGGCCCCACACATAAGGCAGATATATGGCTTTTGATGTATCTGATAGGATAGTGTGTCTGGTTTCTTTATATTGTTCATAGATCTCGATTCTTCTTCCTCCTGGTTACCTTGAGAATGTCTAGTCTGTTCAAACCTTCTAGAAATTCCTCTGATAGCTGTTATCCCTCAACCTGGAAAATTCAGCCAGACTTGGGTTGGAATGAGCCATCCAGTTGTCCCACCTTTTGGCCATTTTTCTATGAAGGCAGAAAAGGAGAGGCTGCAAATCTCATCACAGCTCCCCCTTTTATGCTATGGCTTCTGCAGAGCTTCCGTCCATCTCCCTTGCCAGTCCCAGTGGGAGGGAGCTTGGTAATGGCAGTGCAGTGGGCACTGAGCAAGCGGCAATGTAAGCAGTTGAGACGGGCATGTGAGGAGGCCCAAGCAATCTAGAGCCTGGAGACCTTGAGCTCCAGGTCCCTGAAAGGAGGGCAGGAAAGCTTTACTACCTGCCCCCCAGGTCTACAAGGGACAGGAATGCACCTTATACAGTGTTAGGTAGACCCATAACCCTGAGGTCCCCAGCACCCATCAGAACTTACTAAATCCAGTAGTGAACTCCTGTGGGGTCAGATAGCCATTGCCATCAGCATCCAGGGCATCAAACACATCCTCCAGTTCCTCCAGGCTGAGCGGTAGCTCCTTATGCAGCCTCTGAAAACAACCCAGAGTGTACTGGTTAACACTGACACTCACTGGTGGGGGAGGTGACCTGGGACTGCAGAGCCTTCTGCCAGAAAGTGTCTAGAGTTCGGCCCAGTCCTACAAAAGCCAGTAGAAAGCTTCTGCATCCAGACTGCTTCACCATCCCTCTCCTCCTTTGCATGTTAGCACAACTACCATTGATTGGGTGCCTACGAATGTACTAGGCCATTTGCTAGGTGATTTATAAATAAACAAATATGTAAATATGCATTTATTTATCTATCTGCATTTAATTCCCATGACAACACTCTGAGCTAGGCACTATTATCTCTGTTTTACAGATGAAGTTTGAGGTGAAATTACCTGCTCCAAAGTCACATGGCTAGTAATGACATAGCCAGGAGTCAAATCCAGCTCTGATTCCAAAGCCAGCACTCTCAACATCTGTAAAGGACTCAAACTGTACAGGACCAAATACTTTCAGGATAATACTCACACAGCATGGTGCTGTAAAGTTGAATGCAATCATGAATGTAAAGCATATAACAGTGCCTGCATACAGAAAGCATTCAATATAAAGTAGTAGGGAGGCAGAGAGAGAGAGAGACTCATGGCCCACTGAGGCCCCTCAAGGAAGTACGTGGCAGAGCCAGGCTTCAAACCCTGTCTTCCCTGCTCTCCCTAAGCCCCCTTTCCTCTCCCGTACCACGATGCGGGTGCGGGTCACTTACTTGAGGCCTCTCCTGCTGGAGGCCCCTGGTGTCCCATTGCCTCAGCACTGCATTTGTAAGTGTCTGTGGACACACATTTTGGTGCTTGAGCTCTGAGGGGATATGGGATAATCCCCCTTCCTACCTCTGAGTGACCCACACCCAGGCCCCGAGTCCAGGTTCCACTCCAGCTCCCTGCTGACTGGTAAGGAATTCCTAATAAGATCTCAACTGCCATTGGCTTAAGGTATCAAGGCCCCAAGAGTATTTGTGTGTTAAAGGGGGACTGGACAAGATAGTGTGAGGAGGTTATCGCTGGATTTGAGTCTAGAGCAGACTCAGACCTCATAAGGAGGGAAGGGCAGAGAACAATTAATAGGCCCAAGAGCAAAGCAGCTGAGCTGTTGCTGCTCCCTTCTGGCCTTCTGCCCGATGTGCAATGGCCCCAAGCCAAGGCTAACTTGCATAGATGAAGCAAGTGTACCCTCATACCCAAATAATCTAGGTCTCCAAATGAGAACTCCCCAGAGAGTTATATCTCAGCCGATCCTCTCCCTTCCTCCCAGTTACCTAAGCGGTAACCGTGCGAAATTGCCAGTGTGGAAGTGACTGACAGCTGAAAACAATGAATGCGGGGCTTTGTAAGAAGAAAGGTATATACCAACCTCAACAATAAAAAAGAGCTGGCAGGTGTGAAAGCCCATAACATAATTGGCAAGAATACTTGGCTTGATCCTATGGCAGTTCTAGCTGATAAGCCATAAAGCTTAATTTGGCAGGTACATGCATTAAGGGAGACTATGATGCATTATAAAGTGGGAAGACAGGCTGATGTGGAAGCCATTTAGAAGAATTGAATTAAATATGAATGGGCTTTTCAGAAAAGGAAGGAGAGTGAGAGAGAGTGTGCAAAGATTCTGGAAGTATATCTGCTTAGCATTCAGCAGAATCTCTGACTTATCAACAATCCATAAACCAGCTGTCTCAAAAGCTACAGTAGGAGAACACGGGTGAGGAGAGAGTCAATTTTGCAAGCAGGGATTTTATTAGCATCATTGGAAATAAGAAGCATCACACCTGAGGTAGGGTAAAAGCGCAAGCTCCTGTCACGCTCACATTCCAGTCCTTCCTTTGGATTATCCTTCCTCCTTCCCCACCCTCAGACTAGGATTGCTGGATCTGATTCAAAATGTGGTCTCTCGCACTGGGCTGGAGCAAGAAATGAGCTGCAAGAAAATTCCAGAGATCAACGGGACCCTCAACATGCCTTTCACTCAAACACCCCACACACTTTTCTCATGTTAGCATGAACCAGGAGAGGCTAGTTCACAGCTCACCTTAGGCACCATTCCTGAATCCAGCAGCACTTCGAACCCCAAATCCCCCTGTTGTCTAATCCCAGTTCTTGTCTACATCTCAAGTCAGTTTCCTCCTCCCATTGTCAGCAAAGATGGGGAAAGCAATATTATAGGTTCCAAGTAATTCTTACTACTCAAGTGCTGGCAAGTCAGCGCTGAGTGCTTCTTCAGCCTTCTCTGCAACTGATTCTATACCTGATTCTTCACTACACCTGATTCTTTCACCTTGTTTTGTTGGCCCTCCTTGAAAAATCTTTTAGTCTTAATAACCATAATTATCTCTTATTTATCGCTCTGCTCAGGGCCTACAGAGCCACAGAAAACCAGCTTATTCTGGTATGGTCCCCTGGTACTGTTTACATTATTTTTATTATTTTTATTATTACTTTTTTTTTTTTTGAGACAGAGTCTCGCTCTGTCACCCAGCAGAGTAATGTGATCTCAGCTCACTGCAACCTCCGCCTCCCGGGTTCAAGTGATTCTCCTGCCACAGCCTCCTGGGTAGCTGGGACTACAAACGCCCACCACCACACCCAGTTAATTTTTGTATTTTTAGTAGAGACAGGGTTTCACCATCTTGGCCAGGCTGGTCTTGAACTCCTGACCTTGTGATCCACCTGCCTTGGCCTCGCCTCCCAAAGTGCTGGGATTACAGGCTTGAGCCACTGGACCTGGCCTACATTTTTAACTAAGTGAGATAAGCAGGGTGGAGGGGAGCAAGATTATTTATTCCACTGTGCAATAGGCCTGTGAGGCTCTGAGATTAGCCTAAAGTCACAGTGCAGACCACAGCTGGGAAAAGAACTGATTTTCCATCCAGGGCTTGAGCAACTGTCTAATAGTTCTCCAGGGCATTCATTCTGTTATTCCCTCACCTTCATTACCTCCCACACCTACCCACCTACCAGCACCACCAAAATCAGAACACAAAGTCTCTCTTGCCAGCACCAAGACCCAGCCTTCCAGAGATCCTGTGGCACGCACAGCTTTTCACACACCTGGAAGGGTGGGCCAGGGAAAAAGAGAGGCATGAGGAGGAACTCAGCTTCCTATTCGTACTGCCCATGGCCCTGGGAGCTCTTGAGAACTCCTTGGCTCCTTTAAACACCAGCCTCACTCTTTCTTCACTCTCAGCTCCTGCGTCACTTCCTCCGTAAGGCCTTTGCACCTCCCCAGGTTAGGTCAGGTTATACAAGCTCCCCAAACTACCTTTCTCTCATTCATAAATCTTTCCCAATTAGCATTTTATATACTGATAGATGTGACTCATTGATGAACGTCTGCTCCCTCAGTGCTCTGAGAACAGGGACCTCATTCGTTAGGCACTGTTGTGTCCCCAGGATCTAGCCCAATGCTGACAAACATGGACTATTTAGATAAGTGTTGAAGGAAGGCATAGATAAGCGCTTGACTAAGAGCAATGGCAGGAGACCCTGAGCTCCTATGTACAGAGTGCTGGTCTAGACCTCACACACTCCAGAACCTGACCAGCCCAACTGCTAATTCTCAGCAAGACTCATAGTGACTGGCAACCTTCCAGAACCTAGAACATGAGGCATCTACAGCAGCAGTACTGAGAGTTCATGCCCCAGAGCCACGGGAAAGTGATGTCTTTTGTTGCACTCCAGCCAGGCTCCTTTACCTTCCTAGTCACCAGCCCAGTAACATACCCCATGTAGCTTAAAGTGTATGGTTGCACAGCTTCAAACATGCTTCCATGACATTTTTATTGAGGAAAAAATCAGAGGATATCCATTTTTTATGTCCAGAATTACACTGTCCCTCCTTTTGGGGCAATCACAGCATTCTTTTCAGACCCCCATTCCAGCACCAACCACCCTCTTCCCTGTGGTACAGTTCAGCTATACCAAATCTCTCTAGGACGAGAGTGGGAGGTGGGAGGGCAGGATCAACCTTTATCCTGCTTTGCACCTTGATGTGCTTGGCTTGGGCTGATTACGTGGTATAGGCCACAGTTTCTCAACCTTGGCACTACCGACATTTTGGAATGGACAATTTTTGGTTAAGGGGGTAGTGGAGGGGAAGGCAGGGGAGGGACCATCCTGTGTATTACAGGATATGTAGCAGCATCCCTAGCCTTTGCCTGCTAAACGCCAGCAGCACTTCCCTCACCAGTCGTTTCAATAAAAAATGCCTCCATACATTGTGTAAGGAATATGGCTGTGCTTTGGTCAAAGATAGACCGAGGTAGAATGTTTACATCCTGCGTGAGTCAGCAAGTTTAGAGTGCAGGCGTATAATTCCACTTGTTATCACAGCCATGTAGCCATAACATGAGAAGGCCATCACTTGGCTGTACACCACTATTGTCTGTAAAAGATATAATTGTCCTGTTGACACTGTGCAGGCATGCTTGCGCTTGTGCCCAGAGAAAGAGAGAGAGTCAGAGCTGCCTGTCATTGCAGACAGACTGCGGGGAGCCAGGACACATGCCCAAAGAAAGAATTAAGCTGCTGACCCTGAAGGCAAGGGAGAGCGGGCCACGCAGCTGTGTGTGGGAGCCGCCAGATTAAGTAGCCAAGACAGGGCGGACAGTGTGAGAAAGCTGTTGATGAAAGCTGCTGCTGAATAAAACCATATTCACCTGCCTACGGCCCCCTGAGTATTGTTTCTGCTCATCCACTCATTCCCTCCGGACCTCAGCATGGGCTGGAACCTATCCCCAAGCATGACAATTGGTGTAGTTGTGAACATGACACATTGCCATATGTCCTCCAGGAGGCAAAATTGCCGCCACTCATGTAGATTGGACACAAAGAATAACAGCAGCTGGATACGAGTGGAAGGTTCCCTTTTCAGCAGAAATGCCCGTTTCTTTTCTCTAAGACAGGACAGACAACTTGCACCTTAAAATTACAATGTGATGGTGCAGCTATTGTATAAAATGGTATGGTGTCTCCTCAAAAAATTTACAAAATAGAATTATCCTATAATCCAGCAATTCCACTTCTGGGTATACACACCAAAGAATAAAAAGCAAGGTCTTGAACAGATATTTGCCCATCCATGTCCATATCAGCATTATTCACATATAGCCAACAGGCGGAAGCTACCCAAGTATCTACTGACAAAGGAATGGAGAAACAAAATGTGGTATATACATACAATGGAATATTATTCAGCCTTTAAAAATATTCTGACACATGCTACGATACAGATGAACCTTGAGGACATTATACTAAGTGAAATAAGCCAGTCTCAAAAGGACAAATATTATATAAGTCCACCTATATACGATACCTTGAGTAGTCCAATTCAGAGAGACAGAAAATAGAATGCTGGTTGCCAGGGGCTGGGAGTGGGCGAAATGAGGACATTGTTTTACGGGTACAGAGTTTCTGTTTTGCATGATAAAAAGAGTTCTGGAGATAAATGATAATGGTGGTTGCAGAAGAAAGTGAATGTACTTAATGTCACTGAACTGCACACATAAAAAATGGTTACAATGGTAAATTGTGTGTTATCTGTATCTTACCACAATTAAACACAATCACAATGCAGAGGACATCAGGTACTGGGCTAAGATGTGGCACATACACAGTGCATTTCCAGGGATTTCCAGGTCCCAGTCTCAGGGCTGAGTGTGCTACATGCTTAAGCTCATTCAATTATCTTTTAATGCTGGGAGGTAGCTATAAATAATTCACAGCTGAGAAACTGTAGCCTAGAGGGGTTAAGAGACACAAATTCGTATTACTAGCAAGTTGCAGATTGAGGATTAAAACCCAAGTTAATTTACTATAAAAATCTTTTAAAGTTTTCTAGTTAACCTAAATCAGGAGATAGCTGGCTTTTTCTGAAAACAGCCAGGGAGTGCATATTCTAGGTTTTGTGGACCATTCGGTCTTTGTCACATCTACTTCCCTCTGCCACTGCAGTGTGAAAGTAGCCACGGAAAACACATAAAAGAATGAGCACATCTGTGTTCCAAGAAAACTTTACTTACAAAAACAGGTAGTGGCCCAGATTTGGTTAGTTTGCCAACTCCTAAATGAGTCTTAAGTTTGGCATAGCCAAGAATTCTGGGCAGTGTTGGGGAGGCAGGTGCTTGGTGTTGGTAGACAATCCTTTTACTCCTCCAAAAAATCAGGGAAACAGGGCTTTTGAGGCTCTAGGTTTTCTCAGAGAGATCTCCTGCCCATCCTCTCTCCCTCTCCCTCTCCCAGCTGATGGAGTCTCTTCATGCTCTCTGTAGCCTTTTCCTCTCTGTCCTTTCCTCTGAGGCAGGACTGACTCAGCCCCCCGTGAAGCTTCTAGGGTATTGCACCAGACCTAACCCTGCAAAGCAACATCTACCCCAATTCTGTCTGGAGAGATCCCCAGGAAACCCAGAGAGATTCCTCAAGAAGGACAGTGTGACACCTGAGGAGTCATAAGGGAGGCTGAGGACTCTCTAAACTTGGTTCATGCAGGTCAACGTCCATCATCTGCTACCCCTAGAGCAGAACACATGCATTTCACATGCCCGAGCAGAGGGCAGCTTGTGCTCCTAGCTTGAGTGTAGCACACATTGGGCTCATCCTGGGTTTCTCCAGGTTTCTCAGGGACCCTGATTAAAAACAGCTTAAGCACCCTGCCCTTTCTCCCTGTGGTCCCTGCTCTATCTGGGTGAGCTGGCTACTTACTGGTGGGCTCCGATCACATGGCAGTCTCCCCACCCCTTGACAATTGTAAAGCCAATCTCACAATCCATTTTTAATAAGAAGAAAGAAGAAAAACAGCCCTGGAGGAGGGGCTTGCTCCTCTCATCCCATTTTCTTTTTTTTTTTTTTTAACTTTTAAGTTCAAGGATATATGTGCAGGTTTGTTATATAGGTAAACTTGTGTCATGGGGGTTTGTTGTACATATTATTTCATCACCCAGGTATTAAGACTAGTACCCATTAGTTATTTTTCCGGATCCTCTCCCTTCTTCCATCCTCCACTGTCCAACCAGCCCCAGTGTGTGTTGTCCCCCTCCACCATGTGTCCATGTGTTCTCATCCTTTAGCTCCCACTTATAAGTAGGAACATGTGGTATTTGATTTTCTGTTCCTGAATTAGTTTGCTATGGATAATGGCCTCCAGCTCCATCCAAGTTGCTGCAAAAGATATGATCTTGTTCTTTTTATGGCTGCATAGTATTCCATGGTGTATATGTATCAGATTTTCTTTATCCAGTCTACCATTGATGGGCATTTAGGTTGATTCCATGTCTTTGCTCCTGTGAATGGTGCTACAATGGACACATACATGTGTCTTTGTGTCAGAATGATTTCTATTCCTTTGGGTATATACCCAGTAATGGGATTGCTGGGTCCATGGTAGTTCTGTTTCTAGGTTTTTGAGGAATTGCACACTGCTTTCCACAATGGTTGAACGAATTTACACTCCCACCAACAGTGTGTAAGTGTTCCTTTATCTCTGCAACCTTGCCAGCACCTGTTATTTTTTGGCTTTTTAGTAATAGCCATTCTGACTAGTGTGAGATGGTATCTCATTGTGGTTTTGATTTGCGTTTCTCTAGTGATCAGTGATGACCTTTTTTTCATATGCTTGTTGGACACATGTATGTCTTCTTTTGAAAAGTTTCTATTCATGTCTTTTGCCCACTTTTTTATGGGATTGCTTGTTTCTTTCTTATAAATTTGTGTAAGTTCCTTGTAGATGCTGTATATTAGACCTTTGTCAGTGCATAGTTTGCAAAACTTTTCTCCCATTCTGTAGGTTGTCTGTTTACTCTGTTGATAGTTTCTTTTGCTGTGCAGAAGCTCTTTAGTTTAATTAGATTCCATTTGTCAATTTTTGCTTTTGTTACAATTGCTTTTGGCATCTTCCTCATGAAATCCTTGCCCACTCTTATGTCCAGAATTGTATTGCCTAAGTTGTCTTCCAGGGTTTTTATAGTTTTGGGCTTTACATTTAAGTCTGTAATCCATTTTGAGTTTTGTTTTGTATATTGTAAGGAAGGGGTCCAGTTTTGATATATTCTGCATATGACTAGCCAGTTATCCCAGCACCATTTATTGAATAGGGAGTCCTTTCCCCATTGCTTGTTTTTGTTAGCTTTGTCAAAGATCAGATGGTTGTGGGTGTGCAGCCTTATTTCTGGGCTCTCTATTCTGTTCCATTTGTCTATGTGTCTGTTTTTGTGTCAGTACCATGCTGTTTTGGTTACTATAGCCCTGTCGTATAGTTTGAAGTTGGGTAATGTTATGCCTCCAGCTTTGTTCTTTCTGCTTAGGATTGTCTTGGCTATTTGAGCTCTTTTGGTTCCATATGAATTTTAAAATAGTTTTTTCTAGTTCTGTGAATAATGTCCTTGGTAGTTTGACATGAATGGCATTGAATGTATAAATCGCTTTAGGCAGTATGGCCATTTTAGTGATACTGATTCTTCTGATGCATGAGCATAGAATGTTTTTCCCTTTGTTTGTGTCATCTCTGATTTCTCTGAGCAGTGTTTTTAGTTCTCCTTATACAGATCTTTCACCTTCCTGGTTAGCTGTATTCCTAGCTGTATTCCTTAGCTGTATTTTATTGTTTTTGTGGCAATTGTGAATGGGAATATCTTCCTGATTTGGCTCTTGGTTTGGCTGTTGTTGGTGTATAGGAATGCTAATGATTTTGTACAAAGTACTGAGACTTTGTTGAAGTTGTTTATCAGCTTAGGGAGCTTTTGGGCTGAGACTATGGGGTTTTTTAGATGTAGAATCATGTCTTCTGCAAACAGGGATAGCTTGACTTCCTCTCTTCCTAAATGGATGTGCTTTATTTCTTTCTTTTGCCTGATTGCTCTAGCCAGGACTTCCTATAGTATGTTGAATAGGAGTGGTGAGAGAGGGCATCCTTGTCTTGTGCTGGTTTTCAAGGGGAATGCTTCCAGCTTTTGACCATTCAGTATGATGTTGGCTGTTGGTTTGCCATAGATGGCTCTTATTATTTTGAGGTATGTTCCTTCAATACCTAGTTTGTTGAGAGTTTTTAACATGAGGTGCTGTTGAATCTTATCAAAAGTCTTTTCTGCATCTATTGAGATAATCATGTGGTTTTGCCTTTAGTTTTGTTTATGTGATGAATTACATTTATTGATTTGTGTATGTTGAACCAACCTTGCATCCCAGGGATAAAGCTTACTTGATCATGGTGAGTAAGCTTTTTGGTGTGCTGTTGGATTTGGTTTGCCAGTATTTTGTTGAGGAATTTTGCATCAATGTTCATCAAGGATATTGGCCTGAAGTTTTCTTTTTTTGTTGTGTCTCTGCCAGGTTTTGATATCAGGATGATGCTGGCCTCATAGAGTGAGTTAGAGAGGAATCTCTCCTCCTCAATTTTTTTTAATAGTTTCGGTAGGAATGGTACCAGCTTTTCTTTTTTTTTTTGGTTGGTAGGCTATTTATTACTGATTCAGTTTCAGAGCTCATAATTTGTCTGTTCAGGGATTCAATTTCTTCCTGGCTCAGTCTTGGAAGGGTGTATATGTCCAGGAATTTATCAACTTCTTCTAGATTTTCTAATTTGTGTGCATAGAGGTGTCCATAATATTCTTTGATGGTTATTTGTATTTTTGTGTAGTCAGTAGTAATATTGCCTTTGCCATTACTAATTGTGTTTATTTGGAGCTTCTCTCTTTTCTTCTTTATTAGTTTTTCTAATGATCTATCTATTTTATTAACTTTTTTTTTCAAAAAAAGAAAAAACCTCCTGGATTCATTGATCTTTCTAATGGTTTTTCGTGTTCCAATCTCCTTGAGTTCAGCTCTGATTATGGTTATTTCTTGTCTTCTGCCAGCTTTAGGATTGGTTTGCTCTTGGTTCTCTAGTTCTTTTAATTGTGATATTAGGTTGCTAAATTGAGAACTTTCTAACTTTTTAATGTGAGCATTTAGTGCTATAAATTTACCTCTTAACACTGCCTTAGGTGTGTCCCAGATATTCTGGTATGTTGTATCTTTGTTTTCATTAGTTTCAAAGAATTTCTTGATTTCTGTCTTAGTTTCTTTAATTACCCCAAAGTCATTCATGAGCAGGTTATTCAATTTCCATGTAATTGTATGGTTTTTAGTAAATTTCTTAGTCTTCATTTCTAATCCGATTGTGCTGTGGTCTGACAGAGTGGTTGTTATGATTTCAGTTCTTTTGTATTTGCTGAGGAGTGTTTTATGTCCAATTATGTGGCCAAATTAAGAGTATGTGCCATGTGGTGATGAGAAGAATGTATGTTCTGTTGTTTGGGGGTGGAGAGTTCTGTAGATGTCTATCAGGTCCATTTGGTCCATTGCTGGGTTCAGGTCCTGAATATCCTTGTTAATTTTCTGCCTCATTGATCTGTCTAATACTGTCAGTGGGGTGTTGAAGTCTTCCACTATTATAGTGTGGGAGTCTAAGTCTCTTTGAAGGTCTCTAAGAACTTGCTTTATGAATCTGGGTGCTCCTGTGTTGGGTACATATATATTGAAGATAGTTAGGTCTTCTTATTGAATTGAATCCTTTACCATTATGTAATGCCCTTCTTTGTCTTTCTTGGTTTAAAGTCTGTTTTGTCTGAAATCAGGATTGCAACCCCTGCTTTTTTTCTGTTTTCCATTCGCCTGCTAGATTTTTCTCCATCCCTATATTTTGAGCCTATGTGTGTCACTGCAAGTGAGATGGGTCTCTTGAAGATAGCATACCAATGGGTCTTGGTTCTTTATCCAGCTTGTCACTCTCTGCCTTTTAATTGGGGGCATTTAGCCTGTTTATATTCAAGGTTATTATTAACATGTGGATGTGATCTTGTCATGTTGTAAGCTGGTTATGCAGACTTGTTTGTGTGGTTGCTGTATAGTTTCACTGGTCTGCGTACTTAAGTGTGTTTTTGTAGTGGCTGGTAACAGTCTCTCCTTTCATATTTAGTGCTTCCTTCAGGAGCTCTTGTAAAGCAGGTCAGTGGTAACAAATTCCCTCAGGATTTGCTTGTCTGAAAGGTATCTTAATTCTCCTTCACTTACAAAGCTTAGTTTGGCTGGATATGAAATTCTGGGTTGAAGTTTCTTTTATTTATGTATGTTGAATACTGGTCCCCAATCTCTTCTGGCTTGCAGGGTTTCTACCGAGAAGTCTGCTGTTAGTCTGATGGGCTTCCCTTTGTAGGTGACCTGACCTTTATAGCTGCCTTTAACATTTTTTCTTTCATTTCAATCTTGGAAAATCTGATTATTATGTGTTTTGAGGATTGAGGATGATCTTCTTGTGAAGTATCTTACTGGGGTTCTCTGCATTTCCTGAATTTGAATGTTGGCCTCTCTAGCTAGGTTGGGGAAGTTCTCATGGATGATATCCTGAAATATGTTTCCAAAGTGCTTACATTCTCCCTATCTCTTTCAGGGACACCAGTAAGTCATAGATTTTGTCTCTTTACATAATCCCATATTTCTCAGAGGTTTTATTCATTGATTCTCATTCTTTTTTCTCTATTCTTGTCTGACTGTCTTATTTCAGAAAGCCAGTCTTCAAGCTCTGAGATTCCTTCCTCTGTTTGGTCTATTCTGCTATTAATACTTGTGATTGAATCATGAAATTCTTGTAGTGTAGTTTTTCAGATCTATCTGGTCAGTTACATTGTTTTCTATACTGGCTATTTTGTCTGTCAGCTGCTATATCATTTTATTGTGATTCTTAGCTTCCTTGGATTGGGTTTCAATGTATGCCTGCATCTCAATGATCCTCATTCCTACTCATATGCCAAATTTTCTTTTTGTCACATCAGCCATCTCAGCCCAGTTCAGAACCCTTTCTGGAGAGGTAGTGCTATTGAAGGCACTCTGGCTTTTTGAGTTGTCAGAGTTCTTGCACTGATCCTTTCTCATCTTTGTGGGCTGATGTTTCTTTAGTCTTTGAAGTTGCTGACCTTTGGATTTTTTTTTCCTTTTATCCTATTCGATGACCTGGAGGGTTTGATTGTGGTATGAGGTGGGTTCAGCTGACTGGCTTCATTTCTGGAAGATTTTAGGGGGCCAATGCTCAGCTCCCAACTCCTGGACTGTGTGCTCTAACTCTAGGGGACCTGTATCAGGCCCTGGTTTTTTTTCTCTGGCTCCTCAAGGTTAGGAATCCACGCTGGGGGTGGGGGTGGGGTTGGGGGTGAGGTGCTTCTGGACCATTGGTCACTATGTTCCAGTGGGTGGTGTCAGCCAGCCAAAGCATTTTGTAGTGTGGTGGCAGTGGGATCTGTCCTTCTTTGTACGTGCCAACAGCAGCAGTGGCAGCAGCATGGTGGGGTGCACACTTATTGGCTGCAGCAGGGTGCCAGTGGGTGCTAGAGTGCCTGCCTCTGTGTGGGTGTTCAGTACAGTAATGAAGGCAGCATGGCTTGGGGGCCAGAGGCCCCTGTGGGCAACTGTGTGCATAGTTGTGCTGGTGGTGGTGGTAGCATGGGGGTGAGGCACTGGCTAGTGCAAGTCTACGTGCACTCTCTCCATCACCACAGTCATGGGTGATCACTCAGGGCAGGGAAAGGTTTTGCTGTTCTCTGTGCCTAGTTTCACTTCTGTGGCAGTGTTGGCATCAGAGTGGGGCACTGGTGAGGGTGTGGCTGGCTGGCTCTGTGCCCCCCAACGCTCCAACTGCAATGGTGGTCCAGCAGAAGAGGGAGGCAGAGTGCACTCTGGCCACAGCAGTGGCAGAACAGGGTGCATGCACACGTGCGTGCTGGCAGGGCAAGGAAGGCAAAACCTGCCTGCACACACATGCACCGGCAAAGCAATGCGGGGGCTGCCGTGGGCCTGGGGGAAGCTGCAACGTGAGGAGGGAGCAGGCAGGCTGGCACATGGCCTTACGGGCTGCCCTACTGGAGCTCTCTGCCAGTCAGCCACAAGTCTACCAGCACAGGAGCTATGATGCGGGCCCCCAGGACACCTGCGGCTGCTCCACAAGCAAGCGCATCCAGGCTGGGTCCCTCAGAGAGGCCAGCAGACCAAGGGGTGCTCAGGTCAGACCAGCCCTGTCTGATGGACAAGACCGCCCTGCAGAGTTCAGGTCTGACAGTTCCTCTAGGACTAAAGTCTCCTGTGGGAGTAAGTCGAGCCTAGGGAGATGGGTTTCTTGTAAAACAGGTCAGTGCTAACAAATTCCCTCAGCATTTGCTTGCCTAAAAAGGATCTTATTTCTCCGCTTATGAAGCTCAGTTTGGCTGGATATGAAATTCTGGGTTAGAATTTCTTCTCTTACGGTATGTTGAATATTGGCCCCCAATCTCTTCTGGCTTGTAGGGTTTCTACTGAGAAGTCTGCTGTTAGTCTGATGGGCTTCCCTTTGTAGGTGACCTGACCTTTCTCCATAGCTACCTTTAACATTTTTTCTTTCATTTCAGTCTTGGAGAATCTGATTATTATGTGTCTTGAGGATGATCTTCTTGTGAAGTATCTTACTGGGGTTCTTTGCATCTGGCTGTGCTCTCCTACAGACGCTCCCACATCAAACCCTCTGGGCTCTGCATCAGCTGGCGTGGCGCCTCTACTTCTCTAAGCACTTCTCCCTGCCAAATCGAGTGTCCATGGTGGTTGAGGGGTCTCCTCCTGCTGGGTTCCAGGGGCCCGTGGAGAGAGTGGGTTGCTCATTGCCAGTTCAACTCAGCCATTCCCCTGGAGTTGTTGGGGGCTGGGAATGAGTCCCCGTGCATGGTAGCCCCATGCAGGATTCCCAGCTTCCTCCCCTTTCAGCCCAGATTCTGTGTCTTCCCTCCAACCACTCTCAGTGTCTTCCCTCTGAAGATCTGTTAGGAGTGCACCAGTCATCTTGTTCCTTTGGTGGCAGCTGTTCCACCTGGCTGCGTCTAGTTGGCCATGTTGGCCAGCACCCCATTCCATTTTCAAAACAAATGCAAGCTGTCTGTGACTTTCTTCCCACTTGGCTTCTCCACTAGCTCCTCAGCCTCCTGTGTTCTCCCTCCCACATGGCCTGCAGCCTCTCCTTCCTTGAAGACCACTCTCTGCTGTCAAGGACCTTTCCTGCTTTCTGAATTTGTGTGTATATGAAAAATGTGAGTTCTTTCCCTTCCAGTTCCCATGAGGCTGTGCTGGGAGCCTAAAGTAAAAAAGGCGGTGGTGGCCAGGCCCAGGAAGCTGGACACCAACCAAAGGGGGTGACTGTATGCACACCGCAGCCCCATGTGGAAGTGACAAGCCAACAACACAGATGCCTGGAGGACCTGCTCCAGGAGAACCGGGGGGCATGGGGACTTTCTGCAGAGAGCCACAGCTGACCATGAGAAGCCTGTTGTTCTTCTTCTTCATGCATCTCCCCCAGCCCATCTTCCTTCAGAGGTGGCCAGCCGAAGCAGCCAGAGATGGTGCTTAAATGACACGCTCAGTTCCCTCTCTTGACAGCACTTGCCAGCCTGAAGAACTAAGCATTTCAAGTGCTTCACTGACCACAGGTTCAGAAAAACTTCAGAAAATTAAGTAGACAGCAGAAATAAATGCTGTGGATGCCAAGTTATCGGCTTGGTGGCTTGTTGATTCAGGTGTTCTCCTGCCTGGATCAGGAGTGAGGACTGGGGAGGAAGGTTGAGTCAGTATTTCTGGGACTTAATGTTTCTGACTATATTTCAAGTCAAATACAAGCGATTTCTTTAAAACTTTATACCTAGTTTCAATTCTCCATGCCTCCTCATCCCTTCATTAAAGAGTGGAGCTCAATGAGAGTTAATTAGGTTATATACAGCAAGAGTGCTGAGTTGCACAGTACTTGTGGCCCAGAGTTGACCTCCATAAACATGAATTTCCTTTTCTTTCTGTCTAGAGGGAATAATCAAAAGTTAAGCCTGATTTTGAAACTACTAACACCAACCACCGCTACTGCAGACCTGTGAATGCCAATTATGAAGTTCACAGACAGGGGTTTGTCAAAGGTTTCCTCAAAACACACTGAATCTGGCCTTCCACATGGAGTGAGCCTTTGAGGACTGGGTTTTGGTGACAGAAACTTACTGGGGGAGTCATCACTGCAAAGAAGGGTAGGTTGGGCTCAATTGTGGGCTGAGCTGGTGTTCCCCAGGTCTTTTCCCTCAATTTGTGCAACAGTTAGAGAGTGGAATAGCTCCAGGAGAAGCATAAGAACACCACCACATGGGGCCAGGGAAAGAACTGCCACACTTCACCTTGGGTCACACAGCTCCTTTCACAGCCTCCACACCTCGGAGCTCACATGCATGAGCAGAGATGGGGCTGAGCCTAATGAGGGTCCCCATTTCATTGCCCAACTTTGGTATATTCTGAAAAACTAGACTTAAAGAAAGAGAGCCTAGCCATTGTGCTTCCTCCAACAGCACAGGGATGCGTCCCTTCAAAAACTACTCTGATGGAGTGAGTGACACAAAGACTCAGGGGAAAAGAGCTGCTTTCAAAGTACTCTAGTGAAGTCTGTATTTTATTCACCCATGTTCAAGTGAAATCTTGACTGCAGCATAAGAGACTTCAGTCAGACACTGAGAAGTTTTTGAAACTAAAGAAAGAAAGGCATCAAACCAGGAGTGGGCAAACTCTGCCCCTGGGCTAAACCAGCAATCCCCTATTTTGGTGTGGCTAGTGAGTTAAGCCTGGTTTTTACATTTTTAAATGGTCAAAAAGAAATATCAAAAGAATAACAGTACTTGGTGACACATGGAAATTATATAAAATTCAAACTTCCTTGTCCATAAATAAAGTTTTATTGGAACACGGCACCCTCATTTGTTCACATATTGCCTATGGATGCTTTTGTGCTGCAACAGCAGAGATGAGTAGTTGTGATAGAGACTGTAAGGTCCACAAAGTGGAAAATATTTATTCTCTGGACCTTTATGAAAAGGCTGCCGGGCCCTGCACTAGGCAATGGTGTGCACTGATGCTCTGCATACCATCTCTCTGGAGAATCTCTTCAGGAGATTGCAGTGTATTTGGGTTTGAAGGCGAGACATGGGTAAAATGACCTCAGAAATGCCTTCCTCTCATGTTGTGGGAGAGGCTGTACCTATTCCTAAGGTACAGACAGCAGGAACGACTTTGTTATAACTCAAGTTGATGCCTTTCTACTTTTAGTTTCAGAAGGTTCTTCTCGTGTCTTACTTAAGTCCCTTACGTTACTGTTATCATTTCCCACAATCCTGGAGAGCTACTGAGGCAGAGAGGAAATAGCCCTGGAATCTGACAGCAAGTAAAGGCCAGAAATAGAATGAACTCAGGAGGTCCGGCTCCTAGTAGAGTTTGGGCAGATCCTTCCTTCCAAGACAGAACTGGTGGCATCTTTTCTGTTAAGGATGTCACCTCCCACGGGGCAAGCTCTAACCCAAGACAGGAAGACATCTGGCATTCTCAGTGGGCAGGCCTACCTGGGACCCCACTTACCTGCATATCCTTCCTGGCGATGAAGCCCTTGCCTTCAGCATCACAGGTCTGAAAGAACTCCTGTGCCTTCCTCAGCATGACTAGCTGGCCCGACGTTTGCTCCTGAGTCTCCTTCTGCTCCAGGCTGTCCAGGGGATGCAGGCAGGCTCCACTCCCCTTTGGCCCCTGGCCAGACCCCTGACCAAGTCTCTGGGGTCTGGAGACTACCCTCCCGTCAGGGGCAGCCATCGCGATTAGTCAGTTTCTTGAAGTCTTTTTCAGAACCTGAACATAGAAAATGGGAGAGAGAAGTGGGTGTGGTGGGTTGGAGTGAGGCTGAAAAAGAACAAGAGGGGATGAGAAGGAAGCACAGAGCCATACACCAGTGTGTCCAGGAATCTCTTAGCAACTACCTCTTAATTAGCAAAAGCTCAGGACAAGGGGAAAATATTCCATGATCACTAATAGATCAGCAAGCCCATCAAAGGGAGGAGGGAAGAGTGCGGAAAGAAGACAGACATCTCCAGATTGAAAGGAGATGGAATAGGGGAAGCCCAAAAATAATTTCTTCCCATTTAAACAACCAAACAACAACAAAACAGATCCTGATAGACCAGCTGCCATTTATAGAGCGTTTACTTAGACACCATGCCATGGCCTCTATATACATTTTTTTCATGTAATTCTCACATCTCTCTGACATAGCCATTATCATCTTCATTTTAGCAGTGTGAAAACTGAGGCTCAGAGAGGTTGCGTGACTTGCCCAATATCACACAGCAAATTACTACAAAAGCTGAGATTGAAATCCAAGCCTGTACAACTTGTATGATCTCAGTCCCACCCTGTCCTGACTCCTCAGCATTGCTGAGGGTGGAAAGCTCTCCTCAGGTGGATGCACTTGCTCCTACATCATTCACAGTCAACAAGTTCTTGGTGAGCTCTTGCCCAATGTCATAGACCTCGGCCACAGCTGTGAGCTCTGCAGTTTATTTACGTAGGAGAAAATGTGCCCCATTCTCAAGGAGCTTCATGTTGTAGAGGACTTGCCAGGCCTGGTTTGGTGACACCCAAGGCTGTTTTCAGCCCAAACCGAATCACAAATCATACACTTCAATCAGACTTTTAAAGACCCTGAAGGAGTGTTTTCAGAGGGTGTCTTGCAATGTGATGTGGAAGAGGGCATACGGAAACCTGGCTTCTGGACTCCACTGCTGCTTATATGACCTTGAACAAGTCGGTACCTGTCTGGGCCTCAGTTTCCTTATCTGTATGAGGAGAACACTGGACCTGTTTGTCTTTAAGGTCCCTTCTAGTTCTGAGCATCTGTAAGTCTGTGAAATCGCCACATCATAAAATGTTATGAATTATAAATGTTATTAATACAAAACTAAGTTCATGGGATAAAAGGAAATAATAACATCCTTGGATTTTTTTTTCCATCTGAAGACTTTTTGGAAGTAGAATAGGTCCACATTTTAAATACACGATGACATTTGGGTTTAAAAATAGAGATATGCACTGTCATGCATTTTGTGGCGAGCTGGAGAATGTGATGCTCTGGATCATATTTCCTGTGTCCATGTGAGTAAGAAAGGAGGAAAAGAAGTGAATCACCAGGCAGGTTTCTCTGATTACCAGGCCCTGGGCCTCAGGCTCAGCTATACCATGTCCAGAGCAATGTAAAATCTGTTGATTTCAGTGATGATCTTCCACTTAACCAGATTTGTCAAGAGCTGTGGGCCAGAGCTGGAAGAGCTCCTGGCCTCAGGAATGAACTTCATGTAATAAGGCCTTGACATTGCAGATCAGGCTACACCCTTTGCTCCGTGTGGCTGAACATGTAATTCCCACACTGACCCATCTGACCAGCCCCATCCTCAGGAAATGTTCTTTCTCGTCATCTCTGTGTGTGAACTGACCATCACCTAATCCTAAGCAGATTTAACATTTTCATTCTGTCTTCCCCAGAGGGAGCTGCCTTGGATGGAAGCCTGAGGGGGCAGGGCTGTGTCTCCATGGCTTTTATGTGCATTGTTCAGCCCGCCTGCATGAAGTGCTGGCTTTGGAAGGGCTTTTGGATAATGATGGTGGTAACGTGAGCTTCTGTAAATATACCACATGAGCAGAACAGGCTGTTGTCTTCCTGGTACCTTGCCGGGACTCTGTCTGCAAGGTCTCTGCACCCAAGAGGCCCCACCCTACTCCCACCTGCTGCTCCCAGGAGATGAGGTTAATAATATCTGTCATTCCTTGAGTGCTTTCTCTTGCCAGGCCCCTAGCATACTTCATCTTATTGAACCTGACATCCTCCCATATGGTAAGTATAATTAGGATTCCCATTATACAGATGAGGAAACTGAATTTTGGAGAGGTTAATTTGTATCAGGGTCTAGCACAGTCAGAGACCTCTTCTGCTATACACATTGCCTTCCTGAGACCCAGTTGTGGGCTTGCTCTTAACAGTGTACTCATCCCCAACTGATCTAAATCACCTCCCAGAGGCATATTCATCATTTTAACGGGAACGTCTTTAATTCATTCATTCATTCATCCATTCATTTATTTCCATCTACTGATTACCATGCAGCAAGCTCTGAGCTAACACTGTGAAATAGTGTTAGGTGAAATAGTGAATAGGACATGGTCCCTGCCCTTAATGAATGAGTCTCTGAGAGTCCCTAATGGTGGGATTTCAATAATGGTGACTGATAGTTGGGGAAGATGTTTTAGATTGAGTCCTATATAGACTCTGTAGTAATCAACTACTATTAAATAGCTGTGTGACCTTAAGTGAGCCCTCAAGTCACTCTGGGCCTGAGAAATAGTAGAGAGGATTTCTTAGTTCCAGATCTGATGTTTGCTGGCTTTCTAACTTCCCTAGACCACTTTCCCTCTACCTCTGCCCACCTGGTAACAACAGGTGATGCATGACATGAAAGAATCAACTAGTAGTTCTAGAGAAGTCAGCTATGAGCAACCAGTAGACAGGCACCATGTCTTATTCGATTTTACCGCCAGTTTCTAGCCTAGAATATGGTACATAGTAGTACTCACTGATCATTGCATGAAGGAAGATCAATCTTTTGCTGAAGTCTTCAGAGGAGGGCCTGCAAGCATTTTTATTTCAGGCAGGTAGCTCTATATGTGGAATTTTTATCTTATAATGAGTAAGTCTAGACTTCTGTTTCCAGAAAAGATGTAGTATCAGAGGCTGGATTTACCCTCCCAATTGAAATAACCAAAATTCCAGAGAGAATATAACTTTAAAAATGGTTTTCAAGACACTAGACACCAGGAATGAAGGATGGTGATCCTTAAGCAGGGGCAGGACTATATTGAGCTGAGTGAAGCCCCTACCGAACAGGATTTAAAAAGACATCTACTCTCAGGAGCTAACCCTGCACTTACACAACCCTGAGAATTAGTATCTTCCTAAGAGTCAGCTGCTTAGGGTACAAAAATCTAAGGAGGCTTTCACTTGCAAAATTGTGCATCTGACAGTGATTTCTGCCTTAAATTTTTTTTGTCATAGGGGCTTCACTTATCTTACTCTAGTTCAAGCTCTGTTCCTGAGACATAGGAAAGAAACAAAATGAACCCCAAGTGTGCCCTGTCTTATTATCTAAAGAGTTTTTAGGTCATGGCACGGGGAGGGGAAACACAGGCACAGCTTGGTAGACTACCTATGTTGAGGAAACCCAACTATATCCTGCCTACAAGAAATGTGCTTTACACATAAAGACACAAACTGTTAAAAGTAAAAGGCTGGAAAAAGATATAACACATTAACATTAGTTAAGAGAATACTGCATATTAATATCAGGCAAAATGGATTACAGAAGGAAGGATATTAGCGGGAATTAAAAAGTCATTTCGTATTGATAAAAGGTCAATCCATCAATATGCTATAATAATGCTAAACACTTATGTGTCTAATAGCAGAGCTTCAAAATACACAAAGCACAAACTGATTGAACTCCAAGGAAAAATAGCAAAGTCACAATGATATCCAAAGATTTCAATAACTTTCTCTCTCAATAATTTATAAAACAAGTAGACAGAAATCCGTAAGGATACAGATGATTTGAATACTATCAACCATCTTGACTTAATTGACATTTATAGAACACTCCACCCAATGACAGCTAAATATACTTTTCAAATACACATGGAATACTGACCAAGATAATCCATATTCTGGGTCATAAAATGAGTCTTAATAAATTTAAAAGAATTCAGTTTGTACAAAGTATGTACTCTGACCACAATGGAATTACATTAGAAACCAATAACAGAGAGACCTCTGGAAAATGTCCAAGTATTTGGAAAGACAGTAACACACTTCTAAACAACTCATGGGCCAAAGAAAAAAAGGAAAGGGGAAATGAAAAAATATATTGAACTAAATGGAAAAAAAAAAGCACAATATATCAAATGTTGTGGGATACTGCTAAAGCAGTACTAAGGAAAAAATTTATAGCGCTAATCATATATACTTGGAAAGAAGAAAGGGCTCAAATCAATGACCTCAGATTTTACCTTGAGAAACAAGAAAAATAAATACAAATTAAACCCAACGTAAGGAGAAAAAAATAATAAGGATCGGAGAAGAAAAAATGAAATAGAAAGCAGAAAAGCAATGGAGAAAATCAACAAAACTAAAAGCTGGTTCTTTGAGAAGATTAATAAAGAGACAAGACACAAATTACAATAGTAGCAATGTGAGGTGATATCATTACAGATACTATAGACATTAAAAGGCTAATAAGAGAATATTATGAATAACTTTATGCCAACAAACTTGACAATTTAGATTAGATGAACTGATTCCTTGAAAAACACTAAATACCACAGCTCACTCAAGGAGAGATAGATTACATGAATAATTCTATATCTGCCAAAGAAATTGACCTGATAGTTAAACAAAAAATCTTCCCACAAGAAAACTTCAGGTCCGCATAGCTAAATTGATGAATTCTATCAAATATTTAAAGAATAAGTAATACCAATTCTATACCGACTCTTTCAGAAAATTGAAGACTAGGAAATACTTCCTAACATATTATATGAGGCTAGCATTACCCTGATACCAAAACTGAATGAAGATATTACAGAAAAAAAATAGGCCAATATCCCTTATGAACACAGATGTAATCATTCTTCAGGAAATTGTAACAGATTGAGTTCAACACCATATAAAAAGATGATAATCCTGACCAACCAGGGTTTATCTGAGAAATGCAAGAATGGTTTAACATTTGAAAATCAATAATGTAATTTACCATATTAACAAATTTTAAAAGATAAACCTTTTGATCATCTCAATAGATACAGAAAACGCATCTGACAAAAGCTACTCCTGATAAAAACTAAGAGAACTAGGAATAGGAAGGAACTGGCCCAACACGAAAATGGGCATCTACGAAAACAACAGCTAACATCATACTTAAGGGTGAAAGACCAAATGTTTTGCTCCTGGGGTCAAGAAAAAGACAAGAATATCTGTTCTTACCACTTCTATTCAACATTGTGTTGGAGATTTTAGCTAGCTCAATGGAGCAAGAAAAAGAAATAAAATACATTCAGATTGGAAAGGAAAAAGTTAAATTGTCTTTATTCCCAGACAGCAGGAGTGCTTATATAAAAAAAATCTGATGAAATTCACAAAAAGCTACTTATAAAATAAGTGAATTTGACAAGGTTGCAGGACACACACTCAGTATATGATAATCAATTGTATTTATCTATACTAACAAAAAAAAATTAAAATTGAAATAAAAATATCATTTGCAATTGTATAAAAATATGAGATATGAATATATCTGACAAAGGATGTCTAATACTTATACACTGAAAGCTATAAAATATCAATGAGAATACAAAGAAGACCTAAAACAAATGGAGAGATATGCCATGTTCATGGGATCGAGAGACTCAATATTATTAAGATGTCATTTCTTCCTAAGTCCAATAGATTCATCTCAATTCCAGTCAAAATCCCACCAGGCTTATTTGTAGAAACTGATAACCTGATTTAGAATTCACACAAAAATGAGAAAAACCTAGAATAGCCAAAACAACTTTGAAAAAGAAGAACAAAATTGGAAGACAAACACTACCTGATTTCAAGACTTATTATAAAGCTATAGTAGGCAAGACAGTGCTACTGGCATAAAGACACACAAACAGATAAATGGAACAGAATATAGAACAGAGAAGCCAAAAATAGACCCATGTATATAAATGATTTTTTGGCAAAGATGCAAGGCAATTCAGAGGATAAAGCATAGATTTTTCCAACAAATGATACTGAAACAATTGAATATCCATTTGCAAAAACAGCTTTTTTGTTTTTTGTTTTGAGACAGAGTCTTGCTCAGGCTGGAGTGCAGTGGCGCGATCTCTGGCTTACTGCAAGCTCCACCTCCCAGGTTACGCCATTCTCCTGCCTCAGCCTCCCGAGTACCTGGGACTACAGGCGCCCGCCACCACGCCCAGCTAATTTTTTATATTTTTAGTAGAGATGGGGTTTCACCATAGCCAGGATGGTCTTGATCTCCTGACTTCATGATCCGCCCACCTTGGCCTCCCAAAGTGCTGGGATTACAGGCATGAGCCACCGCACCCAGCTGCAAAAAGAATTTTAATTCGCACTTTGTACCATATACAAAAAATAACTACAATGTATCATGGACCTAAATGTAAAACCTGTAAACATAAAACTTCAAGAAGGAAACATCTTTGTGACCTTAGCTTTGGCAAAAGTTTCTTGGGTATAACAACAAAAGTGCAATTCATTTGAAAAAAATACGACAAATTGGTCTTCATCAAAATTTGAAACATCTGCTCTTTGAAAGATACAATTTAAGTGAATGAAAAGCAAGCCACAGACTGAGAAAAAGTATTTACAAAACACATATCTAATACAGGGTTTTTATCTAGAACACATAAAGAACTTTCAAAACTCATTAATAAGAAAACAAACAACCCACTTTTTAAAATGGGCAAAACATTTGAACAGGCACTTCACCAAACAAGATATAGGGATATCAAACAACTACATAAAAAGATATTCACCCTCATTACTTATAAGAGACATGCAACTGAAAACCACAATGAAATACCACTACACACCTATTGGAATGGCTAACATTATGAAGATTGACTGTACCAACTCTTGGCAAAGATGTGGAGCACCTGGAACTCTCATATATTGCTAGTAAAAATGTAAAGCAGTACCATTCCTTTGGAAAACATTTGACAGTTTCTTAGAAAGTCAAACAAGTGTTTAATCCAGCCATCCTAGTCCTAAATATTTACTCAAGAGAAGAAAAGCATGTGTACATACAAAGACTTGTACATGACTGTTCATAGCACTTTTATTTGTAATAGCAAAAAACAATGACCCAAATGTTCGTTGACAGGTAAATGGATAGACAAATTATGGAATGCCATTCTTAATTAAAGGGAATGAACTGTTGATCCAAAGCACCAAAATGAACAAATCTCAAAATAATCATGTGAGTGACAGAAGCCAGACAAGAAAGGCACATTTCATTTATATAAAACTCTAAAAAATGAAAACATTTGTTAGAAGAAAAGAAGTGACAGTAGGCAGGAGTGAGAAGGAGGGATTACCAAGGGGCAACAGGAAATTTTGGGGGGTGTGGATATGTCTGCTACCTTAAGTTCATGAATATGATATATGATTCCATGATAGTTTCCTGGACTTATTTATTCATACACACACACATATACACATATACAAATGTATATTAAAACTGATCAAATGGTACACTTTACATATAATGCAGTCTATTATATGTCAATAGCTGAACACATCTATTAAAAAATAGAAAAGAAGAATGGGTCTGGGTCAGAACCTTCTTCTGTCTCCCAGGCCTTGCAAATCTAGTCCAGTCCATTGTACTTATCCCAGGAGCCTGATTCTGTCTTTTACATTCAACTCTGGCAAGCAGGAAATGGCTGAAAATTAAGCAATTTCCCTGTGAAAACTTTCAGTCTGTTTGTGGAGGGAGCTAAATAAACCCTACAAATAAAGAAGCAGGCAGAGCCCCTTGTGAAGACCACTGATCTAACACGACTTCAGCCTCTTCTCTCTTAACCCTGTGTCCCCTGGCTAGACCTGCAGTCTTTGCTGAGCGTCTGTGGCTTTCTCAAGACCAGTGGAAAACAAAACAGCAGAAGTGCTTCTACTTTCATTTCCAAATAAAGTGGAAGCCCTGCATGAGCTCGGCTGTCTCCCATTTGGATGAAGCCCAAGGATGCCTTAATCTCAGGGCTAGACATAGCTTTTTGTCTCAGAGATTTGCCATTAGACCAACAGACAGTAAGCACATCCATAAAGGAGGAAATGGTGGAGTATATTCTAAAGGCAAAGGGAAAAGACCACCACAAGGAGAAAAGAGAAAATACTTTTTATCTGCCTGACTCTGTGAGAGTTTCCAGGCCACTCTCCTCCCTCCAGAATGATTCCATAAAAGCCGTTATAAACAGATGGGAATTATCCAGTCCTTAAATATATCCAGGAAGATTTCCCAGATATCCAAGGTAATTCTAGCAGCTTAGTAACTGCTACAATCAGAAAGTTCGTAGATCAAACCTAAATCCCTCCTAAGGGTTCTAAGCTAATTTTCCCCTTAATCTAGAGAACAGCTGGTATCTCCTTCCACACCACACCAGTGGCAAACCTGAAAGCAGCCGCTAAGTCATCCAGATTTCCCTTGAATGTCTCCTGCAGCACAGAGTTAGGAAACTGAAAGGCCAAAAAGCATCTCCAGGATCCATTGACATCTCTTTAACCACCCAGGCTTCAGTGGGAGGGATCCTCCATAAACAGCAGTACCTGGAAGCCCCAGTGATTAACTCGGAGCTGGCGATGCCTGATAAAGGCAAAGAGATAGGTGGGTCTCTTCAAACTGCAGAGAGGAGGAGGACTTGGGATTAGTATCTGATGTGAGTGCCGTCTTGTGGAACAGACCCCTTAAACTGTGGGGTCCGCACTAACTGGATAATGTCGGAATTGAATTGACTTATAGGATACACATTTGGTGTCAGAAAAAAAGACACTACAATATTTAACAATCAATTTTCTGGGTTGGTGTAGGGGGCATCCCTAATTTGTAGCATCTGCCTATCTCTGTGGTGTCAATATTCCCACTGTGACCAATTTCAACCTACCAACAATCTATCAGCTCTCACCAAGAAAGAGATTGAGTGGCTGATGTTTCTGGAAAAGGGAATCAGCATCCCTAGCACTGTTTGCACAGGTGATAGTAGCTGATACCTCTTTAGAAAGTATCCCCTCAACCCTAAACGTATAGGGCAGGACCCATTATTAAATGTCTTAGTACTTGGGGGGAAACGTGGGGTTTCACAGGGGGATCACCAGTTCTTCATGCCTGTGCCTCTTCTATACACCCCATGACCTGGGCAGGCCCTTGAGTGGGGGCAGGAGACAAGGCAGATGCAGGGACCCTGATGGCGAGGAACAGAGATGCTGAGCTGCGTCTCACAGGGCTGCTCTCTCCACCCCCGTGCAGGAGGAAAGCACTTGGCACAGGAGCCAAACCCAGCCAGAAATGAGACTTGTCCCTGTTCCATAGGAGAGTGTTATTTATTTCTTTGACACATAGTGAAGTAGGGGGCTTTGGACAAATACCACCCCTTCTCTGATAGGCCTCCTGCTGTGGTGGATAAGAACATAAATTCCAAGGCCAGAGTGCCTGAGTTAGCTGTATGACTCTGGCAAGTTTCTTAAGCTCTCTGAACTTCATTTTCCTCATCTGTAAAATGAAGGGCCAGGGTAGCAACTTACATGTGTCAGCTATTACTTATTTATTTAGAGACGGAGTCTCACTCTGTTGCCCGGGCTGAAGTGCAGTGGCATGATCTCAGCTCACGGCAACCTCTGGCCCCTGGATTCAAGCAAGTCTCCTGCCTCAGTTTCCCAAGTAGCTGTGATTACAGGTGTGTGCCACCACGCCCAGCTAATTTTTTTATCACTTTTAGTAGAGTCGGGGTTTCACCACGTTGGCCAGGCTGGTCTTGAACTCCTGACCTCAAGTGGTCCACCTGCCTCAGCCTCCCAAAGTGCTGGGATTACAGGCATGAGCCACCACACCCAGTCTGTCAGCTATTATTACTACATTGAAATCAAATTGGCTTCCTCCACCTCAGATTATATTATAATAAAATGAACTAATAAAAGAACGAAAAACAAAACAAAACAAAATTACATGAAGAGAAACAACCAAGAGGTCCAAAAATCTACCCTTGACTCCCCCAGCTGGACAGGATTTCCTGGTGTGATTTTCCCTACCCCAGGCCACCAAGAAGGTGAATATGCCCCACCAGCCATATAAAGGGGCAGGTGGATGGAGGTGCATTTGACTGCCTTTGAAATGCGCAGTCTTTCCACTCTGCAGCCTGCTGTAGCTTCTGCCATGCTCTATCCAGCATCCCTTCTCCTCAAATTAGGTCCAATTTTCTTGTTCTAGTCTCAAGGGAGACAGGGAACAGCTGTCTCCTACCTCTGTAAAATACTCTTCCAGGTCTGGACAACTATCATTAAACAGCCCCCTTCACACTTCTCTTGCTCTATTATAAGATACATTAAAAGCCTTGATAATGATTTGAGGTCTCTGTGAGATGGTTGCTGTTCACCCTAATTCCTTCAATAATTAGTGGTTGTAAACCACTTTGAAGATAAAAGGCATTTTATAAGAACTAAGCCCTATTATGATTAGCTTTCCAATATTTCCTTGCTAAAGCCAATGAGAACATCAAAGCCAAACATAGCCACAGCATGGTATCTGGTGGTTAATTAGATGTATTTCAAGGCGTCTGGTATATATTAAAGAAACTGCTACAAAATTTATCAACATTAAAAAAGTGTCTGCTTTCTTCCCATGAACAAGCTTTTTTCAAAGGCTGTCAGTGCTGATGCCTGCAAGACAAGTGCCTGAAGAGGACAAATTGCTCATGTATTCCCTGGGCCCGGAAGAGAGAGATGTAATAATAACACCTGGCTTGGTATAACATCCTTTCTTATCGTTGTCTATACAATTCTATATATACCAGATCTCCTTTTGTTTTGTTTTTGCAATTATGCTGTAATATAAGCAAGTAAAGTAACACTATCCCCACTTTACAGGTAAGGAAGTTGCATATGATGATGAAGTTTAGAAGCAGATCAGTGTGATGTATCTGGACAAAGTCGGGGCTGCAGATCCGTTATCAAGGTGGTATTATCGATGCTCCATTCAGATACCCTTGAATACTTTTTGTGGACCCTCCCTCAGCATCCGTGTGCTTTCGCTTCTATCTTTCTGAACCTGTAACTCTTAGAAGGTGGACCCTTGAGCTATTGATTGACCCACTTTGTCCACATGGACAGAGCCAGAAGTGCCTGGAAGTTTCCCCCACCCCTCTAAAGAGCCCTTATCCAACGACTGACAGGCGTGGAATTATGAAAGCCCGGTCCTCCTGCCTCCAGAGGGGACAAACTCTAGTTGTGATTTACACTTTAGAACACTTTTCTGGGGACAGAGGCTGGAACTTTGCTGAGATCTCACTATGTGTGGCTTTCTCCTACCTCCCATCCTGCTTCCCCATCCCTTATCAGGTTCCCCTGGAAGCATTTTCTTTTCTTTTCTTTTCTTTTTTTGAGACGGAGTCTCACTCAGTCGCCCAGGCTGGAGTGCAGTGGCGCCATCTCGGCTCACTACAAGCTCCGCCTCCCGGGTTCGCGCCATTCTCCTGCCTCAGCCTCCCGAGTAGCTGGGACTACAGGTGCCCGCCACCACGCCCGGCTAATTTTTTGTATTTTTTAGTAGAGACGGGGTTTCACCGTGTTAGCCAGGATGGTCTCGTTCTCCTGACCTCGTGATCCGCCGGCCTCGGCCTCCCAAAGTGCTGGGATTACAGGCGTGAGCCATCATGCCCGGCCAGCATTTTCTTAATAAATCACCTGAATATGACTCTTCCTCTCAAGGTTGGCTTCTGGGAGCCCAATCTAAGATAATTCTTTTGACCCAACATTAATGACAACATTTTGTATATTTTCTATGCGATATATTCTCCCAGTTCCAAACCTTCAAGTCTCCAGACCTAAATATCTATGTTTTCTGTGTCTGCTCCTAGGCCCTTAACTCTTAGCACTCTATTCTCAAAGCCTCTCTTTCTCTTGGATTATGATGTTCCAACTCTTTCTGGAAAAATGGTTGCAATTTCTCCAGCTACGTGGAAGGCACTGAACCTGGCAGCTGATGTGGGAGATACAGATTTGTATTGTCTTTCACAATGCACTGACAATCTAGCAGGGGACAACGTACAAACAGCAGAGGTAGAGGAGGTGAGAAGAGCCACTTGTGTGTGCAATAAAAACTGTAGGCACAAACAACTCTCAGAGCGGTCCCCAAAAATAAAACTACTCTCCAGTAATTTTCTACACCATACAATTCTGACTCATTTTACTTAATTTTTGAAGCAGAAGCTTCTCTCAAATGTTTAAGGAAATGAAAGTCAGCTATGGTAGAGATAATCCAAATGAGTGGATAATCCAATAAAGAGGAGGTTTTCTTTAAATCTGCTTTGCATTATTCTTTATAGTAGCACCACAGGAAGCTGTTTCAGAAAAGTTAAGTAATTTATTGTAGGAAAACAGCTAATTCATGAATTCAATCTTAAGTCTGCCTGACTCTTTACAACCTCAGTTTCTGGCTGGGCGCAGTGGCTCACGCCTGTAATCCCAGCACTTTGGGAGGCTGAGGTGGATGGATCACTTGAGGTCAGGAGTTCACAACCAGCCTGGCCAACATGGTGAAACTCCGTCTCTACTAAAAATAAAAAATTAGCCGGGCATGGTGGCACATGCCTGTAATTCCAGTTACTCAGGAGGCTGAGGCAGGAGAATCGCTTGAACCCGGGAGGTGGAAGTTGCAGTGAGCCAAGACTGTGCCACTGCACTCTGGCCTGGGCGACAGAGCGAGACTCCGTCTCAAGAAAAAAAATTAGAAAGTAAATAAAACCTTGGTTTCTTTATCTGTACAATGAGGCTAATGATTCTTACTTGCAGAATTGTTGTAAGGATTAAACAAAAATAATGCACCCAGCATATCGAAAATACCTGATACAATATGGACTACATGGTAGCTGATTGTTATTATTATCATTCCCAGATATAATATGATTGAACCAGAGGCATTTTGTATGCACATATTAAAGGCTCCTAATGTGTATTACTAAACTGCTTTCCAGAAAACAGTTAAACAAAGCCCTAAGAACACTGCTAGGAAGACCTGTCTAAAATGCAGACCTGATCATGCCTCCCTGTTGTTTTCAGTGTCAATCTTAAACACACAGGACCACTACTACTTCTTTGGAGTCATCTCCCTCTTCTCCTACCACGTTCACTTCCTTCCAAAGTATTTCCTGTTCTCTCAGCTTTTTTGTGCCTCAGCATCTTCAAATATATAGCTCAGTCATCTGGCATGCCCTTTCTGTTTGTCTGTGCTAAGTCTTACCAGTATTTAATATCTCACTCTATTCCAGCTAATATAACAAAATACCATAGACTGGATGGCCTATAAACAATAGACATTTATTTCTCCCAGTTCTGGAGGCTGGAAGTCTGAGATCAGGTGCCAGCATGGTTGGGTTCTGGTGAGGGCCCTCTTCTGAGTTGCAGATTGCAACTTCTCACAGTGTTCTCACATGGTAAGAAAGATGGGAAGTTGGCCGGGCGCAGTGGCTCAAGCCTATAATTGCAGCACTTTGGGAGACCAAGGTGGGTGGATCACAAGGTCAAGAGATGGAGACCATCCTGGCCAACATGGTGAAACCCCGTCTCTACTAAAAATACAAAAATTAGCTGGGCATAGTGATGCGTGCCTGTAATCCCAGCTACTCGGGAGGCTGAGGCAGGAGAATCGCTTGAACCCAGGAGGCGGAGGTTGCAGTGAGCCAAGATTGTGCCACTGCACTCCAGCCTGGCGACAGAGCGAGGCTCCACCGCAAAAAAAAAAAAAAGAAAGAAAGAAAGAAAGAAAGATGGGACGTTTACTAGGTCCTCTTTTATTAGGGCACTAATCCCATTAGAGTCCTCAAAGGCCCCATTTCCTACTATCATCCACTTGGGAGGTTAAGTTTCAACATAATGAGTTTTAAAGTGACACAGTTATTCAGTCCGTAGCATTCCAAGCCTGATTTCCCCAACTCATGTCCTTCTCACATGCAAAATACACTCGTTCCATTCCAACAGCCTCAAAAGTCTCAACTCGTTCTAGCATAAACTCAAAGGCAGAAAGTCCAAAATCTCATGTAAATATCATGTAAATTAGATATGGTTGAGACTCGGTATTATTCATTCTAAGACAAATTCCTCACCAGCTGTGAACCTGTGAAATCAAACAAGTTAGGTGCTTCCAAAAACAATGATGGGACAGGGGCACGACAGATGTTCCATCTCTAAAGGGATAGGCTGAGAATGTTCCAAGTCTTTAAGTTCTCTGCCTTTGACTCGCAATTTCATCTTAAGTCATAGTCCTCCTCTCAAATTTTACTTTAAGCAGTCGAGAGAAACTAGGCCACTCCTTTAAACTTTGCTTAGATATTTCCTCAGTCAAATATCCAATTTCATCACTTGCAGGTTCTACCTTCTACAAAACACTGATGTGAGCACAACTTAGCCAAGTTCTTTGCCACTTTATAACAAGACTGGCCTTTCCTCTAGTGTCTAATAACATGTTCTTCATTTTCATCCGAGACCTCATCAGAATGGCTTTTATCATCCATATTCCCACCAGTGTACTGTTCAGGATGACTTACATCTTCTTTAAGATTGAGGCCTTCTCTACAGCTCTTCTCTTCTTCTGAGCCCTCACCAGAACCACCTTTAAAAGTCAGGTCATGGCAATGTAGGCTTTTTCTAGCATGTACCTCAAAATTCTTTCAGCCTCTGTCTATTACCCATTCCACAGCCACATCCACATTTTTAGGTATTTATTACAGTGGCACTTGGTAACAAATTCAGTATTAGTTAGAGTTTAACATACAAGATGCTATACTGAGGTGGAATAAAAGGCCATCCAAAGGGCTAAATTTTGACATTTTCTCCAAACCATAGTCTTTCTTGTATGAATCACTATGAGTTTGGATAGCATATTATTATCATGGATTTTAGTGGCTGGTTGAAAATGAGAGGAAAACAAAGACAACAATGAATCTAGCCTGCAGAGATAACCCCACTTGGTATCTTAGCCAACAGTTCCCAATTATTTCCCCATCAAACCCCTAGTCTTCATTCCCTCTGCCTTCCCTATTCTCATCCTGTCTCAACCCCATCTGTCAAGAGGCTAGCAGAACCATAGTATCATAGAAAGGTTCAGGCATCAAAAATAAAGTTCAAGTGTGAACTTTGCCACCCTGTGACCTTGGGAAGTTGGCCATTTTTTTTTTTAAAGTGGGGATAACAGTTTCCTCCCTGCCTATCTGTATTAGGTCATTCTTGCATTGCTATAAAGAAATACTCGAGACTGGGTAATTTAAGAAGAAAAGAAGTTTAATTGGCTTATGGTTCTGCAAGCTATGCAAGCATGGTGCGAACATCTGCTTGGTTACTGGGGAAGCCCCAGGGAGCTCTTACTCATGGCAGAAGGTGAAGCAGGAGCTTGCATGTCAGATGGCAAAGCAGGAGCAACAGAGAGAGACACAGTTGGGGGTGAGGTACCACACACTTTTAAATGACCAGATATCATGAGAACTCACTCACTATGGTAAGTACAGCACCAAGCCATGAGGGATAGTGCTAAGCCATTCATGAGGATTCACCCCCATAATCCAATCACCTCCCACCAGGCCCACCTCCAAAACTAGGGATTACAATTCAACATGAGATTTGGGCAGTGACAAATATCCAAACTATTACTATATTACTATCCCATGGGAAGTGGCTGAAATGAGACAGCAGATGTGAAAGTGAACAGTGATGCTGTACACCAAAGTAAACACACCCTCCTCATTGCCAAGGGAGGCTGGACAGCAGGGAAATCAGGATTGGACAGGCTCCACAGTGGAACTGGCTCTGTGAGTGACCAGTGGCTGAGGAGCAGCTCTTTGCAGAGAGGGGCTAGCAGACCCTCTCTGGAGGCTTCCAGACCCTCGTGCCCACATGTAAAAGAGCTGGGCAAAGTGACAAAACCCCCTCTCCCAGAGGCCTCCCTTAAATGAACTTAAGTGATACTCCAACAAGGTGGAATAGACCCTCCATCATCTAGTATTTTTAAAACTGTCCTCAAGAAGGCTGACGAATTGTTTCTCAAATCTAAGGGCCCACTGCTGATCCTCATGAATATTAAAAAACAGCTACAATAGTGCTAACAAGGCAGGGCCTGAAGTTGGGGTCTGGGGTGGGGGCAGATCTAGTACTCTGCAACCTGTCGCCTTTTGTTCGCTCACTCACCTTGCAGCTCCCGGCTCCTCGGAGGACCTGCAACTCTTCACACCTGGAGGGTACTTTGGCCACTGGTGACTTGAATTCCACCTAGGAAACACACAAGAGATGAATCACACCTTATTTTCCACTGAGGGTTACAACAGAAGTGGCTTTATAGCAATTTTGGAAAAACTTGGGAGGAAACATTGCTCCTACCGCATTGCAGTGTTCTGGAAGAAAACAGGCCTAATTCATCCTCTTCCAGGTTTTGGAGAAGAGGAGGGAAGATGAAGGAATAGCGATGATAAGTCTGCTTAGTGACCCTGAATCCAGAGATTATGTCCAGCCTGATGGGAGCAGGCCCTTGTGCATGAGAAGGGGGTAGCCTCAGGGTTAATTGGACACTGCCCCCCTGCCCCCAGCAGAGCTCCAGCTCTCAGCAAGTGCTCTTGAAATTCTTTCCACCCAATCCACAGACGCTGTCTACACCACAGGAGCTCACCTTTGAAGATAGCGATGTAAGCATTGTGGCAAGAATCACTGCCTTCCCTGAGAAGGAAATGCAGTAGGATGTACAAGAAAGCCTAGGGGCTACATAAGGAGGGAAAGCTGAAAAACGATGGAGGAGGGACAGGCTTAGGGACAGGGAGAGGATGGGCTTCCTTGCACAGGACAGTTTGGGAGTGTTACGACTGAACCTGGAGAGCAATTTTACAGAATGCTTTGGCCACATGCTGCGTAGCATGGTCTGAGAGCATGCTTGAAATGACTGAAGGGAGCAGTAGTGATTACAAAAAGGGGATTGGGATTATCTATTGTATAATGCCAAAGCTCAAACCACAGCTAGACCTGAAGTCCAGATGTATATCACCAAGGAGGCTGGCCTCTGTGCCTCTCATATGCACAATTCATGGGAGGCAAATATTCATCAGCTGTTTCCTGTTCTATATGAGGTAACACAGCGCTCATGTTCATTCATTTGTTCAATGAATATTCACTCTGTGCAGGCACTTTTTTTAGGTGCCAAAGGCAGCAACAGGCAAATCCAGCAAGGTATTGTCCTTGTGGAGCTTATATTCCAGTGGGCAGAGACAAATAAAAATACACAGACCAAATAAGCACTTTTAGATAATGAAAAGTGCTGGAGCAAGATAACCCCCTCTCTAAGCCACCTGTTGGCACCCCTGTCCCCTGCTCCACTGGCATTGCTACCAGGATGCTGGAAGCAAACAAATGGGGAGACTTCACTCTCTGGTGTTTTCCCAGGCAGCAGCCCTCAGCAAAGCCAGTGCAGTGGGAAAACAGGAGAGGAAAGCTGCCCTGTCTTGCCCCCACTGCTGACACCTGAGAAACTCACTTAGAAAAAAATTGTTTAGACTATAAATAAGATATGAACAGTGTTATTTCTAGATGGTAACCTTAAGAGATGATTTTTATTTTCTTCTGAATTTTCTGATATTTTTATTACTACAATGCATTATTTTGCAATAAGGAGAGAAAAATATTTTTTAATGAGAAGATTGGCCTACCTACATTAAATTAATAAGAAATACATTTGGACAAATAGACAGGGGCCAGATCTTAGGGTGATGAACAACATCTTACCATATCACTTTATGGTTTACAAAGCAATTTCACAAAAACATCTCCTTCAACCCTTATAAGGCTTTCTCGAGGTTACATAGAAAATGCAGTAGAATGCCTGACCCTCAGGTCCCTGACTTCTAGGCCAATGTATTTTCCATTATTCCACTGCCCATCTGTAGCAGACCTTACTTCTCTTTACAGCTGAGGGATTCAGAAAGCCACTGAGCCCCAGATCTGAACTCTCTTGTCCCAAACCTTGCCATCTCCTAGAGTGACCATGCTAATTAATTCATGCATTTATTGATCTAGTCTTTACAGACCCCCTACCAGGTTCCAGGCACTGGGTGCATGGGATATGGCGAAGAAGCAAATAGGTCTCCCAGTGGGTTGGGGGAAAGGCTTTAACAAATGAGTGAATATATGATATAAATCATGGTAACTGCAGTACAAGGAAAGTAAAGAGTATTCTGTGAGTGGCTAGTATGAGAGGGAGCTAATTTGGACGGTGGCACTAGCCCTTCACTCAATATCCCAGCAATATGCTGTCACTGAGTACAACCAAGGTAAGTAAGACAGCTATTCTAAGATGGAGGCTGAGATTACAAGAGACCAACCTGAGTCTCAAAGGGTGTATGTTTTGGATGCCTAGAGAGCTTGCAAAGCCACATGAAAAGTTAGTTAAGAACATCACACGTACTTATAATAATGAAACAGCTCCCTTAAACCCAGCCTGAAACAAGGTACAGTTTACCAACCAGATAGGTCATCAGAGATGTCCCAAGTCCACATATGATTGTCACTGGGAGAGGTCACTGAAGGCCAGGAATGTGAAAGTAAAGGTTAAACCAGACAACAATATGTAGCTAACAATAAAAGGGGACTTCAAAAAGTTCATAAAAATGGAATTAAAAGATGAAAATTACAAATATAAACTTGATTTCCCAACATAAGTTCCATCATGTTTGATACACTTTTTTAAGCAATGACAACAGCCATATAGTCCATCCCTAAAGAAATGAGGGTCCTGGGAACTTAATCATGTCAATGCAGTCTTTTTTGCATTATTAACTGAAGAAAAATGAGTGCCCTTTAAAGATTTAAGATTAGAAAACAAAAAGAAGTCAGAAGGAGCAAAATCAGAACTGTACAGTGGATGCCTGATGATTTCCCACCAAACCTCTCTTGAAATTGCCCTTGTCTGAAGAGAAGAAGGAGCGGGAGCATCATCCTGGTGGAGGACTCTCTGGTGACACTCTCCCAGGCTTTTTTTTTTTTTCTTTTTAGGTGTTTTTCTTCTAATGCTTTGGCTTTCTCATAATAAATGCTCTCATAATAAGCAGATGTTATTGTTCTTTGGCTCTTCAGAAAGTCAACAAGCAAAATGCCTTGAGCATTCCAAAAGACCATTGCCATGACCTCTGCTCTTGACTGGTCCACATTTGCTTTAACTGGGCCACTTCCACCTCTTGGTTTGATTGTGCTTTGTTTTCAGGATCATACTGAAAAAGCCCTGTTTCATCCCCTGTTACAGTTCTTCAAAGAAGTCCTTCAGGGTCTTGATCCCACTTGTTTGAAAGTTCCATTGAAAGCTCTGCTCTTGTCTGCAGCTGATCTGGGCACAAGGGTTTTGTCAAACACTGAGTGGAAAGTTTGCTCAGTTTTAATGTTTCAGTCAATATTATGTAAGCTAAACCAGTTGAGATGTCTATGGTGTTGGCCATCGTTAGTTCTGTTAAACACTGGTCCTTTTTAGTTAGGGCACAAACAAGATGTATCTTTTCCTTGCAAATTGATGTGGATGGTCTGCTGCTATGGGCTTCATCTTCAATACCATCTCATCCCTTCTTAAAATGAGCTGTCCATTTGTAAATGCTGATTTTTGGGGGGCATTGTCCCCATGAACTTCTTGTAAAGCATCAATAATTTCACAATTCTCCTGCCCAAGCTTCTCTACAAATTTGTTGTTTGTTTTTGCTTCAATTTTAGCAGAATTTGTGTTGCTTTGATAGGGGCTCTTTTCAAACTGATGTCTTTTCCTTCTTAGTGACTCAAACTAGATCCTGTTCAGATGTTATACCAAGTTAGTATGAGTTTATTTTGGTGCTAAAACAATTTTGAAATTCTTGTATTTTTTTTAATAATATGCATTTTCCATGAACTTTTGGAAGACGCTTTGTACAAGCCAGGACACTTCAGTGTCTAAGTGGATGGCACAGGCATTCGATACCACAGGACTTTAGATGGGGAGAGGACAGGAGCTGACATGTCAGGAAAGGCTTCTGTGGAGCGAGTGGGATTTAAACTGGGCTTAGAGAGTGAATAGGGTTTGGATGCTCTTCAGGATAATCCCATTTAGCAAGGTCACGAGAAATGCCCAGGAAACCCGCAGCAGTCGATGGGCCTTCTCTTCCAGATGCTAGAGGCTGGCTTCCTGGCCTCTAGCCTATCCTGGGACTTCAGAGTGAGGCTGTACCCCCTCCATCATGTCTGCTGGTTTCTAAGTGTCTCTCTAACAATGCTCTGAAGAGCCAGGAGTGCTGCTGGCCACCAAAGCTGAACATGAAGACTGATTTCAGCACTGGGCAAGCCGGCAAATGCTTGCATATATCCATACGCACAACTCAAATACTTCCAAGTGCTGGGACCCAGTGGCCACAAAACATTCAAGTCAGGTTATGTTCTCAGCTGCCACTTGATATTGCAGGCCTACCACTGCGATCCGGGCTAGGGTAAGCTCCCTGGACACACCACCGACTGAACGATAACAACAGCAATAACCATAAAATGATGAGAGCACACTTTTATATGGTGCTTCAGAGTACACAAAGGATTTTGTCATTTATGCCTCTCATTTATGAGTCACTATCTTATTTGTAATACACCTACATTATTATACGGCTTTCAAAGATTACGCTATCTTATTTGTAATAAGAACATGCCAGCAGTTATGGATCCTGGTTGACAGCTGTGGAGGGCTGGGCCTGGGGATGCCAGATGTCTCCCATATACTCCTCCATGTGACACTTAGTCATCTTCAATGACACCTTCATCTCCAAAGCATTCCAACTCGGTGGTGTGGCCTTTGAATGGATGAAGAGAGCCTTAGATGAGGCTCAGGATCCTGTGCTCAGTTCCCATGTGACCCTAGATGGATCTCACTCTGTCTTAAGAACACTAGGCTTTGGTTTTAGACAGCCCTGGGTTCAAGTCCCAGCTCTGCCACTTCCTACCTGTGATCCTCAGGAAGTTATTTATCTTCTCTGAGCCAATTTCTCCTGTGTTAAACATGGATGATAACAGCACCTCTCATAAAGTTTTTGTGAAGATGATAAGATACACAGCACACAGAAAGTGCTTAGCACAGGGTATGACCCATACTTAGTGCTTTAAGTGCTAATTATATTATTACTATTATCATCATAGGGAAGATAGTACAGTGTTGTTCCCTCGCCTGAACCCACAGACTAGGTCAGGACCCAGGGGCGTGGGCATCCTTCCTCTTTTTGCATGAGCTCAGCATGCTCCAGTGGGTGGAACCGAGGGCCCTGGGTGAAGACACCTTTGTGGAGCAGGCAGCATTCTCTCTCAAGCAGCCGGGCTTGCAGGGATGCTCTTCTCCCAGTTTCCATGCCTTGGGGGGATGGCAGAGTCTTGATCCCAAGCCATAGACCTGTACTGTCCAATACAGTAGCCACAAGCCACATATGAAGGTGAGCACTTGAACTGTGGACAGTCTAAAGTGAGATGTAAGAGCAAAAGAGATTTCAAAGACTGAGTTCAAAAGAAAGGAATGTAAAAGATCTCGTTAATAATTTTTAGAGTGACTGCATGCTGAAATGATTATATGTTGCATGTATTAGGTTAAACAAAATGTTATTACAATGAATTTCATCTGTTTCTTTTACTTTTTTAAAACAATGTGGCCAAAATGGAAAATTATACAAGTGGCTCATGTTGCATTTCTGATGTGCAGCGCTGGTCTGGAGTGTAAGCTCCATGAAGGCAGGTGTCTCTTTGGTTCACAGCTGTATCCCTGGCATCCAGAAAAGCACCTGAATGGATGAGTGAGCCAGTGAGTGTGTGAGGCTGGAGGAGAGTTTACAAGAAGCTGGAGGTCCTACTTGAGCAGACAGGAACAACTCCTGGACTCCTTGAGTTAGGGTTGAAAGTAGGAATAACACAGGCTCCTTTCCAAAAACTTCAGGGTGGGGAGACTGGGACCAGGTCAGGAGGGGAATTTGCTCAGGAGGCCACAGGTTAAAGCAAAGTAGAGCACCCAAGAGAGAATGTTTTGGGGGAGTTAACACAGCAGATGTTATGATTAACACAGCCTCGGTTATGTGCAGATGAGGAAATGGAGGCTGGATTCCAACCAAGCACATCTCAAACCCATGCTCTTTCTACTGAATCCCTTACCTCCCACAGGCAATGTAGAGGTGCAGAAAGAAAACCAGACTTGGGATTTTTTTTAAAAAAAGCATATTCCCCCATGTCACCGCTGATGTCCTAACCTCAGGAAAGTCACTTGGCCTCCTTGGGCCTCGGGCTCCTCTTGTCCTCCTCCATAGTAGGTAAATCACCAGATCCTGTCCATTTCATTTCTTTCTAATGGTGTGCAGAGATAGGAAATCCTATCCCGGAATGTAGTCTCAAAGGCTGAGCCCTGCATAGTTCCCCTCCTTTCATGCTCCAAAAGAGGCTCTCTGACTGAGGTTTCTTTGCATCACCCAAATCAATGATTTGTTTAAGGGTTCTCTTTGATTTAACTTGGTTTTAGATGCTTTTCATCAGAAGCCAAAACCGTGCAGACTCTTTCCTTGATCTGGTAATGAAATTCCCTCTGAGATATTTAATACTAGAAACAGCCTCTGCTATACCATATTCTTTCAAGAAAAAAGACATCTAAATAACAAAAATCCTGCCATATCCAAATAAAAATCTCAGATTGTGAATGGACTTATCTCTCTTATATCTGCTTTCATTGTCCTGCTGCCATCCACACCAATGAATTTCCTACATTTTTTATAAAAATGGAAGGTGGCCAGGTACAGTGGCTCACGCCTATAATCCCAGCACTTTGGGAGGCTGAGGCAGGTGGGTCAACTGAGGTCAGGAGTTCAAGACCAGCCTGGCCAACATGGTGAAACCCCATCTCTACTAAAAACACAAAAAATTAGCTGGGCGTGGTGGCGGGCGCCTGTAATCCCAGTTACTGAAGAAGCTGAGGCAGGAGAATCGCTTGAACCCAGGAGGCAGAAGTTGCAGTGAGCTGAGATCGTGCCATTGCAATGCAGTCTAGGCAAGAATAGCGAAACTCTATCTCAAGAAAGAAAGAAAGAAAAAGAAAAGAAAGAAAGAAAGAGAGAGAGAGAAAGGAAGGGAGGGCGGGAGGGAGGGGGAGGGAGGGAGGGAGAGAGAAGAAGAAAGAAAAAGAAAGAAAGAAAGAAAGAAAGAAAGAGGGAAGGAAAGAAAGAAAGAGAGAGAGAAAGAAAGAAAGAAAAAGAAAGAAAGAAGGAAAGAAAGAGAGACAGAAAGAAAAGAAAGAAAGAAAGAAAAAGGAAAGAAAGAGAGAGAGAAACGAAGGAAGGGGGAGGGGGGGAGGGACGGAGTGAGAGAGAGGAAGAAAGAAAGAAAGAAAGAAAGAAAGAAAGAAAGAAAGAAAGAAAGAAAGCAAAAGAAAAAAAGAAACAAATAAAAATGGAGGGTACTTAATACACCGCCAGGCTCTTGTGCCTGCCACAGGTCTCGACGGGATCCTGATGCTCTAACGTTTTCTACTGTGTTAATCCCTCACAACATTCTCTCTCGTGTGCTCTGCTTTGCATTGACCTGTGGCGTGCTGAGTGAATTCTCCTCCTGACCTGGTCCCAGCCTCCCTACCCCGAGCTTTTTGGAAGAGAGCCTGTGTTATTCCCACTTCCAATCCTCGCTCAAGAGCCTCTTACATTTTAATCTAACCAGAGTATTTTAGAGCCAAAACTGACTTCTTAGAGAAGAAAATCTCACCCACTCCCACCCAGGTGAAACGCCAACATTATTTTTGATCAGAAGGGATAAAGAAAGATTTGCCAGTATCAACTGTGTCATTCTAAAGCAAGACAAAGTCGAATCATGGTGGGCAGAGCTGCTTTCCAACACAACCCCATGCAGGATGCAGAACTCACTTTATTACCCGCCTGTGGCTCAGCCACTTGTTGAATTATTATGGATTTTTAGTCTCTTCCCTCACCCACTCAGCAGAGTGGTTGACTGGCCAGCACTTTCTAGTGCTCATGAGAATGCCTGAGTTTTAAATAAGCAGCACGCACCAGCACAGCAAAGCTGCTTTCTCAACAATGATTACATGCAGAATTCCAAAGCCAAACAAATTCACCTAGCGGCTCTATTCAGCTAACATTTACAGAGTGACTCCTAGTAAAAGATGCTGTGTTAGGAACGGGGTAAAAAGCAAGTGAGGCCAGCCATGATGACTCACACCTGTAATCCCAGCACTTTGGGAGGCTGAGGCAAGAGGGTCGCTTGAGCCCAGGAATTTGAGACCAGCCTGGGCAACATAGCAAGACCCCGTCTCTACAAAAAAAAAAAAGAAAGAAAGAAAAGAAAGAAAGAAGGAAAGAAAGAAAAAGAGAGAGAGAGCAAAAGAAAAAACTAGCCAAGTGCAGTGGTACATGCCTGTAGTCCTAGCTACTTGGGAGGCTCTCTTGAACCTAGGAGTTTGAGGTTGCAGTAAGTGAGCCATGATCACACCACTGTACTCCAGTCTGGGCAACAGAGTCTCAATCATGTCTCAAAAAAAAAAAAAAAAAGTGAGTGAAACGTTATTCTTCTCCTCAAATAGCTTATAGTCTAGTGGAGATAAATGCATGTGAAAAACTAAAATGTAAGGCAGAATGAGAAAAGGGCAATAAGAAAAGACATGTACACTGAAAAAAGACTAGAAGGAAATGTACCACAATATCAATGGTGGTTATCTTGTTTATTGGGTTTATGGGTGATTTTTATGATGTTCTTTAGTATTTCCTATATTCTCTGTGTTTATGTTAACCCCCAGGGCTGTGGGGAGGGGAAGGGAGATGGAAGACGTCCAGCACGTGTTTGGAAAAATGTGAGTAGGGAACAGGGTGCACTGGCACAAGGACAGAGTAAGAGATAGGACAGGAGGGCTAGAAAGCCTTGAATGTCATGCCAAATTGACTCAGTTGCTCACTGTCAGTGTTTCAATGGCCTTTTGTGATTGTTGCTGATGCATCACCCATCACACTGGATTAGACTTGTGTACATGTCTACCCCCATACATTTTTAGCTCCCTGAAGTCAGGGATCATGGCTTATTCATTCTGTAACCATACTACCCAGCACAATGACTAGCACATAACAGGAGTCAACAAAATCTTCTTGGATGTGTTGGATTCTAACAGGGTTATTCCTTATTTTGCAGGTTATAAGGAGTCATCAAGGGTTCCAGGACCTGACATATTTTAGGGAGTTCATATGGAATATATACCAGGCACTATGCTGGGAGCCTTAATTGTCTTAATTGACCCTACCTATAACCCTCATTGTCCACATTCATTTACACATGAGGTTCAGAAAGTTTAGGTAACCCACCTAAGGTCATACAGTCTGAAGACAGTGTGGGTGCTAAAGTCAAACAGAAAGAAGTAAGGAGACTAGACCCATGAGAGGCCGTGGGGACCTGGAATGGCACAGCCACTCGAGAACGAAGTGTGGAGCGAGGCTGGCATCTGGGAGGCCGTATGGAGGTAGCACTTACAGCTGAGGGGTGATGAACTCCGTGGCTCCTGCATCAGGCACATTTATCATTTCTGATGTCAGCACAGGACACACAGTACCAACAGGGACTCATCCTTGCCTTATTAGAATAGCTACCAGAAGTAGGATTTGTGCAAACAGCCCCTAACCATGCTGTGAATAGTCCCCCTCCACTCTCTCATCCACTGGCTTTTTCATGAAATTCCTAGACCCAGACACTTTCATGAAAATGTTGATACAACTGGCTCTGACTACAAATGTAAATCAATTTCCCTAGCCTAAACAAAAACAGAATTGGGAATCAGAAATGCTTTCTCATCCCATCTCAGTCACTGACTAAATAGGTACTCTTCATCTATTTCCTTACCCTCTCTGAGCCTCAGTTTCCTTATCTGTGGATTGATTGGGCTGGACAAGATGATCTTTAAGATCCTTCAGACTACATCCAAAACTGTATGTTCTCAGGAACTTTGTACTCCTCCTTAGCATTTATGACCATTGTAACTAAACAATTCCTGGTGTAACTAGTGAACATCTATTACTCCTGCTGGACTGCGAGCTCCTTGAGCCCGGGGACTATCTGTCTTGTTCCCAGTAATACTTGCAGCCTTGACTAGAGTGCTGAGCATGGAGTAGCATGCCATGTCTGCAGCACAGACACATGGCTGCTCCCTTTCTCTGGGTTGGAGCTATGTGTGGACCGCAACCAGCCTTAGGCCTTCTCACCATGATAGGGCTTCTCTAATGGTGCTTGCTCTCTGGAGGACACTGTTTCTCTCCATGGTTCAGGTGGCCAGTTAGTGTCAGATTTATCCACCCTTCCAGCCAACCCTGGAAAACTCTTTTGGATTTTCTAATAAATAAGAGGAGGTCAGTGGTGGGGGGTTTGGAAACTGTGTGTGTTTGCATTCAAAATACCCTACTGCTCAACTGGAAACGTTTTCACACGTCTCTGACTCAGTGGCACAGAGAGATGCCTAGGGATGCCCCTAGGTGTCCCTAGGGGCAGCTCAGTGCCCCAGTGAGACTTAGCAACTCCAGCCATGGTCCTCCATCCTGCTCCCTAACCTCAGCCCCACATCTCACGTTAAGAGGCCAGGCCTTTCTCTCTCAAGCCCATAGTAGGCAAGGATGCTGGGGTTCTTGTAGGCAGGAGGATGCCTGGAATGACCTCCACCAGGGCCTCTTATCCAGGGGATCCCAAAGCTGCTCCTTGGAGCCAACAGCTGCATTTTGGCCTGTGCTTACCATTCTGCAGTCTCTCTCTCAACATTAAATCAGTAGCCACTGACATTACAGTGTCAGTCATATGACGGTGTCCATAGAAGGAAGAGATCTCCTTCCTTTAAAGATGTTTATTTCCAGAAAATGAAATGAAGGCACTCCTATGCCCTTCCTTCGTTTCTAGGACAATGGGTAACGTCAAATCCCCAATAGAGCTGGCAATCAAAGACTAAGAATAATCATGCATCAGTTGTTCCCATCTGTTTCCTCCTGTCTCCTTCCAATCCAGGCCCCCAGCACCCGGCCCTAGTGCTCAGTGCATCACAGTCCCTAGATTCTTCTTGTCAGGCGGCGTTTAATTGCTTTTCTCTACCCTTAAGGCCGTATTATACTCAGGGTGAGCTCTCTGCTCCCAGAGTATTGGCCCTTTCTGAGTTCACTGTTCAAAACAACACCTGGGAAATGCACGCACAAGATCCAGAAATGAGATTGGTGTGTTCTTGCACAAGCCCTCTCACACCCTCTAGGCTCCTGCTGAGCCAGCCAGAGAAGTCAGCGAGGACTCTGCTTTCATGGGCATTGTTAATGAAAGTTTCACTTGCTTAAGTTTGCAGAAAGTAGGGCATGGATCTGCGCTTCATCATGCAGTGCCCCGCGAGACGCCTCCCCAAGATAGCTGGCTGGTTATTAACTAAGCACAGCTGGCATTGTGTGTGCTCTGAGGCTGGCTGCTCTCATTCCAGCTTGGTGGTCTAAGCATAGGAGAAAATGGTCCCTTAGGAGAAGCTTGTCAGAAGTGATGTGACTTAGTTTAGATATCTGCAGGTAGGACTGACTTCTAAGACATTGGCAGGGCCATCCAATGATGTCAGCAATATCACCCAGACCGTCTGGGGCTGCAAAACAAATAGCTTTGCTGGGATTCATAAAGCCACCATCGTAAAGTGGAACTGCTGGTGTTGGGGAGGGGTGGAGTGCACCCTGGAGGGAGTGACCCTTACATTGATGGACAACAGAACACTAAGTGTTCAGACATCCGACCTCACCCTTCACTGGTTCCCACTGCTATGGAATGGAGTGTGAACTCGCTTCCTGGGCTGCTTGGGCTCTTTTGGTCTAAGGAGGCGCAGCAAGCACTATTTTCCAAAATAGGACAGGAGAGAATGGAGAAGAAGAATGGAGAGGAATTCATCTTTCCTAGAAAAAGGAAATATTCTCTGGTTGGTTCTCCACAGAATCAGTGCCCGCTCCCCCTGGACAGTCGCTGTCCTATAATAGTGGTCCTGCCTCCCATTTTCCCTCCAGCCAGGCCTCCCTGCTTTCACTCACTTTGCTTCCATATGAGAAAGGCTCTCCCACATCTCTTCCATCTCACCAAATCTCCTCCACCCGTTAGGCAGGGTTTTAATCTATAAGGGTTGCCAATGAATTATCAAAAACCAGGTGTCTTAAAACAACAGATTTCTTCTCTCACAGTTCTGGAGGCCAGAAGTCCTAAATCAAGGTGACTGCGGCGCTGTGTCCCCTCTAAAGGCTCCTGCAGAGAATCTGCTCCTTGCTTCTTCCGGCTCTGGTACCTCCAGGTGTTCCTTGGCTTGAGGCTATATCACTCCAGCTCTGCCTCTGTCCTCATTTGGCCTTCTTCTCTCTATGTCCCTCCTCTGTGTGTCTCTTTATGAAGACACTTGCCACTGAATTCAGGGCCCACCCAGATAACCCAGGATGATCTCATCTAAAGATCCCTCACTTCATTACATCTGCAAAGACTCTTTTTTCCAAATAAGGTCATATTCACCAGTTCTGGCAGTTAGGACATGGGCCTATCTTTTTACCATTCGCCCCTCTGCAGGCACTGATTCTCAACCCTCAGAGTACATCAGATCCTCTGGGGAGATTTTTAAACACTCCAGATGCGTGGGCCTCACTCCAGAAATTTGTTTTCACATGATCCTGGATGGGAAATTAAATAAGTATTTTCTTTTCTTCAATTCCCCAGTTTCTCAAGCGCAGCCAGGATGGTGGGGCAGGGGCAAGGAGCACCACATCTCCCGGACAGTACTTCATTGAAGAAGACATTGTAAAGAATCCCAGCTTTCACTGATCACTTTCTCCTCCAGGATTTTTTTTTTTCTGACTGAGTCATGAATCAGGCTGTCATCCATTGTTTTGTAAATGTTGCACAAAGAATGTCAGAGACCTTGGAGATCATTTAACCCAGTGGTGCTCCACCCTATCCAATCAATGCCCTATTTTTGTAACAAATATTTAGAAACACCATCTTTACCACCTGAAATACAATTCCTAGAAAAGTCGGTCGACCCAAACGCATAAAGTAGCCCTAATTTTAATAAAAGGATAAAAAGGAAATGTGATTAATATATATAAATACATACTATATGTATATTTTATATATATACGTATATACACAGAGAGAGAGAGAGCGAGCACACACTTGGCATGTCATCTTGTGCAGGAGCCATGCTAATCTTCTTTGTATCATTCCAATTTTAGTATACGTGCTGCCAAAGTGAGCACAGAAATGTGATTCTTAATAAAATAATATGTCTGTCAATATGTACGTGCTCATGCATGCCTGCACTGGAACACATAATGAAGTAGTCAACACTTCCACCTACCTATAATGGTTAAGTTTAGATTTAACAGAAGACAAATAGAAGCCACTTCATATAAGAAGTACAAGGAAATAAAAGATCAGAGGGATATAGGAGGACAATAGAATAAAGAAGTGTTACAATGAGTTACCCCCCTTTCCTGGCCGTATATGATAACAGGAAGAAGGAAATAACCTTCACTGAGGTACAGATAACAAGCCAAATCAAATTACAAATGTGCAAGCAGAGGAAACAAGGAAGCACAGGATCCTGTCTCGTGAGCTCAGTCTTACGTATAAGTGTAGCGTCATGATAATTTATTACGCTGTGATATGGGGCAGGATAGTGACAAAGTGTCACAGAAAACATGTTTCCAGTCTGGAAATCCCACCCACTGTGTTGAGGCATATATTCGGTCTTTAGCAGTAAAGAAAAAAAAAAGAAAGAAAAGAAAGAAAGAAAAAAAAAAGTGGCTGGGCGTGGTGGCTCACACTTGCAATCCCAGCACTTTGGGAGGCCAATGCGGGTGGATCACAAGGTCAAGAGATTGAGACCATCCTGGCCAACATGGTGAAACCCCGTCTCTACTAAAAATACAAAAATTAGCCGGGCGTGGTGGCACACCCTGTAGTCCCAGCTACTCGGGAGGCTAAGGTGGGAGAATTCCTTGAACCCGGGAGGCAGAGGTTGCAGTGACCTGAGATCGCACCACTGCACTCCAGCCTGGCAACAGAGTGAGACTCTGTCTCAAAAAAAAAAAAAAAAAAAAGCTTTTAAAATGACATCCTTATAGTATGGGCGGTGAGAAGAAGAGGATGGATTGGGAAAAGTTGTTGGGTAAATCTTGAAGGAGAATATCAGAGTAAGAAGGAAGAACAAAAGGCAACCCCAAAGAAGTAACCATGATAGCTAATTTTTGCAAGAGATTTCTTATCATTGTACTACAAATATAAATATATGTGATAAGAATATTATTTTTAAAACAGCTTTTATAAACAAGTTTGAGGCGCCTCTGCTAATTTAAACTAGTATCTAATTCTACATCGGCTGGATGAAGTCTCAGATTTCCTGTTACAGACCTGCGCATGGGTTCCTTGCTTTGCGGTCACTGCATATTGTACTGTGCCCTTTTCAGTTCAGTGTATATTTGGAAATGCTCTGATCTAGACAGAATGCATGAAGCAGGGAGATCATCTCGTCATTTCGAGGTTTTGTCTTTATTCCATTTAGGCTTCTCTTCCTAAAACAACCATTTCCTAAATACCGGGCTTTTGGCTTAACTTCTTTGAAAGTGTGAGAGGCATTACTCTAGGGGACAGCCTGACCCCATTAGAAACACTCGCCAAACAAGGGCTGAAAAACTACCTATTGCATACTATGTTCGTTATTTGGGTGATGGGTTAATTAGAACCCCAAACCTCGGCATTATGCAATATCTCCATGTAACAGACTTGCAGGTGTACCTCCTGAATCTAAAAAAAAAATAAAATAAAATAAGGAATACTGATCAAGTGTAACCTCATTCATTTCTGTAATGAGGAAACAGGCCCAAGAGGGTAGGCCAACTGTAAATTTTGCTCTCCTTCCTGTCACTAAGTTCCTTGAGGGCAAGGAGGGTATGGGATACTTCTTTTGTATCTGCACACAGCTGCCAGCACAGAGCAGCACACATACCTGTCTGTGGCCCTAGACGTGCCTGCTGTCTGTATTCCATCAGGACTCTGGAGTCTCCTTTTCAACCTGAAAACCACTCGTTTCTAATTACTCATCCATAGGAAACACAGGCAACGGATCCCCAGAAGTCACTTGGGACTGAGTTTCAACACTTTTGTTTCACACAGTTTCAGCACTCACACCAGCTGCAGCTGAAGACCATAGCACTTCAATGAAAAGCAACTGACTCCCTCCCCAACCCCTCTGCCCGTAGGCTGCTGTGGTTAGCACTGCACTCAGAGAAAGAATAAATAAAAAGCAAAAGCCCCAGTTGTTCTAAGATAACCACAGAGATGACAGATGCTGTTGCATGCAAACTTGCGGGAGAAGAGAGATAAACAGCACATTACAAATCCAACAAAGCATGGTGACGAGAAGCCTTGGCGGGCAAGTCCCGTTGCTGAGGTGTGACTTCAGAGATCAAGTGGAATGTGCCCTCTTGGTCCCATCCTCCCCTCACCCCTGCACTCTTCCTCTTTCAGCTGGCTGGGTTTAGAATTTCTTCAGTAGGGAAGAGGATTTTGCCCCGCTGGAAGAATGCTAACTCTCAGGATGAGTGATACTTTGGGAGACCCCCAGCCCCCAGCTTACAGGATAAACAAATGGCCAGGAATGAGAAAAGCTGAGGTGGAGCAGCAAAGGGAGGGAGGGTTCCTTTGGCCCACCTTTCAACCCCGAGTGGCCTCCAGAGAGCTGCCAGTTGTGGTCATGTTCATCCTGGGCTGCGGGCAGAAGGATGGCTCAATACCTTAGCTCATAGCCACCACTTCTGGGTCCCACTTCCTTCCTTCATCAAGTAGTGTAAAATGACGAGGACCCAAGACAGCTGGAAGCCACTCGCCTTGTTGTCCATGGTTGCTCCATGGCGTATTTGTCTCTTTTGTCACATTCTGGACACAACCCAACGCATCCATGTCACCAATACCACATGTAGCTGGTGGCACTGCAGCTTTCTGTTGACCTGCCTGAACTAGCCTCCAGGCACCAGGCTTGTCACTCACACCGAGCGCAGTGCCTGGCATTCAGAAGGTGCTCAATACATGTTCTTGGATTGAAAGAGCAAAAGGGCAGGGGAGCCAATTCCACTCTATGAAATGGGAAAAGCTGTCAAGGAACAGCCGTCACGTTAGTTATGAGACCACAGACGCATTGTCACCCACCTTTTTTGCAGTATGTAGCCATCTGGCCCATTTTCAGAGCTGCTCTTATCTTTGTCACGACTATCATCTCCACAGCATCAGTAATGACAGACTTAGAAGGTGAGAGGCTTAACTGTAAACCACTCCTTATTTAAAAAGACTTTGGGGCCGGGTAAGCTGGCTCATGCATGTAATTCCAGCACTTTGGGAGGACGAGGCAGGCAGGTCATGAGGTCAAGAGATCAAGACCATCCTGGCCAATATAGTGAAACCCCATCTGTACTAAAAATACAAAAGTTAGCTGGATGTGGTGGTGTGCACCTGTAGTCGCAGCTACTTGGGAGGCTGAGGCAGAAGAATCACCTGAACCCGGGAGGCAGAGGTTGCAGTGAGCCAAGATTGCATCACTGCATTCCAGCCTGGGTGACAGAGCGAGACTCTGTCTCAAGAAAAAACAAAAAGACTTTGGGAGCAGCATGATAGATTGGCTAAAATGTCAGGTTCTAGTGACAGAAAAACCTGGGTTCTGATCCTAGTTCTTCTGTGTGCGAGTTATGAGTCTTGGTGAAGCCACTTCACTCTGCTACTGTTTCCTTGTCTGGAAAAGTGAGCTAGTGCTACCACTGCCTTGGGGGGTCTGCTGAGAGAATCCATGTAATGGAGCAACACTTCTGACTGTCTTGTATTTCATTTTTATTGCTGGTCTCCATGCAATTACTCAGATAGTGCACAAAAGCAAGAAGAGAGCAGAGTTCTTTCCCTTCCACTTTTCAGCTCCCGAGATGAAAGCCTGGACATGGCAAGGCAGGGGCTGCAATCTCAAGCATACAGAAGATTAACAGAAATGGGCCGAGTGGGCAGGGGCCGATGAAGAAGAATCGCTTTCATATTAAGTCTGCCCTCCTCCCTCTGCTGGAAAAAGACAGCCTCCTTGGTTTTCAGTTTCCCCCTTGAAGAGACATGAGTACATGAGTGATTTCCCTTCCTCCTTAATACTCTATGAGAGAAACAGCACAATGTTGCTAGATGGCAGTCAACGCTCAGGCTGAACGCAAGAGGGTCAGCAAGAGGTGGTGGGGAAGATGCCAGAGCGGGGCAGGGAGGTCTCTTTAAAAGGACAGCTGCTACCCAACCCAACCAGTTGTCCACATACTAGAACTGAGTGTTTCCAGTTCTGTTGATTATTCAAAGATTTTTCAGAATTTTTAAATGTTACACACGTTCAGGGTCAACATGAAATGGCAGGTTTATTCCGTGCAGTGTTTCTTGTAATATTAACAGCAAATGACTAAAAACAACCTGTGTTCATCAGTAGGGGATTGCTAAATTATGGTAAATCCATACAATGGGATACTATGCCCCTGTAAAAAAAGAATGAGGAAGCTCTCCACATACTGAGAGGGAAAGATCACCAAGATAAATCGAGTGAAAAAGGCAAGGTTAAAAATAGTGTGTAGAGTCTGTTATAATTATGTAAGAAGTAGAGGGATGAGGCAGATATATATTTGTACTGACTTTTATCTGCAAAAAGAAATCCTGGAAGGTTGTATAGGAAACTAATAAAAGTGGTTACAAGGGAGGGGCAGGGCAGGACTGGCCAATGGAGGCAGGGATAAGATTTCGCCGAATACCTTTCTATAGCGCTTTAATTTTTGAACCACACAAATGTATTGCTTATTTGAAAAATAATACAAAAACACTGTATACACCAGCTACTGGGAAGAAAACACATCTACAGGCTACGAACAGCCTGCAGGCTTCTGGGTTGCACCTTCACATTAAGGGCTCCAAAACTGGAGAGGCAGAAAAGTTGGCAGCATTGGATCCAAGCTTTACTAGGTGTGGAGACAAGTAGGTTGTTCAGTATCTGGTGTCTGGAACTCTCTCTGGATTGCCTGGCAATGAGCTAGTTGGGCCCAGCAGCCTCCGCCACCTCCAGGGGGAAAGTGATGCACTCCCAGCCTCTCTGGAAGAGACTGCTCCAAAACTCAACTTCCCGGGAAACTGAGGAGCTCCAGGGTCACCAGGTGCTGGGCAGACAGAATTTCCTGCCATTCCTCGATAGTTAAGGCTGCCTGGAACCCCAGTGGTGTGTTCCCCCCATCAAGGCTCTGTCCCACTTGTCCCATACAAAGGAGAGCGATAGGTGAGTGCAGTTCCTCCTCTGGAGCACAGCATCCAATGTGTCCAGCTGGGCCCCAGCTCAGCACACCTCTCTAGTGAATGCTGAGAACAGAGGACATGCTCCCCTGCTGACACTGCTGCCAGTCACTTTCAGGCAGCACCATGGAACACCATTCATATTCACCCCGGCCCTTTGTATGTCCCTAGTCTTGTCACTGTGAATGAGCTCACTTAGTGTGGCAGCTTGAACTGTGATCTCCACATTGAAGTCCTAACCCCTAGTACCTCAGAATGTGACCTTCTTTGGAAACGGGGTTGCTGAAGATGTAATGAGTTAAGATGAGGTCATACTGGAGTAGGGCGGTTCCTAATATGGCTGGTGTCCTTATAAAAATGGGAAAATTTGGAAACACACACACACAGGGAGAATGCCATGTGATGATAAAGGCAGGGATTGGAGTGACGCAGCTGCAAGCCAAGGAAGACCACAGTCGGCCGGCAAATCGTCAGAAGCCAGGGCGAGGCAAGGAGGGGCCTCCTATACACCACAGAGGGGTCAGGCCCTGCTGATACCTTGGTTGCAGACCTCTCGCCTCTAGAACTGGGAGACCTGACATTTCTGTTAATCACCCAGTTGGTGGCACTTTGTTAAGGCAGCCCTAGGAAACTCATACACTCAGCAACCTCAGGCCAACTCGGGTGGCAAAAGTACCCGCCATTGCTCCTTCTCAGCAGGTGCCCAACAGATACTGGTGACAACACTGCTCCTATGAATGAAGATCCCAGGACCTGGCCCGGTCAAGTGTATTGTGTCGGAATGCATCAAATAGTCAACCAATAAACAATGGCTGAGTACCCGACCTTGTGAAGAATGCAAAAGACATAAAATATTCCATTACTACCCTCAAGGAGTTGACAATCTGATTGAAGATTCAAGAAAGACATGTGTAATAATGGCCAAATTAGTATTATCTTCCCCCAGCCCTCACCCACGACCAGCAGATGCCACAGAAGTCACTCTTAACTAAATTGCACTGTGCTCCCAGCTGGATTCAACCTTCTACTGCATCTCATTTCGCTGCTCCCTGCATGTGTCTGGAAGAACCGCTTTTCCAGCTCTCCAGGACATTCTTTAGGATGTCAGGCTACTAGACAATTTCTAGAAGCTGTCGCCACTGCTCCTGGCATGGAGCCCACACTTCTTGCCCACTGCGGACACCCACTCCTGGCCAGAATTGTCTGCCACCCCTGGTGAAGCCGCTCCCATCAGTTTCTTATGAGCGCTTTTGTCCCAGTCAGAGAAGCAGACCCTGTGGGATGTTGAGCCTATTCTGCAGCAATCAATGAATCTGACAAGCAAAAAACATGAGATCCAGGTGGTTTGAGAGTCCACTTTGCTAAGCTGACAGTTTTCAAGCCAGGGGCAGGCTACAGAAAATCAGAGACCCTCAGGAGAAATGCTGTTTTCTTATCCTCATTCAGAACATTTGTTTGTTTGGCCCAGCCTTCTCACAGGCGGCTGCTCCCAGTACCCCCTGAATCCAGGAACTCCGATTCTTACCATCAGCAAGACTCCTGTGCAGCCACACACCTGGCAGGAGAGGAGGCAGCACACCTGTGTTGAATTCTCCTGGCACTCCTGCTGAATCCCAGCGCTCTGGATCCGGCTCCTGCAGGGTTTTTCTTGTGCTAAGTGCCCAGTGGAGGCTCTGGCTGGGCTCATGGAGGAAGAGTGGCAAGTTGCTGCTGCCCCACCCTTGACAAACAGCCCAATGGCCCCAGGTGGCTCCGTGCCAGCCTCCTGAAGGGCAGCTGTGGTCAGGGCATGACCTGTGGGTAGAACAGAGAGAGGAAAGGGTTCCTCACTTTGACTTCAAGCAATTCATTTTAGATTATCTGGGTTGGGCTTTGAGGCAGACACTGTGGCTTGCTGAAGCAGCATCCATTTATCCTTTCCTCCTTTCTAGCAGAACTCCATTTCTGTTCACTCAGGACAGTGACCTCCTCCCCAGCTCAGAGGCCTCATCCAGCCAAAACAATGCAAGCTTCTTGCCAATGGGTAGGTTGGGGTGGACTCTACTCCGTCTCTGGTTGTTAAGACGTGAGAGGAGCCCTGCTAGGGGTGCTCGGAGAAGTGTTTTCCTGGCTCTTTTCCTCTGCTGGATGCTGTGCCATCTGATGTGTTGACTGCAACTTCTGCAGCCACTTTGTGACCATGAGGAGGAAGCCTGAGGCAGAACAGAAGGACTGAATCCGGGCCCTTGATGACATCGTTGACCACTGGATCAGACAACACCAATGTCACCCTTCCTCCAGACTTCTTATTACACATGCGATAAATATCCTTGTTTAAATCCATCGAGTTGTGGGTTTTTGCTACTCATAGCTAAGATTATCTGAGGTGATGTGCACTGAGATGTTCCTGAGACCACAAGACCACATTCTAGAATCCAATCCCACTATCCTAACCACAACATTCCCAAATTTTCAGGACACACACACACACACACACACACACACACACACACACACTTTTCTCTCCACCTTTTCTTGGTATTCAGTCCTTTTCCTAGACTGGACACATTTTGCCTTATTTTTTTTTTTTTTTGAGATGGAGTCTCGCTCTGTCGCCCAGGCTGGAGTGCAGTGGCATGATCTTGGCTCACTGCAAGCTCTGCCTCTCGGGTTCACGCCATTCTCCTGCCTCAGCCTCCTGAGTAGCTGGGACTACAGGCGCCCGCCACCACACCCGGCTAATTTTTTTTAAAAAATATTTTTAGTAGAGACGGGGTTTCACCATGTTAGCCAGGATGGTCTCTATCTCCTGACCTCGTGATCTGCCCGCCTCAGCCTCCCAAAGTGCTGGGATTACAGGTATGAGCCACCCCACCCGGCCTGTATTTTCAATAAATTCTGCAACATATGCCAATTCCATCATTTAATTAAGAAACATTTTTTACCCCCACTGATGTACCAGACACTTTGCTGGGCTCCCGGGACTCAAAACTGAAGTCAGGGACTAAACCCTGAAAATGGCATGGAAGTTCCTCAAAAAACTAAAAATAGAACTAGCATATGATCCAACAATCCCACTTCTAGGTATATGTCCGAAGGAAACACGATCAGTAGCTCAAAGTCATCTCCGCACTCCCGTGTTCACAGCAGCAGTATTCACAATCACCAAGACATGGAAACAACCTAAGTGTCCATCAACAGACGAATGGATAAAGAAACTGTGAGGTGTGTGTATGTGTGTGTGTGTGTGTGTGTGTGCATATACATAATAGAATATAATTTATCCATAAAAAGAAGAAAACCCTACCATTTGCGACAGCAGGGGTGAACCTCGAACCTTGAGGGCATTATGCTAAGTGAGGTAAGCCAGACAGAGAAAGGCAAATTTATGATGTCACTTATATGAGGAATCCAAAACAATTGAACTCAGAGAAACAGAGGGCAGAACGGTGGTTGCAAGGGGCTGTAGGTGGCGAGAGAGGGGAAATGTTGGTCCAAGGGTACAAAATTGCAGTTACAATGTGGATAAGCGGGTAAGTTCTAGAGATCTAATGTACAGCATGATGACTTAATACTGTATTGTATACTTGAAATTTGCTAAGAGGGTAGATTTTAAATGCTCCTACCACATACACAAAAATGGTAACTAGGTGGGGTGATGAATGTATTAACTAACTTTATAAAAAAAATTTTCTCTTTGAATTCTATGTTAACCAACTTGATTGGGCTATCATTTCATAATATACACATATATATCAAATCATCAGGTTGTACACCTTAAATTTATAGAATTTTATCTTTCAGTTACACCTCAATAAAGCTGGAAGAAAATGAAGCCCTGCGGAGATAGAGCAAGTGAGCCCAACTCCTGGAAAAGAGGTGAGTGCAGGGAGGCAAATCCTAGGACAGGGTGCACGCAAGCCTGTGTGGGCACAAAGAAGGGTGCGGGGAGACCTGGCGCTGGGAGAGTGTTAGCAAAATGCTCCTCAGAAAAGAAATGAATTCTTGAAGGGAGACAAGAAAACTGCAAGCAATAGAGGCAGGCAGACATTCACAACTGAGTAAGTAAATAGTAATAAAATAACAACCAACAATGGTGGCAACTAACAGTTCCTGACACAATGACCCAGGCAGTGTTTGAAAGTTTTCTGGGTACTAACCCATTTAATCCTCCTCCAAAGCCTGTAAGGTAGTTCAAGGATTAGCCCCATTTTATGGATCAGTAAACTGAGGCATGGAGAGGTTAAGTGATACAGGAAGTGGGTAGCAGAGGCAGGACTTGGACCCAGGCCGTGGAGCTCCGAGGCTCACATGCTTTATAGGCTACACTGGTGGTTCTCACAGTGGCCGTCAGGAGAGAAGCCCCCGCAGCCCCTGGAAACTTGTTACCAATTCAGATCTTGGGCCTCATCTCAGACCCACAGAGTTAGAACCTCCGCAGGTGAGGCCCAGCATGCCACGTTTTCACAGCAGGCCTTCCTTGTGATTCTGATATTTGAGAACCCTGCTTGACACTATAAGCCTGTACTGAGAAGGGATGGCATGCTCAGAGGACCATGAATGCTGCAAAGAGAAGCAAAAGCCAGAGGGCAAGACAAGTAAGCTGTGAAGAAGCCCATCAGGAGGGTGGGCTTTACTGTATGGGCATGAGGGAGAAAGGTATGGGGTGAGGCAGGGAGGTGGCTTGATTGGGCTTTGTTCTCTGTGACAAGATCTCTGGCATGAGTGCTAGTAATAGACTAGATGGGGAAGAAGATGGAAGGAGGGGGGCCAGGTAAGAGGCTGATGCTATGACCCCAACAAGTACAGCAGGGGCTGCACTAAGGCGGTGGCAGTGCAGAGAGAGGAGGGATAGGGACAGATTCAAGAGACAGAGTGTGATGACAGCTGAACATGGGTACTGAGCTGGTAGAGGTATCTAGGATGACTCCATGACATCTAGCTTCAGAGGTTAGGTAGATGGGTGACATTATTTAGCCAGATTGGAAATTCTACAGGAAGGACAAGTTTGGCAAGGAAGAGAATTAGTTCCACTTGGAAATGTTAAGCTTGAGGCTTCCATGGGACATTGGAGTGGAGGCATTTAGGATGCAGTGAGAGAAAGATCTGGTGTGCAGGAGTGGGGACAGGGCTAGACATGTAGGTGTGGGATTCGCCAGTTGAAATATATGAGGGTTGAAGCTGCAGACATAATGAAGGCTGCTCACAGACTGTGCAGAGGGAGCAGAAAAAAACTGAGGGCTGGAATCATGCAGGACACTAACATTTAAGGGACACTCAGAACACGTCAGCCAAGGAGGCTCAGAAGCAGTGCTTAGAGAGGAAGCAAAGGAAATAATGTTGTCTCAAAACCCAAAGATGAGAAAAGATGGAGAACGTTTAACGAACTAGAGGCTGACAGCAGGTTCAAATGTTGTAGACACGTCAGACATTCCAGAGAAGAAACCCTGGACTTATCAATGAGGAGGCCACCGGTGAACTCAGTAATAGCAGTCCCAGTGGAGGGATGGAAGCAGAAGCCAGATTCATTCACAGATGCATTCTCCAATAAGCAACAGCTATCATGTGCCAGGCTTTGTGCTTTGTGCTGGGATAGGGTGATGAACTCAGCCCTTACCAAGTAGTGGACAGGGGAGAAAGTGGACAGAAATTACAATGATTACAGGATCACAACTGGGGTAAGTGTTCTGATGAAGACATGAAGACACACAAAGGGCTTGCTATAGGGAGCCCAAATTAACAAGACCAACACAGAAGATGAGAGAAAGGAAATTACATTTCTGTTGGGTCCACGGGGTGAATAGGAGCAACCCAAGGAAAGGTGGGTGGGAAGCCTGTTAAGGAGGGAGGACAGTGGGCATAAATACCCTCAGGTAGAACACGCTTTTTGTGTGTTCAAGAAATGGAAGGAAACCAGGGTGGCTAGAACAATCCTAATGTGGAAGAGAGTGGTAGGAGATGAGGCTGAAGAGTAGGACTTGATGGGCAGGTTAGAGATTTGGGACATTACCCCAACAAGCCAGAGGAAATCACTAAAGTTAAAATCTAAAAGGTTGGGAGAGACATGATCTGATTTGCATTTTTAAAAAGATGACTTTGGCTGCTTGTGGGGAATGAAATTGGAAGAGGAGGGATATGGAGTGGATACATGGAGGCTGGTTGGGGGAATCACTACAGCCCAGGCAAGAGATGGCAACATCTTGGACCAGGGCAATGGCAGCAGAAGTAGGTGCAGGTAAAGAGATTCTAGAGCTATTTAGAGGTGGAATCAAGAGGACTGGGTGGCCAATGGGATGTAGTAAGTGGGGGGAAGGAGCAGTTGAGGCCAGCATGGACTCTGTGGTCCCATCTACATCTATTCTTGGATACTCCCACAAGGCCACTGGGATGGAAGAACACATATCCTTTGAATTCCAAGGCATCAAGTCCTACTGGCTTTTGTAGGGCTCAGATCAGAACTAGAGGACAAGTCCTACCAAGCCTTCCTCTCCTAAAGGAGCCTCTCATCGATAAAATGATGTCTTCTAAATAGGCCTCCTGAAAATCTCCTCACCTTGTTTGGTGACACTCCTTCTGGTGTCATGTCCTGTGGGGTGGGGTGCCAGGCTGGCCAAGCCCCATGGCGAGTGGCTTCTCATCACAACACCCTATGCACTCTTTAGGGTATTCATAAAGTGCATTCAGTACATGTGGGCAATTCTAGGCTCCTAATGCCAATCTCCATCTGATCAGTTTTCCCTCTCCTAATTTTGTCAATTTTCCAACAACATGCTAGATTTCTATTTTCATCATTATGGCAGGCTAAGTACCTAGATGGACCTTACCACTAGAAACTACTAAAAAGTCTTATATAAATTTTTTTTTAATTTCCAAAAGCACTGATGGACTGACAAGAAAGGAAGGAATTCACGGGCCAGGGGCTTCTTTAGATAATATATATCCAGATACTGACCATAAAAATGACTGTAATGTATTCAAAGAAATTAAAGCCAAGCTTGAAGATTATGTGCAGGAGACAAAAAGTCATGAGGAATAACCAAGAAGTTTTGAAGAATGAACCAAAGAGAATGTTTAGAAATAAAAAAATAAATAATTGAAATTTCAAACTGTGGATAGACTTAAGAGCAGATTAAATACAGTTTGAGAAACAGACAGTAAACTGGAAGCTGGGTCAATAATAAATTAACCAAAATGCAGCACAAAAAGACAAAGACACTGAAAATATGAAAGAGAACTTAAGAGACATGAAAAAGAGTCTAACATACATCTGTTTGGAGTTTCAGAAGGAGAAGGAAAAGAATATTTAAACAGGTAATGACTAAGAATTTTCTAAAGTGATGAAAGATACCAAGACACATATTCAAGAATCCCAAGAAGAATAAATAAAAAGAAATCCATAAGCAGACACATGTCAGTGAGGCTTTAGACCACCAAAGACAAAGAGAGTGTCTTAAAAGCAGCACAGAGAAAAGAGAAATTACCTTCAAGGGATTAACAGGTTATTTCTCATCAGTGATGAACAAGACAGAAGGCAGTGGTAAAATACCTTCAACATGCTAAAATCATGTCACTGTCTTCTGAGAATTCTATACTTAAAAAGATATCCTTTAAGAACAAGAGAAATAAAGACATTATCTGACAAAAAAAAAACCTGGGAGTTGGCCACATGGAGACTCTCACTGAAAATGAAAATTTTAAAAGATAGACATCAAACAGAAAAAGACAGAATCTAGGTGAAAGATCTGAGATTAAGGAAGAAATGAAAAACAAAGAAGCTGAAAATGGATTTTCTCAGTGTGTTGTTGAAAAAGTTACAGATTGGTAGTCAGACATGCTTATACTGGTATCTTGCTGCCATCTCTTGCTATCTGAGAAACTTCAATCAAATTACTTAATCTGTCAGAGTCTTGATTTCTTCATCTTAAAAATTCATCTAACAGTGTCACTTATATGAGCATTTTTTTGAGGAATAAATGAGCAAATACCTACGAATGCTCCCAGCATAGCTTCTGTATCTGGAAGGTGTAAAGTAAATGTTAATTTCTTATCCCTTTTAAAATTAATGAATACATTTTAAAAATAAGACATTGCTAACAACAACGAATGACTCCCTTTGCTTCAGTTCTAAGATAAAATTCTGGCACTGTTTCAAATTGTACAAATATGAACTCGTGTTCAGCAGTTATTTTCATCTTTCCAGTATCAGGCCTAAGATATTTTGAACAAAATATTTATGATCTCTTTATTTAAGAAATACTGGCTGAGCACGGTGGCTCATGCCTGTAATCCCAGCACTTTGGGAGGCCGAGGCGGGTGGATCATGAAGTCAGGAGATTGAGACCAGCCTGGTCAACATGGTGAAACCCCGTTTCTACTAAAAATACAAAAATCAGCCGGACATGGTGGTGCGTACCTGTAATCCCAGCTACTCAGGAGGCTGAGGCAGGAGAATCGCTTGAACCAGGGAGTTGGAGGTTGCAGTGAGCCGAGATCACGCTACAGCACTCCAGCCTGGCGACAGAGCGACTCCGTCTCAAAAAAAAAAAAAATTATTGCATGCATAGACACAAGCCCCAGGGATATACCCCAGATTCTAGATGAACTCACAATTTTAAAATAATTTGTGGTCACAGTGTTATGAGGTTATAAAATAGATGCTGGTCCATCCGTACTGCAAAACGACATATCCTGCTCATCCTCTTTCCTCACATCCTTGCCCAGGGCTCTCCTTTCAACTAGGAGATCCCTGGAGATCAAAAATGATCCCTCTGCAGCTTCTGCTACCCCAACCCCCATGCTGGAGAGCCCCCCAGCTTCTTCCATGACCCTACTCTCAGTTTGATTAGGGAATGAAAAAGGAGAGGAAAGCCAAAGTTAATAAAAGGTAGCTAAGAAAAGTTAGCTTATTCTTTAGGGTCTCTGCCCAATTTTTATTTGGCAACACTTCCGGGGAAACAGATAAAGTCAGAGTGAATCTTTCCTTGATGGTGTCAAGGAAACAAAAAGCACTGGTCCTGAAGTTCTAAGTTCTACGTCCTGGGGTGGCGTCCTTACTCGGCATTTGCAACTTACATGTCCTTGGGCAAGCCACTTAACCCCTCTTATTTTATTTATGAGGCAATAATTATATCATATTTGTAGAGCATTTTACAATGTATTAAGTGCCTCCACAGTCATAATTTTATTTAATATGCTTGGCCAAGTGTATAATACTCAGTACTAATACCTTACTGCATTGCTGTACACATTTGAAAGCAGAGTCTGTGGGTTGCTGTGTGAATTGCAAACACCTTCATCAACAGAGAGATCATCTCCGTGTACATAATTTAACCCATTATGGTTATTGAGTGGGCTCTGCAGTCAAGTGCCTGGATTTGAATTCTGGTTTTACACTTACTAGCCATGTGACCTCGAGCAAGTTGCTTAGCTACTTTATAAGCCTCAGTTTCCTCACCTTTAAGTTAAGGAAAATAATAATTGTACCAGCTTGTAGTGCAGAGCTTTGCATATGGTGGGCTCTCAGTGAGAAGTGACTTGAATTTACACCAAGTTGAGTTGACAGCTGTCTGACCACACATATGTCCTCAAGAACACCCACCCTCCTTCTTCCTTTCTTCTCCATGGTTGCCTCCACCCTCTACATCCCTAGGCAAATATTTGCAAAGGGAAGGCAGAAGCTCCAGATAGCAGGACACACCCAGAATGACTTTCTTAAAAGTAACAAAGCCTCATTTTTCCATTTTCCACTTTCTGTAGGCTTTAGTTCCCACTCTATTTCAGGGGGGTCTCCATGCTATTTTGGTTGGAAACATAGCCCAGATTTCTGAGGGTCCCAGTCAGCCTGGACCCCTTCCTACTTCCTCCTGAGGGTCTTGATGTGACAGGCCGGAGAGCTCTGGGCTATGGGGCACCGGCTGAGCCTCAATCACCTAACTGAATTGTGCAGTTCACCTGTTTGATAAAAAACACTGATGACTGAGCCAAGGCTAAATGGATCTATTATAATGATATAAGAAGCAAAGGTTAATTTCAGCCAAACTGATGAATGAATGGAAAATACTTTGCTGCACAAAAATAAGCAACGCCCATTTAAAAGGCTTTCTGTTCATAAACGACTTTCATATTTTCACTGTTTAATTCCATCCTTATAAATTCCCTAAGGAACATGAAGGGCAGCTCTTTTATAGATGAGGCAACTGAGGCCCACAGAGAGCAAGTGGTGAAGCTGAACATAAAACACGCTCTTCCTCCCTCACACCCAATGCTGCTGCCTAGCATGGCTTCCCCACCTGAGCTTTCTGACTTTCCTGTCTGCCCGCTTCCAGCTTCTGTGGACCAGTTCCTAAAGGAACAGCATTAGGAGTCACATCACATCGGCATTTGCATTCAGAATGGGACAGGGCAGGAGGATAGGAGACATGGCTTACATCTTAGTCCACAAAAAGAAAACACATCCTCAAGAGCTCCAATTAGGCCCAATCAGCCTGGAGTTCACAGGCTAACTGCCTGCAGTAATGAAGTGGGCACATGTGTCCTCTCAGTGAGGGCAAGAGAGTCACCCATGACTGTCACTCTGCTAGTTAACATTTCTCTCCAAAGCACCTCTGAGACAGCCCAGCCATTTCACAGGTTGCAGACAGGCTGTGTGGCTGCTGGGGTTGAATGCACATCTGAGGTTAGGACAGGGAGGGCTGGACTAACCACCGTTACCCAGGCCTAGGACATGGGCAAATCATGAACAGCTGCCTTTGGCTCTATAACCAGGACTGAAAAGAAATCAGGCAGCAGGCATGAAAGAATTCAATAGTGGGCCTGTTGGTAAAAGACTTACCATCTGGGCATTGCTCATTCGGTTTTGGTTGGCTTTTCCTGGTGGATAACTGTATAAGGAGAGGGTGAGTCTCTGAGGGTGGTCCCATCTTCTTCCACTCTATAGCTCTCTGGCACCTTCTACAGGGTTCCGAATACCATCTCCATCCTAATGGGACATAGTCCACATCATACATGCCCAAATCTGTGGTGATTCTAGAGACCTTCCAGAGCACATGCAGAGGCGGGGCCAGCTGTGCTAGGTTCTATTTGACAACATCCCCGTCTAGACGAAGGAGGAAGGATCAAAAAGTCCAGAATTGAATCCTGGCTCCCTGCTGGGAGAAATCTCACTTCCTTCTAGATTATGAACTAGTCAGTGAAGGCCAGCAGGAGGAGAGTGTGACCCTTACAAATATTGGTAGGCACATTCTACAGCCTGGCCAGAACGTCACTGGTTTAATTTCCATAAGAATGACCCTCAGACACTGTCTATAAGATGGACAGAAGGACACTCATGGAACAGTCCTCCCAGGACCTCCTGTCACCACTTACCTGCTGAATTCTACCATCTTTGAAGACAAAGCTCAGTTCCCACCTACTTGGCTAAGCCCTCTCCAAGGCCCAGTTTCTTTCCAGAGCACATTCATTCTGTCCCATCTCCTTGGCAAAAGTTATACATGCTATCTGGGGAGGTCAGCTCTCTCTGCGCTTGTGTCTGGTCAAAAGAAATACTGTGTCCCTTTTTCTTTTTCCTAGTACAAAGCACTTCATACAGTAGGTGTTCAACAAGTACATATTAATCCATTTTGTTTTTTGTTTTATTGGCACTAAATCACTACAATGTAACCCCTAAAGTGTCAGAAAATTCAGATGTGGTGTGTGTTACAATCTAACTGCTATTGAGTACAAATTAGAACTTTTCATTCTATTTCAAACTTCTGTAAATAGGGCTTGTACATTTTTTAAAAATACGTTTAGTTTGCGATGTGTGACTACGTAATGGAAGCTGAGTAACTTTTCTTTTTTCATTGACACTCATTTTACCTGGCAGTTCCTTTTTGTGTCTCTGGTTCCACTTCAAGCTGCAGTTCAATGTACTAAAACTGCATTCCTTAAAACGAAGTACTATATCAGACTTTTAAACTGGCCTTTTCCATCCCTATATCTCTGGATGGCCTGTGCCTGGGGCAGCTCACCTGATACGGCGTCGGCGGCTTCTGCCTCCCATTTTACAGGCGTGTGGAGAGAGCTCTGTTATGAAGCAGACCCTGCAACCCAAGGGGTCGGCCCTTTGTAGGAAGCCAGTCAGGCACAGGGGGATCAACAGCCTGGGGGAGGTGTCCACGGTGCAGGTGTCTATACCGGGACTAGGTGTCTGGTGTGAACCCACACAAGTTGTTGAACCTGTCTGAGCCTCAGTTTCCTCAACTGTAAAAAGGACATGGTAAGACCTATATCAGAAAATGCCTGGCACATGGCAGGCATTTGACAAATTATCTTATTATGAAGCATGCAGCCCACCCAGAAGTTTGTTGAATGCTTTGCTGTTTCCCCAGCTGACTTCATTCCCAGAGTTAAGCCACATCAGAACCCTGTGCCCTAAAGAAAGTTCAACCCAAAAATCTGAGTTCTGAGACACACAGTAGGGGCTTGCAGTCCATGGGGAGGGTAATGACGAGCAATAGGAAATGTGCCAGAGGACACGTCGCAGAAGATGTGTCAGATGCCAGAAAGAATGCTCGCTGGGGAAATAGCAAATACACTCTGTAGTATCTGTGGCCAGGACAACCACAGCCTAGGAACAAACTGTGTCCTGAGTAAATGCAGAATCAAGCTGTGGTGAGATACCAAGAGGGGACAGGAAAGCAAAACAGATCATGACCAAGAACAGGAGCTGAGATGGTGACCAAACCCCTGCTAGCCAGAGAACGTGCACCAATTCTCTGCCTTGGGAGGAATCCACGGTCAAAGCTAAACTCACACTTTCATAGTATGTGTGTAATTAGTTGAAAAGCTTAATTTAACAGTTTGGTAAATTCCATTAGCAGTTTATCTGTGGTATGTAATGAAGCTATTTTTAAGTGAATCCTTTTTGGCTAAAGGCCCCAGTGAAGAATCCTAATGGAACATGGTTCACATAATACAAACCCAGATCCGTGCAGATGCTAGAAACCTTCTCGAGTAGACACTAATGTGCCCAGACAGGGAAGCTGTGCTTGACTCTGTACAATGACACCCCTGTCTAGATGAAGCAGGAAGAATCAGAGAGTCCAGAATCAAGTCCCAGCTCTGAAATTACACTGCCTCGGGTATGTTACTTACATCTGTGGTGCTCACTTTCCTCATCTGGAAAGGGTGGGTGATCATACTACCTTACAGGACCCTGGGGAGAAATATGCAAGGTTCTGTACAAAGTACTTAGCCCACAGGAGGGCAGTCTCACAGAAGTGCTTTTGATTGAAGCAGATAATTTTTTTTTTAAACCCAAACAAACAGAAAGGAATAAGAGAGAAATGGCAGCAGAAAGATTACCCAAGTCGACAGGACATCTGATGGTGAGGCCATTGTGCAGAGAGCGAACTGAGACGGTATCACTGTATGACTTCCTGGAGCCACAGTTAAAACCAAACCTTCTCCAACCCCATCAGTTTGAGAAGAGGAAACAATTCACAATGTGAATATACTTACTGCCACTGCGCAGTATACTTAAAATGGTTAAAATGATACATTTTATGTTATGTATATTTTATCACAATGAAACAGTGAAGATCCAAAAACAAACAAACAAAAAACCCTAAACCTCAACTCTCTGCCCACTGAAGACAGTCCAATAAAAATAACATAAAGAAGAGTTGGATGGCCTTCCCTCTGTGGGATTCTGTAGGGAAGGCTGTGTCCATGCACCCAGATGCCACACCAAAGGCCCTGTGAGTCAAGATCTCCATCCTGTGGATGATCTGTATCCGGGGTGTCTGTTCAATCCAAACTCCCAGAAGACCCGAAAACCAAAAAGCTACCGCAGGCCATGGCACCACTGAAAGATCTAGAGGTTCTTCTGCTGAACAATGTGTTATCCCTGATGGTATCTCCCCAATGGCAATTTCTGACCGTGATTCAGATGACACTACCCACAGAAATGAACTTCCAAGAACTCCTCCTCCCTCAATCCCACCGTGTCCTCCTCTGGGGATGGTGGCGCTGCTGCTGTCTTGCTCACAAAACCTGCCTTGGGAAGAAAGCCCCTAAAATTTCAGCCCTGCTCAGGTTAAGAAATAGTAGCTTTAGGCCAGGTGCAGTGGCTCACACCTGTAATCTCAGCACTTTGGGAGGCCAAGGCAGGCAGATCATTTGAGGTCTGGAGTTTGAGACCATCCTGGCCAAGATGGAGAAACCCCGTCTCTACTAAAAATACAAAAATTAGCCAGGCATGGTGGTGCATGCCTGTAATCCCAGCTACTTGGGAGGCTGAGGCAGGAGAATCGCTTGAACCCAGGAGGTGTAGGTAGGTTGCAGTGAGCCAAGATCATGCCATTGCGCTCCAGCCTGGGCAACAAGAACAAAACTTCGTCTCAAAAAATAAAATAAAATAAAATAAAATAAAATAAAATAAAATAAAATAAAGAAAGAAAAGAGAAGAGAAAAGAAAAAAGAAATAGTATCTTTGACAAACCATCTCCTTCCCTACAGAAAAACAAAACCTGGCTGAAGGCAGGAGGTGTCTCTCTGGCCAGTGTCTCTCATCTCCCTCCCGCTGACCTCCCTGACCCCATTCATGTCTTCAGAAGGGCATGGCCCTGTCGAGGGGGTGAAGGGCTGTTCCTGTGCCTCAGGGCCCTGTGCTGTAAATGCTTCCCAGCCTGGGCTGTACTTCTAGGTGCAGCTCAAATCCTACCTCCTCTCTAAAGCCATGAGAAATATACTTTACTTACTTGCCTATAAACACTAACATCATTGGTTATTTTTCATATCATCTCCTGCTATGAGCTAAATTATGTCCCCCCGACAATTCATATGTTGAAGCCCTAACTCTCAATGTGATGGTATTTGGAGGTGAGGACTTTAGGAGGTGATTAGGTTTAGATGAGGTCATGAGGGTGGGGCCCTCATGATGGGATTAGTGCCCATCATGAAGAGACACCAGAGAGCTCTCTCTCTCTCTCTCTCTCCCCATCTCTCTCTCCTCCCTCTTCCCCACCCTTCCTCCACCCTCCCTCTCCCTTCTTCCTCTCCCATTCTCTCCCTCTCTGTGCCATGTGAGGACACAAAAAGAAAGTGGCTTTCTGCAAGCCAAGGAGAGAACCTTCACCCACCAAACTGGCACCATGATGTTAGACTTCCAGCCTCCAGAACTGTGAGAAAATAAATTTCGGTTGTCTGTGATATTTTGTTCTGTCTGCCAGAACAAAGACATCCCCTCAAAGGGAGTATGCATGCCTACTACAGGGACCACCCCTCTCTTCTTAGACCAGACCCCCTGCAGGACCCTTTGCTGGCACAGCAGGGACTTAGCATGCATGGAAGCTAATTAGGTGAGAGACTCTGCTTCTGCCTCCTGGAGAATTTCAATCCAAGACAAGCACAACAAGTTGTGAAGGACCAACAAGGGGAGGAGTACATCTCAACAAGTTGGTTGAGAAGGACCAACAAGGGGAGGAGTACACCCTTAGCATGGAACTCAACCACAAGCTCTCAAAACAGGTAATGTCACCATGACCCATGGGATCACATGTGCGTGGACCACGTGCTTCCTCACATCCCTTAACTCACCTGACATGGATCAACAGGTAACTCCTGTATTCTCACTTGAATGAAGAGAAGAGAAACTCAGGTTTAGAGGCTAATCCCAAAGACATATGACTGGTTAGAGTAGAACCCAGACTCTGCACTAAGCATTCAGAGGCGGCAGGCTGTGGAACGCTTGAGGACTTGGCCCTAGAGCCAGACTGCCTGGGTTCAAATCCCAGCTCGGCCTCTTATCAGCTGTGTGACCCTGGAAAAGTTACTCAGCCTCTTGAAACAGATGAGGAAGATGGCTTCCTCATCTGTAAAATGGGGAGGATGATCATAACAGTGCCTATTTCATAAAACGGTTACAAAGATGAGTTCATTTATGCCAAACTCTCAGCCATGCCCAGTGTGTTTCTGTGCATCAACCTTGAGGTGCAGTGGAAAGAGAGTCCCTGGAGTTCCGTCTTTGGTCAAGGTGGGGCTGCAGGAAGCTGGCCTCCCTCCCGCATCAGCACCAATCCAACCCTCTATCCCAGTGGGTGAAGGTATGTGGTTATGTGCAGCGGACAATGTGGCAAAGCTGCATCCATTTACCAAGAGAACTCTGATGGACTACAAATCCTGGACCTCAATGCTGAGCAATCTCTAAAGTAAACAAAGTGAAAATAAACCAATCACCCAGGTAATAGAAGATTTTCCTCTTGTCTGCACTGGTAATTGGGTCATGGTAGCCAACCTCCCACGTCCCCTGGTGCTGCTGTGAGTTTAAAAGAGAGTAAAGGAAGCTGTCTGGCCAGAAACACGAGTGCAGGTTCCGGGAGGAGGGCAGCCACACCCGCTGGTTCCAGCTTGTCCTGGTGCACCTGTAGCACGTGTGCTACGTCTCACCCTTCTCACCTTTCCTCTAACTAAGCCCAGAAGGGCACAGAGCTCCACAGGCTCAGGGGTGCACCCAGAAGGGCACAGAGTTCCACAGGCTCAGGGGTACACCCAGAAGGGCACAGAGCTCCACAGGCTCAGGGGTGCACCCAGAAGGGCACAGAGTTCCACAGGCTCAGGGGTACACCCAGAAGGGCACAGAGTTCCACAGGCTCAGGGGTGCACCCAGAAGGGCACAGAGTTCCACAGGCTCAGGGGTACACTACGAGCACAGGACTGGGTGTTAAGCCTATCCAACCTCACTGCTGGGACTTGCTTGGGTAAAACACGGTTTCCACTTTCCCACAAGTTCTCAGGCCCAGCCTCACATTTTTCCACCCCCAGGCAGGGCAGCTCTATTGTGTGAATAAGGGATCTTCAGCACAGATGGGGTGGGGACAGAGGCCCTTGGAATCTGAACCACAGGGGAAGCTTGCCTGCTCCTACCTCCATGCATCTTCTAGAAACACCTGGAGCATCACCCAGAGTCAGACTCCACCCACCATAGAGCCTGCTGCCCCATAAATGCCTCCCTTGGCCAGCCCCATCCAGGATGTGTCAACAAACAGACAAGGGAAGAAAGTGTCCCGCTGGCATTCCGAGAAAGCCAGGGCTGGGAGCCAAAACACACCGACAAGGGGGATGCTCTGTCTCCTGAAGAATCTGTCACAAAAGAAAATTCTATAGCCCTCAAGCTGGAAGAGGCCCTGGAGATAACTTTGTCATCACAGGGTGGCACCCTCTAGTTGCCCCAGGCAGATGAGGTCCTAGAGGAACCCGTCCCTAATATTGAACTTCAAGAGGTCCTTCCTGTATCTAACTCAGCCTTCAGAGAAAGGGCAGAGCAGTTACAAGGCAAGGATGACTGAGAACTCCAACACCTGAGGCCAAGACTCAGCACTGTGTACAAGGTGTGGAGCCTGTAGAGGACAAACCTGACTGAGGGTTGTCCTCCCCCTCACCTCAGCCTGACTGCAAATTTGTTTATGTCATCCGGATGACGTCATGCTAACTTGACCAGTTGGAGCAGCTGTGAGGGAAAACAGACCCCAAAGGTCCCTCTCCTGAGTCCTGTGAGGGGAAGGGGGTGTCTTTGTGTGGATGCTGTTGGTGAGTAGAGAGCCAATGGAGCATAACGCTTACAGTGCAGGCTCTGAAATAGCCAAGCTGCCTGAGTTCAAATCCTGCCTCTACCGTGTATCGGCTGTGTGACCATAGACATGATACTGTGCCTCTCTCTTCCTCAGTTAACTTTTCTATAAAATGGGCATGATGGCAGTGCCTAGCCAATTGGGTTGTAGTGAGGCTTCCATAAGGGAATACATGGACAGCCCTTGGGCCATGCCTGGCACTTTCTTTGCATTGCTCTTGTGAAGGTGACCAGTTTGCCTGGAACATCCTGGCTATGCTTGTGGTCCCAGCATTGCTATGAATATTCCCCCTTTCACTCCCGGCAGTGCCCGAGGTTGGATGATGTATTATAAGAGTGACTCCCTTTGGCTTCTTCATGTCCACCTGGTTATCTCCCTGCTTCATGCTGCCTCTGAGTACTGGGGAGCCAGGTTCCCAAAATATAGGTCCCCAAAGTAGGTTCTGCCCATGCCACTGAGCTGTCTGCTCCACAAACTCAGCTCTTCCTCTTTTCCTTCTTCTCTGCACTTTGTCTCTTCTCCTTCCTTGATCCTTACAGCCATCCTCTCCTTTCCTGCTTCCCTGTCCGTGCCTTAGGATTCTGCTGGTGCACACAGGTACCGTCTGGCTTTATTGGGACTTCCCCCTGACCCTGTACTTGGACGGAACCCTTTATGGCTCTAACTAAACTGTGCCTTATCAAATTTCTCTCAGAGGAAAGGAAGCGATTTGAAAAGGCAAAGAAATGACCAATAGATGGATGAGTGGAACAATGTGCTGGTTTTTGTTGTTGTTGTTGTTGCTGTTTCTTTGTGTGTGTGTGTGTGTGTGTGTGTGTGTGTGTGTGTGTGTGTGTGTTGTGTTGGTAGGAACAAAAAGTGTACCAGTTTGAAATGGTCCATTGAATGCTAGACCTGTCTATAGAACTGTCCCCAGGGCTATTTTTTTTATTTTTTATTTTTATTTTTTGAGACGGAGTATCGCTCTTGTCACTCAGGCTGGAGTGCAATGGCGCAATCTCAGCTCACTGCAAACACCGCCTCCCGGGTTCAACCAATTCTCCTGCTTGGCCTCCTGAATAGCTGGGATTACAGGTGCCTGCCACCAAGCCCAGCTAATTTCTGTATTTTTAGTAGAAATGAGGTTTTGCCACGTTGGCCAGGCTGGTCTCGAACTTCTGACCTCAGGTGATCCACCCGCCTCAGCTTCCAAAGTGCTGGGATTACAGGTGTGAGCCACCAAGCCTGGCCCCCAGGGCTATTTTACAGGAAACCCTGGAGGCTCCTCTGCAAGACAGCGGCCTCCATGTGTGTCAGTGCAGAAAGCAAAACCTCTGGAGCCCAAGGGCCTGGACCCATTTCTGCCACTCACTAACAGCTGACAAAGGACCATGATTTCGCAAAGACTCAGTTTCTCCATCCGTAAAATAGGGCAGACTTGTCTCTAGAACACCGTGATTCTATGACATTGTAAGAGGCCGTGGACCTGCTCTTAAGATCCTGAATTCTGCAATATTCTGCAATATTTGGCAATTACATCTTTTAGCTCTTCTCTAGGGGAAACATACGAGGGAAACAGGGCCTTGGAAAATATAAAATCTGAACTAATTCTCACCTAAGGTATCATGGCAAGTGCCTGAGTCCTCTGTGCATTGCAACAAAATAGACACTATTTTGTGTGGAAGAAAAGCAAGAGAGAGATGTGAACTCAGTGGGTGATTAGCCTGTCCCTGAGGAATCCCTCACTAGCTCTCCCCTAGCTTCTCTCAGCTGCATTGCCAGTACCCAGGCAGCCTGCAGATTCAACCCTCCCTCCCCACAACAGGTTCAGCAAACCATTGCAACAAGGAGCCCCAAGGCAGAATGGATGGCTACTGCGGCCACTGCCCCAGTGCTGGGGCCTGCCTTCTGCAGGCTCACCACAGCGTGACGCATCTCCAATCACCCCCCACACCTGGGGTTCCATCTCTGTCAGTGGCATCACCAGCCACTCTAACTCTGGAATCCAAATCGCCATCATCTTGGTCTCTTCTGCTCTGGTCCCTGACATTTATTCAGTTACCAGATTGCATCTACTCCATTGTTCTCTGGGTTAAAATCCCCATCCCACCACTTATTTTCTGTATGACCTTGGATAAACCACCTAACCTCTCTCTCAGTTTCCTCCTCTACAATATGGAACAATCATAGCAATCTCCTCATGAGGTTGTCAGGAGGATTAAATGAGATTAAACATGAAAATCTCCTACCACAGGCCCTGGCACATGGCAGATGACTTTTCCCCTACCCCCAAGCCTTTTAGCCCCTTCCTGTCCATTCCCACCAGCCCTGTTCAACCCCTCATGGTGACTGCAATGGGCTTCTTCCCAGGTTCTCTTCCCACAGCTTCCTCCACTGCAGTACATCCCATACCCAGGTGCAGATGACATGTTCTTCTGAACCCAGCTCCAGGAACAACACTTCCCTTCTTAGAAACCATCAAAATATCCCTAGGCTTAATAATGAAGTTTCTAGACTCGTAACACTCCAAGCCTCTGCCATCTCTCCCAGGCAGCACTCCTCACCGGATTGTCCACTACATTACTCCTTGCTCCTCAGGTACAACCCACCTTCACGGCTTTGCTCAGCCGTCCTTCCCCAAGATGCCCAGACCCAGCCTCCTATTCAAGGCCCGGCCTCAGTGCCACATCCAGGACGCCCTCTGCGAGTCACTCCTTCCAGAAGTAACCTCCCTCCTCCAAACTCCCTCTACACACTTTATAGTATAGAACCGAGAGGTGACAGGACCTCGGAAGCCGTACCTGAAGCCTCTCACTTATAGAACCGAGAGGTGACAGGACCTCGGAAGCCATACCTGAAGCCTCTCACTTATCACTTAAAAACTGCGCATGAAGTAGCTCTTATGGGCAAATACTAAACCATGAGGTTGTACATATTCATTTCACCTGAAAAGGGGCATGAACTCTGGACCCTTCAACAAAAATGCTGATTCCACGTGGAGCAAACTGCTCTGATTTCATATCCCTATGCCCACATCCTTGATAAAAAGACTCTTCGGTACATGCTGCTTTCTTCCAGAGACAAGGAACCCATCACCTCATGAGTTAGGTTCTTCCTCCTGACCCTCTGACCACCCTGGGGACTCCCACGGATTGGCTCTTTCTGTCCTCTTGAGTCACACAGAACGAATTCCTTTGAGACTCCTGGTGTCCTCCACAGAGCCAAACAGGGCAGGTTCCTAAGCACACTGTGTAAACAGATAAATGAACTCAGAGGGCTTTCCCACGTGGCAGGGTACATTCGCTGCATCCCGTGCATGCATGGGTGCACAGACACACACTCGCACACACACGGACACACACACACACACACGGACACACACACACAGACACACACACACACGGACACACACACACACGGACAGAGTCAGCACAACGCCTCTGAGCCACACAGCCAGGCCAGCACACGCGGGGGCCAGGGCGGAAGCCAAGCCCCAGCAGCCGCCCACTTCCTGACCTCCTTCCTTTGCTCTGGGAGGTTCTCTCTCTGTGTCTTTCTGACTGTCTGTCTCGGTTCTTTGTTTCTCGGCATGGCAACAGTTGTGGATGCTGCCTGCGTGGCCAGGGCTCCTAGTAGCACTGACCTGCAAGGTAGGAGTTTTGGTTCTTAGACTTGAGACCTTGGGCAAGTCACTTTACCATTCTGAGCCTCAGTTTCCTCATCTGTGAAATGAAGAGGCTGGATGAGGCTGGAGGGTTCCTAAGGTCCTTTCCTGACCAAAACCCTAGTGCTTCTCGGCTCTCCTCCAGTCCCGTTACCGAGTGACAGGGAGGGGAGCAAGGGCCAGGCCAGGCCTGGGGGTGGCAGGGGAGCCAGCTGTTCCCCCCCAAGGGCACACAGCCTCCATCCAGGCCCTCTGCGAGTTCCATGTGCGGCAGACACGCGCTCACACTTCGCAGCCGGAGGAGCAGGCAGGAAGCGCCGCCCCCCGGCCGCCCCGGCCGCCCACCCTCAACCTTCCTCCACGTTACCTTGGGCGTGTAGGCTTCCCGTGGACCTGCCCGCGCCGCCCGCTCGGCTCTCAGCTGTCAAGCAGCCGCCTGCTCCGCCCGACTCTTTCCGCTCCGAGCCGCGCGGGCTGGACCAGCCCCTCAGCGGAGCTGAACGGGAAGCGGCGCCCCCTGGACGCCCTCCGGGACGTGCGCGCGCCAAGCGGTGGGGTCCGGGCCTGCAGGCGCGACCTGAGGCCGCCAGGGAGGCTGGGTGGCGAGGGCGGGGCGGCTGCCGACTTAGCCGGCCTGACTGGTCGGGCTTCCGGGGTCCCGCTGCTCCCTAGGCCCCTTGCCCCGATTCAGGCTCCCAAGGTGGGGCATCAGTCCGGCCCTCGCTGGCTCACTGGAGAGGTGGTGTCTGGGAGTGCACCCCCGAAAACCCGGCAGCAGCCCGGCGTCACTCCGGCTGTTACCTCTGGGAGCAGAAACTAAAGGGGATCCTTATTCTTTATACTTTTCTGACTCTTCTATATATTCTACTGTGGGCATGAATCGTTAAAAACAAAACAAAACACCAAAAACCCAATACGTATTTGTTAATAAAGCACTGAGTAAATCTTCAAAGGCCTCCCGAGGTGCTCCGGCTGCAGGATAACCCCTCAGCTTAGCGCACAAGGCAAGGCCCACCCTGCCCTCTCCGGCCACAACCTAATTTTCCAGCCTCACCCTCTCTCCCTCACACACACACAACACTTTCGCTCTGGACACACTAGCTGTTGCCAAACACCAGCTGTTCTTCATGGCTGCTGGGAGTTCTTCTTTTTGCCTGGAACACCCTCCCCTTTCATCTCTGCCTGTTGAAATCCTACTCATCCATCCAGGCCCCTCTGAAATGTCACCTTTTTGGAGAACCCTTCCCCAGACACTGCCCCTGCAGAGTGCCCCAGTTCTTTCCTGGCAAGCCCATCTTTCTGGTACTGGTTTATGTAGTAGCATCCCCCTCTCACACGCGCTAAGTCCTATTCCAAGGTGGAGAGAAACAAATTAGCACTTACTGAGCAGCTGTTATAAATTACTCTGTGGAGTCCTTTCTTCTCCTTGCAGCCCAGCCAGCCACTAGCCCACAACCTCCCTCCACCCTGCCAGAGTTTCAGAAGGCTGTCAGGGGCTCTGAGGCCTGCCCTCTGGTGTGTCCCTACTGCGTGCCTTGGCTTTTCTGGCTCTGTCCTGGGTATGCTTCCCTGTGTCAACTCCCAAGGTCTGCAAGCTGGTGGCTTGACCTTCTCTCAGCCTTATGTGAGGAAAGAAGGACATTTCATTATCAGAATCTGAGAAGTGGAAGGGGCCTCAGAGATTATCCAGTGTAAAGCCTGCCCACCCATTTTACAGAGCAGAAAACTGTGACCAGAGAGATAAGGTCAGAGGCATCGGAGGTACCTACCATTGTTATTGTTGTTTTTAATAGTGTTAATACTTGCACGTTTAGATCGCCTTTCACTTCTAAATCAATGCGTTGTCATTCATTTGCCCCTTACAGTCTCAGAGGTATTACAGTGGTTAGTGCACAGACTCTGGAGGCCAAAGCCCTGGGTTTGAATCTCAGTGCTCCAACTTGCCAGCTACGTCCTTGGCAAGTTACTGGAACTTTCTCCATCAGTACAATGTGGATAGTAACAGCTCCTGCATCATGGGGTGTTCTATGAATCGAAATAAATGTGTATCTTTAAAGGGCTTAGAATAGTAGTAGGTTCATTAAAAATGCCAAATGTATTTGCTCTTATCAAATTTTTGTTATTGTTAATTGTATCACTTCACAGTTGGAATAACAGAGGCTCAGAAAGGCTGAGACTCATCCAAAAAATTGCTGCTTTGAGGATGGTTTCTCACCAAACTCCATGCAGTCATCTTTGTCTCTGATGCCATTCTGCTTCCTGTTCCCTTGTGTCTGAGTCTAACCACCTATTTAATAGGGAAGAAAAGCAACTGTCCTTTAGCCCACCTCAGAACACCTAGACATTTCATGTTGCAAACATTAACCACATCTTCTGGCTTCTATGGGGATGTCTCTAATTTGCTGGCGTTTTCTTTAACAGAACACCACGCCTCATGGTGCCCTTCAGAATCACAGAGCCATCACATTAACTGCTGCAAGTTCAGCTTGTACATTCGTGCCTCTTTTACTCTTGGCCCGTGGCAGAAAAGCGACAGGGAAAAGATGGTTCTTCCAATGTATGGATGTAGGAAACTGAGGCACAGTTGATACTCACTGATTGGCCCCAGGCTATGGAGCTAGCCTGGACCATGGGAAGGATGAGGATCTCCACCTCCTCTTTCCCCATGATTACATGATTCAGTGTTGCAGGAGAAACCCAAACTCGTTTATTCAATGAGGATTTATTGAGCTCTCTCTAGGTGACGAATAAGACCGAGGCAAGGCTGGCTTCCTGGGCATATGACCTATGAAGTCACATAGGCCAGAGGTCCCCAACCTTTTTGGAACCAGGAACCTGTTTCGTGGAAGACAATTTTTCCATGGACCAGGGGTGGGAGTGGGGGGTGGGAATGGTTTCAGGATAAAACTGTTCCACCTCAGATCATCAGGCATTAGTTAGATTCTCATAAGGAGTGTGCAAACTAGATCCCTCACATGCACAGTTCTCAATAGGGTTCACGGACCAGTACCCCATTACCGGTTTGTGGCCTGGGGTTGGGGACCCCTGACATAGGCCACTCACTTAGAAGGGCTTCATACAGAGTTTAATGCTGTCCTGCCACCTTCTTGAAATCTTAACAATTTTTGAACAAGGGGCCATATAAGTTGTATTTTACACTGGACCATTCAAGTTGTACAGCTGGTCTGGACCTAGGCTCTTCCCTAGGAGCTCTGTTTCACAGGGAATCAGCCAGGGAGTTGACAACTGCAGTTCAGTACGATGGGGGTTGTGACAGAAGCAGGGTAGCCGTGAAAGAAGAACAGGACCTTGGCCAGTATTCAGCTCACTTGGGTCATCCTCCCCAGCTGTGCAACCTGCCCAGCTGCCAATGACTTACCACTGTGCTCCTTGGTGGGAGGATGGCCTTGGTTTAGCACCAGGGCCTGTAGCCCCAGACAGCAGCTGCAAACCCTGCCACCCTAAGAGGCCACTGCTAGGTCATGTCAACACCAGGAAATGTGTGTCATTGGAGCCCTAAGCTGTTCTCATGTCCTCCAACCCAGGACTCATGTCCCTGATCTCATGTCCCCGATCACCAGACTGCCAGTGGACTCTACTTTCTGCTGCCTGCCCAGACCCAGTCAACTTCCAGAAAAGGGCACATAAAGTGATCCACACTGAAAAGCAATTGGCAGACAAAACCTAATGGGCTATTCATCCAAAGGAAACTTGGGTTTTATTAGGGGTATCTGGTGTCCTCCTGGCCTGCATTCTGACATATAATAAGCATCTAAGTCATGACAATTGAGTGAACATACAAAAGGTAAATACATATGGCAAAGCCTAGAATTGGAATTGGCAGTTTGAAGGCCATTGGCCCAAGAACAGGGTATTTTCGGTTGTGTTCTCTTTTCTTTCTTTTTTTTGGATGAGTGCTGGAAGCCCCAACACAATTGTTTGGGAATAAATGGAAGTGAGGAATGGAGAAGTAAGGAGGTACCACTCTCAAGGAGGCTGTCAGTAGAGGGGACAAAGAGTGTGAGAGAGGAACAGAAGAACCAAGCAGGAGACTGGAAGAGGTTTGTAGACTGAGGTTAAGAATCTGATGAAGAGAGAAAGGATGAAGAGTGAGGAGGGGTCAATGGCCCTGGTATAAGAAGAGGCAGGAAGGACTGGCGAGGACAAGGGCTTAGGAGGAGCCCAGAAGTCTCAGAAGCAGGGGGAGGAGGTAAAGATGAGTGAGGATGGGAGCAAGGTGGTGGGAGGAAAGTGGATGCAGAGCTCCCAGATCATAGTCCCTGTTTCATCTATGAACCAAGAAAATAGGTAATGGCTGGAGGGTCTGGGCTGATTGGTGGGGTAAGTAACATTTAGATGCTTGTGCTGTGAGTTGCTGCCTCCTCTGGGGTGGGGCAGGGAAGAGCCAGTGTCAGGGGTCGGGGGAGTAGAAAATTGGCTTGAAGGGCACAGGGACACTTCCAATGAGGCGTGCTACCCTCTTCCAGAGTCACCTTGATGCTCTATGGCATCCTTCCTCCTGTCATCTGTAACTTCTTTGTTTTTTCTTGTTCACTTGCTGCTTTCAACTCTAACTTAAGCCCAGTTCCTATTATTGGTCCCCTTAGAGGAACAATGAAAACATTCACTGTTCTAATACAGGAATCCCTCTATTGTTCCTTCTTCCTTATTGTGAATGGCAACAATTACAGAGTTTCCAACAGGTGGAGGCCAAAAACCAAACAGATTTTTCAATGTTGACTTTCTCAGGCTGCATACAGAAGGGCAGCATCTGCCCCACCTCCCAGAGCTTCGCCAGCAAAGGCCAAATCAAACAGCGGCCCAGAGCAGAGGGCTGGCCAGCTCTACAGAGCCAGCAAACACCAGAGGGAAATCACCCTGGATCCATATCTTCTAACCTTTGCCTCTGTGAGCATGTTTGGGAAGGAGACATCTATGAGATTGCAGGAGCCAATTCAGGCTACATGCTTATAGCTGCAATTGAAAAATTAGGCTAGAATGCAGGGCCTCCCTGAAGATATTTCTGAAAATCATGTACTTCCTTTAAGGGATTTACAAATCTGGAGTCCTTCCAAAACAGGACAAGTAAGACATGAGCAGTGACTTTCTACTCTCCATCCAGCAGCCAACAATAGACTTCGTCATTCAGATGGAGCTGCAGAGGTACAGACCTGAGAGAGCTGGAAGTCATAGAGCCAATCCCATGTATTACTGACGAGGTAACTATGGCTCAGGGTGACTTGACCTGTAAGCCACAAGCTTGTGGGTGACCACTCCAGGCCCTGAATGGAGGATTTCACTCCATCCCCCTGCCCCACAAGTGGCCTCTGAGAGACAGAGTACCTGATGCCACCTTATGTGGGATATTGTTTTTGCTGTCACGAATTTCTGAATCCCCTCTTTGTGGAATAGAGAAATCAAAGCCACCATACGTTCAAGGGTATCCACTAAAGAAGCCACATGGTTACTTCAGCTAAAAATAAATTAAAGACCTAACAATGAATTATCATTTATCTAATCATCTGGGAATGATGAAATTAATGTTTCGTATCTACTATTTTACAGTTATAAATTGCTTAGAAAGTATAGATATTTTTCCCTCATAATTCTGCTTTCCCATGAGTGCACATGCATACACACAAGACCCAACCACAGTATCTTGACCGTGAATATAATAAATAAGGAAATAACAAATGTAGTAAGGTGAAGGAGGGGGTTCTGTCAGCCCAAGAATGTTCTAGGCCTAGTGTTTGGTGGAGCCAACCAGCTCCTACAAGCCAGCGAAAACAAAGAAAAGTGCCTGGCCATTTCATTACAGAGTGCTTCCCAATAATCTAATTCCTCCACCATCAAAATTTGGTCAGGGAACATCACCATTTTTAGAGAGATGCTTTGTTTTGATAAAACAACCCTTCTGTATTAGTCTCTTCTCATGCTGCTGATCAAGACTTACCTGAGACTGGGTAATTTATAAACGAAAAGAGGTTTAGTGGACTCACAGTTCCATGTGGCTGGGGAGGCCTCACAATCATGGTGGAGGGCAAAAGGCACGTCTTATATGGTGGCAGACAAGAGAGAGCTTGGGCAGGGAAACTCCCCTTTATCAAACCATCAAATCTCGTGAGACTTATTCACTATCACAAGAACAGCACAGGAAAGACCCACCCCTATGATTCAATTACCTCCCACCAGGTCCCTCCCATGACAAATGGGAATTGTGGGAGCTACAATTCAAGAGGAGATTTGAGTGGGGACACAGCCAAACTATATCACCTTCTAAGCTTATGTCTCACTATTCACCCACAAATAGGCTGTAAAGAGCCCAGCATTTGCTTTCTAGCAATGGTGTCATACCAGCTTTGCTTTCCCTGCCTGCAGGGCCCTCCATGCATCTCTGTTTAAAGTCTAAAGCCAGATCCAGCTTTCATGCTGCCTACTGCAGAAAGACACCTCTGGTGTTTCTCAACCAGAGGAGCCTCCCCACCTCTCAATTCCGGACCACTTCTCTTAAAAACATGACCAATGATGCCAAAAGTCTAATTTATGTGTAGAGTTGGTGTTGCAGAGTAGAAGGGGATTGAGAGGTTGAGACTAAATAACTACTCAGCTTTGAACATGTCAGGAAGTTTATCTGTTCTTCGGCTTCCTAATCTGTAAAATGTAGTTAGGGACAGGATCTACCTGATGAGGTTGTTGTGAGACGTAAATGAAATAATTCACATAAAAAGCAACTAGTACAGTGCCTGGTACATAGTCAAGGCTTACAGTGTCAGGAAAGGAAAAAGGAAGGGAGGGAGGGAGGGAGGAAGGAGAGGAAGAGGGAAAAGCAAAGCAAAGAGAATGACACCAGCCTAGGCAACACAGTGACACCCCATCTCTACAAAAAATTATAAATTAAAAAAAAATTAGCCAGGCATGGTGGCTGATATGGTTTGGATTTGTGTCCCCACCCAAATCTCATGTCGAATTGTAATCCCTAATGTTGGAGGAGGAGCCTGGTGGGAGGTGACTGGATCATGGGGAAGGATTTTCCCCCTTGCTATTCTCATGATAGTGAGTGAGTTCTCACAAGATCTGGTTGTTTAAAAGTTGATATGGTTTGGCTGTGTGCCCACTCAAATCTCAACTTGAACTGTATCTCCCAGAATTCCCACGTGTTATGGGAGGGACCCAGGGGGAGGTAGTTGAATCATGGGGGCCAGTGTTTCTTGTGCTATTATCATGATAGTAAGTCTCACAAGATCTGATGGGTTTATCAGGAGTTTCTGCTTTTGCTTCTCTCTCATTCTCTCCTGCCACACTATGTAAGAAGTGCCTTTCCCCCCCCACCATGATTCTGAGGCCTCCCTAGCCATGTGGAACTGTAAGTCCAATTAAACCTCTTTCTTTCCCCAGTCTCGGGTATGTCTTATCAGCAGCATGAAAAGGGACTAATGAAACGTGTATAGCACTTCCCTTTTTGCTCTCTTCCTCAAGCTCCAGCCATGTAGGATGTGCCTGTTCCACCTTCACCTTCTGCCATGATTGTAAATTTCCTGAGGTCTCCCCAGACATGCTTCCTGGAACCATGAGCCAACTAAATCTCTTTTCTTTATAAATTACCCAGTCTCAGGTAGTTCTTTATAACCATGTGAGAATGGACTAATACAGTGGCACACACCTGTAGTGAGCTATGATAACGCCACTGCACTCCAACCTAGGCAACAGAGCAAGACCCTGTCTCTGAAAAGAAAGAAAGAAAAGAAAAAGAGAGAGAGAGAAAGAAAGAAAGAAAGAGAGAGAGAGAGATAGAAAGGAGGGAGGGAGGGAGGGGGAGGGGAGGGGAGGGAAAAGAAAAGAAAAGAAGCAAGCAAGAAGAGAAGGAAGAAGGAAGGAAGGAGGGAAAAAATATCCTCCTCTCTCTACTGAAGTCAAAAGCACCATTGCCTCTTCTTAGATGAAATACATATATGACCTCCTTGGAGGCACAATTTTATGTAACAATGACACCAAAGATCATGGAAAGGGTGAGATCAATTAATTTTTTAGATCTCCTATGTAAAGACATTGGCTGAATTCTGAATTCCATTAGAAACTGAATATTTTCAGGATGGAAGGAAATGCAGCAAGTCACCCTGTCCAACGCCCATTGATTTTCAGCTAAGGGAACTGAGATCTGCAAAGGGTAAGAGCCCACTGGCTGCAGCTGAGTCCAGATTGGAAAGCTTCCAGCCCAGACCTCCTCCCCTCCTGCACATCCCCTCTCCCAGCTGGGGAGAGACACCATAAAAACCTGATGTCCAGAGAAGAACTTCTGGCATAAGAGTGTGAAGAGGTCGATAATCTATTTCCTCAAAAAGCAACTATAGTCCCCACTCAAAACTGTCAAAAACAACCATTTCATTTCCCAAAAATGACTGGAGGCGTGCAACAAACTGAGAAGTGCTTATATTCGTGAAAACTACTAAACTTACAGCAACATCAGCGTGAATCTGTGGTGATTTGTATGAGTCCTGCACCCCTGCCCCGCCACCAGAGTGCTGTTGTTTGATAGTTCAATGAGGGCAAGCCAGATCTTACAAACTAGCATTTTTTTGTCACTGCCAGAGGGGGTTCCCTTGACTTGAAGCAGTATTATTTAAGCGATGATCTCAGAGGCAAGTAATCAGAAAGGACCAGAAGCTCTTCTGGCCTGAAACTGCAGAGCAAGCAATGGGCTAGTGACTAGCTGGGTACTTAACAGGGAGTTCCAGGAGGTGAAGCAGATATGAGGGGATTAGTAAACTCTCCCCATATTATGAGTTAAACAGAGGTCGTATGCATATGCTGCAGAAACGGGAACATCCTAAGCCACCCACACATTCCTGGCCAGTGGAGTCTTCCCCATGTACAGTGGAGATGCAAGGGCTCAGGGGAAAAGAGAAGCCTCGGCAGACTTGGGGGGAAAATGCCTGAAATTTTGATGCACTCTCCAGCTGACTCACAAATCTGCCAGCAGAAAGTAGAAATCTCACTGGCTCGAGATATTTGAGCATAACCTCTGACCAATCTTTGGCTGAACGCTAATCTAGGCAGACACATGGGCAACTCTAGGAAGCCAGGCTTAAGAATAAGAAACAAGGCCAGCTGGCCGGGCACGGTGGCTCATGCCTGTAATCCCAGCACTTTGGGAGGCCGAGGTGAGCGGATCACGAGGTCAGGAGTTCGAGACCAGCCTGACCAACATGGTGAAACCCCGTCTCTACTAAAAATACAAAAATTAACCAGGCGTGGTGGCGCGCACTTGTAATCCCAGTTACTCAGGAGGTTGAGGCAGGAGAACTGCTTGAACCCAGGAGGTGAAGGTTGCAGTGAACCAAAATTATGCCACAGCACTCCAGCCTGGGCGATAAAGTGAGACTCGGTCTCAAAAAAAAAAAAAAAGAAACAAGGCCAGGAGTGGTGGCTCACGCCTGTAATCCCAGCATTTTGGGAGGCCGAGGCGGGTGGATCATGAGGTCAGGAGATTGAGACCATCCTGGCTTACACAGTGAAACCCTGTCTCTACTAAAAATACCAAAAAAAAAATTAGCGGGGTGTGATGGCATGCTCTTATAGTCCCAGCTACTCAGGAGGCTGAGGCAAGAGAATCATTTGAACCCAGGAGGCAGAGGTTGCAGTGAGCCGAGATCACACCACTGCACTCCAGCCTGGACAACAGAGCAAGACTCTGTCTCAAAAACAAACAAACAAAAAAGAATAAGAAACAAGAAAAACAGTAGCAGAGACAGTCATAGATGTACGCTGCAGAGGCAAGCTTCACAGATTTCTTCCAGACAAGTTATTAAATAAACATACAAAACAATAACAATAGCAACACTCAAATTAAAATTAAAATCCAAAGTTGCTACAATATACTATGTAAAATATCCAGTTTTCAACAAAAAAATGATAAGGCAGGCAAAGCAACACAAAGGTATGACCATATTCAGGAAAAAAAAAAAGGAGTCAGTTGAAATTGTCTCTGAATGTCCCTGGATGTTGGGTCTAGCAGACAGTTTTTAAAGCAGTTATTAGAAATATGTTCAAGGAACTACAGGAAACCATGTTTAAAATTTTAAGGAAAGTATGACAACAATAAATAAACAATATCAACAAAAGAAATTACACGAATGAATCAATTCTAAAACAATGGATGTCACAAGGCAGTGAAATGACATATTCGAAATGGTGAAAAATATCTGTCAACAAATTACTTACATCCATCAAAACTATCCTTCACAAATGAAGGCAAAGTAAAGACATTCCCAGGTAACCAAAGAGTGAGACAATGTTTTGCTAGCAAATGTACCTCACGATAAATACTAATGGAAGTCCTTTAGGCTTAAAGAAAGTAACACCATAAGATACTCAAATCCACAGAAAGAAAGGAAGCAGTTCAGAAATTATAAATATGTGGGTAAATATAAAAGACTCCATAAATATAGTTTTTCCAATTTTTTTCTCTTCTTTAAAAGACATAAAATTGTATAAAGCAAAACTTATAACACTGTATTGTTGGGTATATAACACACATAGAAATTGATACGATAATGATGGAACAAAGGAGGGTAGGGAAAAGAAATAAATATTGCAGCAATATTTTTAGAATTAATGTAGTATTATTCTGAATTAGATTGCAAGAAGTTGAGATGCACATTGTAATTCCTAAAACACCTAAGAATATAACTCAAAAATACAGCAGAAAAATCAACAGAGGAATTAAAATGCTACACTAAAAATATTCATTTAACATGAAAGACGGAGATAAAAGAGGAGCAAAGGAATAATAACAAAAAAATGAGAAAAATAGAAAACACACAGAAAAATAACAAATATCAATCCATACCAACAATTACACAAAATATAAATGGACTAAATGCCCTACTCAAAAGGAACAGGTTTTCAGACTGGATAAAAAAGAACAAGACCAAATTTTTGTATGTTTGTATATGCTGTCTACGAGAAACATAGCTTAGCTTCAAAGAAACAAGAAACACAGCTTAGCTTCAAAGAAACAAAGAAAATTAAATGTAAAAGGATGGAGGACTTCCAGTTTCAGCTATGACATGTGAAGAGCTTAGAAGTTATCACTTCCATTCTTACAAGATAAAAGCTGCACAAATGGAAAACAAACTTTTCTTAGAGCCATCAGAAAATTGAGATCGCAGGGCAAAGAAGCACCCTGAAATCTAGAGAGACAAGTGAATACAGAGAACCACAGCCTAGGTCAGCTCTTGTAAAGCAGAAGCCACGACAGCCGTAAATGGACAGAAACACTTACAGTAATTCTGATGGATTGCTGGGGGTCGAGTATGGATTTGCTTGAGAGAGTAATTCCTGGAGATGCAGTGTTAGTGTGCTTCCCCCACTACACTTTGATGGATTTTACCTTCAGGAGCCTCACCAGATTCTCACAGTGAATATCCAACAAAAAAATCCCTTATGTTTCAGGCAGGGGTGAGGGGAAAAGTAACCATTTAAAATGCCAAAGCATTCTCCATTTCAAGGGCCTACTCTCCGAGGGAACCAACTTTACCAGAGCCTTATCTACCTGAGAGAAGGACGATTAGCCAACTTCAGCTCCTTCTAGCTTTCCTGTCTCACTTGAAGGAAGGGAAAAACAAAACGAAACAAAAAACATCTGAAGGTTATAGCCCAGAGACTCAGGAAAAAAAAAAAAAAAAGGAGTCAATTGAAATTGTCTCTGAATGTCCCTGGATGTTGGGTCTAGGAGACAGTTTTTAAAGCAGTTATTAGAAATATGTTCTACTAAAATAAAATAAGCCTGAGATTTAATCATAAAATTATAGATCATTTCACCTCACCAACACCTTTTGTATTAGGGTTCTCTAGAGGGACAGGACTAATAGGATAGATGCATATATGAAAGGGAGTTTATTAAGGAGTATTGACTCACAAGATCAGAAGATGAAGTCCCACAATAGACCGTCTGGAAGCTAGGGAGCAAGGAAGCCAGTCTGAATCCCAAAACCTCAAAAATAGAGAACGCGACAGGGCAGTCTTCAGTTTGTGGCCAAAGGCCCAAGAACCCCTGGCAAACCACTGGTGGAGGTCCAAGAGTCCAAAAGCTGAGGAATTTAGAGTCCGCTGTTCCAGGGCAGGAAGCATCCAGCACGGGAGAAAGATGGAGGCCAGAAGACTTAGCTAGTCTAGTCCTTACACCTTCCTCTCCCTGCTTTTATCCTAGCCACGCTGGCAGCTGATTCGATGATAACTACCCAGATTGAGGGTGGGTCTGCCTCTACTAGTCCACTGACTCAAATGTTAATCTCCTTTGGCAACACCCTCACAGCCACACCCAGGAACAATACTTTTCGTCCTTCAGTCTAATAAAATTGACACTCGGTATTAACCATCACACCTTATTATATCAACAGAGCTCTAGTATAGCAGATTACATCTGAAAGACCTGAAAAACACAAGTTCTATTTAAGAAAGGGTTCTGGCCAGATGCGGTGTCTCACGCCTCTAATCCCAGCACTTTGGGAGGCCGAGGCGGGCGGATCACGAGGTCAGGAGATCGAGACCATCCTGACTAACACGGTGAAACCCCGTCTCTACTAAAAATATAAAAAATTAGCCGGGCATGGTGGCAGGTGCATGTAGTTCCAGCTACTCGGGAGGCTGAGGCAGGAGAATGGCGTGAACCCGGGAGGCGGAGCTTGCAGTGAGCCGAGAGCATGCCACTGCACTCCAGCCTGGGCGACAGAGTGAGACTCTGACTCAAAAAAAAGAAAAGAAGGGATTCTTATGGGAACCCAATGACAACAGGACAGAGGGAGGAAAGCAAGGATGCTGCAGGTAACTAAACTCTCTGGCACCTACAGCTATGGTAAACATTAAACATAGCCCAGCTTGTAGCCAGATTAACATAAAACCTCACACAACGGCCTCTTTATCTTAGTTTCTACTACCCAATACACCATGTCTGCTTTCAATAGAAAATTACAAAGCATGCTAAAAGGCAAGAAAAAACAACCTGAGGAGACAAGCATTAGAACCAGACTCACATATAACACAGACTATGGAATTATCAGGTAAGAAAATTAAAAATAATTATGATTAATATATTAAGGGCTGTAATGGAAAAAGTAGACAATATGTAAGAACAGATAGATCATGAGCAGAGAGGTGGAAATTCTAAGAAATAATTGAAAGAAAGTGCTAGAAATCAAATATACTGTAGAATAAATAATGTCTTTGACAGGCTCATCAGTAGACTGGAAACAGCTGAGGAAAGTGTCAGTGAGGCTGAAGATATGGCAGTAGAAACTTCCCAAACTGAAATGCAAAGAGGAAAAAAAAAAAGAAAAAACAGAATATCCAAGAACTGTGGGATGATCACAAAAGGTAAAACATATGTGTAATGGGACTATCAAAAGGAAAAGAAAGAGAGAAAGAAGCAGGAGAAATTTGAGTAACAAACGCTGAGAAGTTTCCAAAATTAATAATAGAAACCAAACTTCAGGAAGCTCAGAGAACATCAATCAGGATAAAATTTAAAAATCTACAACTAGGCATATCATATTCAAACTTCAGAAAACCAAAGACCAAGAAAATCCTGAAAGAAGCCATGAGGGGCGGAGGTGAGGGGAGGACATCTCGCCTATAGAGGAACAGAGATAAAAATTACAGTGAACTTTTTATTAGTCTGGGTTCTCCAGGGAAACAGAACCAATAGAATACACACACACACACACACACACACACACACACACACACACACACCCCACCACATCTCTCTCTCACTCTTTCTCTCTCTTTTTCACACACACACACACACCTCTCACTCTTTCTCTTTTTCACACACACACACACCTCTCTCACTTTCTTTTTCACACACACACACACCTCTCTCTCTCTTTCTTTTTCACACACACACACATCTCTCTCTCTGTCTCTCATGCATACACACGCACACACACGTCACATCACATCTCTCTTTACACAAACACACACATATGTGTGTATGGGTGGGGAGAGAGAGGTGGGAAGGATAAGGAATTAACTCATGCAACTATGGAGGCTAAGTCCCAAGATCTGCCATCAGCAAGCTGGAGACCCAGGAGAGCTCATGGTACACTTGCAGCCTGAGTCTGAAGAACTGAGAACGAGGAGAGCCAATAGCATAACTTCTAGCCTGAGTCCAAGGTTGAAGGCCGTAGAAGAAAAACGTCCCAACTCTAAGACAGGCAGAGAGAGGGAATTCTCTTACTCCAACTCTTTGTTCTATTTAGGCCTTCAACGGATTGGATGAAGTCCACCCATACTGGGGAGGGCAATCTGCTTTACGCAGTCTACCGATTCAGATGTTAACCTCATCAGAAGCACTCTCACAGACACACTCAGAACAATGTTTAACAAAATATATGAACACCCTATGGCCCCGTCAACATATCAAATTAACCGTCACAGACTTCTCGTCAGAGAGTTAAGTGAAACATTTGAAGTGTTGAAAGGAAAAACCTCTAACCTAGAATTCTATACTCAGCAAAATTATCCTTTAAAAGTGAAGGCACAATAAACAAAACAAACAAAAACAAAAACTAAGAAAACTCTGACAAACAAAAACTGAGAAAAACTCATCATCAGTAGATCTGCCTTACAAGAAATATTAAAAGAAATTCTTTTTTTTTTTTTTTTTTTTTTTTTTGAGACAGCATCTGGCTCTGTCGCCCAGGCTGGAGTGCAGTGGCGCGATCTCTGCTCACTGCAAGCTCCGCCTCCTGGGTTCACGCCATTCTCCTGCCTCAGCCTCTCAAGTAGCTGGGACTACAGGAGCCCGCCACCGCTCCCGGCTAATTTTTTGTATTTTTAGTAGAGACGGGGTTTCACTGTGTTAGCCAGGATGGTCTCGATCTCCTGACCTCATGATCCACCCGCCTCGGCCTCCCAAAGTGCTGGGATTACAGGTGTGAGCCACCACGCCCGGCCAAGAAATTCTTTAGAGAGAAGGAAATATGATAGGAAAAGTATTGAAGAAGGAATTATTAAAATAAAATACAATCCTTTACTATTCTTATTCTTAATTGATGTAATGGATAATAACTTGTTCAAAGAAATAATAATAACAATGTATTAGGTGATTATAACATATAGATAAATGAGTGACAGCAATGCAATAAGGAACAAGAGGGAGAAATTAAGAATATATAATTATAGATAAATATTTGAAAGTGGACTTAGATTAGTTGTAAACACACATTATACACACTAGGGCAACCACTCAATATTTTTTACAATGTAATTGATATGCAGAAAGGAAAGAAAATGGAATCGTACAAAATGCTCAATAAAACTCAGAGAAGGTGGGGAAAGGGGAAAATTTGAAAAGGAAACAAAGAATAAGTACAAAAAAAAAGAAGATAGTTAGAAGTGTGATAGACAGTAATCCAACTATATCAAAAATCACTTTAAATGTGTGTTCTAGGCCGGGAAGCCTAGGAAGCCAGGCTTAAGAATAAGAAACAAGGCCAAGTGTGGTGGATCACACCTATAATCCCAGCACTTTGGGAGGCCGAGGCGGGTGGATCACCCAAGGTCGGGAGTTCGAGACCAGCCTCACCAACATGGAGAAACCTCGTCTCTACTAAAAATACAAAATTAGCCGGGTGTAATGGCACATGCCTGTAATCCCAGCACTTTGGGAGGCCGAGGTGGGCGGATCACCCAAGGTCGGGAGTTCAAGACCGGCCTGACCAACATGGAGAACCCTCGTCTCCACTAAAAACACAAAATTAGCTGGGCGTAGTGGCGCACACCTGTAATCCCAGCACTTTGGGAGGCCGAGGTGGGCAGATCACCCAAGGTCGGGAGTTCGAGACCAGCCTGACCAACATGGAGAAACCTCGTCTCTACTAAAAATACAAAATTAGCCAAGCGTAGTGGTGCACGCCTGTAATCCCAGCTACTCGGGAGGCTGAGGCAGGAGAATCACTTGAGCCTGGGAGGCGGAGGTTGCGATGAGCCAAGGTCGCACCATTGCACTCCAGCCTGGGCAACAAGAGCAAAACTCCGTCTCAGAAAAAAAAAAAAAAAGTGTGGTCTAAGTAAACAAAAGACAGAGATTGTCACAATGGATTTAAAAAACAAGACTGAACTAAATGCTGTTTATAAGAAACTCACTTTAAATAAAAAGACACAGATAGAATAAATTAAAGGGGTGGAGGAAAAGATGCCATGATGACATTACTCAAAATAAATCTATAATAACCATATTAATTTCAGACAAAGCAGACTTCAGAACAAGAAAAATTGACAGGGATAAAGAGGGGCATTACATAGTGGTAAAGGGACCAGTTCTCAAAGAGGACTACCATACTTGACACGTATGCGTCTAACAAGAGAGAGTCAAAATGTGTGAGGCAAAAACTGATGGAACTGCAAGGAGAAACAGACAAATCCACTAACATAGCTGGAGATTTCAACATCCTCTTTCAGTGACTGACTGATAGATTCAGCAGGCAGAAAATCAATAAGCATAGAGTTGAACCGGATAGCAGCACTAAACAACTGGATCTAATAGAGATTTATAGAATGTTTCATCCAACAAAAGTAAAGTACACATTCCTATCAAGCTCACATGAACATTCAACAAGATAGACCACATTCCAGGCCATTAAGCAAACCTTAACAAATTTAGAAGAATAGAAATCATTCAAAGTATGTTCTCACCACAATGGAGTTAAATGAGGAATCAATAACATAAGACAGCTAGAAAATCTCAAAATATGTTTCTAAAAAATACATGGGCCAAAGAAGTTCAATAGAAATTTAAAAATAGTGTGAACTAAGTGAAAATTAAATAAAACATAAAAATTTGTGGGAGGCAGTGAAACTAGTGCTTAGAGAGAAATTTATAGCATTGAATGAATGTATTAGAAAAGGAGAAGATCTAAAACCAACAACCTAAGTTTCCACTATAGGAAACTAGAAAAAGAAAAAGAATAGCAAACTAAGTCCAAACTGAGATCTTTATAAATGAAGATGAAATGTTTCTGGACTGGAAGATGCAACATTGTTAAGATATCACTTCTCCTTAAATTGATCCATAGAATCAACATAGTAGAATCCCATCAGGATTTCTGGTAGAAATTGACAAGTTGATCCTAAAATTTATACGAAAATGCAAAAGACCTAGAATAGCCAAGACAATTTTATAAAAGGCGAAAAAAGTTGGATGATTTGCAATGCCCAAAACTTATTCTGTAATAAAGGCAATGTGGTATTGGCATAAAGACAAGCATACAGATTTTTTAAATGGAATTTAGAATCCAGAAACAAAAGCTTACATTTATGGTCCATTGATTTTTAATGAAGGACAAGACAATTCGATTTGGAAAGGATAGTCTGTTCCACAGTAGGGGCTTGGGTAGGGATATCTATATGAAATAAAATGAACTTAGACCCTTCTCTTACATTCTCCTTAAACTCAAAGGGGTCACAGTCTTAAGTAGAAGAGCTACAACTATAAAACTTTTAAATGAAAATATAGGAGAAAAATATTTTTGAGAAATCTTCTGCAAATCTTTATGACTCCAGAAGGATCCATAAAAGAAACAATTGGTAAATTGCACCTTATTAAATTTAAAAACCTTTGTGCTTCAAAAAATAACCCTAATAAAATTAAAAGACCAGCACAAACTGGGATGAAATATTTGCAAAACATATATCTAATAAAGGTCTAGTATCCAGAATATAAAAGGTAGCTTTACAATTCAGTAATTATAGTAATTTTAATTACAACTGATTAAAAAATGATAGAAGACTTGAATAAATATTTCACCAAAGAAGACATATTAATAGCAAATAAACACATGAAAAGGCACCCAGCATCATTAGTCATAAGGAAATGCAAACTAAAATCATAATGTGGGTTGGGCGCGGTGGCTCACGCCTGTAATCCCAGCACTTTGGGAGGTCAAGGCAGGTGGATCATGAGGTCAGGAGATCGAGACCATCCTGGCTAACATGGTGAAACCCCGTCTCTACTAAAAATACAAAAAATTAGCCGGGTGTGGTGGCAGGTGCCTGTAGTCCCAGCTACTCGGGAGGCTAAGGCAGGAGAATGGCATGAGCCCGGGAGGCGGAGCTTGCAGTGAGCTGAGATCGCACCACTGCACTCCAGCCTGGGGGACAGAACGAGACTCTATCTCAAAAAAAAAAACATAATGTGATACTCTTATATGCTCAGTAGAGTGCTATATTCAAAGACAGGTAATACTAAGTATTAGTGAGGGTGTGGAGAAACTGGAATGCTTGCATGTTCCTGGAAGAAATGAAAATGGTACAGCTACTTTGGAAAATTCTTTGGTTCTTTCTTAAGTTAAACAAAAACTTACCCAAGACTCAGTGGCTTCACTCTGAGGAATCTATCCAAGAGAAATGAAAACATCTCCATACAATGACTCATAATTGAATGTGCATAGCAGCATTATTTGTACTAGCCAAAACCTGGAAAAAATCCAAATGTCTACCAGTTGGTGAGTGGATAAACCCAATATGGTATACTCATTCAATGGAATACTACTCAGCAATACGAAGGAGTAAAATACTGGTACATATTACAACATGAATGAACCTAATAAAAAGTATGCCTAAAAAAGACAGATGTAGGCCAGGCGCAGTGGCTCACGCCTGTAATCTCAGCACTTTGGGAGGCTGAGGCAGGCGGATCACGAGGTCATGAGATCAAGACCATCCTGGCTAACACGGTGAACCCAGTCTCTACTAAAAAAAAATACCAAAAAATTAGCCAGGCGTGGTGGCGGGCGCCTGCAGTCCCAGCTACTCTGGAGGCTGAGGCAGGAGAATGGTGTAAATCCAGGAGGTGGGGCTTGCAGTGAGCCGAGATCGTGCCACTGCACTGCAGCCTGGGCGACAGAGCGAAACTCTGTCTCAAAAAAAAAAAAGGAAGAGAGATGCAAAGAGTATATATTAGATGATTTCGTTTATAGTAAGTGTCCAGAAGAGGCAAATTATAGAGACAGAAAGCAGATTAATGATTATCCTGGGGAGGTGGGGTAGAAGTTGGTTTGGGCTGCAAATGAGCTTAATAAAATGTTTAGGATTATGACAATGTAATAAAACTGGATTGTGATGATGGTCATACAACTCTATACCTTTATTAAAAATCATTAAGTTGTATACTTGCAATGGGTATAAGGTATATAAATGACACCTCAAAAAGGCTGTGAAAACAAAAAAAAACACACAAAAACAAGACAAAACAAAGCAACCTGACTCTCAATACTGACTCAGCAATGGAGGTGTGAACTCTGGACATGCAATGACCAGCTCCTCAACTGTGTAGGTGACATCTTGTTGTGACATAAATTTTCTCTCCTTCCTTCTGACCTACACTGATTGCATGTAGCCCCAGTCAAAGCCAACCCTGCTCGGGCCATGCCCTGTCTAGCTATCCAATGTCCCTGTGCACTCTCAGAGTTTGCTGCCAGGATCTCTGGGACAGTGTGCCAGGTTTCCAGCCACCTGCTCAGTACTTTTCAGCATCACTAAAATGGAGTTATTTTTGATACCAGTAATGGCAGAAATCCAACTAAAATGAATTTTTATCTACAATCTTGGCCTTTACCAAAAAAGAACTGAAACACTGCACACACATATTGCTATCCCCATTTTCCCAGCATATAGTACCTGAGGAGAGAATTCTGGATGACACTTTCTGCCCTACCAAGAATACCTACCAAAATTCTAAAACATATTTGCTGTCTGTCCCCTAGGCATGAGTGTGTGTGTTTTGAGAAAGCTAGGTGGAGGATGAGGGGTGAAGATGTAGTAATTTGGTGTTTGAGCTATTGAGTTTAATTGAGTGATACATCTGTGCAGAAACGGAATGTTGACGTCATCACTTCCTCTGCCAACTTTGTTTGCTGTTTTTGTTTTTTTAAACGAAATAGATTTCTTTGGGGCTGCAGCTGGCTGCCTCCAAAGAGGGATCAAACCAGCTCACTTCCTGCTCATGCTCTTCTCTTTTACTCGGGACCCAGTCACCAGCTGAGTTTTTCAGGATTCTAAAATTCCTTAACTACTCATTTCATGTTTCCTTAACTACTCATTATGTGATTCTCATTCATTTCCCAACAGATGTTTGTTGAGCTCCTATTAAGTGCAAAAGGCTGTCTTAGAGGCTGTGGGGGATACAGAGATTAAAAAGAATGACCCTGTCCTCAGAGAGTTTACAGTCTAACTAAAGCAGGAGGTAGGGAAGGTGAGTATACAATAACTAAGCTATAAGGTAAGGTGATAACAGACAGACAAACTGAGATATCAGAGTTTCGAGGAAGGAGAGAGGCCTTTTAGCTAGAACGATCAGGAAAGCCTTTCTGGAGAAGGCGTGATTTGAATCAGATCTTAGGGATGGATATAATTTTGATTGACAGATTGCAGGAATGTGAGAAATATAGATGGAAGGAAATAACATGTGCCTGGAGAAAGAAGTTTTTAGAAATGGAAACGCACAAGGTGAATTTGAGAGAAAAATAATATTATTTTGCTAAAATACAGAAATTGGATTGAGAAGCAGAAGCAGATAAGTCTATAAATACATGCTGGAGTAAATTATGTAGACACTGAATGCCAGTTATAACTTGGACTTATCTCCAGACAGCCAGTGTTAACCTTTCCTTGACTCAAAAGGCATTTAAATAATAGGGACACAGACTCAGGCTCTATCTTGGCAAGATCCATAAGTTACACATGGAGAACCTTCCAGTGTGATCACAAGAATATAAATGGTTGTACTGCATGACCTTTGGGCCCCATTCTGTCCTGAGACTAAAGTTTAGGGGCTGTGAACAGAAAATGAACTCTCTCTTTTGGTGTCCTGGGTGGCCAGAGCTATGTATGGGTTATGGGGGAAAGATCTGTCCACCTGCAGAGGTGCCAAGGGCGTGCCTTGCTTAGAAGGCAGTTTCTTTGGAAGCTTAGAGAATGAGGACAGCTTTTTGTACAATGCATGGTCCCTTCAGATGGGTGGTTCTGCTTAGTGTTTTAAATACTGGGTGGGCTGGTTCTGCTGTTAGCACAACGATAGACAAACAGGGGGTGTGCACCTGTGCTGCATTAGGATCTGTCTCATCACTGCTTACTCCGCTGTATAGACAAAGATTCTTAAGTAATACCCCATGAAGGAACAATGAAGCCCCCGGCAGACTGTCGGAAGACCTTGAGAAGGCTGACAAATATGCAAAATCTTTATCAGCTTTTCCTTCCCTAGACTACTTGGGCTGGCTGGTGCAATGAATACAAACACCCACTTGGGCCAAAAGTCCTTCAATGGAAGCAGAAAAGAAAAGAAGAGAGAGGTGTGTATTTCAGAAAGAAGAACACAGAGATGGGGATAAATATAATCAGTCAGACTTAAGACTGTCATTAAAAAAAAACAGACATATTTTGCTAAATGCAGTCATTTCTCCATAAATCCAAAGGCAGCAGTTGGAACAGCTCTGCAATGGAAAAGGATGAGGTTTGGTGCTGCCTGTGATAGTCAGAAATGTCAAATGAACTGGGCCGGGCACGGTGGCTCACGCCCGTAATCCCAGCACTTTGGGAGGCCGTGGCAGGCGGATCTCGAGGTCAGAGATCGAGACCATCCTGGCTAACACAGTGAAACCCCATCTCTACTAAAAATACACACAAAAAAAAAACTTAGCTGGGCATGGTGGCGGGCACCTGCAGTCCCAGCTACTTGGGAGGCTGAGGCAGGAGAATGGCATGAACCCGGGAGGCAGAGCTTGCAGTGAGCCGAGGTCGTGCCACTGCACCAGCCTGGGTGACAGAGTGAGATTCCGTCTCAAAAAAAAAAAAAAAAAGTCAACTGAACTAATGTGTGGAGAAAAGAGCAGCACAAACATACCACCAGCGTTCTGAAGACTTCTTCCATTGCAATCAGGAGCTGAGGTTCAAATTCAGTGCTGCTCAATGGATTTGATGAAATATCCCTTGAGTTCTTTTCCTAGTTCAGCCACTTGGCAAGCTATATTTAACTTGGGACTTTTCTTCTCCTCAGCTGAACTAAATGACCTCTTGATATGGTTTGGCTCTGTGTTCCCACCCAAATCTCATCTCGAATCCTAATCCCCATGTGTCGAGGGAGGGACCTGGCAGGAGGTGATTGGATCATGGGGGCAGTTTCCCCTATGCTATTCTCGTGATAGTGAGGGAGTTCTCACTATCATGATGGTTTTTAAGTGTGATGGTTTAAGCTGATGGTTTTAAGTGTGGCACCTCCTTGCTCTTTTGCTCTCTCTCTCTCTCTCTCTCTCCTGCTGACTTGTGAAGAAGGTGCCTGCTTCCTCTTCACGTTCCACCATGATTGTAAGTTTCCTAAGGCCCCCCAGCCAAGCAGAACTGTGAGTCAATTAAACGTCTTTTCCTTATAAATTACCCAGTCTCAGGTATTCTTTATAGCAGTGTGGGAACTGACTAATATACCTCTGAAGCCCATCCACCTCTAATACTCTCCATTTCTTTGATTCAGTGAATTTCACTAACTGGGCTCAAAGTATGTTTAGGATGTGAAAAGTCAAGTGGTTCAGGAGACTTTAAATGTTTCAAACAACTTTATATTGGAAATATGGGGAAAATGCAAAATCTTGATCAGACCATTAAACCGTGATATTGACTTTACGGCATTTTATTTGATTGTATCAGATCAAACACTTTTCTAAAGGTAAGAGAGGAAACAGAGAATTGGAAATAGAATTAGAGAAAGCAACTAGACTCAGAAATAATGTCTTAAAATATGCCTAAATTTCAAAAACGTAGATGTCAAATGAAAATATCTACAATCTAATTCTACTTGCAAAGTGTTCTTAGAACCCTAGCCAGCTCTACAGATCAAGTTATTGTCATGCTTAACTCTCCCTAGCCTCACTGCTCTTGCACTCCCCCTTGCTTTATCCTGCTCCTCTCCCTGAATGTCGCATCACATCAGTGGCATGCTTATGCATCTAGCCAAGAAATACCTTTTACTGCTTTTCCTCATCCTCACACTCATTCAGTCACCAGGTCCTACTGACTCAATCTTCTACATGTTCATGGAAACCTCCTCTGCTTCCCATCCTGACATCATTTCACTGAAGCCCTCATAATCACTCATTTGAACTACCATCACAGCCCCTACATGAACTATGTCATCCATGACGTGAATTTTGTACCACGGTCTCTTTCAGGTTCTGAGGACACTGTGGTGAGTGAGAGAGAAGTTGCTAGAGTCATGGGGCTTATACTGTAGTAGGAGAGCCAGAAAATAAAACAACTAAGATGATTATAAATTGTCATGTTTTCTAGGAAGAAAATAAGCAGAGTGATGTGAGAAAGAGTAACTGAGCACGGAGGGCCCACAGAGACAGGCTGGCTCTAGAGGAGGGAGCTGAGGTCTGAAGGAGGAGAAGCAAGCATCCAGCCTTGCCCAGAGCATGCCAGGAAGAGGGAAGGATTAGTGCACAGTGATGGAGGGACTGAAAGAACAATGAGGCTGGAGTGTAATGAGCAAGAGAGAGCGATCTAGGTGAGGATGGGTAGACCAAATAATGGAGAAGCCTTTGGTTCTCAGATTGGAGTTGGGAACTTTTTAAAGTGCAATGGGTACTAACTGATAGGCTGTAAGCATGGGAGTGATATAATCCAAGTTATGTTTAAGAAATCACTCTGGTTGGTGTATGGTCAAAAGGAAAGTAGGGATCACAGTTAGAAAGCTACTCCAATAGTGCAAATGAAAGATCATGTTGGCTTGGGTGAAGGTAATAGTGGAGATGAGGAGAAGTGGATGGAGTCAGGATATGTTTTAGAGACAGCCCAGATGTGATGGATTGGTGTGGGGCATGAAGAAAGAAGAGGATGTCTAATGGGGAGTGGTTTGGATAACTAAAGGGATGGATGATGGTGACACTTACTATGCTGGAAAAGACAAGGGAAAGAACAAGTTTTAGACAGCCAAATGAAGACTGAGAAGGCTTTTAAATATAGGATGCAGTGGGTCAGAGGGGAGGTCTGGGCTGGAGATATAAAATTGGGAGTCATCACTCAACAGATCCTGTTTAAAGCAGCAGGACTAGGTGACATCACCTCTCATAGCAGCACAAGGGGGTATAGCTAGAAAAGGAAAGAGAAGAGAAAGGGAGAGAAGAGGTCAGGAAAACAGAGAGTCGGCAAAGGAGGCTCTAGTCTTCACAGCTCTAATCCATCCTTCGTATTGAGGCCAGAGTGATGTCTCCAACACCCAGCTCTGATCATGACTCCTCCCTGCCTAAAGCACTCCGAGGTTCTCTATTGCCCTCTCAAGAAAGTCCAAACCCTTAGCATGATATACAAACCCCTTCATGATCTAGACCTAACTTAACTTTGCAAGTTCATCTTCCTTGCCCTTTATCATAGCACTCCAACATTGTGTTATGATTATCTGAGTACATATCTGTTTGTGTTGTTAGATGTAACTTAAGAAAGACTATGTCGTTATTACCTTTACATTTCCAATGCCTAGCATAGAGTAGATAGTAACATTTGTAGGAATGGAGGGAGGGAAGGAGGGAGGGAGGGAAAGGACAGAGGGAAGGAAGGAGGGAAGGAAGGAGGGAAGGAAGGGACTATTTGTCATGTGAGAACCTTCATAAAAAGAAGAAAGCATGACAATTAGCACCTGTGCCATCTTCTTCCCTGGCATTTCTGGAGACTGTGAAATCAGGATGAAATGAGAAGAGCCCCATCTAGAGGTAGAAAGGTGCAGGAATGGACTCATGCATCAGAAGATTTTCTAGAAACAAACCGCTGACCAGGCAAAGCTGGAACTTACCTAAGCCAAACTAAACTTTTGTAGAAGCCAATTAATAGTAACAATATCTAGAAATCAATTCACAATAAAAGCTATTTCTCAAATACTCTATGGAGAAATCAGAACCAAAAAACACTGAGTGATCTGATCAATGAACGTATAATCTGCCGTTCCTCTTTGACAGTAAAGCCCTGACATTTGTGACTTCATACAACTGGATGTTATGAACTTACTAGGAGGTTCTAGCTATTTCATATCATAGTGTTTCCATGATAAAATGATGCTTTTGTGCTTGAGGAAATCAACTGCTTCCACTATGACTGCACTTTTAGGAGAAACATCCATTAGAAAGGAAGAAGACCCTGAGTGCACTAACACTCCTGCAGTAACGGGTGACTGATGTCTCAGACAAAACAGCTTCACATCTATCTGAACTTCATAACAAACTCACATGTACAACAACTCTGCTGATTAATTGTAAGTTGTCAGCCAGAATTGCTGTTACTGAGTGGTTTTCCTTTACAGTTTAACACAGGGTGGTGTAAATGATGGGATATGGATTGCAATATAAACACTGTGCCATGCCCATGTGAGATATCACTGCAGAGGATATTTTTATGTTCCTGTTTTTATTTGGGTCCCACTGCTTCAGAAAACATACAGGTTTGCTTTGACTATAGAACATCACATTCCATTCACTTATTTACAAAAGACCACATATATTGTGTTCATGGTTCAGTTTAAACCACTAAATAGTACATTCAATAGAAAGAAGAGTGGAACAGGAGCAAAAGACTGAATTCTTATCCCAGATGTGTGATCTCAGGCAAGTCATATAATTGACTCAAACATTGAATTTCTGAACAGGGAGAGTTTTTGCTGCATTCCTCTCTCTCAAGTTACTGTGACAAACAAAATGGTGCATATGAAAGCATTTCTTTAAATTTTAAATAAAATTTTATTGAGGTATAAATTCACAGATCTTAAGTGAAAATTCACAGGTTTCATAATGAAATTCACAGATCTTGAGTGTACAGTTCAATGAGTCTTGGCAAATGCATATACCTGTGTAACTCACGCTCCAGTCAACATAAAGAATATTACCACCATCCCAGAAAATTACCACAGGCCTCTTCTCAGCCAATACTCCCCACTCCTGCTTCAGATGCAACCATATCTCTGATTTTTTCAATGCAGATTAATTTTTTTTGCTTCTAGAAATTCAAATAAACAGAAGAATAAGAGTATGTATTCTTGTGTCTGGCTTCATTCACTCAACATGTCTGTGAGATTTATTCACATTGTTACATGTATCAGTAGTTTGTACCTTTTTGTTGTTGTCAATATTCCATTATTTATCCATTCTGCATTTTAAGAGTGAAGTTTGATGAGTTTTGACAAATGTTTACACTTTGTAACCACGACAAAGCAAGATAGTAGATTTTCATTCCCCCTAGAAGTCTCTTGTACCCTTTTACCATCAGTCTCTCCTCTCACCCATGACTCCAGGCACTACTGATCTCCTTTTTATCATGATAGTCTTGCCTCTTCTAGAATTTCATGCGAATGGAAACATACACTTCTGTGTCTGCTTTTACCTAGCATAATATTTCTGAATTCACCCATGCTGTAATATGATTGAATGAGTAGTATTCCAATGAATAAATATATCCATTATATTTATTATTATGTATCCATTAACTAGTTTGTGGTACTTCGGTTGTTTCCAGCTTGAAGCTATTATAAATAAAACTGCTAAGAAAACTCAGGCATGTCATTCTGCAGACACACATTTTCATTTCTGTTGGGTAAATCTGCAAGAATGGGACTGTTCAGTCATAAAGCAACTATATGAGAAACTACCAAACTGTTTTCCAAAGTGGCTGTTTCATATCTGCATTCCTCCCAGCAATGAATTAAAGTTCCAGCTGCTCCACATCATTGTCAACACTTGGTACTGCCAGTCTTTATAATTTTGGCCATTCCAGTGGGTATGTAATGGCATCTCACTGCAGCTTTAATTTGCGTTTCCCTAAAAACTAAATAATGTTGAGCATCTTTTCGTGTGCTTATTTGTCATTTGTATATTTTCTTTACTAAGTATCTGTTTAGATCATTTGCACTTAAAAACATCAGGTTGGGCCGGGCGCGGTGGCTCACACCTATAATCCCAGCACTTTGGGAGGCCAAGACGGGTGAATCACGAGGTCAGGAGTTCGAGACCAGCCTGGCCAACATGGCCATAACATTGAACAAAATATTTATTATTTCTTTATTTAAGAAATATTGGCTGGGCGCAGTGGCTCATGCCTGTAATCCCAGAACTTTGGGAGGCCAAGGCGGGTGAATCACAAGGTCAGGAGTTCGAGACCAGTCTGGCCAACATGGTGAAATCCCGTCTCTACTAAAAATATAAAAAATTAGTTGGGCATGGTGGCAGGCGCCTGTAATCCCAGCTACTCAGGAGGCCAAGGCAGGAGAATTGCTTGAATCTGGGAGGCAGAAGTTGCAGTGAGCCGAGATCATGCCACTGCACTCCAGCCCAGGCGACAGTGAGAGACTCCGTCTCAAAATAAATAAATAAATAAAAATCAGGTCATTTTTCTTACTGAGTTGTAAGAGTCCTTTTTATATTCTGGATACAAGTCCTTTATCAGATACATACTTTTCCAATCCCCTTACCTGGGCTATAACTGCATTTTTATTTTCTTTTGCACTGTCTTTTGAAGAGCAAAAATCTTTAATTTTAATAGTTTAATTCATCAGTACTTTGGGTTTGTACTTTTTGTGTCATATCCATGAAATCTTTGCCTAATCCAAGGTCATAAAATTTTTCTCCAAAAGTTTATTCTAGAGTTTTACAATTTTAGCTCTATGTTTGGGTATATCATCTGTGTTTTTTTTTTTTCTTTTATGAATAGTGTGACATAAGGGTTAAAGTTCATTTTTTTCTATATGGCTATCCAATTGTTCCAATACTATTTGCTTAAAAGACTATCACTTCTCCCATTGAACTGGCACCTTTGACCCAAATCGACTCCATATGTAAGAATCTATTTCCAATTTGCTTGTCCATCTTTATTCCAATATGATATTGTCTTCATTACTGTAGTTTTTAATATGTCTTGAAAACAAGTAGCATAAGCCCATCTAAATTTTCTTTTTCAACACTGTCTTGTCTGTTCTAAGAACTTTGAGTTTCCATATAATGTAAGAATCAGCTTATTATGTGATTCTATAGAACAATTTGAGGACAACTGACATCTTAACAATATTGAGTCTTATGATTCATAAGCATAGAGTTTTTCACATAAAGGTCTTACATGTATCTTGGTAAACTTACTCCTTTTATTTATTTTTTTGAAACAGAGTCTTGCTGTCTCATCTAGGCTGGAGTGTAGTGGCGATCTTGGCTCACTGCAACCTCTGCTTCCTGGGCTCAAGTGATCCTCTCACCTCAGCCTCCCGGGTAGCTGGGATTACAAGCTCGTGCCACCACATCCATCTAATTTTTGTAGTTTTTGTATTTTTCACCATATTGCTAAGGCTAGTAAACTTATTCCTAAGTATTTCATGTTGTTGAACACTATTGTAAATGATATTGCGTTATTTAAATTTCTAATTATTTGTTGCTGGTATATTGAAATACAATTGCTTTTTTTGGTATATTGGCTTTATATTGTGCAATCTTGAAAAACTCTATTCACTTTTTTGTAGGTCCTTTAAGATTTTCTACAGACGAGATCATGGTGACTGTAAAGACCATTTTACTTCTTCCTTTCCATTATTTCCTTTTCTTTCTTTACTGCATTGCCAAGAACCTCCAGTATAATGCTGAGTAGAAGGGGAGGGAACAGACATCTTTGCTTTCTTTCCAATCGTAAGGAGAAAGCATACAGTTTTCACTAATAAGCATGATGTTAGTTGTTGGTTCCTCAAAGATTCCATTTATTGAGCTTGAAAAGTTCCACTCTGTTCCAAGTTGGCTAAGAGTTTTTATCATGAATGAGTTTTTTTTCTAATGCTTTTTCTTCATCTATTGAGATGATCATATAGTTTGTCTTTTTGTCTATTAGTGTGGTGAATTACATTACTTGATTTTCAAAAGTTAAATTAATATTGCACTCCTGAAATAAACCCCACTTTGTCATGAAGTTTATTCTTTTATATATTGCTGGGTTTAATTTGCTAATATTTTTGTCAATGATTTTTGCATCTATCATCATAAGGGACTGATATGGTTTGGCTCTGTGTCCCCACTCAAACCTCATATTGAACTGTGATCCCCAGTGTTGGACGTGGGGCCTGGTGGGAGGTAACTGGATCATTGGGATGGTTTCTAATGGTTTAGTACCATCCCCCAAGGGCTGTCTTGTGATAGAGTTCTCACGAGATTTGGCTGTTTGAAAGTGTGTAGCACCTCCTCCTTCTCTCTCTCTCTGACTCCTGCTGGCCATGTGAAATATGCCTGCTTCCCCTTCACCTTCCACCATGACTGTAAGTTTCCTGAGGCCTCCCCAAACATGCCTCCTGTACAGCCTGCAGAACCATGAGCCAATTAAATCTCCTTTATTTATAAATTACTAGTCTCAGATAGTTCTTTATAGCATTGTGAGAATGGACTGATACAGGACACTGATAAATTTCCAGTAATAATTCTCTTTGGTTTGAGTATTAGGAAAATGCTGGATTCATAAAATGTGTTAGAAAGCATCATTTCTCTTCTACTTTATAAAAACATATGTAGAATCAGTATTATTTCTTCCTTAAAAATTTGATAGAATTCACCAGTGGTCTTTTGGGTCTGAAGTTTGTTGGTAGGTTTTAAATTAAAGATTTGATTTTTTTTTTTTTTTTTTTTTTAATGAGATGGAGTCTTGCTCTGTCACCAGGCTAGAGTGCAATGGCACCATCTCGGCTCACTGAAACCTCCACCTCCCGGGTTCAAGTGATTCTCCTACCTCAGCCTCCCGAGTAGCTGGGATTATAAGCAACTGCCACCACAAACAGCTAATTTTATTTTGTATTTTTAGTAGAGACAGAGTTTCACCATGTTGGCCAGGCTGGTCTTGAACTCCTGACCTTAAGTGATCCGCCCACTTCAGCCTCCCAAAGTGTTGGGATTACAGGCGTGAGCCACTGCGCCTGGCCCAGATTTGAAATTTTAAATAGATATAGGGCTCTTCAGTTTATGTATTCTTGTTTGGGCTTTTTTAGTTTGTGATTTTCAAGGAATTTTTCATTTTATTTGTCAAATCTATTGGCCTAAAATTGTTCATAATATTTCCTGATTTTTTTTAACATCTGTAGAATCTGTAGTGATATCCCCTTTTTCACTCCTGATATTGGTGATTCGTGTCTTCGCTCCCTTCACCATATCAGGCTACCTAGAGGCATATCAATATTATTGATTTATTTAGCAAATCTGCTCTTGGTTTCATTGGTTTTTCTGTACTGCTTTTCTGTTTCCTGCATCTTTGGCTTATACTCTTATCTTTTATTATTTCCTTCCTTCTGCTTACTTCAGGTTTAATTTGCTCTTCTTTTTGTGGTTTTGTAAGGTGAAAAATAAGATTATTAACTTAAAATTTTTTTCTTTCCTTTTTTTTCTTTTTGAGACAGTTTTCCTCTTGTTGCCCAGGCTGGAGTACAATGGCATGATCTCGGCTCACTGCAGCCTCCGCCTCCCAGGTTCAAGCAATTTTCCTGCCTCAGCCTCCCGAGTAGCTGGGATTACAGGCGTGTGTGCCACCATGCCCAGCTAATTTTTTTGTGTTTTTACTAGAGACAGGGTTTCACCATGTTGGCCAGGCTGGTCTCGAACTCCTGGCCTCAGGTGATCCACCTGCTTCAGCCTCCCAAAGTGCTGGGATTACAGGCGTCAGCCACCACACCTGGCCAAAATATTTTTTATTTTCTATTATGATAATTCAAGGCAACAAATTTTTCTGTAAGCACTATTTTAGCTGCCTCTTAAAATGACTTTTTTTTTTAAATTTTTTATTTATTTATTTATTTACTTTTGTGGGGGGCAGATTCTCACTATGTTGCCCAGACTGAACTCAAACTCCTGGGCCCGGGTGATCTTCCTGCCTCAGTCTCCTGAGTAGCTAGGACTATATAGACACTCATCACCATGCCCGGCTTGCATCTCACAGATTTTAACATGTGCATTTTCATTTTAATTCCATTCAAAGTATTTTTATATATTTTTATTTGTTTTTGACCATGAGCTATTTAACAGTGTGATAATTTCCAAATATTTGGGGATTTTCTGGAAATATTTATGTTATTATTTCTGTTGTAGACAAAGAACATATTGTGTATGATTTAAATATTTTAAATGTATTGCAACTAATTTTATGGCCTGGTATATGGTCTATCTCGGCGTATGTTCTATGTAGACATGAATAAAATGTGTATTATGCTCTTACTGTATGGAATGTTCTATAAATATCAATGAGGTCATGCTGGTTGATAGTGTTCTTTGAGTCTTCTATTGCACTATGGTTGTCTTCTATTTCATTCATCAGTTATTGGGGAGAATAATAATGAGGTTTCCAACTCTAATTGTGTACTTGCCTATTTCTCCTTTCAGTTCTATCAAATATTGCTTCATGTATTGCATTCTTTTGTCTTCTTGATGAATTCACCCCTTTATCACTATAAAATGTCCCTCTTTATCTCTGCAAATAGTCCTGGTTCTGAATCTACATTGTCTAACATGAATATAGCCATTCTAGCTTTCTTTTAATAAGTGTTTGTGTGGTATTTCTTTTTCCACCACTTTTAACCTATCAGTATCACTCAATAAATCATATATACATATATATGTATATACATGGTTTCATATATATATGTGTGTATATATAGTTTCTTGAATATAGCTTATAGTTGAGACTTGCTTTTTTTAATCCAATCTTACAATTTCTGGCTTTGAACTGCGTTCCTTAGTTTAAATTTGCCATCTTACTACCAGCTTCTATTTGTCCCATCTATTCTTTGCTCCGTTTTTGCTCTTTTCCCTTTGAGTTAATTGAATATTTTTTATAATTCCATTTTATTTCCGTCATTGGATTATTATTTCTCTTTCTTTTAAGGAGTTGCTCTAGGGTTTACAGTATCTATCTTTAGTTTTTCACAGTCTACCTTCCCATAGTATCGTTCCTCTTCCTCTGTAACATAAGAAACATACAACGCTATACCTTCATCCATGCCTTCTGTCCTCTGTGTTATTGCTGTCATATATTTTACTGCTACATATTTTATAAACTTCATGATACATTGTTTTTATTTTTGCTTTAAACAGTCAGTAGTCTTTATACGAATTTTTTTTTTTTTTTTTTTTTTTTTTTGAGAGGGAGTCACTCTGTGGCCCAGGCTGGAGTACAGTGGTGCAATCTCGGCTCACTGCAAGCTCTGCCTCCCGTGTTCACACCATTCTCCTGCCTCAGCCTCCCGAGTAGCTGAGACTACAGGTGCCCGCTACCACGCCCGGCTAATTTTTTTGTGTTTTTAGTAGAGACGGGGTTTCACCGTATTAGCCAGGATGGTCTCGATCTCCTGAACTCATAATCCGCCCGCCTTGGCCTCCCAAAGTGCTGGCATTACAGGCGTAAGCCACCACGCCTGGCCTATAGGACATTTTAAAATATGAGAAAAGATATCTTTTTTAGCCCCCATGTTTTCCATCTTCGGCATTCTTCACTTCTTTTTATAGATCCAGATTTCCATTTCCTATCACTTTCCTCACTTTCCTTTTGCTTGAGGAATTTAAATATTTATTTTAGTGCAGGTCTACTGGCAATGGGTTCTTTTTGATTTTTAATCATCTGAAAAAGACTTTTTTTTAGGTAACAACACTTAACATAAGATCTACCCTCTTAACCAATTTCAAATGCACAATACCATATTAACTGTAGACACAATGTTGTGAAGATCTTTCAAACTTAACCATCTTGCATGACTGAAACGTTATGCTCACTGAATAGCAACTTGCCATTTCCCCTCCCCCAGCCCTTGGCAACCACTATTCTACTCTCTGCTTCCATGTATTTATTTTATACACTTTATATATGAATTATCAGGTAGTAGTTGTATTTCTGTGACTATGCTTCATTTCACTTAGCATAATTTCTTCAAGGTCCATTAACATTGTCACATATGGTAGGATGTTCTCCTTTTTTATGGCTGAATAATATTTCATTGTATGTATATAGCACATTTTCTTTATCCACTCATCTGTCAAAGGACATTTAGGTTGTTGCCACATCTTAGCTATTGAACATGAGAGTGTTAATATATCTGAGACCCAGATTTCAACTCTTCTGGTAAATACCCAGAAGTGGGAATGCTGGATCATTTGTTATTTATATATTTATTTTTTTGAGGAACCTCTATACTGTTTTCATAATGGCTGCACTATTTTACATTCCCAACAATAGTGTACAAGGATCCCAATGTCTCCATTTCTTCACCAACACTTATCTTTTTGTTTTTGATAACAGTCATCCTAACAAGTGTGAAGTAATATCTCATTGTGATTTTGATTTGCATTTCCCTGATGATTAGTGATGTTAAACATCTTTTCATATACTTGTTGGTCATTTGTATGTCATTTTCGAGAAATTTCCATTCAATTCCTTTGCCTAAATTTTGTTATTTGTTTTTTGTTCGTGAGTTAAAGGAGTTCCTTATATTTTTGGATATTAACCACTTATCACATATATTATTTGCAAATATGTTCTTCCATTTCATAGGCTGCCTTTTCACTTTGTTTCCTTGCTGTACAGAGGCTCTTTAGTTTGATGTAGTCCAACTTGCCTATTTTTGCTTTTATTGCCTGTGCTTTTGATGCTATATTCAAGAAATCATTGCCAAATGGATAGATTGCAAAAATTTTCTCCCATTCTGTAGGTTGCCTATTCACTCTGATGATAGTTTCTTTTGCTGTGCAGAAGCTCTTTAGTTTAGTCAGATCCGATTTGTCTATTCTGGCTTTTGTTGCCATTGCTTTTGGTGTTTTAGTCATGAAGTCTTTGCCCATGCCTATATCCTGAATGGTATTGCCTAGGTTTTCTTCTAGGGTTTTTATGGTTTTAGGTCTTACGTTTAAGTCTTTAATCCATCTTGAGTAAATTTTTGTATAAGGTGTAAGGAAGGGATCCATTTTCAGCTTTCTGCATATGGCTAGCCAGTTTTCCCAACACCGTTTATTAAATAGGGAATCCTTTCCCCATTGCTTGTTTTTGTCAGGTTTGTCAAAGATCAGATGGTGGTAGATGTGTGGCGTTATTTCTGAGGCCTCTGTTCTGTTCCATTGGTTCCAATGGTACTGTTCCAATGGTACTGTACCAGTACCATTATAGTTTGAAGTCAGGTAGCGTGATGCCTCCAGCTTTGTTCTTTTTGCTTAGGATTGTCTTGGCTATGTGGGCTCTTTTTTGGTTCCACATGAAATTTAAAGTAGTTTTTTCCAATTCTGTGAAGAAAGTCAATGGTAGCTTAATCGGGATAGCATTGAATCTATAAATTACTTTGGGCAGTATGGTCATTTTGATGATATTGATTCTTCCTATCCATGATCATGGAATGTTTTTCCATCTGTTTGTGTCCTCTCTTATTTCCTTGAGCAGTGGTTTATAGGTCTCCTTGAAGAGGTCCTTCACATCCCTTGTAAGTTGTATTCCTAGATATTTTATTCTCTTAGTAGCAATTGTGAATGGGAGTTCACTCATGATTTGGCTCTTTGTCTGTTATTGGTGTATAGGAATGCTTGTGATTTTTGCACACTGATTTTGTATCCTGAGACTTTGCTGAAGTTGCTAATCAGCTTAAGGAGGTTTGGGGCTGAGACCATGGGGTTTTCTAAAATACAATCATGTCATCTGCAAACAGAAACAATTTGACTTCCTCTTTTCCTAATTGAATACCCTTTAACTTTTTCTCTTGCCTGATTGCCCTGGCCAGAACTTCCAGTACTATGTTGAATAGGAGTGGTGAGAGAGGGCATCCTTGCCTTGTGCCGGTTTTCAAAGGAAGTGCTTCCAGTTTTTGCCCATTCATTATGATATTGGCTGTGGGTTTGTCATAAATAGCTCTTATTATTTTGAGATATGTTCCATCAATGCCTCCAGAATCTACAAAGAACTTTACAAGAAAACAAATCTTTAAACAAATTTACAAGAAAAAAACAAACAACCTCATCAAAAAGTGGGCAAAGGATATGAACAGACACTTCTCAAAAGAAGACATTTATGCAGCCAACAAACATATGAAAAAAAAGCTCATCATCACTGGCCATTAGAGAAATGCAAATCAAAACCACAATGACATACCATCTCACTCCAGTTAGAATGGTGATCATTAAAAAGTCAGGAAACAACAGGTGCTGGAGAGGATGTGGAGAAATAGGAATGCTTTTACACTGTTGGTGGGAGTGTAAATTAGTTCAACCATTGTGGAAGACAGTGTGGCGATTCCTCAAGGATCTAGAACTAGAAATACCATTTGACCCAGCAATCCCATTACTGGGTATATACCCAAAGGATTATAAATCATTCTACTATAAAGACACATGCACATGTATGTTTATTGTGGCACTGTTCACAATAGCAAAGACTTGGAACCAACTGAAATGCCCATCAATGATAGACTGGATAAAGAAAATGTGGCACATATATATCATGGAATACTATGCAGCCATAAAAAAGGATGTGTTTATGTCCTTTTGCAGGGACATGGATGATGCTGGAAACCATCATTCTCAGCAAACTAACACAAGAACATAAAACCAAACACCGTATGTTCTCACTTATAAGTGGGACTTGAACAATGAGAACATATGGACACAGGGAGGGGAACATCACACACCGGCGCTCATTGCGGGGTGGGGGTCTAGGGGAGGGATAGCATTAGGAGAAATACCTAATGTAGATGACAGCTGATGGGTGCATAAAACCACCATGGCATGTGTATGCCTATGTAACAAACCTGAACATTCTGCACATGTACCCCAGAACTTAAAGTAGATATATAAAAAAAGAAAGAAATCATTGCCAAGATCAATGTCATAAAGCTTTCACCCTATATTTTCTTCTATAAAGTTTCAGGTCTTATGTTTAAGTCTTTAATCCCTTTATGAGTTGATTTTTTTGCATGGTGTAAGGTAGCAGCCCAATTTATTTTCTTGCATGTGGATATCCAGTTTTCCCAACACCATTTGTTGAAGTGACTATCCTTTCCCCATTGTATATTCTTGGCACCCGTCAAAGATTAGTTGACTGTATATGCTTGGGTTTATGCTGGCCTCTCTATTCTGTTTCATTAGTCTACATGTCTGTCTTTATGCCAATAGCATACTGTTCTAATTAATGTAGCTTTGTGATATATTTTGAAACCAGAAGTATGATGCCCCCCAACTTTCTTTCTCAAGATTGTTTTGGCTATTCAGGGTACTTTGTAACTCCAAGTGAATTTGGGGGTTGTTATATTTTTGTAAAAAAAAATGCCACTGGTATTTTGATAAGCATTGTATTTAATCTGTACATTGCTTTGGGTAGTGTGGACATTTTAACAATATTAAGTCCTCTGATCCATGAACACATGATGTCTTTCCATTTATTTGTATCTCCTTTAATTCATCAGTGTTTTAGTTTTCAGTGTATAATGATTTCACTTCCTTAGTTTTTTCCTAAGTATTTTATTCTTTTTGATGTTTTTATAAATAAGTTGTTTTCTTAGCTTCTTTTTAGAAAAGCTCACTTTTCTAAGATGCAACTGATTTTTGTTTGCTGATTTTGTATCCTGCAACTTTATTAAATTTATTAGTTCTAATAGTGTGTGTGTGTGCACGCGTGTGCACATGTGTGTAGAATTCTGGCACAAAGCTTATTGTCAGCTTTCAGGCCAGATATTTGTTGGTTTTGATGGGTCTCTAAACGACCCACTGGTGTGAGAGAATTCCATTCCTAGCTCCTTCTAAATGCCTGTCTGCAAACTTCTCTTTGTGTTAACATCTTCCTTTCTTTGAAATAAAACCATCCATCATCAAGAGTCCTAGCAAAAATCTTGCTGTCAGCTTTCAGGACTCGATATTTGTAGGTTTTGCTGGGTCCGTAAAAGGGCCACTGTTGAGAGAGAATTCCCTCCTCGCTCTTTCTAAATCCCAGCCTGCAAATGTCTCTTGGTTCCCTTTAGATTTCCTTGCCCTGCACTGCAGTCTATAAACTGCCTCCAGTCAGTAAGGTGAGAAAATCATAGGGCTCACATAGTTTGTTTCTCGTCTTTCAAGGGATCAAGGTCCTATACTGCCTGTTGTCCGATGTCTTCTAATTCTGTGTCACAAGAGGGCAACTGCCAAAGTAGTTGATCCTATTCTAGGTCTCTTATGTGCACACTAATTCTCATTATAGCCCATCAAAATGGAAGCTTATAGTCATGGCAGAAGGCAAAGGGGAGCCAGTGTGTCATACAGCAAGAGAGGAAGCAAGAGAGATGCCAGGCTCTTTTAAACAACTAGCTCTCACATGAACTGATAGAGTGAAAACTCACTCATTACCATGGGGCGGGCACCAAGCCATTCTTGAGGAATCCACTCCCCTGACCCAAACACCTCCCACCAGGCCCCACCTCCAACACTGGGGATCACATTTCAACATGAGATTTGGAGGGGACAAATACCCAAACCATATCACCTGGGGATTTGAATGCAGGAAGTCTGGCCCATGGTTTTAATCACTCTACTGTATGGACTCTCAAGGAAGTAGTAGAAATATAAAAATATCTAAAGCATACTAAGATATTTAAAAATCTCTAAAGATACTAAGATATTTAAGATATTTAGGAGTAAGATGTAGCCCTGATCTCAAATTTAAGTAAGAGGATGAATGCAAAGCTCTGGGCTGTAGATAGGAGTTACTTTCATGTCTACAGAATGGTCTGGGCTTTTATTCAATCAATGCAGAATAGGTGCAGGGTGGGGGGCAGGTGTTCCATAAATACTAAGAGACATCATTGATAGGGGAGGCAGGAGGGTGAAACATGCTTCCAATAAAAAGAAGAGTGCCCCCTGAACTAACCTTGACAACATCAATATTCCAAAGAGTGATGTGTTCAATTTGCCCAGCAAGGCTGAGAGTCAGCAGTTTGCAGGACAGACCTGATTGTCTAAAGAGCAAATCAGAGAGGATACTTTGCAATTAGAGAAGCTGCTATGAAGGCAGGAAAGTCAGGGTTCTATAGAAAAATAAGTAACTGCTGACTATATAGAATGGCTACTGTCTCACAACGAAAAGTAACAGGCTTGATGTCTGATGTATTCTTTACATTGAAGAAACTGTCTCTATTAATCGTCCTCTTAGAATTATTCCCTCTGGCAGTGAATGGGGTCTTCACAGTTCATTGAATCAATGCACTTGCCTGAAAAACATCACTCTTAGATGCTCCAGAAATGCCAAGAGTTCAGGGGGTAAATGCTATTTTACATTGTAAATGTTTTATCACTATCCTTTTGAAAGTAATAACTAAGGAGGCTCCATAAAGGGTGACTTATCCTTTTGTGGCTGGTTGTTGTCTTTTTTTTTTTTGACTCAACTTGTTACAGGATGAATTTCTCAGCTATATTAACGCTGTACCAGGCATTCATTTATTCGGTTGAAAACCTCTCAGTCTTCTGTATATATTTACACAATAGGCTTTATAACACCTTGTCTTGCTTATCCAATACCTTGGAGGTAGGCTGCTCTACTCCAAGAGATGTGTCCCTGTAAACCTTCAGTATTTTATTTTTTTAATGTAAATGCCTCTCTCAGCCAATCTGTCTTCCTTTTGTGTGATGATGTTTGGGGCTTCTTTCTATCCTTGGGTTGAAAAATGTACTTTCCATCTGTATCAGTTATTAATTTATTGTCTTTCAGCTCCAATCCCAGTTTCTTCATCCTGCTTTGTAATACTGGGGCTGAACTCTACAGGCCACACTTTTCCTTTGCCAGCTGGCTCCATGTTAGGCTTTGACAATAAGGAGTGTGGAAGGAACAATGCATGGCTGGAAGACAGAGGCCTTTTTCTTCTTCATCTAGTTTTCTGTTTTCCCATATAGTGGCAGGCAGATCGGCACGCGGTTATCCCGGTCAGGGTTTACAGCAGTGGCAGGCTGCCCTATGCAGTTTAACAGCGGGTACCCTTCAGCAAGTTTCCTTGGCACCAGGACTACAGGCAGCATGTTCCTGTAACAACCAGGAACTCTCCTCAGAGGTCTGAATCCAGCCTTGCAGGGACCTTTTCCAATAGTTTGTAAGTTCCTTCCTTGTTCATTTTTCCCTTAGTCTTAGGTGTAGAAGCCACTTTCTGCAGTTAACTGCCTTGCTGCTTCTTAGAGTTCTTTTTCCCCTTTCAGTAGTTAACAGAACTTTACATAGTCAACAATTCTTTATATTAAATTTTCCCTGTCCAAATTTCTGCGGTGATTTCTGTCCCTTGCTTGAACTCTGATACAACATCTAAGGACGCTTTGGTCTTTGATTCTTATCTTTGAAAGACGATGGCAAGGATAAAGGAGTTGTGTGTGTGCGCGTGCGCGCGTGCTTGCCATTAATACAGACTTAAAAGCAGCAGAGTAGCAGAGTGGCTAGTACAGGGTACTCCAGCCAGATTGGCTTTGCCACTTCCTAGCTATGTGCCCTGGGGTGAGGGGAGTTGCCTCAGTGTCCTCATCTGTAAAATGGAGATAGAGTGGCTAGAATATACCCAGTTAAGTTTGAATTTCAGAAAAATCACAAATAATTTCTTAATATAAGTATATCCTAAATATTATACGGGTATCCTTCCTGTATTCTTATTTGCGAAATCTGACAAGACTAGTATTACATCATAAAAGGTTAAATTAAGGCCGGGCGCAGTGGCTCACGCCTGTCATCCCATCACTTTGGGAGGCTGAGGTGGGTGGATCACCTGAGGACAAGAGTTCGAGACCAGCCTGGCCAACATGGTGAAACCCTGTCTCTACTAAAAATACAAAAAATTAGCTGGGCATGATGGCAGGCGCCTGTAATCCCAGCTACTCAGGAGGCTGAGAAAGGAGAACCGCGTGAACCTGGGAGGTGGAGGTTGCAGTGAGCCGAGATCGCGCCATTGCACTCCAGCCTGGGCGACAGAGTGAGACTCCGCATACCTCCCCCGCTGCCCCCCACCAAAAAAAAAAAAAAAAAGGTTAAATTAGTTAACATATGTGAAGGGCTTGGTAACAATCACCCAGTAGTTAGTAGCCCTTTTGTTTCTTTGCTACAGTGTACTAGCACCGTTTTTTTCAGGGACACTCTGCCATGAATTATAATGCTCTTGCATCATCTATTGATCCCTCTAACTGCATTTCCCACAGCTCCCCGCCAACCCCCATCCTTCAAAGTAGCAAGGCCAGGCAGTCTTTTCAGGCAGGAGTGGTTACTGATTAGACTGGAATATGCATCTGACCCAAGGTAGCTCAATCATAGACTGGGATTCAACCCATGAGGCAGCCCAACAAGAAGGATGTTGTCCAATAAATGTAGTAGGATTCTACATTAAGCAGTCAGAATTTAGGTTGGGGAATACGGAGGGAATGGATCAATGAGTACCAAAGGAAAGAAGGGCAGATACGCAGAGATAAGAAAATTCGTCACGTGAGATAGTTTCAAAGGGAGAGAAAGCGGGCAGGTTTTGAAATCCTGATTTTTTTTTTCCAGTTCCAGTTCTTATGTAGTCCTACAATAAACTCCTTTTTCTGCTCTTTGCAAACAAAACACATACACACACACACAAACACACAAACAATCGAGTAAATAAGCATTCCTACTTCATCTACCAAATTGTGTGCTGGGCACTATTAGAGAAGGTGGGGATAGACTTGAGAAGCAGCACCTCTCTCCGAAGATCTTGGAGTCTAGACAGTGGGGAATGCAAGGAAGACTTGTGTATAATAAGGGACAATATAAATGTTCTCATGCTAGGAAACTATGAAATGGAGGCAAATCTCTCCTTTTCTTGCTCTGACTTCTAGGCATTGAACTACACCTAACATTTGGTGTCATGTGAATGTTCTGAGATTACAATTATGGAAAAGTAGAAGGAACACAGGAAGCAGAAAGCCTTCAGTACCAGGAAAAGCAAGATATTTTATAGCTTAGGGCCATGTGAGTACAAACACCATATTTTTTTAACGTATAGATGTGTAATTTGATGTGTGTGTGTGCACATGTATACATGCACACATATATATTACAGACATAGTAAAGCCAAATGGATCTGCCACATCTGTAATGTTTACGAGACAACCAGACAACGCTCCTCTGCTGGATCACACTCATGTTTTCTATGATTTCTAAGTTTTGTGAATGGCTGAATTATTCTTTAACCAAAGGCTTGGGGGGGTCACAAAAGCGGACAAAGAAGGATGGGGAGAGGTGGCACTGATGGTGTAAGAAGCAGGCACCAGGAGGTAAAAATGCAACAGAGGCCAAGAATCATACTTGGGAGACTCAGCTGCAAGATTGCCTAGAAGTGGGTGAAGCTAGCAAACCTACTGGAAAGGTTTTGCGTATCCTTTAGCTCTGGATATGTCAATCTCACTGCCAACAAATAAGCAGAAACTTAGCTGTGCCCCTACTGGAACTCGGTGGCATATTTACAAAATAGACCGGCACACTGCAAATCTACGTGCTATGATGTATGATCTATGTGAGCAGAGGACAACTGTTTTCTCTTGTTTGAAGAATTTGCAGTGCCATTTTCTCTCTAGAGGCCTCCAACTCCTTGTTAATATGCAGGACTATACATGGGAATCCTGACTGAGGAGAGTCAATATGTTCATAAGAACCTCCCCCAAAATATTTCACTCCCTCCTTGGTCAATCATTCCAACTATCTACAACGTTTTTTCCTCCAGAAATTTATCCCTACCTTTTTGATCTAGTAGTGATGATACCACAAAGAGATTATTACAGGTGAATGATGGAATGCTGCTATTCCTTCGCAGACATTTATTAAGCCTACTCAGTGCCAGACTATACAGTTAGATATACAGTACTTATTATAGCCCAGGCTGCGTCCTGTGCCCTCTACATAGGTTAACTCACTTCACCATCACAACAGCTCTGAGAGACAGGTACTTTTACTGATAAGGAAACTGAAGTACAGAGAGGTCACAGCCAGCTAGTGCTCGAGGCAGGATTGAAACTCAGGCTGTCTGGCTTCAGAGTCTATATTGCTAATCATTATGCCGTGCTACCTTGAATACAAATGTCTAGCATAGGTCTCATCCTCAAAGAATTTAAAAGTCTAGTGGGTGTAGGCCGGGCGTGGTGGCTCACGCCTGTAATCCCAGCACTTTGGGAGGCTGAGCTGGACGGATCACGAGGTCAAGAGATCGAGACCATCCTGGCTAACACGGTGAAACCCCATCTCTACTAAAAATACAAAAAATTAGCCGGGCATGGTGGCAGGCACCTGTAGTCCCAGTTACTCGGGAGGCTGAGGCAGGAGAATGGTGTGAGCCCAGAAAGCAGAGCTTGCAGTGAGCCGAGATTGCACCAATGCACTCCAGCCTGGGCGACAGAGTGAGACTCCATCTCAAAAAAAACAAAAACAAAAAACAAAAAAAGTCTAGTGGATGTATCCCTAGAGTCTATCATCCTTTCAAAATGACAGTTCCAAGTTCCAGCTCCTCCTGCCCTCTTTAAGCATGGAGGATGGCAGTGGTTGGACACCAAGATAAGGGCCACTGAAAATAAAACTGCATTTCCTTTTCAGCTTCCTACTGTAGAACAGGCTGATAACCACTCTAAATGATAATTGGACGATCTTCTCGGGCTTTGTAATAACAAAACTTCAACTGAAGATTGCTTTAGGGTGATTCATTTGATCCAAGAAAATGATGCACAAATTAAACCACACTTTCCCAGTGAATTACACTATAATTGCAGGGAGGGAATTTACTACTTTCTTTAAAAGGAGTCTGGGCAGATGAACACATTTGGTAGAAAAACAACTCAATGCAGACAGCCTATAGGCAGTGTCTTACAGGTTTAAGTATTTGCTATTACTGAAATAGCAGCTAAATACACCACAGCGTTGGTCCTCTAGGATCCAAGTCTGATCAAAATTTCCACACCGTGGGTTAATGATCCAAGCTGAGAACAAAATGCAACTGGAGAAGTGGAAAATAAACAGTCAAAGGCACTGTTGACAGAGAGATCCTATTTCCAGTGGTTCAGAGGCCAGAAAGGGAGGGATGAAAATTAACTCTTCAGGTAGATGAAATGCTAGAGTCCCCAGGTTGCAGAGCAGTAACATAAGCTCAGATATCCGGGCCCTAAGTGCCTCTATAGATTCTGGCACCTGACAACCTCCCACCCTAACAGACAACCTGGGGAACTGCCTGCGTTTTGCAGGCACTAAGCAGTAGTTGGGATCGAGGCAGGGAGGACTAAGCAGCTGGGATGCCAGGGCTGATCTTACATGTAGCTGAGGTTTTCAGTTCCTCATACAGCCCAATTTATGTCTCACTCATTCCAGTAGCAGGGCTTGCTATTCTCTTTTTGGATACTAATGTCTTTGGGCTCTCCTCCTTAGAATCTTTTTTAAGTTTTGTATTTTCCTGAGTAAGAAAACCCACTGTGTCTAGGTGCTGGGCTTTGGGGTCAGACAGATGTGAGTTTACATCCTTCTTTGCTATTTAAGCTTCGACAGGTCACAATCTTAGCTTTAGACTGCTTATTTGCAAACTTCGGTTGATGACGCCCAGTCCACTGATGGACACCAGTCCATTATTTCAGTGTTAATTGAAATAATGTATATAATTAGAAATCATTATTCTGTTATTAAGGAACATTCGTGTGTGACTCATAAGACCTATCTTTCTAAAGAAAGGTAAAAATGGTATACTAACAACATAAGTAAACCCAGACTACTAAAATTTCTGAGTTGGAAGAGACTTTGGAGATCACCTGGGATAGAAAGGGTGCTGAATAAAAAAGAGGGTGGAAAAGAGGAAGGTGAGGAATTGAGGTATTTCAAAGACAAATATCATCTTAATTCATTCTCACACATGCAAAAAATCTTTCTTGAACGTCAATTGTGTGCAAGGCACCATGCTAGACATTGTCATTGCCTAAAGATTGCTAGAGTCTAGTAGGGCAGATAAGGTACGAACCCATCTTGTGCTAAGACTTATGAGAGAGTGGTTCTAAGGACAAGCACATGTACTCCTGGAGGGAGATCAAAAAGGTAGTTTCTATGTCACACCTACCCTGGCAGGTTGCCTCATCCATCTGCCAGTCTTTCCTTCATTAAAAGTCCCCAAGAAAAGCAGTTTCATAGCTGTCCCTGGTCACCAATTCCATGCCTCAAACTGTGACAGGCAATTCTTTCTAATGTCTAACTGACACATCTTGTGCCATGGTTTAAATCCAATTCCTCTTGTCTGTTCTCAAAGAAGATGGAGAGCAGCTGGCCCCCAACTTCTGCATAATAACCCTCTCAGGGGTTGGACACTGTCATTAAGTTGCCCTTGAGGTCTGGATTCATTATCCATTGTGGGCTGACTGAAAAAACAAAAGATGCAGACATTGTATTTCATTTTCCCAGCAAATGGGTTCCTGTGGGAATGTGGTGACACAGAGGACCGTGAAGTTGCCTTTGGCCATGGACAAGATGTTGGGGTAGGCAGCTGCAAGGCAGTCAGTGATTTTCTCCCAAGGACAGTAAATAGAGTATGATGCATCCTGGGAACACGACATCACTACCGTCACCCACAGGCGTTCATCCCAAAACTTCAGTTGCAGAGGACAAGAGAAATTTGTGCCCTATCCAGACAGTGATCTTCTTAGGGAGAATCAGGCGGCAAAATGAGGAGTAAAGTGAGAAATAAAGACTGTATTTTAGTTCAGTCCTAACTAATTTTATCTCATTTTGTCAGTTATTTAAAAAGATACACTTATTTATGTATTAATCATACTTTTTATTTTCTAAATTTTGTAGTGCTCTGTTGGCCAGGGACAGACTGGCCCTCCCAGGGCCGGCTAATTCCTAGACAGCAAAGGACTCTGCTGAGGGTGTCTTTCATACGCACACCAAACAATCCAAAGGCCGTATCTCCAACCACAACTTTATCTAACTCTCATACAGCAAGCCAGTATTTCCCCTGACCTAAATCACCCCAGGACCAGGTGTCAAACAACCAGAGACCACCTTTATAATCCAGGGCCTGCTGAAATTACCAGAACTACTATCCAACCCCCAAACTTCCTCATATTTGCCTTTCTTGTCTCATCCATTACTTCCCTGGAAAACCACAATAAATGCTCTGGGCCATGCTTTCCCCTCTCACCTCCTTCTGCCTCCTGACTGACCCTGATACTTCCCCCATGTGGCCCTGCAAGGGCATGGCATGGATCCTTCTCTTAAGTATAAGAAAGAAAACTTCTTTCAAACTCTGTGTCTGTCACCTTATCGTACCTGATTAAAACAAATCCTGAGTATCTTAGCCTGTTTTGTGCTGCTATTAAAAACAAAACAAAACAAACAACAACAACAACAAACCTGACAGTTCTCTCACAGTTCTGGAAGCTGGAAATTCCAAGATCAAGGTGCCAGCATCCGGTAGGGGCCTTCTTGCTGTGTCCTCACATAGCAGAAGGTAGAAGAACAGGAGAGAGCAAACCCACTACCTAGAGTGCTTTTTATAGCAGTATTAATCCTAAACACCTTCCGAAAGGTCCTACCTCCCAACTGTTGTATTGATGATGAAGTTTCCAACATGTGAATTTTGGAGGGCACAGAAACATTCAAACCACAGCACTGGGTAAAAATCTGGAAACAATTAATCACATCTTAAATCATTTAGATAATATGCCTCAAATTGTAGTAATATTAAACCACACAGTACTTAATATTGTTGGGGTAATATTGCCCATTGCTAAGGTAGTAACTTCCAATCTAAGGAGTACTTTGTTATTTGCAAATATTGACCATTGAGCTTCCTTGTATTTTGTTATACTTCTCTCCCAGAAGTTCAACATTTGACAGACATCAGCTTTCAAGAGGTATTCAGTGGTAACTCATTCATCATTTACCTGTCTAATGGTGTTCAGACAGATAAATATTTTCTGTCCTTTAAGAACTCTATGAAAGGAAACTAGATTTTTGTTAAGTACAAACAATACTTACATTGTTATGCAAATATATCACTCTTTTGCTATCATCAAAACAAAAAACATCCATGGACATGCATCTTAATTTCCTTGTCAGAATTTCCATCTTCCTTTTTTTCTTTTCTCTCTTATTTTCCACATCGTGCTGTCAGTACTCCTTGATTTCCATCAGAGGTTCTTTCCATGCACTTAACCTTTAAGATTAAAAAGGCCTTTGTTCTAATCGACCTTCACATACAGCAAATCCCATTTTTGTTTGTGTTGTAGCTTGTCTCCTCAGACCAGACTGACATGGGGACCTTCATGTACAGCAAATCTCATTTTGCTGATAAGGAAAGCAAGAGTCTTGGCTAAGTTTCTTGGTCAAAATCATATACCAAGGTACACAATGAATTCAGGACTTTTGACTTTTGGCAACCGATGGGAATCTTGGGCAATAACATTTGTTACAGGCTAAATGCCCCCAAATTCCTATGTTGAAATCTTATCCCCCATGTGACAGTATTTGGAGGTGAAACTTTTGGGAGGTAATCACATCTGCAGGCACCTTGATTTGGGACTTCCCAGCCTCCAGGTCTGTGAGAAATAACTTTCCATTTAAGCTGCCCAGTCTGTGGTATTCTGTTACAGTGGCCCAAACTAGGACAATGTTCTTCCTAAAAAAATATAATACCAAATCTGAATAGAGGTGTGGAGATGGGATGAAATGATCTTTTAAGAAGCCTTTCAGTCTGAATGTATTTTCTAATAATATCCTGCTAAAGAGTAATCTAGTGATTAAATAATATATCCAGGTATGGTTACTGTAACCCAAAATTCAAGTGCATCCCTGGATATTTACTGCAGACCTCTATACTTGCCCAATAGTATAAACACTTTTATGTCCTGTTTGGTAGACCAATTTTTGGACAGCACAAAGGAGAGAGGAATGACTAATAATTAGGTAATAGAATTAAGATAAAAAATTTTTTTTGAAGCTGGGATAACGGGTTAATACCAATAAGATAAAATTTAACAGGGACATTGCTTCTGTTATGTCTGAGTCACACTCCCTTTCCCAGTGAAAAGACTTTTGCAATTTATTACATATGGTTTAAACCCTGCAACTTTCTTAACATTATACCCTAAGCACTTTCTCATGTCACTAAATATTCTTCACAAAGATAATTTTCACAGACACATGATATTCCATCTTGTGTTTATATTTAATATTACCTTATTTTTGGCCAGGTATGTTGCTTCTAATTATTTACACACATGTTAGGCTACAGTAATTATCCTTTTGTATAAAAAATAATTTAACAGGGACAAATGTAAAGGCCTTTGTTTAGGCTCAAAACTTCAATCATATAATTATAGATTCTATTTTTCTGGGCTTCTAGAAATTTTTAGAAAAAAATCTGTGATTTTTTTGTTAGTGACAAGTGCAATATTCCTCAATAGTGCAACCAGTATGAGGTTAATATCAGGAAGACACATTAGTTCCACTGTACTCTGTGATAGTCACATTACAGCTCAAATACAGTATCTGTTTCAGATTTCACCCTTCATAAGCAACATGGAGAGATATTTAAAAGACATCAATACAATTTGACAATTTATCAGACGAGGGATGGCTGAAAGAAGGGAGGGATTTAATACTGAAGAAGAGAAGACATTTGGTTATAAGATCTTAGATTTTAAATACAGGAAGGAATATGTTGGGGAAGCTTATATTTACTCCAATGACTGAGAGCTATATGAGGCAGATTTCAGATGTGGCCTAGAGCAGTTTAAAAAAAAAAAAAAAAACTCCCAAAGCTAGGGACACGATAATGAATTCTAATAGACTACCTTTTTCCCACTGAGGGCTGTAAGATTGGAAGGGCTGGCTAACATCAGAAATGGTACGAGTTAGAAACAGCTGCTTCCTCCTCTTCTGCATATTCTTGGATATTAGCATTCTTCAAGGTTCCATCCTTGGCCTCTCAACACTTTCCACACTTATCCTGGGTGAACTTCTATAGCTTTATAGAAGCCACTTCTATAGCTTTAACAACCACTTATCTAAAGGTGGCTTTTACATCTATATTTCTAGCCATGATTTTTCTCTTGAGCTCCTTGCCATCTAGAGAAGTCTTTTCAAATGTAATATATCAAAATCAGAGTTAATTATCTTCCTGTTGTCATTAGTCAGGACTAATGTGTCAGAAACACTAGCCAGCAAAGGCAAAAAGAGTAATTTATTGGCTTATGTTAACCAAACCATGGCAGGAATTAAGCCAGCTTCAGGATGCTTGAAATCAGAAACCAAAAGGCCACCAGAACTCTCCTATCTCTCATATTTGCTTCTCTCTGTGTTAGTTTCACTTTTCCCTACTGAATACCAGCTTCTTACGCCCATGAAAGACAAAACCACTAGCATCACTGGAGTTGCAACTTCCCAGATCCATCACCAGATTTCCCTTAGTGACAATTCAAAATTCAAAAATACCAGGGAAGGGGTCAGACTGGGTCATGCACCCCTACTTAGGCCAAACACTGTGGACCAGCGTAGAGTACAAGACACTATGACTGAACCAGCTTGCATCTGGTATCCACCCCAAGAACAATCACTATAGATAAGGAGATAGCGTCTTGTATTCTAAAAGGTGGGAACAGGGGCAGGGGTAGAAAGCAGCTCTTCTTAGGTTCACATGTACAAGTTGAAGCAGGGGAGAACAACAGGCTACCACTGCTGTTCCAGGAAAAAGGAGCAGTGCCCACCACACTCTCCAACGACGTTCTGTCTTCCACATTGTTAATCTCCACTAATGACATCTCTGCGTACCCAGTCTTACAAACTGTGCCCCAACTTCTTAAAAACTCTGGTCAGTTCCTCAAACAAAACCCAAACTCCTTAACTTAAAATACAAATCCCTTTCCAACCATGCTTAACATTTTTTTTGTCTCCCCAAATTATTCTGTTCCATTCCCACTCCCTGCTTTCCCCACACGACCATGTGTTGCTGCTGCACACGCTTCAGACACGCAGGGCCCTTTCCTGGCTCTACACACTGGTCCGTGATTTGTAGGGATTGGATTGTCCTTTTTCACTTCTGTCACACGCTATTTTCCTACAAGATTCAGGTAAAACGTTGCCTTATTACCCTTAGGTTACACCTACCCTACTCTCCAGGAATAGCTGATCCCTTGGCTTTCTGCATTTCCCATGATAGGGAATTCATGTCTCTGACCAGCACTTAGCACATGGAATTATTTGTTTGATTACATAACTATCTCCTCAGTAGGCCAAGAGCTTCTGGAAGGTAAGGACCACACCTTGTTCATCTTGGATGTTAATCCAGCACAGGGCCTGGCATATAACTGCTGGCACATAGTGGATAGTAAATAAATATTTAATGACCAAAGCAACAATTTGAAACTTCTAATTTTAAGATTTGTTTGGTAGTTTTAACACCTGCAACCACATAATAACAAAACTAAGACTTTCTTCCTCTTTCTTCCTTCCTTCCAGAAATGAGAGTGAATTAATGGATAATGAATGTTTCCTTTGTTTTCATTATTTCTATCCAAAGTATTTCAAATTTATCCAATTTTATTGCAGCACCCGCCACCAGTATTGTCATCAACTTCTGAACCATTTTCCCTGTCATTAGTCCAAAATGGTGATATATTTTATTTTCCTTGAGTTTGAAAATATACACTAAATCTATGACCATCTAGATATTATAAAAGTATCAGGTGACTATTGCTGCTTCTGTTGAAGTTGGCAATGAAAAGTATAAGAGATATACAAAATCATACTATCCTTATCCATAAACCTGTCTGGCCCCCTGGCCCACTAACGGTTTTCTGGAATGGATGAGAAACAGATATGCCTGGAAGCCAAGGGAAATGGACATTAATAACTCAAAATCACAGATTTGTTCTCATTTATGTTGCCTGGCCTTTCTGTGGCTTGTTTTTTCTCCCCTGCATGCCAAGTTCCTTACTTATGTTTCTTGAGAGGCGAAGGATAGGGTGAGATCTGACACCATGCCACTGCAGTGTGACTTCTCCCAGACTAGCAGGGGTTTACTCATGGCCCCACAGAGGCCCTTCTCCTGGAACACGGCAGCCAGCAGTGATTATTGTATCTAAGTCTTGAGCAACTAGCATATGTCAGACACTGTGCTAAGTGCTCCATATACTCACACAGCCTCAGGTAATTCTCACAACAGCATTAAACTGTGAGGAAAGAGCAGTTCTGAGAAGCCGGTCAACTTCTGCAAGGCTACACGGCTAGAAAGCAGCAAATCTGGGTCTGTTGCCAGGATCACCTGACTCTAAAACCTGTGTTTTATTAGAACACATTGCTTTTCAAACACAAAATCCTGACACACACCTTTCACAATACTACTCTCCTGCTACAAAAATTCTTTAAATGAACAATATCAGTGCCAAGATCTTGCATATATGGCGGCAGCACAACACGATTACACTGGAAGATAGATCACTAGACTGGGAATCACACTGCCTGGGGTCTCTGCCTGGTTCTGACATGGAAACGTGATCGCAGGCATTCAGTTCTTCCTGTCTTCCACAGTCACAAATTGGCCTCACCTCAATTTTGTAGGAAGAGTATAAAAATTATACCTTTAAAATATTTGTGGTATACCATTTCAAGTCCTAAGACTTTGAGAGAAGGACTTCAGAAACATCTGGAGTTGATACGCCCCCTGTTTCAATTTGAAGCTAAGTTTATGGCCCATCTTTTCTGACACACATTTTTTTAAAAAGAGCATAGAATATCATATCTCAGAGGGCATATTGTGTTCTGAGGTGTTAACTTTACAATGTTAAGAACCCGAGTTCTTAACCCGAACCCCCAAGGAAGACAAAACTTGGGGGCTCCATAACTCAAGCATGATGGAGAACACAGCCAGGAGGTAGTGCCAGAGGTAAATAAGAAGCTGGGGAGTACAGCCAGAAGCACGTTAGGGGATTCAGAATCTTTCTGGCAAGGTGAGGGATGGGTGGATGGGTGAGCTGAAGGAGTAAGGTTGACAGGGAACTCACTGGTAACAGTCTTTCTGCGCACGGCCTCAGAAAATGGCCAACGATCTTTTTCTAAATTAACTTAAATTAATGCGACTTCACCTGAAGAAAGAAGGAAAACAGATTAGATGACAGTATGTGGCACGGTTATTTAGGAAGAATTTTCACCAGGCAAAATTCTAAAATAATAGACTAGGTTCCTATTGGGAAGATGTGTCCTTTTCCTAGCAGTTACTATAAACGGGATAAATACCTATGTCGGTGGATTTGACCAGGGGTTGTCCCACCTGGTGGCAGGGACTAGATAACTTCTGGAAGGTCCTTTGACCCTGCTCTCTAAAATGCAGCTATGAACTCAGCGCCCAGTTTGTTGTGCCAGTTCCGAAGCAAGATGCTGCCACCTAGCGTCTGCTGTTCTCACACGCAGTAGCACCTAACTGCCTACATACACTTTCATTAGAAAAGCCCTGATAATGTAGTCTGTCCTTCAGTCGGACAAAACAGGCCTAAACACTAAATCCATGTGGAAAATGGAATCAACATTAAATTATTTGTTAAACTAAAATATTCTTTTGAGAAGAATGTAAGAGCAGTCAGCACAGCAAGGAATCATGAAAATCCAGAGTTCACCTACATTGCCCGTGGGTCAACTACGTAAACAGCTAGAGAACATGCAGGGAACTCGTTCTGAGTGTCTTTAATGTATAGATATAGACCCAAGCAGTGGAATATACGAGGAAAGAAATTATAGATCAAGGCCGGGCGCGGTGGCTCAAGCCTGTAATCCCAGCACTTTGGGAGGCCAAGGTGGGCGGACCATGAGGTCAGGAGATAGAGACCATCCTGGCTAACACGGTGAAACCCCGTCTCTACTAAAAATACAAAAAAATTAGCCAGGTGGTGACAGGCGCCTGTAGTCCCAGCTACTCAGGAGGCTGAGGCAGGAGAATGGCGTGAACCCAGGAGGCGAAGGTTGCAGTGAGCCGAGATCGCACCACTGCACTCCAGCCTGGGTGACAGAGCGAGACTCCGTTTCACAAAAAAAAAAAAAAAAAAAGAAAGAAAAGAAAAGAAAAAGAAATTATAGATCAAGGTAAGAACCAATTTTCTAGCATTCAGAATTGTCTACAGCATGTAGTATTTCCTAATCATTGAAAGTATCCAGTACAAGCTGGAATACTTGTGGGAAAGCTGAAGAAGGCATTTAAACTAGCAAAACGGTTAACTGAAACACAATTTTATCCAAGACTTCTTATCCAAGACTTGGAGAACCTTGAAGGCAGAGATTTCACTACTGTGTCCTGTGTTTAGGATCGTGCCTGGTATGGAGTACAGGTACCCACTTGCTGGTTTGTTGAATGAGTAAATACATTCTCTTACAATTTCCCAGGAGGAAGAAAAGTAGCCCAAACAAAAGTTAGACAAGTTGAGAACAAAAAGAACAGCCTCTGACATTTAGAAACTGGCCTGGTACTCACAGCTAAGGCATGTTATTCTGATGAACCTAAACTATCTCACAGAAAACCAACCTCTGACAAGGTTATTCTGAGACCACAATAAAATGAGACAAAACAAGGTCATTTCATAATTGTGTCTAAGAACAGACAAAAATAAGGTCACTGTGCCACCCACAGAATACCAACCACTTCTCTCAGCCAGATGAGCAACTGCTTCTGCTTTGCTAATTACAGCTTATCCTCAGCTAGACTTCCCTCTCTATAGATAAGATTTATGAACATGCCAAATCATAGAATTGCCCCTGCTTTCTGACGGCATCCAATTAGAGTGAAATCCTAACTCCTCAGACCCTTCCCCATATCCCCAAAGCCCAAACCCTACAAAAGCTTTTCTTGCACCCTCCTACCGGGACACCCCATAGTTCCTCAGGGTGTGTGTGCTCTCTGGCTGCCATGAGTAATAAACCTAATTTGTTTAACTTACAGGGTTGCTCCTGGTGGTCTTTGGCCAAAGGGCACTGACCAAGTAAATGCTAAGAAAAAAAAAAGTTATGTCCCTACTTCCAAGTACACTATAAATACTGTATGAATCCTAGCTTGTGAGGGTTGTATTAGGTATAGAAGACTTCTTGAAAGACGAGGGGCCTTACGTATTAATACCCACCAGCATTTACTGAGGCTTCGTGCCGGGCATCATCCCAAACACTTCACAAGTATTACTTCATCCAGTTCTCACAACAACCCTCTAGGGTAGACACTATTATTATCACCACTTTATAGATGAGGAAACAGCAGCACAGAGAGCTTAAGCAACCTGCTCAAGTGAAACAGGTGGTAAAGGGTGGCGCCAGGAATCAACGTGGACGTCTGACTCCAGAGCCCATGCTTCAAATAGAGTTTTCAAGAGGGAGGAATATGACTGTGTGTTCTAGGGAGAGGCAAAAAGGCATAAGCAAAGGCATGGGGGCCAAGAAGGAACTCCTTTACCCAACAAGCTTCTTGATTCCCTTAAACTGTATAAAATCTTCACAATCCCTTCTCCACATACCCCTTACTGCTGGGTCCTGGTTCCCTTAAGGCTGACCCCAGGACCAGGCGCAGGGGTTTGGGGCAACACAATTTGAATGGTTTTGATTCTGTCATCTTTGTTTTAATGATAAAAACAATGTTCCAACTTTGCTTCTACCCCTATCTGGTTTTTCTCATCTCTCCAAAGCCTGATATGGCACAGATGGGTGTGGCTGGGGGACATAAAATCCTCCTTCCCTTAATTAACATCTACTTATCTTTCTATCTTCACATTCAAATGTCACTCCCCAGGAAAGCCTTCCCTAATTCCTGAGGACAGGTGAAATCCCTCTGTCAGAGCCTCACAGTGGCCTGAACTTCCCCTTCAGGAAAGTTCATCACTCTTGTCATTACAGTTCATTATGTCTTCCCTGCTAGACTTTAAGTTCCATGAGAGCAGAGGCCATGTCTGACTTGTTCAGTCCCTGGCACGCCACAAGAATTCAGAGCTGTGAACTAGAAAGGGAGTGGGGAAACTAATTAGTGGCAGAGTTTCATGGACAACCAGGTCCATTCTTTTTCCTTCCTACTGCAAGCCCTTGCTTCTTCTCAATGCATCATGATCCCTGCTATTGTATTTTCCCGACCCAAACTCAAAAATCATCTTCAGTCAGGTCAGATGTTGCCTAGGAAAATCTAGCTGTGCTCCGTCAGGTCTTTTTCTCTCAACGAGAGTCTGATTGGTCTATCATAAACTTCACCTTCTGAAAAGTGAACCTTCCCTCTCTGGTGAGTTATCCAAGGTCACACTGAATCAGACAGCAAAGCCAGGAATAAAATTCAGATCAGCTGGCTCCCAAGTTGAGGCTTGATCTTCTTCTTATAGGAATAAAGTGGAGGAAATGAGCTTGCACGCTGATTCTCTGAGACTGTTCATCAAACGTGGGCTTATAATGCCTACAGCTTCCACATGTTATCTAGGAGACATTAAAGCATAATGAGCCCTTCAGGAAAAGGTATTTTTAAAAAGGAAAACACAAGTGCAGTCTGGATGTATAATCAATATTGCAAAGATGATTTCATTAAATTCTGGATGGTGACTCTCCTTAAGTTGGTTTACAATCATGAAGTCAGCATAAGCCACAGAATCAGAATCAGCTTACCGTATAACCTCTTGGTAGAGGGTCCAGCAATGCTAAGAAGCTGCAGAAAACACAAATGTCTTTGGCATAAAACCTATGCTCCAATCTTATGAAAAGCCACTTAAAAATAAGTAAGACAGTGTCTAAATTCTTAGATACGCAGCCACACGGTGAGAGAATTCAAATAGCCAGGTGCTTGGCCTGTAGTGCTGACAAATGGAAGCCAAGCAATTAAAGCTGAGAAAATGGGTTACAAAATCTTACAGCAGGAGACTCAGATCAGTTACAAGGAATTTACTGTTTGGGTTTAGAAATAACTGAGACATCCTTTTACCTGAGATGGATCAAGTAGAGCTCAATATAGGAAGGAGACAGGAGGAAAGAGAGAGATGTAAGTCCCCAAACCACCTTCCATCCTAGAGTTTCTGAAGACATGAGAAGTAAACTACCACTGCTAAAAAGTCAAGGTTAAAACATGAACTTTCAACTTCTCTCCTGGATATTCAGGGCTCACCTCTCCCGGCATATATTACTCACACTAATCAGGCAGCCCGCAAATAATTATGTATTTCATAGTTCTTTGAAATGTTCATTTCTTCCATCTGTGTTGCCCCAAGTAACATTATGAAATGATTCATAAGAAAGTGTGGCAGACTATCTCGTATCACCAAAACTCTTCCTGCATAGAGTGCAAAGGGATAAAAATAACTAAAATCACTTTGTTAAAGTTTCTAATCAACACTAATTTTTGACAAGGGTCTTTTTTTTCCTTTCCGTGCTATTTTTCATTACCTTTTATCTCTTTTACAAGTACAGAGTGTATAATTTCATCTAGAAATTGACTGTCTCGTTGTTTTAAGCAAAAGAAAATATTTTAAAATAAACAAATAATCCTTAAGGAGAGTGGAAAATCTGGAGGCGACACAACTAGGATCACCATAAGATTGTTTCTCGTGTTATTCCTAGCAATTTGGGAGGTAATCACAAACACTCGAATGGCTAGGGAACAGAATTTGGAAGGATGTGGCTCTTCTAGATCAACAATCAAAGCTCAATTGAATTTTTATCACAATGAGTCAATCATTCTGCCCCTCATTTCTCTCAGTTCTAACCTGAGGAGAGCCTTTGATACCATCCTTTCTTGCCAAAGGTTGAACGGAATGTTTAACTCAGTTCAACAGGAATGATGGTAGACACAGTGCGAGTGGCTGGAGGTTAGATGGGCTGTAGGAAGGATACTCCTTGGATGAAGGCAGACACACCCTACAGAGCTGTTCCGCTGAGCCAGGGGAGCACACCAAGAATAAAAAATGCTGCAGATGCCAACTCTTGGCCTGTTTGGGGATTTTTTTTTATAATAGCACACAGTAAATGATTTTTCCCATAGGTTATTTGATTAGCTATTGCTCATGATGATTCAAACTAAGAACAAGAGACTTCCCCCATCCGCAAGTGGGGTACATATGAGTTACAGGCAACAAACTCCTTGGGTCCACTAAGATTGAGCTGAAAACTTAGGTTTAAATAATACAAGGTGGAGATGAGATACATAAGTCACAGAAACAAATATATGATATACACAGACAACCAAGAACTGCTAATGGAGAGCTTTAATCATCACATGTAAAAGCAATACATTCATATATCAAAATTGGCTCCAAATTCTTTATCATCATCACCATCAACAGTCTAGAAATGAAATGACACACTAATATAAAACTTTCCTGTTTATAACTAAAAGATTTATGAAACTTTTTTTTTTACCCTGAGGCTGATATCACCAAGGTGAAAAAGAAAAGTCATTATCAGCTGGAATGTATTCAATATAGAGTTTTAAAAACCATTTATCATTATTCTAGGTTTATGTCTATTCATTCTCCCCACCCACTCTATGGGATGATAACAGGAAAAGATGGCAAATGGTTGTGTCCAGTATTATTATATACTGGTTATATAATTCTCAAATGTACTGATTATATGATTCTCGATTTAATCTACTTACCAAAACAAAGAAATAAAATTTTAACATCCATTAACTCTGTACTATCATATTTTAAAATATGTATCAAAATCAGTTCTCTCTTATAAAAGAGGGGTTGGCAGTACATTCTCAGACCAAACAACAACAACAAGCCCCAAAAAACCGGTATAGTACCTTCTTACAATGGCTACTGCAGTGCATTCTACATATTTCATAGAAACCAACTAGGTAAGTTCAGCGTTCGCAGAGATTGCCTCACAGATACTTAGCTCTGGGTTCCTAGTCACCTTGAGATAAGATCTGCAAAGTCTAAAAGAAAAACAACTCCCAAATGCTGTAACAGTTTTTCCATTCAAGTGCTGAGAGAGCTATGCATATAAAACTTGAAAAAAGATAGCCATGTTGAAGGGAGGACTATTTTAATGTGGTTTTTTGGTATGTAAATTACAAATAAATCGAAAAAAAGATTTTCAAAACCTGAATTCCTAATGTCTCTAACATTGTTTTTTGTGAACGGGTTTAGAGCCATGGTATGCTGCCTCTCACAAAGCAGCCTAGTGACTTTGTCTCCAATTATTTTCATGATAATCTCTAGATGCTTTTTAAAGCGCTTTTTCTAAATATTCTCAGCACTTCATCTAAACCAGCAGCTGGGGTGCATACCTGAGCCAGGAAATCTTTGTTGCCACTTTGTTTCAAAGTATTGTACATGCAATGTCCTGGGTACTACTTACCTCCCACTGCACAATTACACATATGCTGGTCTATAACGGAAATCTGGGATAGATGGCACTTTAAGAATTACTATCCCTAATCTGTCTGCACTCTTTGCTTTTATTATTTGTAGATCCCTTTCTAATTCAAATGATTCAAGTGAGCAATATAAGCATAGACACTGGAATTTTTCTAAGAAGTTAAATTGTGTACACTAACTCTCAGCCAAAATTGGGTGAGGATAATAGAGAGAAAATTCAGCATTAGAAGGAGTTAAGAGAAAAGCTTTCTGAAAAAGGCTTGGTATACGTGCTGTCTTTTAAAGGCAGAATCATAGAAAATCAGGCCGGGTACAGCGGCTCATGCCTGTAATCTCAGCACTTTGGAAGGCTGAGGCAGGCGGATCACCTGAGGTCAGGAGTTTGAGATCAGCCTGGCCAACATGACAAAACCCCGCCTCTACTAAAAATACAAAAATTAGCCGGGCATGGTGGTATGCACCTGTAGTCCCAGTAACTGGAGAAGCTGAGGCAAGAGAATTGCTTGAACCCGGGAGGTGGAGGTTGCAGTGAGCCGAGATCACACCACTGCACTGCAGCCTGGGCAACAGAGCAAGACTCTGCCAAACCAAAAAAAAAGAAAGAAAAAGAAAAAGGGAGGAGGGAGGGAGGGAGGGAGGGAAAGAAGGAAGGAAGGAAGGAAGGAAGGAAGGAAGGAAGGAAAGAAAGAAGGAAGGAAGAGAGAGAGAAGAGAAGAGAAAGAGAAAGAGAAAGAGGAAGAGAAAAAGGAAGAGAGAGAAAGAGGAAGAGGAGAGGAAGAGAAGAGGAAGAGGAAGACAGAAGAGAAGAGAAAGAAGAGAAGAGAAAGAGGAGAGAAGAGAAGGAGGAGAGAAGAGGAGAAAAGGAAGAAAATCAATGTGAGAGACTCTTCACCATCACATGGGCAATTCCCCATCTGGTACTTAACTCCTATGCAACATGCCCGCCAAGTTGCTGTCTCGCCTCTGCTAGAATACCTTTAGGGGAGGGAAGCTGTTCCAACACTTCTCATCTTCCTTACAATGAAACAGCAAAACAGATGGAACAGGTAAACAAATTTCCACTAAACATGATTAAGAATTATATCTAACTTTTCAAGAGAGTAGGTTGTCAACAGCTACTTCAAAGGAGAAACCAGATTTGTCTCAAGCATCCCATGCTTTCTATAATGTTTCAAAATGGAGAGATACAAATTTGAAATATGAATTTTAGAAATCATTGTTGAATAGCTGTGTGTGCTGCAGAGGGGAAGGTAAAAAAAAATCTTAGAAGTGATCATTGTAGGGACTCTTTTTAAAACAAAAGGAAAATAAATGTTTGAATAATAATTTAAAGTTTCACTTTGAAGATGCAATAAACACCTTGCACAGCAAGTCGTGGTGTAAGAATCCAAGAGCCCTGATGGATGAAGTGTAGGCTAATGACATTTTGCAGCAATTATCAATTCAGATGTGGGAGACAGAGGAGAATGACAGGATCAAGTCTGAGGCTGCAGCCTGCTATCCTAAGGCAACTGGAAAGTGGGGCATTCTACCTTGATTTTCTCCTTCTGGCTTGTTTGACAGCACTGCAAATAATTGTCTTGTTTCTGATTTCTCTCAAGGTGCTCAGACTGTTTCAGAGTTTTAAATCCCCCCTTCAGAAGACCAACAAAGCAACAGATGGATTGGTGGATGATACTACTACCTGAATTCAATTTACAAAGGATCAATTCCTCTAAAGGGACACATTTATGTCTGTATTTTTTTTCAACATTTATACGAATAAGTCTATTTAAACTAAAATCATTTATCCTGATAACACACACGTAAACTTTAAAGATCTCAATGACCACATTAGTTGAGACTCAGCTGATTCCATTTTGAATGGTATCTTTCACCCCTATGTGTTAAAACATCAATGATATCAACTTTTAACAAACAAGACTACAAGAAACAGGCAAAAACAAAACAACAAAAACCAACCTTGAAGTCAGTATGTCTTTTTATATGGAGGCCACTTTTTTTCATATCTGTTTCAAAAGTATCAGATAATTAACATTTAGTGGCTAGATGACTGAAGAGCAAACCTTCCTGCAAAAAAGAATAAAGCTTCCTTGACCACCGAGATTTGGAAGTGAAATCAATGAAAGTCTATCAAGTACTCAGGATAGATTTGGTTGGCATCAAAAACCACAAAGATCTTTGGGTTCCAGGTATCATCCACACAGCTGTCATATAAATTCACATAGCTCCCGTCTTTGGAAGGAGGTCGCATGTATTTGGAGTCTCCGTTTATGTAATCTCCAATTAGCACTCGAGCAAGAAACATAGATTTATATGTTCTAAACAGATGCCGCTGTTGCAAGCTGACACCATGAATTTGGAATGTGTTCCCATGCTTTATGTCATCTTTGCAGAAACGACTGGAATAAGCAGCATCTCTAGCAAAATAGGTTCCTTAAACAAAGAGGACCAAGAAAAGCCAAGATTACTCCGAAGAATATATTAAAAACAAGCAAAAACATTTTGTCAGGAGAATAGATGCATAGAATTGTATAATAAAAATAGATGTGGAATTTCCTCATCTGCAGATCTTTAAGAGAAGAATAGAAATCCATCTGTTATGGACAGCTGTAGTATAGACTGCCATAGGAATAGATTTGTTGGTACAGACCAGTCCTCACCACCAACACCATCCCCTGCCCCCACCAAAATATAGCTATCAGACTTCTGTTTTTAAAATAAATCTTACAAAGAAAACAATTAATAAAACAGATAAAACTGGTTTAATGATTAAAAGTGTGGTTGGACCTGAGTTTTGTTTTGTTCTGTTTTTTTGAGACAGAGTCTTGCTCTGTCTCCCAAGCTGGAGTGCAGTGGCGCGATCTCAGCTCACTGCAACCTCCGCCTCCCAGGTTCAAGCGATTCTCCTCCCTCAGCCTCCTGAGTAGCTGGGATTACAGGCGCGTGCCACCACACCCAACTAATTTTTATATTTTTTTAGTAGAGACAGGGTTTCACCATGTTGGCCAGGCTGATCTTGAACTCTTGACCTCAGGTGATCCACCTGCCTCGACCTCCCAAACTGCTGGGATTACAGGCGTGAGCCACCATGCCCGGCCCTGAGTTTTACTGCTTGGCCCTCCCTCCCGTTTCTATTTCCTTTCACCACTTCCTCACCCTGTTCCCTTGTCAACATCCAGCAAAGCTCTAGAGAGCACAGTGGAAACCGATGGCCTACAGGGATTCTTTTAAACCCCAAGAAACCGTATTTCTATGATATGGGATAACAATTCAGTAATATTTCTGGAAACAATAGAATCCCATATCCATGAAAAGATTTCTGAGAGAGTATAATGCTATTCATATCTGAGCATTCCAAAACAAAAATGATTTTACTGGCTCACTGCCTACACATGAAAACTCGATAAAGCAGCCAACTCTTCTGAAATGGTAGACACAAGAGATAGACATCATTAAGGGCATTCTTACTCTAAAAAAATGTGGAAATGAATTGCAAAGTCTCATATTTACCTAACACTGATGGGATTTATGTAACACCTTCTGACCTCCTTACAGTTAAATAAGTGGAATGGCCTTTTTAGTAGTTATTTTTTAAATTAATTTACATTTTCAAAATGCAGCATATCCTGATCCTAAACAGTAGTCAGTTCTCTTGCTGGAAGCAAGGTACAAAGTAAGGACCAGAAAATTAAATGTACATCCCATACCTTTTCCCCTCACCTCTCTCCTTAATTTGCCTGAGTACCAGACATAAATTGAAAAACTTGGATTTTCACAACATTATAAATAACGTGAAGTTTTCCCCCACTATTCCTTATTGCTCACTAATATTCTTACCTATGATTTTCTTAAAAACAAAATAAAACAAAAACACTAGTATCTATTCTCGTACACAATGCAATTATAATCCATTTGTTTTATCATTCTCTATATATTTGCCATAAAGCAGTTCATATTTATATTTATATTCCTCTAAAAAGAGGAAACTCTCTCCTGGGGCTCAAATTGGACCTGGAATTCTGATAATTACCTTTTCCAAAGACAGCACCATGTATACCATTTATTCTCCAATCAAAGTTATGAATGCAGATTGCTTCCACAAATTCACTGCTGGTACCATGAAACAGCATTTGTTCATTAATCTGAGGCACACCTCTTTTTTTCTTGAGCTGAGCCTTTTTCCTAAAAACACAATATACACAGACACAAAAGCACACAGAAATATACCATAAGTAGCATTTATTAATCTTAATGAGCAAGGTTCAATAGAAAGCGTAAAACAGGAAATACTTTAATATAAATAACAAGTGGACAAAGCAAGTCTAGAAAAGAAATAATTTCAAATGTTCTTGGACACATAAATCATCTCATCAAAAATTATTAGTTAACACTGAAACTTAAGGTTGAAAATTATGCCAAAAACTATAGTTATCCCATGCTATGCCCCAATATCATAAAGGTAATTGATTGTCTAAACCAGCTAACCTTTATAGATGCCTAAAAATGAGACAACAAACAAGTAATACAAAGTTTGCAGAGACTTTAGACAGTGAATTCCTTGAGCAGGGATCATGTCATATGCTTTTTATCCTCAGAAACTAGAAAATGTTGGTTCAGTTGACTAAATTTTGCACCATAGGGTTGGGAGGGACATTAAGCCATCCAGTTTAATCCTCTTCCCAAGGATAAATCTATCCTAACACATAAAAGCATATTTAATGTAGGACTGATTGTAACAGAAAACAAAAACTGAAAACAGCCTAAAATTATTTCACAGAGAAATGAATATAGTCATGTATTTACATATAAAAGTTAAAAGTAATGAAGTAGATCTATGTGCATTAACATAGTAAATCTTAAAAAATAATATTGAATGTAAAAAGAATTTTGCAAAAAGAGATAGAGAACTCAAAATAATACTGTGTATTATGTAGGTATACATACACAGGTAGTAAAAAATACAAAATACAAACAATAAGGCACCATACCAATCTCAGGAGGAAAGAAGGAGAGTAGGACAGGGATGGAGTAAACACTTCACCTGTATCTGTGTGAAGAGGAAGGAAATGTGACAAGTATCAAAATGTTAAATCTGATTGGTAGATACATGGGAGTCTGCAAACTATTTGCTGCATTTTCATTCTTGAAACATTTCATAAAAATCATATTTTAAAAATTAAAAAGAATCCCCTCCCCCGGCTTCTGATAGCTCTTTAATGCCTGCTTCAATTCATCCAGTGTCAAGTACTCACAGCATCACGTGCTCACTTTGCAAAACAGCACAATTTATTTGTGATCAGCTGTAATAGTTGGAAAGTACATCCATCTCAATGCCAAACCAAATCTGCCTTCTGTTACTTCTATTGATTGGTCTTAGTTATTCTCTTATGAACATTAACAACTCAAATCACTCTTACACAAAACAACATTGCAAATTTGAACACCTACCTAGGCTTTCTTTTCTTGGTTAAATATACACCATTCCTTCAACCACTCCTGACACAGCATAGCTTCTAGGTCTTTCTTTATCCCAACAGTCTTTAGTTAACAAGAATCTGCTGGATACTTTCTAGTTTATAAATGTTGGCATGAAATAGCAACAGTCCAGATATCATCAGACAGCACTGACTCCACCGACACCACTGAATGTATTTTGGTAACAGGGCAGCAAACTGCATCCATAATCAAGTGTGTAGTCGGTTAAAACTCCCAGGACTTTTCCAAACCAGACCTCTCTTAGCTTGCTAAATCTGTGCAACTGATTTATAAACTGAATGCAATAGATTTCAGTTAAGCTTTACTTGATATAGTAATTTAAAAAGTAAAAATTAAATAACAGTAAAATATCCGTATCTCAGACTGAGTTCTGTAAATGATAGGCAGCTCGTTGAATATGTTTGGGAATGGATACCTGCATTTAAATGGTGACAGAGATGAAAACGCATACGGTCTTTCTCAAGAGTCACTTGGCAGTATGTATCAAAATTTAAATGTATATGCTTTGATCTATTTGTGACAGTCTTTTCAGACCATTAAGCATGACATCAGAAGGTCGTGCATTTAGCAAATGTTTACTTTACAAAAAGTCAGCATGCTTTCACTAAGAACTTCCTTTTTCAGAACTTTATGTTCTCACTTTTTTTAAACAAGGCGCATTTGTTCCCTTTATAAAAACAAACGAAAAAAGTTTTTTAAATTAAAAAAAGAAGATAATACTTGTTTTTACCCACTGTTTCAATCTTCCAAGGTCTTTCTGACTGCTGATTCACTCACTCAACAAATAAGCTACCCCTTCTAGTTTTGAATCCCTCACAAGTGTGATAAGCAAGCCCTCTACATTTTCATCCATTTCTGATAAAAATTTTGAAGGATCCAAGAAGAGAGCATGCATGCCTTTCGAGTTACTCTTTGCGTAAGACTTTTTGTCTACTAGTTTTTCTCTTTGAAATACCCACCAGCACATATTTCTCCATCTTGTCTTCCTGAAAAGAAACTTTCTCAACCACTATAAAGTGAGAAACCAAGCTAGACTGTCTAAGGGGCCTATCCATCTACCACTATGGTAATCCTATTAGTTAGTTTGGCATTAGTGAATCCATACTGGTTTTCTCAAAGAAACATTAGTATCATACATAATGCCAGGCTTCATGGTCTGTAATGTCAAACTTGTCAATGTTGTGCTTCATGATCTGCAATGACTAGAATCCACTCTAAGGAAATTCTGTCTCTACTAAAAGATACAAAAATTAGCTGGGTGTGGTGGCACACACCTGTAATCCCAGCTACTTGGGAGGCTGAGGCAGGAGAATTACTTGAATCCAGGAGGCGGAGGTTGTAATGAGCTGAGATTGTGCCACCGCACTGCAGCCTGGGGAACAGAGCAAGACTCCATCTCAAAAAGAAGGCCAGGCGCAGAGGCTCACGCCTGTAATTCCAGCACTTTGGGAGGCTGAGGTGGGCGGATCACGAGGTCAGAAGATCCAGACCATCCTAGCTAACATGGTGAAACCCTGTCTCTACTAAAAATACAAAAAATTAGCCAGGCGTGGTGGCGGGCGCCTGTAGTCCCAGCTACTCAGGAGGCTGAGGCAGGAGAATGGCATGAACCCCGGAGGCGGAACTTGCAGTGAGCTGAGATCGCGCCACTGCACTCCAGCTTGGGTGTCAGAAAGAGATTCTGTCTCAAAAAAAAAAAAATTCATTTATCACTACTTTTCGGGCACAAATTCGATTGAATCTCGGTTTGAAAATTCACTGGAGTTTCTCTTAGATATTATAAATAAACTGTGGGTTAAAGGGCATGGAGTATGGGCATAGGCAGGCATGGAAAACAACGCTTACTTACTAGATTAGATGGTGCATATATACCAGTTGAAGGCAGAGGGCAGGGGCATGGTGGTTAAAGCTTTGTATCCCCACAGCACAGTTTGTTCTAGTGCCCACTACTCCCACTACTAAGGCAGCCACGAAATGCGGACATTCACAGACTATGACCTTGGTGTTCCAGAAAGGCTAAAGGTGATTTCCAGGGCCTCATGAACTTTAGTTACATCTGCAAGGAAAGTCACAGAACTACACTAAGTTCTTCACAACCCTGCCCACCTTTGCCCAGATCCACAATCATTCCCGAACTTACTGAAAGTACTGTCGCACCCACTTCTCAAAGATGTCTCAAAATTATCCACCTCTTAGGGACTAGAGTGCCAAACTGGCTAAAGTGTGTATGCCACATGCTCTGCACTGGAGCAAGAATACTTTCATGCTCTGGATTAAAATAAATTTGCCTAGATTTAGAACACCTGTCATCCTGCTGAACATCAGAGCCACTTATGGAATTTTTTAAGGTAAAAATGTCAGAACCCAGAGGTTCTGATTCAGTAGATCTGTGGCGGGTGACAGGTATCTCTACTTGCTAGTAAATTCCACTGGCGATTCTGACCTGCAACTAGCTTTGAGAATCTCTGATCTAAATTCACATTATTAACAAGATGCTCTTATTTCCTTGCTGCCTTATACTTCCCAGCTCTGGATCAATCCAACCATTTCCACTATCTGCCCTTACATTTGTACTGCTGAAGTACATTACATAACATGGTTTGCCCTATAAATTCACATACTTTAGCTAAGCCCTCAACGCTGACAGAAATCCTGTGGTTCCCAAGACAGCTCGTTCTACCCCATTTTCCACAGTAGCCATTTCAAATCTCCTCTTTCCCCTTTTCTTTCCCTCTTATCAACACCTCCCTACACTTCATTCGCTGTAGGTGACCTCCCTTCTTCCTTCACAAAAGAAACGGAAGGTATCAGAAAAGAACTCCTTAACCTAACTCCTCTTTTCGTCCTCTACCTCTACTTATCTGTAAACATAACTGGACCACCCTTCTCTATCTCCTTTCTGACATATGTTCTCAGAATTTCATCTCACCACACTTCTTCAGGAGCTAGAATCCATCAACTGCCCTTCCACTCTTTCTCTAAGTCTTTTAAATTCTCCTTCTCCATAGGTCCTTTCCAATTACAATGTTCAGTTCTCTCCCATGATTAAATTTTAAAAACATAACATAACAATAATCCCACATTAGCTGTCTTCTCACATCTCTCATCCTCCTCACTGCCAAGCTTCTTGAAAAAGTTGTCAACATTTGCTGTATACACAATATGATGTCTACCAACCTTGCCTTCATCTAAGTTACCAATGGCCTTCTTATTGAAAAATGCAAAGGAACTTTTCAAATTTATCTTACTTGACATCTTTTCAGTATGTAATCGTACAGATGGCACCTACTTGTGTAAACCACATTCTCCCTCCAGCTTCTGTGATTACATCTTCTATTGGTTTTCTCCCGCTTTCTGTGGTTGTCAGTTTCCTCCTTGGGTTTTCTCTTCCTCTGTTCATCCCTTCCAGAATTTGACCCTTGGCCCTCTTCTTTTCTTAATGTACATACGCTCCCTGGTCATCTTCTTCATTCCTATAGTTTCTATTACCCCACATTTTCTAACAACTCCAAAACCTTTGTCTCTAGTCTACACCACTCTTCTCAACTCCTGACCCATATGTCAACTGCTGTATATCAACTAATACTCCCTTTCCATCATCCCTAAAGATGTCCCTACTGATATTCCCTTAGTCAAGTAAAACAAGCCAAAAACTTGGGAGTTATCTTTCTCATCTCCCTTATTCACTCCATCGCATACAATAAGTGAGGCGCCAAGCCCTACCATTCTATAATCTTAATACCTCAAAACTCTCTTCTTTGCTCCAACACAGCAGATACCACTTTGGGTCAGGCAACCCAACGTGTCTCAGTTTAATTACTGAAACAATTTCCTAAACTGGTCTCTCTGCTATGAACTGGGATTTCAATTACTGAGATTTTGTGTTGGACACTTCTTTGTTGTGAAAGGCTTCTTCTTTGTTGTGTCATGCATTGTAGGATGTTTAGCATCCTGGCTTCTATCCAGTAGATGCCAGGAGCACCCCCACCCTGCCATATTAACAATCAAAAATGACTCCAGTCATTACCAAATGTCCCCCAGCAGGTAAAATCACTCCCAGTTGAGAACCACTGCTTTAAATCCCTTCTCCACCACACAGCCTAATTATTTTTCTAAAATGCAGATCAGATCCATCACTCTCTTGCTTAAAGTTCTACAATGGCATTCTACTGTCCCAGGAAAAAATCCAAACCTCTTAGTTTAGCTTATAAGGCCCCACGTGGTCTAGCCCCCGCTAACTCTCTGACTTCCACTCTGGTTCAATCCAACTCAACTAAGGCTACTAAAGACGATCACACAACCACCCCAGTGGTGCTACTACAAACTCCTGCATGCTCTGCCTCTTGATACCATTCTAGCCTCCTCTCTCACCATTCTACCTAATTTCTGTTCAATCTGAAGCTGCTTCAATTTTCTGCGCTCCCTCTTATATCCAGACTTTGGTTCTTACTGCCCCTGATGCCTGAGATGCCCTTCTCCTATCCAACTGGTGTCTGGGGCTCCCTAATTCTACCCACTCCACTCCACATCCCCTACTTTTGTTGGCAAAGGTGGATGGGTCCCCTCACTTTGTGCTCCCATGACTCCCTGTGCTGACCCCTACATTTCTGTGTTACAATGGTCTGGCTCTCCAAGCTATGGTTCTCTGTACCATTATATCCCAAGTGCCCAGAACAGTGCTTGTCATAAAGTAGGTACTAAGACATTTTTGTTAGAAGAAGTGGGGAAAGTAAGAGAGGCCTAGGCAATTTGAAAACTATTGCTGGATGGACTCACGTGGGCCTGACTACCTATATGGTGAGTCATAGGTTATGTGACAGTGAGACAGACAAAGTTATTTTAGTTCTTCAGGATGATGTCAAAATGACACGCTGCCCTTATAATGAGACTCAGTATTTTGTACTGTCATGGCAGGTGGCAGGTTCACTTACCATCACAGATTTCTATGTCATTATGTAATTTATGTCATTACATAAAACCGTGAAGGGCATCACCAGAGTAAAACTGTTCCCATTGGAATTCTTAGTATAAAATGTTCTAGGGAGTCACTGGTACATTTTTACCACTATGATTTAACTGGGGACTCAAGTTATGGGGGAGACCAATTTGATCTCCACTTCAGAGGGCTGATGAAGAATAATGAATTAAATTTTCATCAGACTATTTCAGAAAAACTTACTTTATTCACTGAGAGAATAAAGTCAAAGGAGGCAGAGGCTTCTGTCTTCCTCTATAAAAGAATCATCTAAACAAGAACTAAATTAAACTGTCTAAACTCAGTTAAACTCAGTTATTGTCAGAAATAAAAGTTGGTTTGGCCAATAGACCCAAGACTATAAAGAACACAAGCTGAAAGCCCCTTATTACCATAAACTATTATGAGAATAAAACCTGAAATGTACGCAGGCCATATTAACTAGTCAGAACCATGAAAGAATTCCATGTATCATTACCAAACAAAAGTCAGCCTAATTCTCAGGTATATAGAAATGAAATGAGTTATGGTCTGGGATTTGCTTAAAAATACTTCAGCAACAACAATAATAACAAAAAAGGAGATAGTTTATGTGTGGTAAATCTTGATAGGTGTTGAATCAGGATGACGGATACATGAGGTTCATTATATTAGACTCTACTTTTGTGTTTATTTGCAATTTCTCTGAATAAAAAGTTAAAAGTCAGCTTACATATTTAAAAATATTAGACACCAAATCTCATCTACAAATGTTAATTGAAAATATTTCAGAGAACCGCTTATTTTAATTTTTTACATGTCATAAAAAATATGGCAGAACAGGCTAATTTGGATAATACCTTTAATAGCTTAAAGTTTTCTGTAATGGACTTTACTTTGGTTAAGTCACCCAACTTAATGGGTCATTTCCCACTTAAATCCAGTAAGGAATTGAGATTTTAAATCTACAAAATAAACTTTAGGCTAAGCAGGAAATTTGAAGGTATGTTTTAAAGTGTTCTTTAAAATAAAACAGACAAAAGACTATTGGCAAGATAGTATGATTTAAAAACAAAACAGTGTTTGCAGAGACTTCTAATAAAAGGCTTAGCCAAGGAAGTCATATCAACAAAGCTAAACAGCTCTGACACTCCTCTGTAATGCTGATTTCAGCCAAGATGCATAGCTCTAAACCTTGAAAGGAAGGAGCTTCTCACATTGCAATGCTACAAGCAAAGTTTACAGAGCACCTCTTTCACTCCCTGAGAATGCTGAAGAGCCTTGAGACCAGGTCAAAATACGGCAAGAGAAAAACAGCATGTCTACACCACTGAAAATTAATACAATTCAATATTTATGTTTTAACCATAAAAGACATAGTGGAAAGGAGAAGTTTCAGATTAGAAATCATCTCACCTGCAAAAGAACTCCCACAAATCTAGGTTTTGAATTCTCTGAATTCTTTTAATTCGGTTGCGATCCATCGTCTTCCCAAAGAGATTAGCAACTTCATTATATTCATGTGTTTGATTGTGCAGAGGAATAAGCTGGAAAAATAAATTTGCATAGATTTACTGCAGTCATTTCCGGTTTCTTTCATGGGTATATTCAGTCAATTCTGCTCTTACCTGATATGGTACTTGAGTATTCACATTCTCCCAGTGTGGTGGCATAGGGATGGCCTCGTTTTCACAGATGTAACTTGAAACAGCAAAAGAGAAAACAAAATATCAGAAGCCGATTACAATTACTGTCAAGAACTTAGCCCTTCTTCAAAGCTTAATTTTCATTTTCAGGGTATTGTGACAAATGCAATTAAATACAGCCTTCCGTTTCTTCATTTAAAAATTATTGACTGTCGGCCGGGCGCGGTGGCTCACGCCTGTAATCCCAGCACTTTGGGAGGCCGAGGCGAGCGGATCACGAGGTCAGGAGATCGAGACCATCCTGGCTAACACGGTGAAACCCCGTCTCTACTAAAAATACAAAAAAATTAGCCAGGCGTGGGGGCGGGCGCCTGTAGTCCCAGCTACTCGGGAGGCTGAGGCAGGAGAATGGCGTGAACCCGGGAGGCGGAGCTTGCAGTGAGCCGAGATTGCGCCACTGCACTCCAGCCTGGGCGACAGGGCGAGACTCCGTCTCAAAAAAAAAAAAAAAAAAATTATTGACTGTCTATGTGTGCTACTTTTTAGGTGTTCAATAGTGAACTTTTGATGGAAAATATCCAACCCTATATATCATAAAAATTTCAAAAACAGTTGCTTAGTTCTGTCTTGTTTTTTTTGAAATTTCCAAAATTTCTTTAAAATGTAAAGAAGATTTTAGGCAAAGAAATTAAAAACAAAATCAAGCTCCTGATGAAAACAAAAGGCTGAAACTCGTATTTATATTGTCTATTGAATAAAATCAAAACTCCTCAACCATTCATTCGATGTTCTCCAAGTTCTAACTCAAACCTAAACCCTTCTCTGTTAATTGCCCACTATTCTCTCCAACAGTCCACTACCTTTAAGGGTTATTAGCACAGTCAGTCAGTAAATCTTAAAAACTATCAGACATGTTCAAGCCACCCGATGTGAATACAGAAAAACAGTGATGTTGAGGGATTTAATAGCAAAAGGCTGAACATGACACACCAATCGCCTCCAGTGATTGGAGGTTACTAAATAAATTAATAAATTTCAAACCGATCTTTAGTTTACTTTTTTCAAACTTATTTTAATGAAAAAAATCAAATAGGTGATTTAAAAATTAATATGTGTGAAGAAATATACAGTGAGAAGTTTTCCTCCCACTCCAGTCCCTGGTATGTCCAAGTCTCACTTTTTGCCCCATCTCCTGGTAATTAGTTTCTTGGGTATTCTTCCAGAGCTTCTTTAGGTTAATACAAGCCAAGCTTTTTGCTCACACAGATGGTAGCATAAAGCATACATTTATTGCACCTGTTTTTTTGGTTTTTACTTCATAGCTTCTTAGAGATCTTTCTGTAACAGTGCATAGAGAGCATCATTATTCCTAGTGCTTACGACAGAGCCTGGCACATAGTACACACTCAGTAAGTACTGGATGAATGAATGAATGCATTCTATTTTACAGACGCACAGAACTCCGCCATGTGGATACACCATAATAATATTTAGCTTGCCTCCAACTTTTTGCTACTGCATTAAGAAAGCTGGCTGGGCGCGGTGGCTCATGCCTATAATCCCAACACTTTGGGAGGCAGAGGCAGATGGATTGCCTGAGCTTAGGAGTTCGAGACCAGCCTGGGCAACAGAGTGAAACCCCATCTCTACTAAAATACAAAAAAGTAGCCAGGCATGGTGGCGTGCGGCTGTAATCTCAGCTACTCGGGAGGCTGAGACAGGAGAATCACTTGAACCTGGGAGGCGGAGGCTGCAGTGAGCCAAGATGGCACCACTGCACTCCAGCCTGGGCAACAGAGTAAGACTCTGTCTCAAAAAAAAAAAAAAAATGCTACAGGAACACATTTGTTCATCTGTCATGTTACATGTCCACTTGTTTATCTGTAAAATAACATATTTGAAACAGAATTTCTGAGTCAAAGAATATATTTTTTCATGATTTTAACAGACACCAACCAAATGCTGTCTTTGAATGTACCTACTGACATTCTCACCAGAAATATAGAAATCATCTGTTTTCCCACAACCACTCCAAAAAGGTGTGTGATCAAACTTTTGAATTTTAGTCAATCTGGTAGTAAAAATTAGTCTGGTATTAATTTGTTTTTCTCCTATTATGAGTGAGGTTGTATGAACTGTTCAAATTGTTTGCCCATGTTGATCTTCTATTTAGAGAGTCCTAAAAGTACTTCATATAATATGGAGAATATCCCTTCAACTACAACAATGAATAAAAATATTTCCCCAATTTTCTGTGAGGGAAAAAAATGCCTAAAACACACTTGGCCTAAAGTATCTTTTAGCTATGACCAAAAAATTTTTTTAGTTTTTATGTAGTCAACAGCCTTAAAGAACTCCTTGCCAACAGGAAGCATGTATTACCTACCTTGCATGTGATAAATGCTCAATGTATTCCCACAGTAAATAAATATTTCTATATCAGCACCTACTGACCTTCAACACCCTATTGTATCTTACCTAAACAGTCCTCTCCTTTTATTATTATCTTGCTTATTGTCCTCCATTCTGCTTAGTTCTCTCCTTGTGCTGTCTTTGTTCTATGGTTTGTACAGTCTGTGACAGAACAAAGTGTTTGATCCCATCACAGTGTTTCTTGTCTCCACCAAAGCACAGCAGATACAATGTACAATTACAATAACATCTTCCATTATTATGTCTCATTTTTCATTTTTCTCCCAGATTAAATACTTTCTGAAGATAAGTAATTCTTTTATTATATTATTTGTACTAAAGAATGTGGATATGACGTAGCTAGTAAGGAAATACTATTCTCTATATTCCACAGAAGTACTAGAGCATTCATTTTATAAGTACTTGGAATAACTTTTATATCGTGATGCTAAAATAAAACCAAAATAAATGCTAAAATAAAACCAAAAGTCTTGAGAAACAAACTGACAGAAACTTAAAATATTTCTTTCTTTAATCCTTTCAAAAATCTCCTTGGAAGGAGCAAATAGGCATTCCCTGCAATTAACATGCTACCTTTTTTTTTTTCCAGTTTCATTTTAAATTATTTGAACAAAAAAGAATTTCAATACTTGCTTGAAGAGTCATTTTAGAAAATAGGAGACATGCTTTAAGATTTTTTCCTTCAAGTCCATTCATTCACATGAATAATAAATATGTATTGTCTTCTGACATTTATACCTCCTTTTTCAGACTTCTTATGGCCAGAGCAAGCAAAAAAGAAAATTTGTAACCAAGTTCCAGGGAACAGAAAGCAATACTGTTGTCCACTGTTCTACCATCTTCCCTATGGCTCCCTTAGTCTCTACAAATTTGAAATTACTTCTAGGAGTTGACCAATGGAGATCAATGTAGGTGGAAACAAAGTGAACAACTACCTAATTCTTACGGCCCCAGTAATTGTATGGCTCTGAGAGAGTACGTCCAAGTTAACAATTTAAACTTACCTCAGTGAGTTATTTTATGAGTTTAGAGCAGAGACCATAAGGCATTTTGTAACTGCAAACTGTTCTAAAGAATTAAAAAATGTAAATATACAAGAAGGAAAAGGATAACATGAAAGGAAGCACTTAGAGTAAATAATAATGTTGCTATTTTGTCAACAAATGAGAGATTTGATATTTTTTTAATTAATTAGTTTATTTTTTTGAGATGGAGTCTCACTCTGTCGCCCAGGTTGGAGTGGCGCAGTGGTGCCATCTCGGCTCACTTCAAGCTCCGCCTCACGGGTTCACACCATTCTCCTGACTCAGCCTCCCGAGTAGCTGGGACCACAGGCACCTGCCACCACATCCAGCTAATTTTTTTTGTATTTTTAGTAGAGACGGGGATTCACCGTGTGTTAGCCAAGATGGTCTCGATCTCCTGACTCGTGATCAGGCCGCCTCGGCCTCCCAAAGTGCTGGGATTACAGGTGTGAGCCACTGCGCCTGGCCCAAGATTTGATATTTAAAAGATCAATATTATTAAATGACCTACCAAAATATTTCCAGTCTATTTGTTTTTCTGTCCAATAGTAAGAAAAAAAAAACCCACTCTTTCCACCCCTATTCTCTTTACCATACCTGAAAGCACTGATAGAAAAGGGGGCTCTTTTTATTAAGCGCTGCTTTCCAGTGGTGAGATTCATTTGCTTCATTTCTGTATACAAAGACAAGATATTAGATAAGTCATAAAAGTACACTGTACTATAAAGTGTCATGAAGATTAATAGCCACGCTACGCGATGATCAGGAATCATGGAGCTTCGGGAGTAGCTGGCAAGCATAGTGTATTATGGGTACTTTACCATGCAGCTAGCTATGTACCACGTTGTGGAGGTGTTATTCAAGGAAGCACAGCTTCATTGCTTGACGTAAGCTCACACATAAAGATGCTCATTTCATCCACTGCTCAGTATGCACGGTCTATTCCCCTTCTGTATCACACTTAGGTTAAACAGACACTAAACTAGGAGAGTTCTAAACTTAGGAAAGCTAAGAGTACTAGAAAGAGAGAAATTACAGTATTAAATGTGGTTGGTTTATTAAGAAGAAAAATGTACTTTCATCTCTCCAAAAATTTTGGAAATGATTATAAAACTTGTACAACTCACAGAATTTCAAAAATTTCTACATTTCCTGATTTCTCTTTAATTATATAACTAAACCTAAAAAATAGAAAACCTGGCTAGACCCAGTACAAACTTACATAAAAAGATTCTAGTGATAAGAGACTAAGTACTTAAAGGTATCATTTTCTGCTTTCATCCATGCCTCAGTCATACCAATATTTACCAGGTCCATTTCTTCATTCCTCAAAGTTAAGTAGTGATTCTTAATGTAAGATTCTAGCCAGTTTATCTCATCTAATTGACATCATTCCATTTCAAAATGATTATGTTTACCCACCCAGGCTAAGGCTAGTATAAAGTGTGTTCTGTCCTTTCTGTGTTCTCCTAGACTCTACACATACTGGATTTACCACTGTTCAGGGAAAAAGCAAGATCATCTCAGCATGTGGAGCAAGACCTGTGATGCCATCTTCTTGGACCATCTCATTTTTTAGTTTACTTTTCACCATTTTTATAGAGAAAACCTGAGTTGGCTAGTGGCAGAATGGTTGGAGCTGATAACTGCAAAGAGTACATGTGAAATGCTAATATCCATGCCTCTGAAACAGGATCATTACACAGAGGGTTGGGGAACTCCAGTTATTAGTATATGTAACTCCCATTCCTTAATAATGATATTTTTAATAAACTCTTTTTTCTGAGAGCAAGTTTCCAAAAAGTGTAGTCTACTAAAAAATATTCTTTCAGAAACATGTGGCTTGCTGAATTACCTATCAAATGCTTTGATACAGTTCATCCTCTACATGAGGTCTGGTGTCTGTGCATATCATTCGGTTTCAGTTCTTCCTCAAAAATACTTGTACACATGACTAAAAATGCCTACCAGATACCTTCTGCCTAGACTGCAACAGAGGGACAAATGTCAGGGCCTCTTAAATCCTGCTTATTTGCCTAATGGCATTAAAAAAAAAATGGCTTGTCACGAGCAAGGATCTAATGGTTTTTAACTCTTGATAATTAAAAAAAAAAGCAAGAAAAACAACTTTGGTGGGATAATAATTATTGCATATTTGGTTCCATCAATCCCTTACTGGACAAATCCCCTTCACTGTTTCTGGGCCTTGGTTCATCCAAGGGGATTTCCTAACGTTTCACCACCCTACCCAGCCACAATACACTACTAACACTGTCATAAAGACACTACTCACAGGAATTGAGAAAGAACAGCTAAAGGACCAAGCTGTGTAGCAAACAAAATGTACTTTTATTAAGAAAGCCTCCCATCCAGGTCTTGTTTGCCTCTAAGCAATAAATAGCTGAAACTAACAGCCTGAAACTTGAGGAGCTCAGTTCATCAGGTTTTTCATGGGATACCCCAAAACATGCCCATATAACACAGATGAAATCCAAAGTGGGGCTGATTTCCAGATTATCTGGCTAATCTGTGGAAGAGCCAAATCAATCAGAAAATGACAGAAGGCAATGTCCATTAAAGAAATTGTTTTCTGACAAAGACATCGAGAGAAAGATCACTCAGCTAAAAGTTGTTCTTGAAACTATTGCCAGCTACCTATGACTTTCTCACTTAACATCTGTTTGATCCTTAAAGTAAAAAAGTTCTGGCCAGGCAAGGTGGCTCACGCCTGTAATCCCAGCACTTTGGGAGGTGGAGGCGGGTGGATCAGGAGGTCAGGAGTTCAAGACCAGCCTTGTCAACATGATGAAACGCTGTCTCTACTAAAAATACAAAAAAATTAGCCGGGTGTGGGGGCGGGTGCCTGTAATCCCAGCTACTCGGGAGGCTGAGGCAGAGAATTGCTTGAACCCGGGAGGCGGAGGCTGCAGTGAGCCGAGATCATGCCACTGCACACCAGCCTGGGCAACACAGTGAGACGTCTCAAAAAAAAAAAAAAAAAAAGTAAAAATGTTCTTAAATGTTCTTATCTATTTCAAAAGACTGATGGGATGAATAAAACAACTGATACGGTGTTTTGTGTTCCTTAGAAGACAAGTATTAAATGCACTTAATATATAAGACAATCTTCACATACATTAATATATACAAACATATAAACACACCTTTTATAAAAGGCAATGTTGCTCAAGATTTTAAAACTTGAATTTTTATAGAGGTATTTTTGTATATAACAAAAAAGATATACTTCACTGTTTGCAAATATATCAACTAATCCTGACCTTCAGAGCTGTAGATTTTATCATATCAATATACTAAAAACACACAACTATTAGGGAAAAAAACATACCTGCAAAGTCTATCTTGTAGCTGAATTTGGAAGTAGTAAAAGAAATGGAGCCACAAGGGTTTGTTTTGAAGCTTTTTTCGATATCTTCACTGCTAACTGAACACTGACTGTTGGTATCCGGCTTTAAGACAAACCAGAAAGTTTCATTTACCAGCTGTTCACATTAATGACTTGGCCACAGAGGTGGTACTGTGGTCATAGAGACAGGGAATGGAGGGGCGAGGGAAACTTACTAATCACCTGTTCTAGTTCCCAACACACAGGGAGAATCACAACTAAGCCAGCATATTGAAAATGGTTTAAGGATCTCCAGTGAAGAGACAACTGGTTATAGTCCCCTTCAATAACAGATATATATAGAAATATAGTTATTTTTCCAGATAATTACAATTTTTACAGATTATTCCAATAATTATACTTTCTAAGTGGCTCAAGTTAAATCTTCTTTATATAGTTTAGTAGAGTAAAAAAAAGACTACAGGTTTTGAGTGCGGATTCAAATCTCAGTTTAACTAGCTGTGTGACCCTTGACAAATTATGTCAACTTTTGTGAGTTTCACTTTCCTTGACTGTAAGACAGAATGTTAACATCTGCTTCCAAGTTACTGTGAGGATAAGGGAGAAAATCAATGTACAACACCTAACATAATACCTGGCATACAGAAGTGTTTAATACGGATTTGTTCTTCCCTTTCTCTTTGTCCACCAAACCAAACTTGGAGTTGCTCAGATGTACTGACACCATGCAACTCTCAGTCACATTCACCCTCTATTGTTTCTTCTAAATAAATGAGTGTGAAAACTTGGGGAAAAGAAAAGGAAAAGCACTGGAAGAATTTCTAACTTTTCTTTTAGTTAAACAATTTTATTTCCTTAAGCTTTGACTTCAAGTTCTATATTTATACTCATTTTACATACATCAGCAAGGTGATGCTAAGTGAATCGAAAACACTTCTGCTAAATTAAAGGAAAGGAGGTACCTGAAACATGTGCCACTTCCCACATTCTGCCAAGTAAAACCAGCCCCACTGGGTATCTGACGTGTCCATGTCATCCACTTCATTGTTTGTTGTTTTAGAAAATAATTCTTCTGCTTTGTGAAACATCTCCTGAAAAGCCAGAAGGAGGTGGAGGAAGAAATAATTCTATTAATAACAAGTATACTTTTTACAGATCATTTTACTTCTTTACAAAGAGTGGTATTCAAGTGTCTTTCCTCCCATGACACTTTAAAAACAGCTTTCTATCTTTCATATTGGCTCTGAAGATAAACATTAAAAATGTTGGACATCATTGCTTAACAATTTAGGCAAGTAATAATAATCTTAGGTAGAATATGCCAGTGTCTATTCAACCATTTAAGTAAGCTATATCAACATCAATAAGCACTTCAGGTTTCAGCATAGCCCCAAGCATTTTCAATTTTATCTTATGCTCATGTATTTGGTCAAAAGGACCCATGCTATCACGCTGGTTAAGATCAAATGCATCTAATTTTTATTTTAAACAGTCATTTCATTTAATGGCATAGAAAGATATTTATATGGTGTTGAGTGTAAAAGATTACAAAAAAATAGAAATAGTATAATCCAATTTTAATAAAAATATACTTACTCCTGTGAACGTGCCTGTATCTGTGTAAGTGTATGTAAATGTTTACACACATATATAGAAAAAAGTCTGGATGTATATATAACAATCTACCACCAGTTTTTCTAAGTGTCAGGATACAATAACAATAATAGTAACCTTTATATTACTTACTACGTGCCAGCTACTGTTCTAAGGACTACACAGATGAAAATTCATTTAGGTCTCACAACAACCTAGAGACAGGTACTATCAGTACCCCAAATTTATAAATGAGGAAACTAAGGCATAGAGAGGTCATACAACAAGGAAGTCAAGATTCAAACCCAACATCCTGGCTTCAGGGTCTACGCACTTAGCCGCCGTCATATACTGTCTTATACTTCATTATCAATGATTTCATAATTTTAGCTATACCAATTAACTCACATATGCATTATCTTTGAAAAGTTTTAAACATTCTTGGTTGGGTATTGTAATGAAGAAGTCTCTAGAAAGGAGACAAAGAGGCTGGTCAAAGAAAATTAAACTCAATCTGGAATTTGGCTTCCTGTCCTCATTCTTTGAGGGTTTTTAAATTATTAAGTTTATACAACTACTACATAAAAAATATTCTTCTTGCAAAAAATCAGAACTTTCAAAATAAAGCTAAAGACTTTTTTAACCATCACTTCCATTCCTGGTACCTTCTCACTTTTCTTCTCCAGGGTTAGCCAATGCTATAATTTCACTGCATATCTTTCAGATCTCTCTCTCTCTCTCACTCTGTTTGTGTGTGTATAATTATACACACATAAAAACATATAGAGTTATTGATGATTTGTTAAAAATTTGATTTCCTGTATCATTGATTTTTTTAACAAAGAATATGTACTACTGGGTAATTTAGAAAATATTTGCCTTTTAATTTCATCATTTAAAATGTCCATCCTATTTTTAGAAGCTGTAGCAACCTGGAATAAGTTTCAATTGCCTTGTCTAGGCCACAGTTGGCTCTTCACAAAATGAAAAATGATAGACTCCTTCCTCATTGGGATGTTGTTATAAATGAATGAGACAATGTTATAAATGAACGAGACAAGTTCATTTATAACAGTGCCTGACCTCAATGAAGGGGGTTTGTTATTTTTTATATATGTTTGGAAACTCAAGCAATGCTTTATGATTATTTCCCATTTTTTTCTTCATGTTTTAAATTTGGTTGGCTTCTAAGAAATGAAAAATAGAACACCCTAGGATCAAAGCCTTCTGGTTTAGGACCCACTATTTACCTTATATATTTTAACCACATAATAAAGACAATGATTTAAAGTTTAAGACCAAACTGTCCAGTAAACTATTCACAATTCCTACTGCTTTTTTTTATTAATGTTCATTTCATTGGGCCATTTAACTGTGAGAAAGAGAGAAGGAAAGAAAGTGTGACCTAAATTTAGTTTTTCTTCTGAAAATAACCAGAAAAATTTGGAAGAATGAGATTGGAGCTAATAGTTAAGAAAAATATTTGCCTTACGAGTTCTATCTTTTCTCTATTAGAAAAGAGAATAGAAAATAGGAAAGTTCCCTTTATACAGCATACATATAACATGTGTGCTCCGCTATAAAACACCTTACCTAAGACTTCGCTTTAGGCCAGGTTATAAATGAAAGTGTTTCAGCAACATCCTTTCAGAGCTTTCTGTTATAAATCGCTTTGGGTGGGACAGGTACCATTGTATTGAACATTCCTAAAGCACTTCAAATCTTATACAATTCCTTATCAAATTACACTATTTTTTTCGTCCACAATCCAATGTGCAGGAGAGATAAGTGATTATTTTCCAATTAAAGTCAGGAAAAAAACCGAAGCAGAGAATAATACAATTTTTTGTCTAGATTCACAGCTAGCAGTACAGAGAATATTAAAGCAACACCTAAGGCCTCCTGAACATCACTTCTTCCCCTAAGTTACCAAGCCCCACTGTCTCCTTTTCACACATGGACAGTTATTTCTCCTCTCCTATGTTGCTAACATTTAGTTTAATTGCTTTGCTTCACAGATGCTCTGGGTTTCTTTAAAAAGATGCATTTTATAAGATTAAACATTTCCATTTTCTACAGTAAGTTTTCTCTCCAAAGAAATGACTATTTTGCATAATTATGCTCAAAGAGTTAAGTCAAATTTAAATTAATAACTTTAAAATATCGCAACCATAGTAAGAATGGCTCTAGGCTAGGACACATTTATAGGTAATAAAAAGAATATTCACCAGTTATCGGTTATGAAGCAGGTATTTAATAATGTTAGATGAATGAACTTGTTCAGTCACAATGCCATATCCTGTCTGATTTTCCTGTTTGTAATTAGAAGCAGGCTGGGAAGAAGAAAAAGCTAGTACAAAGCGGCAAAGCATTTTGTAAAGTTTCAAGGGCAATGGGTATGCTGGTAGAGCCTGTCCGTAATGTTATCTGTTACAAAGAGAATCTTTATTTACAGAGCCTGGGAACAGTCAGTCTGAATCATCAAATTGAAAAGCTGTGTGGAAAATGAGTTTAAAGTCAAAATCCTGGTCTATATAAGGAAAATAAGGCTGCCTTCCAGACTGGTTTCAAGTTTTCTGATATAAATTTTAGTTTACTACAACAAAGTATAATTTATTTTGTTAGCATGAGTATAGTATCTTCAGGAAATCATATTTGGTAATAACAACTTCCTTGCCTCTACATATAAAGAAGATCTCAAACCTGATCTTAAAAGCTTAAAAATGAACGAGAACTTCCAGAATGACAGAATAAGGAGCTCAGTGGAACTGGCAAAACTACATTTTAAAAACTAGTAGGCCGGGCGTGGTAGCTCACACCTGTTATCCCAGGGCTTTGGTGAGGCTGAGAAGGGAGGTTTGCATGAGGCCAGGAGTTTGAGGCAAGCCTGGCAACACAGTGAGACTCCATCTCTACAAAAAAATAAAATAAAAATTACTCAGGCATGCTGATGCATGCTTATAGTCCTAGCCCCTTGAGAGGCTGAGATGGAAGGATTACTTGAGCCTAGGAGTTTGAGGCTGCAGTGAGCTAACATCACGCCACTGCACTCCAGCTTGACACGGCAGAACCCTGCCTCACAAAAATTAATTAATTAAAAATTAAAAACTGCTGAAAATTTTTTTAAAAAACAAACATTTAAAGTCTCTGGAAACTGTACTAAGGGCATACAAAAAGTGGAGAAACATTCATTCAAGAAAATGTACTCAATCTCAGAACAAGTCAGAGTCTGTGGCGTTTGAGTTACAAACTGCACCATTCCCCACATCCTACCAGGTCTGTATTATGAAGCCTCTACCTGCGGTATATGTACCCAAAAGACAGGCAGAGGGCTCCCTCTCCCTCAGGCTTCCAGTCTGTGGCTAGTTTTACCCCGGGAAGGGCAGGCTGCTGGTGTTTCTCCTCTCCTTCAGCCCAGAGGTGTAGAAGCTCTGTTCTGGAGAGGTGACACAGAGGACCCGTCTCTCTTTCCCTACACAGCCCCCATTCAAAAGGTAGAATTTCTATTCCAGGTACAGCAGGCTGCAAATACTGGGCCCTGACTGCCACCGCCCCAACTTCCTCCCAGAGTAGAGGTTTTGTGCCAGGAGCAGTCAGCTAAGAAGACCAAGGGCTGCTACCAGCACTCCACTGCCCACTCTAAGAATGGAGTGTTACTCTGGGGAAAAAAGACTCTCACCTTCAGCCCCAGGAGCAGTGGCATGGAGACTTTGCTCAGGGGTAAAGACGAGCCATAAGGACAAAGAGCTCTACATTTCCATCTGAGAGGACTGACTTTATTTGGAACAGAGAGCAGAACCCCATGCCTAAGGGCATTATCAAAAACAGTGGGCCGGGTGTGGTGGTTCATGCCTGTGATCCCAGCACTTTGGGAGGCCAAGATGGGCAGATCACCTGAGGCCAGGAGTTTGAGACCAGCCTGGCCAACATGGTGAAACCCCAACTCTACAAAAAATACAAAACATTAGCCAGGTGTGGTGGCGTGCACCTGTAGTTCCAGCTACTCAGGAGGCCGAGAGAAGAGAACTGATTGAACCCAGGAGGCAAAGGTTTCAGTGAGCCAAGATCACACCATTGCACTCCAGCCTGGGCGACAAGAGCGACACTCCATCTCAAAAAAAAAAAAAAAAAGAAAGAAAGAAAACAGTGGAAATATTAATGAAAAACAATTAAGAAAGGCTAGGAGCTCCAATATAAGCAGAAAGGCAGAGCAAGCAGAAGTTTAATGCAGAGAACCAGAGACAGCCAAGAAGAGCCCTCTTAGATCAGAGAGGAGTCAGAAAGGCAGTATAAAAACACTAGGCTGTGTACACCCAGGAATGATCAGGGCAGAACGTGGGGCAGTCTTGAAAACGTTCTCTAAGCTATACACGTACCCACTGACAGAGCGGAGAAACTTCATTGGCACAAGGGTCTGAATCACCACCTCTGGCCAAACACGACGTAACAGAAGCTACTCTGACCCAGGGGTAATTCCTATGAAGCCAGGGTTAAATGAAACAGCACTGTCATCCCTGACAGTCTGGAACACTGTGTACATGCTCAAGGTTGGGCCCTCTCAGGAACTAACTTCCAAGCTTCTAGCACCTGGCTAAATGCAGGACAAAAAAAAATGTAAACTCCCTGAACTATAATAGCAGCCACCAAGCCACACACACATTTAACACTTAAGGGTAAAAATCTACCTACCTCAGGGAATGTAAGCACAACCTGTGACCAGTACATAGTCTATGCCAATCCAGAAATGCCACATAAGTAGTCAGGTTAAGAGGGGAAAAGTCTGAGCTGGGATATCAGAAGCTACACACTGTGAGGAAAATGGACTTTACAGAATTTGTTCAGCTATATCACTGTTATATACACATAAACCAATAACCAAACAAACAACCACAATAGGGATCAGTATCCAGAGTTGCTATGTTACTTAAAATATCCAGTTCTCAACAAAAAAATTATGAGACATAAAAAAACTTCATAAAGATGTGATCAATACACATAGAAAACCAAAAGAAGCTGCCTCTAGATGAGGCACAGGTGGTAGACTGGGCAAACAAACACTTCAAAGCAATTATTACAAATATGCTCAAAGACATAAATGAAACTTTGCTTAACAGGTTAAGGGAAATTATGATGACAATGTCTCATCAAATAAATAATATCAATAAAGAGAGAAATAATTTAAGATAATCAAATGGAAATTCTGGAGTTGAAAAGTATAGTAAGTAAAATGAAACACTCTAGAAAGGCTCAGTGGTAGATTTGTGAACAAGAAAATATCAGCAAACTTGAACATAAATTAATAGACATTATGTAACAGATGAAATGCAAGAAAGGAAAGAAAAAATTGCAGAAAAATAAACAGAGCATTAGAGAAATGTGGGATACCATTAAGTGCACCAACATATAAATAACTACAGTATCAGAAGCGGAGGAGAGAGAAAAAGGCACAGGAAAAACTTTAAAGAAAGTAAAACTATCCAAATTTGTAAATTTTATATATATATACACACACACATATATATATATACACACACTCACACACATATATATGTGTGTGTATAGATATAAATCTACACATCCAAGAAGCTCAATAAATTCCAAAAGGGAAAAACACAGAGATCCAAATGCAGACACATCAAAGTCAAAATTTCGAAAGCCAAAGACAAACAGAAAATCTTAAAATCAGCAAGAGAAAAACAACTGATCACATATAAGAGAATCCTAATGAGATTAACAGCTGACTTTTCTCATCAGAAACCCTAGAGGCCAAAAGTTAGGAGACATCATTCTCAAAATACATAAAGTAAAAAACAAACAAAAAAAAAGCGCCTATCAACCAAGAATCTTATACTAGCAAAACTATCTTTCAAAAATGAAGGTGAAATAAAGATATTGCCACAATTACAAAAACTGAGAGAATTCACTGCTAGCAAACTTGCTTTACAAGAAATAATAAAGGAAGTTTATCAGGCTGAAATGATACTAGGCATTCGTAATAATCCATGGGGGATAAAAAAGAAAAGAGCGCTGGTAAAAGGTATAATTGCTGATTTCTCCTTTCCTCTCTTGACTGATTTACAAGTAACTACATAAACCAATACATGAACTGCCAGTTCCAAGATGGTGGCACAGAAGAAAGCTGGCTTTGCTCCCTGCCCCCACAGAAAACCAAAAACAAATACACAGCACCAAGATTATCGCCAGCAATATCCCAGAATGCAAATATTATGTAGGGAGAGACAGTTCCCAGGGACACAGAGGAATGAAAAAACTCTGAGCAGACAGTAACGGAATTGGATTTCCTCACCCACGATGCCTCACCACAAAATCAGCCCAGCATCAAGCATACAGAAAACTTTCCCCTGATTCATGATTTCTACACTGGAAAAAGTGAGATTAAGGTGGCCAACCAGCTTTCCCACCATCTTGGGTTCCCTGACAGAAGACCTGTCCCTACCTCAATCTACAGGAAGCACTGGGAGTACCTGAAGGGAGAACTATCCCTGAAAACAGCCAGAGACAAAGGAGTCAAGTAGGACTACAATCCCTAACCCTGGAAACTGCTCTGTAACTCAATCAAAGGAGACGACACCAAATCAGAGTGGCTATTCAGCAACACCACATTGTAGGAGCTTCACTCCACAGGTTTCCCAGGCACAAACTCCAAGTCAGCCTTCCCGCACTGCCAGGATAACCTCTCTGGTACCTCTCCCACTCAGCATGGGCAGTGTCCTAATTATTTACTAGAGCTGAGAAAAACCTGAGCGTAAGGCACCATCTAGTGCTTAAAAGGAGGCAGGCCTAGTGGGTAAAAAAAGATACTCAACAGCTAAATTACAAAGATCTCTAATCTCTCTATAGTACAACTTGTTGAATCTACAAGATGTGTTTGTAAGTCTTGCGGTAACCATAATGCAAAAACCTATAATAGACCCACTAAAAATAAAAACTAATGAGTTAAAACATACGACCAGAGAAAATCACTTAACCAGAAAGGAAGATGTAAGAAAGGAAGAGAGCAGTTACAAAACAACCAGAAAATAAGCAACAAAATGAACTAGTAAGGACGACTTTATAAATAATAACCCTGAATGCAAATGGACTCGCTTCTCGAATTAAAGAGCACAGAGTGGCTGAATGGCGAAGAAAAAAAAAAACCAAGATCCAAATATATACTACCTACAAGAAACCGACCTCACCTATAAAGACACACATGAGGATGAAAGTGAAGGCATAAAGATGTTCCACGCAATTGGAAAACAAAGAAGAGCAAAGAGTAGCTATATTTATAAAGAGATAAAATAGACTATGAACAAGTCCTGTAAAAAGAGATAAAGAAGGTCAATAAATAATGATAATGGGGTCAACGAAGCAAGTGGACATAATTATAAATATCTATGCACTCAACACCCAAGATCTTAAGTATATAAAACAAACATTAATAGACTTAAAGTGAGGGGTAGACTGCAATACAGCAAAAGTAAGAAACTTAAAAAAATAATAAAAAGGGACTTCCAGCCAGAAAATCAACAACAACAACAACAAAAACAAAAAACACATCAGATTTAAACTACATACTAGATCAAATAGGCCTGTCATTTACAGAACATTTCACTCAATTGCTGGAGAATACACATTCTTTTCATCAACACATGAAATATTCTTCAGAATAGGCCATATCTTAGGCCACAAAAAGTCTCAACAATTTCAAAAAAGCAGAAATCGTATCACTTATCTTTTCTGACCACAATGAAACTAGAAACCAAAGAAAGGAGGAACTTTGGAAACTACACAAAAACATGGAAATTAAACAACATGCTCCAAAATGACCAACTAGCCAATGAAGAAATTAAGAAGGAAATTTAAAATCTCTTAAAGCAAATGAAAGTGGAGATACAAAATACCAAAATCTATGGGATACAACAAAAGCAGTACTAAAAGAGAAGTTTATAGCAATAAACAGCTGTATCAAAAAAGTACACTTCTAAAAAAAGAAAACAACAATCTAACAATGCAGACCTTAAGGAACTAGAAAAGCAAAAATAAACCAAATCCAAAATTAACAGAAGGAAATAATAAATACCAGAGCATAAATAAATAAAATTGAGACTTAAAAAGCAATATAAAAGATCAATGGTGCAAAAAGCCACATTTTTCAAAAGATAAACAAAAATGGACAATTCTTAGTCTTAGCAAGGCTAAGAAAAAAAGAGAAGATCCAGGGGGAGCCCCCACCCGCTCCCCGCCCCTCCGGCGCCCTCCAGCGTGGTGGGGAAACGAAAGGCCGCGTCTTTCTTTTTTGGTTTCCTCGGCTCCCGGCGTGGGGAGCGCGCGGGGGACGCAGGCCCCGCTTCACCTGAGCCGGCCCGGCGTGCGCGCCTGGGGCGGGGCTTTTCTCGCTTCACACCGGTACAGACGAGGAAACTTGTGGGGGCGGCGACCCCCGGCCTGGGTCCTGAGTCGGGCAGCGAGGCCGTCGGGAAGTGACTACTCACTCTCGGGGTTTTCCTTAATCCCGCTCCCCCCGTTTGTCGTGGGCGCGTGTTCGCTCCGAGGAGGCGGCCGCGTACGGACAGCCATGCATTAGGCAGGGCTCCCCTACGCGCCCGGAGAGCGCGGACCGCTGCCTCGGGCCGCCGCCGCCGCCTGCCGCCTGCCGCCGCTCGCGGAGCCCGAGCCCCAGCCCGAGCCGCCGCCTACCCCAGGCCGGGGCGTCGAGCAGCCGGCGGCCTGGCCATGTGGGGCTAGCCCTCGCGCCTGGCCTGCAGCAGGACCAGCAACATGGAGGCGGCCGTCGGCGTCCCCGACGGCGAGGACCAGGGCGGCGCGGGGCCCCGCGAGGACGCGACGCCCATGGACGCCTATCTGCGGAAACTGGGCTTGTATCGGAAACTGGTCGCCAAGGACGGGTCGTGCCTGTTCCGGGCCGTGGCGGAGCAGGTATTGCACTCTCAGTCTCGCCATGTTGAAGTCAGAATGGCCTGTATTCACTGTCTTCGAGAGAACAGAGAGAAATTTGAAGCGATTATAGGAGGATCATTTGAAGGATATTTAAAGCGCTTGGAAAATCCACAGGAATGGGTAGGACAAATGGAAATAAGTGCCCTTTCTCTTATGTACAGGAAAGATTTTATAACTAATCTGGAACCTAATGTTTCTCCTTCACAAGTAACTGAAAATAATTTTCCTGAAAAGGTGTTACTGTGTTTTTCAAATGGAAATCATTATGATATTGTGTATCCCGTAAAGTATAAAGAAAGCTCTGCTATGTGTCAGTCTCTCCTTTATGAATTGCTGTATGAGAAGGTATTTAAAACTGATGTTAGTAAAATTGTGATGGAACTAGACACGTTGGAAGTAGCTGATGAAGACAACAGTGAAATATCAGATTCAGAGGATGACAGCTGCAAGAGTAAAACTGCTGTTGCTGCTGCTGATGTGAATGGATTTAAACCTTTGTCAGGCAACGAGCAGCTGAAGAACAATGGGAACTCTACTAGCCTGCCTTTGGCTAGAAAGGTTCTTAAGTCACTCAATCCTGCAGTCTATAGAAATGTGGAATATGAAATTTGGCTGGAGTCTAAACAAGCTCAGCAAAAACGTGATTATTCCATTGCTGCTGGCTTACAATATGAAGTTGGAGACAAATGTCAAGTTAGGTTGGATCACAATGGAAAATTTTTGAATGCAGACGTTCAAGGAGTTCATTCTGAGAATGGACCAGTTTTGGTTGAAGAACTGGGAAAGTACACATCAAAGAACCTCAAGGCACCTCCCCCAGAAAGCTGGAACACAGTGTCAGGGAAGAAGATGAAAAAACCTTCCACTTCTGGACAAAATTTCCATTCTGATATGGATTACAGAGGGCCAAAGAATCCAAGCAAGCCAATAAAAGCCCCATTAGCACTACCTCCTCGACTGCAGCATCCTTCAGGAGTAAGACAACGTGAGTTCTCTAGTCATTCTTCAGGGTCACAGTCTCAGAAATTCTCCAGTGAGCACAAAAATCTTAGCCGGACACCTTCACAGATCATAAGAAAACCTGATCGTGAAAGAGTTGAGGATTCTGATCACACAAGTCGAGAATCTAACTATTGCTACTTCTCAGAGTAGCAATCCATGTGTCCAGAGAAAATCATCACACGTAAGTGATAGAAAAGGAAGCAGGCGGAGAATGGATACAGAAGAACGAAAAGACAAAGACTCTATTCATGGACATAGTTGGATAAAAGACCCGAACCAAGCATATTGGAGAATATTACTGATGATAAATATGCAACAGTTTCATCACCATCAAAGTCAAAGAAGTTAGAGTGCCCTTCTCCTGCAGAACAAAAGCCAGCAGAACATGTGTCTTTGTCAAATCCAGCTCCCCTTCTAGTTTCTCCAGAGGTACATCTAACTCCTGCAGTGCCTTCTTTACCAGCCACTGTGCCAGCCTGGCCAAGTGAACCTACAACTTTTGGACCAACAGGTGTCCCTGCTCCAATTCCTGGTCGGTCAGTGACACAGACTTTGACCCCTGGACCTGATTCTGCTGTATCCCAAACTCATTTAACACCCTCTCCAGTTCCTGTGTCAATACAGGCAGTTAACCAGCCCTTGATGCCTTTGCCTCAGACATTGAGCCTTTATCAAGACCCACTCTATCCTGGGTTTCCTTGTAATGAAAAGGGAGATCGAGCCATTGTACCACCTTCTTCACTGTGTCAGACTGGGGAGGACCTACCTAAAGATAAGAATATTCTTCGATTCTTCTTCAATCTTGGTGTGAAGGCATACAGTTGTCCTGTGTGGGCCCCACATTCTTACCTGTACCCTCTGCACCAGGCCTACCTGGCAGCCTGCAGGATGTACCCAAAGGTCCCTGTCCCTGTTTATCTTCATAATCCCTGGTTCAAAGAGGCTCCTGCCGCCCAGAATTAAAGTGATTGTACCTGTACTGATGCCCACTTTCCTATGCAGACTGAGGCTAGTGTTAATGGTCAAATGCTACAGCCAGTGATTGGACCGCCGACATTTTCTTCACCTCTGGTTATCCCTCCATCTCAGGTGTCTGAAAGTCACGGACAATTGTCTTACCAGGCTGATCTTGAATCTGAGACCCCTGGGCAGCTTCTGCATGCTGATTATGAAGAGTCACTGAGTGGCAAGAATATGTTCCCCCAGCCATCTTTTGGACCCAATCCATTCTTAGGCCCAGTTCCTATTGCACCTCCTTTCTTTCCTCATGTTTGGCATGGGTACCCTTTTCAGGGATTCATAGAAAATCCAGTAATGAGGCAGAATATTGTCCTGCCCTCTGATGAGAAAGGAGAATTGGATCTGTCTCTGGAAAATCTGGATCTGTCTAAAGATTGTGGTTCAGTTTCCACAGTAGATGAGTTTCCAGCAGCCAGGAGTGAACATGTACATTCTCTCCCTGAAGCAAGTGTGAGCAGTAAGCCAGACGAAGGCCGGACAGAGCAATCTTCCCAGACACGAAAGGCAGATATGGCATTGGCTTCCATCCCTCCTGTAGCAGAGGGAAAGGCTCACCCTCCCACTCAGATTCTAAACAGAGAGAGAGAGAAATTGTGCCTGTTGAACTTGAACCTAAAAGGACCATTCAAAGTCTGAAAGAAAAAACAGAAAAAGTAAAAGATCCTAAGACTGCTGCTGATGTGGTCAGCCCTGGGGCCAACTCTGTGGATAGCAGAGTGCAAAGACCAAAAGAAGAGAGTTCAGAAAATGAAAATGAAGTGTCATATTTTGAGAAGTGGTAGATCCAAGCAGTTCTATAATCAAACTTATGGGAGCAGGAAGTACAAAAGTGATTGGGGCTATTCTGGTAGGGGCGGATATCAACATGTGAGAAGTGAGGAGTCCTGGAAAGGACAGCCAAGCAGAAGTCGGGATGAAGGTTATCAGTACCATCGAAATGTCAGAGGGCGACCATTTAGGGGAGATAGGAGGAGATCAGGGATGGGAGATGGCCATAGGGGACAGCACGCTTGACGGTTGTTGCCGAAGTATTTTCTAACAGAAACTCTTAGGTGGAATGTTTCTGAAGGCTTTAAAAAACTACAATAAAGTAAAAACCCCAGTTGGAACTCTTTCCTCTCCCCAGCCTCCTTACCTTCCCTCCCATACTCGACAAGACATTGTGGACATGAGTTCAAGGGGGCAGGTTAATTCCTGGCATTGCCGGTTTTCTTCATTCAGAATCTGTTTATCTATCAAGTGACTGTCCTCGTAAAAAGCAGATGTTTGTTAAAGTATTTTTATAAGCAGCTTAATATAAAACATTATAGATTTAGTGTTTGGCTTTTTCCTTATAAGTTTATAAGTCTGATTTCAAATGTTGGAAATGTGTGCTTTATAGTGCTTACTAAAGTGACAAGAAAATACACCATTTGACACACTATAGATTCCAAACATAACGTTGCACCAAATAGAAATGTCTATTTTATTATGCAATGCCTTAGTCATAAACTGGGCTCAGACAATTCTCAGCCTAAAACACTGTTGTCTTTTAAAATGCTTCCAACCCAAAGGCCTTTCATCTCGATATCTGTCAAACTTGAATAATGTCTTCTCTTTAATATTCACATAAGGCAGCCTATTAACTGTGTCTTAGCAATGTTGTATATAGTTCTTTTAATATTCATAAGGTATATTTTTGAATTTTGGTATTTGTTGAGATTGCACAGAAGTATAGTAGGAAATCCAATGAAATGGCTGTTTCCACCAAGAATTCTTAGCACTGGTGTAAATATCATGGTGCCTACTCGAAAGAAATGTAGATGCTACGCATTTTGAAAATAATCTGCATCAGTCAGAACTGCAGAAGTTTTCTAAATGCCACTTTAACACTAATGCACTGACAGATTCTAAATATTTTGTGAGAAGAAATGTTAAAAATTTTTAGCTTGACAGGTTTCTAGAGTTACTGTGTGTGTATTTTTTTTCCCCTTGCACCATTGGTTATGTATCACTTTCACTTTACACTTGCATGTTCTCCTTGTCAGGGCTGGAACTATCGTATAGAAGATAATATGATTGTGACTTCTAGTTCTTTTCTAGAGGATGCTGCTAGAAAATGGTTTTGCTTTGTATTTTATAGCTTGTTACCCTTAGGTAGGTAACATCTTCCATTCTGCTTTCTTCCAGTCTTTGCAGTATTCACTAGAGGTTCCCTTTGCATGTTGTACTCTGTCCTCATTTGGAGATTGAACTCTGAATTAACACAGTATTCATTCATCTGTGTTATTTTGTAAAAATAACTGTAGCTTATATTCCTTATTTGTACATACCAATGTGAAAATCCACTCTTTTATTATGTTGAGATTATCTTCTGATCAGGAAGTTTGAGTGCTATGCAAATAACATAGTAGTAATTTCTCTTTGCATACCATGTGTAATACACCTAGCCAAAACCAGATGCGGTGACTTTCTTTTTTTGTAAAGCAAATTACTTAAGAAAATACAATTCACTTGAATTTGACAAACTGAAACAGATGAGTTTTCTGGGTTCTCTGATAACCTATGGGAATGTTTGGATGCCAGCTGGGCTCAGTGAATCGCCACTGTACTGTAATAATGGTTATTTACCTCTGTGCTGTTTTAATTACCTAACGTCCGTGTAACTGCTGATTTGAGTAGTGATTAGCATTTAGATAATGTAACAGGATTTTAGAGAGCACTTTGAAAGATAACATTTTATTATGATGGTGCTAGGTAAAAAATTGTAAAGACTGGGATGGTTGTGTGGAAAACATTTTTTGAGAGAATCTATTGAAAGGAATTTGTTGTCACCTTCTAAACTAGAATAGTTGTTGAAGGTACCGCTTAAGCCATTTCTTTCTTAACACTGGTGGCTCAGTTAAGGAATGAGAAGATAGAGGGTCCTCCACTTTCAGCTTATGCTTTTTTTTGTAGGACTAGCTTACCTGATTTTAATGAAAATCACATTTTGATAGAAACACCAGATTTGAAAGTTCAATGTGTTTGATCTCAGGAGTCCAAAATAAGTTGTTGCTGCATTTTATTGACTGGGGTTTTATCTCAGCTTCTGAAAATGTTTAAAAATTGGAAGGAAATACTATTCATATCTTCATTGTCACTTTGTCTTACCTCAATTGAGTAACAGAATATATAGCTCCTGAAGGAAACACTGATTTGCTTTCTGTTTCCCATATCTCACCTCTAGGATATGATGGAAGAAGTGCTTGAAAGAGAATTTTAGCAGATGGTACTTTTCTCAGTGACCTCCGGAATAAAAGAACTGACTTTTGATAGTTTTAAAATTAATCTTTGCATGAAGGTTGGTTTCGCTTTTATCCTTTAAGTTTGTTTTTAAATGTATTAATTAGTCCACGGGATTTTGCCTTATGCTGAGGTCAAACTAAGGCTAAGCAAGCTTTTGTCCTTCATTTTAACTGTTTATGTCATACTGTATGTTGACATATTTCTTTATAAGAGAATAGAGGCAAAAGTATAGAACTGAGGATCATTTGCATTTTTGAGTTGGAAATTATGAAACTTCACCATATTATGATCATACATATTTTGAAGAACAGACTGACCAAAGCTCACCTGTTTTTTGTGTTAGGTGCTTTGGCTGAACTTTATTCCAGCCCCCTTTTCCCTTTGGTGTTGTGTATGTCTCTTCATTTCCTCTCAAATAAATCTTCAACTCTTGCCCCATGTCTCCTTGGCAGCAGGATGCTGGCATCTGTGTAGTCCTCATACTGTTTACTGATAACCCACAAATTCATTTTCATGGCAGACCTAAGCTCAGACCCTGCCTTGTCCTGGCAAGAGTAGGTTTCCCAGACCACAATGCCGATATATCTTATTTAATGCAGACTGTATTCTTGCAGTGTGTTGTTTCCTTTGTGACTCAAGGTTGAATTAAAATGCCTGTGAACTGCAAACTTGCTTATGATTGACTTGGTGCAATAAAGTTCCTTTCTAACCATTTCTGGTTTAGAAAACATTCAGCCATCCTAGAAACTAGCAATATTTATTTTGGCCTCTTTTGTTTTACCCTTCATTTTTAGATGAGGTAAATGTTTTGTCTTTTACTTAAGGATACTAAGCAAGGTCCACTCTAGTGTAGCTGAAGAGAATACGTATTTGGCTACACTATTTCTGTGTACTGTGTTTTGCTTCCTACTTTATGTCTAAATGCTATTGTTTTTGTTTAGAATCCTAATAATGTCTCATTTCCAATATGTTATTTTCAAATAACTAAGGTTTTGCTACTAGTGTCAGCCATTTACTCTCCCACTAATTGGGATTATTTTTTAAAAGAGGTCTTTCTCCCCGAAATACAAGTTTTAGAAAATCTTAGAAGAGGAGTGGGTGCATGTCTTAATGCTGGGAAGCAGCAACTTTGGGGTTGAACTTACTTGAATGGATTAAAAATTGCATTGTGTTACAGAGCTGAAAATTTTGTGTATGAAAAACGATAATAGCCTTACACTGAGTACAAATAATACTTTAAGAGCATGTGAAGATGTGATCATTTGTGATGTTACTTGTAAAAAAAGTATATATACGTATCTTTTGAAGTGTTAAAAGGAAACTAGTACTTTATATTCTTTATCATATCACTTTTTGTAAGTGTTGAATATATTCCTGTTTATTTTTCTATGTTCTGTTTTGTAGCCTTAAGAAGTGTTTCAAACATATCTGAATGTATAAAATAAGAGTAAATGCCCTACATGGTGTGATGCTGCATTATATATAAAACTGTGTGCATATATTTAAAAAAAAAAAGAAAAACAGAGAACATCCAAATAAAATCAGAAATGAAAAAGGTGACAACTGAGACCACAAGAAATACAAAGAATTATTAGAGACTATTATGGACAACATGCCAACAAATTGGAAAACTTAGAAGAAATGGATAAATTCCTGGACATATAGAATCTACTATGATTAAATCATAAAGAAATAGAAAACTTGGATTGGGCGCAGTAGCTCATGCCTGTAATCCCAGCACTTTGGGAGGCCAAGGTGGGTGGATCGTGAGGTCAGGAGATCGAGACCATCCTGGCTAACACGGTGAAACCCCGTCTCTACTAAAAATACAAAAAAATTAGCCAGGTGTGGTGGCAGGCGCCTGTAGTCCCAGCTACTCGGGAGGCTGAATCAGGAAAATGGCGTGAACCCAGGAGGCAGAGCTTGCAGTGAGCCAAGATTGCGCCACTGCACTCCAGCCTGGGCAACAGAGCGAGACTCCGTCTTAAAAAAAAAAAAAAAGAAAAGAAAAAAGAAATAGAAAACTTGAATAGGATGGGTGCAGTGGCTCATGCCTATAATCCCAGCACTTTGGGAGGCTGAGGTAGGAGGATCATTTATGGCCAGGAGTTCAAGACCAGTCTAGGCAACATAGCAAAACTCTGTCTCTGCACAAAATTTAAAAATTAGCTGGGCACGTGCCTGTGGTCCCAAATACTTGGGAGGCTGAGGTGGGAGTATCACCTGAGCTCTGGCAGTTAAAGCTACAGTGAGCTATGACTGCACCACTGCACTCCAGCCTGGTCAACAGAGAGAGATCCTGTAGGAAGAAAGAAAAAGAAAACAGAAGAAGAGAAAGAAAAGAAGAGGAAAAATAAAGAAAATTAAACCTAAGCAAACCAACAATAAGTAACAAGATTGAAGCTGTAATTATGTCTCCCATCAAAGAAAAGCTCAGGACCTGATGGCTTCACTGCTGAATTCTACCAAACATTTAAAGAACTAATGCTAATTCTACTTAAACTCTTCAAAAAAATTGAAAAGGAGGAAATACTTCAAACTCAATTCTACGAGACAGCATTATCCTGATATCAAAACCCAATAAGGACACAACAAACAAAGAAAACCATAGGCCAATATCACCCATGTACATAGATGCAAAAATCCTCAATAAAATACTAGAAAACTGAATTCAACAACACATTAAAAAAATCATTCACCATGATCAAGTGGGATTCACATCCCAAGGATGCAAGGATGGTTCAACATATGCAAATCAATCAACATGACAGATCACAACAACAGAGAACCAAGAAGAAAAACCATATAATCATTTTAATAGATGCTTTAAAAGCATTTGATAAAATTCAACATCTTCTTATAATAAAAACCCTCAACAAACTGGATATAGAAGAAACGTATCTCAAAATAATAAAGGCCAGATGACAAACCCACAGCTAGTATCACACTAAATGGGAAAAAATTAAAAGCCTTTCTTCTAAGATCTTGAACAAGACAAAGATGTCCAGTTTCACTACTGTTACTCAACATGATATTGGAAGTCCTGGCAAGAGTTAGGCAAGAAAGAGAAATAAATGGCAACCAAATTGGAGAGAAAGAAGTTAAATTTCCTTTGTTGACAGAAGACATAATCCTATTCTTAAAGAAACCTAAAAACTCCACCAAAAATTATTAGAACTGATAAATTCAGTAAAACTGCAGGTTACAAAATCAACATACAAAAATTAGTAGCATTTATACATGCCAAGAGCAAACAATCTAAAAAAGAAATCAAGAAAGCAATTCAATTTACAATAGCTACAAAGAATATAAAATACATACGAGTCAATTTAACTAAAATGAAAGATCTATACAGGAAAAACTATAAAATGCTTATGAAAGAAATTAAAGACATAAAAATGGAAAGATATTCCATGCTCATGAATTGAAACAATTAATATTGTTAAAATGACAATACTGCCCAAAGCAATTTACAGGTTCAACATAATCCCTATCAAAATACCATGACATTCTTCACAGAAATAAACAAACGCAAAAAATCCTAAAATTTATATAGAACCACAAAAGACCCTGAATAGCCAAAGCAATCTTGAGCAAAAATAAGGCTAGAGGCCTCACATTACCTGACTTCAAAATATACTACAAAGCTATAGTAATCAAATCAGCACGATACTTGCATAAAAAGACACATAGACCAATGGAACAGAATAGAGAACCCAGATATAAATCCACACATTTACAGCTAACTCATTTCAACAAAGTCACCACGAACATAGAATGGGAACAGTCTCTTCAATAAATGGTGCTGGGAAAACTGAATAAAGACTATCTAATTCGCAGAAGAATAAAACTATACCACTATCTCTAACCACATTAAAAAATCAAATCAAAATGAATTAAAGACTTAAATCTAAGATCTGAAACTATGAAACTACTAGAAGAAAACACTGGGGAAATAAGAACATTGGTCTGGGCAAGATTTTTTGTGTGAGACCTCAAAAGCACTGCAACCAAAGCAAAAATGGATCACTGGAATTACATCAAACTAAAAAGAGTCTACACAACAAAGGAAACAATCAACAAAGTGAAGAAACAAGTCACAGAATGGGAGAAAATATGTGCAAACTATCAATGTGACAATGGATTCATAATAATAATATATAAGGAGCTCAAACAATTCAACAGCAAAAGAAAAAAAAAAACACAAATAATCCAATTTAAAAATGGGCAAAAGACCTGAATAGATATTTCTCAAAAGACATACAAATTGCCAACAGGTATATGAGAAAATGCTCAAAATCACTAATTTTCAGAGAAATGCAAACCAAAACCACAATGAGACATCATCTCACCTCAGTTAAAATAGCTTTTATAAAAAGACAAAGAATAACGAATGCTAGCAAGGATGTGGAGAAAATGGAACCCTCGTTCACTGTTGGTGGGAATGTAAATAAGAACAGTCACCATGGAAAATTATGGAGGTACCTCAAAAAAAAATAGAACTACCATATTATCCAGCAACTCCACGACTGAGTATATACCTAAAAGAAAAAAAATCAGTACACTGAAGGGATATCTGCACTCCCATGTTTATTGCAGAATGATACATAATAGCCAAGATAGGGAATCAACCTAAGTATCCATCCATGGATGAATGGATAAAGAAAATGTGGTTTATATACACAATGGATTATCGAGCTGTAAAAAAGAATGGAGTCATGACATTGGCAGCAACATGGATGAAATGAGAATTCGTTATGTCAAGTAAAATAAGCCAAGCACGGAAAGACAAATATCACCTGTTCTCATTCATATGTAGGAGCTAAATAAGTGGAACTCATGAAGAGACAAAGTAGATTGGTGGTTACCAGAGGCTGGGAAGGGCAGGGGGAGAGACTGATTAAAAGAGGTTGATTAATGGGTATAAATATACAGTTAGATATAAGAAATAAGACCTAGAAGTGATAAGACCTAGTGTTCAATAGATCAGTAGGGTGACTGTAGTTTACAATAATCTATTGTACATTTCAAAATAGCTAGAAGGGAATAGTTTGAATGGTTTCTAGCATAAAGAAGACAAGTATTTAAGGTGATAGATATCCTATTACCCTGATTTCATATGTAAATTTTATGTGAATTTATTAAATTATCACATGTCCTGAAAATATGTATATCGATTATGTATCAACTTTTTAAATATGTATTTAATTTTAAATATGTATTTAATTAAATACATATCATTATGCCTATAATATACAGAACTGTTAAATATACAATAGCAGCATCAAGAAGGCAGGTGGGAACAAAGCTATATTGGAGAAGGAAATAACACCATATGGTAACTCAAATCCACAAGAAGAATCACAGTAAATAAGATGGTATATGTAATAAATTAAATATAGATGCTACATACTTGTTCTCCCCTTTTTTCTATCAGCTTCCTTAAAAGACATATAATTATGTAAAGTAATAATAAAAATGTATAGTTGGGTTGGTAACATATATAGACATAATATATATAGCATAATTATATCAGTTCGAACACCCCTAATCCAAAAATCTGAAATCAGAATTCCTCCAAAATCCAAAACTTTTTGAGACTTTACATAAGGCCACAAGTGGAAAATTCTACTCCTGACTTCATGTGATGGGTCACAGTCAAAATGAGAGAGTATAATATACAGTTTATTCAAGGGAAAAAAGACTTTCCCAGGCCCTTTCAGCTGTAATATATATTTTCCTCACATGTCCAGATTCCCCCACGCAAGCATGTCCACAAAGGGTAATAAAATGGTATATGTACAGGCTGGATACGCCAATGGCAGGTTCCTCACAATGCCCCACAAGAGGCCAATATCTATGTGCATTACTGTGTTTTTTTCTTATTCTCTGCTCTGCAGTATAAAGATACTGTTGACAAGGTCAGAAAGGCCTGCAGATATCACTGTGGATAACAGTGATAAGAAAAAAAGGAAAGCATTTATATTTATCTACAAAACAGAAAGTCAAGCTGTTATAGCAACTGGACAGCAATGTTAAGTCTGAAATATCTTACAGAAGAGTATGGTGTTGAAATGACCACTATATATATGATCTGAAGAAAGAGAAGGACCAACTATGAAAGTTCTATGTTGAAAGTAATGAACAGAAGTTAATAAAAATGGAAAAATCCTACATAAAGCTAAAAACAAAATCTTGTTCATGTATTGAAAGGATAGTCCATCAGCATCACAGAGAATCCATGCCACTTAATAGTATGCTGATCATGAAATAATCAAAGATCATGATGAACTGAAAATTGAAAAGAATACTGAATACTCAACAGGCATGTTACAGAAATTTAAGAAAAGATACAGCATTGGGGGTCCATTCCAAGATGGCCAAATAGGAACAGCTCTGGTCCACAGCTCCCAGCGTGACTGACACAGAAGACAGGTGATTTCTGCATTTCCAACTGAGGTACCTGGTTCATGTCATTGGGACTGGTTGGGCAGCGGGTGCAGCCCACAGAGGGCAAGCCGAAGAAGGGCAGGGCATCGCCTCACCCAGGAAGCACAAGGGATTGGGGGATTTCCCTTTCCTAGCCAAGGGAAGCCGTGACAGATTGTACCAGGAAAACTGGGACACTGCTACCCAAATACTGCCCTTTACCAACAGTCTTAGCAAATGGCACACCAGGAGATTATATCCCGCACCTGGCTCAGCGGGTCCCATGCCCACAGAGCCTTGCTCACTGCTAGCGCAGCAGTCCGAGATCAAACTGCAAGGCAGCAGCCTGGCTTGGGGAGGGGTTTCCACCATTGCTGAGGCTTGAGTAGGTAAACAAAGTGGCCAGGAAGCTTGAACTGGGTGGAGCCCACCGCAACTCAATGAGGCCTGCCTACCTCTGTAGACTCCACCTCTGGGGGCAGGGCATAGCTGAACAAAAGGCAGCAGAAACTTCTGCAGACTTAAATGTCCGTGTCTGACAGCTCAGAAGAGAGCAGTGGTTCTCCCAGCACAGTGTTTGAGCTCCAAGAATGGACAGACTGCCTCCTCAAGTGGGTCCCTGACCCCCGTGTAGCTTAACTGGGAGACACCTCCCAGTAGGGGCCGACTGACACCTCATACAGTCGGATGCCCCTCTGAGACGAAGCTTCCTGAGGAAGGATCAGGCAGCAATATTTGCTGTTCTGCAATATTTGCTGTTCTGCAGCCTCCGCTGGGATACCCAGGCAAACAGGTTCTGGAGTGGACCTCCAGCAAACTCCAACAGACGTGCAGCAGAGGAACCTGACTGTTAGAAGGAAAACTAACAAACAGAAAGGAATAGCATCAACACCAACAAAAAGGATATTCACACCAAAACCCCATCTATAGGTCACCGTCATCAAAGACCAAAGGTAGATAAAACCACAAAGATGGGGAAAAACCAGAGCAGAAAAGCTGAAAATTCTAAAAACCAGAGCACCTCTTCTCCTCCAAAGGAACGCAGCTCCTTGCAAGCAACGGAACAAAGCTGGATGGAGAATGACTTTGACGAGTTGACAGAAGTTGGCTTCAGAAGGTTGGTAATAACAAACTTCTCCGAGCTAAAGGAAGATGTTTGAACCCATCGCAAGGAAGCTAAAAACCTTGAAAAAAGATTAGACGAATGGCTAACTAGAACAAACAGTGTAAGAGAAGACCTTAAATGACCTGATGGAGCTGAAAACCATGGCACAAGAACTATGTGACGCATGCACAAGCTTCAGTAGCTGATTCAATCAAGTGGAAGAAAGGGTATCAGTGACTGAAGATCAAATGAATGAAATGAAGCAAGAAGTTTAAAGAAAAAAGAGTAAAAAGAAATGAACAAAGCCTCCAAAAAATTTGGGACTATGTGAAAAGACCAAATCTATGTTTGATTGGTGTACCTGAAAGTGACGGGGCGAATGGAACCAAGCTAGAAACACTCTTCAGGATATTATCCAGGAGAACTTCCCCAACCTAGCAAGGCAGGCCAACATTCAAATTCAGGAAATACAGAGAACACCACAAAGATACTCCTTGAGACGAGCAACCCCAAGATACATAATTGCCAGATTCACCAAGGTTGAAATGAAGGAAAAAAATGTTAAGGGCAGCCAGAGAGAAAGGTCAGGTTACCCACAAAGGGAAGCCCATCAGACTAACAGTGGATCTCTCGGCAGAAACTCTACAAGCCAGAAGAGGGTGGGGGCCAATATTCAGCATTCTTAAAGAAAAGAATTTTCAACCCAGAATTTCATATCCAGCCAAACTAAGCTTCATAAGTGAAGGAGAAATAAAATCCTTTACAGATAAGCAAATGCTGAGAGATTTTTGTCATCACCAGGCCTGCCTTACAAGAGCTCCTGAAGGAAGCACTAAACATGGAAAGGAACAACCCGTACCAGCCACTGCAAAAACATGCCAAACTGTAAAGACCATCGATGCTAGGAAGAAACTGCATCAACTAATGGGCAAAATAACCAACTAACATCATAATGACAGAATCCGATTCACACATAACAATATTAACCTTAAATATAAATGAGCTAAATACCCCAATTAAAAGACACAGACTGGCAAATTGGATAAAGAGTCAAGACCCATCAGTGTGCTGCATTCAGGAGACCCATCTCACGTGCAGAGACACACACAGGCTCCAAATAAAGGGATGGAGGAAGATCTACCAAGCAAATGGAAAGCAAAAAAGAGCAGGGGTTGCAATCCTAGTCTCTGATAAAACAGACTTTAAACCAACAAAGATCAAAAGAGACAAAGATGGCCATTACATAATGGTAAAGGGATCAATTCAACAAGGAGAGCTAACTATCCTAAATATATATGCACCCAATATAGGAGCACCCAGATTCATAAAGCAAGTCCTTAGAGACCTACAAAGAGACTTAGATTCCCACACAATAACAATGGGAGACTTTAACACCCCACTGTCAATATTAGATAGATCAACGAGACAGAAAGTTAACAAGGATATCCAGGACTTGCACTCAGCTCTGCACCAAGCAGACCTAATAGACATCTACAGAACTCTCCACCCTAAATCAACAGAATACACATTCTTCTCAGCATCACATTGTACTTATTCCAAAATTGACCACATAGTTGGAAATAAAGCATTCCTCAGCAAACGTAAAAGAACAGAAATCATAACAAACTGTCTCTCAGACCACAGTGTAATCAAATTAGAACTCAGGATTAAGAAACTCACTCAAAACCACACAACTGCATGGAAACTGAACAATCTGCTCCTAAATGACTACTAGGTAAATAACTAAATGAAGGTAGAAATAAAGATGTTCTTTGAAACCAATGAGAACAAAGATACAACGTACCAGAATCTCTGGGACACATTTAAAGTAGTGTGTAGAGGGAAATTTACAGCACTAAATGCCCACAAGAGAAAGCAGGAAAGATCTAAAATCGACACCCTAACATCACAATTAAAAGAACTACAGAAGCAAGAGCAAACAAATTCAAAAGCTAGCAGAAGGCAAGAAATAACTAAGATCAGAGCAGAACCGAAGGAGATAGAGGCACAAAAAACTCTTCAAAAAAACAAATGACTCCAGGAGCTGGTTTTTGAAAAGATCAACAAAATTGATAGACCGCTAGCAAGACGAACAAAGAAGAAAAGAGAGAAGAATCAAATAGACACAATAAAAAATGATAAAGGGGATATCACCACTGATCCCACAGAAATACAAACTACCATCAGAGAATACTATGAACACCTCTACGCAAATAAACTAGAAAATCTAGAAGAAATAGATAAATTCCTGGACATATACACCCTCCCAAGACTAAACCAGGAAGAGGTTGAATCCCTGAATAGACCAGTAACAGGATCTGAAATTCAGGCAATAATTAATAGCCTACCAACCAAAAAAAGTCCAGGACCAGACAGTCCTGAATTCTACTAGAGGTACAAAGAGGAGCTGGTACCATTCCTTCTGAAACTATTCCAATCAACAGAAAAAAAGGGAATCCCCCCTAACTCATTTTATGAGGCCAGCATCACCCTGATACCAAAGCCTGGCAGAGAAACAACAAAAAAAAAGAGAATTTTAGACCAATATCCCTGATGAACATCAACGCAAAAATCCTCAATAAAATACTGGCAAACCGAATCCAGTAGCACATCAAAAAGCTTATCCACCACCATCAAGTTGGCTTCATCCCTGGGATGCAAGGCTGGTTCAACATATGCAAATCAATAAACGTAATCCATCACATAAACAGAACCAAACACAAAAACCACATGATTATCTCAATAGATGCAGAAAAGGCCTTCAACAAAATTCAACAACGCTTCATGCTAAAAACTCTCAATAAACTAGGTATTGATGGAACATAACTCAAAATAATAAGAGCTATTTATCACAAACCCACAGCCAATATCAAACTGAATGAGCAAAAACTGGAAGCATTCCCTTTGAAAACTGGCACAACACAGGGATGCCCTCTCTCACCACTCCTATTCAACATAGTGTTGAAAGTTCTGGCCAGGGCAATCAGGCAAGAGAAAAAAATAAAGGGTATCCAATTAGGAAAAGAGGAAGTCAAATTGTCCCTGTTTGCAGATGACATGATTGTACATTTAGAAAATCCCATCGTCTCAGCCCAAAATCTCCTTAAGCTGATAAGCAACTTCAGCAAAGTCTCAGGATACAAAATCAATGTGCAAAAATCACAAGCATTCCTACACACCAATAACAGAGAGCCAAATCATGAGTGAACTCCCATTCACAATTGCTACAAAGAGAATAAAATACCTAGGAATCCAACTTACAAGGGATGTGAAGGACCTCTTCAAGGAGAACTACAAAGCACTGCTCAACGAAATAAAAGAGGACACAAACGAATGGAAGAACATTCCATGCTCATGGATAGGAAGAATCAATATCGTGAAAATGGCCATACTGCCCAAGGTAATTTATAGATTCAATGCCATCCCCATCAAGCTACCAATGACATTCTTCACAGAATTGGAAAAAACTACTTTAAAGTTCATATGGAACCAAAAAAGAGCCCACATTGCCAAGACAATCCTAAGCAAAAAGGAACAAAGCTAGAGGCATCATGCTACCTGATTTCAAACTATACTAAAAGGCTACAGTAACCAAAACAGCATGGTACTGGTACCAAAACAGAGATATAGACCAATGGAACGGAACAGAACAGAGGCCTCAGAAATAACACCACACATCTACAACCACCTGATCTTTGACAAACCTGACAAAAACAAGAAATGGGGAAAGGATTCCCTATTTAATAAATGGTGCTGGGAAAACTGGCTAGAAAGCTGAAACTGGATCCCTTCCTTACACCTTATATAAAAATTAATTTTCAAGATGGATTCAAGACTTAAATGTTAGACCTAAAACCATAAAAACTCTAGAAGAAAACCTAGGTAATACCATTCAGGACATAGGCATGGGCAAGGACTTCATGACTAAAACACCAAAAGCAGTGGCAACAAAAGCCAAAATAGACAAATGGGATCTAATTAAAGAGTTTCTGCACAGCACAAGAAACTACCATCAGAGTGAACAGGCAACCTACAGAATGGGAAAAAATTTTTGCAATCTACCCATCTGACAAAGGGTGAATATCCAGAATCTACAAAGAACTCAAACAAATTTACAAGAAAAAAATCAAACAACCCCATCCAAAAGTGGGCAAAGGATATGAATAGACACTTTTCAAAAGGAGACATTTATGCAGCCAATAGACACATGAAAAAATGCTCATCATCACTGGTCATCAGAGAAATCCAAAACAAAACCACAATGAGATACCATCTCACACCAGTTAGAATGGCAATCATTAAAAAGTCAGGAAACAACAGGTGCTGGAGAGGATGTGGAGAAACAGGAACACTTTTACACTATTGGTGGGAGTGTAAACTAGTTCAACCATTGTGGAAGATGGAAGACACTGTGGTGATTCCTCAAGGATCTAGAACTAGAAATACTATTTGACCCAGTGATTTCATTACTGGGTATATACCCAAAGGATTATAAATCATGCTACTATAAAGACACATGCACACATACGTTTACTGTGGCACTATTCACAATAGCAAAGACTTGGAACCAACCCAAATGTCCATCAATGATAGACTGGATTAAGAAAATGTGGCACACATACACCACGGAATACTATGCAGCCATAAAAAAGGATGAGTTCAAGTCCTTTGCAGGGATATGGATGAAGCTGGAAACCATCATTCTGAGCAAACTATTGCAAGGACAGAAAACCAAACACCGCACGTTCTCACTCATAAGTGGGATTGAACAATGAAAACACCTGGACACAGGGCAGGGAACATCACACACCAGGGCCTGTCGGGGGGTGGGGGGCTGGGGGAAGGATAGCATTAGGAGAAATACCTAATGTAAATGACGAGTTAATGGGGGCAGCAAACCAACATGGCACATGTATACATATGAAACAAACCTGTACGTTGTGCACATGTACCCTGGAACTTAAAGTATAATAATAATAATAAAAAAAAGATACAGCATTAAATTTTTAAAGACATGTAGGGATAAAACACGGTGATCATGAAGCAACAGAGAAATTCATTGATGAGTTTGCCAAGGTCATTGCTGATAAACATCTGACACTAGAACAAGTCTATAATGCCAATGAAACATCACTGTTTTGACATTATTATCCTAGAAAGACACCAATTACAGCTGCTGAGACAGCCTTTACAGGAATTAAGGATGCCAAAGACAGAATAACTGTGCTGGGATGTGCTAATACACATATAAGTGTAAACTTGCTTTGACAGGGAAAACCTCACGTCCTCACTGTATTCAAGGAGTAAATTTCTTACCAGTCCATTATTATGCTAAAAAAAAAAAAGGAAAAGAAAAGGCATGTATCACCAGAAACCTCTTTTCTGACTAGTTTCACAAACATTTTGTACTAGCGGCTCATGCTTACTGCAGTGAAGCTAGACTGTAAGATTTTGTTATTCCTTGACAACTGTTCTGCTCATCCTCCAGCTGAAATTCCCATAAAAAATAATGTTTATAACATGTACTTTCCCCGAAATGTGACTTCATTAATTAAGGCATGTGACCAGGATATCCTTAGATCAATAAAGGGTAAATATAAAAATATATTCTTGAATAGCATGCTAGCAACAGTGAACAGAGATAAGGGTGTAGAAAGTTTTCAAAAGTAGTTTAGCATGGAGGATGCCACAAATGCAGTTGCCAACACTCGGAAAACAATGACTGAAGACATAGTCGTGCCTGACACAACCTGGCCTAAGACTATGTTCAGTGTTGATGATGAACAATTGGTGATTTCGAAGGACTCTGTATATCATCCAAGGGAAAACAAAAAAGATATATAACCTCCTGACATATGCAAAAAATGTACCTCCAGAGTCTATCAGTAAGCTGGAAGAAGTGAATATCAAAGATGTTTCTAATATTGATAATGAGGCTCCAGTTGTTCATTCAGTATCAATGGTAAAATAATTAAAATGGTTCTGAATCAAGGTGATTTGATAACAGTGATAAAGATAACATTAACCATGCAGAGAAAGTGGCTGTAGACAACATGATGAAAACATGTGATGAGATTACTAAAGGTCTGGAGCAGTGTGCATTCATACCAAACAAGAATTCATGTCAATTTATAACATCAAAGAAAGATTTCTAAGACAAAAACCATTGTTAATAAGGTAGATGACTCTAAAGGAAACATTTTTAAAAGCCATCCAGCAAAATGCTTCCTCGCCCCTATAGGAGCCACTACTTGGTCCCTCAATCGCTTCTGATGTTTTACCTAAAGTCAAAAAATACAGTGTATAGGAGCATTTTAATCAAAACACAGCATCATAGGTGGAGACAAAGCTTGCCACTGTTTGCTGTTGCTGTTGTTTAACATCTGATAAAGGTATTTTGGTGATGCTATTGCACTGCTTAGTTATCCTGAACACATTATTTTTTCACTGTATTAAATGTATGTCATACCTTTTACTGTTAAGAATTTATGTATGAATATTCAGGCTGGGTGCGGTGGCTCACGCCTGTAATCCCAGCACCCTGGGAGGCCCAGGTGTGTGGATCACTTGAGGTCAGGAGTTCAAGACCAGCCTGGCCAACATGGTGAAACTCCATCTCTATTTAAAAAAAAAAATACAAAAATTAGCCAGGTGTGGTGGTAGGCGCCTGTAATCCCAGTTACTTGGGAGGCTGAGGCAGGAGGATCATTTGAACCCAGGAGGTGGGGGGTCACAGTGAGCCGAGATCATGTCATTGCACTCGAGCCTGGGCGACAGAGCAAGACTCCATCTCAAAAAAAAAAAAAAGAAAAATATTATATAAAATTACCTTTGAACTGTGTGTAAAAGGCATATATGAAACAAATAAATTCATGTTTAGACTTGGGTACTATCTCCAAGATACATTATTATATAGATGTGAATATTCCAACATTTGAAAATAATTAAATAGAAAACAAAAAGTAAAATGGCAGATGTAGGCCGGTGCAGTGGCTCACGTCTGTAATCCTAGCACTTTGCGAGGCCGAGGCGAGTGGATCACAAGGTCAGGAGATCGAGACCAACTTGACCAACACGGTGAAACCCTGTCTCTACTAAAATACAAAAAATTAGCCAGGCGTGGTGGCACACGCCTGTAGTCCCAGCTACTTGGGAGGCTGAGGCAGGGGAATCACTTGAACCAGGAGGCAGAGGTTGCAGTGAGCTGAGATTGCACCACTGCCCTCCAGCCTGGGTGACAGAGTGAGACTCTGCTAAAAAAAAAAAAAAAAAAGGCAGATGTAAATAATAATATAACATGCAATTAAATAATAGTATTAAATGTGAGTAAACTAATCCAATCAAAACGTAGATTTTTCAGATTAGATTTTTTTGAAATCCAGCTATATGCTGTCCACAGAAATACACTTTAGATTCAAAGATACAAATAGGTGGAAAGTAGAAGGATAAATAAAAAATACCATGCAAACAACAGTCATAAAAAAGCTGGAGTGGCTATACTAATGCCAGGCAAAATAGACTTCAAACCAAAAAGTGTTACTATAAAAAGTAGGGTCATTTTATCATGATAAAAGGGTTACTCCAACATAAAGATGTAACAGTTATAAAGATAACATGCATTTGCAAGTGATGAAATTGGATATTTGGCTGAGGAAACCTCTAAACAATTTGCTGAAGGAGTGGCCTGGGTCCTCCTGACTGCTTAAATAGAACGCAAGAAGAGAGAATGACTTAAAGACAGAATTATTAAGCAAAAAAGAACCAGTACTTAAAGATGCAGAAAATTCTCAACCTACCCATATTGAAAAGAATGAGAAAGTCTGTTCAGAGGACAACACTAAGGTTGTGGTCAAATGATCATTTGATAAGATTAGTATGGATGTGGACCGCCCCAGCAGGACAACTGCCAATTTGAAATGAAAAAATAGTAGATGGGAAGAAATGAAGGAGGGTTGGTAGACTTCTTGGATTTTTCAGGATGGGACCATAGAGCAATTCAGCTGCAAATGTGTGCTCTTCTTTAAGACAAGGAAGGACCCTAAAAGCAATTCAGAGATCATCCGGGATGCTTCCTTGGTTCAACAAAAGAAGGGACCACTGCCTTGCTTTCAATAGGCCAGATGGCTCATGAGGGCTGGACCTCTCAAAGCCCAGGGATTGTGACCAACCCCATCAGAGGGTCCAGAAGGCAGCACTTCCACTTCTCTGGAAGGCAGAGCATCAAGCCAATCATTCATTTTGTAGCCTTAAGATTTCATGGAACTTGCTCGGGACCTGTCACCCCTTTCTTCCTTCCTTTTTCTCCCTTTCAGAATGGAATGTCTACCCTATGACTAGCACACCACTATATTTTTTAACTTTTTAATTTTTTTAGAGACAGGGTCTTGCTCTGTTGTCTTGCACTTTAGTCTTGTCCAGGCTAAAGTGCAGTGACACATCATAGCTCACTGCAACCTCGAACTCCTAGTATCAAGTGATCCTTGTGCTTCAGCTTCCTGAGGAGCTGGGACTACAAGCACATGACACCACGTCTGGCCAATTAATTTTTCAATTTTTTCAGAGACAGTCTTGCCATGTTGCTCAGGCTGGTCTTCAACTCCTGGCCTCAAGTGATCCTCCCACCTCAGCCTGCCAGGTAGCTGGGATTACAGGCACAAGCCACCAAACTCAGACCACCATTGCATTTTGGAAGCACATATTTGGTTTCACAGGGTCACAGCTGGAGGAGAATTTGCCTCAGGATGAATCATACCTTGGGCTCAACTGCATCTGATTTAGATAATATTTAGATGAGATGTTGGACTTTAAAGTTGATGCTGGTATCAGTTAAGACTCTGGGGTGATTGGGATAAAATGAATGTAATTTGCATGCAACGAAGACACAAATTTTTCGTGGAGGGAAGGGCCAGGGCCAGAATGTTATAGACTAAACGTTTGTGTCCTTGCCAAATTATTATGTTGAAATTCTAACTCCTAATGTGATATGAAAATGGGGCCTTTGGGAGGTGATTAGATCATGAAGGCAAAGTCCTCATAAATGGCATTAAGGCTTTTCTTAATATTTGCCAATCTGATAGATGGGCAGTATTGTGGTTCTATTTTCCATTTCCCTAAAGAATAATGATGTTGAACATCTTTTCATGTTGTTATTTTCCATCTGCTTATCTTCTTTGGTGCAGTGTCTATTCATATCTTTAGCTCACTTTAAAAAATTGAGTTCCTTCTCTTGAGATTTCAGAGTTCTTAATATATTCTATGTACAAGTCATTTATCAGATATATGCTTTTTAAATACTTTCTCCCGTCTGTGGCTTATCTTTTCATTCTCCTAGAAGCATGTTTTCAACAGCAGAAGTTTTTAATTTTGATAAAGTCTGTTTTATCACTTTTTTTTTTCATCGATCATAGTCCTGGCATTGTAGCTAAAAAGAATCTTTGTGGCCAGGCGTGGTGGCTCACGCCTGTAATCCCAGTACTTTGGGAGGCCGAGGCGGGCGGATCACGAGGTCAGGAGATTGAGACCATCCTGGCTAACACGGTGAAACCCCGTCTCTACCAAAAATACAAAAAAATTAGCCAGGCGTGGTGGAGGGTGCCTATAGTCCCAGCTACTCGGGAGGCTGAGACAGGAGAATGGCGTGAACCCAGGAGGCAGAGCTTGCAGTAGGATGAGATAGCACCACTGCACTCCAACCTGGTTGATGGAGCGAGACTCCGTACCTAACCAATGCTGGCAGAAACCACACCAAAAAAACAAGCAGATGGAAAATACATGAAAAGATGTTCAACATGATTAGTCATTAGAGAAATACAAATTTTAAGATTTGAAAAAGATTTTTCTCAGCCAGGCATAGTGGCTCATCCCTGTAATCACAGCACTTTGGGAGGCTGCACCCAGAAGATTGAGACCAGGAGTTTTAGACTAGATCACTTGAAGTCAGTAGTTTGAGACTAGCCTGGGGAACATAGCAAAACCCCATCTCTACAAAAAATTTAAAAATTAGCTGGGCATGGTAGCATGCACCTGTAGTCCCAGCTACTTGGGAGACAGGCAAGAGGATTGCTTGAGCCCAGGAGTTCAATGTTACAATGAGCTATGATCACACCACTGCACTACAGCCTAGGCAACCAAGCATGACTCTGTCTCAAAAAAATAAATATATGTATTTTTTTTTCTATTTTTTTCACCTGGAAATTTGTAGTCTTAGATTCTGCATTTAGGTCTATGATCCATTTTTAGTAAATTTTATAGTTTATAAATTTTTCTATACTATATATTTTATTAGTATATTTTATATACTATATATATAATTTTTATAGTATAGCAAAGTATGGAGTGACGTTCATTTTTCTGCATATGGGTATCCAATTGTTTCAGCATCATTAGTTAAAACAACTGTCCTTTTCCCACTGAATCGTACCTTTTAAAAAATCATTTGTTTGTGGCCCTATTTTTTATTCTATTCCATTCCATTAATTAACTTCCCTAACTTGATGCCAATACTACACTGTTTTGATTATTGTTGCTTCACATTGAATCATTAAATCAGGTAGCATTTGCTCTCCAAACTTGTTCTTCTTTTTCAGAATTGCTTTGGCTATTCTAGTTCCTTTGATTTCTTTTCCTGGGATTGCATTGAATTATCAATCTGTCTGGAGAAAATTGGCATCTTAACAATATTGAGTATTCCAACCCATGAATAAATTATATCTTTCGACTTATTTAGGTCTTAATTTTTTCAAGAATGTTTTGTAGGTTTCAATGTACAGATCTTGCAAATCTTTTATGCTACTTTCAGGCTTATTTCATATTTTTGATAGTACTGTAAGTGGAATTGCATTTTAAAAGTCAATTTCTGATTATATGTTGCTACTGTATAGAGATACATTGATTTTTGTATATGAATTCCATATCTAGCAACCTTATGAAACTCATTTATTAGTTCTAAGAGCTTTTTAAAGATTCCATTAGATTTTTACATAGGCATCATGTCATCTGAATAAAGACAGCTTTACTTCTTGCTTCTAAGATTTAGATGCCTCTTTTTTCCTTTCTTGCCTTTTTCCTTAGAACCTCTAGTAGAATACTGAATAAAGAATGGACATCATTGCCTTGTTCTTGATCTTAGGGAGAAAGTAGTCAGTCTTTCACCATTAAGTTGTTAGATAAAGGCATTCTGAAGATGCCCTTTGTGTCAGGGGTCCCTAAGACAACCCTCAGGGTTGATGATTTCCTAGGACTCACAAGACTCAAAAGTTGCTCTACTCATGGTTACACTTTATTACAGTGAAAGAACATAGAGTAAAATCAGCAAAGGGGAAACGCACATGGGGTGAAGTCTAGAAGAAACCACATACAAGGTTCCAAGCGTCCCTTCCCGGTGCAGTCACATGGGACACACTTCATTCTCCCAACTATGTGTGACAATATGTGCAAAGTGTTACCAACCAAGGAAGTTCATTTGAGCCAAAGTGTACAGGGCTTTTACTGGGTATCAGTCATGTAAACATAACAGCACCTGTGTGACTGACCTGTTACTGAAGCTCCAGATTCCCAGAGGGAAGGCAGGTCTTCACCGTAAACTGCATTGCTAGTATAAACAATCTGGACAAACTGGTATAGCACGGCTCAAAGACTCGGGCATGCAAATACACTATTAAGACAAAAAATTTCAAGAGCTTAGTTCCCTGGAGGTGAGCAAAGGACAGTCATGGAAACAAGCTTAAGAATGGGCAAGGTTTCAACAACCCCAGCCTGTTGCGTTAACCCCCTTCCACATACCGTCCATCAGGTTGAGCAAGTTCCTTTCTATTCCTAGGCTGCTGAGAATTTTAATCAGGAATCGATATTCGATTTTGTCAAAGGCTTTTTCTGCATGTACTGGAATCACCACATAGTTTTTCATTTTAGTTTGTTTACCTGGTGAATTACATTGATGGCTGTTCAAATATTAAACCTTGCATTCTTGGAATAAACATCAGTAGGTCATGATGTATTAATCCTTTTATATATGTTAGATTTGAGTTGCTAAAATTCTGTTTAAAATTGTGCATGTATGTTCATGCAGGATATTGGTCTGTAGTTTTCTATGATGGGTTTTGAAATAAGGGTCTGACAGCCTTATGAAATGAGTTGTGAAGTATTACCTCCTCTTCCATTTTCTAAAACTGTGTTAATTAGTATTATTTCTTCCTTAAATATTTGGTAGAATTCACCACTGAAACCATCTGGACCTAGAATTTTCTTTTAGAATGATTTTTTTCTGCAAATTCAAATTATTTAACAGATGTTGGACTATTTGTGTTATCTGTTTCTTCAGTGAGCTTTAGCAGTTTGTATCTCTCTAGGAATATGTCTATTTGATCTAAGTTGTCATACTGCTTGATATAAAGTTGTTCATAACATTCCTTTATTATCCTTTTAATGTCTTTAGAATATGTAGTGATGTTACCTCTCTCATTCTTAATATTGGTAATTTGTGTCTTCTTTTTCTCCTGATCTGCTGGGCTAGAAATTTATTAATAGTCTTGATGTTCTCAAAGAACTAGCTTTCAGTATCATTGATCTTCACTGTTGTTTTCTGTTGTAGTGATTTCCACTCTAACCTTTATTTCCTTGCTCCTGTTTAACTTCTTCTTTTTCCAGTTTCTTAGAAAGCTGTGATTATTGATTTGTAACATTTCTTCTTTTCCAATACAGCCATTAATTTAGCTACAAATTTCCCTCTAAGTACTGCTTTGGCACCATCCTACAAATTTGATATGTTGTTTTCATACTTTCTATTTTCTCTTTTCATTTCTTTAATCCATGGGTTACCTTAAAGTGTTATTTATTTACCAAATGTTTGGGAATTTTACAATCTTTCTGTTACTGGTTTCTAACTTAATTCCATTTAGGTCAGAAAGTACATCTTGCTTGACTTCAATTCTTTCAAATGTACTGAGATATGTTTTATGGGCCAGAATATGGCATATATTTTTACACGTTCTCTATGTAGTTGGAAAAAAATAAAACCCATGTATTCAGCTGTTGATGGGTGAATTGTTCCATAAATGCCAAGCAGATCAAGTTAGTTGACAGTGGTGTTCAAGTTTGTTATACTGTTGCTCATTTTCTATCTGCTCATTCCATCAATTATTTGGAGAAAACTACTGAAATCTCCAGTTAACTGGGTATCTTTCTATTTCTTATTGCTATTCTATTAATTTTGTTTCATGTATTTTAAAGCTCTAATATTGGATGTCTAAAATATCTAGGATTGTTTCTGGTTAACTGATCTCTTTATCATTAAGAAATGACATTCTTTATCCTTGATAATATCATTATCTCTGAAATCTACCTTAACAACAATAAACCACTCACACTTTCTCTTCATTAGTGTTAGCACTGTGTATCTTTCTCTATTTAGTTTTATTCTATTCATGTCTTTATATTCAAATTGTATTTCTTACAGACAACTTATACTTGGGTCTTGTTTTTTTAATCCAATCTGAAAATCTCTGTATTTTAATTGGGGTGTTTGATCCATTTACATGTAGTATGATTATTGATATGGTTAGCTTTAAGTTTACGTCTTGTTATTTGCTTTTTTTTTTTTGGTCCCACCTGTTCTTTGTTCTCTTTTTTTTCTATCTTCTTTCAGATTGAGTGCTTTTAGGATTTCATCTTGTCTCCTTTGGTGGCTTATTAACTGTAACTCTTTGTCTACACACTATGTTTATTTCTTCAGTTTCTATGCTAACACCCACTCCAATTTAACTTTTCTAGCTTCTGATCCAATCTTTCCTACCCATCATCACTTAAAAACAAACAAACAAACAAAAGACACTTCCTAGGATGTCTAATGAGCTTCACATTACTAAATCCTATGCTCTTTTCAGTCCTCATCTTACTTATCTCACGGTAACATTTCACAGTTTATCCTCTGTCCTGAATAACTCTTCTCTTGGTTTCTATGACATGACACTCTCCAGATCATCTTATTTTTTTGTCCATAAATTCTCAGTCTCCTTTGCACTTTGACTTCTCCTCAGCTTGTAACTTTTAGAGTTTCTCATGGCTCAGTCCTAGCCCTTCTTGTTTTCTCTCAGAATCTTCAAAAGACGGTCCTCAGGGATTATGAGATATTTCACAGGCATTTTCAGGGGCAAAGTAATGAAATAAATTTGTCTACATACATTTTGAAAAGTTGAAATGTAAGATTAATAATTTGTACGAAAATCACTTTATTTTCTTTAAAGTTACCATTCACTATAATATCCCATTATATTCACTCTCTGTTGATACATTCATATCAGCCATAGTTAGCATTTACTTAAATATAGTACTATAAAACTCAAGTAAACTTTCAGATTATTTTTCACACAAAGCACAAAGTCCATTTGCTTTGTTAATAAGGACAAAGAAGAAACCAAGAGAAAAGACGCATTCCTCAGCTAAAACAGGTAAAAATTCTTGATACTGCTGAGAAGCTAGTCAATTCAAATTTAATGCCTGAGAAGAAACAAGCTATTGACCAAAATTCTTTATTAAATGATTCTACTGGATGTCATATATTATCATGCTATATTATCATGCAACACAATATAGAAGAGCAATTACTGTCATGTTGAGTGCTTTAGCATATATTTTGTTTTACAATTGGACAAACTACCTGTGGAGAAAATATAAATCAGTCCTTGACACATATACAGTATATAAGGTAAAAGTACTCAACAACTTTTTGTTCTACATATCAGTGAAAACTTATAGTACAGGGAAGACAGTTTTTATTTAGACAATGATACTTTTGTGAGCTATGACATAAGTTGAAAAAGGTGCCACACATTCAAAATTGACAGAGCATGAAGTATACAAATAGCAAAAACATACACTGTTATGTTACTAAAAGATTCTTTATATGAAACAGGAGTCAACAATATGCCTCCTGATTATAACTGAGTGTTGAAGGAAATAATGGAAATTAAACATCATCAAATATTGACTATTCAGAGTATGCGCTCTCAGATGTTGCAGAAGGAAATGGCAGCGTTTGCAAGATTATTCTTCCCACGCAAGTTTGCTGGCTGTCAAGGAAAAAAGGTGCTGACAAGTTTCTGAAATGAGGGATGAGATTTTAAAAAACAAAAAAATTCTTCATAATGCTGACAATACCAAAAAGTAATTCTATGTTTTCTAGAGGCCTGCTTAAGTGGAGTATAGCAGAGATATATCTAGAATTTTAAATAGCGTGAACCTACTACTTCAGGGCCAAAATACCCTGATTTTTAATGCTGAGAATAAAATACCATATTTTTCAAAGTCACCAAGCTATGTTGCAAATGGCTCAATTGCTAGGATGTGATTCCTTCCCAAAACCTGATGGTTTTCTTCACTTCTTAGAGTGAGACTGATTACACTATTGTGTGTATAAAGAACATGACTAAATGTTAAAACAAAACATGGGAAAATACTTTCCAGATACTGAAGAAGTCAAAAAATGACTTAAGAATCCATTTGTTACTATCTTCCAAACATTCAGGCTGGTTGAAACATTCACCCTAATATTACAGGCTTCTCAATAACGCAACTGAAAGAGCACAAGATATAATCTTCAGGGAGAAATCTTCCGATAATTTTTCAGTCTGTATTTGACCTTGATATTCCTAAACATCTGACAGCGCCAGCAAACACAAGTTGCAATTCCTGACAATCTATAATTGTGGCACAACATTTCCTAATTTAGTAGACATACAGAGTAATCAAAATGTGGTCTAACCTACATCTCAAACTATTATCAAATTAGATATAAGTACTTTGTAAGAAGCTGCAAAAAAAAAATCATCCTTCTCAATGATAATAAAAACATTAATTTCTAAAATACTGTTTTATTGGGGGCCAGGCACGGTGGTTCACGACTGTAATCCCACCACTTTGGGAGGCCTAGGCGGGTGGATCACTTGAGTCCAGGAGCTTAAGACCAGCCTGGCCAACACAGTGAAACCCTGTCTCTACTAAAATACAAAAATTAGCCAGGTGTAGTGGTGCACATGTGTAGTTCTAGCTACTCAGGAGGCTGAGGCACAAGAATCACTTGAACCCAGGAGGCAGAGGTTGCAGTTAGCCGAGATCATGCCACTGCACTCCAGCTTGGGTGACAGACTACCTATAGACACTGAGGCTCAAATTTCAATTTCCAGCCCAGCCTTCTTCTCTGAGCTCCAGACTTACCTCCCTAACCAACTGCCTTCCAAACTTTACTACCTGATGCTTCATAGGCACATTAAACATAGTGAGTCCAGAACCAAACTCCTGTTATCTTCCATATGGCTCAGTGAAAACATCTTATTCCTGGCTGCCCATGCCAGAAAGCTAAGTCATCATCTAAGATGCAGCTTGAATTGATCTCCTCTCTCCCCACTTAGTAGTCACCTTCATAGGTGACTTCATACTTTCCCCACATAGTCCAAGTCACCTTCGTCTCTACCCTGGACTACACTATAACCTCCTAATTAGTCTTCCTACAGCCCCTTATCCCCCTCAGTATTTTCTTTTGCTGCTAGAACAAATTACCACAAACGCAGTGGCTTAAAAACAACACTAATTTATTTTCTTACATTTCTGAAGAAATCTTACATGCATCTCAATGGGCTAAAATCAAGGTGAGTTTGATTCCCTTCTAAAGGTTGTATGAGAGAATCTATTTCCGTGGTTTTTCAAGCTTCTAGAAGCTACCCACATACCTTGGCTTGTGACCTCCTTCCTTCATCTCCAAAGTCAGCCATGTTGTATCTCTTTGACCATTCTTCCATAGTCACTCCATGTCTTTTGTCCCCATGTTCTACTTTTAAGGACCCTTGCGATTACTTTGGGGCCCCCCTGGATAATCCAAGGTAATCTCTTTATCTTAAGGTCAGCTGATTAGCTAATTACCTCCCTTTTGCCATGTAACAACATATTTACAGATTCTGGGTATTAATATGTGGATATCTTTAGGAGGCCATTATTACGTCTACCATATTTTCTAATACATAAACTCATTTTCCACACATCAGCCAGAGTAATCTTTTTAAAAACATAAATATGTTCATGACACTTCCTTCAATGTGTTACCACTCCTCTAAGGATAAAGTTCAAAATCCTAAACATGTGCCTCAAATCCATGCATGGCCTGGTTCCTACCTCCTGGGCTTGTCTTCTGGTGCACTGTGTCCCAGCCACATAGGCTTCTCTCTTTTTCTCAAGCACCAAGCTCCTTTCTTTCTCAGGATCTTTGCTCACACTATCTCTGCTGTCTGAACAGCTCTCCCCACCTTCCAGCCAACCTTTACCTGGCTAACGCTTGCTCAATCCTTCAGATCTCTATAAAAGTTACTTTCACAGGGTGGCCTTTCCTGATTGCCCAGTCTAGTATTAGCTCCCCCTACACTGTCATAGTACTCTTTTTCTTTCATATCTTTTTATCACAATTTAAATTAAATGTATTTGCATAATTATTTGTTTAATATCTGCCTGCCTGCACCAGACTGCAAACCCATAAAGGCTGGAGCCTAGTCTGTTCTGTTCACCACTGTAAACCCTGGGACTTCGCACTAACTAGCTTATAACAGGTGCTCAATAAATAAGTGAGTGACATTACATGTTATTATATGACCAGCAGGCAGGTAGAGTATATGCAGTGTGGATATGCTGGACAAAGGGATGATTCGTGGCCCCAGGCAGGATGGAGCACAATGGCATGAGATTTTATCACACTACACAGTACAGTATGCAACTTAAAAGTTATTAATTGTTCATTTCTGGAATTTTCCATTTCATATTTTCAGACCGCAGCTGACTTCTGGTAAGTGAAATTGTGGTAAGTGAAACCAGGAAAGCGAAACTAAAATAAACTAACAAATTACTAGAGAAACCCACACGTAGAATGTTGATTTTTAAAACCAAATTGCGCTTACTGATATCATTCATATGCTTATAGGAAGAAAAACTATTAGTAGTAATAAAATACAGTAGCAGTAAGACAAATATGTCTTATTTGGGTGGCAAAAGAAGAATGTGAGATGATCTGTGGAGGATTCCCCACTTTTAACAAAAGTCAGCCTGCTCTGCTGAAATTAGCAAAATCACACAGGTGATTTCAAAGAAAACCCATTGCTTACAAAGAAATGAGATAATGATATAACAAATCAAGTATATAAGACATTCATTAATGCCTTTATAATTCTCACAAACACACAAATAATCCAACAGCAAATTCTGATGTATGTGTGACGCAGGAGGGAAAATTCATAGTAGGAGCAAAGAATTATCTTTAGTCCTTGCTGGTACAACCACCATCATGAATTCAACAAATATTTATTGAGTGCCTACTATGTGTCAGGTTCTGTTCTCTAGTTGAAGATACTATAGGAAAAATAACAGAGAAAAACCCCTGTCCTTGTGGATCTTACAATATAGTGAAAGATTTAAAACCTTGAGTAAGACATATACTTGGGTGGCTAAAGGGTTTGTTATGGAAAAATTAAGAAGGACTGATAACAAAAAGGGAATAATAGCTACATAAAGATATAAATACAAAATGAAGGTTGTTGATGACAGATAGTGAAACTGAATATATAAGCAGAGAGCACATTCTCATTATTCTAAATTATTTTTGCTAAAATCAAATACAAGTAATTACTTTCCTCTAATGCAGCTTGAAGAGAGTATTATACGTATGAATCGAAAATACTAAGATGATGACTATTGTTATATGATGCACAAGAAGGAACCATAATGTGCAACTACCAAATCCAGACCAACAGACTAGTTTCTACTGGATAAAAACTTAACTTAAAAACATAGGGAAATGTACTGATAAACTTTCTAACTTATCTGGAAATATATTCCAGAAATGAGAGGGGAAGAATACTGATTATAGGAAATTATTGCAAATATGGAAATTAGGGGTTATTAAAGTAAATTTATGCAGTTATCTCAGCATAGGAGTAGTTTCTTATGTTTCATACACAATTATGCATTGCATAAAAGCTTTCAGTCAACCATGGATCGCATATACAAGTGGTCCCAAAGATTGTTAACACTTTATTTTACTGTATCTTTTCTATGTTTAGATACATAAATACTTTCCATTGTGTTACGAATGCCTACAGTATTCAGTACAATACTATGCTGTACAGATTTCTAGGTTAAGAGCAATAGGCTATTCCATATAGCCTTAGGTGTGTAGCAGGCTTATGAAAGTACACTCTATGACGTTGGCACAATGAAAAAAATCACCCAGCAATGAACTTCTCAGAACATATCCCCATTGTTAGGAGGCGCACGACTGTATTTAGTCCAACAACTTGCTGAAATGTGATTCTACCATTTTTCCAGTCAACTCCTAAGTTTTAAATACCATACATCTGCCACCTTACCAGGCAGTTTCAACCATAACAACAGAAGAATACTCTTGGCAAATAGATCCCACTCTCTGAGGGTTGTGTTGGGGCTCAGAAAATACTACCCCGAAGTATGACACTTTGGCATGCTGAATACTTTGAACTAAAAGAGATTGGAAGGCCTCAGAAGCAGCCTCGGAAGCAGTCTCTCCCTCTGATCTCCTGCCCTTCTGTCTCCTGCCCATCTTTCGTCCCAGAAGTGAGTCACAGAAACCAGAATTCTTCCCCAAGGTGAGTGATAGAAACTAGGATCCCTCTCCTACAAAGCAAGCCATAAAAACTGGAACTATTAAGCTTTCCCTGCCATTGTCTATAGGAACTGGCCATAAAGAAATTCTCTAATCTACCTTGCCTGATAGTAGGTCGCTAAGACCCTCATTCCAGAAGGGACCTTCCTCCTCCGTAGGAGGAAGAAATGATACACAGAGAGGCCAAGAAGAATCTGAACAAACAGACCTTGCTGGGCTTCCTTCCTCAGTTTATTAACATTAGAGTATATCCTTTGTCCAGTCACATTTTTACACAGTTGTCTATTCTTCATGGGTCCTACGCATAAAAATAGAGATCTCCCTGGTCTCTGAAGTGCCTGGTGGTGTAAAACTTTGATTAGATTTGCTCTGCTTTTACCTTGTTAACCTATCTTCTGTTTTAAGGAGTGGTGGCTGTGATCCTTACAATGGGTGGTGAGGAAAGGTACTAAAGTTTTCGGCCCCTACGTTGCACTTTAAATAAATAAATGTATAAAAGCAAAGTAGACAAAGACACATGAAGTCATAATGAAAATACCAGAGTCAGCCAAGGAAGAAGGCAGACTTGCAGTTGAAATGCTCCAGATCACTTTGTCCACCGAACGAAAACATCTAAGAACATACAGTCCATACTCCAAGTTTTAAACGACTGTCCACCAAGAAGGGAAAAGGAGAACTGATGGCTCCTCTTAGGCCCATTCAAGACAAGGGGGTCCCAATTCCCTTGCTTTAGACTGGTGGGACTGGCAGGTAAACCTGAGGCAAATGACTGACTACAGGTTCCAAGGCCAGTTACTCCAATTAGAAAGCAAAACACAAAGTTTCAAAAAACAGTGAAGGCAGTCGGGAGGCTGAGGCACGACAATCGCTTTAACCCGGGAGACGGAGGTTGCGGTGGGCCGAGATCACGCCACTGCACTCCAGCCTGGACAACAGTGCGAGACTCCGTCTCAAAAACAACAACAACAACAAATGGTGAAGGGATGAGGCTGAAACATCACGGGAAGTAAAATAAATAATTGTAACAAGAAAACAATAAAGCATTGGAGAATCCACCCAGGCACTTCCACTGCTTAAAAAGGTACAGACTACAGAAGCCAAAAGGCCCGGGAACTCCGGTCCCGGAACTCAACACCCAGACTGAAGCGAGCGCGGGGAAGCAGTTCCGGTGACCCCCTCCCGCCCCTCTCTCATCAACCCCGCCCCCTGGGCCCGCCCCGTCCCGCCCGGCTACTCACTGGATTCGCTTCCCACATAACGGTGACAAAATCGAGCGGAGAGAGCCTGTGGGAAGGGGCTAGCCGCGGGGCCTGGGTGTTGGATTTTTTTTTTTCCCGCGGGTCCCCGGGAGCGAAGGGACGGAGATGCAACCTTTACGAAGGCCTTCCTCCTCCCCCTCCCTGTCACAAGCCAGCGTTTACAGACCACCCAACCTCCCGACTTCCGCCCGACGTTGGCCAGTCAGATCTGTCTCCGCCCCACTCCTACAAGCTCGCCCCGCCCCTGCACGCTTATCCATACGCGCGCGGGCGGTCGTCCTGGGCGGGGCTTGCGAGTCTGTGTCTGACGAAGGAGTTTAAAGGGTTTCTGGTCCAACTGTATCACCCAGTGATCTTAAAGCCACGGCTGGCTGTATTTCTTTCCTATGAAACAAATTTTTATTGATCACCGTGTAACGACCAAGAGTCACACAGGCCTGGCAATGGCATTTGGGAGAAACTTCATAATCTTTCAATATCTTCATCCTCAAAATGGAGATGGTAGTAATATCTCCCTATGAGTGAGATTATTGAAAGCATTTAGCACAGTATTTGGCACACAGAGTTCAATAAGTGACGGTTATTTGCTCACAAGGGAACCTTTACATACTATCCCTGCCCTCAAGATTTTATAATCTAGAAAAGAAAGCAAAAAGTAGTTTAGAAAAGTTAAAAAGTGCAATATGATTTATAGGTAATATGGTGAATAGAGAGTGCTATGCGAGCATATTTACCTAGAGTAGAGTGTCAGGAAAGCTCCCTCAAGATGTTTAAAACCATGAGGATGTATTCCTACTGATGTAAAGAGAGCTAACAGAGTGAAATAATCTTCCATGCAACAAAGGATCTACCCCATAGGAAATGAAAATTAAACAGCTCATTATAGATCCTTCTGGACTTTTCTATGCCTCTACACATTGAAAAAAATGTAATCAAAGAATACCTATAGATTTAGAACCTGATTTTTTTTTCACTTTAAAGATTATGTGGCTATCCTTCCATTCCATTAAGTTTAAATCTGTTTCATCATTTTATTTATTTATTTAGGCAGAACCTCGCTCTGTCGCCCAGGCTGGAGCGCAGTGGCGCCATTTTGGCTCACTGCAACCTCCGCCTCCCGAGTTCAAGCGATTCCCGTGCCTCAGGCTCCTGAGTAGCTGGGATTACAGATGTGCGCCACCACGTCCCGCGAATTTTTGTATTTTTAGTAGAGACAGGTTTTCGCCATGTTGGCCAGGCCAGTCTCGAACTCCTGACCCCAGGTGATCCACCTGCCTTGGCCTCCCAAAGTGCTGGGATTACAGGTGTGAGCCATCTTGCACCCGGCCATATTTTAAAGTAGACTCATGGCATTCCATAACTTATGCGTATACTACGTACACACAAATAGACACACACATTTGAAATAATCTACTGAATAGACGTTTGAGTGGTTTTCTATTTTTCACTATCCCAAAAAAATCCTTCAACAGGCATTTCTTCACATTTGTCCATTTACTTCTTGGAATTAATTCCTGGAAATAAAATAGTTTACTAAGAGATTATTTTTGCCAAATGGTTGACCAGTTGCCCCCATGTCATTTAGTGAATATTCTTTCCTCACTACTTTGAAGTGCCACTGTTAATTACAACCTAAATTTGCATATACATATACATAGGTATACATACACGTATATATCTGTTTCTGAACATTCTCCTCTATTAATTATCTGCTTATTCCTAAAATATGCCACAGTTATAATCATTACATATTTAATATATTTGCCTTTTCATAAAGGAACCTCTCCTAATTCTCTTCTTTTTCAAAATTTTCAATATCATGGGTCTTTCCATTCAGAAATACTTGTTTTCTGTATCTTTAGATGCATTAACAATTTTTTTTCAGATCTGCATCAGCATCTGTAAAAAAAAAAAAAAAATCACATAGGTTTGCATAATCCTTGGGAAGTTTGTTCCTAGATATTTTATAGTTTTTTTGTAAGTGAGATATTTCTTATTGCTGTAATTTAGGAAAGCTATTGACTTTTGTTTATTTACCTTGTATCCTACCACACTATGAAAAAATGTCTTGTTAGTTCTAATAGCTTGACAGCTCATCTCTATGAATTTGTACACAGACAATCATTATCACCTGCAAATAATGCGTTTCTTTCTTCCTATTGCATTGGTCAAAACATCAGAAAAATGTTTAAGACTACAGGACAAGATAATGGATATCCAGCTTTAATGCAGTAAGGCAAGCATGTGCCCATTTGGTGCTAGTGCTAGTTGGTATTCTTTTTTTTTTTTTTTGAGCTGGAGTCTCGCTGTGTCGCCCAGGCTGGAATACAGTGGCACAATCTGGACTTACTGCCACCTCTGCCTCCTGGGTTCCAGCAATTCTCCTGCCTCAGCCTCCCGGGTAGCTGGGACTACAGGCACATGCCATCATGCCTGGCTAATTTTGTATTTTTAGAAGAGATGGAGTTTCACCATGTTGGCCAGGTTGGTCTCGAACTCCTGACCTCAGGTGATCCACCCGCCTCAGCCTCCCAAAGTGCTGGGATTACAGACGTGAGCCACTGCGCCTGCTAGTTGGTGTTCTGAAAATACACTATCATCTTTAAAGAAATTTTCTTCTATCCTGTTTTACTACATGCTGTTAAATCAGGAAAGAGTGCAAAATTTTACCAACTGTCTCTTAGCCTCTATCACTATATTTGTTTTTTACTCTGACTCTTTTATATAATGAATTATGCTCATTGATTTCCTAGTGTTCAACACATTCTTACATTTCTGAAATAAACTCTGCTTTGTCATGTTCTATTATTTTTTGATCAAATGAAAGCCATGCTGGGTTTGATTTGTTAATCTTTTATTTAGGATTAAAATGTATTTATAATTAATAAAATTGGTCCATTGTTACTGATTTTTGTGCTTGTCTGTAACAAGTTTTGGTATCAGAGTAATGCTAGCCTTGAAGAATGAACAGTAGCAGTTTAAGTAATTTAGGAACTAGCTCTTCCTTGAAGTTGGAAGCGAATTTTTACAAAGCAGGTTTAACTAGAAAGGTTAGAGCCAGGTCCTCAATCTTTTGTGAGGCTGGAGCTATACTTTGTTTTCTTGAAGATGTGGAGTTGCCTGAGCTGGTGGTAGGAGAGTGGGATGGAGAGAACACAACTGGTTTGAGTACATATTGAGTGAACAATTCCTTAAAATATACTGCTCTATACCTAAGTAACATGAAGGGAAGTGAAAACGGCTATACGAATTTTAGTGATTTTTTTGCTTATTTTTACTGCTTTAGGACCACTGAGTTAAACAGCAAGTATTGGAAGCGTCCTTAATGATTATTTAGCACACACAAAGTATTTAAACTTTTTTTAAATAAATGGCCACTATTTTAAAACTGGGAAATTTCAAATTTAATAATATGGGCCTCCAGTTTTGCTTTCACACTGTATTCCCATATGTCAACAACTGACTGAAGCCATGTTGACTCCTTTAGACTGGGAATGGGCTGTCAGTCTCGTTTAAATTACCTTCCTAGGCCCTTTCAGGTATTTGGGCTTATACCCAATGAGACACCTCTTATCTTGCTGAGGCAACATAATAGATCTAGGACTTCCTAAAATATCCTCACAGAAAACAACTTTACCGAACTCTCCCATAACTTACTCAAGAGTGAGCTCCATCACTGTAGCCCAAACTCTTGTGGTCTTTAGCAGATGATGGCAGTTCCCCCTTATCTGCAGGGGATACATTCCAAGACCCTCAGTGGCTGCATGAAACCACAGAAAGTACCAAACTTAGTATACACTTTTTTTTCCAACCTGATAACCAAGACAGCTACCAAGAAACTAATGGGCAGGCATAGCTCAGAGATATTTCCAGTCCACTTCCAGACTATCAGAATAAACCAAATATTATTATAAACCAAGTCATATAAATTTTTTGCTTTCCCGATGCATATAAATCTTATGTTTATACTATACTATAGTCCAGTAAGTGTGCAATACCATTATGTCTATAAAAAATGCTCATACCTTAATTTAAAAATACTTTATTGCTAAAAAATGCTAACAATCGGCTGGACCTGGTGGCTCACGCCTGTAATCCCAGCACTTTGGGAGGCCAAGGTGGGCAGATCACCTGAGGTCAGGAGTTCGAGACCAGCCTGGCCAATATGGTGAAACTCCATCTCTACTAAAAATACAAAAACTAGCCAGGCGTGGTGGCAGGCACCTGTAATCCTAGCTACTTGAGAGGCTGAGGCACAAGAATCACTTGAACCTGGGAGGCGAAGGTTGCAGTGAGCCAAGATCACGCCACTGCACTCCAGCCTGGGCAACAGAGTGAGACTCCTTCTCAAAAAAAAAATGCTAACAATCATCTGAGCCTTCAGCAAGTGATAATCTTTTTGCTGGTGGAGTTTCTTGCCTTGATCTTGATGGCTGCTAACTGATCAGGATGGTGGTTGCTGAAGGCTGGGGTGGCTACAGTAATTTCTTAAAATAAGACAACAGCAAAGTTTGCCACCATCAACTGACTCTTTCTTTCTTGAAAGATTTCTCTGTAGCATGTGATTTGGTTTGATAGCATTTTACCCACAGTAGAACATCTTTCAAAATTGAACTCAATCCTCTCCTCTCAAACTCTGTTGCTGCTATATCAACTGAGTTTGTGAAATATTTTCAGTCCTATGCTGACATTTCAGCAATGTTCACAGCATGATCGGCAGAAGTAGATTCTATCTCAGGAAACTTTCTTTGCTCATCCGTAAGAAGCAACTCCTCATTGGTTCAAGTTTCATCATGAGATTGCAGCAATTCAGTCACATCTTCAGGCTCCATTTCTAATTCTAGTTCTCTTGCTATTTCCATCACATCTGTAGTGACTGCCCTCCACTGAAGTCTTAAATCCCTCAAAGTCTTCCATAAGGACTGCAATCAACTTCTTTCAAACTCCTGTTAATGTTGGCATTTTAATCTTCTCCCATGAATCATGAATATTCTTAATATTATTTTCAATGGTAAATTATATACAAAAGGTTTTCAAATTATTTGTTCAAATCCATCAAAGGAATCACTATATATGGCAGCTATACCTTTACAAAATGTATTCCTTAAATAATAAGACTTGACAGTCAAAATAACTCCTTGATCTATGGGCTACAGAATGGATGGTGTGTTAGCAGGCATGAAAACAACATTAATTTCCTTGTACATCCTTATCTGTGCTCTTGGGTAACCAGGCACATTGTTAATGAGCAATAATATTTTGAAATAAATCTTTTTTTCTGGTGAGTAGATCTCAACAATGGGCTAAAAATATTCAATAAACCATGCTGTCAACAGAGGTGCTGTCATCTAGGCTTTGTTGTTCCATTTCGAGAGCACAGACAGAGTAGATTTAACATCATTCTTAAGGGCTCTAAGGTTTTCAGAAATGGTAAATGAACATTGCCTTCAACTTAGTCATCAGCTGCATTTGCTCCTAAAAAGAGAGTCAGCTTTTTCTTTGAAGCTTTGAGGCCAGGCATTGACTTTTACTCTCTAGCTATGAAAGTGCTAGATGGCATGTTCTTCCAATAGAAGGCTGTTTTGCTTACACTGAAAATCCGTTGTTCAGTGGAGCCACCTTCATCAATAATTTCAACTAGATCTTTTGGATCACATGCTGCAGCTTCTCCACCAGCCCTGTTGCTTCACCTTGCACTTTTATGTTATGGAGATGGCTTCTTTCTTTTTTTTTTTTTCTGTTTTGAGACAGAGTCTCACTCTGTCACCCAGGTTGGAGTGCAGTGGCACCATCTCGGCTCACTGCAAGCTCTGCCTCCCGGGTCTACACCATCCTCCTGCCTCAGCCTCCCGAGTAGCTGGGACTACAGGTGCCCACCACCATACCCAGCTAATTTTTTTGTATTTTTTTAGTAGAGACAGGGTTTCACCGTGTTGGCCAGGATGGTCTTGATCTCCTGACCTCGTGATCCACTCACCTCAGCCCCCCAAAGTGCTGGCATTGCAGGCATGAGCCACTGCGCCCGGCGCATGGAGATCTCTTCTTTCTTAAACCTCATTAACCAACCTCTGATAGCTTCAAGCCTCTTCTGCAGCTTCTTCACTTCTCTCAGCCTTCATAGAATTGAAGAGAGTTAGGGCCTTGCTCTGGATTAGGCTGTGTTGTGGCTGGTTTGATCTTCTATCCAGACCACTGAAACTTTCTCCATAGCAGCAATACAGTTTTTTTCACTTTCTTATCATTGTGTGTTTACTGGAGTAGCACTTTTAAGAATTTTCCCTTTGCATTCACAACTTGGCTGTTTGGTACAACAGACCTAGATGTTGGCCTATCTTGGCTTTTGACACACTTTCCTCACTAAGCTTAATCATTTCTAGTTTTGATTTAAAGTGAGAGACGTGTGTTCTTCCCTTTGCTTAAACACTTAGAGGCCATTGTAGGGTTATTAATTGGCCTACTTTCAATATTGTTGTGTCTCAGGGAATAAGGAGGCCCGAGGAGAGGGAGAGACACAGGGAAAGGGCTGGTTGATGGAGCAGTCAGAACACACACATTTATCAGTTAAGTTTGCTATCTTATATGAGTGCGGTTCATAACATCTTGAAACAATTCTAATAGTAGCACCAAAAATCACTGATCCCAGATTACCATGACAGATAGAATGATAATGAAAAATTTGGATTATTGTGAGCATTACCAAAATGTGACACAGAAACATAAAGAGAGCACATGCTGTTAGAAAATCGGAACTGATAGACTTGCTTGAGCAGGGTGCCACAAACTTTCAGTTTGTTAAAAAAAAAAAAAAAAGAAAAAGGAAAAGAAAAAAAAAAGCAACATCTGTGAAACATGATAAAGCAAAGTGCAATAAATAAAAGAAGGTGCGCCTGCAGACACCATGGAAATAGTGACTAAAGGGAGGATTCACATCTTGGGGAAAACGGGAAGGGAATGGCATGAGATTTCATTATGCTACTCAGAATGGCATGCAATTTTAAACATGAATTATTTATCTCTTGAATCTTAATATTTTCAGGTGATGGTTGACAGCGGAAAACTGAAATCGCAGGAAGTGAAATTGGGGCTGGGGGAATACCATTGTATAGTTGGTTCTCCATACCCATGGGTTACACAATCATGCATTCAACCAACCATGGATCAGAAATATTGAGAAAAAAATAGATGGTTGTGTCTGTACTGACCATGGACATTTTTTTTCTTGTCATTATTCCCTGAACAATACAGTATAACAACTGTTTACGTAGCATCTGTACTGTTGTTAGGTAATTTAAAGTATACAGGAAGATATGTGTAGGTTATATGCAAATATGTGTTAGTTATATGCATCATTGTATATCAGGGACTTGAGCATCCCAGGATTTTGGTATCCGAGGAAGGTTCTGGAAGCAACTCCCCATGGATATCAAGAGATGACTGTACTCTCTGTGTGCAAGGCCTGCAATTTCCCCTGATACGTAGCCTAACGCAGGGTATGTATCATCATAGTTCCTTCTGCTTCATAGTTCCAGGCAAAGAGCCACTGCAGTAGAAACTATGCATACTGACCAGGGTCACCAGTTTTCTCAGGAAAACTAAACATTTTACTTTATCTTTCATATTTTCTACATGTGTTCTGGGTGGAAATGTCTTAAGCCATGCTAAACCCGGCCCAGGAATCATGAGTGATGGCAGCCCTCCCTGGAACCCCATGAAGTTTGTTAGATTTTCAAATGCTGAGAGAGTTAGGAGGAAATTCCCAAGGGGAAATGAAAATCATCAGACGGAGAAAACAGGTAGATGGATGAAGAGAGCAGCAAGGTGAATTTGCGAGAAAAAAAATCAATCTCTTCTAAGACAATAGAAGGAGGAAAGAGAACGGAGTAAGTGGTGAGATGCAGGATACAGTATTACCTATCATTTTACTGTTATTATCATAACTGTTTTTATCCATAAAGGTCACATTTACAACCAGAATTTGGGGAGCTGTAGGAAAGGATATGGGAGACAGGCTGGATTCGACAGAAAGGAAGAAGGCGCAAAAGGAAAGCCAAGGGGGCCAGGAGAGGGTGAGGGAGGAAGGGGAGAGAAAGCTGCATTTGTGCCCATCCGCCTTGAATATAAAGACCCAGCCTCCGTCTGAAAAAGAGCCAACAATGAGGCAGCCCCAGAATCAGCCCTGCTGTTGAAGTCTGACACGTTAACAACCCCAGCAGGAATTAAGAGGTGAAATAAGCAGATGAAACATTCACCGAAGCCGAGATAAGCATTCCTGGAAAGGAATTTTTCAAAAAATCAAAATGAATCTCACAAATCTTCCTAATTAGGAAACATGACAAGGAATTAAATTCAACCTAAAAAAAAATGAAGTGCTAAATAACTCACCCACACTAAATGGAAAGGCTCTATTGAGAATACCACTGATTATTAGTTTTCGCTGCTCCGGGAAATTATCTACGCACAATGATGGACATCAGCATTCAGCTCACAGCGGCAGTCAAAAGCAGCAGCTGAGATGTGTGGCCATCCTAATTAGAGGATGGAGAATTCTGAAAAGACTCTGGAGCTGTGACATTCCTGGCTGGGGCTTTCCTTCCAGGAATGCCACATTAGGGTTTTGGTCATCACGTTGTAAAAAAAAAAAAGGACTTAATAGGAATGATCCAGAAAGGGACAACAGAAATGACTTAAAAAAGAGCGTGAGAAGCTTTGAGGTTCAGAACAGAAAACAGGAAAAGACTTCCATAAGAAATAATTTTTAAAATTAGGAGAGAAGGAGGTAAGTAAAAGCCTCGGGTGGTGGAAAGGGCAGCCAAAAGGTATACTGCCTGGACTTAGGTCACTCCAGACATGTGAGGGTTTAGCCTGTTTCTAATGAGCACACCCAGGGGTGTCAAGAAATTACAACAGATTATCTAATATGAATTAGCCTTCAATTCTTCATTCAATAAATATTTAGCAAGCACCCTCCACGTTCCAGGCACTGTCTGTAGCCTCTTGAATAGATCAGGGAACAAAATAGATTTTAAAAGCCTCTGCCTTTATGGGATTTACATGCTAGTGGGTGGGCAGGCCTTGGGGTAGGGACATGTGGAGATAGACAATAATAGATAATAAATAAGTACATCGTATAGTGTGTTCTAAGGTGATAAGAACTATAGAAAAAAACATAGATCAGGATAAGGAATGTTGGGAGTACTCAGGATGCCCCTCGTTGAGAAGAGAACATTTAAGGAAAAACTTGGAGGAGGTAAGGAAGTAAAAGTAATAGATATCTAGACAAAAGGTATTCCATGCAGAGGGAGCAGCTGGTACAAGCTTCCCAAGCAGCAATATGCCTCACATGCTAAGGAAGAGTGAGGGGAGAGAGAGAGAGAGAGAGAGAGAGAGAGAGAGTGTGTGTGTGTGTGTGTGTGTGTGTGTCTACGTGTGTCTATGTGTGTTTGGAAAATTAGGAGTGGGAGGATGATATGCAGATTGAACAGGGCGTGGTATAATAATTAACAAATACTTACATTTAGTAAGCAGTGTTATAAGTGACACTTATAACAACGTCAGGCAGTTAGTATGTGCCTGACGCTGTTATAAGCTCTGTTAACAAATATAATTCGCACAAGCACCCCACGGAAGTAGCTACTCTTATTACCCTCATTTTACCTCTAAGGGATCTGAGACACAAAGAGATCAGTTAGCCTGTCCAAGGTCAAGCACTGGAGCCTTGGTGCGTGGATTTAGAGCCCACGCTCCTAGTTGCTGCCTCATGCCATCTCTCAATGTGGTTTTAAGCCATCTACTTCTGATTCCAGTTCTGATTACTTAACCTCGATTGGATTCCAGTGTACTCCCTAGGATAAATTTATGTTTCTCTTAAAAAAAAAAAAAAGCAGCGTGGCTCACTGCTTTATCACTCATGACCTTTCCTGGCCCTTTGTTCCTTTCCCCTACCAATTCATGAGCCGCTATTTTCTGCTAGTTTATCCCTGAAGTCCATTATTTCTGCCCAGCAAATAAAGCAAATGTCTATGGATAGAACTTCAGTTCAGTTTGTGAGGGAGTAGGGGTGGTGCTTCTCTGGTTTAATAACGCCCTACAGATAACTAAGAGGCAGGACAGGGCATACACTGAGTTAAAAGCTAGGTGTCACTATTTCTTATACTCCAAAAGGCACTGTGTGGAGGGGTGTGTTTTAACACAACCATCACCAGCTCCAGCTTCTCAAGATCTCTGTCCTGTTTTCTCAAGACACAGCACTTTTATGCTGAAAACCATTGAAATGTAAAGCCATTGAACTTTAAATGGATGAGTTATACGTGAATTACACCTCAACAAAGCTGTTAAAACAATTACATAATTTTTGTAAATGTCAAGATCTTGGCTTTTACCTCCCCTGTTGACCTCCCTGCCTGACTTCCGTCCTCCCTCACATACCTTCAGGGGGCACAGAACCATACTCAGAAAGAGGATCACCATTCCAGAACCCCAAGCACTCCATCCAACATTACAACTTTGTTTTAACTCCAGGGATTACAGCAGTATGCCAAGGAAAATAAATGACTCTTTACCATTAGATCTTCAGTACCAATTTTCCTTATTAGAAAAAAAAAATCTAACTTTTTTTTTTTTTCTTTTTTTGAGATGGAGTCTCGCTCTGTCGCCCAGGCTGGAGTGCAGTGGCCCGATCTCGGCTCGGCTCACTGCAACCTCCACCTCCCGGGTTCACGCCATTCTTCTGCCTCAGCCTCCCGAGTAGCTGGGACTACAGGCACCCGCCACCATGCCTGGCTAACTTTTTTGTATTTTTAGTAGAGACGGGGTTTCACTGTGTTAGCCAGGATGGCTTCGATCTCCTGATCTCGTGATCCACCCGCCTCAGCCTCCCAAAGTGCTGGGATTAGAGGCGTGAGCCACCGCTCCCAGCTTCTAACATTATTTTTAATGTTAAAGCAAATGTGTATATTATGAAGCAGAAGGCAATATTCACTTACATAGGGCTTTTTAAAAATTTTTGAGACAGAGCCTCCCTCTGTCACCCAGGCTGGAGTGCAATGGCGTGATCTCGGCTCACTGCAACCTCCACCTCCTGGGTTTGAAGTAGGTTCTTGTGTGTGGTTAGCTGCTTTAAGCTGGAGTGGGAACAGTGTATGTCCTCTGCCAGTTGTGGAGACAGAGAGATTGAGATACACTGTCAGTGGCTAAAACAGGAGACTCAGGAACTGATCCAAGCTCAGTACCGCTATATTATGTGATATTGTGCATAACATCCCATTTTGGGGCCTCAGTTTCCCAACTAAAAAATGAGATGATTGAACCAGGTGATCTCCAAGGTTGCTGCCATCTCTCAAAGTCCATGATTTGGTGTCATACTGACACAAATCAGATTCTGGGCTCAGATTCATCAGCACCAAGATGCCCAGAGATGTAGGAAGCAAAAGATACAGTCCCTGTCTTTGTGGAATTTTTCATCTACTGAGGGAGACTATGAAGTGAATTTACAAACCATCCAAAGGACACAAGAGGCAAGAAGCAGCTGAGAATCATGAGTGATTAGAAATCTGGTGCAGATCACTCGCTTTGAGTCAACTGTGCAGCTAAACGACAAGGAGACTCTTACCCTGCCAACCCCTGCGCCCTTTGGGCCAGGATAACTTGACACAAAGGCACTTGCTGTTGACCTTGTGCGTGGCCCCAAATCACAGAGTAAGAAACTCTCAGAGCAGGAAAGGGATGTTAGCTATGAACAAATCCAAAACCCTCCATCTACATTCAGGATTTGGGATAATGCTCGCATCACACTTAGAGTATTTTTATTCGATAGAAGGTTCTTAACATTAACTCAAATCTTAAATAATCCTAAAATTGGAAGAGAAATATATCCTTCTCTTCAAAGCCCAATACATTAAATATGGAATGATTTTAAGACAAGTCTTATTATGACATAGGGTTGAACAAGATCTGCCTGGCAGCCACTTATTGAAAAGCATTGCTCTGAAAAAAATTAACTTCTACCCTTCATTGTAGGGTATTTATGCGTTTTCTTATGTCATCATTTCAGATCCTTTCCTGCTCCCGAAGCTACGGCAGAGCATTTCCGTAGGTCTCCAGTCACATGTCTTTGCTTTTCTGAACATACCAGGAGATCTATGAAAGTGAAACTAAAAGGAAATAGAAAGGAAAAACTGCTTCTGATCTCTCTCATCCAACTATTTCATTTTCATTTGTTCTAGGAGAATTTCTTCCAGCTCTAGCCTCCTGGATTTACGCATATTCTGGGGACTAGACTAAAAACCTCTACCTCTGGCAGGCATCTTGGGGAAGTCTTGCCTAGATGACATTTGACCTTTGGGGTTTCTTCCAATCCAGATATTCTAGGGTGCAGAAAGGAGTAGTGGTCCCTCACAGATCGCCCAAAATGGATTTTTTCCACCTAATTGGAAAATATGCTCATTTCTAACACAAGATGGCGCTGGGACACAGGCAAGAACGTTTCTGATTAAAACAAAACCAAATGAAACAAAACAAAACACAAAGCAAAACAATCCATGAGCACAAAAGTTCTAATAAGCCAGAGAATTATTTTGTTTCTGGACAAGACCAGCTTTTGTTGAGCACATTTTAGAACAGCTTTCTGGAGTAGCAATAATCTAATTGAGCTGCTTTACCCTAAATCAACCAAATGGTCAGGACTGAATTAAAGTAGTACAATGTATCCTTAGGAATAAAGTATTTAAAAAGAACTCTAAATCCCTTAACTACGCAGGGTCAAAACCAGAGATAAGTGGTCAGGGGACTTAGTTGAACACTATCATCAAAAGTGATGTCTTAAATTCTTACTCTGATATGGGATGGGGTCTTTACCAGTTGAATAATTCTGATATGAATTCAGTTGCCTTAATAAAATTATCTTTTTTTTTTTTTTTTCTTAGAGACAAGGTCTCACTATGTTACCCAGGCCGGTCTCAAACTCCTGGCCTCCCATAGTGCTGGGATTACAGGTGTAAAGCACCGTGCCCAGCCTCATTTAAAATTAAATGAGCTCTTCTACTTCATAATAGAGCAGATTGTTTTAACTTGTTTGCACTTATTTGAGGATTATTTGATGAAGCAATTGAGGAATAATTCACAATTTGAACTATAACCACCAAACAAGTTCTGTTAAGCTAACACCTAAGTTGAGTTTTAGTGTTGTTTTTTTGTTGTTGTTCTTTTGTTTTGTTTTGTTTTGTTTTTGAGACAGAGTATGGTTGTATCACCAAGGCTGGAGTGCAGTGGCATGGCTCACTGCAGCCTCAACGTCTGTGTTCAAGTGATCCTCCTGCCTTAGCCTCCCGAGTAGCTGGGACTATAGGTGTGCATCACCATGCCCAGCTAATTTTTTATTTTTTGCAGAGATGGGGTATCATTGTGTTACCCAAGCTAGTATCAATCTCCTGGGCTCAAGCGATCCACCTGCCTCATCCTCCCAAAGTGAGAATTTATTGGGAAAGGAACTTATTATCTGTCTTCCTCCTAACCCCCACAATAATCTCCTCCACATGAACAAGTGGTTGGCCAGTCTGTTTAGAATCTTGTAGTAACAGCAAACTGACCACTCAGGAGAAGCAGCCCATTCTATCTCTAGACGGTTCTAAGGTTAGAATAGTCTTCTTTAGATTAAGCCAAAGCATGGCTCTTTATAATTTGTGCTCATATATCTCCATTCTTCCTTTTAGAGGAATGCAGTATAACCTTCTTTTGTAATATGACTGCTCCTCAAATTTGTGATGATTTGGGCCTTCTCAGTCAAAAACAGCATCCGTTTCTGCAGTAATTTTTCATATGACATCTTTTCTAGCTCTATCTTGGATATCTTTCTTTGATTTATCTTAAAGTGTGTTCTGATCTCACAGCCAGTGGGCCTATGTTAGTTGCCTGGATTTAAGTAGTATGCTTCTATGAATGCAGCTGAAATTTGGTTAATTTTCTGCACAGTTATGTCACACCGTTTTCCCTTTAAAGCCCCCGGTCAACTAAAACTCCCAAGCCACTAATGTGGATGTAGCAAAATCTACCCGCCCTTACATAAACAGTTGACGTTTAGAATTAAAATGCAGACGTTACGCCCTGTGATACCATGAGGATTTCAGTTCATAGCTGTGGGCTGTTAAAATTACTTAGAGTAATTTCATTCAGACTCTGGTGCCAGACATACCTGGATCCAAAAGTTTGTTCCTCCCTCATAAGCTATGTCATCTTGGGCAGTTGACTTGATCTCTTAAAACATCAGCTTTCTTATCTCTAAAATGCAGATAATATTGCTACTTTTCTCATAGGGTGGTACAATTTATATGTGATGATTTCGTGCAAAAAGTATATTTAGCACAATTCATGGCACGAAGTAAGTTCTCAATAAGTGTTTATTGTTACTATTATTAGTATTAGCCCATCATCCTTCAAATCAACTATCCCTCCTTGTCCATGTCATAGGAATATCTGACAAGCATGTCCTCTAAGGCAGATAAAAATATTACTGTTAGGGAAATTTAAAAGACAGAATCTGCATGACTCGCCACCATAGTTTCCCTCAGGCTGGTCTACGAACTAATCAGCACCATGTAGGTATAATTCCTACCCTAGCCATGGTTGCACCCACTGGCTATCAGCCAGTTCATGTCTTATGGCAAGGTAATTATAAAAGTTCTTGTCAAAGGCCATGCTGAAAGAAAGTATGGTTTTGATGCCTCTTCTTTCTACCAATCTAATATCCTTATCAAAAAAGGAATAAATGAAGACATGTTTTGTTTCTGAGGTTTGGGGTTGGCTCTGAGTGATCTCTGCTTTTCTAAAGACTTACAAAGAGTCTATTTAATAATCTGTTCAGTTGATGGGTTAAAGTGGTGAAATTGTGGGTTATTTCCCCCTTCTTTCTATTATTATAATAATGTTTGTGGAGTAAATAGCCTTTTAAAATTCTGTTCTAGAATTCTGCCAGGGATAATTGTCAAGCTGACTGGCTTATAGTTTTTATAATATGCCCCTTTCCCCCTTTTTGAAAATGGGGACAACTCTGTCCTTCTCTTGTCTGTTAACAGTTCTCCTATTCTCCATGCTTTTTCAAGGATTATTGACAATGGTTCTGGGAGTTCTTTGAGTAACCTGGGACGTGATTTGTCTAAGTCTGGAGATTTGAATTTATTAAGGGGGGTGAAAAGAACACCACACTCGTTTCTAGCTCTGGCTTTGCCATTTACTAGCTGAGTGAGCGTGGGCAGGTTTTGATTTTGTTTTAGCCTAAATATCCCCATCTGTGAAAGAAAGCATTTGTATCAGATGAAGTTGAAGGTCCCTTCAAGGTCTAACGGCCTATGTTCTATGTCTCAAGTAATCTGACATTTTCTTACTAAGTTTTCTCATTTATCCTGGCTTTTAGTTTCCCCTGAATAAAATGTGTCCTACCCTTTTTTTATTTTGAAATGCATTTTGGCTTAGAATTCCGATACCTCAGTGTGACGCTCAGGGTGCAACACTCTTGGTCCCCACTTTTTAGTCCAATTTTATCTCCTACTTCTCCCAGGTTCAAACCTGCTCTCCATGCAGATGGACTCAGCCACTCTTTCTGAATATGCACGTGCATGTCCCTCCCAGTCCTTCTGCTAAGGTTACTTCCCTAAAGTAGAATATCTCCCGGCCACGTCTCTCAGTCAGATTCTACCCCTCCTTTAAAGCCCCGTTTACTTACCAATTCTCTTTTGGGAAGTGTTTCCTAACTACTCCACATCATGATACACTCCTTTCTCTAAATTTCTTTCTTTCTTTTTCTTTTTTTAAATTTCTTTGTGACAGAGTCTCGCTCTGTCCCCCAGGCTGGAGTGTGAGATTAAATTTATGTTAGGCTAACATGAGCTTTTACTTATTTATTTATTGTAAGACAGAGTCTCACACTTTCACCCAGGCTGCAGTGCAGTGGCGCAGTCTCGGCTCACTGCAAGCTCTGCCTCCCAGGTTCCTGCCATTCTCCTGCATCAGCCTCCCAAGTAGCTGGGACTACAGGCGCACGCCACCACGCCTGGCTATTTTTTTGTATTTTTAGCAGAGACGGGGTTTCACCTTGTTAGCCAGGATGGTCTCGATCTCCTGACCTCATGATCTGCCCGCCTCGGCCTCCCAAAGTGCTGGGATTACAGGCGTGAGCCACTGCACCCGGCCCTCCTTTCTCTAAATTTCTAATGCATTCAGTGCAGATCATCTGATACTAAAAAATAATATTATCTGTGACATCTGGGTGTGGAAATGTTGAATTGTATTGTTATTGATCTGCATGTCTTGGGGGGTCCTCTCTCCCAGCTCTCCTTGCCTTTCCCACATTGAGTACTGTTCTGGGGATGCTTAATAAACATGGAGAAATACTGAATGAATTTGAAGCCATTATATATAATTTTTCTGATCAGAGCATTTGGGTAACTATGTAATACATGGTAGTTTCTCTTTCAATTTAGGAGTAACAGAAAGGTGAGCCATTGCTCAGGTAGCTTAATACTAGAAAGCATGTTATTTTAAAACGTATAATAATCCTTTATCTGAATAAAAGGATTTATTATACAATTGATAATGAAGTTCTTAAACTAGCTCACTTTCCTCCCCTGTCACCATAGATAAGGGATTTGAGAAAAGTTGCAGAATACACACAATTACTAATTGAACTCATCGATGCCAACCCTATCCTAATCTAACTTTCCCTATATTGGCCAAGACAGCCTAAATCTTTGGGTTGGAGGCCAGGTTTACATTTTATCTAAAAAGTGGCATAGTTACAGTTTTTAATAATAGAGAAACTATTTTTGTGTGTTCGATATCATACCAGATATACATCCCAGCAGACATGGATTGTTTAAATATGTGAGCGCGTGGAAAGGGAGGATTGGCCTCCCTGACCCCCAACACTGTGAAATGCTTGTTCCTAGTAAATTATAAGTTGCAATAAGTCAGTTAACACCGTAGAATCACACCATTGTCCTAATAGTAAAATAGCTGTGAGAAAAGACTTGTGATAAGATTGTAACATAGGAAAAATAATGCCTTTCCAAAAATCAACAGTGCACAAGCTCACAAAGCATGCCAGAAACAAAGCAGAGACAAGAAGTCATTCAATTGTTCAACATGTGCTGCTGAGCATCTACTGTGTACCAAACCCTGTTGAGAACATGGGCATTAGGGACGTGGAGTTATATAAAAGATATATAGGCCAGGCACGGTGGCTTACGCATATAATCCCAGCACTTTGGGAGGCCGAGGTGGGTGGATCACGAGGTCAGGAGATCGAGACCATCCTGGCAAACACGGTGAAACCCCATCTCTACTAGAAATACAAAAAAAAAAAATTTAGCTGGGTGTGGTGGTGGGTGCCTGTAGTCCCAATTACTTGGGAGGCTGAGGCAGAATGGCGTGAACCCGGGAGGCGGAGCTTGCAGTGAGCTGAGATTGTGCCACTGCACTCCAGCCTGGGGGACAGAGCAAGATTCTGCTTCAAGAAAAAAAAAAAAAAAAATATATATATATATATATATATATATAGAGAGAGAGAGAGAGAGAGAGAGACAGAGAGAGAGAGAGAGAGAGAGACCTTGCTCACAAAAAGGTCACATGCCATCTTAAGGGAGAGACAATCAAATAAACAGATCACACTCCGTGGGATGACAGGTGCTACAATAGTGATTTGTGTCTCCACTGTGGCCAGGGGCTGATACCAAAGGAGAAATGCAGGACAAAGTGAGGATCTTATTTCCTGGGCGGCATGCCCAGTCCAGCACTCACAGACACCCTTCTTCCTATTCCAGAGTCCTCCTCACACACATGAGAAGAGGCTCTAGCTTCCTTTGTGGTCACTACCTCTAGTCTTCAATCACCAAGAAAAAGTCAGGAGTTGAAAGGCCAAACCGTGTACCATTATAAGCAAAGCTGCAAACTGACAAGTCAGTCCAAGGCTTACAAAGCAGTGTTTGTACGGTGCTTTCATAGGCTTGGTTGGGGGTGATAAGTACAAATTTCCCACGCAAATATATGTAAAGCTGGTGTTTAGTAAGCTTGTAATAAACGGGAGTGTTTATAACTGCTAAACATAATGATAACACTGGAACTCTTTACAAGAAAGCAAAACTAAAAGTGTGTGAAGAAACTGCCCGGCCACGTGCTGGGCTGTCCCCATCATCAGGCCCGGGAACGTAAACTCCTGCACCTTAGCTCCCTCGTGATCGACAGTCATCCAGAAAGCATATCACCTAAGCCACATCTCCCCCTTTTCCCAAAGCCCTGTCAAAGCTCGTCACTTTGAGTCAAGGAAAGCACTTGCCCTGGGAAGTCCTTCCTGTGAAGCCACCCTTATCCCTGCCATGCCTGAGCCCCAGACCCTCAACCCACCTCAGCCTCCGTCCAGTTACAAATCCCAGGCCAGTCCATCGCCTGGACTCTGGCTTCCCCACCCAGTTTCTCCTCTTCTGCTCTGCCTTGTCACCTCCTTTCCTCCTTGCTCTCCTGCTGCATCGCTCGGGAAGAAAGCCTGCTCCCCGAGAGGCTGGGCAGCAGAGGTACGACCATGCTCTCCTTCTACCTGAGAAAACCCAGGCCCAGGGAAGCCTCGCCCCTTGTCCAGGGTCACATTTCTTGTAAGTATTACATACTAAATATGTAATACATGGGACATGCAGGGACTTGAAGCCATTTCATTCTACTGTGAATAGTAGAATATTATGTTTCAGGGTCTAGACCCGAAGTCATCAGCTCCAAGAGGAGACTCTAAGATTTCTCATGGTGACTAGAAGCCTGTTAGAACACCTCCTAGAGACACACAATTGCATCCAGACTTAGAGGCATGTGGGAAAAGTAAATAAGAAAGGGAATGAGGAAAGTAACACAAGATATCATTTATATGTTCTGCTTCAAATTGTCTTTTCTGAGGGGTTTTTAGGACACAATACATCACACTTCCCTGTCCCTTGTTGTATTCAATCTTTCCAAAAGCTATGGCAGTAATGAAGGGTCTGGAAATGTCCTTCCACCTGCCATGTGAAGCTTCCAGCTGAGCTACAAGGAAAACCTAGACAGACAATCTTGAGAACCACGTGGGTGCACCATCACCTCCAGAGTCTCTTGGCCCTTTCTCTCCGTGATCTCGTCCACTCCATGAGTCCTTCTGATGTCATGCTAGAACTCCCGTAAGATTGTGTGCTTGGTCCTTAGAGCCTCCGTATGTTTTTCTTTCATTCCATAGGAGCACTATTTCAATGGGTATGGCCTCACACCCTCCTCCTGTCTCCATTTCCTTTAATCACATCTTAAGCCCCTGCAATTGGGCATCTGCCCAAACTCCTCTTCTGTACCTGCTCCCTCAATAGCCAGTGACCTTCTTCCCAAATCTGGTGATATTTCCAAGCCTCCCCTCTTCCCAGGCCTCCCTGAAGCAGGTGGCCCAGCTGATGTCTCCTTCCTTCAGGAAATTGTCTACATCTGGTCCTCTCTTGCATGCTCAGTTGTATTCCCTTCTTTAGGGAAGAAAGTAGGCTATGAACTAGCAAAGCAATGCCCTATTTCTGCCTTTGCTGCTTCCTGCTCCACCCTGACACATACTCTCACTCTCTCTCACTCTCTCTCTCTCTCTCCCTCTCTCTCTCTCTCTCTCTCTCTCTCTTTCTCTCTCTCACTGCTCCCTAAGTCCCTGAGTGTCGGTGTCCTGCAAGTCTCACTCCTTGGCCTGCGCTCTCCTCATTCTCAATAGGCTCATCCAGTCTCATGATTTTAGCCTTCAGCCCTGATGGCAACTCCCAGTCTTTGCTCCTAACTGTGACTCTCAGGTGTACTCTGTCTCATGGTTTGTTTATTTATTTATTTATTTATTTATTTATTTTTGAGACAAGGTCTTACTCTGCCCCCAGGCTGGAGTACAGTGGCTCAATCATAGCTCACTACAGTTTGGATCTCCCAGGGTCAGGCGATCCTCCCATCTCAGCCTCCCAAGTAGCTGGTACCACAGGCATGTGCCACCATACCTGGCTAATTTTTTTAATATTTTGTAGAGATGGAGTCTCAAGATGTTGCCCAGGATGGTCTCGAATTCCTAAGCTCAAGCTATCCTCCCACCTCCGCCTCCCAGAATGCTGGGATTATAGGTGTGAGCCACTGCACCTGGCCCTGTCTCATGGTTTAAAGCATTCCTCCACTTGATGTCTTTCGGATTCAGTTACAAGGAGGGATAAATACACTCCTTACCAACCAAAAGCTCCATGAGCCTTTGGACCTGGCCCTTTGAGTTCTATCCTGCCACACCCCATTTTTGGCTTGTTGAGGAGACCAGCTATTGCTATCGGCTTCTGTCAATCGACTTACCAGTCACTCTGTGTCTCGCTTTTATACCATTACCATGGATGAGGTAGCTCTCTTCCTGACAAAGACCACCCTGTCCATGTGCGCCCCAGATCCCACCACTATCCTAGCATTCTCCCCTCTCTTCTGAATCATCAGCTCTCCTCTCTATACGGGATGAATCCCATGAGCCTTCAGACCTGCTCCCATCTTACACATGCACGCACGCACACACACACAGGACACCGCTCTTAACCCCACTTCCTCCCGTTTCTCTCCTTCTCTACACAGCAAAACTCCTCTAAATAGTTGTTCTTGCTCACCATGTCAGACCTCTCTTCTCCCACATCCTCTGTTGGAGTCATTCTAATTAGGACTTCACAGCACCCAGGCCCTCCTACTCTCTCTCCGATGCACAAACCACCAGCGCCAAAACTGTTCTTATCAAGGTCACCAATCATCTCTTCACCATGACATCCTATGGTCATTTCTAAGTCCTCATCATCCTGGACACCTCAGGTAACACATGGCACAGTTGATCTCTCCATTCTTCTGGAATACATTTTCCTCACTTGGCCTCTGAGAAGACTTCCCCCCCAGGTTTTCCTCCAGCTTTCCTGGATACTCCTTTCCAGTTTCCTTGCTGATTCCATCTCAGGTCCCCACCTTGTAATGTTAGAATGCCCAGAGCCCAGTACTCCGATCTCTTCTTTTTTCTAATTCTACTCTCTTCTTTGGTGATCTCATTCGGTCTATGAGTTTTAAACATAATCAATATGGTTTTGATGCCCATGTTTATAATTACACATGCACATGCCCAATTGCCTATTCACAATCTCTATTTGAATGTTTAATCGGTATCCGAATGTATCAAAAAACAGAACTCCTGGTCTGGATGCCAAACCTGCTCCTTCCACAGCCTTTCCCAGCTCGGTTAATGGCCATGGGTCTGGTTGCTCAAGCTTAAACCCTTAGAGCTTCCTCTCACATGTGCTCTCTCTCTTTTGATGCCTCTGCAAATCCTGTTCACTTTACCTTCAAATTATGTGCAGAATAGAACCATGTTCTGCTGTTTCCAAGGCTACTCCCTAGCCCAGCCACTATGTGACAGCCCCCTAACTGCTCTCCCGCTTCTGCCCTAGCTGCCTACATACTATTCTCAACAGAATTCTCAGTGTTATCCTGTTCAACTATAAGCTTGATCATGTCACTTCCCTGCCTCCCAGGATAATAAGAGCAAAAATCAGTATTCAACACGATGTCCTGCAAGTCCCTCCACAGTATGGGCGCTTGTCACCTGTCAGACTCCATGTCTAATGGCTGTCTCTTTTGCATACTCTGCTCCAGCCATCCTGGCCTCTGCTCGCCCTAAAACATGCCGGGCACAGTCCACCTCGGGGTCTATGCACTTGTTCTTCCCTTCACCTGGAATGCTTTTCTTCAAAAAATCCCCATGGCTTGCTTTCTTACTTCCTTCAGGCCTGAATTGAAATTTCACTTTCCCTGTGAAGAGGCCTTGATTACCTTCTTTAAATACCCCCCTCTCCCAGCCTCAAAGTTTCATAACCATCAGTTACCCTGCTTGATTTTTCCCACAGTCTTATTACCAGTTGACCAAAGATATTTACTTACTTGGTTTTTTCACTTGTCTATCTCTCCTTACTGAAATGTAAGTTCCATGATGGCAGGGATTTTTGTCTGTCTGGTTCAATTCTGAATTCTCATTGCCTAAACTGTGTCCGACATGTAGTGTGTGCATAATAAATACATATTCACAGAGTGACTGAATGAATGGATGGATCTCTCCCTTCAAAATGATATTCAGATTCCCTCTATAGTCTTCATTCTAACTACCAGCCCCCATTCTGGACTTACCCCTTGAGGTCTGTGTTTCTGTGATGTTCTATGCACTGGGTATCCCTCTAACACCAGAACCAAGATGAAAAAACAGATTTCCTGATCCTCAGCCTAGGTTCTGTCCACTCTATGATCTACGACGTGCATATTTTCAATGGTCTGTTAGTGGTGTCTAACCACGAAGGCAGGCTTAGCCAGACATTCTGATCGTGCCCAAGAGTCCTATTTAGAAGGTCATATGAACAGGCTCTCTTGCCCATACATACAGGCTTTAAAAAGTTGAATGATGTTCTTGTTAGACTCTGTGGTTTAAGAAACACAGTGCAAAAGGGAGTCCATTATTGGGAATGGAGGATCCTGGGACAAGCTGAGTGAAACAAGCACACTCTTTTTCGGAACCTCTTAAGATTCTGGGAGGCCCTTTCCAGGGGAATAATAAGGCCGAATTGAGTGCAAGAGACATATCTTTGATTTTCATAACCTTTGCTCCCTTCTTTTCCATATGGCAGAAGGCTTTCTCTCAGAAACCAGGAAAAACAATGGAGTATCAGCATAGCCTAAGGCAGTGCAAACTCAAACATCTAACAGGACCAAGCGGGGAATATAAATGAGGGGGAAGGTGGGGATTGGGGCAACCTGGAGAGGGCAGATCGCCACTACTCCACTTGGCCAATGGTTTCCATGGGGGAAATGTAGGGCCAGAGGTTCTCAAAAGTAGCTAGGATTCTAGAAGTGAACGTAAAATCTCCTAAGTTATAAATGTCGGCAATAAATCTAAACATTTTTTTAAATGCCATAGGGTCCAAAAAACACATCTTTGGGTGGAATGGTTTTGTGAGCTGCTTACCTATACCCGTAATGTAGGAAAAAGCACATGAGCAGTCCAATCACACTGCCTGAGTTTGACCCTTGGTTCTACCCACTGGTTTACAAAGTTACTCTAAGTCACTTAACTTAAGCTTCATTTTTCTCCATCTCTAAATCAGGACAGTGCTTCCAGGACTGACATGAAGATTAAATGAAAGAACGTAGTTGCTACTCAATATTAATTGTCCTTGTTTTTTGGATCTCTGCTCCCTCCCTTTTTTCTCATTGCACAATGAACTAGAAAAAACAGTTCCTCCACATTCTTATTTAAAGCAAACTAAGCAACGCTTTTTATCATTTGTCAGATTTTTTTTTACCATGATGAGCCTAAATACACTGTACTGGTTTCTAATCAGACCTCATTTGCAGCTGTGATTTTTGTGGTGGTTGTTGTTGTTGTACTATTTTGTTTTGTTTTGTTGTTTTGTTTTCAAAGAATGAGAGGACAGAAGAAGCATTAAAGCAACATTCTTTCCAAAATTAAATTCTGGCAATACAGTCTCCAGTGATCCTGACTAGGAAGCAAAGGGAAGACCCCGAGCCAGCAGGGGAAGCCCTCCAGCACTCTCAGGTTTTCAAAGAGCCTTTACAAAAGCACTAAGCAGGGCACATCACCGGAGAAGAAAAGCAAAGAGTGTCACAGGCTTGTAGCCATAGTGTTAGCAAGGCTGGGGCTCAGAATGAGCTGAGACTTGCAAAAAATGCTCAGGAACAGCAAAAAGAGCTTTGTGCAAGTATATTCTGAGCAGGAAGAATAGGGAAGGGCCAGATCCTGTGCTTGGGGCAGATGGTGTAATGCTAGCAGATGACAGATACAAAGCAGAATTATGCAACTCCTACTTAGCTTCCATCATCTCTATCTCTCAGAATGATCTTCAAACTGGAAAGAACAATATAAACACTGCAAAGAAGCAATTGCAGCCCTAGTTATGAAGCTCTTTAGAAAATGAATACCTGGGCTCTCTAAATAAGCTTAGATCTCCAGGCCCTGACAAATTCCATCCCTGGGGACTGAAAGAATTTGTAGATTTAATCATAGAATGATTGTCAGTAATCTTTCAGGAATCTCAGGAGTGATGCCAGAAGATTAGTGATGGGCAACTGTCCGAGTTGTCAAAAGGGGAAATATGTAGGTTTGGGGAACTTTGCACTGTTGAGTTTAACTTTGATCCCCAGCAAACTGTAAGCTGCATTATTAAGGAGTTAGATTACAATCGCTTTGAAAAGGAAGTGGTAATCTCAAGAAGCCAGCACAGGTTATGTAGAACAAACCATGTCATACTAACATCACTTCACATTTTTTTCTTTTTTGAAAGATTACCAAAACTCTCAAGATTGTCCCAGAGGTAGTGAATCTTTCAACAGGGCTTCCGACAACACATTTTATGGTACAATGAATGGATAGGGCCTGGGTGATCTATGGCTTGGTGAAGGCACAGCTAGGCAAACCATTGTATCCAAAAAGCACTGGACAGGCGGGGCCAAGTCAACTCAGAGAGAGGTGTAGCACAAGATGCCGCTAGTCCTTGTTTGGTGCCCGGTTCTGTGAAAATCCTTTCAATGACATGAAAGAGATGCCAACATATAAATATGAGTTGACACAAAATGAAGAAGTCTAAGTAATATGCCGCATGACAGAAACAGGATATGGTGGTTTGCCTGAACAAGGAGCCAAAATAAGCATGATGGAATTTAATGGAGAAAATGCAAGTTCTTCATATTGATTAAAAAAAAAAAAACTCAGTTATTCAAATTATTGACAATAGTTAATGGGAAAAAGTCTTGAAGATTGTAGTTAACAAAAAGCCCAACATGAGCCAAAAAATTCTGACATGGCTACAAAACAACTAGTGTTTGCCAGGTAGCATAAGGGGAATTGTAACAGGCAGAGCAAGGGTGATGAGGGTGCCATTGGCCCATCTGCCTCAGAGCATGAGGGCTTATTCCTGGTACCATGTTTCTTCTTCACATTCAACTTTGTGGTCTTTGTATTTTGTAAATCACGAAAGCAAAATATATTCATAGTAGAAAACTTAGAAGTACAGAAATGTATGAAGAAGAAAACGAAAATTAGCTCTCATCATTTGGAGATCACTACTGTTATCATTTTGGTATATGTCCTTCAAGTCTCTTCTGGAGACTTGTGTTCCATGAGGCACATGGAAGTACTAAAAATGTGGGTTAGGTAGTGTTTATATTCTACATTAAAAAACTAACATTATGTCCTGAATTATTTCCTCAACTTACATATTCTTTGAAACCCAGTTTTAATAGTTATACAACATACTATTGTGTAGATATGCCATAATTTGTTTGAATTGACTTGCTCTTGGACATTTAGGCTGTTTCCACTTAGATGTGGTGGCAGGAAGGTGGCACTAGATTTTAAAAGGGGATACTGACAAAGCAGTGATCAGTCCAGGGAGGATAACTGGACTAGTGAAGCATCTTAGAAACCACGACCTGAGAGGGGCAGTTCAGAAAACCGGGAACGTTTATTCCAGAGAAGGGCACACATAGACAACTCTGATAGCTGTCTTCAAACCCTTGAAAAGCTGTCAAATGAGAAAGGGAGTGAATTAGTTTTGTGTTGTTCCAGAGGGCTGAACTAAGACAAGTGGACAGAGGCTGAAGGGAGTCTGATTTCAGCTCTATTTCTAACAATGCCCACTGTCCACAGACAGGCTGAGCTGCTTTGTGAGGGAGTAACATCTCCATGACAGCAAGGTGCAAGCGGAGATAAGACAACCACCTGGGTCAGGAACTTGTAGAGAGGATTCCTACATGGAGTGGGAGACTGAAATAATAACCTCAAAGATGCCTTCCAATCAGAAGATTTGGTGATTCTTTCTGAGTTATCAAACTGCCTTCCTTTGACCTTGCTCACATGTAGAAATCCAAGTCAGGTAAGGAGCAAAGAAGTCAATGACATTAATCTCACTGCTAGAGTAAGCACTGTAGCTCAGAACTAGAACACACGTCTGTGTACTTGGCCTTGGCTCATATCTAGGTAGTTTTTTACAGTCAGCAAAGCACTTTGCAGATAGAACTTATAGTTTAATTCTTGTAACAGCTTTGGGAAGTAGATATTGACATCATCCCACTATTAAAGTTGAGAAAATTGAGGCCCAAAGTGCTGGAGTGACAAAACCCAGCCATCCACCTCTAGTTCCTTGCCACTTCCCAGGATGCAATGCTGCTGTTCTCTGTGTGAGTTCCTAGTGCACTCTTTGATGGGCTGTGAAGGTTCTTTGTCCTTTACACTCTGTATTTGGTGTCTCTTCGGCTACAATTTAAACACTTTAGGACAAGGGTTTAAGGGCATGTTATTTTTCTTTTGTATCCCATCCTCCCACCGCCCAGTGATCTTTCTAAAATGCACATCCGATCATGCCAGCCCCCTGTTTTGAGTTCCTCTTAGGCTTCTTGTTGCTTGGCACAGAGATGCCAACCCATTTGGGAGGGACTGCGGATCCAAGAGTGGTGCACATTTCAGAATCTTGGGAGGAAGTGAAGTACGACTTATAGCATATAGAAGCAATACAATAATTATTTGAAAAGAAAAATCAAAGCAATTTGTTCATGAATACGTTTGTTTTGCTTACCAGAGCTATATATAGGCAATACTATAATTCTCGACACTTTTAGGAGAGCACATTATTTTGAGGGTGCGTGAGACTTTCATTTTCATCAAAGAAGCCATGAATTTTGTTGTTGTTTGTGGAACCACAATCTCAAAAGTGAAAACATGCCATCTCTCATATCTCAGATTTCCATATATGTATGGGCTTGTGTCTGGACTCTCTTTCGTCTTCTGTTAGTTTGTGGCTTCTGTGCCACAGTCATGCCATCTAATTATCATGGCTTTATAAAATGTTTTGCTCTCTAGTCGGACAGCTGCCTCCACTTCTTTTCCTCCAAAATTGTTTTTGAACCTTTGTTCTGTTACATTAATTTTAATATGAGCATTTCCAGTTCCATAAAAAAAGTATTTTGATTTTGATTGTAATTACACTTGATTAATATATTAAAATTGAAGGACAGCTGACAACCTAATGATATTGAGTCGTCCCATCCATTTATTTGGATGTGGCAGGACCTCTTGGTTGCCTACTCATCAGTACTAGCCCACTCCACTTCCTTTCTTATCTACAGAGAATGCTTCCCATATTAGAGACTGAAAATATGAGAGATTTTCCTATTCTTCCATAGGCATGGCCTCATGACTCAATCCTGGGGGACATGAGATAAAGGTTTATGGGAAAAGTTTGATAACAAAAAAATAGATGTGCAAAGAGATACTTCTTTTACTTCCTCTGGAATAGAGTCATGTGAAGAGGTCTTTACACATAGACTCTAACTATGACATCAATCCTGAAACTGGGAGAGGACAAACCTGAGATAAAAGCCTTGTTGGAGATGCTTCAGCAGAAAGATGGAAAGATCCTGAGTGTTTGATGACATCCTTGAGTTGCAGGATTAAGCAACCCTGAACCTGCCCATGCTGGGCTTCATGTAATGTGAAGTAATAAATATTACTTCAAGACACTTCCTGTTGGATATATGTTACTTGCATGTAAAAACACCTTAATTAATATACCATGTCTTGTTCTATTTCCTTCAATAAAATTTTATTATTTTCTTCACAGGCATCCTACACATTTTTGCAAATATGACATTTTTGAAGATTACATTTCTAATTGTCTATTACTGGTGATTAAGTAGGCTATTGATTTGTTTGTTGGTCTTATATCCAGCTTAGTGATCACTCATTAATTCTAATAGTTTATAAAGTGTCCTACGGACTATTATATCATCTGAAAATAAGAACAGCTTTCTTTCTGCTTTTAAATTCTTATATTATGTATTTTTCTTGCCTTATTACATTAACTTATACTTCAGATACAATATTGAAAAGGAGTAGATATGGTAAGCAGCTGTTTCCTCCTGACTCTGATAGGAATAATTATCAAGTTTCAGCTTTCAGGACCTTTCCATAGCACAACTCTAGGGGGCACCATTCATAGTACTTTGACATTATGAGTGGTTTTGTAATATATTTTTATAAATAGTCTCTGTTAAAGTGTTTGTGTATCAGTTAGGATTAGGCTTGGTTGCAGGCAACATAAAAAGACTGAATAGCAGTAGATTATACAAGATGGAAACTTATTTTTCATGCCCAAGATATCCAGAGGTATTCAGTTCAGGACACAATTAGTGTGCTGCAGTCTCAGAGATCCAGAATCCTATTACCATGTTGTTCCACCATCCTAATCGTTTCCCACCTTCAGGTGGGAAAACATACACTTTCCTCGAAAGATAAAGAAAGCACATTCAATTTATAATTTATCAAATTATGATTTTAAAAAACTCAATAAAGTAGGACTAGAAGGTGTGGCCAAGATTGCTAATTTCATCCCAGTATCTATTCTTCCTGTATCCTTGCAAAAGAAACCTTAATCTTTTATTCTGAATTTTCAAATTTATTTGCATAAATTTTTCCATTTTCTCTTATGGTTTGTTTAATCTCTATTCTAATGTGTTTTGTTTCTGTTCCCTTTTTTGTTCTTAATATTTTATTTATTTGTGTCATTTTCCTTGATTTGCCTCACTAGAAATTTTTCTTTCATTCAAAAACTCAAATTTTAACTATATGAACTTTTTGTAATTTTTTCTTAATTTATTGATTTTTACTTTACCTTTATTATTTCCTTTTTTCTACCCTTTGTGGCACCTTCTGGTTTGTTTGTTTATTTTCTCCCTTCTTGAATTGACTGCAAACTCATTTCCTTTTTATCTTTCTTTTATTTTACAGATAAATTTTAGGTTCTAATCACATCTTTTAATACTACCTTACTGCATCACACATTTTTTGTGATTATTTTATTTTCACTTCGTTTAGAATATTTTCAACTTTTCATTATTATTTCCTGTTGAATCTAAAAGTTAACTAGAAAGATATTTTTAAATTTCCAAACATGCAGTTTTTTTATTTTTTTTTAACTTCTTTAAAAAAAAACTCTCAGCCAGGCACTGTGGCACATGCCTGTAATCCCAGCTACTTGGGAGGCTGAGGCACAAGAATCACTTGAACCCAGGAGGCAGAGATTGCAGTGAACTGTAATCCTGCCTGGGTGACAGAGTGAGACTGTCTCAAAACAAAAACAGAAACAAAAAAACACCTCTCCTCTTTGCTTGCAGATGTCTAATTTAATTGCATATTGATACAAATATGCATAATATAAATTCTTTGAAAATTGCTAAAGTCTTCACAATATGGCCAATTTTGTAAATTTTCTAAGAAGAAAAATTTATAATTTTTATTGGGTACAGAGTTCTATATAAAACAGATAAATTTATAGATATTTTCTTCGAATATTCTTACAGAGTTTTTTTTGTTAGATTTCTCATTTGCTGTTAGAAGAATATTAAAAATCTACTATGTGTATAAAATGATCTGTTTTGGCCTTTTATATAACTTAAAACTATGTTGTTAGGTGCATGCAAGGTCATGATTGCTACATCATCTTGGAGAATGATTCATTTTATTATTGTATAGTATCTATCTTTTTCTCTATTTGTTCTTTTTGCAACAAATTTTATCTTGTCATATATTAATCTTGCTGCTCAACATTCATTTGGAATTTACATGATCTTTTTTTTCTCACCCTTCAATTTCAAACCTTCAGACTGATATTGTTTTGTGTGTCTTTCTTCTCAATTGCATATTGTTGGGTCTTTCTCTTTCATTCATTTTCATAATCTCTGCTTTTAGTGGTTGGCTTTAATCCACTGGCAAGTATTGTGAGTTATTACAGTCATTCCTTGGTATCCACAGGGGATTGGTTCCAGGACTCCCTGTGGGTGCCAGAATCCACAGATGCTCAAGTTCCTTATATAAAATGGCATAGTGTTTGCATGTAATCCATGCACATCCTCCTGTATACTTTAAACCATCTCCAGATTACTCATAATACCTAATACAATGTAAATGCTATGTAAAGATTTACTATACTGTATGTTTTAAATTTGTGTTATTTTTATTGCTGTATTCTTCTTTTTAACTAAAAAAAATGTTTAATCTCACGTTGGTTGAATCCAAAGATGTGGAAGCTGTGGATATGGAGGACTGACTACATTATCTTCTTTTATTTTTTCTGTTTATTATGTTTTTCTTTGCTACTTTTTTCTCCCTGTTTTCCTCTGCGCTTTTGGAGTGATAAAGTTTTTATAATTACGTTTTTCTCTGCCTGGATTGAAATCTATATTGTGCACTTCTACTCATTAAATGATTATCCCTATATTAGGGCCGGGCGCGGTGGCTCACGCCTATAATCCCAGCACTTTGGGAGGCCAAGGCGGGCAGATCATGAGGTCAGGAGATCGAGACCACGGTGAAACCCCGTCTCTACTAAAAATACAAAAAATTGGCCGGGCGTTGTGGTGGGCACCTGTAGTCCCAGCTACTCGGGAGGCTGAGGCAGGAGAATGGTGTGAACCCGGGAGGTGGAGCTTGCAGTGAGCTGAGATTGCACTACTGCACTCCAGCCTGGGTGACAGAGCGAGACTCCACCTCAAAAAAAAAAAAAAAAAGATTATCCCTATCTTTAAATATTTAACAGTTATACACTTATTTGTATGAACAAATCTAAACTTTTTTGGTAATGTTATTCTCTTCTTGGTGGTCATACATATTCTGTATCTGTTAAAGTCTTCCCTCCTCTGTTTTATTACTATTTTCTTTAATTTTAACTTCACACCTCATTCCTTTTTTTTTTTTTTATGGAGTCTGGCTCTGTCACGCAGGCTGGAGTGCAGTGGCACAATCTCAGCTCACTGCAGCCTCCGCCTCCTGGCTTTAGGCAATTCTCTGCCTCAGCCTCCCAAGTAGCTGGGATTACAGGTGCCCGCCACCAAGCCTGCCTAATTTTTGTATTTTTAGTAGAAATGGGGTTTCACCATCTTGACCAGGCTGGTCTTGAACTCCTGACCTCGTGATCCACCCGCCTCGGCCTCCCAAAGTGCTAGGATTACAGGTGAGAGCCACAGCACCTGGCCCATCCCTCATTGCTGAATGAGAATTAGCTAGATAGAAATTTCCCTCAGCAGTTTGTAGGTATGGCTTCATTATCTTCTCGGGTTCAATTACCTTCTTGGTTTCTATTCTATTACACCTTAAATTTTTCATAGAAAAATGTAAGATGTAACTTCAGTCTAAGTGTTAATCTTTTTTAAGTAATCTATTTTTCCCCACTGGCAGCTTTTCCTTTTATTAATGATGCTCTGCAGTTTCATTGTGATGTGGACCTGCATCAAAGTGCACTTTTGATCTGAGTTCTCATATTTTTCTCTAACTCTGGAAAATTCTAAGCTACAATCTTTTCAAATAATGACTTCTCTCATTTCTTCCAGTCTCTTTTCCTTTCTCTGGTACTCAAATTAGAGATGTGTTGGAGTCTCTCAGTCTGTCCTGCAGGGCTCATAACTATTCTGCTCTTTTGAATTTTATATTTCTTTGTCTCTTTGTACTAGATCTGGGTAAATTTGTCAGTACTCTCAATTTACCAATTATCTCTTAAACTGTGCCTAGTCTAGAGATTATCGTAAATATTGGCTTTCTTATTTCCAGAATATATTTTTAAGTTCAAAAATTTTCAGTTGATTGCTTTCCCTGTCTACATGTGGTGGTTTGCCCCAAATTTGCCCCATCCCTTCATATATGCCCCTTTGCAATGTGACTTTGACACTCTGACTATCAATAAGTGGGGTATACCTCTGCAGCCTCAAATCTGGTCTTGTCTATGTGACTTGTTTTGAGCAGTGGCCATTGGCAAATATATAATTCAACAGAGGCTTGAGAAGTTCTTGTGCATTGGAGTTTGCCCTTTTTTGGCTGCAGGAAACCCTGCTATCACACGGAAGCAAGCCTAGGTTAGCCTCCTAAAGAATCACAAAAAGAAAGACCCTAGCTGTCTGAATGATCTGAGCTAAGTCCCCAGACGTGCAAGTGTGGCCATCCTAGACCACTGAGCTCCAGCCAAGCCAGCTTGCATCAGAAGAACTGTCCAGAAAACTCACAGAATCATAAGAAATAATGCAGGTTGGTTTTTTAAGTGACTAAGTTGTGGGGGTGGTTTGTGATGCAGCCGAAGGTAATTGATATACTGTGTTGTTCCATTTCTCCCTGTTTTGTTTCCCAATATTTGTTCACTTTTAAGGCATCTAATTCCTTTTCCACGTCTTTAGTCACCTTAAGTGTTACTGTTCAAGTCTTACTGTTCAATTTACCGTTTAAGTCCTTGACATACTGTTTCATAAAATTATTCTCAACTGGAGTGAACTATTGACTTTCTTGACTGTTTTTCTTAGCGCTTATTTTCTACATATATTTTGGAAAGTCTGCAGGCTTATTTTGAATGGAAGGCATTTTGTTTTGTTTCACTTGTTCTGCTTTTTCTTGTACCCAGTTGAGAAGTTTTGCAGATGCTTTCACCCAGCACGCTGTACTCTTGGTCCACAGCTGAGTCTCAAGATAGTTTTCTGGGGCTCCTGGCCCACAGTGATATTGAGAATATTACAGAGCCAGTCACAGAGCTGGCTTTGAATCAGCTGGCTTCATATCAGCTTTAAATTTCTAATCAGTTCCTGTTTAGAAGGCCGGGTCTTGGATCGCTGTAGTTCCACAGCTTCTGAGAACGCCTGGCTTTCAGCAGTTAGCCTGGTTCTATCGTTTCTTGAGTAGACACTTAGTTTCTATTATCCTATCCAAGCCACACTCCTTCCCATCGCTGCCTGGTTTGGGGTCCAGAGCCCTGCAAGCCCACGGCTTTACCCCCCTCATGCTTGCAGTCATCCATAAAGATGCTTTCTTCTTGGTTTCAAGTTTGGGTATTTTTATTATTATTATTATTATTATTTTAGACAGAGTATCACTCTGTCACCCAGGCTTGAGGGCAGTGGCGCGATCTCGGCTCACTGCAACCTCTGCTGCCCAGGTTCACGTGATTCTTCTGCCTCAGACTCCCGAGTAGCTGAGACTACAGGCACCCGCCACCACGTCCAGCTAATTTTTGTATTTTTAGTAGAGACGGGGTTTCACCGTGTTAGCCAGGATGGTCTCGATCTCCTGACCTCATGATCCCCCCGCCTCGGCCTCCCAAAGTGCTGGGACTGCAGGCGTGAGCCACTGCGCCCTGCTAAGTTTTGTATTTTTAGTAGAGACAGGGTTTCACCATACTGGTCAGGCTGGTCTTGAACTCCTGACTTCATGATCCACCCACCTTGGCCTCCCAAAGTGCTGGGACTATAGGCGTGAACCACCGCGCCCGGCCATGTTTGGGTATATTTTATTAGGTTTGTTTTTTCCTTGTCTATACTTTGTCTTTCATGGTCTTTTACTTAGAACACAGGGAATGTGAAGAAGTGTGAAATTAAGGGGAGCCCGTTTGACCGGAGGTCCATTTCATATAATTTTATCTAAAAATTAAATATAAGCTTAAGCTGGCATGCAAGATCTTTCACAATTCAGATCCGCTTCCCACTCCCACTGCTAGGCACCCCGCACTTCACTCACATCAAATTGCCTCCTGTTTCCTGAACACAGCACGTGCTTTTATTCTTTGGGGCACGTTCATATCCAGAACAGCCCTCCTGCCACACCTTTCATCTTCAAGACCTTCATGAAAACTCATTTCAACTGGGAAGTTGGCTCCAGATCCCACAGATTAAGTTACTTCTTCCTTCTCTGTGCAGCTGGTATTGTTACATACCTTTATGTAGTGCTCTCTGTATTCCTCTATATTCTATTTCTATATACTACTTAATGTCATCGAATTGTGAATTTTAGTACTTATAATCTCCTCCAGGTAGGCTGAGAGCTTCCTGAAGACAGACACTGTCTTTTCCATATTCATATTCTTGGAAGTTAGCAAAGGGCCTGGCACAAAGTATGCACTCAGTACACACGTACTGAGTAAATGAATGAATGATTCATATGATGTGCAAGATAAAGTAAGCATATAGTACATGTGGTTTATTGCCATATTGTTATGTCCATAACAATTGCTGTTTATCTAAGTGTCTGCTTTGGGCAACATGAATGTGCTATATTTATCCACTGCACTTAGAAATAAAGAGAAGGCAGCGGACAAATTTTTATCCTGAAGTTTGCCTTATATAACTACCATTAAGCTAACTCTGTGCAGAAGACAATTGACATACTCCAATACACCTTTTGTAAAAGTGTGGTTTTTACAACTCTTAAGGCAACATGAGACAGTCTCATTTCCTTCCTCAATTTCATGGCATTCTTCAAAAAAGAGTGGAGGAGGATGTTAGCACGAGTTGTTATCTTTCTTTTTTTTTTTTTTTTGAGACGGGAGTCTTGCTCTTTCGCCCAGGCTGGAGTGCAGTGGCGCAATCTTGGCTCACTGCAAGCTCCGTCTCCCGGGTTCACACCATTCTCCTGCCTCAGCCTCCCGAGTAGCTGGGACTACAGGAGCCCGCCACCACGCCCGGCTAATTTTTTTGTATTTTTAGTAGAGACGGGGTTTCACTGTGTTAGGCAGGATGGTCTCGAACTCCTGACCTCGTGATCCACCTGCCTCGGCCTCCCAAAGTGCTGGGATTACAGGCATGAGCCACCACACCCGGCCCGTTATCTTTCGAGCAAAGTAAAAATACGATGGAAAAAGCTCTAATATGTGTAAATGCTTTACAGTTATAACAACTCAGTTCTATCTTTCTATCAATTATAATTCTATCTCAGGAGAAGGGTTACGTTTTTTGTTCCTTTTTTTACAAAGAGGATGTAATTTTGGTACCAAATGGCATGCTGTGTGAGCAAAAATATTTGTCTAATTGTCCAACTTTTCTGGAATCCTTCAGGATACTATTTCTTCCTCAGAAACAGAATGAAGGCTCTGTGACATGGAAGAAACAAAAAGGTTTTCATTCTGGTGGGAGTTACTTGTGCTTTCATTTCCTCCAGCTCGATTGCATGGCTATGGCAAAAACAGAAATTCAACTGAGTAGAATTTCTGTTCTAAAAACATCTAAAATTCATCTCAAATCTGTATCTTTTCTGGGGAGAGAAACTAAATCCAGTCTAACAACTAATTAAACAAACAAACAAATACCCTAAAACCACAGTCTTCTCCTGGCGCCTGTCTACACCCACTCCTCCCCAGACCCCTTCCCCCATCTCCTTCCCCACTAGCCCAGTCCCACCTGGTCCAGGGATCAACGTGATGGGGCTCACTCTCTCCCACACAGGGAATGTGTTGGATAAAAGTTATATGTGGAAAATGTGGGTAAGAGAACTAGAAAATGAATATGAAGTTATCACTGTGTTTAACTTCCAACTTTGCTCTCTGATTCCAATAGTCGTCACAGTTTTCTGAAAACCTGAAATGTAACGTATGTGACGTTGCTTCTCCCTAGTGATTCAGCAAACAAAAGCCTGAAATTCTTCTCCAAATCTCCATTTTCCCCCACATTCCTAATTCAAGCTCAAAGCTTTATTTAATTTAACCACATTTAACACATAATTTTTAGTTATGTGCTCTGATTGATGCAGTATTTCTTATGGATATAGACTTTGAATCCATTGTATGACCTCGAAAAGAATTTAGAGTTTAGACAATTTAGAATTTGGAACCAATTTCAGTGTCTCCAGAAAAGATCCAAAGTTGATAGCTTGCCGCTTCTCCCCGTATGGTGAGCCATCTCACTGTGCTCAAGAGACTGCTACATCCTGGAGAAGGGGATAACACAGAGGGACACAGAGATTTTTTATTTACAGAAATAGTATCTGGAAGTGCCCTTTGGTTTACTATCTTGATCTTTTATGTTAAGCAACTACGAATGTTTGAAAGGGAGAACAAAAAAATCGCCACTAAGAGAAGGAAATATTACCTGAAGAAGGCCGGGCGCGGTGGCTCACGCCTGTAATCCCAGCACTTTGGGAGGCCAAGGCAGGCGGATCACGAGGTCAGGAGATTGAGACCGTCCTGGCTAACACGGTGAAACCCCGTCTCTACTAAAAATACAAAAAAAAAAAAAAAAAAAAAAAAAAAAATTAGCCGGGCGTGGTGGCAGGTGGCTGTAGTCCCAGCTACTCGGAGGCTGAGGCCGGGGAATGGCGTGAACCCGGGGAATGGCGTGAACCCGGGAGGCTGAGCTTGCAGTGAGCCGAGATCGCGCCACTGCACTCCAGCCTGGGCAACAGGGCGAGACTCCGTCTCAAAAAAAAAAAAAAAAAAAAAAAAAAAGAAATATTATCTGAAGAAAATGTTATCAATGACAACTCCTAGACACTAATTGTGGTACATTGCATTTCATTTCATTTCCAGTCACACTATGAGCATCTACGATGAGCTAGGTACTGTACCAAATTCTAGACCACCTTTGTTCAATAGAAATAGATGCCAGCCACCTATGTAACTTTAAAGTTTCTAGTGGACACATGAAAGCCATTAAAGAGAAATGGGCGAAATTAAATATTTGTATCATTTCGACATGTAATCAATACAAAAATGAATGAGATGTTTTATTTTTTTAATACTGCATCTTCAAAATCTGTTGTGTGTTTTTCACTCACAGCGCAGCTTAACTTGGACTCACCACCTATCAAGTGCTCGACAGCCACGTGTGCAGTGGTTCCTACGTGGAGCAGCATACATCCAGAGATGCAAATATTAATGAGGACAGTGCTAGTAACAGAGTTGCTGAGCAATCTATGTCCCCTTGTAAGAACCAGTGCCCCAGGGGAAGAAACAGAACTCCACAAGGTAGCAGTGTGGGTGTAGTACCCGCATGTGCCCATGTTATGGGAATGTAGATGGGGAGTGACCACCGCCAACAGAAGTGTGGCCATCTTGCCCGAGATGCCTGAGGACCTCCTATTTTTAGATGCTGCTGCCCAAGGCCTGTATTTCATGCTATGGCTTTTGTCATTTGAATTATCAGTAGCTGTCTCGGAGCTATTACGCTTCACTGGGCCCTGGAGGATATTGTCTTATACAGTCCACTGGGTTTTGGATATGCAGTCTGTGCCTTTCATTGCCTTCCTGGAAAATAATAACTAAACTCTTCCTCACCAGGCTTTTTGTCTTTTTTAACTTTCTCTTTGTCTAGTTTATTTTGGTATCTCTGTTACTATCATTTCTTCAATGTTTTTTTCCTGCTGATCTAACTCTTTTAGCTTGTTCAAGTTAAAAAAAAAAAAAAAAAAGGCCGGGCGCAGTGTCTCACGCCTGTAATCCCAGCACTTTGGGAGGCCGAGGCGGGCAGATCACAAGGTCAGGAGATTGAGACCATCCTGGCTAACATGGTGAAACCCCATCTCTACTAAAAATACAAAAAATTAGCCGGGCGTGGTGGCGGGTGCCTGTAGTCCCAGCTACTCGGGAGGCTGAGGCAGGAGAATGGCATGAACCCGGGAGGCAGAGCTTGCAGTGAGCCGAGACTGCACCACTGTACTCCAGCCTGGGCAACAGAGTGAGACTCCGTGTAAAAAAAAAAAAAAAAAAAAAAAGACCTTTGCCTGGGGCCTGGGGCCTGTTGAGGCATCTATGGGCATAGCTTATGCACACTGGTGACAAGAAATGTTAAACACAGAGCTAAAATATATTAAGTATTTAAAATTAGTGTACGTATATAATAAGTAAATCCTAAGATAATGATGTTGACGCAAGGGTGGGCAGAATTTGTGAGGGCAAAGCTTAAGAGTGGGAGAGTAAAGATGTGCAGGTCCCAGTCCCTTATGTCTTGCTGCGGGAACAGAAAGAGAGGCCATCATCAGAGGTACAGGATGCTCATCTTTCCATCTTGTCAGGACCATTTTGATCTCAAGGACAATTTGATATGCAGAATGCAAAAAGAATATAACTAAGATATTTTTGACAGCAGCAGAAAATGTCTTATGAACAAACCACTGAACGTCCATTTTCAGATATTATCAAGTAGTAAATCCCTTATCCTTTCCCCTTCCTTGACCCTGTTCTACTAGGTGGGAGTCAGCACAGGGTGGAGGGTGTCCTTGACATCTATACTAGGGCCACCGTACAAATAACCCCAACAACAAAATGACCACTCCAGTCCACATATGGTGTATCCCCCTTCCCACCACAGGTTAAATCCATACCATGTCTCCAGTCAGGATTGTGGCTTAACTTTTGACCTGGAGCCCACACAACTTTCACACATTATAGTTCTCTCAAGTTTAAGAAGACAACTGATTTGGTTTGGCTGTGTCCCCACTCAAATCTTATCTTGAATTGCAGTTTAGTTCCCACAATCCCTATGTGTCATGGGAAGGACCTAGTAAGAGGTAATTGAATCATGGGGGTGGGTTTTTCCCATGCTGTTCTTGCGAAAGTGAATAAGTCTCACAAGATCTGATGGTCTTATAAGGGGCAGTTCCCCTGCACATGCTCTCTTGCCTGCTGCCATGTAAGACATGCCTTTGCTCCTCCTTCACCTTCTGCCAGGATTGTAAGGCCTCCCCAGCCATGTGGAACTGTGAGTCCACTAACTTCTTTTTCTTTATAAATTACCCAGTCTCAGGTAGGTCTTCATAGCACTATGAAGATGGACTAACACAGCAATATTTTCAAAGTTAGGCTCCCAGCTGAGCACCCTTTCAGTAGTATTTGGGTTATTGGTCTTCAGCCATTGTTCTTATATTTCCTCTGCTCCTTTCCGTCTCTCTTCCCCTTTGACACCTGCTACCAGGCTGGGAGTTCCAGAAACCCCATGTGCAGAAGCTTGAGGGCCCAGGCAGGGGAGGAAACATGACAGTTAGGCAAAAATACCCCTGAGAGGTCAGGTGCTTTATTGGATGGGCACCGTGAACCTAATGCTCTGAAGGCTGGATGCCTGGGCTTCCTTCCCCATACCTAAGGCTGGATCTGAGGAGAACTGGCAAATAAGTGAGGTTTACTCTTCCCCTCTACTTTGAGCATCCTTATCTGCCCTGTGTCATCCTGTCACCCTCTAGCTAAACCTGCCAGCCTGCCCTCGTGGGGCCATGCCACCACTCTGCCAGGCCTCCCCTCCATCTGTCTCCCTCTTTGCTTGATGTCTGATAGCTGTCATGTGGTAAAGAGCAATGTGCTGATGCCTGGTGGGAGCTGGATGTGTACTCAATAACCAGGAGTGCTTGCACTTGGTGAAATAGGGAATAATATTATATTTCCATCCAATCATATGGAATGAGATCCAAATGGTGAAATGCCAGACCCCCGGACAAAAGGACTGTTATCTACAATTGTGTAAATCAAGCTTGTTCAACCCACAGCCCACAGGCCACATGCAACCCAGGACAGCTTTGAATGTGGCCCATCAGCTATCGATCAGCTATCATTAGTGTATTTTATGTGTGGCCCAAGACAATTCTTCTTCTGTGACCCAGGGAAGCCAAAAGATTGGACATCCCTGGTGTAGATTGTTCTCTACACAGGACTTGAAGCCTAGGAAGTGAGTGAGGTGGTCAGTATGCACTCTACTCACCAAGCCGCACACCCTGACACAGAACTGTGTCCCCCTGAAGGAAAGAGTACCCTTTGCTGATTTTCACAAAACTACTCTAGTACTACTTAATGCTTAAGGGGGCTTTGGGTAGAAGAAGACTTAACCTTTTAAAACACATTTTACAAGCTCGTGCCTGTAATCCCAGCCACTCAGAAGGCTGAGGTAGGAGGATCTCTTGAAACCAGGAATTCAAGACCAGACAGGGCAACATAGCAAGACCCCCATCTCTAAAAAATAGCAAAAAACAAAAACTTAGCCAGTTGTGGTGGTCTGCACTTGTAGCCCCAGATACTCAGAGGCTGAAGTGGGAAGATCTTTTGAGCCCAGGAGTTTGGAGCTGCAGTGAGCCGTGATCGTGCCACTGCCCTCCAGCCTGGGCAACAGAGCAAGGCCCTATCTCCAAACAAAACAAAACAAAACAAAACACATCTTTTAGTCTGGAATGTGCACATTTGTCATCATTTTAGGCCTGACTATGAGATTCTCACAAAGAGAAACCGAAAAAGAACAGAAACATCAATCATTTCAATTAATCTTCTTTTGGGCCCAATGTGAATCATCTCTCCTCAGGACTCTGGTTTGCTGACATTCAGGTGGGAGTTTTTCATGACAGCAGGAGATCAGGACTCTGGTTTGCTGGCATTCAGGTGGGAGTTTTTCATGACAGCAGGAGGTCTGGACTCTCGTTTGCTGTCATTCAGATGGGAGTTTTTCATGACAGCAGGAGGCTCGGGCGTCTGTCTCATGCTATCTCAGGGGTGATCCTTACTAAGGACTGGGGGAGAACAGAGTCATGTCCAGATGTAGGAGGCCTTCTGTAGAAAGGTCTGAGGGACACGGCCATTGCAGACTGCTGTCCTTGTGCTATAAAAGCTTCCTCACAATATTACTCCCACTCTATAAACACACTGTTAATTAAAAGAGAAACTCATTAAATACCCTTATAAAATCCAGAATATCCCCTACTCTTCTCCCCTCCCTTTCTCCTCCTTACCATATGCCAATAATCAACCATTTTTTTTTAGTGCATTCTCTGTGCCAGCAGTGACAAAGGAAGAGAGTCTGTGGTCTCATAGAGCTTATCATGGGTTTCTAGGCGAATTTCTCTCAACAGAAAAGGTGAGGTCTGAGATGGTCTCTAGGAATTTGATGTTCAGGTTCTCAGAAATCACTGGTTTCCTCGGCATGTTCTGTAATATGTCCTTAAATGCTGAAGAGACTTAGTGCTAAGGTCACTAATTATATATCACGGAGAAAAAAGTGCCCAGTCCTCCTCGAAAGAAATGAAGCTGTTTCTTTTCCGTGTTCTCTTTTCACTAGACAAATACATCTGGATTTCCCAAACACCAAAAAACAAACAAACAAACAAAAAAACGGAGTCTCGCTCTGTCGCCCAGGCTGAAGTGCAGTGGTGCAATCTCGGCTCACTGCAAGCTCCGCCTCCCAGATTCACTCCATTCTCCTGCCTCAGGCTCCTGAGTAGCTGGGACTACAGGCGTCCGCCACCACGCCCAGCTAATTTTTTGTATTTTTAGTAGAGACGGGGTTTCACAGTGTTAGCCAGGATGGTCTCGATCTCCTGACCTCATGATCCGCCCATCTCGGCCTCCCAAAGTGCTGGGATTACAGGCTTGAGCCACCATGCCCGGCCAGATTTTCTTAATTCACTCTCCCCTCTGAAGGTTTTTGTACTATCTATATAAAAATGTATACATTCATTTGTTTACCATCAGGTATTTATTGAGTACCTGTATTCATTTTCAATGAGTTTGTATAAGCAAAAATTTAAAAATAAATAAAAGTGATAAGACACTTTTGAACTGACTGGGCAGTGGGAGACAGACAAGTATGTAAACCGTTTCAGTTCAGGGTGGTAAGTATGACAGAAAGACAGAGAACATAGCCGCCAACTTTAGCTGATGAAATGAAATTGAGGCGGCTTCATGCAGGAGGCAGTTTTTGACCTGAGTCTTAGAGAGTGAACAGGAATTAACCAGGCAGAGAAACGAAGCAAGACAACTCCAGGCAGAGGGAACAGCGTGTGCAAAGTCCCAAGGACAGCATACTGGGGATCCTATAGAGAGATAGACAGCATCCCTCAAATGCACTTCCTCTCTATCTGAAAACCTGTGAATTAAGGAAAGAAGTCTTCTGTTCCCCCGAGCCTCTACCCCACACATCCACACACCCAATATACAGTAATGGGACAGGCATAGGATCACAGCTATAGACTCTCCCATTCAGAAAGGGGGAAACAGAAGGCATAGAGGAGTTACCAGCCTACAGCACTTCTGAGATCTGGCAGGGCACATGTGGTCAGCTCCTTGATTAGAGATCAAGCCCTGGGAATTATTCCCAGTGGCTCTTGGTTTTTCCCTCTGTGTCATCCTTCTTTTTCTGTAAAAGATTGTTTACATTTGCAACTGAGTGTATTTCTCAGACTATTCTCAGCCTATAAAAGTTTGGGAATCCAAAGCCTTTTTATTTTTACTCTGTACTTTCTCTGCCTCTTTTAGTCCAAGCTGATGGTGTTTCTTCTTGTAAAATTGTCTTAAAACCTTTGGGAGTCTCCTGTGAATCTTATTGGGTTGTGTGTCATCATTTAAAAAGTTTGTGAGGTTTTTCTTAATGGCACAAATGACAATAAGGTTCACAAGGGAGGGGACATCCCACACATCTCTTCAAGGTAAGCCACACTCTACCCTGAGCTTCTATTGAAGCTGCCAAGGAATCCTAAAAGCCCTGGGTTTCTGTTGGTGGTGTTATTTTTGTTTTGACTAAAGAGTTCTCCAAGGCATTGCCTTAAGTCTTTCCAAGATTTTAACAAAGGATATTATGGTCACATTCATTTTTTGTTATGGTCACATTCATTTTTTCTTTTTCTTTTCTTTTTTTTTTATGAGACAGTCTTGCTCTGCCACCCAGGCTGGAGTGCAGTGGTGCCATCTCGGCTTACTGCAATCTCCACCTCCTGGATTCAAGCAATTCTCGTGCCTCAGCCTTCCGAGTAGTTGGGATTACAGGCCTGCACCACCACGCCCAGCTAATTTTTGTATTTTCAGTAGAGACGGGGTTTCATCATGTTGGCCAGGCTGGTCTCCAACTCCTGGCCTCAAGTGATCTGCCCACCTCAGCCTCCCAAAGTGCTGGGATTACAGGCATGAGCCATCACGCCCTGCCTATGGTCACATTCTTAATTCCCTCTTTAGATCATGTTCTCCTGACCATTCCTGAAATTTTATTTTTGCACAGAGTAATTTCCTTATTAAACACTGCTTCTTTCTGGAGAGGCAGGTGATTTTCCAACTCAGCAAATTCTGCCTCTTTCATATTGAATGAATTTTTTTTTCCTTGAGCTTATCCCTGTCCCCTCCAATTTTAATATAAGCATAAAGACAAAGCCAGGGGCGTCTTTAACACTGCCTGGAAATTTCCTTAGCTAGAGCAACCTGTCCATTAGATACATCTGTTTTCCATGTTACCGCAGGTGATGTGATTTGGCTGTGTCCCCACCCAAATCTCATCTTGAATTGTAGCTCCCATAATTCCCAAGTGTTGTGGGAGGGTCCCAGTGGGAGATAATTGAATCACAGGGGCAGTTTCCCCCATACAGTTCTTGTGGTAGTGAATAAGGCTCACGAGATCTGATGGTTTTTTAAGGGGAACCCCTTTCACTGAGCTCTCATTCTCTCTTTGCTAGTTGCCATGTAAGATATCCCTTCCTTCGTCTCCTGCCATGATTGTGAGGCACCCCCAGCCATGTGGAACTGTGAGTCAATTAAACTCTTTTCTTTATAAATTACCCAGTCTCAGGTATGTCCTTATCAGCAGCATGAAAACAGACTAATACGGCAGGCAAGAGTCTTGCTAAACTTTCTGCCTTTTCATGGAGGCTCTTTTCTCTGATTTCCTCACTTTTCTTTAATCCTTGACAAACAGCCTTCTTGAGGGACATCAGTCTTCTGCTAACAGTCTCTATGAGATACTTGATAGATTTTTACTAAATACTCTTCTCAAGGACCTTCTGGCATCTGCCCACCACAGTCCCAAAGCCACTTCCATATTTTCGGGTCTCTGTTACAGCAGCAACTCACTCACCCCTTGCCTTCTGCACCCCCACTTTAGACACCCCTGCCCATATACATCTCCAGCTATAGCCCACCAGGCCCACTCTGGTCCCATCAAGGCAGAGGGTAAGCAATTTTCTCTAAAACTTCTGCCCCTTCCAAAGGTCCCAGAAAATAATTCGAATATATCCTCCCGAAGATGGGTTCCCCAGAGGAGCTGTCTTGGTAAAGGGCTAACAGATAGGGTTATAGAAAGAAGTTAATGATGCTGTCTTCAAAAACAAATAAACAAACAAACAACGTTTCAGGACACCAAATGTTTTCTCCAGAGAAAAGTATCAAAATTCTCTGGGAAATATTTTGAACTTGCTGTTTGAGGGCAAGATCCAGAGAATTAAATCTATTTCTAACAAGAAATATTTTTAAAAAGAGAGGGAAAAAATGTGAGATTAAATTTATGTTAGGCTAACATGAGCTTTTATTTATTTATTTATTGTAAGACGGAGTCTCACACTTTCACCCAGGCTGCAGCGCAGTGGCGTGATCTCGGCTCACTGAAAACTCCACCTCCAGGGTTCAAGAGAGTCTCCTGCTTCAGCCTCTTGAGTAGCTGGGATTACAGGCACCTACCACCACACCTGGCTAATTTTTGTATTTTTAATACAGACGGAGTTTCACCATGTTGGCCAGGCTGGTCTCAAACTCCTGACCTCAAGTGATCTGCCTGCCTTGGCCTCCCAAAGTGCTGGGATTACAGGGGTCAGCCACTGGGCCCGGCCCAGTTTTATTTTAAAACACTGCTACCTCGACAGTGGAAGACATGCACGGCAAAATGGGAAAGGCCAGGAGCCGAGGGCTCATGCAGACCTAGACGGTGAGCCCAGGCAAGTTTCTTAATCACCACAAGGCCCTGCTTTCTCATCCCCAAGGTGGACGTGGTCATGATAACTACCTCACAAGGCTACTGTGAGGATTGGAGGAGGTGAAATGTATGTGAAATAGCCAAGCACAGCATCTAGCATATGATTAATAGATTATCCTGGACTCACTAACAGAGAAACCATACAAATGAATCCTCCTATTTTCCTAGACGCCTCCATTTGGCTTTTCAGAATGTTTTGGAATCAGAAGTCTGTTCTCCAGCTCCCTGGGGAGGATGTGGTGGCCACGAAGGAGTAGGAGGAAGAGCAGCTTCCCTCTTGCCCTCTTAGGAATTAGATTCTCTCCCATTAAAAAAAAAAAAAAAAAAAAAAAAAAACACATTTAGGACTACGGAATGTGCAACTCTCCAGGGTCCCATTAAGTCTTTTCTCAACTGACTATTTCAGTGAAGAAACAATATCAACTTCATTTTATTTCTGCCATAAATCCACACTTGATCTAATCTGTCTAGGTTTCTCTCTTTCCCAGCCCAAATCTCCCTCATCCAGCTTCAATTCTTCAACTCTTTCTCCCAAGCAGCCCTTGCAAGAGTGTAGGGCCAGTTCTTCCTCTGCCTCAAGAAACGTGCCCCAACTCCCATGTGGTGTCAAGCTGGAAGAAGACATGGAATTAGATGAAGGACAGAATGAAGATGAAACAGAGATTTGGAGGAGAATAAGTTTTAGGATATCAGAGAGGAAATGCAATGAGGCATGTGGTTGTGAGAGGAAGGTATGGGGAAGACTTGAATGAAAGCAGAGATACAAAGGGACAGGGGCTGAAGGAGAAGAGTTTGAAGGATGCTTCACGGAAAAGGGCTGTGGAAAGAGTGAGTCGAGAGGATGGAGTTAATGAGACCTGCTGGAATTCTCCACAACTTCCTCTTCTTGCTCTTTCCACACCACCTCTTTACATGATCCTACCTTTTTAGATAGTTGTTTCTGTCTCCTTCGCTCCCTTCCAGCTTAGCTCAGGCTATGTTTTCTCTTGCACTAGAGAGGGCAATGGCCTCTGATCCAGCTGGTCCTCCCACCCCATGCCCCACCGCCCTGATCCACCAATCTGTTCTTTGTTCCATAGCCCAAGTGGCCTCTCTTTAGTTTGACCTTGCTCCTGACCCACCCCCAAGTTTAAACCCAGGTACAGGTAGATCCCTGTGCCTTCGGGTCAAGTCTGCCCTCATAATGGTGGTACGTTTCTTCCCTCCTAGCCTCATCTCTCTCTCTCTCTCTGCTCCCCCTCTCTAGGCAGCTCATCCCTCCCAGAGCTGGCCTTGCTTCCTCACCTGTTTGCTTTTGCTCTGGCTTTCTCTCTGTCCTTTCTCTTTCATCAATCCAACTTCTGTGCCTTTGGCCATGGTATTTCCTCTTTTTATCAGATCCTTCCCTCTTCTTCTTTGTCTAATTCCCATTTAGTTTCCATGTTTCCTCTCAACCACTCTCTTTCTCCTGCAGTCCTTCCCTGCTGCCCCACCCCACCAACACACACACCCCGACAAGCTCTTACTCCCACTCTCATCCCTTTCTCTCACCAAAGCTGACCCAGCCACACCTGGGCTCACTTCTGTCTCAGCACTTATCTCGACACCCATTTTTCTGTCTCTGGCACTAGGAAGAGAACTGCTCCAGGACAGAGGCCCTAATTATTAGCATCTAGAATGCCTTGTTTGGTTTCTAGAATGTAGATGTAAGAGGAGTTATGTAATGTTGGTCAAGTGAATGAATGGATGAATGAATGCTCACTTGGTGGCCAAGAAGAGGCAGTCACAAGAGATCCAGCGAAGGAAAGAGGTCTGATGAGGAGGAAAAGTATGAGAAAATATAAAGAAGAAAACAAAGTGTTTGGGTAGAGGGAACGTTTACTTTTGCTGGGGGTAGTAACTTCCATTTCAGTGGGAAAAATCTCCACATCCAAGCAGAATATTGGGTTTTGTTTGTTTGTTTGTTTCTTTGCGGTTTTTTGTTTTTTTGGTTTTTTTTTTTTTTTTTTTTTTTGCTGCATCTGAAGGAGAAATGGGGGTGGGAAGGGGTAGGGTCCTCAGAGCCTACAACTGACACCACTCAGGAATCATCTGCAGGGCCTCTCCTGCTGGACCTCCCCTCCTGGACCTCTGGATGTCTAGCTTCCTCCCTTGATGCTAACTTTGTTCCAAACACAACCCTGAATGCATCCCTAAATCATCACCCAAGACCAGGAACAAGCGCCCAGTCTTTTTTCTTACTCCAGTGTCCTCACTTTCTTCTTCCACTCCCACCTTGACTTATCTCACATGTCCACCCATCCGTACCCCAACCGCCCAATTCATGCATTTTTCCATGTCTTAAGACCTCATGCTATTATTCATCCATTTGTCCAAACCCCCCACCAAACATGTGCTGCCTCCACTTTGTCATTTCCTAACACTCCCAAGGACTCTCAAGCTCTGTTAAGACAATCAGAGAATTTATGGATACTCATTTTTTAAAACCTCCAAGGCACTAAATTGCATCTACCCGAGATACTGCTTTGACTGATCTCCTCTAAGGTTGCAAGGCATACCTTGTAGCTGAAGATTAATGTCTCTGTCTCTGCTTGTTGAGGGTCAATGACTCACGGAGTTTTATCAGTGTGGGCAGACTGGAAAAGCTAATGGAGAACAGGATCAAGGGCCCCCCTTCTCCCTCCCCAGCTGCCTCCTGATCCCCTCTCCTTTGGTGCAAATACCATCCCCAGAGCCGGAGCACCACGGTTTATTTTTATCTGTTTATTTTGCAATTAACAAAGAGAAGGGGCCCCTTTCTGATGTGCTGGTTCAGAGGTTCAAAGTGTCTAGCTACCTTGACCCCTTCACCAGCCTCCGACATCGCAGTGTGGCTGCCCAACTGCGAAAGATTTATACTTATTTTTATATAATGGAAAACTCATTGCCGGACATCGAGTTACTCACTTTGATTTGTTTTCTTTGGAAGAAGCGGCCGGCGGCGGCGGCAGCGCCCCAAGCTGGGTCATTAACATGGCAGCAACAGCAACAAAGACCTTTACAGCCGCTGCCTGTAAACCGTGGATAAAGTTCAAGCATTTATTCTGTTTGAGGCCTCCCAGTGTCTATAAAAGCCCAGCACGATTATATGATCAGTGTCAAGACCCACTTTCCCCTCTTTGTGCTCTGGGATGCATTTCCTTGCCCTGTCCCTCCGTGTTGCCACCGCAGCTGCTCTGGCTTTAATAGCAACCCAAGGCACACACTATTGGAGTGTTCCTTGGGCTTTGTTTTAAACATGGTTTTTGCTTGTGTTAACTACCGCCTGGCTCTCTGACACCCGTGAATGGGGCTATGCGGGGCTGTCAATCAACAACAATAATAATGCCATCTGGGTTTGAATAATACTAATGAGAAGAAGAAGAAGAGGGATACTGTGTATTAACATAGCACCTTTGTCCCAGAAGCTCAGAGGGCGTTCGGGATAATAATTCATTCATGCTCTGCGCACTGCTTGGCGGTAGATATTATGATCCCACTGCAGGGGACTGAGACACAGAGAGGGCAAGTGGCTGGCCCCAAGGTCACACAGTAAGTCAGAGACGGTACACAATTTCGTTGTTGTGAGTCCCTGAAAGCATGAGTCCCGTGGGATCACACTGAACTGTAACTCTGTGCATCTGGTTTTAAAATCTAGCCTTAAGAAGAGCGGTATGATCTGCGTGTTTCATGCCTTCTAGGGTGAAGGAGAAAATAAAAAGAATGTTCAAGGGTGGAGGACAAACCTCAACGATCCTCAGTATTATAGGAGAGACCATCCAAGCCAGGGTCAGGGAAGAGGGCGATGAGATGCTAGTAAACCACTCCAAGGGGCCTCTGAGATTTCTGTGTGGCGGGAGGGTGGTGGAAGCATGTTAAATAAAGATAAGTGGATAAAGAGAAAGAGAACTCTCCCAGGTAGGTGAGAAAGCAAGCTAATCACAAGCCTAAAAGCTCATGGAGGGCCAGATAAGGAGCAGCAGGCATCCAGAAAGAAGGATATTGCTGAAGGCACCAAGAATGTCCCTGTTTGATCTAAAATCCCATATTCTGCACTTTGCAGATCCCATCAAGGAGACAGGGCCCTAGCTCTCTTTTCTCAGCCCCCTTAGTGCAAAGAGGGGTTCAAACCTGACTCTGCCACTTCAGAGTAGTCATACCTATCTAATTTCTCTGTGTCTCAATTTCAACTATGTAAAATCGGTTAATAATTATCTCATTGGGTTAACTAACATATTGGAATAACTCCTGAACTGATTTCCCTGCCTCCAATCTCTGCCTACAATTCTCTATCATTGGGTTGTCATGAGGATTAAATAAGTTAATATATAAAGTGCTCAGACTAGTTCCCAACGTGTAGCGGAACCTCAGTAAATATTAGCTAGTATTATCATAAACAGCAGTAGATTGTCGTCATCATCATCATCATCATCATCATCATCATCATCATCATTATTAACCTCTAGTTTGCTGGTTGCTTATTCCTGAGCAGATAAGAAATAGATCAAGCACCCACGAAGGAAGGGTTCAGTCATATAAGGACCTACAATTAAACCCCCCAGCACCTCTTTTCCTCTTCTGTGCTTGTGTTGCGTTGTTACTGCACGCTATGGATCAGCACTTAGTTATTCTCACTTGCTGTATGTCTTGGTTTTGTCGCCTCCAGTAGAATCTAAACTAATGCACAGTAATTCATCTAATTCTCCTCTATTCCTCACAGCACCCAGCCTTCCACTTGACAAGCAGCCTCTGCTCAGAAGATGCATCTTACCTTTCCATAATTTCTTGAACACCTGCCATGTGCTTAGCCACTGAGCTGAGGGGCTACAGGGGTGCATTAGGGAAGACTCTTGTCCTGGGAGAATATACTTCTTTTGTGGAAGAGATAAGCCATATAGTGATTAATTCCCAAAACTTACTATGCATCAGAATCAGTTGGAGGGCTTCTTAAAACACAGAATACAGTTAAAATGACCTCAAATGACCATTTAAATTTTACCTTTATTCTTAAAAGGAGAGTAACAAGATCAAAATATTATCCCAGAAAGATCAACCTTGGAATATTGTAGAGGACAGATATGACCAGGGAGAGATGAAGTTGGGGAAATCATAATATGCTAGTAAGAGAGAAAAGTACTGAACTAAATAATTAATTGATTTATTGATTTTGAAGGCTTCCAAAACCTCTCATGAAATCATTACATTCCTAGTTTCCTTTTCCTTGTAGAGAGCCTCTAAATACTTGAGCTGACACTTTCTGCCCCATAAGTTCATTATTTATGGTATCGTCTGTCCTTTGTTTTTGTCCCTGACCCAGTTTAGAAGCACTTTATCACTGAGACTGAATCTGAGGCTCTCTCTAGTTTCCAAGGCAAGTATTCTTTGGCAATAGACAAACAGATTTACAATTCCTCCCCAGAACTTCAAGGAGAAAGACCCTGCTTTCACATCTTTACAAACTCCCTCTTCATCTCTCACCACAAACGCAAGGCTTCTGAGCTTGCACTTGGTAATTTGTCTCACGGCTCCTCTTTTTCTGAAAGACTCTGAGCTTCTTGAGGACAGAACTAGCATCCAGTTCCATGTTTGAGTTTCTGATTTTTAGTGAAGTGACTGTCACAGGGTACATGCTTGAGAAATCTTTATTGGGAAAAAAATAAAGACAAACTTTATTAAAAGTATCTCATATTGTTCTTGTATTCAAATACATAATGCCACCTCACATGTAGATATCTTTGTAAAAGCATCTGGCTTTCAGGGTTTCCCTTTCAGACAGAGTTTATTATATCCACATCAGAAGGCAGTATTTGTAAGGTCCACCTTCAAGAATAAGAAATCACCTCATTAAACACAGTTGTTTTCAAAAAACCATATGACTTCCTCCTTCCTCCTTCCCTCCCTCTCTTCCTCCCTCCTTTTATTCTACTCCCACCTGGTCCGGTCCCTCCTCCTTCCCTTTGTCCAACAGGCACACAATAACACTTGGGGTACTGTACAAGCCACCATGGGCGATTGGTTACTGCCCTTGCAGAGCTTGAACTCCAGTGAAAGATACCTAACTCCCCCATCATTGTATTATATAGATTTGCTTCTTATTTTAGAGTAAAACAAGGTTCAGACAACACAGTGCAGGCATGTGGAGGGAGAGGAAAAGAGATCACACCTTACTGGTGCAAGAAGGGGCAGTGTGCAAGTCAGCTCTGGGTGGGTAGCTGCCTTTTCAATAGATGGAGAAGGGAGGGAAGGGCTTCGCAGGCTGGAAGCACAGCACTGAGGGTGTGGCGAGCTCCAGCAAGGGTGAGCAGCCACGGGGGCGGCCGTGGTGCTGGCAGATGAACCATGCCAATATGGAGGGAGCGAGGGACAGATTTTAATAAGCCACGGTGAGGACGGTGGATTCTGCTCGCAGGCAAAGGATAGTGACTGAAGCTTCTGGAACAGTGACATGTACCTGACATCTAGTTTTGACAAGAGAGTGCTGGCCCTGATGGCCAGCCAGGGTTTGCCCCGTGGCTCGAGGTTACCGGTACTTTGTGTACTTTTCCCCCAAGGCTGTAGGAGAAATAAGAACTCTAGCCAGATTTGCTGGGCTCTTCTCTCTGTAGCCTAGTGCTCTGGGGACCTATCTGGCTTAGAGGCGGGTTTGTCTTTGGAGTGCTTTCTTGAGAAAGGAGTGCTCTCTGCAAACCCTCTCTCCCTTCCCTCTCTTCACCCTGGAGATTGTCTTTACATTCAGCTTGAGACTGCGCTGAAAGATCCTTGGTACCTCTGTGGTCTCTTGAGTGGACTGCCCGACCCAGTGGGCAAGGAGCCCCCACGTCTGGCAGACCAAGCCAGCCCATTCCTCACATGTCATGGATTTTCCTGGAGGGAAACAGCGGATGCCACATGGTCATGGCTTGAAAGGATTCCATGCTGTCTGCACAAATAGAGACTGGAGCCTCTGGGAACAGCCTTGCTCTCACCTCACTCCCAGAAAGCCTCCCTGCCCTGGCCCGTGCAAACAGGCAGTGAATTGTTGCTCTCACTTCTACACACTGATGTACTGTGGGGCTGAGGCTTGGGGTTTTTGCCTTAAAAAAAATAAATCTCTTCATCTCCTTTCTGCATTGGACATGCTTGTCTCTGGGGACTTTTCCTTCCCAGACAGCCCTGAGTGACACGGACAAGAGGATTCTTGGGAGGGGCCTGACTGAACTGCAGCCACCTAGGCATTACCAGTGTGGTTGAGAAGACGGTGAGCTGACTTTCACCAGCCCCACCCCCTCTCTACACCCCACCCTTCCCCACCACCCCACTTCCCCACCCATGAACTGTCCTCTTGCACTTATGGTTTTCCACATTCTGGTCCCTCCCCCTAGAATGCCCCTTCTTTCTGCTCTGCTTGGAGAACTCCTATTCATTGTTCAGTGCTTAGCTTTAAGGACATTCGTGCTGTGAAATCTTACCCAGTTCCCAAAAAAATAAGTCCTGGTTTCCTCCTTCTCTATGCTCTTTGGATGTGTCTCAGTGATCAGGCTGATGAGACGGACTTGTGGTTGTTTGGATACCATTTCTCCAACCAGACCGAGCTGCCTGAGGGCAGTGATAATGAAGGCCTTGAGGGACAGTTGTGCCGGTTGTGTACTGCCCAACCCTATGGGGTGCCATTCACATTGTAGTCTAAATACACCCTGCACAACCCTAAGCAGCAGCTTTTGGGATAGGTAAGACTTTTTAACATAGGATCTGGCAAATAATAAAAGGTTATTCAAATTAATGTGGGAGTATTGCTCAGATTTTTGCTCTTCCTGTTCTGGTCACAGGGAAGAAACAATAGTTAGCTCAACAACCTTACAGTGAGAAAATATCCAGTTCTCCTTGGAGACAGGACATTGGTTCTAGATCAAGGTGAGAACTGAAGAAGATCCTTCTGGTCCCCCTTCAAACAGCCAATGGCTGCTCCAGGGGTGTCAAAGGGGTGTCACGTCATGGGACAAATCAGGTTATGAGGTGGTTAACTGCCTGAAATACTCAAATGAAACATCTTCTGAGGAGCATTCAGATGTGGTGGGGAAGCACACCCTAATGGGTCTGTGCAGTCTGCTGTGGTTCAGAACTGGGGCATGGAGCCATGCCCGCCCCATGGCTGCCTCCCTCCGGTTTGGTCTGGACTACTCACACAAGCCATGTGGAAGCCTGGACTATATGATAGTGGTCCCTGTCCTGTCTTGCCCTCATGTTCTCAGGGTCCGATGAGCAGTACATGAATTTTTGTCCCTGTGCCTCAGATGTTCATCTACATAATGAGATGTCTTTCTGTTAGGGTTTTGGGGGGTGAAGCAGAGATCAAAGGGGAGCTTGTATTCCCCCCAGTAAAAGAAAAAGACCATGTAGGAGATGAAGATGCCTAGGATCCCTTTCAAATCATCAAACAACGGAGATTTCTCAAAGAACTAAGAGTGGCACTCCCATTCAACCCAGTAATCTCATTACTGGGTATATACCCAAAGGAAAACAAATCATTCTACCAAAAAGACACATGTGTACACATGTTCATGGCAGCACTATTCACGATACCAAAGATAAGGCGTCAACCCAAGGTGCCCATCAACAGTGGATTGGATAAAGAAAATGTGATGTGGTACATATAGATCATGGAATGCTATGCGGCGATAAAAGAGGATGAAATTAATGTCCCTTGCTGCAACAAGGATACGGCTGGAGGCCATTATCCGAAGCAAGTTAACACAGAAACAGAAAACCAAATATTGCATGTTCTCACTTATAAGAGGGAGCCAATCACTGGGTACTCATAGACATAAACATGGTAACAACAGACACTGAGGACTACTAGAGGTGGGAGAGAATGAGAGGGGCAAGGGCTGAAAACCTAGCTACTGGGTACTATGCTCAGTACCTGGGTGGTGGTTTCATTCATATTCCAGACCTCAGCATCATGAAATATACTTTTGTAACAAACCTGCACATGTACCCCCTGATTCTAAAATAAGAGTTGAGAAAAAAGAATATTTAAAAACTCACCAAATAATATGGGATCCTTACTACTCTATCCTAGCTCCAATGTCTATGTTTTCTGTACCCCTTCTTCCCCTCCACTCTATCTTGAGATTAGGGGAAAAGTGAAGATGTGAGGGTAAGATAGAAACACTGAAAGGTGGTTATAATAATAACAATAATCTTTATTATAAGAAACTCAGTAAATGGGCATAAAGACGGTAGAGGAAGAGTTCTGATTTGCCCTTCATCCTTGGAAGAAGACAGAGAGGCTCTGCAACGGCACTGCCCAGGTTCAACTCCAGCCTCTGTAATCAGCAGCTGTGTGTCCCGGGCCCGGGCAGGTTGCTTGACCCGACTCTTCAGTGTCCTTGTCTTTCATCGCTCTTACCTCACAGAATTGTGAGGATTAAGTGAGCTCATAAATGCAAAGTGTTCTGAACAGAGTTTAGTAAGTTTCCATCATTACTATTCCTATTGCAATAACAAATACCATCATATAGTATTGCTCTTCAGCCCAGTGAGGTTGAGAAAACAAACTTAGATGCTATAACCAAAACACTTGAGAACAGATCAAGGGACACACGTAGACAGATGTGACTCTTTTTCATCACATCAAACCTGCATTCCCTCCTCTTGGTGTCTGGCTTTCATGGAAATAGCTAAAGCATCTATGAGCTCAGCTTGGTGTCCCTTTGCTCAGGGTGGTCTATGAATAATGGAATGATCCAGTGCCCTCAATATCCTGGGCACACTGCTAGAAACCCACACATTTGGTATTAGTCTCAGGTATTCTGTCTTGGGTCCACCTAGAAGGTCTTCATATTCCCTGTGAAGTGCTAGGTGATTTCTGCATTTATTAATTATTCTTTTGGTGTATGCTAATTGACTACATGTTAAGTGTGAGAGCAAGTTCCCAGAGGAAAGAAGAGGATCCTTATCCATCTCTTCACCCAGTTGCACCTACTGACTCCTGCACCCAGAATGCCATTTTCTCCCTTGTCTACCTGGCAAACCCCTATTCATCCTTCAAAACCCAGCACAAATATAACCTCCTTTGTCAGACCTTTCTTAACATCCCCAACCTCCAAGCAGAGTAACTTTTTCTTGTGTAGTTTTTGGCCTACATTTTATCATCGACTTTCTGAAATTATGCCTAATTATTTGCCACACTGCATCTTGAAGGCAGGAGCGCCCTAATTTACGTCTGAATTCCTACAGCCTGACGTAGCCTGGCACACAGTAGGTGTTCAATAGTGTTTGCTGAGTGAGGCCCTTTCAGCCTATAGTAACTCTTTGGGGTCTTGGGTTCCATAAGTTTAAGATCTGCTTTTAGGTTGTGAACACCAGGCTGCCAAAGGGATCAAAAGTAAATATGACAGAAGATCTGTCAATAACATAAAACTCCAGAACAACCTACTGAAGATTCTGGAACCCTTTTCTTGAATAAATTTTACAAGCGAGAAAGGATGATGTCACAATCCTAGTTCAGAGATGGAGCATAGACCCGTTGGCTCTCCATTGGCCTTCTCGGTTCCAGGAATGATTAAGTAGACATCTGGATATGTGTAGGGTGCATGTGGATGAAAAGAACCAGCTTGTCCCCACTTCCCCAATCGTGTTCACCCTTCCCACCTTGTTGAGGATGCCTCTTGCCTTTCTGCCCAAGTTGTTCCTCCTCCCTAGGCAGCTCAAGTCCCACCTCTTCCACAAAGCCTCTTCTGACCACCCCAGTCCAAAGGGCAATCCCTCTGCTCTGGGTTCTGGGCAGTATGGCATAGACCAGGCTTCTAACTGGTTTGGAAATATGTTATTTGACTTCATAATGGGAAATTCCTTTGAAAGAAAAAGTATTTCTCTTAGTCCCCTTGTTTCCTCTCCAGGGCCAGGCACAGTTTGGGACACTAGCATGTGTGTGCATGTGTATGTGTGTGTGTTGTCATGGCAACACAATGTGAATAATCCGAATCGGAGATCCTGGTGTCATACATCTGGAACAAAATAAACTCATTTATGACATCTTCCAGCATGTACAATGTCTCTGAAACATTGAGATCTCAAAGAAACAAAACAGCTCCAAAACAGGGTGGAGAGCTCACATTCTTTCCTCGCCTGTCTGCCTGCCCTCCCCCCTGCCCACCTCCCCATATACAGAATGGAAACTTTCAGGGGAAAAGAATTTTGAACAGCTGTTGTGAGAGACCACACAGACTTCCCCACATCTGCTCGCACACAGCCGGTGAGCTCATTTCCCGGGGAGATGCTGTCTGAGTCTGTGGGGTCCACTTAAGGATACCTTGGGAGGGGCTGAGGAGAAAAGAGGAAGTGGCCCCAGGTGGAGGGGGAACTTTCTCATGTCAGAAAATTCACTGGAGACAGATTAAAGGGAGGGTGATCCCACAGATTCCTTCCTTGCCTAGGAGAGTTTGCTTTCTAGAAAGCCCCTTTGCTCATTATGTTTAAAAAGAGGTCTTTTCAAATTTACAACTGATTTTAAAAAGAATCTTGACTCCCATCAAGTCCTCCTCCCCTCGTCCAAAAAGCCAAAGTCAAGAAGCATTTCCTGGTTTAGAAAATATCCTACAAAGGATTAGGGCCACAGGCAATGACAGCTTCCCCCACGCTTTTTAACGTTGAAAGTAATATTCTGGTTTCTACAGTGCTCTGTGGACTCCAAAGAGCTTTTACCCATAGTAATGTATTAGATCCTCAAGAGGCTTTCTGGGAGAGACAGGGAAGATATTGCTAGCATTAGTGTTGACACCAGAATTGGTATTGATAAGCATATTGGCATTGGCATTAGGACGAATTAGTCCTGAATTTCCAGTGTTGAAGCTGAGGTTTACGGTAGTTTCGTGAATTGCCCAAGTTCACAAAGCAGAGCAGAGAACTTAGAGTCTTATATTTGACCTGTGAACCCCTTTTGCTAAACTATGAAGTCATCTTTCACAAAATAACAGCTCATTTGCAAGCTAGCTTTTCCTTCCTCTCCCATTTCTTGGACCCCCAGCCTCAGAAATCCAACCAAGCCCTGGGATTCTTATGGGTATGACACAATCACTTTCCAGGTTGGGTTTTGGCCCCATCCCCTGACAAAGAAGCAAGGAGAGGTCCAGAGAGGACACCTATCTCTTTTGGAAATTCCATCTTCATCCTCTGGATGTGTAGCTGTGGCACCCAAACTAGATCAGGAAGTGGGAGATCTGGGTGCCCAGGCAGCCTCTGCGTCTACTGTCCACTGCTGTGAGTCATCTACCCTTTTCACCTGTCAAATGAAGAGTTTAAGCCAGTGATTTCTGTAGACGCTCCCAGCTCCAGTCTTCTGTGATTAGGTGACGCTGTGATTCCATGACAGTCTTCAATGATTCAAGAGCAGACAGGTTACAGGGGTGGTGAATTTTCCTTGAGGGAACCTGTGCCTGGGACCCTTCCCTCCACACTCACTCACTCGCCCCATGCCTGCTGTCAGCCTGGAGCTGGCCTGGCCCTGCCTGGCTTGGAGACATCATTGTGCAGTATCAGTTGAAGGTTTGGGTGAGGGCGGGCTGAGGCTGGCGGGGGGGAGACTCACTGGGGTATTTTTTTCAGATGCATATGTCCCCTCTCAGGCAGCCCTTTCAGAGCTCTGGACAATGTGCTCTTTTTGTCTCCAGCCTTTTCAGCCGCCTGTTCATTCTCTTTGCATCTGCTGTCACACAGGACATCCCGGCTGGCAGGCGACCACGGGGACACATTGTGCTCCCTTAATGAAGCATAGGGCTGGTGATACAGGGCTGGGGGGGCAGGCTGCAGAAGCAAGGGGTGAGCAGAGGGGCACCCCATCTTTCTACTCCAGGCTCCTCCTGGGGGAAAGGACAATTGGCCCCCCTTTTATTCCTCATGGTCCACATGGATGTGCCTGCAAGAAAGGAACTCACTCGTTTCAAGGGAGAGGCTTTGGTGACTGGGGTGGCAAGTGGGTGATGGAAGAGAGAGAGCTCAGCTTCTTCTTCAGGAAAAAGGGCACTGCTAAGCAGGTGGGCAGGAGGTCCTGGAAAAAGGAGCATTAGCCAAGAGCACTTTGCCCACATCCTTTTCACAGAGAGGCTCCAAACATCATGCAACATGCAACTAGGAAGAAGAGGACACTGGGGCATCCCCTTCCATTCTTTAAAAGCTTATGGTGTCACCGTCCACCTGGGGTTAGTGTCTAAGAAGTTAGTCCTTGATCCAGGAGGCTTGGTGAAATGAGAGCTGAGGGTCCCTTCAGGTCCTAATGTGTTGTAGGTGGAGGCCCTCTCCATCCAGGTAAAGAAGAAAGAAGGATGGCTCCAGGAGTTCACATAACATGGCCAAAGGCCGGGCAGCGTGCAGCAGAATGCAAGATGAGCGGCCAGGTTATAGGGCGAGATCATGAAGGATTCTTCCCCGGCCCCAAATGTTCTTTAAGAGTGTCCTCTCACCATCCCTCCTCTCATCCCCCAAGAATAGAGAAAAATGAAATCAGCAGAATCCCGGAGAGCAGAGGTTTTTCCTCCTTGTGTGGCTTGTAACAACAAATCTCTGATCTTTTCACCAGATGAAGGTGATGCCACCAAGGCTGATGACTATCTGTGCTGCGGGTGTGGCTGGCAGGCCCCAGGGCACTTCCCACCATGAAGCCAGCCAGATAAGGCAGCCCTGATGTTTTTAAACAAGGCTACCCATGATAGTGCGGGCTCCACCTGCAGCTCTCAGGTCAGCAGAACTCCTTTCCCCAAAAGAGAGCCCCTCTCCCCCAGGCCCCTTTCTGCTTGCTGTGGAGTTACCTTGCAGAAGCCCAGGGTTCACTACAATGTTCTGGCATGTGCAGATGCCTTCCCAACTCTTACTACAACTTGGAGTTTGTCTTTCTGGTCTGTTTACTGCACCCCGCCCCCCCCACCCCCAGCCCACCCCTCACCCTTCCTGGCCTGCTTACCCGCCCACCACCCAAAGAAAAAAGCCTGGGCCTTGTCCAACAAGGCCCCCTGTCCCCTTTAACAAGCGAAGTGTGCTGGCATTGCAATTGGTGGTCTTCTCCCCTGAAGGTCGTTAATTAGTACAGAATGTAGACTTCAGTTGTCTTGCCAGCCCCGATGAAAACGCAGCTGGCAGGTAGCCGAGACAGAGGAATTTGTCATAGGTTAGATCAGCTCAAGCTCTAAGGACCAAGTGTACAGCTTATGCAAATAGTTTTGCTTAGCATGGATCCTGTGTTCTTATTCCCCCTCTCTCCCCCCAAGATTTTTTTTTTAACTGAAGGGTGGGGAGGGAGTGGGGGAACAAGGGAAGGAGGGAGAACAAGCACTTACTTGCCAGATCTCATTCTAAATCAGAAAGGAGCAAATTGCTTTCCCTAAAAAAGAAAAAGGCAGGGAAAAAAGAAGACAAAACACCCATCCTTTGGTCTAATGTACCGAGCATTTGAAAGCTGAATTGCTCAATAGGAAAGACTAGCAGTGAGTGTATTTGGAGAGACTATTATCCCCATCAAAACCCATTCACACTCTCTGGGAGGCCTGCAGAGCACCTGGGTGGGGACTTGGAACATTGGGGTTCTGTTCCTCTCCCTGCCCTGATGGTGTCACCTCCTCAATCCTGCCCTGGTTTTCCCAACTTTGGCAAACACTTAGTGCTAGCCTCAATTAGACAGAGCATCTGGGCACCCACGAATCCCAGAAGACAGAAGAGTTATGGTGGCTTCTCTCAGCATGTGCAGCACTAGCTTGGCATACTATAAAGACCTGTGACCTCAAAGTCCGGCGGGCCAAGCCAGTTATGAGCTGTGTGATTTGGGACACTTCTCTTAACCTCTGTGAGCTTCAGCTCCCTCATCTATAAAAACAGGGACAGCCATCTTTCCCTCATATTCCCTCAGTGGTTTACCTGGCACCTAGTAAGGGCTCAATTAATACTTGACGAGAATGAATGAAGCAAGATAACGAGGTAACAAGCATGCTGCCTGGTGGGCAGTAGATACTCAGGAAAGTGTTGGCATGCTGATTATGGTGATGAGACCGAAAAATAATCAAGAGAAAAGTTGGATTTCAAAGTTGTAAAATTGCACTGAAGGCATTGAGTTGGCTCAACATTGGTGGAAGTGAAGATGAGGGGTGGGGTGGGAGTAGGAGAAGAAAACCTCAGGGTTTGTCTAGGACAGGGATTTTTAATCTCAGAGTTATTGACATTTTGGACAGGATAATTCTTGGTTGTGGAGGGTTTTCCTGTGCCGTGTAAGATGGTTAGTAGCATCCTCTACCTGCTAGATGCCAGTCGTACCTTCCTCAGCTGTAACAACTAAAAATGTCTCCAGACATTTCCAAATGTTCCCTAGAGGGCAGAGTGTCCCCAATTGAGAATTACCACTGATCTAAGATAATTTCCTCCAGGAAAGCTGATGAGCGATCTGGTGAACTCCGTAGACTGTGGCTATGCGATACTTACATTTCAGCTGCTACCTAACACTGTGGCAGAAATAGCAATGACTTGCTTAAGGACTACTCTGAAGGTCAAAGGAGGATGTGAGCCAGACTGATGAAAAAGTTATTACAGACTTCAAGTTTCCAGACCGGTATGTAAGGGGTTTGGAAGTTGCCTCTCTGTCCTAATAAGTAAAAAGATGAACAAACTGAAAAAATCAATAATTCTCCTTAAAACTATCAGGCATGTGAAATCACAGGGTAAACTGCTGCCCCCAAAATTGGAGAGACAGACAGGTGAATACAGAGAGTTACAACCTAACTGGAGCCGGAACCTACTCACAGAAACCACTGCAGGAAGCAACGCCCGCCTTGGAAAACTGAACTGTAACTGACAAATTACTGCAGGCTCAGTGTGGACAAGTTTGAGAGTTAAACACTCCGGTGAGACCCAGTCATAGAGGGGTAACCACATTTTTGTGAGTTTTACTGCAGGAGCTCCACCAGGTTCTTACAGTGAGTATCAGAGGAAAGTCCCCTTGTATTCCTAGCAGGTAAAGAGCGAAAAGAACCATTCTGAAATACACCAGAGTACTCTGTCTCCCCTCAAGAGAAACTGTTCTAAAAGAGCCTAAAATGTTGGAGTTTTACCAGAACCTAGCTAAACTGGGGAAAGGGAAATATACCAAACTCCAGCCCCCAGAGTCATTCTGTCCCACCCAAGGGCAGGGTGTGGGGACTGAGATGCACTTGTGAGGTTCACAGCCCAGGGGCACAGGTTCACTAAGAGATTGAGACCTGCTCCAGAGGACTATAGAATGTTTACTCTCCTCTCATGCCTTGCCACCACACACTAACGGCCTATTTACAGCAGTTCCTTCTATCCAGTATGTCCAGCTATCAAGAAAATTACAAGACATATTAAAAGGCAAAAATCACAATTTGAAGAGACAGAAAAAGCATTAGAACCAGACTCAGATACAACAGGGATGTTGGAATTATCGAACTGGGAATTTAAAACAGCTATCATGATTAATGTGGTAAGAGCTCTAGTAAATCAAGTAGACAGCGTGTAAGGAAAAGATGAGCAGTGTAAGCAGAGATGGAAATTCTAAGAAAAAAGCAAAAAAAAGGTTAGAGTTAAAAAACACTAGAGATAAAAAAAAATTAGCTAGAGATGGCTGGGTGCAGTGGCTCACGCCTGTAATCCCAGCACTTTGGGAGGCCGAGGAGGGGGGATCACGAGGTCAGGAGATAGAGACCATCCTGGCTAACACGGTGAAACCCCATCTCTACTAAAAATACAAAAAATTAGCTGGGCATGGTTGTGGGCGCCTGTAGTCCCAGCTACTCGGAAGGCTGAGGCGGGGGAATGGCGTGAACCCGGAAGGCAGAGCTTGCAGTGAGCCAAGATCGCGCCACTGCACTCCAGCCTGGGTGACAGAGCGAGACTCCGTCTCAAAAAAATAAATAAATAAAATAAATAAGCTAGAGATTTGAAAAAAAAAAATGTCTTTGATGGGTTCATTAGTAGAATGGACACAGCTAAGGAACAAATTCCCTGAGCTTGAGAATATGTCAATAGAAACTTTCAAAATGAAAACACACACACAAAATAGACTGGGGAAAAAAAGAGAAAACTCCACAAATTGTGGGACGACTACAAAAGGTGTAACATTCATATAATGGGGATATCAGAAGTAAAAGAAAGAAATGAACAGAATAAATATTTGAAGCAACAATGACTGAACATTTCCACAAATTTGTGTTTGGTCAGACATTAAACCACAGATCCACAGATCTAAGAAGCTCAGAGAACACAAGCAGGATAAATACAAAAACAAAAAACCATAAAACAAAAACCAACTATATTTAGACATATTGTATTGAAACTGCAGAAAATTCAAAAGTAAGAAAAAGTCTTGAGAGAGGCCAGAGGAAAATGCACCTTATCTATAGAGGAACAAACATAAGAATTACCTCCAACTTCTCATCAGAAACTGAGCGAAGAAGAAGAATAAAACGGAATCAGGTAAAATGCTCAATTGAAACCACAAAAGGCAATGAATAGGAAACCAAAAGCACGGCAACAAGAGCGAAAATTGACAAGTGGGACTACAGCAAACCAAAACACTCCTGTCAGCAAAGAAAACAGTCACAGAATGAAAAGGGAACACAAAGAACAGGATAAAATATTTGCAAATTATATATATAGTAAGAGATTAATATTTTAAAAATATAAGACGTCTACAACTCTATACCCAAAAGAGAAAAAAATAAACAAAATAAACAACCTATTAAAACACAGGCAAAGGGCCGGGTGAGGTGGGCTCACGCCTGCAATCCCAGCACTTTGGGAGGCCGAGGGGGGCAGATCACGAGGTCAGGAGATCAAGACCATCCTGGCTAATACGGTGAAACCCCATCTCTATTAAAAGCACAAAAAAATTAGCCGGGCGTCGTGGTGGGTGCCTGTAGTCCCAGCTACTCGAGAGGCTGAGGTGGGAGAATGGTGTGTACCCAGGAGGCAGAGCTTGCAGTGAGCCGAGAGCACGCCACTGCACTCCAGCCTGGAGGACAGAGTGAGACTCCGTCTCAAAACAAACAAACAAACAAACAAACAAACAAACAAACAAACGAAAACATAGGCAGAGGACTTAATAGTCATTTCTCCAAAGAAGACATACAAATGGTCAACAGGTATATTAAAAGTTGTTTGACATCACTAATGACAAGGGAAATGCAAATCAAAACGACAATGAAATATCACCCACATCCATTAGGATGGCTACGATCAAAAAACCAGGAAAGAGTAAGCACTGATGAGGATATGGAGATGATGATTGAGGAGGATATTGGAACCCTTGCGCACTGTTGGTGAGAACTGAAAATCATGTAGCCGTTATGGAAAACAGTACTGAGGTTTCCTCAAAAAAAATCACAAATAGAATTACCATAAGATCTAGTGATCTCACATATAGATATTTATCACAAAGAACTGAAAGCAGAGTCTTGAGTAGATATTTGCATTCTGATGTGCATAGCAGCATAATTCACAACAGCCAAGGGGCGGGAACAATCTAAATGTCTATCAATGGATGAATAGATAAGCAAAATGTGATATGTACATGCAATGGAATATTATTAAGTCTTAAAAAAGAAGAAAATCCCATTATATGCTATAACATGTCTGAATCTTAAGGACATTATTTTAAGTGAAATAAGCCTGTGATGTAAGGACAAATCTTACATGATCCCACTTATATGAGTATCTAAAATAGTCAAACTCATAGAAGCAGAAAGTAGTATGGTGATTACCCAGAGTGGGCAGAGGGGACTGTCCAATGGGTAGGGAGTTGATGTCCAATGGGTATAGAGTTTCAGCCATACAAGTTGAAAAGTTCTAGCTGGCCGGGCGAGGTGGCTCACGCCTGTAATCCCAGCATTTTGGGAGGCCGAGGCGGGGGTATCACGAGGTCAGGAGATGAAGGCCATCTTGGCTAACACGGTGAAACCCCGTCTCTACTAAAAATACAAAAAAATTAGCCGGGCGTGGGGGCGGGCGCCTGTAGTCCCAGCTACTCGGGAGGCTGAGGCAGGAGAATGGCGTGAACCCTGGGAGGCGGAGCTTGCAGTGAGCCGAGATCAAAAGAATCACCTTTGAAAAAAATTGATAAGCTGGACTTTACTAAGATTAAAAAACTTCTGCTCTAAAAAGACACTTTTGAGAGAATCAAGACAAACCACAGAGTGGGAGAATATATCTTCAAAACACATAACTGATAAATGACTTGTATTCAAAATATGCAAAAAAAAAAAAAAAACCTCTTAAACGCAACAGTAAAAAAACCCAATTACTCAATTAAAAATAGACGGAAAATTTGAACAGATACCTCATCAAGGACGACATAGAGATGGCAAATAAGTATACGAAAAAATGCTCAACATCATTTGTCGCTAGAAAATTGCAAATGAAAGCAATAATGAGATATCACCACACACCGGCTTCAATCTGCAACATCCACAAATCTGACAATATAAATTGTTGATGAGGATGTGGAGTAACAGGAAGTTTCATTCATTGGTGGCGGAAATGCAAAGTGGTACAGGCACTTTTGAAGGCAGTTTAAGAAACTGCCAAACTGTCTTCAAAAGTGCCTGTACCATTTGTGCTGCTGGGTATTTATGCAACTGGATTTGAAATTTATGTCCACACAAAGTTGCACACAAATATTTACAACAGTTTGATTTATAACCACCAAAAACTGAAAGTACCAAGATGTCCTTTAATAAGTGAATGGATTAAACAAAATAGGCACATCCAAGCAGTGAAATACTCATCAGTGATTTAAAAAATGGAACAAAAAGTGGCAAAAATACATGGATGAAACTTAAATGCATATTGATAAATGAAAGAAGCCAGTCTTAAAAGGCAAAACTACAGCAATGGTTTTAAAAATCAGTGGCTGGCCGGGCACAGTGGCTCACATGTGTAATCCCAGCACTTTGGGACGCTGAGGCAGGTGGATCACAAGGTCAGGAGTTCGAGATCAGCCTGGGCAACATGGTGAAACCCCATCTCCACTAAAAATACAAAAATTAGCCGGGCATGGTGGCGGACGCCTGTAATCCCAGCTACCTGGGGGGCTGAGGCAGAGAATTGCCTGAACCCGGGAGGCAGAGGTTGCAATGAGCAGAGATTGTGGCACTGCACTCCAGCTTGGGCAACAGAGTAAAAAAAAAAAAAATCAGTGGCTGACAAGGGCTCATGAGACAAGAGGAAGGGTTGAATAGGTGAAGTACAAGAAATTTTTTAGTGAACCTATTCAGCATGATTCTGTAACGTTGGATACTATTTGTCAAAATTCAAAATTCATTGCACTTTTCAGCACAAAGAATGAATCTTAATGCATACAAATTTTAAAAAAATCATTTAAGAGGTTGAGAAACATCAGAATGGAATGATAAAGGTGATGAAGCAATCTAACTCTATCATAAATACATAAAACAACCTCACTGTGGGAGTTGGGAAAAGAGCTGACCTAAACAACTTTGGAAATGAATAGAATCTGTAAGACTACAGTCAAAAGAAATGATACATAAACACCGAACTCTCCCTGGTAGGTTGTTTCCCGTGGGGATATGAGTACACAGCCTGACACTACACTACCATACATGTATACTGGAAATGAACAATTAAGTAAATGGATGGTAGGTGGTGGTAGCCAGATTTTTACTACTGGACTAGGGAATTACAGGTTTGCTAGGGGAGGAGGCTAAAATTAACCATGTGGTAATGGTTTTGAATTGAAGACATTGGTATGAATTTACGTACATAGATGTTTACACATAGAAATACGTATAGACTTGTACACCCACAGGTTAGTGAACACACATACATTTCCTTGATATGCCAGCTGAAATGGCATAGAACCAATGGGTCTCCAATAGCAATGAGCACACCTAGCACCCAGATCTTGATTTCTAACACCATTCTTCAATTAAAAAACAAACAAACAAACAGACAAACAAAAACCCAGACTCCTTGAAGAAATATCTGATTCTAGGACTAGGTCAGAAAATTTACAAAATGAATCTGGAACATCTTGTATTGCCAGAAAGTAAGGAAGTACTGAAAAATTACAGTGAGTGAAGATTAAAGTTAGATAATATATGCAAAAGCAGCTTATAAAGCATTATCATTTATAAGAATTTGTGCTAGGACTCATAAATGGGTACTGCTGCAGCCTGGATTTGACTCTCGGTCAAGGAACCAGTTCTGTGGAGGCATAAATCCTTTAACACAGGAAAAAACAAACATCTATAAAAATTAGCTTGATACAACACAAGGAAATGATAAATGTTTGAGGTGATGAATATGCTAATTAACCTGATTTGATCATTACACATTTGTATACATATGTATCAAAATATCACTCTGTACCCCATAAATATGTACAATTATTATGTGTTAATTAAAAATAATAAAAGCCAAAAGGAGCTAAATCTGAAGAAGAAAACCGAGAACAAATGGGCCCTGAGTAAGCTTCATGAGTTTTAGTGCATGAGTAGTATGATGTTTATTTTGACTGCTCTGAAGCCTTCCTGTTCCTAGGCTGTTGAAGTTGTACAGTAAGTAATTCTGAGTAAGAGAAATGTCACTGTATTTAAAGAAGTACAAGTCCTCGTTTTCATGGGCAACTTACATACACAAATTATCCCAGTCCCAAGTGACACAGAGATGCATATCCACCCTCTTACATATGTATTTTTTAAATCTATCAAAGTTATGAAGCCTAGATTGTAAAAGTCCTAGAAGGCTACCTGGAAGTTTGAGGCAGTAAGAATCGTTGACAAATATCTAAGTGGAGCTTCTTACGTTCTAAACACCATGGCATTTTCTTTCTTGAAAAGGAAGTAAATTCACTGTCCTCAGTGTCCCCCCATCTAATCCATGTTCCACACTGAACTACATAAAAAAGTACAATCATTTTATTCTCCTGTCTAAAACTGTGTAATCCTTCTCCATGGCCAAAAGGAGTGCTTTTTTGACATTCCTTTGAAAGGAGTACAATGTTCCCAAATGAGCAACCCATTAAATAAAACAGCAACCCATTAAATAAAATAATAATAGCTCATAGCATGATCCACCAACCACTTGATGCAAGCAGGTGCCCCTGAGGCATCTCCAAAGGACCCCTGGGCCCCTACCCGGAACGGAGCTGGAGAAACCCTGGTCCAAGGGACATGATACAAACTCCTTAGCATGACACAAACAGCCCTTCACAATCTAAAATCTCCAGCCTCCTGTTGTGCTACGTCTTCCCATCCTTAGACCAATCTTTCGCATATGTGAACATCCCTGTACCTCAGTTTCCTCCTTTGTAAAATGGTGATAATAAAACTCACATGACCATTGTGATCATCAGTTGAGTTAATAAACTTAAAGCACTTAGCTTAGTGCCTGGTACTTAGCAAGTGCTCAGCAAATATTCTCTCTTTATGCTTTTACATTAGCCTTTGATATAGTACTTTGAGACAGTAGTTTTAGAACAAATAACGTTGTTTAGAGCATCTGTATTTTGCATATATGATTTCCTCTACCTAATAATCCTTGTCCCCACTCTTTCCTTCACTGCCTGTCAAACTCTTACTCATCCTTCAAAACCCATCTCAAATGTCTCCTTTGTGATGCTCTCCTAGTTTTCAAGGCCAAAGTCAATTTTTCATCTTTGTGCTTCCATAGCACCCAGCTCACACCTCCATTATGGCCTTGCCGCACAGTGCTGGAAGTCCCTCCAGCTCAGCAGTGCACTACTTATCTTCATAACCATGGGTTCTGACATCTAGCAGTCACACAAGGAATGTTTCTTGTATAGAAATGCAGCGATAAAAGGATAGAAACCAAAATGGTTGGTTGCAAACTGGAAAAGGATTTATTTTAGATTCTGTTGTAAAGAAATGCCCACAAAAGGACAAGAAGTGCTTAAGAATGACAAAGAAGGTGGCTTTGATCGGTGTCAACTGAGCCATGGAATTATGACTTAGTGGCAGCTCAGCAAGGACTCTGCCCCACAGGCTCTGAGGATTCACAGACAAGCCATCACATCCGTGGTTCCTTGGTTCTGCCAGCTTTCTTTCTGGGACACGGCTGTTAGCTTTATTATTATACTGGACACCCAATGCCCACAGTTCCCCTGCCCACCATTCTCAATATTGTCCTGACTCAGAACCTTCTCTGTTCCTTACCCATCAAAATTTACTTGTCGCGTATCCCATCTCCCCAGAGCCTTCAAAAGGTCCATCCAGAGAAAAGTTTAAAGGGAGTGGAGTATCAGACAGGCAGACAGGATCATGGGCAGCTATTTGCTGGCTGGAAGGCCTTTTGTACTCTTCCAACCAGTGAATGGGATTAGTCCATCCTGCAGGAAATCCTGTTTCAGGAAAATTGAGAACCACCACTCTAAAAGTGGTTTCTCTGTATCCCTACTTCTAAGCAAAGATGTAACTAATCATTCAGACAATCATCTTACTCTTAGTTGCTTTATCAACCTGGGCCAGGATCTGACCACCAATTCTGGTCAGAAATGTCTTGCTTACATGTCTGTTGAGGAAACCTCAAAACAATACTGGATTCTGGAGCAGCAGTGCTTTGGTGGTTAATAAGTTCATTCATATCCTTAAAGACTTCTCAGTCTTCTCTACTCTGAACTAAGTAATTTTGTTATCTTGCTCCTAAAATTTTATGATCTATTAATTTGATCATTTCTGAAGCTCTTTTCTGAATCTCCTGTAAGCTGTCATCCTTGAATATAGTTGCAAGAAACCCTGTCTCTACTAAAAAATACAAAAAATTAGCCGGGCATGGTGGCGGATGCCTGTAGTCCCAGCTACTTGGGAGGCTGAGGCAGGAGAATGGCATGAACCCAGGAGGCAGAGTCTGCAGTGAGCCGAGATCGCACCACTGCACTTCAGCCTGGGCAACAGAGTGAGACTCCATCTCAACAACAAAAAAAAGAGTGATCTGTATTATAGAATAAGAAAATTTGACAGCAGATCTCTAAGACCTCCTTTAAATTTTTTTAAGATGTAATTTCAGACATACAAAAAAGTTGCCAGGCCAGAGTTCTTCTGGCTGGGCATGGTGGTTCCTATAATCCCAGCACTTTGGGAGGCCGAGGTGAGAGGATGGCTTGAGCCCAGGAGTTCAAGACCAGCTTGGGCAAATGATGAAGCTCCATGTCTACAAAAAATACAAAAATTAGCTGGCTGTAGTGGTGCACACTTGCAGTCCCGCTGACTTGGGTGGTTGAGACAGGAGGATTGCTTGAGCCCAGGAGGTTGAGGCTGCAATGAGCTGTGATTGTGCCACTGCACTCCAGCCTGGGCAACAGAGCAAGACCCTGTCTCAAACAAACGAACAAACCCTAGTACAAAAAATTCATGGTTAACTTTTCATCCTCTTTGCTTTATCCTTTTCTTTCTCTCTGTGTGTGTGTATGAACTGTGTGAGAGCAAACTCCAAACATGACACTCCTTCAACCCTACACAGTTCAGAGTGTCCTTCCTTTCTTAAAAACAAGGCATTCTTGGCCAGGCGCAGTGGCTCACGCCTGTAATCCCAACATTTTGGGAGACCAAGGCAAGTGGATCACCTGAAGTCAGGAGTTCAAGACCAGCCTGGCCAACATGGCAAAATCCCGTCTCTACTAAAAATAAAAAAATTAGCTGGGCATGGTGGTGGGCGCCTATAATCCCAGCTACTCAGGAGGCTGAGGCAGGAGAATCACTTAAACCTGAGAGGTGGAGGTTGCAGTGAGCCAAGATTGTACCATTATACTCCAGCCTGGGCAACGAGAGCGAAACCGTGTCTCCAAAAAAAAGAAACAAAAAACAAACAAACAAAAAAAGGCATTCTTTAATATCACCATAATACAATTATAGAAATTAGGAAATTAGGCTGGGCACGGTGGCTCACACCTGTAATCCCAGCGCTTTGGGAGGCCAAGGCGGGCAGATCACGAGGTCAGGAGATCGAGACCATCCTGGCTAACACAGTGAAACCCCGTCTCTACTAAAAATACAAAAAATTAGCCAGGAGTGATGGCGGGCGCCTGTAGTCCCAGCTACTCAGGAGGCTGAGGCAGGAGAATGGTGTGAACCTGGGAGGCGGAGCTTGCAGTGAGCAGAGATCGCGTCACTGCACTCCAGCCTGGGCGACAGAGCGAGACTTCGTCTTAAGGAAAAAAAAAAATTAGGAAATGAGCATCAATAACAATACTACTGTCTTAACTACAGACTTTATAAAGATTTCACCAGTTGCCCCAATACTGTCCTTTACTGCAAAAGAAAATCCAGGTTCATATTACATTAATTTATCCTGTCTTTAATTTAGTCTCCTTTAATCTGGAACAGTTGCCCAGTCCAACTTTGTGTTTTATGCCATAGATATTTTTGGAATTCAACCCACTTCTTTTGTATAATGTCCTTTAAGTTGGCATTGTCTTATACTTCCTGGTGATTTTAGATTACACGTTTTTGTCAGGAACACCTCAAGAAATGATATGTTCTCCTTAGTGCTTCATATCAACAGTCAAGGAATATCTCATTATTGGTGATGGTAACTTTGATTGCTCAGTTGAGAAGTTGTCTGCCAGGTTTCCCCATTGTAAAGTGACATTTTCCCCCATTGTAAGCAAGTGACTTATGGGAAGACACTTTCAGATGATATAAAAGCATGCCTCAAAGTTTTATGATCTATTGATGTTTCCTGCCTAATCCAATTATTATTATGATGGTTGCCAAATGGTAATTTTCTAATTTCATCATTTCTTCTACATTTATTAGTTGACTTTCCATGGCAAAAAAAAGTGTTATTCCTTCTCCCTAAAGTATTTATCTATTTATATTAATGTGGAGTTATTAATGGGTTATATTCCTTTAGTATTTTTTTATTTTGATGCTCAGATTGTTCTACATTCTCTAAGATGTTTTTAAACTCTAATCTTGTATGAGAAAAGAAGGCTGAGCATTATCTGCTTGTAAGCGCACTAGATTATCTTTTGATGGTGATATTTAAATTATAAACCAAATGTTGAACCTAAAACATCACCAAGAAAACTTGATGATGCCTAAAACTCACCAAGGAAAGAGATGCTACGGTTGAGTATTCAATCTTTGGGGGAAAAAAGGATTACATGCTTTTAACCTAAGTGTTTGTGTAGGGTAGACAGAAAACAGCTATTTGAAGACGGGGACCCTGGAAGACAGCTAAGTCCATGAATTGTAGAAACCCCCCTGAAACGATGGGAGGTTTGAGCTTCCTCTGTTTTATTCAGATCTCAAGGTTATTTATTTAACCTTTTCCACAAGCTGAGTGTGATCAGCCATACAACTCTTCCACTCTCAAATTTATTCTGACTATATCCAGTTGGCTTTATTTTTCTTCCAGATCTGTGCCCCCCAACATACACACACACACCCTCCCCTAACTATAGTAGCAGGACATAGACCTACTGGCCAGCACCGTGATGCTGAGTGAATTATTTGGAAATAGTTTCTTCAAGCACGTAGAATGGCATTTGCAACTTCTGGGGCTGGTTCATGGGAAACAAACAAACAAAAAAGCCCACAAAACTCAACTGCGTAGAAGAACCCACATGTAATCTACAGAATTGCAAATTTTATGCCCCTTGTGTTGGGCAGTATCTGAGAGTCGTTCACCCTCCACCCTCACCTCAGTCCCAACCTTTAGATAAATCTACACATATGCTGGGTCAGGCTGACAAGAAACTGTTCTCTTCTTTAACTGGGCTCCTAGAGAAATAACAGGATGCCTGAAAAATAGCTTGGAAAAAGTTAATGCCCTTGCCAACTCTAGCCATCTAAATTGGTTTAACATCTTTGGGCTGAGGCAGAGGCCAACTGGGCATTGGTGCCTGGGATAACCTGCATTTTCTGCACTCTCCTCCTGACAGAATGAAGAGGTGGGGCACATGGTTGGGAGCGGCCTCATTCCCACTCAGTCACCCTTGGAAACTCAGCTTAATGACCTGGCATTACAAGAATCTGCCCAATGTGCTTTGAGGAGGCCATGGAAGCCTGCACTTTAGTGGTGGCATTTAGATGTTCCTCTGAAATGCTAATGAAGAGTTTATTTCAGAATTGCTTACAAAGTTCTCAGACTTGTTAATGTATCACCCCCTCTGAAAGCCAGAGACAATGGCACTGAACAAAGGGCTTGAAGTACCCTAAAAGGAATGATTGCCTTAGTTGAAAGACTTCCAGGGAAAGAGTTTCTAGTTCTCCTTGATGCACCATTCTATTCACTCAGTTCCCTGATAGCCAATACGCTGTTTGTTTCACCTAACCTACATCTCTCCAACTGATTTTAGCCTGATTTTCCCCTCATAGCCTTTCTCAAAATTAATATCCATATCCTCTCTCTCCCTTCATTTTATTCCTCTCTTCTTGGATTAAGGGGAAAAGGAGAGAAGGAAGTTAGGAGGGAAGGAGGACGTGGAAACTAACATTCCCTGAATGCTACCAGTGTCAGGTTCTTTACATGGTTATCTCCTGCAATTTTCACAACAAGTGAAGCAAAGCTAAAGAAACCAAGGCTCAGAGGAGATGAGTGATTTTCCAGAGCTCTTTAATTCAACCCCTTTTTCCCCGTACTGAGCTGCCTGTGACAAGTCAGAAAGACTGGTCTATGGTCATCGCCTGGCTACAGGTTTTAAAAATGACTTTCATCAAATCGTATAATTTTTCTGAACTTGTTTTCTCAACAATAAGATAGGGATTTGTGTGTGTGTGTGTATACACACATACACATACATATATATGCAGATAGATAATAGGCAGATAGAGATATATATATGTTCACATATGGAGACATATATCTCCATATTTGTGTCTGTATACTCGTGCACTCACAAATCCCTATTTTATTGTTAAGAAAAGAGGTTCAGAGAAATTACATATCTTGCTGAAAGTCATACAGAAAGTCCTTTCTGGAGAGATAAGGAAGTGCACATATATTAGAGAGAGAGAGAATAGATCTATTTCCTTTTTCCTCTGGGAAAGGATCTGCAGAGCTCCATCTCCTTTTTCCCCCACTCTGTAATCAACCCACTCCAGTTTGACTACCATTGCATCACTCCAGGAAACAGCGTTCACTGAAGTCATGAGTAACTTCCATGTCGCTAATTCCAAAGGATATTTACAGCCCTTATTTTACTTAAACTCTCGGGAGACTTTCCTTCTTGGAATGCTCTATTTCCATGACTCTCACTACCCAATGCCTCCTAGTTCTCTTCCAACCTTTTTGCCTGCTACTTCCCTCTCCCATTTACAGCCTCTTTTTCCTCTATCCATCAATTAAATATCAGACTCGGTTAAGAAATTATCTTCTCATTCTGGATTCTCATTGTAGGTAATCTAATCCTTACTTCTGTTTCTATCATTTAAAGACAGTTTGTAAATTTTTATCTTTAGTCAATACCTTTTCTCCTTTTGCCATACCTACATAATTAAATCCAACCTGACTCTTCCACTTACATGTTCAAGAGCACTTAGAACTTGAAATTTCCAAAACCTCAGGACTTTTCCTCCTAAAACGTAGTTATTTTCCAGTGTTTCCTATTTCAATCAACAGTGACATCATCCACCCAGTTTTACAAGCCAGATATCTAGATATCATTCTTGATTAACCATCTCTTTTCGCAGGATTGAATCTATCACCAAGTTCTAAGTATCCTCTTCATTTCTATCCTCACAACCCTTGTCCAGCTAACAGCATCTCTTACCTGGACCATGGCTGCTCTTCCAAATTCACCTTGTTCCCTTGTAATCTGTTCTCCACATTGTAGCCAGAGTGTTCTTTAGGAATCACAAATCTGATAATGTTATACTCCTACTCAAAATCTTTAGTAGCTGCCATGGTTTGGATATTCAAACACCCTTGAGTTTGAGTTTGTCTCCATCAACTATCATGTTGAAATTTGAGCCCCAGTGTGACAGTGTTGAGAGGTGGGGCTTAGTGGGAGGTGTTTGGGGCTATGGAGGTGCATCTTTCATAAATGGTTTGGTGCCATTCTCATGGTAGTGAGTAAATTCTCACTCTGGCAAGGCCGATTAGTTCCCAAGACAGCAGGTTGTTAAAACGAATCTATTTTCCTCGGTTTCACTCTCTTGCTTCCTCTCTCACCATGTGATTTCTTTGCTGGCTCCCCTTCTGCTGTCCACCATGAATTGAAAGAGCCTGAGGCCCTCACCAGATGCCTAATCTTGAACTTCCCATCCTGCAGAACCATGAGCCAAATAAATCTCTTTTCTTTATAAATTACCCTGTCTCGGGTATTCTGTGACAGCAACACAAAATGAACTAAGACAGTAGCTTTCCTTGCTCCCATCATAAAACTCAAAATCTTTAGCAGGTCCACAAGGCCTGTCAGGTTTTCCCTCCTGACTCCCCTAGCTCATCATGCCCCATGATTCTTCTCATCCTGTAGTTCCAGTTATTCTCACCTTCTTTTAGGTCTCTGAATATGCCGAGTCTCCACCCTTCCACGGGCCCTTTGTACATGTTATTCCTGTAGCCTAGAATACTCCTCTTCTTTCCCCCAGGAAACTTCTATCTTTTATTTTTTTTGGAGTTTATCTCAGCCATTACTTCCTCGGGAAAGCCTTCTGTGATTTCCTTGACCTAGCTCAATCTTCCTGTTATCTGCTCTCATACCATTAATTACCATAAAACATCTCTTAACCAATCTATACTTAAGCAGCTTCCCAGATTCATCAGCATTTTCCACCTCTCTGTGAGGCATACTGATTGATGTCCGCCTTATCTTGATTGCTGGTGGCTGGGAGGCCACTCTTTAATATGTCTGAATATTTCTGCTTCTTTCTTGTTCAGTTTTGGTTTATCAAGAGTCATTTGTATTTGTTTCCATCAACTTGAAAGTTGTACACATCTTTGTAACTTACATAATAGAATTAAATATTACGTAAGCCAATGAAATGTGAATGCAAATGGTATTCGTTTGTATGAGAACTAAATTGAATAATTTGGACAGACTCGACAAAGGTGAGGCATCAAAACTTGCTACTTATTTAGGAATGGGTAAGACAATTGCGAAAGACTGTGCAGTGGATTATAAAACTAAAGAAGAATTCTGCAGTCAGATTACTTTTCAAGTGTGTCTTCAACTTCTCTCTCCACTTTAAAGAAATGAAAACAGGAAATCATAGATGATGCGTTAAGGGTGTGGTTTAAACAAGAAAGATGACAAAGAAAAAGGCATTGGCTCTGCATCAAAAGATTCATGTAGATATGTAGATATAAATACATACATATACATCGTTTGTGTTAAAATAAATATTTAGGGTAAATAGATATATTTTTTCTTTTTGAGACACAGTTTCACTCTGTCGTCCAAGCTGGAGAGCAATGGCACAAACTTAGTTCACTTCAACTTCTGCCTCCCAGGTTCAAGTGATTCTCGTGCTTCAGTCTCCTTGAGTAGCTGGGACTACAGGCGCCTGCCACCACACCCAGCTAATTTTTGTATTAGTAGAGACAGTGTTTTGTCACATTGGCCAGGGTGGTCTCGAACTCCTGACCTCAACTGATCCGCCTGCCTTGGCCTCCCAAAGTGCTAGGATTACAGGCATGAGCCACTGGATATGTATCTTTTTTAATAATTCCTTTCCAAGTAGATCAAAACCTCCTTGAAAGTAATAACCCTGTTTCCATTAGGACTGGCCACAGAATTTGTTGAGCCCAGTGCAAAATGGAAGTGTGGGGCTCCTTGTTCAAAACATATTAAGAATTTCATGATAGTGACAGCAGCGCGTGAAGCTAAGTGAGGGGACTGAGTTTGAGGCCCTGTGAGACTGCACAGGTTGCATCTCTGATTCCCATCTTTTAGCACAGAACTTGACATACAATAGGTAATTCCTTCACTCGACAGGTATTTTGCATGCAGTATGCTAGGCTCTGCTCTAGACTCTGGAAATACAGTATGGAACAAAAAAGAGAAAAAGTCCTTGCCTTCACGGAGCTACATTTCTTTCTTTCCTTCCTTCCTTCCTTCCTTCCTTCCTTCCTTCCTTCCTTCCTTCCTTCCTTCCCTCCCTCCCTCCCTCCCTCCCTCCTTCCTTCCTTCCTTCCTTCCTTCCTTTTGAGACAGAGCCTCGCTCTGTCACCCAGGCTGGAGTGCAGTGGAGTCCTTACCTTCACGGAGCTAAATTAATTTCTTTCTTTCTTTCTTTCTTTTGAGACAGAGCCTCACTCTGTTACCCAGGCTGTAGTGCAGTGGTGCAATCTCAGCTCACTGCAACCTCTGCCTCCCGGGTTCAAGCGATTTCCCTGCCTCAGCCTCCTGAGTAGCTGGGACTACAGGCGCCCACCACCATGCCTGGCTAAATTTTGTATTTTTAGTAGAGACGGGGTTTCACCATGTTGCCAGGCTAGTCTCAATCTCCTGACCCTGTGATCCACCCACCTCGGCCTCCCAAAGTGCTGGGATTACAGGTGTGAGCCACCGCACCCAGCATCCCTGGAGCTTAATTTCTATTGACAGTGGTAGGAAGTGAGAGGGTATACAATAAATAATAAATAAGAGATATAACTTAGATGGTATTGAGGGATGTGGAGATAAATAAAACCGAGAAGAATAGAGAATGAGGGAATCAGTATGAAACCAACCTAGCAGCCCCACAGACAGTTCTTTTGGATAAACATAAAAATGGACCCTTCTGATCTTAAAGCTTGAAACTTGCATTTGTTTTATCTGAGTTCCTTCCTCAGGAAAGGACCCCCAGGCCTCTCAAAGTATCAAAGAACTAAAACTCACCAGATCAAAGAACTACATCAAGACAATGACACCAGGTCCCCCATTTTGTTTCCTTACCCCTTCCTAATTCTTGTTTTCTGACACATTGTTACATTTCTTCCCTGCTATAAAAACCCCTAATTTTAATTGGTCAGAGAGATGGATTTGAGACTGAGCTCCCATCTCCTTGGCTGCAGCACCCGACAAAAGCCTTCTTCCTTGGCAATAATCGTCTCAGTTATTGGCTTTCTGTGCAGTAAGCAGCAGGACCTAGACCAAACCCCTGGTGTTTCGGTAACAAATAAATATTTGTTAAATGAATGCAATTAATTTCTTATTAAACTCAGAATAGAATGGCAATGTATACTTTGAAACAAATGAAAAACAGACCCAGGGAAAAATCAACACAAGGAACAAATAGAATAAGTGATGTTTGTGCTACAAATTTGGTTCTGAGCTTCCTGGTAACCAAAGTAATAAGAAATGACCAATTACATAATTCTTATCATCAGAAAGAAGGAAGCATACCTATGTCCTAGGGCTAGAAAGAGAGATACAGTATACCTTTAACTTCCTTACAGAACCAGACGACATTGCAGCTGTGAAAATAACTTAAATAAACATAAGGTACTATGATATACAGGGAGGTATTCATAAAGAATTCTTCCACAAGATAAAAGAGAAATTTTTCATTGTAACAGCTTTGTTTTTCCTGGAAGAGTGCTAAGAAATTCATCTTTGTAGGCAAAGAAACTTTCAAATAGGCTAACATCTTAAAGTTGAAATCTAACAATCACTTCAGCCCACAAACATTTCAGCCAGTCTGTACAAGTCCCACCAATTTCCCTTCCTGACCCTTGGTAGAGTAAGAAAAGTGCCCAGTGCCAGGCGGGCAGTGATATCAGCCTCCCTCCACCATCCCAGCTCTGCACCCATTGAAACTAAAGCTGCCATCGCCTTTTCCTTCCACTCCTCCCTCATAACCCTAAGGCCCCAAATAGGAGCAGACCCAGGAAACCAGGTAGATCCATTCTCAGAGACACGGACATGTCTTGTCCACACGCAGACTGAAAGCCCAGAAACTGCCGGCTAAGAGCAGTGGAAAATGGCCCCACTCATTCCTCTCCTTCCTGCCATTCTCCCTGTCTCTTCCTCTCTTTATCTTTAATCTCTCTTGCCCTACATCGCTTGGTCTTTCTCTCTGCTTTCTCTTCTCCTCACGACCACCACCACCATTTACTTAGGGGATGTTCTACATATTGTTAGTTCACAGAGACAGTTGAACAGGAGAGACAACTGAACAGAGGACAGCACATGAACATAGACCAGGCACTGTCTCTGTGCCTGTTATCCTGTGTCTGCATGCCATTCTCCCACACACTGACACACCAAATAAAGATCTGTGTCTATTTCAGAAAGACAGAGATTGATGGGAAACAAATGAATAAAAAGTGCCAGCTGCATTGACTAACATTATCTTTTATCTAGATAGGAAAAAAACAAAACAAAACAAAACAAACCACAAAACACCTCTTTAGATCAGAAATGTCCCAGGACCTTCAAAGCGGCCTAGAGAAGTTGCTTTTGTGAGTATCTTAAGCACGATTTTAAACGAGCCTACAAATTCCCTCAGCCACCTGTTTGAGGCTGTTCTGACACCAAACATCAACTCATGGAGACCAGCTACTGCCAAAAAGAGAAAAATCTAAGTGTTTCTAACAAGGATGTCGCGAGACTATTGAATCTGGTTCCATGTGAATTTCCCTGTAAAATGTGAAAGAAAAGGCATTCTCAACCAGCCACTGTTTCTGGCACTAACAATTGACACAGCCCGCTCATGGGTATCCCCTAGGGTGTGAAAGAGACCCCGTTAATGAGAGAGGAGCTTGCTGCGGGATTTCTATTTCAGGCCTTGTGCTAGTAAATATAACTCTGTTTACACAGACTTGAGTCTGGAACGTGCTTGAGCTGCACAATGGCTGTTTGAATCACACCTTAACGTGGTCTTTGAAACTCTGAGCTGTGGTACGTGTGGTTGTGTCATTTTCTTTCTTTCTTCTCCGCCATGGTGTAATTGGAAACTCTTCTTCCGTGACTTGCATCGTATCCCTGTAAACCAGGCAAGGATTTGGGGACCAAGCCCATTCACGCCCGCACCTCAGGTGATCTCGTGCCTGAGAATTCACAAAGAATGCCCTCCCCTCTCTTCACTGCATCCTGTCTCTAGAGCCCGCGTCACTGCATCTTCCCACCTCCCTGGACACGGCCTTAACCTCATTTTTTTCTCTGGGGCACCGCTGCAGTTCGGGCAGGCTCTTGGACTCCGCAGGAGCCCACACCGCATTGATGCCCTGTTCCCTGGGGCGCACTGCTTGCGGGTGCCCATCAGGACCAGCCCCCGTGGTCTACCGTGGCACACTAATGCATCTGTGAAGCTATGTGGTTTGTTCCCACCCTGGAGTGTCTCTACTGAGCCATTTCTGTTTTTACTAGTTTCTCTGCCTCATTTATCTCCAAATCTTGTCCATTTTACCCTGAATCTCTTTTCTTTCTCTATTTCTGTTGCCAAAGCCTTAGGCTACGTCCTCATTATTGTCTTAATTATTACAATAGCCTACTAATTTTCTCTGCCAACGGGCTCCCTTTTCTAATCCATCCTCAACCTCGCCGGCATAGTTATCATTCTTCTTTTCTAATATAATATTTAGGATCATAACTTTTTCTTTAAGTCAAGGTTTCTTAACCTACGCACCGTCACCATTTGGGGCCAGATAATTCTTTTTTTTTTTTTTTTTTTTTTTTTTTGAGACGGAGTCTGGCTCTGTCGCCCAGGCTGGAGTGCAGGGGCGCCATCTCGGCTCACTGCAAGCTCCGCCTCCCGGGTTCACACCATTCTCCTGCCTCAGCCTCCCGAGTAGCTGGGACTACAGGCGCCCGCCCCCACGCCTGGCTAATTTTTTTGTATTTTTAGTAGACACGGGGTTTCACCGTGTTAGCTGGGATGGTCTCGATCTCCTGACCTCGTGATCCGCCCATCTCGGCCTCCCAAAGTGCTGGGATTACAGGCGTGAGCCACCGCGCCCGGCCGATAATTCTTTATTGTAGGGGGCTGTCCTATGCACTGTAGGGATGGCAGCATTTCTGGCCTTTACCTGCTAGATGGTAGTAACAGCTGCCCGTAGTTGTGACAACCAAAAATGCCCCTAGACCTGCCAAATGTCCCCTGAGCAGCAAAAGTCCCCCTATTCAGAACCACTGTTCTCTGTACCTTATATTCCTCCAGTTTTATGTAGGATTTTAAATTTTGTTCTGTCTGAATATTTATTTATTGCTATTATACTTTTTTTTGTGATCCACGAGTTAATTAGAAATGTTTTAAATTCTAAACATTTGGTGTTGTTTTCTTTTAAAGTCACTTTTTTGGTTGTTGTTCATGTCTATCTTAATTAGATTTTGATCAGAGAAGGTGAACTATATGGTATTTATTTTTTGGTGTTTGTTAAGACTTGCTTTGTGGTTTAGTAACTTGTTAATTTTTCAAATATTTCTTGTGCATTTGAGAAAAATGTACAGTCTTCAATTGTTGAATACAAGATTGATCAATCTTGTTCATTGTGTCATTCAAATCTTGTAAATTCATGCCAATTTTTATGCGATTTGAACATACCAGAAAGGTGTGTTTTTAAATCTCCTATAAAGATTCAAAATTTTCTCCTTGTAATTCATTCAAATTTTGTCTTATACATTTTTAAAGTCTATAATAGATAAATACAATTTGCATTTGTTATATCTTTCTTATAAATTGATCCTTTCATCATTATATAATGATCACTTTTTGCCTCAGACTTTTTTTCTGCTACAGTTATTATAGCTACACTTTGTTTTGACTCTTACTTGCCTGGTATATCTCTTTTTATCCTTTTGCTTTCAGCCTTTTTGTTGTGTCCTTTTGTCTTAGGTATGTATTTTTAAAACAGCATAAGCAAGTTTTCTTTTTATTAAAAAAAATTGAACCTGGCAATCATTTTTTAACTAGTGAGTCTAATTCACTTACATTTATTGTTTCCTAATATATTTGGATTTATTTCCACCATTTCTTTTTGTAGTTTCTATTTACTATGCTTTCTAATGCCTTTTCTTCCTCCTTTCCTGCCTTCTTTCGGTTTCATCAAGTTTTCTTTATTTTCCCCTTTTCCCTCTATTAATTTGGAAATTACACACTCTATTTCCAGTGTTTTAGTGGTGAGCCCTAAACTTTTGTCAAGCACATTTGACCTAAAGTCTAAAGTTAATGTTACTGCTCTCTTCACAAATAATAGACGGAATTTAGACATTGTAACCCATCACATGTGTTATCGCCATGCAGCGTTTTAGATCGTTCCACCTTATTTTTGTTTGGTTTGTTTTTCTTTTTCTTTTTTTTTTTTTTGAGACAGAGCCTGGCTCTGTTGCCAGGCTGGAGTGCAGTGGCACAATCTCGGCTCACTGTACCGCTGTCTCCCGGGTTCAAGCCATTCTCCTGCCTCAGCCTCCCAAGTAGCTAGGATTACAGGCACGTGCCACCACACTCAGCTAATTTTTGTATTTTTTTTTTTTTTTTTTAGTAGAGATTGGGTTTCACCATGTTGGCCAGGATGATCTCAATCTCCTGACCTCATGATCCACCCTCCTCAGCCTCCCAAAGTGCTGGGTTACAGGCGTGAGCCACTGTGCCTGGCCCACCTTATATTTACACCCCCCAATTTTGTTATTATTGTCATTATAGTTGTTTGGGGGTGTTTTGTTTTGTTTTCTCTTTTTGAGACAGGATCTTGCTTTGTCACCCAGGTTGGAGTGCAGTGGCATGATCATGGCTCACTGCAGTCTCGACCTCCTGGACTCAGCTGATCCTCCCACCTCAGACTCTCAAGAAACTGGGACTACAGGCGTACATCACTGTGCCCAGCTAATTTTACTTTTAGTAGAGACGAGGTCTTGCTATGGTGCCCAGGCTGGTCTTAAACTCCTGGGCTCAAGAGCTCTGCCTTCCTTGGCCTCCCAAAGTGCTGGGATTACAGGTGTGAGCCACCATGCCCGGCTTATGGTGATTTTGAGCAGTGGATGAATTTCTGACTTTGCCTACTTGTTTATCAGCTTCCTTGATTGTTCTTCCTTTTTGCCTTCACCTCCCTTGGGGTTCAATTTTTTCTATCCTGAAGTCCATAGTCTAGAATATTTTTCCCACAAGGGTCCTTGAATGGTAAATTCTCCTGGTCATTGTGTAAAAATATCTTTATTTCCCCTCATTTTAAAATGACAGTTAAAAGAGGTAAAAATGAAGGCAGACAGTTATTTTCTCTCAACGCTTTAAAAATATCATTCCATGGGCTTCTGGCTTCCATCATTGCTTTTGAAAAGTCAGTTAGTTGCTTTACAGGCAATCCACACATCTCTCTAGTTGTTTTAAAAATATCTTTATTTTGCGTTTTTAAGAGTTTCTCTGTGATGTGACCTGGTACTGATTTCATTCATTGATTTTTCTCAGGACTCATTTCCTGCCCTGAAGATTCATTTCTTTCATAGATTCTGGAAAATTCTTAGCCATTTTCTCTTTGATTAGTTCCTCTCCTCATTCTCTTAATGTTCTCCTCCTGAAATTTCTATTAGTAATACATTTACCTTCATTCTGTCCTTCACGTCTCTTAATCTTGCTTTTGTCTTTTCTGTCTCTTTTTGTCTCCGTGTTGTATTTTGGGCAGTTTTCTCAAATCTTCCAGCTCTTATATTCTCACTACAGTTATATGTAAGCCTCATCAATTACCACACTTTTCTTCTAAGTTCTATTTGTTTTTCAAATCTGTCTGGGTTTCATTCATAGTGTCTTACGGTTTTTATTTTTTCCATTTTTTCTTTATATATCTTTAACTTTAAAAAAAAATACTAAGCTATTGTCTCTCTTCAATAGCTCTATTTTCTGATTCTTAGTAGTCTACACCTGTTGCCTGTTGTACCTGCTGACGTTTGCTGACAGCAGGTTATGAGACTATTCTGTGAGACTACTATTTTTTTTTTTTTTTGAGGCAGTGTCTTACTCTGTCACCTAGGCTCAAGCCCCCAGGCTCAGGTGATCCTCTTGCCTCGGCCTCCCAAGCAGCTGTCACTACAGGTGCACACCACCACATCCAGCTAATTGTTTGTATTTTTTGTAGAGACAGGTTCTCACCTTGTTGCCAAGGCTAGTTTCGAACTCCTGAGCTCAAGGGATCTGCCTGCTTTGGCCTCTGAAAGTGCTGGAATTACAGGCGCCAGCCACCATGCCCGGCTGAGACTACTCTTGTAGAACTCACAATTCTATAATTGTAAGACTCAATTCTGACTATAACTTCAGAATTGAAAATTCACCACTTTGGCAGTGAGAATTCTGAGAGAAATGCATTAAGCTTGAGTCCTACCAGGTCCATTTTGTGGATGATTCTTATTGGGGCCCCAGTAGTATCATCCACCAAAGAGGACTTCTCATTATTTTGTTGACTTAGGGACTCCCAGACCATTCAAGTAAGGTAAATGCAAACCTCTGACTCTCAGGAAGCTGGTCACATGGTTATGAAATTTCAGGAACATTTTTTTCCCTTCTACTCATAGCTCAGTCTCAACAGTCAAAAGCTTCTTCTCTGTAGGTGAGTAGAGTGTTTCCTTCCTTACAAATCTTTCCTGGTTTTACGTGAAGGCCTAATTTCAACTCTCCACCCAGCACAGGCACAGGCCCCATAGTCAATATTCCTGCGGATCTGAAAAACCCATTCTACACATTTTTTTTTTTTTTTTTTTTTGAGACAGAGTCTCGCACTGTCACCCAGGCTGGAGTGCAGTGGCGCGATCTCGGCTCACTGCAAGCTCCACCTCCCGGATTCACGCCATTCTCCTGCCTCAGCCTCCTGAGTAGCTGGGACTACAGGCACCTGCAACCACGACCGGCTAATTTTTTTGTATTTTTAGTAGAGACGGGGTTTCACCGTGTTAGCCAGGATGGTCTCGATCTCCTGACCTCGTGATCCGCCCGCCTTGGCCTCCCAAAGTGCTGAGATTACAGGTGTAAGCCACTGCACCCGGCCCCATTCTACACGTTTTAAATGTACAATTAGAAATGCCTAAAAACCTAATCCCCCCAGTACTTGTCCCAACACCCTGAGTTGCCTCACCTCATTCCATTCACTGACGGCACTTGTTTTCAGTTCTTGCTTGTTTTCCCTCCAGGAGGTCTTCCTTATTTTCTTGTGAGTTCAGCTTTGCATTTAGAAAAATGTACATTATCATTTGTTCAGCATTTGTAGGAGAGTTGTTAGGTCATCTAAGCTGCCATATTGTAGGAAATGGAGACCTAACCCCCTGACGTAAGTGGTCAAAAATCCTAATTTGATGACCCCCTATTACCTGGGCATTACAACTAAGCTCTTCAGCATTGCCTTTAGAAAACAGTCAGGTGTGGTGGCTCACGCCCGTAATCCCAGCACTTTGGGAGGCCAAGGTGGGCGGATCACCTGTGGTCGGGAGTTCGAGACCAGCCTGACCAACATGAAGAAACCCCATCTCTACCAAAAATACAAAAATTAGCGAGGCGTGGTGGTGCATGCCTGTAATTCCAGCTACTCAGGAGGCTGAGGCAGGAGAATCACTTGAACCCGGGAGGCAGAGGTTGCGGTAAGCCGAGATCGCGCCATTACCCTCCATCCTGGGCAACAAGAGCGAAACTCCATCTCCAAAAAGAAAAAAGAAAACAGTCTGGTTCATACCTGTGTTTCCAGTTCCATTTCCATCTCTCTCTTCTGCACATGCTACGTTCTAGTCACACAGACAACTCATGGTTCTACAAATTTTCATACATCTACAACTGTCAAACTTAGGCTATGCCATGCCCTTCTCCCAAAGGGTCTTTGTTTTCCCTTTCACAAACTTTTATTCTCTGGCCAAAGCAAACCTCAAATATTAACTCGTCTGTAAAACCCACTCCAACTTCCCAAAATACAATCAATCAAGTTCTCTCCTATGCTGCCATTGCATTTGAATATTCCTTGTTTGTGATCGTTATTACATTGCACGGTCTCTGTTTTTATGTTTCGACTAGATTCAGATCTTCTAGAGGCCAACACAGGGTTTTATGTACCATCCCCAACCCTTAGCACAATCCCTGGCACATAGTGGTTACTCATTAATGCTATAGCAAACTTCTTGGATTGCGAGACTACTTGATTCTTGCCAAGAGAAGTATAGTTTGAAATTATGACCTCTGTGGGTGTCGTAAGCAGTCTTATTGTTAAAAATCTCCACGTAGCCACTAATTGTCAGAGGTGCTAGGTGAGCCACAATACGTGGAAAAGAGATTTAAAACAGTCCATCTACAACTTATTTATTGATTGATTTTGAGACAGAGTCTTGCTCTGTTGCCCACCCAGGCTGGAGTGCAGAGGTGCGATCTTGGCTCATTGCAGCCCCCGCCTCCTGTGTTCAAGTGATTCTCGTGCCTCAACCTCACGAGTAGCTGGGATTACAGGGATAGGCCATGAAGCCAAGCTAATTTCTATATTTTTAGTAGAGATGGGGTTTCACCATGTCGGCCAGGCTGGTCTCCACTCCTGACCTCAAGTGATCCACCTGCCTTGGCCTCCCAAAGTGCTGGGATTACAGGCATGAGCCACCATGCCCAGCCCATCTACAATTTTGATTACATGTCAGTCCTGATTCATGACTAAGTTCTGCTGCTATATCTAACTGAGTAGATTTTTGTAATCTAAGGCAGACAGCACCACCAAAACACCACCAGGCTGCCTTACTCGTTGTTGTAACCCGTGGCATAGTGACTGGCATGGACACAAGTGTGAACTTGACTCCACCTCTGGACACAGGGCTGGGCTCTCTCTCACTCACCCTTGTATGTACCTGGCACATTGAACACACTCACTGAGTGTATTAGTCCGTTTTCACGCTACTGATAAAGACATACCTGAGACCGGGAAGAAAAAGAGGTTTAGTTGGACTTACAGTTCCACATGGGTGGGAAGGCCTCAGAATGATAGTGGGAGGCAAAAGGCACTTCTTACATGGCAGCGGAAAGAGAAAAATGAGGAAGAAGCAAAAGCAGAAACCCTTGCTTTCAGATCTCGTGAGACTTATTAACTATAACGAGAATAGCACAGGAAAGACCGGCCCCCGTGATTCCATTACCTCCCCCTGGGTCCCTCCCACAACACATGGGAATTCTGGGAGATCAATTCAAGTTGAGATTTGGATTGGGACACAGCCAAACCATATCAGCAAGTGTTGGCTAAACAAATGAATGAATGATTGAATAAACTTAACTAGGTAGAAACTGAATGCATGAGAAAATTCCAGATCTATAGTTATGAAGAGAGGGAACCAAAAGGCTATCATTTTGGATAAAGAGGAAAAAAATTAATTTTCATAACTTGTTTTGGGTTTTGCTTCATCATGCATGCTAGTCTTATTTGTTTGCTCCATCCATCCATCCGTCCGTCCATCCATCCATCCATTTACTCATCCACTTAGCATTCATCCACTCAAGAAACATTTTCCAAGCACCTAATGTGAGCCAAGCACTCTGCTTTGGGTTTGGAGACTTTAGGTTGGTGTTAAGAAAAACTTCCTGGCCACGTGCGGTGGCTCGCGCCTGTAATCCCAGCACTTTGAGAGGCTGAGGCGGGTGAATTACGAGGTCAGGAGTTCAAGACCGGCCTGGCCAACATGGGGAAACCCTGTCTCTACTAAAAATACAAAAATTAGCCGGCCATGGTGGCATGCGCCTGTAATCCCAGCTATTCAGAAGGCTGAGGCAAGAGAATCGCTTGAACCCGGGAGGTGGAGGTTGTAGTGAGCGGAGATCGCACCATTGCACTCCAGCCTGGGTGACAAGAGCGAAACTCCGTCTCAAAAAAAAAAAAAAAAAAGAAAAGAAAAACTTCCTAATTCTCTATCTGTAAAAATGTTATCATTGGCGTGCTGGAAACTGATTATTTCTCAAAACTTTCATTCCGTGATCCATCCATTTATTTGTTCATCTATTTATTCAGCAAATATCTTTGAGCACATCCTGTCTGCCAGACAGTGGGAGGCAGGCACCAGGAATTCATTCTTTTTTTATGGACTCATTCATTTAATTAGTAATTCTTAAGCACCTAAAAAGTGGCAGGCGTACATGGGGTCTCCATTTTTAAAGAGCTTAAGTAATAATAGTGGTAGGGTTCAGGTGGTAGACAAGTAAACAAACAAGTAAATAAATAAATTTAGATAATGATAAGGCCAAAAATAATAATAAAATATGTGCTAGAGAGATACCGCCTCTGCCCTCAGAGAGCAGAAATTTCTAAGTAAACAGGGCTATCACCAGATTATCTGAGTAACTGCTACCTACCTGGGTTCTTTTGACTTGAATGTGTGACCTGGCCTGGGGGCAGAGGAGGGAGGTCTTGGAGAGAATGGAGCCAGAAGGCCATGGAGGCCTCTCCAGACCTGCATCTCATGTCAGCGGGACAGAGCTCCTTGCCCTGTGGCCCCCGCTGACCTGCCTGAGCTGTCTTCCGGGAGGGCAAATATCTGCCTTCAAGCCACTCAGATGAAACCCCCACCCTGCCCCCTTGGTTGGAACTTTGCCTCACTGGTGACCTGGTTTTGAACTAGTGACCTGGAGGTGAATGACTCCGTATCTCATTACTAATTCTCCACAGCCGCCACTTCTTCCTGCCAGCCACAAGCAGGAATGTTTGACAAGGATGAGGACAGAAGTCCAGCCAGGGGCCCTGAACCCATCAGCCGTGGCACCCACCCCAGCTTCAACCCCTGCCATCTGGCCTTCTGCCATTCCTCCCATCCTTGGCCTGACTGAACAGGTTTTGAAAGAGGCCAAGGTCACCCTGGGGCCAATCTCCACAGATGGATTCAGCCTGAGACTCAGCTGTGGTCTGGCTGGGACATGAATGCTCAGGGCCGACACATGCTCCTCCCTCGTGGTGGACGTAAGGCTGGTGAAGTCTGCACCTCCACCAGGTGGGATCTGACTAGATCTAGAAACTATAAACTCCCCGCATTAGCCTGACTCCCTCTTCTCTCCACCCTATTTCCTTCTGCACCCCAATTTTCTGGTTTCCCAGTTCTGCTAGTTTTTTGAGTACTCTTGCCCTTCAAGAGACCATCCTCACCTCTCTGAGTTTAGTGTTCAGGGCAGGTGACCTCCATCCAGGAACCTGGACAAATACTGATAAGAAAAAGTCATTGAGTGACTTAGCAGGGGCTCAATCCTCTCCCTCTTCTTTCCCAGCCAGGAGATCTCCGAAGCCGCCAGTCCCAGCAGTTCACTGGGCTGAGGCCCATCACCTTCAGGGGATGCCCAAGTCCTGGAGGAGCACTGGCCTGTCTGAGCTCAGGCTTTTCAGGGGAAGCGGGCTGGGCTGTTGGAGGTTGTGTGGAAAAGTGCTCAGGACGGTGGATCTCCTAATTCTTGCTTTAGTGAGCACAATTGCTCTGGGCCTTATGTTTCCATTATATGAGCTGGCATGAAATACATTCTCTTTTTGTAGGGGCTTATGGTATAGGAAAGTGGAAGTGCTTCATCTTTTCTTAAAAGTATAGCCTTCACCATTGCACTTTCAGTATATTTTTGTAAGAGCATGCATTGCATTATACTCAAATATTCTCTTCATGCAACTGTTTCCTCCACTAGACTGCAAATTCCTCAAAGACAAGAACCCTTTCTTATTTATTTTTGTTTCTTCACTGGTGACTGAGTAAGTAAATGATGAAGACAGTATCTATGTATATAGCCCATAAAGAGTGAATTCAAATTTTATTCCCTGCCTCTTTGGATTTATCTTAGAGTTTATGTTCAACGATGGTCATATTTAATAAGTCAGACACTAAAAAAATCTGATATAAAATTTAAAATCAAAACTTACTGAAAAGACAAATGAGCGAATGATATTCTGGTTAACAATAGACTCAGACTCACTTGAAATGGTGAGCTTTATAATAACCCATAATTCAGTTCACACAAAATTAGCATGCTTCCAGTCTTTAACTGGAATGCTCAGGTTTCACAGGAGGAAAAATAAGTGTCATCAAAACTCAGTTGGCAATGTGTTTCTTGTGATCACGAAGCAGTCTGGGATCTGACACGCCTTTGGACTGTGAGTCTCATGATCCGCCATCCTTGGATACATCCTCAGATTCATCAAGTTGAGACGGTCAGAAAAGCATGCAGGGGCACTTCTCTGTTTGGCACACGGCCAGTGTTGGAGCACGGACTTTACAAGGAAATAGTTTTCTCAAACTTTATCCCGGTACCATTTTCCTCGCTTTCATTCCCAGCTATGTACAAAATTCTTGCTATTCCTAGAGAGAGAACAAAAAGCCACAGTGGGAAATGAAAGATTTGGCATTGACGTCTCAGTCTGTGACTTCTAGGCCTCCAAATAAGGCTTTCTCTCCTCTCTTCTCGTTCTTTAACAGCCCTCAGTCACAAAATTCAGCTAAATGTACCACATCAATCTCTGCAGTTTGTCTTCATGGTCAGCATGCCGTCAAGGTCGTTGTACACCACGTCACCTTCTCTGTGACCTTGAGCAGGTCACTCTGCTTCCCCCTCTCGGCCTTACTTTCTTCATCCTTAAATGGAGTGCAAAGGACTAGATGGTTTCAGATTTCCCCTCCAGTTTGGAGTGTGTTTGTTCATGACAGGATTCCCGGTTCCTAGCACAGTCCCTGGCACAGAGGGAGAGCTTAGTAAATGTCTGTTAACTCTGTGAATAAATCCGGTGATTTAACGAATCCATCCATTCCATGGTGCCGGAGAAAGGAGCAGGGGCTGAGCTTTAAGTGCTACTGTGTCATAGCTTGCTGGGTGAACTTAGTAAGTCGCTTCCCCTCTCTAAGTCCAGAGAGGGAATGAGCTTAACCCAAGGTCATACAGCCAGTAAGAGCAGAGCTAGGACTAAAACACGGACCTTCTGATTCTCTTTTACCAAGATGCCGTGCTTCAAAGGTCTTTTTTAAACTGGGAGAGGGCGCTGAGGACCTGTTGATATCATTTTTCTGTCTAGACTCTGGATTTAGAGCAACCACCACAAACTTGAGAACAAACACATGCTTGCAAAAAAGAAAGCCTCCCAGGGGCCCCTAACCAACAATTTCTCCTTCACTGCCAGTTTGAGATAAGCAGCCACCAAGGAGGCTGAGTGACGTGGACTCAGCCCACAGCCCTGCCCAGCAAGGGCTTGCTGCTTCCTCCTAGAGGCGGCTCATGTCTGGGCTGGTGGCACACACTTCTGCTTCTATTGCCTCCTAGGTGTGGGTGCCAGACACTAGAAAGAAAGCTGAGAGTAAAAGCTTAAATCACGACGGTTTCCTTTGACCTACACCTTCTGCAAGGCAGAGGTGGCTCTGGCTCTGGTGATTAGCTATGTGCTTGAGGTGGCCTGAGCTGGGCCAGGGTTGCCCCAGTGGGTCCTGGTACCAGCTGTAAGCTTACCTCTACTCAGCTTCCCCCACTCCCAGCAGGAGGGATCATCTTCACCTTCTCCTTCCCTGGCACTGTGACTGAGGAGTATGCTTGGAACCAGACTCCAATATACTGATTTCCAGCACAGTTCTTGCTGTCAGAGGGGCTGTGAAAAGGTCCGGCCTTCGCGTTCCAGCTTTGCTGCTTGCTAGCTCTGTGACTTTGGGCTGTTTCATTCTCTCTGTGCTTTGGTTTACTCATCTGTAAAATGAGCATAATAACAGCTCCCTCATGAGACGGTTGTGAGGATTAAGTGTGTGATATTTCTAAAACACCTAATACAATGCCTGAAATACAAGACATGCTAATAAGTACCAGTAGTTCCTTGGAGTCCTGAGATGTTTCCCAAGAGTTTAAGAACCAAAGCAGCTGGGGAGGAGAGGAAAAGTGAGTAGGGTTATTGGGTCCCGGCTTTAACTCCAGCAAGTGCCCTGTTATCTGTTGTGTATGTTTGATCCACCTCTAAGAAAAGTCTGAAACCTCTGCTCCTAGTCCAGCCCCTTCACATGGCAGATGAAGAATCTGAAGCTCGGGTCCTTGGAAATGTCAGTGTTGCATGGCTTGTCCAAGATGGCCCTGGGACGATATCCTGCACTAAAAGCACAAGCTCTGCAGTTATACCGCCTAGCTTTGTGATCTTGAGCTGGTTACTTAACCCCTTCATGCCTCAATTTCCTCATCTTTAAAATGAGAGAAGACAACAGTGCCTACTTCTAAGAGTTTTTATAAGAAGTAAACATATATATATATATATATTTACTACACACACACACACACATATGTAAAGTACTGAGGACCGGCTATGGTGGCTCATAACTATAATCCCAATTCTTTGTGAGGTCAAGGCAGGAGGATCAATTGAAACCAGCCTGAACAACATAGGGATACTCTATCTCTACAAAAATTGTGAAAAATTAGCCAGACGTGTTGGTGCGCGCCTGTAGTCTTGGCTACACGGGAGGCTGAGGTGGGAGGATTGTTTGAGCCCAGGAGTTGGAGGCTGTAGTGAGCTATGATTGTGCCACTGCACTCCAGCCTGGGCAATAGAGTAAGACTCTGTCTCAATCAATCAATCAATATAAAGTGCTTAGAATGGCATCTGGCTTATAGTGCTCCTTAAGCATTAGTGATTATTATTAGAAAACTTGACCCCACTTCACAATCTAATAAAATTTAACCTTGAGTAGGATACCGAGTTTTAATATATGCATTGCTATCCACTGACAGCCAGGAAGCTTCATGAAGCAAGAATAGCACCAGCAGGCTGTGGCCCACACTGAGACGGGATGGGCACCATTTGTCTCCTTCATTCCTGAAGCGCCCCAGCTTGGGCCAGGCACCCTTGTTGGGACGGTGAGTGGTGGAGAGATTTATTTAGATGAAGGGGGAAAGCCCATGGAGGCTGAAAAAGGAAAGTCTGGAAAGAAGCGAGGATTTAATCTAAGCAATTTCTTCCCCAACAGCTATCATTTGCAGCCGGGCTTGTGGGACCGCTTGGGCGCCATTTTGACCACTAGAGGTCAGTGAATGTTTACTCTCCCCAAAGTGTGGGTCTCCAGGAGAGGCGATGTCCGTAGATCACCCGTAGTACCTCTCCATCCCTCTCCACCACCGCCCCTTTTGTGGACCTGGGTTTGGTTTGATTTTCCAGGAGTCTAAGTCATCCACAATTTTCTCCTGTTCCTTCCAGAACCAGGTTAGCCTTTGCAGGGCAAGGCTCTGGGCCAAGGGTGGAGAATATGATATGTGTCCAGAGATCACTTTTTCCTCTAAAGCCCACAGGCTCAAATGCTCAAGACTGTCAGTGGCACTCATTTTATAACAAACGCAGTCTAAACTCTTCCAGGTCTGCTAACTCTCATCCTTCCACCACGGCATTACATCTTGTCATCTCTCCCCAACTCCGCTCACCTCTTTCCCAATCATGTATCCCTCTGTAGGACTCCTTCCTGTTTTCCAAGGCATGCATCAAACACTATAATTCTCCATTCTAGAAATCCTATAATACATTGTCTCTCTCCTATACTGGTTACATGTACGCATTATAGTATGTACATACTACTGCAGATGACAATTGTTTTTGTCTTAGCTCATCTGCTAGACTGAGCTCCCTGAGGCCTCGGACTATGAATTATTCATTTTTAGTGTATTCATAGTTCCTGGTGCAAATGTGATGTTAACAACTATTTGCTGAATGAACATATTTTTCATTACAGTCAACTGACTCCCTGGCTTAAACTGGTATGTGAGAACCTCTGTGCAGAAAGAGATCTGTATGCTTCCCAGAGGCGATCCATGCCAGCCTCTGCCTCAAGGCAAGCTGTGCCTAGGTTTCCCACACTGCTGGTGCTCCCCGTGGCCATGTCCTCTTCCTTCAGACAATCAGATTTCATTTTCCAGCCTCCCTTGCCATGAGAGGTCATCATGTGACTAAATCACAGCCAATGGAAAGGGAGCAAAGTCATGTATACTTTGTTCCAGCCTGACCCGTAGAAACCAATACTGTTTCATTCCCAATCTCTTTCCCCCTTTGGACCTAGAGAAGGCACAGCCATGAGAGGAAAGGTGCCTGCATCCCTACATGACCACAAGCAAAGCCTATCTGCTGACCACGAGCGAGAAATTAACTCTTTAATAGTTCACAAGAAACAGACTACAGGAAGGCCACAGGAAGGATGGGACCTTGGAGGAATTCAAAGGTCAGGGATTTTTTTTTCCCATTCACTGTGGCAAAACATATAAATCACAGAACTTTAGAGCAAGAAGGCGTGGATCCAGCCCAGAATTTTAACAGATGAACAAATTGAGGGCGAGAGTGGTAAGGCAACTCACCCAAGGTCACACAGTTACTTGGTAGCATAAAGAAGACTAGAATGTCAGTTTTCTTCCCGTTCTGTATACCATGTCCTGAAGGCTGCCCCAGAACGAGCAGAGTGCTGCTGAGTGGTGTGGCCAACCCTGAAAGGCTGCTGTGAAAATGTTCAACAAAGGTGTTAAGTCTCCATATCATAAGAAAAAAGAATGGTTCATAGGTTTGGGCCACCAGGATGAAAACTAAGATCAAAATATTAAGCCAAGTTCAGCAGGAATTATGGCTGGAATACACAAGGAGTTAGGGAGAACAGAAGAGAAATCAGCTGAAGAAATAGGGCTCCTGAAAATGTCCTTTGGCTCTGTTTGACCCAGCCCCTTGACCTAAGGAGCATAATGACTCAAAGTGTTTTGATATTTGTTATAATTGCTTGTGGCATGGGGCTGCAATCCTCACAAAGAGAACTACTGGCTATACAACTGATGGGTACAGACATCAACAATGACATGGCTGGGCAGAAATCCAAGAGCACACATAGATCATACAACAGAGATCAGAAAGACAAGTCATGATATAGTACAGTACTAGCATCTTTAAAGGTGTCAGAGATAACTGAGGCATTTGGGTTTTTAAAAAGTGAGGATAAGCACTGAGACCTCAGGCATCTCGGGTATTCTTCAGAATCATCTCTTTTAAGGAAATCTTCCCTGGCTTCCCACTGGTTTCTCTCTGAAAGTTTAGCAACTTACTCTACAGAAATATTTCCAGCGACAGCATCATCCATCAATCCCTGTCTGTGCAGAGTAGGAATGCACACATGTTCTTTTCCTGTCTTCACTGACTCCCGGGCAGAGCAAACTCAAAATATTCATGTTCACCTAACTCCCAGCTGCTCTATTGGTAGCAGTACCCCTTTCCATTTTTTATGACACTTTACATTATCCTCATTGATCCTCACAACAAGCTCTGTGAGGTGGGGGCTATTATCATCCCATCTTACCTATAAGAAAATTGCAGTTCAGAAAGGTGAAGTAACTTGTCCAAGGTCATCCTGTTCATAAATGGCAGACCTGGGACCTGAGCCCAAAGGGTCTGACTACAGAGATTGTGTTCTTATCACAATCTCGTACCATCTTTCCAGATGTGTGTGCACGTACCTGTGTATGGGTGTGTACACCCAAGTGCAAGGCTTGCGGTGGGAGAACAGGGAGTATAATTTCTTTCTAGGCCGGGCGCGGTGGCTCACGCCTGTAATCCCAGCACTTTGGGAGGCTGAGGTGGGCAGATCATGAGGTCAGGAGATTGAGACCATCCTGGCTAACACGGTGAAACCCCATCTCTACTAAAAATACAAAAAAAAAAAAAAATTAGTGGCGGGCTCCTGTAATCCCAGCTGCTCGGGAGGCTGGGGCAGGAGAATGGTATGAACCCGGGAGACAGAGCTTGCAGTGAGCCGAGATCGTGCCACTGCACTCCAGCCTGGGCAACAGAGGAGACTCTGTCTCAAAAGAAAAAAAAAATTATTTCTGACCACTCAAACACTTTGAGGGAAAAGTCAACATCTAAGAGGTATTGTATTGCTCTTGCTTATCAACATAATAACCATTTTTATTAATGCTCGTGTTTATAAAATACTCATTATTTTTGAATTTTTTTTTTATTCCAGAAATGAAGACTGGAGAAGCAATGGGACACACAGGCAATGGGGCTAGGCATTGGTTGTCCCCATTCATTCATGCAGCAAATGGCCATTGCGTCCCCTTCCTGTGCTAAACCTGTGCAGGTGCTGCCGGACTTCCTGGACATAAGACCCTGTCCGGGCACTCACCACCATCATGCTTGAGGCCCTGCCCTGGTGTCAGTCTTTCCACGATGCTGACTGGCAGTGTGTCGGGACAGTCCCCAGGCAGGCCTCCCGGATACCTGTCTAGATTATCTCTGTGGTGGATGTAGCCTTTGCCCCAGCATTCACCAGTGACAAGAGAAGAATGTACTTTCATTCTTCCCAGGCTCTACCTGGGTGTGGTGGATGCTGCTGTCACTAGAAGGCTACTGTAAATAAAGCCTGCTTAATCTCCTTAGCCGGATGGCTGTGTCAGCCGGGTTGGAGCCGCCAGAAAAGCAGCCCATGCTTTAGATTCCCCAAATTGTTAGAGGCCGTGGGTGAGCCACAGCAGATCCCCCTGCACGGAAAAGCCTGCATTGGCTTGCCTGCTGATCAGGGTGTGCTCTGTGGGGCTTCTTCACCAACACAGAGAGTCTGAGCAAATTCCCAGGACACCAGGTGAGTGGGCAGCTTCCAGTGTTATGGCATCCACATTCTTCAATCCACTTATTCCTGGATGGGACTGTCCCTTAGAAGAAAATGGGTCCAAATATTTGCAATTGGGCCCCAGGAAAATGCAAGACTTAATGTTACCACCAACCTAGATCTCCTACGAGTTTACTGTTTAATGTTGATTAATTGCCCATTTTATCAAGCATCCCGTAGTTTCCATATATAGCGACTATCCTATGCATATCAGTTAGCCATACCACAATGGTGCTATGAGAACAGCCACCCCAACATTCAACAGCATACAACTATAAGCATTTCCTCCTAGCTCAGGTATCAACCAGTGGGTCATCCAGGGGTTGGCTGACCCAGGGTAGGCTCAGCTGGGCTTGGCTGCAAGCTATGGATTGGTTTCTGGTCTGCTCTATGTCTCATCCTGCTGGGGCTACAGGCTTCCCAGGGAAAATTCATCCCAGAGCAAAGGATGGGTGCACAAGAGGGCAAGACCCGCCAGCTGAGCATATTGAAAATTTTGCTCTTGTCCTTTCTTCTCACAGATTGTTGTCCAAAGAAAGTCCTATGCCAGACCCAAAGCCCAGGGCAGGGCAGTACACGCTGCCCACCAGCAGGCCATGGCAAAGGTGTTTATGCACATCACTGTGGGAGACTGAAGAACGGGTACCAGGGATCAATCGGCCACCATGTAAAGTCTGAGAGAAAGATGCCCCAGCTATTCTTAAGACTTTCAAAATAGGCTTCCAGTTCATTAAAAAGGTGTCATGATATTCTTTTCAAAATTCTTCCAAATTCCTTTCATTTCAAATGCAAATAAATTTGGCTGTGCAATATTTTCAGAAAAGAGAAGGGAGGAGATGGCACACATTGCAAAATCAAAAAGGCAGGGTCACCCAGCTTCGAAGGGAAAGCAGGACATGTGAATGGAGAGCTGTGTTTTAGTCATGCTACAAAGGCAAGTCTTTGAGACTAAGCTCAAGCTCATTTCTAAATCTCCTGGTCTCATCTTGAGTAAGTAAAACCATAGTTAGGGCAGGTTGCTAGCTCCCTTCCTCCCACCCACCTTTCCCCCATGGCCCGACTTCATCTATAAGATTATTCAGGGACTTTTCAAGTCACTTGATATCAAGAAGTGAAGCAGCTTGCATTCTTTCCTTGCGTGGTACTGTTATTAAAAGTTTAGTGCCGGCTGGTGCAGTGACTCACGTCTGTAATCCCAGCACTTTGGGAGGCCGAGGCAGGCAGATCGGAGGTCAAGAGATTGAGACCCATTTCTGGCCAACATGGTGAAACCCTGTATCTATTAAAAATACAAAAGTTAGCTGGGTGTTGTGGCAGGTGCCTGTAATCCCAGCTACTCAGGAGGCTAAGGCAAGAGAATGGCTTGAACCCGGGAGGTGGAAGTTGCAGTAAACCGAGATCACACCACTGCACTCCAGCCTGGCCACAGAGCGAGACTCCGTCTCAAAAAGAAAAAAAAAAGTGTAGTGCCCTGTGTTCTGTGTTTGAACTAGCTCTCTGTCTGTCAAATTGGACTAACTTCAGTCCAGGGGAATGTCAGGTAAACAGAGGAAAGCAATGGCAGTGTACTCATAATAAAATAAAGAAACAAAAGGTGAAAAAGGCACATTGGAATTCTTGAGGAAGGACCCCATTTTTTTTTTTTTTTTTTTTTTTTGAGACGGAGTCTCACTCTGTCGCCAGGCTGGAGTGCAGTGGCGCGATCTTGGCTTACTGCAAGCTCTACCTCCCAGGTTCAAGCGATTCTACTGCCTCAGCCTCCTGAGTACCTGGGACTACAGGTGCCCGCCACCACGCCCAGCTAATTTTTGTATTTTTAGTAGAGATGGGGTTTCACCGTGTTTGCCAGGATGGTCTTGATCTCTTGACCTCGTGATCCGCCCACCTTGGCCTCCCAAAGTGCTGGGAGTACAGGTGTGAGCCACCGCGCCCGGCCAGGACCCCATTCTTGTCAGGGAATGCATTCTCTTTTTAAGACTGTTTTGCCATTGTCAGTGGTAATTAATCTCAATTATTCTTTTTAAAAATATCTTATGAGGAACATGCACAGTAATTATGCATTTGTAAAAGTCCAGAAGGAGAAGCACTGAAAACGGTAAGGGTATTATTTCTGTGTCATGGAATCATAATGCGGTTTTCTTTTTTATTCTATTTTTACATTCTGTTTTTTTCTCTACTGATCATGTGTTAATTATATAATTTCTTAAAAGCTTAAAAAAAGGAAAAGGGACAAATTTAAATTTTGTCTTTTCTGGAAACGGCCGGTAAAGGGGAAAGTGTGTTTATGATATGCCACAAACATATTCTGCAGACACTGGTTCTCCATGGGGTGAATGATATCTATGCTAGTGGCAACGGGATCCATGATAAATAAACTTGGAAAGAATTGCCTTAGACAAAATTATAACTTAAAAAACACATACAACTGGGAGAGTTATTAGAGTTAATATCCTAAAAAGAGGGTAAATAGCATTCCCAAACACAGGGACCACCGATTCCTTTTTTCAAGAAGGAGAACTCTAGACTAGTGTTCCTTGGGAATTGCTGTTCTAGGCCATGAGTGCCAAGGCAAAAATTCTGCTGAAATAAACCCAAGTAAGTGAGGTAGGCGAACTGGGCTGTTGCCAGCCAGGATACCTAAGGAAGTCTGCATTGCCTCTTCCGGCTTTGTGGATCCCCCACAACCTCTCCCATCTTCTTCATCCTGTGTACTCTCCCCTCTGTCCTCACAAAGCTGTGGGAAGCAAGCTGGCAATAGCTGGACTTGTGCAGAATCCTCCCTCTAAGCTAGACGCTGCTCACCTGATATGAGCTGAATAGCATCCCCCAAAATTCGTATGTTGAAGTCCTGACTCCCAATGTGATTGTATTTGGAGATGGGACCTTTGAGAGATGATTAGGTTTAGATGAGGTCATGAAGGTGGGGCCTCAGGATAGGATTAGTGCCCTTAAAGGAAGAGACACCAGCGAGCTTTCTCCTTCTCTCCACCCTTCATGTGAGGATACAATGAGGAGTTGGCTGCCTGTAACCCAAGGAGAGAAGCCTCACCAGACCCTGACACTGCTGGCACCTTGATCTTGGACTTCTAGGCTCCAAAACTGTGAGAAATAAACGTCTGTTGTATAAGCCACCCAATCAATGGTATTTTATTGTGGTAGCCCCAGCTAACCAACACATCATCTATGTTCTCGGCAGCCTGCGCTGTCCTTTTGCGTAATGCACAGCATATCATTCATCCATTCAGTCTGTCATTCTTTCAAAGGATGTGTGCCTTATATGAGTCAGGCCAGGGACAAAGTGGTGAGAAAAAAAAAACACTGTCTAGAAAATTTATAAAAGACAATGAATCAATAAGATTAGTCATGAGTAGATAGTTGTTAAAACTGGGCAATGGACACATGGAGTTATTTTTACTATTTACCCTACTTTTGCAAATGTTTGAAAATTTCCATAATAAATGGTTTTTTTTTTTTTTAAAGTAAATACAAGAATCACACAACTAAATGCACCATTACAACTTTGGCACGTATTCTGCGGAAGAGATCGATGGTGCCGTAAGGTTACATAATGGGGAGAATCACTGTAAGGGATGGTGTGCTCAGATGATGCAATGAATGAGCTGATTTTTATTTTTATTTTTTATTTTTTGAGATGGAGTCTCGCTCTGTCACCAGGCTGGAGTGCAGTGGTGTGATCTTGGCTCACTGCAACCTCTGACTCCCTGGTTCAAGCGATTCTCCTGCCTCAGCCTCCCAAGTAGCTGGGATTACAGGCACAAGCCACCACTCCCAGATAATTTTTGTATTTTTAGTAGAGATGGGGTTTCACCATGGTCTCTATCTCCTGACCTTGTGATCCACCCGCCTTGGCCTTCCAAAGTGCTGGGTCTACAGGCGTGAGCCACCACGCCCGGCCTCCTTTGTCTTATTTATCTGAGGGATCTGAATCAGGGTAGGAAAGAGGAGTCCTATTGACTAAGCCTTCTCAGAGACCTTACATAGATGTACCCACCACCCCTCCCAGGGAGCACCAACCTCTAAGGCTCCCAGAGATGACCTGGACACCTGTCTATGACTTCCAGGTCACTGCTACGCCTCCCCCTAAACTTCCTATCTCTTTGCTTTTAATCCTTGCTGGAAGGTCTGACCCTTACTTTGATTCATTTATTTAATAATTAAGATTGGGAAGATTCTTTTCTCATAGGGTTTACCATTTTATGAGAGGACAATCACAAGAAAGAAGCACATTTTAAAAAAAAAAAAAGATGATTTCAGAGAGTGGTAAACACTATGAAAGTAAAATGAGGCAATTTGAGGCAATGTAATGGAGAATATCTGTGGGCAATTTTAGATTGGGTGGTCAGGAAATGGTATGTCAAAGGACGCCTGAATGACAGGAAGTCGCCATGTAAGCATCTGGAAGAAGGGCATTCTGGACAGAGGGAATAGCATCTGCAAAGGTTCTGAGGCAGGAAGGAGCTTGATATGTTTGAGAAGCAGAAATAAAAGATGTTCTGGCTGAAGCACCATGAAAGAAATGAGCATGACCCAGGGTGGAGTGAGAGAGGTTGGCAGGAAATAGATCACGAGGGGCCTTGTGGGCTGTGGTGAAGAGTGAGGGGTTTTGGTTGAAGTGGAAGGGGAAGCCATTGTTCACTTTCTTGACTAGAAGCTCCTGGAACTTTGGTGTTCTTGACCCTACACTATATTCCATCTACTTTGAACCTCTTCGTGACATATCAGGAAGAAACCTGGGTTTTTCCTGTGATAATTACTGTTCCCATGACAAGTCATCACTCCTGCCAAGTTTGTTCTTGTTTTGTTTTGATTTTTTAAAAATATAATAAAGAATTCATGCTTAACCCAAAGAAGTGAGTCACTAAGAGTAAAATATCAGGCAATTCTGAGGAAAAACCTTAGGGATCCCTTCAGATCTCCAGACTAGGCAACACCCTGCTTGGTGTGTGCATAATTCTAGACTCAGGGACAAGTACAGTAAAAATGGGAAGGAAGAGTAGAAAGAATGGGAGGTTGAGACAGGAGAATCGCTTGCACCTGGGAGGCGGAGGTTGCAGTGAGCCAAGATTGTACCACTGCACTCCGGCCTGGGTGACACAGCAAGACTCCATCTTAAAAAAAAAACACAAAAACTGCTGATTATCTCAGCAAAGAACGCAAAAAATTGGAAGCACATCTCCCAAAGAGAGAAAGAACTCATGCCACGCTCCTGGGGAAATCCCCTTCTTAACCAGTTTAACACTTTTTAAAGGCAGAGCTGAACAGAAAAAGGAGATAAATCATATTATCGAAGCAGTCTTACGGAGGTTTTGTTCAGAGTAGATGATGTTGGAGAACGTGGGTGGGGGGAAGATTCTCGTGCTCAGTTGAAATATATCCCATCCAAACTGAAAAACCCGGTTTTTTTTTTACTCTGTCCTGCCAAAACCCAGCTCCAGGCTGGTGGCTCCTCAGCGGTGACCAATGCCGGCACTGCAGGTGCACACAGAAAGGCACCCACGAGGAAGCGCCCGCACTCTAAAAGCAGCCAGAAATTGCCTTTGTGCCAGGCTAACCCTTATTGGCTATAGAACTCTTCAGATTCATCTGGAGATGAGGATGAGGGTTTTGTTTCTAGTAACTGAGTCTCCAACTAGGAAAAGGCTTCAGAGGTCATAGCCTGCCTATATGATAGGACAACTGGAATTTCTCCTGCTCCAGAATCATAAGGGTCTCAAATTCATAGATCTTTAGAAAACCTCAGTGAGGTGCCCTCTACTCTGCTCTAAGCTGCATACCTTCTAGAGTCACACACTTTCCAAATAGTTCTTGTGCAGCTGGAGGCAGAAGGTTTCAGTATTATTGGGAGCACTTCTTCCTTTGATCTGTGTGCCATGCTATCAGGAGCAGAAATCAGAAAGAAGCATTCTGATTTGCTACTCAGCCAAATGAGGAACCACTAAATCCCCTGGAAGGTCCCTGTCTCTCTTGAAGTGCCACAGGGACAGCTTGGCCCAGAGCCCAGCAGAGGAAGCTGGGAGCCTCTTCTTCTCTCGTTCAAGATCTCTATCTACAAATTGCAGTCTGAAACCTGCCATACAGAGATAGTGAGAGCTATAGACCTGGATAAGCCAGGTACCAGTGCAATCAAAAGTGAACAAAACTATTACAAAAAGCAAGTGAGGTATGCAGGGAAGAAGGAATGTCCCACGCTTGTTTGAGTTTAGTTCCTGTCTGAGCATGAAGCAGGATGGGGTTTCTGAAGTGCCTTCCTTCTCCTCCCCCTTTCTAAGTTCAATTCCTTTCAACTCAACAAACTTCTATTAAATGTCTGTAGTGTGCCAAGCTGACTCTAACATGGTCCCAGGCCTTGGAGAGCTTACGATGAGGTGGAAGAATCAGCTAGCAAGAACAGGGCTTAACAAACTCGGGTCCATTGACCTAATCCTGCCTGCTGCCTGTTTTTGCATGGCCTATAAACTAAAAATGATTGGCCGGGCACGGTGGCTCACGCCTGTAATCCCAGCACTTTGGGAGGCCAAGGCGGGTAGATTACGAGGTCAGGAGTTCAAGACCAACCTGGCCAAGATGGTGAAACCCCATCTCTACTAAAAATACAAAAATTAGCCAGGCCTGGTGCCAGGCACCTGTAGTCCCAGCTACTTGGGAGGCTGAGGCAGAGAACTGCTTGAACCTGGGAGGCGGAGGTTGCAGTGAGCCGAGATCGCACCACTGCCCTCCAGCCTGGGCGACAGAGCAAGACTCTGTCGCCAAAAAAAAAAAAAAAAATTCACTTTTTTTTTTTTTTTCTGAAATCAAAAGAGGAAGTATATGTTGTGGCATATGAATATGATATGAAAGTAAAATTTGAGTGTCCAATGCCCATGTTTCCCTATTGCCCACGACTGCTTTTGCCCTGAGTGGCTGAGTTGGTGCAACCAAGACCGTAAGGCCAGCAAAGCCTAAAATATTTACTACCTAGCCATTGACAGAAAAAGTCTTCTGACTCCTGAGCGAGAATTATGTCCTCAGCAGCTTTTGCACAAAAGATAGTACTATAAGGTCATTTCCAAAGTTAAGAAAAATTCAATGTTACCCAAGCATTCTTGTGTATACTATTATGTATAACAAATTACTTAATGACCTGGCTTAATTGCTTCTCTGTTTTGTAGATTGGGAGTGGGCTGGTACAGTACAGCAGAAGGTACTGGAGATAAGGGTCACGGGTGATACTCATATTCGGACTGCCCAGGTTCAAATCCAAGCCCCACCGGTAACGAAAGCATGACCTTAGCCAACGTGCTTCACTTCACTCTGCTTCAGTTTCATGATCTATAAGTTTGACATAATAAACAATCTACCTAATACAGTTTTCCTAAAGATTATTTCATTAAAAAGGTATAAAGCACCTAAAACAGTGCCTGACACACAGGAAGTATTAGCCATTATTATTATGAGAAACAGTGCATCTTCTGTGTTTCTTTAAAGCTTACTGTACTTACATACCATTGTTTAGTTATTAGTGATGCTGGCTAATATTTACTGTGCTTTTCCGATGAAGTTGGTTTGCTTGTTTGTTTTAAAACAATCCTTGGCAATCAGTGAAAGGAAACTTAACTAGTTGCAAAATCAAGGGGAAACCTCTCCAGGGAAAATCCATAACAAAGACATGACTTAACTTCATTTTCTACAATGTAGACACATACAGGGACCAGCGAAGAGCTAACCGAACAAGATAAGCAGGATGTGTTTTTCTGTCTAACATTAAAGAAGTTTCTTTATGGCAGCTAAATACAGAGCAGAGAATTCAAAAAGTTAAAGGGAGAAATTTAAAAAACAACTGCACATTAACTTTTATAAACAACCACAATAGAATAGAAAAGCTAGTGATTGGCTATTCAAAATAGAATGCAGACCCCTCCAGTAGGTGAAAATGTTATTCAGAACTGTTCAACAACTTTGAAGTTAAGTACCAAGATACTTAATACTACCCATGTATTATATTATTTTGAACTCTGATCTAATTTCAAACAAGTAGAAATGGGAGAGTAATTTAAATGGGTGCTGTGAACCTAATAAAGAACATTTTTGTAGAAGATGCACTAAAAAGCAGACCTCAAACAGTATGGCCACTTTTTAAAGTTATCTTCACCTATAGGAAAAACTTGAGGCCTCTAGACTCTGTGGGCAGACATCAGCATTCTTTGAGGGTACCCTAAGTGCACAAAAACCACTAGGAAGAGCTCATCAGCTTCTGTGAGGCTTGCTCTGTGATCTCCAACCTTTGAGAGACAGTCAACGTCGTGAAGTGACAAAGAGGGTGGTGATCCTGGTTAAGAAGTTACAAACACCAACTCTCACCATGTAGCTATGTGACCTTCAACTAACCATTCACCTCCCTGACCTCAGTCTGCTCATCTAAAACAAGAGGGGAAGCCGGCTGGTCGAACTTTAGGTTTCCTCTAAATTTTCAGACACTGTGACCTTTAAGTTGCAAACTAGCAATATGACTTTTGTCATCTCTGCTACTGTATTTGGTCAACTCTTGAGGGCCGATAGCAGAGGCAGGTGGAAGGAAAAGGAATGGGTAAAATGAGTAAGGCAACTTACAGATATTCTGAACCTTTGTTTTCTCCTGTTAGAGAAACTCATAAGAAACAAAGAAGATTGACTTTGGTTTGACCTTTCCTCCTTCTATTAAACATCTGTCATGGCCAAGCTGAAACGTGCCATGGTCCATGCCCTTAATGGGCTCACAATGAGATGGAAGAATTGTCTATAATTGTGTCCATGGCAAGTTTCTGTACTAATTGATTGTACGATGGCCAGGTAGGAGCCAGGGAAACCTGGGTAATCCATGAAGCAGATCCCTTTAGTTGCAGAAAGTAAAACATGTATAATTTCTTTTGTACCACAATTTGGCATGCCCCATCTGTTTTCCCATCCTCATCTCTCCTGACTTCCCCACTCACCTTCTTAACTTTAGTCAAGCAAATCCACTACTCTGCTTTGCCCTTGCAAAGTTCGGGCTATTTTCTTACACATTAGATATGATACTTGGCTCTTCAGAAGTGGGGATGACTGTAACCACCAAGTGCAATCATATTGCTTTAAAAAGACAAAAATAAAGAAGTTCCCAGGCTGAGGATGGCCATTATAGACCTGTTAGAGCTGCACTTCTCAGACCTGTGGAGCCTATCACAACCCTGTTTTGAAACACAAGAAAGAAAAATAATAAATATCCTCAGAAAGAGAGGTTCTCCTGAAATTATAGGCCACTACCTCCCAAACTGTGTAGTGACAGCAACAACTGGACATGGTGGGAGTAATCAAAAGGCAAATCAGACCTTAAAAGGCAAATTTTTATTTCGTAAATGAGTTAAAACTGGCAAGTTTTAACTGGAAAGAGGTACAAGCATTTGATCTCAGTACTTTTCAATGATATGGGGAAGAAGAAGAACACAGGTGAGGGAATGTGAGAGATTTTCAGAAGGTATTAGAGGCCCTGAGGAAGCAGGAGAAACATGGGGGTTGGGAGCTGCAAGATCTGTAAGGCCTGAAGCCATCTGATGCAATTTGGAAGGTTAGTGGAATGAGCAGCACTGGGAAAGGTATCTTAACCAAGGGAAGGAAAGCAGCTGTAAAAGTTTCAAGCAATTAAATAAAACCAAGCTGCTGGCTGGGCATGTGGTGGCTCATGCGTGTAATCCCAGCACTTTGGGAGGGCAAGACAAGTAGATCACGAGGTCAGGAGTTCAAGACCAGCCTGGCCAACATGGTGAAACCCCATATCTACTAAAAATACAAAAATTAGCAGGGTGTGGTGGTGGGCACCTGTAATCCCAGCTACTTGGGAGGCTGAAGCAGAGAATTGCTTGAACCCGGGAGGCAGAGGTTGCAGTGAGCCAAGATCACGCCACTGCACTCCAGCCTGGGCAACAAAGCGAGACTCCGTCTAAAAAACAAAAACAAAAACAAACCAAGCTGCCCTGAGCAGGTGCAGATGGAGAAATCTGTACCTGGCTTGGACCTGGAACTCTCCCCACACAAGTATTTGCACACAAACTAGGTAGCTATTTGTATGATGATAAAGAATCCCTGAGGGGAAGCGTTACCTCTGGAAAGGTGAAGATGAGAGGCTTAATACAGGAAGTACTGCCTTTGAAGGAGTACTGTGCCTCCCACCATGAGAACATCTTTACACCCCACAAAGGCAGGGATTAAAAAATATTTGTTTGTTTTTTTGAGATGGAGTTTTGCTCTTGTTGCCCAGACTGGAGTGCAGCGGCACAATCTCGGCTCACTGCAACCTCTGCCTCCCAGGTTCAAGTGATTCTCCTGCCTCAGCCTCCTGAGTAGCTGGGATTACAGGCACCCTCCACCACACAAGGCTAATTTTTTGTATTTTTAGTAGAGTGGGGGTTTCACCATGTCGGCCAGGCTGGTCTCAAACTCCTGTCCTCAGGTGATCCACCTGCCTCGGCCTCCCAAAGTGCAGAGATTACAGGAGTGAACCACTGGTGTGGCCTAAAAAAAATGTTTAAATCGATGTGTTCATTGATAGAACCCAAGTACTCAGAACAGTGCCTGGTACATAGCAGGTACTCAGTAAATTTGTTGAATAAATGAATGATATCAATTCCCAGGAAAGCATCTCTTTGAATTTGTCTGAGGCTTGCCAAAAACCCAAGTCACACAGACGAGAGACAGGTGGCAGCAGACCCTGCCCCTTCTCATGGATTACTGCCCTGAGTGGGTGTCTTAGGTCAGTTCTTCAGGAGACAGAGGTTTGTTTACAGAAAGTTTACTGGGGAATTATTGCAGAAAAAAATATTACTGGGGAGTGGAGGAAGTAAAACGAGCAAATGCGAAGCTGAACTGCAATATAGTTATGACAGCCTCAGACGATCTCAAGAGGAGCTCTGGGGCCAAAATGGCTTCTGAGAGTGATCCTGTCCTGAGGGAAGTGGAGCGGATCTCTACGTACCCCCATCCACCTACACGTCCAGCAGCTGGAGGAATGTATGCTTCATCCTGAAGTACGTCTGGGCAGTACGTCACAGCATTCATCACAGTGGTTTTTTTCTGTGAGTTTGGGGGTGGGGAGGAGAATTACATCATTTGTGTACCCCATATTGGAGGTGACTGTTTCATCTTTGCTCCTGGTAGCAGCTCATAGAAACCAATTCTGGCTCCCTTAAGCTACTTATGAAATAAGAGAGAGATCATAAATGGATACGAAGCTGCAGAACTAGACATGGACACAGAAGAGGGATCAGAACTGGCATCAGAGCACCTTCTGGACCACCTCTTTTTTTTCTTTTTTTTTTTTTGAGACAGAGTCTCGCTCTGTCGCCCAGGCTGGAGTGCAGTGGCGCGATCTCGGCTCACTGCAAGCTCTGCCTCCCAGGTTCACGCCATTCTCCTGCCTCAGCCTCCCGAGTAGCTGGGACTACAGGCACCCGCCACCGCGCCCAGCTAATTTTTTGTATTTTTAGTAGAGACGGGGTTTCACCGTGTTAGCCAGGCTGGTCTCGATCTCCTGACCTCGTGATCCGCCCATCTCGGCCTCCCAAAGTGCTGGGATTACAAGCGTGAGCCACCACGCCCGGCCAATTTGTTTTTATTTTTTTTTATTTTTTATTTTTGAGACGGAGTTTCACTCTGTCGCCAGGCTGGAGTTTAGTGGTGTGATCTCGGCTCACTGCAACAACCTCCACCACCCGGGTTGAAGCAATTCTCCTGCCTCAGCCTTCCCAGTAGCTGGGACTACAGGCGCCCACCACCGCACCCAGCTAATTTTTGTATTTTTAATAGAGACGGGGTTTTGCCGTGTTGGCCAGGGTGGTCTCGATCTCCTGACCTCATGATCCACCCACTTCGGCCTCCCAAAGTGCCGGGATTACAGGCATGAGCCACAGTGCCTGGCCTCTTCAAGATCTTAAGTGTCAAAATAGATCATCTAATTGGCTTAGCTTAGTTCACGTACCCACCGTTAGCTAGGGGTGGACATAGAACAGTCCCATTAAAATTGCACAGTGGGGGTGGGGAGAATGTATGCTGAAATACACACACATATTTACATATACACAAATTCAAAACATGCCCAATAACTAGCTACAAGGATAAATTCCTTCTCCCCCACCTGGGCAAAAAAGTATGAACAATTGACTCATACATCACTGTTGCAGAGAGGGTGGGAAATGCCTCATGAAGAGTCACATCACACTTCCAGGTCATCAAAGAGGATGGCATTTTAAAATTAGCAAGATACAATTCTAATAATCTAAACAGGTTTTTTTTCTAAAGGGAAAAATAAGAGCAATGTCCTCATTTTCCAGAGAACAAAATAGCGAAACTTGTTTTCAAGAGTAAGTAAATTAAAATCAGACCTTTCTGCAATTTTTTGCTGCTCTTTTCTCTTTGCCTTTGTTTGCTTGTTTCCTTTTATACCTAGTCCCGCAGACCGTTTGCCTTTTTAAATAGATTATCCCATGGAGGTTAAGACTAAACAAGGCGATGAAAAGGAGATAAGAGTTTCTATTCATTGCTCCTAAGTGCTAGTTAGGCCAAGGCTCACAGCGGGTAGTCTTCAGATTACTTCTATAGTGTCGTAAGTTATATTTGATGCTGCTCTTTCCCCAGGAAACAGGGAGGTCTCGTCACTGAGACTGCACAGTATCAGACACTGAGTAGCCACTCAATATGTGTTGGAAAAATGTAAGGAACAGAGAAAGAGAGGAAAGGAGAGAGGAAGAGAGAAAGAGAGAAAGGGGCAAGGAAGGTTACCCTTTGACTCATAGGCTTTTAGATTACAGGTGGATAACACATCTTACTCACATATGACCTTTTCTGACTAGCAACCATGTGGCAAGATCTATAGAGACTTGGGGGATGGCAGCCAGGAACTATTGAGAAATCTTCTGATTAGTTGAAGAGTATGGGTTTTTGTAAGTATAGAGCAGAGCACATTTTGAGAATCTTTTACTGATTGGTGATTTATTCAAAAAACTATTGAAAGGCGGCCGGGCACGGTGGCTCACGCCTGTAATCCCAGCACTTTGGGAGGCCAAGGCGGGTGGATCACGAGGTCAGGAGATCGAGACCATCCTGGCTAACACGGTGAAACCCTGTCTCTACTAAAAATACAACAACAAAAAAAATTAGCTGGGTGTGGTGGCGGGCACCTGTAGTCCTAGCTACTCAGGAGGCTGAGGCAGGAGAATGGCGTGAACCCGGAAGGCAGAGCTTGCAGTGAGCCGAGATAGTGCCACTGCACCCCAGCCTGGGCTACAGAGCGAGACTCCGTCTCAAAAAAAACAAAACAAAACAAAACAAAAAACAAACAAAAAAAACTATTGAAAGGCTAACAGTTTTGAAGGGAAGACATGGAAAAATAGAAATTCATAAATGATTTCTAATCCAACAATCTTATTTTACAGATAAGAATGCTGAGGACTAGAAAAGTAAGGCAAGACTTCTGCTTCTAGCCAAAATGCAGTAGGAGGGACCATATTTACCTCCCCACTCACACTGGACAAAAAAAAAAAAGTATATATCTATATCTATATTTACATCAATCAATGGTTTTCTGACATTTGATATCAGGCAACACAGGACAGTGATCCACAAGATAAGGAAAACAAATAAGTTGAGTTTCCCAGGTTCCTGCCTGGAAAGAGTTTCGAGGGTACAGCACAGGGAGGAGAAATCCAAGCAGAGCCCAGCAGTCTCTCTAAGTTGAGGAAGTGAATCTGGGAATCTGGGAGGGTCAATGGAGCTAGAGTTCCCAGGGCAGAATATCAGCACACTAGAGAGAAGAGAACTGCACCGAGAGAGCAGCAGAGGTCTGCAGAGGGCTCCCCAAAAGTCTTCAGCTGGGTACCCATCAGTGAATGTGTGTGAGGAAACTGTCCAGATCAACTGGAAAGAAGGAGATGATGCTCCTGATGCTCACACAGGGCTGCAAATATTTCATGATCCCATTCCCACCAGAGCAGAAAACTTCATAGTTCATGGAGCAATGGGTAGAGTACTCACAAAAGTGTTGCATCAGTAATGGAGAAAAATACCCCTAAAGTAAAGACTTCCTGGTTTTACCTAATGAAGCTCAAAATAATGCCCCAAAGGGGTCAAACTGTTTCCAAGTAACATAACTTTAGGACAAAGATTAAAATTATTTCTAGGAATACAAAATTAGCTAGTGCCCAATGAGGTCAAATTCTTGATGTCTGCCATTAAGTAAAAAATTACCAGCCATAAAAAAAAACAAAAAAACAAACAAACAAAAAATAACAGAAAAGTAACACTAATAAAGAAGAGAAATTGATCAATAGAAGGAGATCCAGAAATCATACAGATGATACAGTTAACAGATAAGGACAATGAGACAGTTATAATCTATACATTCAAGAAGTAAAAGACCATGTTGAGTAGAGATATGAAAAATTTAAAAGGACTCAAATTGAACTTCTAATGATGAAAAATATAATACGTGTAATGAAAAATGCACTGGATTGAATTAATATCAGATTAGACACTGTAAAAGAATAAAGTCAGACAGGCGCGGTGGCTCATGCCTATAATCCCAGCACTTCGGGAGGCAGAGGCGGGAGGATCACCTGAGGTTAGGTGTTCAAGACCGGCCTGATCAACGTGGTGAAATCCCGTCTCTACTAAAAATACAAAATTAGCCAGTCATGGTGGCGCATGCCTGTAATCCCAGCTACGCAGGAAGCTGAGGCAGAAGAATCACTTGAACCCAGGAGACAGAGGTTGCAGCAAGCCAAGATCGCACCATTGCACTCCAGCCTGGGCACCAAGAGCAAAACTCCATCTCAGGAAAAAAAAAAAAAAAGGATAAAGTCATAGCAATAGCAACTATCCAAAATGAAATAGAAGAAAAGACTGAAAAAAATAAAAAGGGCATAGTGAGCTCTAGGACAACTTCAGGCAGCCTTTATATTAATATATATAATTAAAAACGCTAAGGGCAAGGAACAAAAAGTATATTTACAGAAATATTAGATAAAAAGCTTCCAAATATGGCAAAGTTAAAACTCCACAATTCCAAGAACTTTAAAGAACCTCAAGCACAAGAAACATGAATAAAATTACACAAAAACACATCATAAAGAAATTACCTAAAACCGGCCAGGCACAGTGGCTCACACCTGTAATCCCAGCACTTTGGGAGGCCAAGGCGGGCAGATCACAAGGTCAAGAGATCGAGACCATCCTGGCTATCACAGTGAAACCCTATCTCTACTAAAAATACAAAAACATTAGCCGGGCGTGGTGGTGGGTGCCTGTAGTCCCAGCTACTTGGGAGGCTGAGGCAGGAGAATGGTGTGAACCTGGGAGGTGGAGCTTGCAGTGAGCAGAGATTGCGCCTCTGCACTTCAGCCTGGGCAACAGAGTGAGACTCCATCTCAAAAAAAGTAAAGTAAAAAATAGGAATTACCTAAAACCTATGATAGGCCAGGTGTAATGGCCCATGTTTGTAATCCCAGCATTTTGGGAGGCCAAGGCAGGAGGATTGTTTGAGTCCAGGAGTTTGAGACCAGCCTGGGCAACAAGATCCCAGCTCTACGAAAAAATAAAAAATTAGCTGGGTGTGATGACACACACCTGTGTTTCCAGCTCCTCAGGAGGCTGAAGTAGGAGGATCTCTTGAGCCTGGAAGGTTGAGGCTACAGTAATCTATATTTGTGCCACTGCACTCAGCCTGGGTGACAGAGTGAGACCTTGTCACACACAAAAATTAAAACTTATGATAAAGAGAAAATCTTAAAGGTAGGCATAGAAAAAAGTCCCATTATGTACAAAGGAACAAATATACAAGGGACAGTAGATTTCTTGTTGAAAACAATACCAGTCAAAAGACAATGGAACAAATTTTTTTTTTTTTTTTTTTTTTTTTTTTTTTTTTTTTTTTTTTTTTTTTTTTGAGGAGGAGTGTCACTCTGTTGCCCAGGCTGGAGTGCAGTGGTGCAATCTCGGCTCACTGGAAGCTCCACTTCCCAGGTTCATACCATTCTCCTGCCTCAGCCTCCCAAGTAGCTGGGACTACAGGCACCCGCCACCATGACCGGCTAATTTTTTTGTATTTTTAGTAGAGTCGGGCTTTCACCATGTTAGCTAGGATGGTCTCAATCTCCTGACCTCGTGATCCACCCGCCTCGGCCTCCTAAAGTGCTGGGATTACAGGCGTGAGCCACTGTGCCCGGCCGGAACAATATTTTTTTAAGTACTAAAAGGAAAAAATTAGTCAACCTAGAAATCTCTACCCCATGAAAACATCTTTCCTTTTTTTAATTTTTATTTTCATTTTGAGATGGAGTCTTACTCTGTCTTCCAGGCTGCAGTGCAGTAGTGCAATCTCGGCTCACTGCAACCTCCACCTCCTGGGCTCAAGCAATCCTCATGCCTCAGCCTCCTGAGTAGCTGGGACTATAGGAGCCTGCCACCTAACCTGGCTAATTTTTTGTATTTTTAGTAGAGACAGGGTCTCACCACATTGGCCAGGCTGGCCTTGAACTCCTGACCTCAAGTGATCTGCCCACCTAGGCCTCCTAAAGTGCTGGGATTACAGGTGTGAGCCACCGTGCCCAGCCATATCTTTCAAAAATTAAGTCAGGCCGGACACAGTGGCTCACACCTGTAATCCCAGCACTTTGGGAGGCTGAGGCGGGCGGATCACAAGGTCAGGAGATCGAGACCATCCTGGCTAACATGGTGAAACCCCATCTCTACTAAAAATAAAAATTAAAAAAAAAAATTAGCCAGGCGTGGTCGTGGGCACCTGTAGTCCCAGCTACTTGGGAGGCTGAGGCAGGAAAATGGTGTGAACTCGGAAGACAGAGCTTGCAGTGAGCCGAGATCATGCCAGTGCACTCCAGCCTGGGCAACAGAGTGAGACTCTGTCTCAAAAAAAAAAAAAAGACAAAGTGCACAACCTTGTGAATATATTAAATGCCACCGCACTGTTTACTATAAAATAGTTAATCTATAATATGTGAGTTTTGTCTCAGTAAAAAAAGTGAAAAATAAGGAATTTTATTTGAATAGGTAGTTTTAAAACTACCCATTGGTTACTATGCTCACAACCTGAGTGACAGATTCTGTTGTATTCCAAACCACAAGATCACACAATATACTTTTGTAACAAACCTGCACATGTACTCCCATTCTAAAATAAAAGTTGAAAAGAATTATTATATATTTTATATATATATATATATATATATATATATATATATATATATTTTTTTTTTTTTTTTTTTTTTTTTTTTTTTTTTGAGACAGAGTCTCGCTATGTCACCCAGGCTGGAGTGCAGTGGCGCGATCTCGGCTCACTGCAAGCTCCGCCTCCCGGGTTCACACCATTCTCCTGCCTAAGTTTCCCAAGTAGCTGGGGCTACAGGCTCCCGCCACAATGCCCGGTTAATTTTTTGTATTTTTAGTAGAGATGGGGTTTCAAAATGTTGGCCAGGATGGTCTCGATCTCCTGACCTCATGATCCGCACACCTCGGCCTCCCAAAGTGCTAGGATTACAGGCCTGAGCCACCACGCCCAGCTTTGCGTTTCCAGCTACTGGGGAGGCTGAGGCAGAAAAATCGCTTGAACCTGGGAGGTGGAGGTTGTGGTGAGCCAAGATCGTGCCACTGCACTCCAGCCTGGGCAACAGAGTGAGACTCAAAAAAAAGAATTTTTCAAACATATAAAAGCTGAAGTAATTCAAAGTAATTCATCACTAACAGACTCGAACCACTGGAACTATTAATGGAAGTATTTCAGGTGGAAAATAAATAATACCAGATGGGATCTTGGATCCAAAAAAAATTAGAAAGCCAGAAATGGTAAATATGTGTATGGGAGAGACGGGTAAAATATTTTTCTTAAATTAAAAATCACTTCAAAAGATAATTGATTATTTAAATAGACTTATGACAATGTATTTTGAAGTACACTGCAAATGTAGATGTAAAATATATGACAATCGTGGCACAAAGGTCAGGAGAGGGGAGTGGAAAGGTGCTGTTGTAAGGTTGTTATACTGTGTAAAATAGTATATTACTTGAAGGCATATTGTGATAAGTTAAAGATGTTTTACTATAAGTCCTAAAGGAAGCTCAAGTAAAAACTTCTCAATTCATAAGGCAGAAAAAAAGGAAAACAGAGAATAAAGAACAGATAAGACATAGAGAAAAATAATAGTACCATGATACATCAATAGTCACATTTGGCGGGGCGTGGTGGCTCACGCCTGTAATCCCAGCACTTTGGAAGGCCAAGGTGGGCAGATCACAAGGTCAGGAGATCGAGACCATCCTGGCCAACATCGTGGAACCTCGTCTCTCCTAAAATACAAAAAATTAGCCAGGTGTGGTGGCAGGTGCCTGTAGTCCCAGCTACTTGGGAGGCTGAGGCAGGGGAATTGCTTGAAGCTGGGAGGCAGAGGTTGCAGTAAGCCGAGATTGCACCACTGCACTCCAGCCTGGCAAAATATCAAGACTTTGTCTCACACACACAAAAAAAAGTCACATTCAATGTAAATGGTCTGAACAGCAATTAAAGGGCAGAGATTGTCTGACTGTAGCAACCAAGCAAGACCTAATTATATGGTGCTTATAAGAATTCTCTCTCTCTCTCTCTCCAAATATATAGATAGATATAGATGTAGGAATGAATTAAAAGAAAGCCAAAGCAGCTATATTATTATCAGACCAAGTAGAATTCTGAGCGAAGAATATTTCCAGGAGTTTACTAATGGCAAAGATATCAATTCCTCAAGACAGTCAGAAATATTTATGCACCTAATAACAGAGTTTCAAAATAGGTGGAGCAAAAATTTACTAAACTGCAGGAAAATCAGAGAAATCCACAGTTATAGTCTAGGATTTCAACAATTCTTTCTCAATAATTGTTACAACAAGGAAATAGATAATCAGTAAGTATATAGAAGACTTGGAAAACTCTATCAACCAACTTGACATACTTGATATTTATAGAACACTCCACCCAACAACAGCAGAATACACATTCTTTTCAAGTACACTCACAACATGTACTAAGATAGGCCAAGTCTTAATAAATTTAGAAGGATTTAAGTTATACCAACTATACTCTAAGTATATTCTCTGACCATAATAGAACTGAAATAGAAATCCAAGAGTAGACTCACTCATGTATGGTCAGTTGGTTTTTGACAAAAATGTCAAGGTAATTTAATGGGGAAAGTAATGTTTCAATGAATCATTCTGGAAATTTTTGTTAACTATATGAAAAAGAAAAAGAAGAAGGAGGAGGAGGAGGAGGGAAGAAATTCAACCCTTACTTCACACCATTTACAAAAATGTAAGAGCTAAAACCATAAAACATATAGAAATCACAAAAATCCCAGGGGGAAATATTAGATGTCTTGTGTTTAGCAAAGATTTCTTACATGTGACACACAAGAAAACATAAATTTTGAAAGACAATAACGGCAAAGGTAAGTACCTGAAACCTCTGTTAGTCTTCTCACGGTTGATGATCTCTCTGAATCATCATGGCCAGCTTGCTTCCAGTGGTGCCAGGTCACACTTGATTAATGACACGCCAGTGCTACTCATTCCTCTCCCAGGGTCTACACGAAACCCTCCTTGCTTTTCCTACATTTTCCTGTGAGGGTCCTCATTGCTGTGCTTTAATTTACTTCATTTTCAGTATAAAGTATGTGAGATATACAGAAAGCTTAAAGAATACTCATGAGCCCACCACCTAGCTTAATATCTCATTTTTTAAAACTATTTTTAAAATTATTTTTTTTTTTAATTATTATGGGTGTATATATTTATGAGGAAGAGATATCTGCATTCCCATGTTTTTTGTAGCACTATTCACAATAGCCAAGATATGGGATCAACCTAAGTATCCATAAATGGATGAATGGATAAAGAAAACGTGCTATGTATGTACAATGGAGTATTACTGAGCCATAAAAAAGAATGAAATTCTGTCATTTGCAACAACATGTGTGGAACTAGAGGACATTATGTCAAGTGGAATAAGCCAGGCACATAAAATTATCTTCTACGCAGCTATTTTTTTGCCGTCAATAATTTTTTGCTTCTCAAGGACAGGGAGCATAGCTTCAGTCTTACTCTCAACTCTAGCACAATGCCCAATAGACAGTGGGTATTAAGTAAATGCTTGAAGAGAGAGAAAGAGAGAGAGACAGAGAGGTTGCAAGCACTCAGCTACCCTCTGGATTAACAATTGCCTCTCTTTGTGAGGACTTAAAAGGACGGAACAAGTGAGGCATGAGACGCACTTGCAGGACTCTGAGAGTGACAGTCTCCCTTAGCACTTCCCTTGCCTTGAGAGGAGGGCTGTGTGTGGTTGAGATAAAGCTCCAGGTAAAGAGGTAAAGTTCTTAACTCTGTGCTCTGAGCTCTACTTCCCCTTTGTTGCCTCTCTTATGTGGTTTCAGTTTAGACTCTACTTTTAATAACACATACACTCACACCAGCCTCCCTGTCTCTTCCAGCAATCCTCCCTGCACCCATCCACTGCCACTCAGCCGCCATTACTCAGATGCCCCACTGTGGCTGCTGCCTTGAGCCAAGCTGTGGTCGAGGCCACCTCCCCAGCATGCTGTTCTGCCAGAGCTCACTTTCTTGTCTTCCTGGTGCATTGGCTACCTGGTTCTTCCTAGAAACTGTCCTGCTTTTTTGTTTTCCCCCCAGCATTGCAAGTTGTACTCAGGGCCCCTATGATTCATGTCCAAACCCTGCCTTCCATCTTCTGGGGGGAGTACTCAAAGTAGAGAATGTGCAATCAGATTGGGCTGAGCTGGCCTTGTCCCTTTTGTGGAGATGATGACATGGAGGATTGGGTGGGTTTGGGAAAGATGTACGAGGTGGGAATGTGCTGAGACAAGCTAAATGCCACTGTGGTTAGAAGTCTCTGTTTTCTAGCAATTGTGAAGCAGTGGGACTGCCCCTCTTTCTAGAAGTCAAAACAAACCTTAGAAAACCAGTGCAAATGAGCCTTTCTGCCCCGTATTTCTCAAGACCCACTGCTTTGCTTGTAACCAAAGTCCTCTACAGAGAGATACCAGTTCCTAGCCCGGGCTCTGGTCACTCTCCTGACCAGACAGAGGAAGGACAAATTCCTTTCCCTTATCAAAGCCAAGGATCTGACTTAGGATAACAGAATCTTGGGTTGGGAGGGCTCCCTCAAGAAACATGTCATCCATTCCCCTGCCTTCAGCTGAGTTTTCATTTACTCCTCTGTGAAGACACCCTTGGCTGTCTGCCCTCCCCAGAAGCAGCCCCTACTTACTCACACTTTTTTGGTGATTGGCAACTCCATGAACATGTCACAGACTGGAAGAATACCTTTCTGAGATATGATCTAGACGTCACTGCTTTAGTGCAAGACTAGTTTCTCTTGTCTTGTTCCTCATGGAGAAGGGAATAGAAAAGATGGGGGCTGGAAGGGCATCAGAGGAAGGAATAGAAACGGAAACCAAGACAACTGAGTCCAAGGCTGAAGGCACTCTGTTCTACCTAAACTCTTGCCATTCAAAATGCGGCCCATGGGACAGGTGCATGAGCCTAACCTGGGAGCTCAGTAGAAATGCAGAATCTCGGGCCCCACTGCAGACCCACTGAATCAGATTCTGCATTTTTGTCAAGATCACCAAGTGATTCATTTGTGCATTAAGTTTGAGGAGCACTGGGCTGGGGCTCATTCTCCATCACTCACTGTAAACGTTGGGTCCAGAGCCTCAGCCCAGAGCTGGATTCTGTGTCAGAGCATCTGAATCTGTCTCTATGCAACACACCCTGCCTTCAGCCCTCTCCAGGGCTCAGCTAGAGAATTATCAAAGCCATCCAGCCCAAACCTTTTGACTTTGAAGGAGAGCGGGAGTGTTCCCCCAGATGGATGGGTCAACTTGACTTTAATCATATGGAAAAGCCCTTCCTATATGCTGAGCTATGGCCGTGCCCACCACACCACCAACATAGCTCCACCTTGGAGCTGGTTTTGAGCTTATTACAGGGAACTGCATTTTGTTGGGTGGTGATGTTTTTTTCTTTACGTGTGCATGATTCATTGGGATTGCTTCTTTTTGTTTTTTAACAAAGGGTAGTTTTTGTGTTTTTGAATGACACCTTTACGGTCCCCGTTACCCCAACCCCCTTTGATGCAAGGCCTCTGTTTTTAAGCATCAGGGTTCTGCCACCCGGACCTGGTGAGGCATATTTAAAGCTGTTTAAATTGACAGACCGGGCAAACAGGATTAAGTCGGTGGGCCCAGAAGGGGAGGTGGGGGCAGGGGGAGAGTTGCAGAATGGTTTACATGGATGAGCAGGACAGCCGGCTGGGCTGGGAAGGGGCCTATCGCTCCAGCCGGCCAAGAATTCTCGATCTGGGAGGTAGGCAGAGAGTTTGCAATCTGCCGGTGATTGGATTAGACATGGTGTGAAATTTGGAGCAGGGCTACGCGGCTGGGGCGGGGGCCCAGGCTGCTGTGGGGCCAGGCTGCCGAGGCCCCGCTGAGGAGACCGTGTCGGGATGCCTGTCCCTGCCCCAGCAGGCCTTGGCGACAGCGTCAATGTCACAGCCCTCGGAGGCTCCCCCACAGCTGGGCCGTGTTGTCTTCCCACACCACTGAGCCTTCAGTGCTTTCTCAGGGAAAGCAGAGGCCGCCTGGGCCCCCATTCACAGGGCCCCTTCACCCCTGGCCTCTCAGCGGTGGCCCAAGCTGCGCAGGAGTAAGACGCCTCCGTCTTTCAAGTCTTTGGGTTCTGAACAGCTCCCTCTTGATATCTTTTTTTCGCCTTTTTCTTTCTTTGTCTCTCCTTCTCATCTTTCGAGTTTTCTCACTCCCTCTCGCACAATCTGTTTCATTCAGGAGGATGCCGCTCCATCTGGATTTGTTCAAGGGCCCAAATCAGCTTGGGTTTTCCACTTTTTCAGGGATTTGGAGGTTCTGATTAACCTCTTTGAGGATTTTGAATCTTATTCCAGAACCCTAATCAGGCAACTGTGGGGTTGGGGGGTAGGGAAGGGGGGTGTGGAATTCGTCATCGCTGGGACGTTGACAATGTGTGACAGAGGCAGTAACACAAGGTGCAAGGCTAAAGAGACGGGCGGGTGGGGGGCCGAGAGGAGGAAGATGAAGGATGGAAGTGGATTTGAATGGGCATTCCCAAAGCCCATCCAATAATGAAACGGGCTCTTTTTGTCAGGAGAGCCAGTAGTGAGAGCCAGAGTATGGACACCCGGATCCCTGGCAGAGAACTGTGAAGCTAGATGTCTCTTGACCTCCTTTCTGACTCTTGTCTATAAAAGGCAAATTTTAAAAACAAAAAACAAAGCAAACAAACAAGCAAACAACTCTAAGCTATCTTGCCCACCTAGGGAACTCTTTAATTCTAACTCGTCTCCTCAGCTACTGCACAAGTATAGCTTTGGCCAAGTTTTCTTTCTTCTCCATCTTGGCTTCACTGTGTCCGAAGCAGAGGTGTGAGTGATCACATTCACTTCGTCTGCTTTGAAAAGTCCTCCATCTGTTGATCCAGGAAAGACCTCCCAAGGGCATCTAGTTATATGACTGTAGTATTTCAGAGCAGAGAAAGATCACAGAAACAAGCTCCATTTCTTCACAAATAATGAACTTGAGAACCCTTGGGTCCCGGTGTCACTTCAAAGTGTCCAGTCATCTCACCAGCTCCCCCTTGTTAAATGGTCAGTCCTCTTAACAGTTGGGGCAAAGCTCAAAATAGAACACAGGTCTCACACTTCCCGTTCAGGGCTCTTTTCTCTTCTGCCTGCTGGGTCCACGTAGCTCTGCCTCCAGGGACACCTGAGCTTGGTTCCCAATAAACCATGAAAGGCTTGTTCTTTCTGTGATAGCCAGGAAAGTACCTGTCAGGACGGTACCTTTCTCTCTTCCCCTCTCTTATATTCTCTCTTGCTCTGAGTGCAAACCTAGGCGAAGGAGAGCAAGTCCGGCCTCTCCCGGTCACAGGCGTAGTTACCGACTTCTCTCTCGGCATGGGACTTTTGTGCCTCCTTGATGTCTTTTAGAGTGGATATCCTGTATTAGTAAATATATTTCATGTCATGGGCCAATTTGGATCTATTTGCATTGTCTACTCAGGTTCCAAGTCCAACTCTGGGTTTACTACAGAAGAATGTTGGAACTAATAGGAATGCTCACCATGGATGAGGAAAAACTGCAACTTCTGAGCTTGGTCTCAAAGGCAGGTTGGCACACCTCTGAGAGGACATGTGTCCCCAGATCTGCAATGGTCCCACCCATATTTCCAAAACCAGCCACTTCTCCTTCTAACGAGGGTCCCTCCCCTCTCTTGCTACAGCCTGCAGCATGCTCAGGGCTTCCCTTGCCTTTGTGTGGTCATTAAAACGAGAGGTTTTTCTGGTGGAGAGAAAAAGCTTTTTGAACACTTCAATCACCAATATGCAAATAAAAACCCAATTATAGAGACACCGACAGATCATGGGGCTTGCTGAAAATGTTCCCAATTCTGCAGGCATCTTCTACCTGCAATTGTCAGTGCACTGTGTGTGGCAGCAAGTCTCCAAAGGTGGCATCCCAATCATTCTTCACCTCCCTGTACTTGTATATGCTTCTCCAATTGAGACAAGGAGACAGAGTCTATTTCCCCTCCTCTGATTCTGAGCTAGCCTGTGACTTGCTTGGACCCATAGAATTTGGCAAAAGTAACTTTTTGGAATTTCCAAGCCCAGGTCTTCAGAGGATTGGTAGCTTCTGCTTCCTCTCTCTTTGGAAGCCAGCTGGGATGTGAGGAGTCCAGCTCGCTTAAGCCCACAACGCTGTGAGGAAACCCAAGGTGGCCACGTGGAGAGGCCACATGGAGGAGCACCAAGGCATCAGACACATGAATAAAATATTCTTGGGTTTTCAACCCAGCCCAGGCACTAGTGGAATGCAGGCAAGTGAATGACCCCAGATAATAGGTTATGCTCAGAACTGCCTGGCTGAGTCCTGCCCGAATTCCTGACCCAGAGAATCATGGAAAATCATAAATTATTGTTATTTTAAGCCACTAAATTTTGGAGTGCTTTGCTACACATAAATAGATAACTGGAAACGCTGTCTTCTGTGATCGTAGATGTGGCACAGTCCCTGTGGAGACCCTCACTTCTTTGACCGTCTTGTTTTGCTCTTGCCTGGGTAGGCTGGAGATTGCCTATAGCAAGAAATGCTGCACAGGTGCAAGGTGAGTCCACCCGTCATCACAACTTCTTTAGAAAAGTCAGTCTACCACTGGTGTTTGTTGCTTTGGCCGCAAACCACCAGTATAACTGCCTTGGTCCTCGGAATTGAGGGAATCACCCAGCTTTCTTGACTTTGTGTACAGAGGATGAGGACAGGGCTGGAATGGTATGGCACAGCTTTGGAAAGGGACATGTGGGTCTGTTATGTTTCTTTTTAGCCCACTGCCTGATGTCTCTTTCAATCTTCATTTCCTTTGGTCCTTCACTTCTTAGGTTTGTGTGCCCCTCTAAGAGTGGTGCAGCTTCAATTACACGTAGGTAATTTCTAGTTTAATGTCAGGGTCATTGTTTTGATCCGTCCTCCCAGAAAGTCTCATCATTCCTCTCCGAGAAGTTCTGGAGTAAAAGCTCTTCTTGTCATGTCAGTTCCCAGAGTCTGAACAGATCTTGTTCTAAGATCCAATGCTCTGTCCCTGCCCTCCATCCTGCATTCTGCTATCCTGAGGGCATTCAGAGCTCTTTTGTGTGCAGCTGACCCTCAAGAGTGAGTCCCCAAGAATTGCTGTGGTAGGTATCAGGCAGATAAACCTCCAATGGTTCAGTAACACTATATATATATATATATATATTTTTTTTTTTTTTTTTTTGAGATAGGGTCTTGCTGTGTCACCCAAGCTGGAGTACAATGCTACAATCTTGGCTCATTGCAACCTCCACTTCCCGGGCTCAAGTGATCCTCCCACCTCAGCCTCCTGAATAGCTGGCACTACAGGCAGGCATGACCATACTTAGCTAATTTTTTAGTAGAGACAGGGTCCCACTATACTACCCAGGCTGGTGTCAAACTCCTGGGCTCAAGCAAGTCTCCCTCCTTGACCTCCCAAAGTGCTGGGATTACAGGCATGAGCCACTGCACCTGGCCCCATAACACTATTTTAAACAGTATTAGAAGGTGGCTAAAACTGAGAAGGAGAGAGCAAAAATATTTTACTAATATAAGCTCAAGAGTACTTATTCTAAACAAACCTAGTTTCTATCCATAGAAGGCTGGTTAAATAAACCACAATATTATCACATGATGGAATATTAACAGCTATAAAAAGAATGAGGAACTTTAAAAATATATTGATATGGAAAATTATCCAATGTATACTGCTATGTGGTGGGGGAAAGGCTCAAAATGGTGTGTATAGCATGCTTCCTTTTCGCCTAAAGGGGAAGAACAACAATAATGTTCATTTGCATGTGTCCATATTTGCATAAAGAAATACCAAGAGAATACATGGGGCAATTTAACAACGATTACCTCTGGCAGAGGGGAGATGGAAAAGGGTAGAGAAGGCTGACATGGAGGATTGACATTAACTTTAAACTTCTTTATTGTTTCGATTTTTGTACCATATAAATTGCATTACCTAGTCCAAAACAATGTTGGTGGAGAAAGGATTCATACTTTGCCTAATTTGATTAAAGAATAGCACAAGAAGAAAACTCAGGCCGGGCACGGTGGCTCACGTCTGTAATCCCAGCGCTTTGGGAGGCCGAGGAGGGCGGATCATGTGGTCAGGAGATCGGGACCATCCTGGCTAACACGGTGACTCCCCGTCTCTACTAAAAATACAAAAAATCAGCCAGGCGTGGTGGCGGGCGCCTGTAGTCCCAGCTACTCGGGAGGCTGAGGCAGGAGAATGGCATGAACCCGGGAGGCAGAGCTTGCAGTGAGCCGAGATCATGCCACTGCACTCCAGCCTGGGCGACAGAGCGAGACTCCGTCTCAAAAAAAAAAAATAAATAAATAAAAAGAAAACCAGCATCAGAAGGTTTGAATGGAATCATGCCTGTTTAAATTGCCTGGAGTAACCCCAATATGAACAAACTTGAAAATAATATGAAGGAGGCTAGGCAAAGGGGAATGCTACATCACTGTTTCCAAGAATCCGAAGGATGTGTGCCTGAGGCGAGAGCTGGAAGAAACAGGCTTCTCTAACCTGAAGAATTACAGTAGTCTTGAAGACTTGTGAGAATGGGTTTCCCATCTGGCCTTGGAATCTCACACTCTGATTTATGTGAATTTTGTCTGACCTTCTGGACCCATGATTCCATGAAAGTTATTCCAGTGCAGATGCTCCTTGACAGTGAGAAAGAGGTCTCTAGCTGTGTTTCTGAGCATCCCAATCAAGGGTGCAGGGCAGTGGGTCAGAAGCTGTGCTCTGTGGTTCAGGGGGCTTGCAACTTGGGTATTAACCCTGGACATGGTGAAATCAATTGTACTCATTAAATTAGCATTCCTGTCCACTCTTTAGATAGATAGTAACTTCTCAAGACCAGGGCATACGCATCTTACTCATTTCAGTTAGTACTTGTTGAATGAATGAATAAATATGAAATACACTTTATTTGCAAATTGTTTGAAAAAGTATTTGCAATAAGTATTCAAAATTTTTTTATCTGAAGCAATGAAGGCTCCATCCAGGCATTTCTAACACTGGAAAGATGATATTGTTGCCAGTAGAGGGCAGTGGTGCCTTTATCAATTAATAAAAGAGAGCGGGAGCGTGTGTGTGTGTGTGTGTGTGTGTGTGTGTGTGTGTGTGTGTGTGTGTGTGTGTGTGTGTGTTTGATTTTAAAAATCTAAACAATTAATGTATTATCAATTAATAAAAGAACATGCGCACACACTCACACACCCACACACCTCTCTATTCTTTCTTTCCCAAATTAGCTTCTTCCTATTGTTTCATCAAGACAGAAGGACCTGTACATATAGTTCAGTGATGGGCAGTTGAGGTCATAGTCATTGACCACAAAGCCCCCTTGGCCAACTTGGTAAACCCACTGTGTGCTGGAATGAACTTGAATTCTACATCAATACCTTCTTAATAACACTCAGAAATTGTGGGGACTGTTTTCAGGGAAAAGAAGATACCAACCTCCTTCCTTCTTCTCTCTCAGGGCCTCTGACCCACCCCTCTGTCTCCTACAGGGTCCACATCTAATCATGGGAATCAGGGGTAGCCTCTGCAAGACCTGAGTTCTTCCCGAGTGGCGAAAGCAGGCAGGGACATGCAAAGGGCCGTGACTGCAGGCTGCTCAAATATTTCAGGGTACAAAGAAGCAGCTGTCAAGCCAGTGTGGCTCAGTGAGGGAGAAACAAGTCAGCCTGAAAATTACCTGTGCTGATTCTTGCCATAGACGATTTCTCATCCCCCTGCAGCTCCTTGTACCCAACCTACCACGTTCAAATCAGCACCAGATGTTGTTGCCCTGAATTCCTTTCATCAAAAACTCTGGGAAATATGACTTTCTGCTCTAGAGCAGTAAACTGGTGCTCCATAGACCTTGGGAAAGTCCTTCACCCTTGAGTTCTTCTGGATTTCGGTTACTCAATCTGATGCATAGGACAATTAAATTCACCAGTTCACCGCTTCCAAACCAGATGTTGTGTGTGCACAGCCCACATGGACTGCTAGGTGCCCATGTTGAGTGCCTCCGTGTGCTTGAAGGGCACATGTCAACAGATTGAGGAGCCACATGGTGTCTCGCAGAATGCAAATGGTGGCCCACTAAGACCAAATGAATTCCAGAAAGTCAGGTATATGTAAAGTCAGATTAGACCTAAGTGGGTAGAGTGTAGAATGGAATGGAATGAGGGCATGAAGAGGTGTCAGAAGGAAAGGGAGGATCGCTGCAGTATTCAAATAAAAATCATCCACTATCTTAGTGTAACTCCTTGCAAAGTGCTTCCATGCCCAGCATCTCACTAAAACCTCAGGCTGGATGGTAATGTAGGCCAGGGCATGGTGCTCCCCATTTTAAAGAGAAATTGTTGCAAACACAGGTTAAGTGACCTCCCCACGTTGACACAACTCACTTATGTCAGAGCCAGTTCTCCTGGGTCCATCCTTTCTATTTCTAGGAATGAGTATAGGTTGCTTTTGGAAATAAATAAGATTTCCATGTTTCACATAGCAAGGACACAAAGTTCAGTTTGGAGGACCTGGGAAAGGCCTTTAAAGTGGGAGGCCCCCACAGGCACACCAGATCGCCGCCAAGCACTGTCAGTAGGAAGGCGCTCGCTAGAGGTGAGCCCATGCTGTCACAGAGCTGAAAGGAAGAGAAGAAAAAGGAGAAGCCATCAGTCTCACTTTTCAGAGGTACAGATCAGGAGCTGTTTGGTGTTTAGGGTTCATTTTACTCCAACACTGCAAATAACTACAACCCTACATACGCTGAGTCCAGAAGAAGTTATGCAAAGGAGTAGAGGGTACGAAGTAAGTGTCATCTACTGCCCTCCTCCTCCGCAGTAATGAACACACCTCTCCTCTCCCTGGTGTTAGATGGGTCTTCACAAACAGTAATTATTGGGAGCCAAGGATTACTGCTGAGAGCACTGGCTTATCGTTGACCTGAAAGAGGTGGAAGGACAGGTGTACCCTGCGGCAGGAAGCCACTCTAAACGTAGGTGTGGTCGCTACCACTGTCTGTGGCTGGTACAAATCTCTGTCCTGAAGATATTTTAGAAACACTGTGAGACACAGTTGACTGGGTATATCACTCCTCCCAGGCAAGAAATTACTGAAAATAATAATTATTGTTATATTGTCAATACCTTGGTATATTACATTTCATAGCTTAAAGTTTTCATATGCATCTTTTCTTGCTTGATCCTCAACCATCTAGAATACACACAAGGCAGGATTTATTACTGTTCTTTTACAGACAAGGAAACTGAGACCCAGGGAAGTGAAGTGGTTTGGCCAAGGTTTTGTAGCTGGTACTTCACTGGGTGGAAACTCAAACATAGGACTTCTGACTCCAAATAGTCCCAGCGAGGTTGAGTAGTGTTGAGTGAAGGAAGGGCCCAGCTGCCACCGTGGGCCTCCAGCCCCTTTGAAGAGCCTCGTTGGATCTGGCTCCTAGAGAAAGGCAGTGCAGAGCTGTCTCTGTGCAGGCTGAGGCGCCTGGCAGAGCTCCTCATGATTTCAGGAACGTTGCTTGGACTCTCCACTGGAGCATGAGGAAAAGGGAACGGTTGGTTATGAGGGGTGGAGAGGGGTGCAGAAAGGAATGAAGAAAAAGCATCAAACTGAGTGGTCTCAGAGTCCTGTTCTGACTGTACTGTAGCTTGGGGCAAGCCCCTTCTCCCTGAGCCTCAGGTTCACCTTGTGTTGAATAAGGTGCTAAAGCAAAGGATTCTAAGGTCCCTCCTAGCTCTCAAGTGTTAGAATGATGACAGGCACACGCGCACATACAGTGTTGCAACCAGCTTCTGAATTGTAACATTAATTAATTCATTGAGTCATTAAGTAGCTATTGAACATCTATTATGTGCAAAGCAATGCTAGTGCTTGATAATGGATTAAAGGTGAGCATAGGCTAGATGCAAATTTGGCTTTCAATATAAACCAAGATATTAATGTTGGTATATCAAGCTCTATATACCAAGAAGAGGGTTGAAAATTTGGAATAGGCTATCAATGCTTTGGGCTTGCAGGAAACACTGAATCTCCACATTAATCCCAGCTATTAGCAAGCTAACAGGGCATGTCCTGTTGTACATTAGCTGAACCTAGCTATCTAGAAACACGTGAAAACATGGTGAAACCAAATGCACAGGTTCAATGAATGATTTCACCTACCCAATTCTTCAGCAATGGCTGCATTTGCCCTTAAGATATAGATCATCCTAAGAGATACCATGTCGTCTGAGCATTCTCGTGCATTAGTGTAGCTGAGTGACTGGAGAAGAGAAGGGGTTAATAAATGGTGGTTTGCTGAGAAAGATGACTTTATGAGGCCTGGCAGGGTAAACATCTCTCCTGCCCACTTCTGCCTGGTGCCACCGTGGAATGAGACACTTCCTCCTACTTTCCAATTGCATCTGCCCTCCTAATCCCACCATGTGGCCAGGGTTAAGGGTAGGAGCCAGGAAGGAGAGCCAGCTCACCTAAGACACAGAGAGAAGAAGCCAATTGTCCTGGCCCACACAGGAAATCAGAGGCAGGGGCCACAGCCAGCCCTGGAATTCACGAGCTCCAGGCTTCGCTTCCAGACAGATGTTTGTGTTTCCTCCAATGTTTGTTTAATGCTAGAAACATTTCAGTAGAAACCAGAGAGCTGGCTCCTCTGAAGCTCACCTGTTGCTTTGGAATGTATTTATTTGTACCTGGGGCCCCCTCTCAGCAGACTGTTCCTTTCCTACAGCCAGAAGGCTGATGTGCTCACGTCACTGTCTCCACAGCAACTGACTGTGATATTACAAACAGCAGATTGTGCCTGGAGGTAGATAGCAAATGGTCTGAGCAGGTAAAGTGGGCCAAACAAACTTCCTGTTTCCAGGCAAAGGTCTCAAAGAACAGTGAAACGTTCCCTCACCCTCCCACCCCCAGACATGCTCTTCTCCAAAGAAACAAATATCTCACAAATTGTGGTCTTGTGTTTTTTTCCTCTCATTATTCGTGCAAAGGGAGGCAAAAGCATTTCTGCTTTCCTTACTGATTACCCCCACCCCATATCTCTGCCTCTAATTTACCCATAAATTAAAAACAAAGAAGGAACTCTTGCTCCTCTTGGCATGGTTATGACCTTGGTATTTAAATATGCATTGCAGTCATGGTGGTAGCGAATCATCGCGGGTCTACATTGCGTTGTCCTCAAAGGAAAAGAAAAACTGAAATAATGGAAAACCATGCCTTCACTAGTCAACACATCTATTTACCACGAAGCCCAGGGTGGCAGGGCCCTCCTCATAGTTTGACTCCAGTGTCCCCGAGAGCTTGACCACCAGTTTCTGATGATCACCAACCTACTCCACCGCCACTCACTTTCATTTGCTCTGTGATGTTTTCCATGTCACTAAGCTTACAGCAACCTCTTGCACCGTGACATTCTTCTAAGTCTCTGGAAATAGAATCATGGAGCTCAGAGGAAGTGGACATGACCAGAAGGTGTATGCCAATCCAAGCTCTCCCCTTGTCTCCCTGACATCACCTACCTATGACTTCTATGTCCTCTGCCAGGGCATGACCACAGCTGGCTGAGCATTCTCAGTTGAGGTTTTGAGCCTTCAACTCCAAGGCACTCAAGGAACTGAGCTAAGATGTTGCAGTACCAACTGAAATCTAAGTCTGTCTCTAACTCAGAAACTGAGTGCTTACCTTGTCTTCTTCCTTTAGCTTTAGACGATTAAAACATCCCTCAAAACACCTGGATTTCCTACAGAATACACTCTTGCCTATAGCCAACACCTCTAATATCCATATTCTTGGGAGGGGGTGGTTAGTCATCACACTGCAAAGATGGGGACATCTTACAATGGGTTTGGAGAAAGAGCAAACCTGAAGAAGGCTTTTCTGTCCCCAACAGTCCTGCATGTCTGACTCTTTCCCATCCTGCAAGACCACAGAGGCCACCTGCTCCACAAAACACACCTGGTAGGGAGCTCTTCTCCCTCTGCAGACCCATAACACCTTATACAAACTTCATGTTCACAGCTAAACATCACCTTACATTCCCTACTAGACCTTATAAGCTACTTAAGAACAGAGTCTATGTCTGATCATCTTTTCATCCTCTTTTGCCTTGAACATAATAGCTGCTTAATAAATTAGGGTAAATGAATAAATGTCAATAATGCAATGGACTGTGTGTGTCTTCATTACCTGGACTATTTCCACCCACCCTCTCCTTTCACTCCTTAAAGGGATCTTATGCATGCCTTCATCACCTGAAGGGGCCATTTTATACCCAGCTGTACTGTAAGCCTCCCCTCCCTACCATAGCCTAGCCAAACTTTCAGTCATTCCTTATTATCCTAGGTGAGGCATGGGGGTTAATGCCACCCAAGCAGTTGCTTGTGGGCAGTGACTTCCCCAAACAGGTATTTATTCTATTTTTCAGTCAATACAAACAGAGACCTTTTATTTTATTTTTCATTTTAAAAGTTGAGGTCTCACTCTGTTGCCCAGGCTGGAGTGCAGTGGCATGATCATCGCTCACTGCTGCCTTGAACTCCTGGGCTCAAGTGATCCTCCCACCTCAGCTTCCCCAGTAGCTGGAACTACGGGTGCACACAACCATACCTGGCTAATAAGAGATCCCTTTTTGAGACCTTAGGATTCTAGAAACTATCTTTGAACCTTAGGCAAGAGATCTACTCTTCCAAGATTACTTGATCTTTTCTTCCACACAAATCAAAGTTTTGCCTAATCTAGCATATCTCTAGAATGGACTATTTCCTTCTATATGCACCACAAACTGTCTACTTGTAAGAACTAGTTTTAGCTTTGGCTACAAGTGACAGAAACTCAAAATTCATGGTCTTAAACAAGATGGAAATTTATTTCTTCATCTCATAGAAAAATTCTGAAGAAGATAGCATGGGGGATACCAGGGAAGCTCCCAAAGGTCATCAGGGCCCCATATCCTTCTATCTGGCCTGCTATTCTCAGCACTTGTCCCCTACCTCATGGATCAGTATGGCTGGTTGAGCTCCACCTTTCATGCTAGCAGCCCACCAGCAGAAACAAGGAAGTAGTGAAGGACCTACCTCTTCCCTTTAAGGATGTTTCCTAGAACATAACCACAACACTTCCCCTAAATTCCACTGGCCACAGTGGAGGCTAATAAATGTCGCCTTTATTCTGCTTAGGTTGTAAATCCTGAAATTTGAGATTCTGTTTCTTTCTTTCTTTTTTTTTTTTTTTTTGAGATGGAATCTCACTCTGTCACCCAGGCTGCAGTGCAGTGGCGCGATCTCCACTCACTGTAAGCTCTGCCTCCCGGGTTCATGCCATTCTCCTGCCTCAGTCTCCCAAGTAGCTGGGACTACAAACGCCCGCCACCATGCCCGGCTAATTTTTTTGTATTTTTAGTAGAGATGGGGTTTCACTGTGTTAGCCAGGATGGTCTCAATCTCCTGACCTCGTGATCCGCCCGCCTTGGCCTCCCAAAGTGCTGGGATTACAGGCATGAGCCACCGTGCCCAGCCCAGGATTCTGTTTCTAAGGAAGAGAGCGATAACAGATATTAGGGGCAACTGGCAGACCTGACCTGACTTTTTGCCCTGAATGGTTAATTTTCCATCTCTGAGGGATGAGTTTCCTTTTTCCTCAATGGTCAGGGTAGGCAGAATATCTCTGTCTACCTTTGCTTCTCATAGATAAAGAGCTTAGATAGGTCTGGGGAACTCTAAGGTATGGCAGGGTCAGATGACTTTCCCACCACACACAGCAAATAAAGCCCAGACAGGAATGACACACAGTGGTCCCGACTCTCTCTTGAGGAGGCTCAGCTGGGTCTGAGTCAGGAGCAGAGGCCATCCCTCTCACTGCGCTGATGAATGCCAGGATAAAGAGAGGCATGGGAGTCCTGGCCAAAAGCAACCTCAGGAACCTGTAGATAAGAAATCTGTGCCCAGTGGCACTGGGCTCCAGTGTGCTCATTCCAGCCACAGCACAAGGACCTGTAGCAGGCCTCCCTGGTGCCATCTTGCCTTTCAGGGCACCATCATCCTCTCAGGGCAAGAACAGCACCTCCTGGACTAGCCAACCGCCCCCACATAGCACCACAGGCTCCTGCCACCTGGCAGGTAGCTTGGGACCATGAGAGGCAAACCATGTGACTGCACCCATTCTTGGGGGCCCTGGGCTTCCAGGCAAGCCAATCCCTGTCTGGGCTGGTAGCTGTGTGCAGACTTTCCTGTTATCGTCTTGAATCTGGCCCGGCCCCTCCAGCTCTCTAATGCTGCCTATCTGAGTGGGGCCTGCCCTCCCACTAATGTTTTCTCCTCCACAGGGCCTCGGGAAAGGTATTTGGCCTGGCAGTTTGCCTGCCTCCTCTCCCAGGGTGCTGGGGCCTCTGAACATCCCACAGACTGTGGGGTGATGGTTCCAGCTTTGAAACGTCTTGTACACATAGGGTGTAGTACCGTGGGGAGGCTAGGATATGCCAGCTGCAGGACTACCTTGGGCTGGAAGGCAGGGTGCCTGGGTTCTATTCAGGGTTGATGGCCCCATAAGACAAGAGGGACACTATCCTACCTAAGATGCCCTTCTGGGGAACAGGGTGGTACCTATTCAATGGGGTATATGGAAGCTCTCCAGGTATCTACCCTTCAGATGAATTCTCCCTTCCACAAACAAGATGACCACCTCCTGTCTTCAGACAAGTAAATTATTCTTATTGCCATTTCACAGGTGAGGCTGTTAAGGCCCAACTATGAGGACGGGGTACAATTTCCCATTCCGTCTATATATTCTCGCACAGCTAATACAACCTCCCTAAAGGGGACACTGGGACCACTGCCAAGTCCAGCACTAGTGCTGGATCTGCAATGTTGAATTCTCCTTTTTTCTGAAAAGTCCAGAGTCAGAGGTTTAACCTTTAAGGAGAGTTAACCTTCTTCATTATCAAGCAGAGTCACCGTTCCCCTCCTCCTCCTCCTTCTCCTTTTCTTCTTCTTCTTCTTCCTGAAAATGCTTTTCTTTAAAAATGAAATATTCTACCACAGGCCTGAAGTCTTCTATCCTTTCCCCATGTCCTGCTCCCCACTCTTCTCCCCAAAGGCAACACCATTGCCAATTTGGAGTGTGTCTTCCTGGTTCCCATCCACACAGCCACCCATGGGTGTGCGTGAAGGGTCCTCTTTTCCCTACAAGGTGATGGGTCTGGAGAAATGGTTTTTTTGGTTTTGTTTTGTTTTGTTTTTTTGAGATGGAGTCTCACACTGTTGCCCAGGCTGGAGCACAGTGGCACGATCTCGGCTCACTGCAAGCTCTGCCTCCCAGGTTCACGCCATTCTCCTGCCTCAGCCTCCCATGTAGCTGGGACTGCAGGCACCCGCCACCACACCTGGCTAATTTTTTTTTTTTTTGTATTTTTAGTAGAGGCGGGGTTTCACCGTGTTAGCCAGGGTGGTCTTGATCTCCTGACCTCGTGATCTGTCCACCTTGGCCTCCCAAAGTGCTGGGATTACAGGCGTGAGCCACCACGCCCAGCCAAGAAATGGTTTTGATGGCACACTCTTTGCACCAGATATAGACAGTTTTTTCCCTCTTCCTTTCTCTCCTCAAAGAATCCTCTAACAACGGGTTCACTGCAATCCTTACTCTACTCTAATTGCGTTCTCTCTTTCACCATCCTCTGCACACCCCAAACAAAGGGGTCCTGGGAGAGACAGCCCTGGTGAGGAGAATAAGCAGGCAACAGTCCAGTGGCTGGGGAGGAAGCCTTTCCCGGGCAGTGGCAGAGAACCACAGAGGACTGAGCTCTTGCAAAATAATCTCCAGGGACCAGGCTTCATGGGAATGCTCCCAGCTGGCTTTGGAGACATTATCCCAGGCTGGAGAAGGACCGAACAACCCTTCTTTCCAGACAGGCAATATCAGATGTGGAAAAGTGAATTTGCTTGAGGACATTCTTACTTCTATACCAGTTAGGATCTTGCCAGACTCTGCAGAGAAACTGCCTGCTATGGAACCTGGTATGATTGAGCCTCTCTTTTGGTTTTAGGAAAATAAGGTGAAAGAGATCATTAATGGTTAGCATTAGCATGCCCGGGTTCTGCTCTTCTCGCACAGTTAGACCTTAATTAAGAACTTCCTGTCTTGTATTGTCTCCATATGAAACAGGAATGGGGAATAGATATTATTCTTCCCCTGAGATTTATAAGTTTATGTATTTATTCATGTATTTATTTATTTGTTTAAAAGATGGGGTCTCCTTTTTTCACTCAGGCTAGAGTGCAGTGGTGCAATATTGGCTCACTGCAACCTCAACCTCCCAGGCTCAAAGGATCTTCTCACCTCAGCCTCCTGAGTAGCTGGGACCACAGGTGGCACCACCACATCCGGCTAAGTTTTGCTTTTTTCATAGAGATGGGGCTTCACCATGTTGCCCAGGCTGGTCTCAAACTCCTGAGCTCAGGCAGTCCACCTGCCTGAGGCTCCCAAAGTGCTGGGATTACAGGTGTGAGCCACCACGCCCAGCCAAGATTTCTACGTTTAAAAGATTCATATTCTAGAAGGAAAGAGCTAGAAATTAAAGTAGCAGCACACAATGGAAAAAGCCTCACATTCAAATCCTGACTCTTCTACTTACTAACTGTCCTCCCGGGGCAGGTTTGTTTACATCTCCAGGTCTCACTTCCTTTCCTATTTTAAACTAGTATCTTCCAAAGTTATTCCGAGGAATGAATGAAATAACACTTACAAAAGGAGCTAGTTTGGTACTTCTTACATCATGGGCATTTAGTAAATAGTGATTTCATAACCTGTTTTGTTTTGTTTTCTTTTTTTTTTTTTTTTTGAGATGGAGTCTCACTCTGTGGCCCAGGCTGGAGTGCAGTTGCGAGATCATGGCTCACTGCAACCTCTGCCTCCTGGGCTCAAGCGATTCTCCTGCCTCAGGCTCCCGAGTAGCTGGGACTATAGGCGTGCACCACCACGCCTGAATAATTTTTTGTATTTTTAGTAGAGGTGGGGTTTTGCCATGTTGGCCGAGCTGGTCTCGAATTCTTGACCTCAGGTGATCCACCCGCCTCGGCCTCCTAAAGTGCTGGGATTACAGGCGTGAGCCACCATGCCCGGCCACCTGTTTTGTTTTCTTTGAGAGAGGCATTGTCTTCCTCCAATTCGTTTAATCCAGTGGACGTCATGCACTGAGAAAAAAATGGAATTATTTCTCCACTCCGAGTCTATGAACTGCCAAAACCCCAATCTCAATGACAGGTTCAAGATACTAAAAAACGTTTATAACAATGGTTCATTGAGAAAGCACTGAAAATGAAATGGACAGCTGAGGTAATTTTCCAGATAATCCCCACCCCAAATCGGGTAATGCCTGGCCTGATTGATCAGGACAGTTGCCTCAGGTCTCTGCTCCATCTTGCCCTCTGCAGCCTAGTTGTTTCATAAATACTTTGCTTAATTAAAAAATATATATATATATATAATGTTGATTCATTATGTATTTTAGACTGTATCAGGTAGCTCAAAGATTCTCTCTCTGAAGAACAGGAAATGGTTGTGTCTGTTACTCAAATGCTAATTTGTAATAGAAGTCCCAAACAATAATCATAATATCATCACTAACAATTGTCTTTGCAAAAGCCAAAAATGTAGCCCTGTCTATTGCCTTGTTTGTTTTTACTGTGTTTCTAATGAAGGGCCCAGGGGCGTATATGAGTACTACCAATTTGCAAGGAGAAAAGTGAAGGTCACCAGAGTGGTCCATGGACACACAGCGAAGCTATGTTCAAATGTGAACCACGATTCAAAGCTCCAGATCCCCCAAGAACCACTCTCAAGTGTGTTTAAAGAAGTTTAGAGTCGTCTCCTCTTCCTTCAGGGTGGGTCCAGCCTCAGGAGAGCCAGCTCATACCCTGACCCCGGTATAAGTTCAGGAATGCTGGAGGACCACACTTGCCCCCTCTCTACCCGCTTCAGCCAAAAGAATTCCTCCCACTTAGATACCTGAAGTGATTCACTCCTTGGAGGGCTCCCAATCACAGGTCCAAAGATGATCTGGGGCTGGTTGCATCAAACCCACTGAGTCAGCCTTGGGTGGAACCCAGGGATTCATATTTATTAAAAGCTGCCCAGGTGACACACAGCTAGATTTTAGAACCATGGCTTTAGAACTGAGCCTTGCCTTCCCAGCTATCCTAATTTGAAAATGCAGGACTCCTAGGAGGAATAAGCCGTGAACTGGACAGAACATAAATGTAAAATTTCCCTAGTCTTGAGAGACGGCTGTCCGTAAAAGTGCTCCCTGATCAAATCTGTTCAGCCATGCTAATTACACTTTTTGCCTTCTTGGAGATCCACCGTTCATATCAGCATAGTAAAAGCTCTTATAATTCTTAATAAAACCTGGTTGGCAGAGCATTTCCAAAACATATTTGATATAGAAACTTTTCCCCCTAACATTTGTTAATATTCCATAGGACACACTTTGAGGAGTGCTGACATTGTGTAAACCATTTTAACACCTTTTCCTCTGGGTAACCTGGAAAAGTAAGAGACACGGAAGCAGGAAAAGTGTGAAAAGGTTAAACAATATTACCAAGAAAAAGCATTCTTGTGTTTGTTTTGTTTTGAGATGGAATCTCTGTTGTTCAGGTTGGAGTGCAGTGACATGATCTCGGCTCACTGCAACCTCTGCTTCCCTAGTTCAAGTGATTCTCCTACCTTAGCCTCCCGAGTAGCTGGGATTACAGGCACGCGCCACCACACCCGGCTAATTGTTTGTATTTTCAGTAGAGATGGGTTTCACCATGTTGGCCAGGCTGGTCTTGAACTCCTGACCTCAGATGATCCACCCACCTTGGCCTCCCAAAATGCTGGGATTACAGGCATGAGCCACCGCACCCAGCCAAAAGCATTCTGTTTTATAGTTGCACTTGGGAACAGCTCAATTTTTTTTTTTTTTTTTGAGACGGAATCTCACTCTGTCACCCAGGCTGGAGTGCAGTGGTGCGATCTCGGCTCACTGCAACCTCCGCTTCCTGAGTTCAAGCAATTCTCTGCCTCAGCCTCCAGAGTAGCTGGGATTACAGGTGCCCACCATCATATCCGGCTAATTTTTGTATTTTTAGTAGAGACAGGGTTTCACCATCTTGGCCAGGCTGGTCTTGAACTCCTGACCTCATGATCCACCCACCTCGGCCTCCCAAAGTGCTGGGATTACAGGCATGAGCCACTGCACCCGGCTGGGAACAGCTCAATTTTAAGGTTTTATGCGATACTGTGTAGAAAAATCCCACTGATGTGAATGCAAACTTTATATATTTTCCTGATAAAGTGAGTCTTTACACATCAAAATTATTTCTGTTAGAAAAGTAATATGCAATTTTAAGTGGCTTTAGAGTTTACAAAGTCCTCAATATGTTGATATAATTCTTGTAGGTATTAAAATGAGTATTAATAGTTTTATTTTATGACAAGAATACCGACATTCAGTAAGCTTAAACAACTCATTTGAGAACTGAAAGGGGCTCAAAAACAAGCTAGTCCAATGACTCCTAAGCCTAACTCAGAAAATTCAGTGCCCTTGTTAACATCATAGGTTCCTAGAAATTCTGCTTCTGTAGGTCTTGGGAAGGCACAGGAACCTATCCATTTTTTTTTTCCTTTTTTGAGACAGGGTCTCACTCTGTTGCCCAGGCTGGAGTGCATTCCCATTGCAGCTCACTGCAGCCTCAACCTCTCAGGCTCAGGTGATCCTCCTACCTACCCAGTCACCCAAGTAGCTAGGCCTACAGGCATGCATCACCATGTCTGGCTAATTTTTGTATTTTTAGTAAAGATGGGGTTTTGCCAAGTTGCCCAGGCTGGTCTTGAACTCCTGAACTCAGGCAATCCACCTGCCTTGGAGTCCCAAAGTGCTGGAATTACAGGCCTGAGCCACTGTGCCTGGCTGGAACCTATCCTTTTAATTAACCAGGTGACTCTGATACTGCCTGTCAGTAGACCTACCTTTGGGTCTAATCCTCTCTTTTTCCATTGAGAAACCTAAGGCCCAGAAAGTTAAACTGAAGGACCTGAAATCACAGAGCCAGGACTCACAGATCTTTCTCATTCTAAGTGTACTTCTATAGCCCCTGAATCCTTAATGCCTCACATTGGAGCCAGGAAAGTCATGATAGCTCACGGAGGTCCATGGAAAATATTCAGTTAGCACATCTGGAGGTAAGACATAAAGGTACTTGAAGAGTCAGCTAATCTTTACAAACTGTCGGAGCCACATCTGTCCAATATTCCTACGACAACATCAGGAGATGGATCAAATCATTTTCCTATATGAACAAAGTAAAATTCTCACATTTGACATGTAATTATTTTCCTTCAAAAGCTGACTTGGTCTCTCAAAATCTGCCTCCACGCTTAAACCTTTCAGAAATCCCTCCTAGAATCCTCCAGCCCAACTCCTAACTCTTCCTTTGATCTCACCCCTCTTCAGCAGCTGTGCATCCAGTTGCCCTTGATGTGTTTTTGCTGACAGGTTGACCGTAAATGTTTCTGAGACCTGTTCATAAGGTCAGAGGCCATAAGAACTTGTGGAGTCTCCAGCCTTCTCTACAGGTAAAATTATGTCTTTTCATTACTGTGGATTGGCCCGCACTGGGTCTATACAATGTTAATAAATGTGGTCGGCCAGGCGTGGTGGCTCATGCCTGTAATCCCAGCACTTTGGGAGGCTGAGGCAGGCGGATCACTTAAGGTCAGGAGTCTGGGACAAGCCTGGTCAAAATGGCAAAACCCCGTCTCTACTAAAAACACAAAAATTAGCCAGGCGTGGTGGCAGGTATCTGCAATCCCAGCTACTCAGGAGGCTGAGGCAGGAGAATCACCTGAACCTGGGAGGCAGAGGTTGCAGTGAGCCGAGATTGTGCCACTGCACTCCAGCCTGGGCGACAGAGTGAGACTGAATCTCAAAACGACAACAAAAACAACAACAACAAACAATATTAATAAATGTTGTCAGCTGTACAGAAAAAACTCTGGCTGAGAGACGGGAACCCTAGATCAGATCCCTGCTCTGCCACTAACTCACTGGTTGCCTTCAGGCAGGTAATTTCAACACTTTGTGCTTCAATGTCCTCATCAATAATTGAGTGAATAAGACTAGATCAATATTTCCCAAGACATGTTCCAAAGGACGGTTGCTAAGGAGGTTGATGGTTGTTGTAAGAAAACAGCACTCTGTGGTTAAGGCGGCTGGTGCAGGACATCTCAGAGCCTCTAATGTGCATTCTGAATCTCCAGTGGGGGCTTGGCCGACACAGAACCCTTTTTTAGGAGGTACCGCATTAGGTTAATGTTCTACAAAACTCACTTGGCCAGAGGCTGGCAAGAATGAGCTCCAGGGTCGCTTACAGGATAAAGAGATGTGAATAGCAGAGTAAGCACTGGACAGGAGCTGGGAGACGGGTTCAAAACTCTTCCACTTACAAACTGTATGATGGTAGTAAGCACATCAACCTGCCTGAGCCTCAGTTTCCTCATTGTACCTCACAGGATTGTGGTGAAGGTAATGCACAAATGCCAAACGCATGCTTTGAATAAAATAAGTGCTTAACTTCTATCAGAACTTGGCTATCTTGCTATCTGGCATTCAATTTTATCAATAGCTTTATCAACAGCTCCATTGGATTTCCTTCTGAAACAGCTCTATGCATCCACCCCTAAACTATATACACTTTTTTTTTTTTTTTTTTTTTTTTTTTTGAGACAGAGTCTCGCTCTGTCACCCAGGCAGGCTGGAGTGCAATGGCACGATCTCGGCTCACTGCAACCTCCACCTTCCAAGTTCAAGCGATTGTGCTGCCTCAGCCTCCTGAGTAGCTGGAACTACAGGCGCCTGCCACCACGCCTGGCTAATTTTTGTATTTTTAGTAGAGACCGGGTTTCACCGTGTTAGCCAGGATGGTCTTGATCTCCCGACCTCATGATCCACCTGCCTCAGCCTCCCAAAGTGCTGTGATTACAAGCGTGAGCCACTGTGCCCAGCCAACTATATACTTTTTTTTTTTTTTTTTTTTTTTTTTTAGACAGAGTCTCACTCTGTCGCCCAGGCTGGAGTGCAGTGGCGCAATCTTGACTCACTGCAAGCTCCGCCTCCCGGATTCACGCCATTCTCCTGCCTCAGCCTCCCAAGTAGCTGGGACTAAAGGTGCCCACGACCAAGCCCGGCTAATTTTTTTTTTTTTTTTTTTGAGACGGAGTTTTGCTCTTATTGCCCAGGCTAGAGTGCAGTGGTGCAATCTCGGCTCACTGCAACCTCCGGCTTCCAGTTTCAAGCGATTCTCCTGCCTCAGCCTCCCAAGTAGCTGGGATTACAGGCACCCACCACCACGCCCAGCTAATTTTTTTGTATTTTTAGTAGAGACAGGGTTTCACTGTGTTAGCCAGGATGGTCTCAATCTCCTGACCTTGTGATCTGCCTGCCTCAGCCTCCCAAAATGCTGGGATTGCAGTCGTGAGCCACCGCGCCTGGCCATACATTTTAAGAAGAGTTCTGCAAACAGCCCCGACCATTCTCTCAACCTGCCCGAGAGCTTTGAGCTCCCTTTCCTTCACCCATTCTCTAGCAGGAAGGTATTATATAACCAGACCTGAAGTTTAACACAGCCAGGTATGTGACTGAACTTCAGGCTTGAGAGTTTGTGCACCACAGCCCTAGAGCTCCTCCAACAGAGGTGGGTACCGTGGGAAGTTTGCTGGGAAGACTCCGGTCAGCTGATGAGTGGTTTTAGGCAGTGAGTGGAACAGACTGTTTCCAACACACAGCGGAGCCCACTCAAGCCTCAGGAATGTTATAACCTTTCCTCACCGGAAGTCAGGTGTTTGTCTAGCTTGACCCAGGTCAAGGCGTGCTTGGACTGAATAGAGCCAGTCTTTTCCCCCAGCTGAGCCTATCTGTTTTGACCCAGTCAGGGCCAGGAGTCACAGGAGATACAGGCTGGAGGTTAATAATAGTGGTAGAAGGTAGATTTCTTGTGCAATTTGCATTCAATGAAGAGCCAGAAAAAGTGACTTGATTAATAGGATATCAACATGGGTCGTGGGGAGCCAATACCCCAGTACTTTGGATAGAAAGCCTATGGTTCTGAACTGAAGGATTCTGATGCTTTCTTCATCAAACAGTGAGCAATGCCAGGCACAATTCTAAGGGCCTTACATGTGTTAAGTCCTTCAATCCTCACTATTCTGTGAGGTAGGTTCTGTTATTATCCTTCTTTGTATAAGCACAGAGAGGTTAACTAACTTGGTTAAATTTCCATGCCTATTTAGTGATGACTTTGCTGAATTCAGGTTCTAGAACCTGTGATGCTATCCACCTTACTAGACTGCTTCTTTAAAGTTAAATAAGGGCCTCACTCTGAAGTCACTAATTGAGCTGTGAAAAGCAGTTTCATTCAAGCTAGTATTTCATAAAGCAAGGCAGAATGACTTTGCAAAGAACACAGGCCAAGAAACCAGAAATTGGGACCCAAGCATGGCCACCCACCTGAATTCCACTCAGATCAATGCTCCTCTGGTTGTTTGACTTCCCGGACTTCCCTCCCCTAAGGGCACAGAGCTCTCACCAAACCTGAGATTTCACACACAAGCGGCCTGCTTAGCAGGTACCATCTCCACCAAAACACACATTTGAAGAGCTGTAACCTCAGCTCCATCTTCCTGGTATCCTTCCTCCTTAACCTTAGAAGGTACAAAGAGGAGGGCCAGGCACAATGGCTCATGCTGGTAATCCCAGCACTTTGGGAGGCCAAGGTGGGCAGATCCCTTGAGTCCAGGAGTTCGAGACCAGCCTGGGCACATGGTGAAAACCCATCTCTATAAAAAATACAGAAATTAGCTGGGTGCGGTGGCACATGGCTGTAGTCCCAGCTACTTGGCAGGTAGCTGAAGTGGGAGGATCACTTGAGCCTGGGAGGTTGAGGCTGCGGTGAGCCAAGATTGAGCCACTGCACTCCAGCCTGGGTGACAAAGAAAGACCCTGTCGAAGAAGAAGAAGCAGCAGCAGCAGAAAAAGAAGAAGAAGAAGAAGCAGAAGAAGCAGAAGAAGAAGCAGAAGAAGAAGAAGCAGAAGAAGAAGAAGAAGAAACAAAGGGGAGGATGCAACTTGGAGAGGTGAGAGTCCAGTTCATTGAGTCAACAATTATTTTATAAGTGCCTCCTGCAGGACTGGCACTGCTGGGCACTCAAGGGACCAAGATTAGTCAGATCAAGATAGTTCCCTTTAGCAGCTCCCAGACTATAAGAGAGAAAAGACCTATACAATCATGGGAATATGAAAGACAAGGTATTCAGTGCTCCATGAGGCACAAGAAAGCTCTATAGGACTTGGGAGAGGAGTAGCTGGCTGGAGGAATCACAGAAGGCTTCCTGGAGGAAGTGGCTTTGAGCTTCTGCCATCTCCATGCAGCTACTCCAAGCTCCAGAGCCAGCCACGGAGCACTCCTGGAACTCTTTGCAGGATCCATCTCGAAGTTCTGACTCCCAGCAGAGAAACAACACTGGTAGGCTGAACTGGCCCAGGGCCCTGCCAGCCGCTTTCTCCCTCCACTTATTCCAACGAAACTGTCAGATTTTCCTGAATGCAGTTTTTGCTTTAAAGTGGCAAGGGTTGGGGAGTTGGGGGTGGGGTGGGGATAGCTTCACAAGTTAATCCACTAATGTTTCACCTGCTTCTTCTCTGTGTTGCCAGGCCCAGCCCCTAGGAGAAAGCCTAACTGCAGTAAAGGAGTCCTGGAGACAGGACAAGAATGAAGTCAATGAAGCATAGCAGGAGTGGAGATAAAGGTGCTTTCTTGGGCCTCACTGCCCTGGGGTGACTTATCCAGTTAATTTTTTTCCCTCCTCCTCTCTCTTTCTCCCCCTTACTCTGCTGACTCTAAAGGCCCTGGGAAGATGTGTGATCATGTTTATATGAGACTGTCTTAGGAGATTGCCAGAAGGCCTATTTCTCTAGTTGTACTTGCCTTCTTGTGCTCCTGTAAGAAGACACAGAGATAGAGGATTATGTTGCCCTATGACTCAGATGGAGGGGTAAGGGGCAGAGGCAGAGGCAGACAAGGTGAGAGGCATAGCAAAGACCACACAGCAAGCTGCTACCCACATCCCTAAGAAGTATCCGAACCCCCAGAAGTTCTAATAAACATTATTCCCATTGCTGATAGTTAATTTTTCCCAATCATTCATCCATTTCTCCATTCCATAGAAATTTATTGAACATCTATTATAGATGCGACAAAATAAAAGTCTGGGTGTGGTGGCTCATGCCTATAATCCCAGCACTTTGAGAGGCCCAGATGGAAGAATCCCTTGAGCCCAGGAGCTTGAGTCCAGCCTGGGCAAACTAGGCAAGACCCCATCTCTACAAAAAAATTAAAAGTTAAGTTTTGTCAATGGCCATAGCTTATTCTCAAATATTAATCTCCCTAAAAACTGTAACACACAAAAAGGGAAAGTCTTGATACATTTTTAGGTTTAATTCCATTTGTTTCAGGGGATGGTTTGCATGTGCCTCGTTCAACTGCTTACAACGCTGTGAAATTCCATAATCATTGAATTGATTTATTCTCAGAGAACAGATGTCCACATATATTTGCTGCCATTAGCAATGTATTTATTCATTTATTCATTCATTCACTTGGAAAACATTGTCCAAATACTTCATGCTACTGAGTGTATTCTGGTGGGGAGAGCAGAGTTAGTGATGGGGAGGTGGACACACAGGTGGCCCCAAAACACAGAATTAATGCCCCTTCATTGTCTAGCACTTGCTATCTGCATCTTGTTGGAGTTCCTCTCAAGCCCTATGAGGTAGTGCTATGGGCCTTTTTGTACAGAGGGGAAAACGTGGAGACTCAGAGAGTTTAGGTAACTGTACCAGGGCCCCATAGCTGCAAGCAAGAAGCAGACACACCCTAATAGATTCCCACACAAAGCAGGCACGTGAACTCTGCTGAAGGAAGAAGAGGAGGAATCAACGACCTATGCTCATCTGCTGGACGTCTCTCTAAGAGCACGGACCCCTGCCTATGGACCAGGGGCAACCATTCAAGGCCTTTACAGAGTTAGGAATGAAGTTATCTGATCCAAGGCAGGAAGATAAGGATGTTGTAACCGTTCACTATGGTGTGCTCCTTTCAAAGGCTTCTTCATCATCCCTGGAGGGGGATTGTACGAACTCTCAGGGTTGGGAGAGGAAGGGGGCAGCTAGAGAGACTGCAGCTTGGTGGGTGAAATGGAAGCAGGGATTGCATGCACCACAGCTCGCTTCTTTGTAACCAAGGCAGAATGGAAGAGGAAGGCCTTTGGAATAACTTTCCTAAATAAGCCAACAGGCCATTTAGGCGAAGGTGGGGGTCGGGGGACACAATGTGACTCCAGTGGGTGGCCGTAGCAGAGGTGACAAAGAGGAAACGGCCCCCTGGCCTTGGCCCCAGGCTTCAGGATGAATGAGGCCTCTCCCAGCGACCTGAAGGTCACCCCAGGGCATGTCCCAAGACCTTGTACAGACAAGGCTTCTGATTACTCATTAGCCAGCCTGGGGACTGGCCTCCATGTTGCTGTCCTTGGCCATAAACAGATGAAAGCCCCAGCCGCCAGCTCAGGGCAGGCGGGCCTGATAGTCTAGTAGCTATCTCAGCCCCTGGAATTATCAAAGCCTGGAGCAGCCCAGACAGAGGAGGGAGGCTGGGCTTTCAAACACTTCTGTGCCCTTCACAACTCCTCCTCCCCTCTTACCCCTCACCCAAACAAACAGAAGGAAAAAAAAATCCCATCATACTAGACAGGATTTTAACAGATGGCTTCCAGGGCAAAGATTGCCTGAACCAGCTTCGGCAAGGACATGCCAAGATATGCTGATGAGAGGGAAGGAATCCTTCTGAAACCCCTGGAATGGACTGTTCTATCCTTGCTTCAAGGCTGAGAAAAAAGGCATCTTGGATGCAGATTCAGGGTGGGGCCAAGACACCCGAAGGCCTCGGTCCTGCTCAATCTCTGCCTTCTCACCTCCCCCCTTCTTTAGAGGGCCGTGGGTAGGTACCCATATGGGCATGCCTTCTGTTGCTTCTCCAAGCCTCTCCCACTCAGCCCTCTCTGACTGAGATTTGAAGTCTAGAAAGCAGCAAGTCCTTCCCTCCACCTTGTCTGAGAAAATCCAGTTATCCACTCCAAGTCTCTACTCCCCTACCATGAACCTGGCCCTGGGACCAACCCCACAACCAGGCAGCTCTCTTGACCCTGGGTCTTTGTCCGCTGTCCATAAATCAAAGTGGTAGGTTGATATTCTGTAGAGAGAAATGGAAACAGAACCAGAAAGTCCTGCTATTCAGAGCCTCCAGAGCTCTATCTTGACCAATACCTAACAGTAATAAAACACCAACATGGCAAAACAGCCACGGCAGCAGCCCAGATAGAAACAGGAAATCTTCATTCATTCCATTTTCTCAGCATTTGGAACACATTTAGAATGACTATAACGTGGTAGTTGTCAAATGGATCCAAAGACCTGGTCCCTGATCTCAAGAAGTTCCTAAACTTGGGGAAGAATAATGTAAATAAACAATAACATCAGGAGCTACCATTTATTGAGTACCTACGATGTGCGGTTTCACACAGCAATGACGCGGCATGGCACTATCATCCCCCTTTTACAAAACAGGCCACTGAAACTCAAAGAGTACAAGGCCAGGTGAGAGTCTGGGAGTCATACCTAACCTGGTGGGTGTGACTCAGGTAGGGAGGCTTGTTAAAAAATTATTCAATGACACTTATGAAAACTTTATTCAGGACCATCGAGACAGGGGTAGGGACCATGGCAATGGAATTTTGCAGTGGGCAGGGAGCGGGGAGAGGTTGGGCTCAATTCTGATGCAGCAATGTATAGCCAAGGAGCAGGGTGGGGGTCAGTGGTGGAAAATTACTAAGAGGAAACATAAGGGGATTCCAGCTGAACAACTTAGCAGGATTCACACTGAAGATGGGCCAGGGTGATGAGATGTCACCTGGGGCCTGGTGGAGGAGGAGGAGCCTAATCAGATATTGAAGGGTGGGGTGGTGGGGAGGTTCTTGCTAAACTGACTTTGCAAGGCTCTTGCTAAAATTAGATTTTACAAGGAAGTGCACAGATGGGCCTTGAAGAACGTTCGGGAACCTGCCTCAAGTTTGGTCCAGCAAGGACTCCATCAGGAGAAGACATATTTAACACTGTCAGCCACTTGGGAATTTTTCTTCTCACTCGGTGTCCCAAGCTGCTTCTCCCCTTACCTGTCCCGTTGTGTCTTTTCTGCCTGCTTTGTTTCTTGCCTTCCCCCTTTTCCCCTTGAGTCTAGATTGGATCCCCACCTCTCTTTTCTTCTGCTACCCATTGAATCCATTCCTAGGGCTTTCTTCATCATCTTTTTACTTGCAATTTCCAAGCCTGTATCTGCAGCTCCCACCTCACTCCATGCTCCAGATCCCCATTTCCATCTCCAGTAACTTCAGATACCTAAAACCACCTTGCCATTCTCAGGCTACTTTGTTCAGTATCTCTTTGCCCCTTGCTTGAACCATTTTATTTTATTTTTTTATTTTTTGATACAGAGTCTTGCTCTGTCGCCCAGGCTGGAGTGCAGTGGCGCGACCTCAGCTCACTGCAACCTCTACTGCCCGAGTTTCAGCAATTCTCCTGCCTCAGCCTCCTGAGTAGCTGGGACTACAGGCATGCGCCATCACACCTGGCTAATTTTTTGTATTTTTAGTAGAGACGGGGTTTCAGCACGTTGGCCAGGCTGGTCTTGAACTCCTGACCTCAAATGATCTGCCTGCCTTGGCCTCCCAAAGTGCTTTGCGGACAAAGACCCAGGGTCAAGAGAACAGCCTGGTTGTGGGGTTGGTCCCAACGTGCCCAGCCCAGCCGTGTGGACCATTTTAATGGCTTGAATCTCCTCTGTCATTTTAGTTTCTTCCTATTCCAGGTTACCTTACATGTGTCATCTTGATTTCTCTTCCTAAATATCTCTTTTCTTACAGGACGACCATACTCAAAATATCTTCAGTGGTCCCCTAATGCCTATAGAGTTGTGCCTAGATACAGGCACAGCTCTCTACATTCTGGTGCCAACCTGTCCTCTCCTCTTCTCAGACCCTATACCCCAGGGCCACTCACTATTTCCCCAGTGCATGTCAGTGCTTTTGTGCCCCATGCCCTCTTCAGACTTCTGCCCCTGCCCCTTCAGGATACTGTTAAAACAGGTGTCTTTTATGGATCCAGTCTTGATTCCCATGGCCAGATGTGGGCTCTTCCTACCTGAACTGCCATAGCACTTTGTTGTTTCATGTCCTTGGGTATTAGAGTTTGGTCTCACCTTGCAGTGTGGTGCCAGGTCAGGAGCTTAAGTAGTGAAGTTGGAATGGGTTTGAATTCTGGCTCAGCAACTTTCTAACAGTGTGACCACAGGCTCTTTAATGTGAGCCTTTTTCTACCATCTGTAAAACGGGCAAAAGGATATAAGCTTGCTGGGAAAGTTTGAAGTAATACATGTAAAAGCACCCTACACGAGTGACAGGCCTCTGAGCCCAAGCCAAGCCATCGCATCCCCTGTGACTTGCACGTATACGCCCAGATGGCCTGAAGTAACTGAAGAATCACAAAAGAAGTGAATATGCCCTGCCCCACCTTAACTGATGACATTCCACCACAAAAGAAGTATAAATGGTCGGTCCTTGCCTTAACTGATGACATTACCTTGTGAAAGTCCTTTTCCCGGCTCATCCTGGCTCAAAAAGCACCCCCACCGAGCACCTTGCGACCCCCACTCCTGCCCGCCAGAGAACAAACCCCCTTTGACTGTAATTTTCCTTTACCTACCCGAATCCTATAAAACGGCCCCACCCTTATCTCCCTTCGCTGACTCTCTTTTCGGACTCAGCCCGCCTGCACCCAGGTGAAATACACAGCCATGTTGCTCACACGAAGCCTGTTTGTTGGTCTCTTCACACAGACGCGCATGAAATTTGGTGCTGTGACTCGGATTGGGGGACCTCCCTTGGGAGATCAATCCCCTGTACTCCTGTTCTTTGCTCCGTGAGAAAGATCCACCTATGATCTCAGGTCCTCAGACCGACCAGCCCAAGGAACATCTCACCAATTTTAAATCAGGTAAGCGGCCTCTTCTTACTCTCTTCTCCAACCTCTCTCACTGTCCCTCAACCACTTTCTCCTTTCCACTCTTCAATCTCTCCCTTCTCTTAATTTCAATTCCTTTCATTTTCTGGTAGAGACAAAGGAGACACGTTTTATCCGTGGACCCAAAACTCCGGCGCCAGTCACGGACTGGGAAGGCAGCCTTCCCTTGGTGTTTAATCAGTGCAGGGACGCCTCTCTGATTATACACCCACGTTTCAAGGGTGTCAGACCACGCAGGGACGCCTGCCTTGGTCCTTCAACCTCAGCGGCAAGTCCCGCTTTTCTGGGGTAGGGGCAAGTAGCTCAACCCCTTCTCTCCTTGTCTCTACCCCTTCTCTGCTTTTCTGGGAGAGGGGCAAGTACCCCTCAACCCCTTCTCCTTCACCCTTAGCGGCAAGTCCCGCTTTCCTAGGGGGCAAGAAGCCCCCAATAGCTTATTTCCGCACCCCAACCTCTTATCTCTGTGCCCCAATCCCTTATTTCCGCACCCTGACCTCTTATCTCTGTGCCCCAATCCCTTATTTCCGTGCCCCAACTCCTTCTCTGCTTTTCTGGAGGGCAAGAACCCCCCACCCCTTCTCCGTGTCTCTACTCTTCTCTGGGCTTGCCTCCTTCACTATGGGTAAGCTTCCACCTTCCATTCCTCCTTCTTCTCCCTTAGCCTGTGTTCTCAAAAACTTAAAACCTCTTCAACTCACACCTGACCTAAAACCTAAATGCCTTATTTTCTTCTGCAATGCCGCTTGACCCCAATACAAACTCGACAGTAGTTCCAAATAGCCAGAAAATGGCACTTTGAATTTTTCCATCCTGCAAAATCTAAATAATTCTTGTCATAAAATAGGCAAACGATCTGAGGTGCCTGACGTCCAGGCATTCTTTTACACATCAGTCCCGTCCTAGTCTCTGTGCCCAGTGCAACTCGTCCCAAATCTTCCTTCTTTCCCTCCCGCCTGTCCCCTCAGTACCAACCCCAAGCGTCGCTGAATCTTTCTAATCTTCCTTTTCTACAGACCCACCTGACCTCTCCCTTCCTCCCAGGCTGCTCCTCGCCAGGCCGAGCTAGGTCCCAATTCTTCCTCAGCCTCTGCTCCTCCACCCTATAATCCTTTTATCACCTCCCCTCCTCACACCTGGTCCGGCTTACAGTTTCGTTCCGTGACTAGCCCTCCCCCACCTGCCCAGCAATTTACTCTTAAAAAGGTGGCTGGAGCTAAAGGCATAGTCAAGGTTAATGCTCCTTTCTCTTTATCCCAAATCAGAAGCGTTTAGGCTCTTTTTCATCAAATATAAAAATCCAGCCCAGTTCATGGCTCGTTCGGCAGCAACCCTGAGACACTTTACAGCCCTAGACCCTAAAAGGTCAAAAGGCCGTCTTATTCTCAAAATACATTTTATTACCCAATCTGCTCCCAACATTAAATAAAACTCCAAAAATTAAATTCCGGCCCTCAAACCCCACAACAGGATTTAATTAACCTCGCCTTCAAGGTGTACCATAATAGAAAAAAGTTGCAATTCCTTGCCTCCACTGTGAGACAAACCCCAGCCACATCTCCAGCACACAAGAACTTCCAAACGCCTGAACCGCAGCGGCCAGGTGTTCCCCCAGAACCTCCTCCCCCAGGAGCTTGCTACACGTGCCGGAAATCTGGCCACTGGGCCAAGGAATGCCCGCAGCCCGGGATTCCTCCTAAGCCGCGTCCCATCTGTGCGGGACCCCACTGGAAATCGGACTGTTCGACTCACCTGGCAGCCACTCCCAGAGCCCCTGGAACTCTGGCCCAAGGCTCTCTGACTGACTCCTTCCCAGATCTTCTCGGCTTAGCGGCTGAAGACTGACGCTGCCCGATCGCCTCAGAAGCCCCCTAGACCATCACCGACGCTGAGCTTCGGGTAACTCTCACAGTGGAAGGTAAGCCCGTCCCCTTCTTAATCAATACGGAGGCTGAGTAGCCTCCACATTACCCTCTTTTCAAGGGCCTGTTTCCCTTGCCTCCATAACTGTTGTGGGTATTGACGGCCAGGCTTCTAAACCTCTTAAAACTCCCCAACTCTGGTGCCAACTTAGACAATACTCTTTTAAGCACTCCTTTTTAGTTATCCCCACCTGCCCAGTTCCCTTATTAGGCTGAGACACTTTAACTAAATTATCTGCTTCCCTGACTATTCCTGGACTACAGCTGTATCTCATTGCCGCCCTTCCTCCCAATCCAAAGCCTCCTTTGCGTCCTCCTCTTGTATCCCCCCACCTTAACCCACAAGTATAAGATACCTCTACTCCCTCCTTGGCGACCGATCATGCACCCCTTACCATCTCATTAAAACCTAATCACTCTTACCCCACTCAACTTAAAGTGCCAATATCCCATCCCGCAGCATGCTTTAAAAAGATTAAAGCCTGTTATCACTCGCGTGCTACAGCATGGCGTTTTAAAGCCTACAAACTCTCCTTACAATTCCCCCATTTTACCTGTCCTAAAACCAGACAAGCCTTACAAGTTAGTTCAGGATCTGCGCCTTATCAACCACATTGTTTTGTTGCCTATCCACCCCATGGTGCCAAACCCATATACTCTCCTATCCTCAATACCTGCCTCTACAACCCATTATTCTGTTCTGGATCTCAAACATGCTTTCTTTACTATTCCTTTGCACCCGTCATCCCAGCCTCTCTTCGCTTTCACTTGGACTGACCCTGACACCCATCAAGCTCAGCAAATTACCTAGGCTGTACAGCCGCAAAGCTTCACAGACAGCCCCCATTACTTGAATCAAGCCCAAATTTCTTTTTCATCTGTTACCTATCTCGGCATAATTCTCATAAAAGCACACGTGCTCTCCCTGCCAATCGTGTCCGACTGATCTCTCAAACCCAAGCACCTTCTACAAAACAACTCCTTTCCTTCCTAGGCATGGTTAGCTCAGTCAGAATTCTCACACAAGAGCCAGGACCACACCCTGTAGCCTTTCTGTCCAAACAACTTGACCTTACTGTTTTAGCCTAGCCCTCATGTCTGCGTGCAGTGGCTGCCGCTGCTTTAATACTTTTAGAGGCCCTCAAAATAGGTAGAGGCCTTTCCTGCAGGGTCTGAGAAGGCCACCGCAGTCATTTCTTCCATTCTGTCAGACATAATTCCTCAGTTTAGCCTTCCCACCTCAATACAGTCTGATAACAGACGAGCCTTTATTAGTCAAATCAGCCAAGCAGTTTTTCAGGCTCTTAGTATTCAGTGAAAGCTTTATATCCCTTACGGTCCTCCGTCTTCAAGAAAAGTAGAATGGACTAAAGGTCTTTTAAAAACACACCTCACCAAGCTCAGCCACCAACTTAAAAAGGACTGGACAATACTTTTACCACTTTCCCTTCTCAGAATTCAGGCCTATCCTCAGAATGCTACAGGGTACAGCCCATTTAAGCTCCTGTATAGACGCTCCTTTTTATTAGGCCCCAGTCTCATTCCAGACACCAGACCAACTTAGACTGTGCCTCAAAGAAAAAAAAAAATTGTCATCCCTACTATTTTCTGTCTGGTCATACTCCTATTCACCGTTCTCAACTACTCATACATGCCCTGCTCTTGTTTACACTGCCAGTTTACACTGTTTTTCCAAGCCATCACAGCTGATATCTCCTGGTGCTATCCCCAAACTGCCACTCTTAACTCTTGAAGTAAATAAATCATCTTTGCTGGCAGGACTATGCTGAATCTCCTTAGGCACTCTCTAATCAGACATCCTGAGTCGTCCCAATTCTTAGACCTTTTATACCTGTTTTTCTCCTTCTGTTATTCCATTTAGTTTTTCAATTCATACAAAACCGTATCCAGGCCATCACCAATCATTCTATATGACAAATGTTTCTTCTAACATCCCCACAATCTCACCCCTTACCACAAGACCTCCCTTCAGCTTAATCTCTCCCACTCTAGGTTCCCACGCCGCCCCTAATCCCGCTTGAAGCAGCCCTGAGAAACATCGCCCATTCTCTCTCCATACCACCCCCCAAAAATGTTCGCTGCCCCAACACTTCAACACTATTTTGTTTTATTTTTCTTATTAATATAAGAAGGCAGGAATGTCAGGCCTCTGAGCCCAAGCCAAGCCATCGCATCCCCTGTGACTTGCACGTACACGCCCAGATGGCCTGAAGTAACTGAAGAATCACAAAAGTGAATATGCCCTGCCCCACCTTAACTGATGACATTCCACCACAAAAGAAGTGTAAATGGCCGGTCCTTGCCTTAACTGATGACATTACCTTGTGAAAGTCCTTTTCCCGGCTCATCCTGGCTCAAAAAGCACCCCCACTGAGCACCTTGCGACCCCCCACTCCTGCCCGCCAGAGAACAAACCCCCTTTGACTGTAATTTTCCTTTACCTACCCGAATCCTATAAAACGGCCCCACCCTTATCTCCCTTCGCGGACTCTCTTTTCGGACTCAGCCCGCCTGCACCCAGGTGAAATACACAGCCATGTTGCTCACACAAAGCCTGTTTGGTGGTCTCTTCACACGGACGCACATGAAAACGAGCAAGTGATAGTAGGCAGTAATTATAAATACTATGATGCGGCCGGGCACGGCGGCTCATGCCTGTAATCCCAGCACTTTGGGAGGCCGAGGCAGGCGGATCACCTGAGGTCGGGACTTCAAGACCAGTTTGACAGACATAGAGAAACCCCATCTCTACTAAAAATATAAAATTAGCCAGGCAGGGTGGTACATGCCTGTAATCCCAGCTACTAGGGAGGCTGAGGCAGGAGAATCACTTGAACCTGGGAGGCGGAGGTTGCGGTGAGCCGAGATTGTGCCATTGCACTCCAGTCTGGGCAATAAGGGCGAAACTCCATCTCAAAACAAACAAACAAACAAACAAAAAAAGCAAAAAAACTCATGCAATTATTTATTCCTCACTAGAACATAAATTCCTTGAGATTTGGGCTGACCAGCTTTTATTAATTTTTGCATCCATCCCAGTCATTAGCACAGCACCAGGAATACAGAACTCTTTCAAGCAGTGTTAGTTAAATGCTGACTGAGAAGGAGGAATTGCGATTTTCTTGTGTCTCCTTCGCCACTTGTTTTGTCAGTCTGACCCACTGCCTCCCTGCGGTCAGAGCCTCCACAGTCTCTATCCTGGCCCTTTGCAACTGCCTGCCTCTGATTCTGCACACCACAGTGCTGCAGTATCTATGGGCATGCCATATGTATAAGATGTTATTTAGGGACTTGCCTGAAAGAACTCAGTCGGGTCAGGCGTGGTGGCTCACGCCTGTAATCCCAGCACTTTGGGAGGACACGGAGGGAGGATCACCTGAGGTGGGGAGTTTGAGACCAGCCTGACCAACATGGAGAAACCCCATTTCTACTAAAAATATAAAATTAGCCCGGTGTGGTGGCGCGTGCCTGTAATCCCAGCTATTCAGGAGGCTGAGGCAGGAGAATCGCTTGAACCTGGGAGGCGGAGGTTGCGGTGAGCTGAGATCACGCCATTGCACTCCAGCCTGGGCGACAAGAGCCAAACTCCATCGGAAAAAAAAAAAGGAGAAGAATTCAGTTGTAGGTGCAAATGAATGCTGAGAGCTTCTCAATGGAATAGGCATTGTAAATCACTCTGAAGTTGGGATGAAACACTACGAAATCCTGCCATGCAAATCGCAATACCCTAAACCTCTGTCAAAGTGGCCCTGAAACCCCTGGAGACCTGGCAGGAGGTTCCTTTCTGTTGCCTGGCACTTAGCCGTTCTGAGTCTGGCTAAACACCAGCAACCCGGAGGCATATAAAAACTGAAAGCCCCAACCCCAGGCCCTAGATGAGAATGCAGTCTCGCCCCTTGGCACTTTCTCCATCCCATAAAGCAGAGTGAAATCCTATACGTGGGAAAATGTGGGGCAATTGGCTAAGGTGGCCTCGTTACCCCACCCATCCTTCTTGCTTACTTCTGGTGGCTTATCCTAGAATCAAGGCCCGAGATTGTCCATAACTCAGGTGGACGTCCGAGCCAGGGGTGACCACAGAGAGCCCCAATCTCCGGCCTTTGCAGCTGTGCTGGGGAATGCTCCAGGCCAAGGCCCTTGAGCCTGGGAGGGGAGAGCACTGGTTGCAGATGCGAGCTTGCAGGAAGCTTTGATGTTCCGAGCAGGATTGGGAGGCGTGGGAAGTGAGACTTCTGTTCCCTTGAGCTCCCATGAAGCGAAGCCTTTCCGTTATCTTATAACCCGCAGCATAGCCTAAAGGTGCTGGCTAAAGTCTGCCTTGGCCCAGAATACATCAGGCCAGAACCAAAGAAATCAAATCAAAGTGGAAAATTAGACACTGTGCAGGGGAAAGCTCTCCTCTCCAAAATATATATGCATCAAACTGTACCCCCGTCTAGCTGGGACAGGAGCCATCAAAATGCAAATGTGGGTTTTGGGAATGCTAATGTTGGAAGTGGAGAACAATACTGAGACAGACTTCTTGGGGCCAGGGAGAGGGCCCCAGGGCAGGATGTGGGAGCCGAGTTGGGGGCAGGGATGAAAGGGGCAAAGGAAACTGAGAGAGAGACTGGAGATGAGAGAACAGCAGGAGTCGATTGAGGTTGAAAGGCTGCTGGGGCAGGACTAGGAAAGGGGAGCGCTGAGAGACCGGTCAGAGGACCTGACCGCTGACCGCTGACCCGAGGCTGCGTGCCCAGGAAAGAGGAGGGGGAGTTCAGGGAAACTTCTCTGAGTGGCAGCCCAGCGGGGAGGAGAGTCAGGACGTGCCTGGACTCTCAGGCCTGGGCTTAAGGTCAAGGCCTGGAGAAACAGACAGAAAGATGTGTGTTTCCGTAAGAGCAGGGAAGCCAGGAGGTGTGCTCCGCTTTTGTGCTACTGGCATGTGAGCGAGAGGCCTTGAAGGAAGGGCTTGAGACCCGGGAGCCAGACTGAAGCCAGGGTTGGGTTCAAGGGGGTCTCACTGAGAGCCGCTTCCCTGGGTTTAATTTTGCTCTTCCTGGGAGGACTGAATACGTCAAAGCAGAGCCTGGCACGGCGTCAATGCTTTATGGATGTTTGTTGTTATCTTTGTAGATGAAGAAACTGGGGCTCTGAATGGCATATTAACGCGTGCAGCTCCAGACAGCGAGGAAGTGATGGCAACTCTATCCGAACTCAAATCTGCCAGACCTATACCAGTAGGTGCCTGTGTGCAGTTGGGGACTCACCTCTGCCAGTGCTGGCATGAGCTAGCTGTCTTGAACTGAAAACAGACACTCAAAGATGGGCTGTGGGATCCCAGAGAGGTGGCAGAATGGTCAAAGCTATGAAGCCAACAGCTGCTGCCAACAAGAAAGTCCTGAGCCCTGAGTGATTGTAATTTAAACTTAATGCTGGGAGTGGGTGTTTATTTTGGAGGAGTGGGCTGCTTATTTTTGGTTTGGGGACTTGTTCATTCATCTTTTCTCAGCGGCGCCTACTGCTGCCCTGGCCCGAAGTTAAAGCTCAATAAATCACTGTTGCACAACTGAGTGCCCACGCCTAGATTGTAAGTTCCTGGAAGGCAAGGATTTGTGTCCCACACTTGTTTTGTACCCTCCAGGATCTTGCACAGCACTTGGCGAATGGGTATTGAATGAATTCATTCACTGAAGCGTCTCTCTGGTGCCAGGCCCAGTGCTAAGTGATGGGAATACACAGATGAATACGATATGGTCCCTGCTCTTGGGTAACTCATTATTCTGGTAAATGAATAAAGGAAAGAAAGAATGAATGGAGACTGTGGGAAGGGCCAGGCCATTCTGCTAATTGCACTATGAACCGGTGGATAGCAAAGAGATGTGCCCCTCAGAGACCCTACTTTCTCTTGTGTTTTGGCGAGCGGCCGCTGAGTGGGTCTCAGAACTTTAAACAAACAGTGTCTTTTATAGAAAAGGGGATGCACCCCCTTCTTTCTCCTGCACACACTTCAGGAGTGGAGGTTCCCAGAGGGATGACTGGGTGCCTGGAGCTCTTCGCATCCTTTCCGCCAAGCTCTCTTGGGACCAAGGACTGCCAGGGGCCATAGGAGGCAGGCCAGGAGACCAGGGACTTTTCCCTGGTGTGAAGCTAACTGTCCCTCAGCCAGCACAGTGGGGAGTCACTGTGATTCCTACTGTGGAGAGCCAGCCAGACTGGATTCATGGCTCAGAGGTACCCACAGCACTCCCTTTTTAGGTGGAGACACCCTCCCTCAGAGTTCAGTAGAGGAGTTCAATGAAAAAACTGGATTTTGTAAGGGTGGGCAGCTTTGCAAAATATTGAGAAGCACACATTTCTCAGTTATACAAGGCTCATTTCCCACATGGGTGACCTGAAGGAGCAGGTGATGCATCCCCGCTGCACCACAGCCTGAGGCAGCCACATGGGTGGGGGTGTGTGTGTGCACGCGTGGGTGTGTGTTTGTACCAGGAAACTGAAAGTGAAACAGGCCAGTGACATTTCCAGGGCTCACATGGAACAATATGCAGGAGGGGGGCAAGATTGGCCCAGGGCCTGCAAGCAGTGATGGACAGGACTGAAATGAAATGGGGCCTCACGCTGGCCACACCCTCCCCACCAGCTTTGCCCAGAGTCCACACTGCAGGCTTTGCCCACAGAGTCCATACTGTAGGCTCTGAACCTCCACTGTGGAACCACATGGGGAGCCACAGGGACCAGTCCCACGGAAAAGCCAGGACATGCTCCAAAAGATGGCCCAAGGAGGTAAGGACAGAGATGGTGGGTTGAGTCACTGGAAGGGAGAGAAGGCAGGAAGATACAGACACATGTAGGAGACCTACAGTTCAGTGGATCCGCATCCACGTCCACTCTGCCAGTATTCCAGAATGAAGGAGAGCAAGCACAGCAAGCACAGACCAGGCCAAGCGTTGGTAGACTTGGAAAAAGCTGGAGTTTACAATGTGGTATGCACGTTTTACTGGGAGAAAATGTGTCAGGGATGAGAAAACTGAGCTTTGAAGACAGTTCAGTATGGATGAATTCTCTTCAATCTGATGACTTGCTCTTCCCCACTATCATCACTATAATCCAGTTTTCCACCACCTCTGATCTCTGAACTTGTCTTCTCACTTCCACTCTTCCTCACCCTCTCCCCACCTAATTCGTGCCCCATGCCTCAGCTAATGATATTTCTAGAGTAAAAACTAGAACTTGAAATCCTCATCTTAAAACCTTCCAGTGGATTCCCATTGCTCTTTGGAACTATACCAAAGTCCTCATGTTCTCCGGAGCTCTGCATGATTGGTTTGCCTCCTCTTTTCCTTTCCTCCTGTCTCTCTCCGGCGTGGGTGGCTTTCTCTGGTTCCTTGAATGCAGGATCCCTCCTGCCACAAGGCTTTAGCACACGAATGCACTCACCCATCACTCAGTTCAGTGCATGATTATGTGTGAATGTGTGATTGCTAGATTGGTGGTTGTTTAATTGGGTGGACTGATGGTTACACCAGCCTTTTCCTTATTGGAGAGTAAGCTTTTTGAGGACAGCAACCACAAGTTTTGTTCCCATTATAGTCCCAGTACTGGAAAGGTGCCTAGTGCACAGCAGATGACCAGTAAATATTTGCTGAATAAGTGAGGGAATTCTTCACTTCATACATTCTTCACTGCTAGAAAGCATTCAGGCCAGATGAGGAGCATGAGGCTTGGAAGGACAGTGACTTGCTAGAGGGGCAAGAGGGAATGGGAGGGAATACCTAGGACCCGTAGGGGTGAAGGCAGGCTAGCTTCTGAATCACAGCTGAGGGGATGATACCTAGAAAAGTTTCTTGCCATGCGTAAAGCTTCCCTGCCTTAGCATCTTCCTTTAGAGATAACTATGACTGGCACCCAGATCACATTGGTAATTCAAAGAAACAGCAGTATAAATTTTATTTATTTATTTATTTATTTTTTTAGAGGGAGTTTTGCTCTTGTTGCCCAGGCTGGAGTGCAGTGGCATGATCTCGGCTCACCACAGCCTCTGCCTCCCAGGTTCAAGTGATTCTCCTGCCTCAACCTCCCGAGTAGCTGGGATTACAGGAATGCGCCACCATGCCTGGTAATTTTGTATTTTTAGTAGAGACGGTGTTTCTTCATGTTGGTCAGGCTGGTCTCAAACTCCCGACCTCAGGTGATCCGCCCGCCTCGGCCTCCCAAAGTGCTGGGATTACAAGCCTAAGCCACTGTGCCCCACCTAACAGCAGTATACATTTTAAAAGAAATTTATTTTTTTGACCAAGTTTTGGGATGCATTTTTTAGTCCAATAAAAAATACAGGCAGCTGGGCATGGTGGCTCACACCTGTAATCCCAGCACTGTGGGAGGCTGAGGCGGGAGGATCACTTGAGCCCAGGAGTTCGAGATCAGCCTGGGCAATATGGCGAAACCTTGTGTCTAGAAAAAAATACAAAAATTAGCCAGGTGTGGTGGGGTGCACCTGTAGTCCCAGCTACTCGGGAGGCTGAGGTGGGAGGATCACTTGAGTCCAGGGAGCTCAAGGCTGCAGTGAGCCATGATTGTGACCACCACTCCAGCCTGGGCATGGGCAACAGTGAGACCCTGTCTCAAAAAAAAAAAAAAAAAAAAGGATGTGTGCGTATATACATATATTCACACACATATGGTAGGTATACATCTATATATACATGTATCTGGTAGGCTAAGCCTACCACATATCAGAACAGACACCAAAATAAACAAAATATCAGAAAAGATGACCAAAATTCTTAACTAAATGGACAGTTTGGATACTGCTCCATGGTAGAAAAGGCTGTACTGTGTAGCTAGTGTTCTGTAGATTCTGGAAAGGAAATCTCTTGTTTACGATTGTGCTGCTTAGCTTATAATAGATACACCATAAATATTTGTTGAATGAATAAAGGAATAGAACTTTCATTGGTATGGAAAGAGTCCTGAAGGGCAGGGGCAAAACCACAGCATCTAAAGTGCTAAAGCCATCTGTTCTAGCAATTTATTTGCTATTTCTTGGAAGGCCTATTATTTTATAATCCAATTTCCTGACAGAAGTAGAAGCCCATAGGTTCTAACACCTTTGGCTATTTGAACCTAGGTAAGTTATCTAACCTGTCTCAACTTCCACCACCTTATCTGTTAAATGGGTATGATAATTCTTTACTTACCTGGGGATAATTTAACTGTTCTGATGGGGTACAAAATAGAAGTGGCCTCTGTCCTTTCTAGTGGAAGAGATAGTAAGCAAATAAAATTAGAAAATTACAGCTTTTAACATAGGCATGATGGAAAACCGCAGGGTGTCACGTGGGAGTAGCAGTGGGACCTCATTCAGATTGGGGCACAGGGAAGGCTTCACTAGTAAAATGCCATTTATGCGGAGACCTGAAGGATGAGTTAGGAATTGGCCAAGAGATAGTGAAGGAAACAGCACGCGCAAAGGCCTGAGGCAGGAAAAAGCTGGGGGAGAGGGGCAGTAATTTCAAGCAGCCCAGAAAGACCACTGGGATAAAGCTGGATGGAGAGGGACAGAGATGCTCAGAGGTACTAAGGTGGGGGAATGACATGATGCCATTTACATGTTGAGAAAAGCACTTGGGCCGCTGCGTGGAAAATCGTTTGGGGCTGAAGTATAAGAACTGGATCTCGGTTCTTACAAGAACCTGAATCTTAGCGCCAAGGACTCTAATGATCCTGCTCAAACCTCTCATTTGAAACACGAGAAAAAAACCCCAAAACACCAGAACTACAATTGTGAGAAGCCTTGGCCAGGATCGCACGTTAATCTGGTTGTAATGTAGCTGTGAACTAGGGTCTCTGACTGCTCTTCCGCGATTTATGAGCCCGTGCCCCCCTCCCCCCGCTGCCTTCTGCAATGGTGGAGTGGCCAGGAGATGACTGCCGGGCGTCGGAGTTTTGAGGCAGGCGAGGGTGGCTCGCAGGCCAGGCTCCTGCGGTCCGGGGAAGATGCGCAGCAATGCGCCTCCAAGCCGGGCCCAGGCCGAGCGCCTCTCGCCGCCGCGCACATTCCGGAGGGGGACCGCGGGGCTCAAAGGGCCTGCGGCGTAGGTGGCTCAGCCCTTTCCTTGGCTTTCCCTCCAGGGCCATACTTGCCGAAACCCACTGCCTGAGCCTCCCGCCCGCCCGCCGCGCCCCCGCCCGGGGCCGGGAAACGAGCAGGGACAACTCCCCGCCCGCGCCTCCCCGCGCCCGGCGGCCCGGCTAGCAACCCAGAGGCGCGGCGCTGCGATTGGCTGCGCGGGGGAGAAGGGGCGCTGCGCTGCTCCAATCGCCGGCCGCGCCCGGAGGCCGCGCCGCCAGGAGGCCGCGGACGCGTGCTCGCATGCCTGTGGTATTTGCTCAGAGGGGCATGACCACTTCGGGCAAGCCTTTAAATGTGAGTCAGCTTTCGGCCGATCCCTGGGAAAAATTCCTTCGGTGTTGTCAGGCAGGGTTCGCTAGCTGCAGCTTTTTTTTTTTTTTTTTAAACAATTCAAAAGGGATAATCCCGCTGAATGGGGAAAGGCATTCGGACCCCGTCTCCCCGGAGGAGAGGCCGTGGGCAGTGCCGGGGGCCAGGCCTCCCCGACTCTGGGCGGCCCCGAGGGGCTGGTTTTCTGGAGGGTCAGGGCACCTGCCCTTTCTTCCCTGCGCCCTCTCCCCAACTTCAGCAGGGCACAAAGGGCCGGGGGGCACGTAGACCGCGGGGCGAGCAGTGCCCCCTGGAGTTGTGCCCGGTCCCGGCCTCCCTTTCTCCCCTCTCTCCGCGCTTCTGCTCCTGGACCCGGCCTGGGGAAGCCGAGCGGTTCTAGGTCATCTCTCCACCTCCCTAAGCTTCAGTTTCCTCATGGGCGAAGGGGAAGGCGGACAGTAGAGGAAGTGAGCTGGCCTGGGAGTGTGGAAACTTGGCGTGTTCTCCCAGCTTAGTCTTACTAACGTGCTTGGGCAAGCCCCTTCTGCACTCCCGGCCTCAGTTTCCCCATCTGTAAGATGAGAGAGCCGGTCTGGAAGAGTCCATGAGTGTAGTGACATCAGGCGATCGCGGTACCCCTTCCTGGGGCCTGTGGGCGCGGGGTGGATAAAGCCCTGTGACTTGCCCGCCTGCTCCTGCACAACTCCATAGCTGCTCCCCCAGGCCACCCAGCTTCCCCTCCCAACGTCATCTTAGAGACGCCCAGTAGGCAGGATTGGGAGCACCAAGGGGAAAGAAGACCAAAAAAGGCCGAGGGCTGAGGGAAGTGAGTTGGGACTGGAGGGGTTTATGTGCAATTTGATTTTAAACGAACATCTTGTGCAGAAGAAGAGGCAATTTGGCACCTGTTACTGGTGGGTTAATAGCTTAGGCACTCTTGGTAATGGGGATACAATACTGTGAAGACCAGATTAGCCGACTGTGGCAGCAAATTATGAGTTGACCGGAGGCTGGGTGCGGTGACTCGTTCCTGTAATCCCAGCACTTTGGGAGGCCGAGGTGGGTGGATCACCTGAGGTCAGGAGTTCGAGACCAGCTTGGCCAACATGGTGAAACCCCGTCTCTATTAAAAATACAAAACATTAGCCGGGCGTGGTGGCAACTGCCTGTAATCCCAGCTACTCGGAAGGCTGAGGCAGGAGAATCGTTTGAACCTGGGAGGCGGAGGTTGCAGTGAGCCGAGGTTGCACCATTGCACTCCAACATGGGCAACAAGAGTGAGACTCCGTCTAAAAAAAAAAAAAAAAAAAAAAAAAAGAGTTGACCAGAGAGATGCCATAGAATCTCTGCGCTTGGGAATCTTTGAAAGATAAGGCAGGCACCACCCTCCCTCCTTTGAAGGGCTTTGAAATCCAGGCAGAGTGAAACTCTTAGAGCGCTCTGAATCAAGAGACCATTGGAGCACTGGCTACTTCTGTGTGTGAGAAGTGTGGTTTGGTAAAAAAGAGCATTGCACTGTGCTGCTAACACAGGGGTGTGACCTTGGGCAAGTCACTTGCCTATTCTCAGTCTCCTTTTCATCTGCAGCAGGATGAGGGATTAAGCTAATTGACCTCTTAAAGTCCCTTACAACTCTGACACTCCACGATGAAATGGAATAATGTGTGAGTAATTGCTTTGAAAACTGCATAGCACTAGGGGTCTTTTTGTTGTTATTTTTATATAGATAAAGGTGACCTGAGAGTTCATTAAACTCTGAAACTGGTTGTAAATCAGGCCATCCACAGCCTACCAGCTGAGATTGCAACAGGGCATTTTTTGGCGACAGGTTTCTCTGGCCTGTGAATCAGTATTATTTATTCTGTTTGTACTGTCAGTTCCTGCCCTGGTTTTGTAGCCTGAGGCAGCCACTCTTCGCACTCTGCCTTGGTTTCTCCACCTCACTTGCCTTCTCCAACTTCTTGTGATTCAGATGAATCATGCTATGCCTTTGCCAAGCTTGGATCTCCTGGAAACAGGACTGCAAATTTGGAGGAAGAAAAACGAGAACCAGATTGGTTTGCCACAACTAACTTTGACCATTCTCCTTTTTCCTTCTCTGTGATCTTCCAGTTGTATGGGGGGCTCTGGGATGTATGCAGATGGGGAGGGGGAATAGGCTGAAGATTGAGAAAGAAAAAGGCAGGTGCCAATCATAAAGGAAAGGATTTAAAAATGTATTCCTACCAATTCAGAAATAGGGAAAGACATCTAAACCATCAGGAGGGTCAGATGATCATTATGCACTATACAAAAAAGAGTTCCTAGACTGGAAACCTGGTGCAGAGTTTAGTTCTGCTTGGGCAGGTCAGGGTAGTCTTCAGAAGGGGGTGATACCTGGGATATTTCTAAGGAGAAAGAGCAGTTTTTCTTGTAGTGAGAAGTGCATCTAGCCTGTGGGTAGGGCCTGAGCAAGGCAGAAAGTGAGACTGTGTAGTGGGGCTTGCGTCTCCTAGGAAAGGCCAGTCGCCAGGTGTGTTGTGAGCTCAGGTGAAGATGGCAGAACTGGAGCTGGAAGGCAGAGTTATAAATGGTTTTATCTGTCCTCTTAAGAAATTTGGACTTTATTTTGTAGGAAATGGAGAATAGCTACAGTCTTTTGAATAGGTGGGAGAGATCAGTGGTAGGAACATTGTTTTTCAAACTTCAGGTTATACAGGGAAATTCAGGTCATGACTGACATTTGAAAAATAGAATGGATGAGAATAGAATGGAATAGAAAAATATGAAAATCTGTGTGTGCTGTAAGTATTGGTTCATGAAATGTGTTTGTGTGTGTGTGATTGTGTATGTTCTGAATCATGGTATGAAATATACTTATTATTGTGGGTCCTGGTAACAAAAAAGTCTGAATCCACTGGAATTCAGACCCTTCATGCTGAATCGAGGGGTATGGATTGGAGGGGGAGGGACAAGAAGTTCTTGCAGGCAGGACAGGTGACTTGCATTCTGTCCCACTTCAAGCTCTCAAGAAGGAAATTGCTTAACTTTTGAAAAGAGTTAACCGATCTCTTCCAAGTCCTCCTCCGCAGAGGAAAGATGATTATATTTGCCCTGCAGAGTAATGGAGGAGACTACTAAAGTATTTGGTACCCTGCTTCATTGGTAGGGCGTGTTGCCTAACAGTGCAGATGCTGTGGATCAATAGTTGGGACTCGGTTCCTTCCCGTCTCTACCACGCATCCACATGGCTGTGGTACAAATCATGATCCTGTGAACTAAAAATGATGCTAGTTTTCCATTTTTCCAGTGAAACATTTGCAATTCCTATAGCCAGCATTTTGGGATATCATAGCCCATGACTGGTATTCAGGCATCAGTTTAGTGAAGATGGGAGACATCATCCCCAAAACATGAATAATAGCCTTATATTTAAAGCACTTAAGAAGGCTACTTCATAACCTCCCTCAGTCAGTAATATCAGTGGTCTTAACAGACCTGAGGGTTGGGGAGCCTTTGGGGATAATGAATTCCCTCCCGATGCAGTCATAGAACATCTCCTATTCTGCTGGTCTCAGAAAAACTGGAGAACAGCTGGCTACCATCTGCCCTATGACATGCCCATTACTTTAAGACTGTTTCTGGGAGTCAATGTTTGCTTTTTCTCAGGCAGCCTTATATGCAACAAGGGCCCATTTACTTTCCTGAGTCCAGCCATGTGGAGAATGTTGCTCTCTTGCAGCAATACAGCATGGTCCAACTCGTTTCTTTTTAAGGTGACTGACACTGTGCACATTTGGTTACATGTTGTACACATCCATGTCCTCTTCCTCTTTCCTTACCCAAACCAGACTCTATGCATTTGGTCCAAACCAGACTCTATGCATTTGGTCCAGACACCACTTCAGTTTACATAACTCCAGACACAGTCTCATGGTTGCACCTTCAGGGCAAGCATACCTACATCTCTCTTCAGACTCCATACATGTACATGTTCTTTTTCTGAGTGGGAACTGTTCAAGTTTCCTTGATCCTGACTGGTTCTTAATCCATAACAACAAGAGCAATGCGCCATGATCTGAATACCACTTTGTGCCAAGCACTTTTAAGCAAACTTTAAGAGACATTATTAACTGTCTTTTGCAGATAAAGAAATTGAAGCATGGGTATTGTTCATAATTGCACATCTAGTTAATAATCAAGTTGAGTTGCAAAACGAAGTTTCTTTAGATTGCAGTCTCGTGCTTTGACTCCTGAGATACTCTCCTTTCCCTGATTCTTTTCTGGTAGCCTCCTTCCATGACAGCTAGGAATGCCTTCTCTTTCTCTTCCCATTTTGTCTTAGCAAAATTATGAATATCCTCTTTAGAGAGAAGGTCTAAGTGGAATCTCGTTTTGCACTGGCACTATACAGAGGAAGCACATCCAAAAGTCATTATGTCTAGACTTCTGCCTCTTGACAGACTTCCCTTGCTGTGAGAGAAAGAACTGCTCTCAGCATAAGATTGAGGAAGAGACAGAAGGAAAGTGCCCCAAGTCACACAGCTCTGGATCTAAAGATGCTTGAACAGTGAGGCAACCGTGTGCTCCATTGTACCCATCCTACACCCCTTTCTTTTTTTTTTTTTTTTTTTTTTTGAGATGGAGTCTCACTCTGTTGCACAGGCTGGAGTGCAGTGGTGTGATCTCGGCTCACTGCAAGCTCTGCATTGAGACATTCTCCTGCCTCAGCCTCCCAAGTAGCTGGGACTACAGGCGCCCGCCACCACGCCCAACTAATTTTTTTTTTTTTTTGGTATTTTTAGTAGAGACGGAGTTTCAACCATGTTAGCCAAGATGTTCTCGATCTCCTGACCTCGTGATCCTCCCGCCTCGGCCTCTCAAAGTGCTGGGATTACAGGTGAGCCACCGCGCCCAGCCCACCCCTTTCTTTATCATGTATTCATTCCTTATTTACAGCTTTGCCCTCCATCCCTACCTTCCTTTGGTCATCCACTATTGTGTCAGGAACACCAATCAGTCATTCCACAAATAATGAGTATGATCAAAGATCAAACATCTTTGATGTGAATAGCACTTGTCTTGGCTATTATCCAATGTCTGGGCCCTGGCCATTCTCTATGGCCAGGGATATGATCAGGGCTGGCCAGATGCACAGGGAGGGCACGACATGGGGGAAGTGTACGCATTTACACCTGCCAGGCTGGAAGACCATCCTTTTGACCAACATGAGCTCCTACGAGACATAACAAGGCTTTTTTCCCTTTGCTTGGAACGAGGAACCATAGAATTTGCTGAGGTGGGGAGGTTCTAGTGGGTCATCAAATCTAGCCTCTCCCATCTGATGCAAGAATCGGCGTTACAACTTCTCTGACGTTGCTCAACCAGCTTCTCCTTGAACACCCCCAGATGTGAGCTAACTTGATCTCCTCACCCCATTTTTTTGGAAAGCTTTATGTGTTAGGCAATTCGTATAATTCTCTGTCAGGCTTGATCTGATTCCCTAATCCACCCATGGGTCCCATTTCTACTTCTTGGGATGACATAGAAGAGTTCTAATCCCTCTTCCATGTGATAGCTCTTCAAATATTTGAAGGCAGACGTGATGTCATTCTTAGTCTTTTCATGCTGAGGATGCCCAGTGTGTGCCAGTTTTGCAATTCTTAGGATTCTTAGTAATGTCAATCTCACTTGCAGGGCATACTTGAGTTAATGCATAAATAATGAGCTTTTACCATGTGCCAACTCCCTTCAAAGACATTATGGAATTCAATTCTCATGTCCAACCTGTGAGATAAGAACCCTTTTTATTTTATAGAGGAGAAAAGAAATTAATGAGGTTAGGGGTTTAAGCCAAGGTCATGTAGTTAGACATGGACAGAACTGGCACATTAACCTGAGCCTTTTACCAAACACATGTGCATTATTTTTTTCTCTATATGAGTTTCACCAGGGCAAGGATGGTGCAAACATCCAAGATACAGGTCTTGTCATCCTTAATACATAGGATCATAGAGAAGCGGTGATCTATATATATCTCTGCAGTCTTAAGTCTTACTTGCTAGAGCCATTTTCTGCCTCTACTTCTCCCCCACCTAATTCTGGCTGTAAATTGTAACAAGATATCGGATAGCCTCTCCATTTTTTTGCACATAGAGAAACAGAGCAGAGAGGTTGATGTCCAGGATACTGTTTACTTGGGGACACAGTGTCAAAATCAGAATTAAATCTCCAAGTCTTCAAAGACAATCATTTATTGCACATAAACAGAAATTGCTAATTTCACATGTGTATGCTTGGAGTGCAAAATATTGGAGACATTTGGCATTTTCCATAATATTTTTGGAATACAGGAGCCCTCTGGTGGCCAAAATTGTAGCAAGGAGGTATCGTTCGGAAAGCTGATCTGAGATTTCCTACCAGTACTCCTCTTAGTGCCCTCTGGCTTTGTTTGAGGGTCACCCCTTTTCCATTTTGCCTCTTTCTTCCTCTTTTCATACACGGTTACTTGCTTTTTGCCCACCCTTTCTCCTTTCCCCTTCAAGCTCCTCTCTGCATCTTCCCCTTCAACTCCAGCTGTCACCCCTGATCCCACTGGAATCTCTCCTTGCTGCCATCTTTGGCCTCGGAGGACCCTTTCTGAAATCTGGCCAGTTCCCCTGTGGCAGGTGCTGAGTGACAGCTGCTGCCTTGCTGCTGCTTCAGTAGTGAATTCAAATCCCTTGTGGGTGTTTAGAGCCTGCAGATGGATTAACTGATGATTCCTGTTCATCAACAAGCATTTGCAGTATCCTGCTAAGCATGTTAGGGATACTGAGCGGCCCCTAGAAGCAAGTGCTCTTGGAAGAGGCAGGTGAGCTTCTTCCCCCTTAGGCACAAGGAGCTCACCACACATCACCTGGTCCCTGGGGTTGACCAGCTGTCCAGACCTGGGCCATTCTAAGTTTCTATGTATAGCTCTTAACTGTGCAAATGTCTGTTTTCCTCATTATTGTGTGCATGGAATGGTCTGTCTTCTGTAAGATCGCACCTCACAATAGCCAACAGCAAGTGAAGACCCACAAAATAGCTGATCCACATATTGGTAATTGAGAACTGACCACTGATCCAGAGGCAGAAGTTATACTGGTGGCTTCAGTGGATTTCAGTGAACCAAATGAGGGGAAGGAAAGCTAAAATAGGACAGGCACAGAAATTTTGGCTAAAGTTTTAGACACCATCTTCTTGGCTTCTAATGCAGTAAAGTAATGGGGCAGTATAACACTTAGAAGGCACTTTGGACTCTTGAGAAAAATATCTTCCATAAAATGAGCTGGTGACTTTATTACACTGCGGTGCTTAACAGTTAGTGGCTTAATCACGGGGCAATTGGGTGAGAGAGGCCAATTCATGACCCTTACTGCAGAGACAATCAGAAAAGCCTTCTCAGGGTGCAGAGCATGTTGCAAGAGGGTGGGGTGCCAGGCTCCTGGGCATGTTAGAAAGTGAAACCAGAAGAAGGGCTCTGGGGAGAATCATAAAGTTTGGGAAGCTACAGCTTTCTATAAACTGTAGAAGAATGGCTCACGCCTGTAATCCCAGCACTTTGGGAGGCCGAGGTGGGCGGATCATGACGTCAGGAGATCGGGACCATCCTGGCTAACACGGTGAAACCCCGTCTCTACTAAAAATACAAAAAATCAGCCGGGCGTGGTGGCAGGCGCCTGTAGTCCCAGCTACTCGGGAGGCTGAGGCAGCAGAATGGCGTGAACCCAGGAGGCGGAGCTTGCAGTGAGCCGAGATCGTGCCACTGCACTCCAGCCTGGGCGACAGAGCGAGACTCTGTCTCAAAAAAAAAAAAAAACAAAAAAACTGTAGAAGAAAAGGCTAGGGTGGGTGAGGAGGTTGCAGCGGGCATTCCATTAGTTAATACGGTCCAACTTGATGGAGGGGTTGTGCAGTACTGACAAAGTGCAGCTGGGTTTCTCCTGCCACTACCACCCCAGCAAATGAGAGTGGCCTTTGGATGAAGCAAGATGAATTTGGGCTACTAGCTATGAGGATTTGGGCAGGATTAGAAAGTGTTGCCTGGGTGGCTGCAGAATTCTCTTCTCTCTAGATTTTAAGAAAATGCAGACAAGTCTTTTCAGAGGCCTTTTTGGAGGTGCACGTGGGTGAAGCCCTACCTCAAAGATGCATGAGCAGCTGGGCTTGGTGGCTCGTGCCTGTAATCCCAGCACTTTAAGAGGCCAAGGCAGGCAGATCGTTTGAGCTCAGGAGTTTGAGACCAGCCTGGGCAATATGGGGAAACCCCGTCTCCACCCAAAAATACAAAAATTAGCCAGGCATGGTGGTGTGTGCCTGTAGTCCCAGCTACTTGGTAGATTGAGGTGGGAGGATTGCTTGAGCTCAGGGGGCAGAGTTTGCAGTAAGCCATGAATGTGCCACAGCACTCCAGCCTGGGTGACAGAGTGAGAACCCGTCTCCCAGATAAATAAGTAAAAAGATGCATGAGCTGGCCTCTGGCAATGTTCTTCCTAGACTTGTCATTCTACAGTCACCTTAGACTTTTTGTTTCACAGCATTTTATGGACTTTTAAAGTTTGTCATTTCCGGGGTTTGGGAGTGAAAGGGTGATGCTGGAGTGTGTGCTACATCTGTCATCTTAATTCAGTTTCCCTCTATAGGCCTACTTTCTTGCCCTGTATCCTGCCAAACCACAGACACTCATCCACCTCCCAGTTTCTGACATAACTTACAGATTCACTATAACTGTCATTCCACCAAGAATGGTTTATGTAATTTTATGATAAAAGCAGTACATGGTTTGTGTAATTTTTCCCCTGGTTCAGTGTGTGTGCACTTACCGCAGTGCCCTTTTTAATAGAGCTGGCTACAGTGATGGGATCACTTCTCTGTTCTGAACATGAAGCTTTGGGCAAACAGCCTGGACCATGTCTATTAAATGTGCTTTGTTTAGCATCTTATTCCAAAGACAGGTGCTAAATAATTTTTTATAGTGATTTTAATGACATAACAAAAAGCACACTAGATCAGAAATTAGATGATCTGGTTTAGTCCTTGCCTGCCACCAATTAGCTCCTCTAGGCCTCAGTTTCCACATTTATGCAATGAGGAGATTTAGATTAGATGACCTTGAAGGGCACCTTCAGCTCTGAAATTTACCACTTATCTTCCATAATGGTGACCTCCTCCATAAAGACTGTCACCTTCTCAGGGGCAGGGGAACACCTCGCCTGTAGTGTTCCCAGAATGCCTGGCAGGACTCTGGCCCTTGACGGCAGGGGTGGGTGGGTGGGGAACAAGGAGTGCTCAAATATCTGTTGATAGATTAATCATATCCATCCACTTTCCAAGAGAAAGGTAGTAGTACTTTAGGAGTAAGAGACACTGAAAAGAGGCAGGAGGGACAGGTTCTCCTTCCAATACCACCTCTTATTTGTGTGTATACTGTGTGCTATAGTCTTGACCTCCATTCATAAGGAACTGCTGAAAGTTGCCCACTGCCTGCCCTAGATCTGGAGGAGAAGAACATAGCTGCACACTCAGGCTCATGCTCTCAAAACAGAGATTGGGGCTGAGCTGTCAAGACCTGTAGAAATATGCTCCTCACCCCAGTAGGAGTTGGAACTGTCCTTTCTCACGACAAGATGGGATTTATGCTTTTCTATGAAAATGTTTGTGTAAATTGAAAAAAAAAAGCTAGGTTTGGACATGGAGCCGAGGCTTTTGTGAAGGGTAAGATTCCTCAGCTGTCATAAATATCAGTGGAAAGGGAAACAGGTGTCGAATCCCTGCTTTCCTTACACACATATTTTAAGTGGATCATAAACCCCCTCTGTTCTCCCCACCAGTGAGTCCACACTGTTTTGGTGCCTGCAGCTTAGAAGGGCAGAGCCTTTTTTCCAAACCACATGGGAGCATCACTTTGCCAGTGACTGCTTGAGTTTGGGGAAAATAGACTCTAGTTCTAGTAGACTGGCTTGAGTCCTCTTCCCTTACTCAGATAACTGATGAAGAGGCTGGTCCAGCTTCTTTTGCTCAGTGGACTTAGGGGTTGTCAGTGGAAACATGTCTCACTTTCCTTCTGATAACTGAGCTCCAACATAAAGGAGTTAAACGTTTGCCAGATGGGCAAGGTGGGAAGTCTTGGCAGCGACTCTGGGCGAAACCAGGAAGAACATGATGAGGCCAGCTGAAAGAGAACGTCACTGGTTTCTAATGAGGGGGTGCCTATCAGGGGAGCAGGGCCTTCCGGGAGAGCCTTTTCCTGAAAGGAGGGAAGTGAGGTACAGAGAGAGAGGTCCTGGGTCCTACTCAGAGAAGGGAAATGCTCTGAGAAGTGGAAGGGGGTGCAAAATAAGCAGGCAGATTATCATCTGAGGGTCTTTTAAAGAAATTTGAACTTGCAGAGACAGGCAGGTGACTCACGAGAATGGATCTGCTCACATCAAGCAGAGGAGAAAGATAATCACAGCTCTTAGAACTGCAAAGTACTTTAAGGGGCTCTCAAGTCAGTCCATTCATTTTACAGGTGAATAAACCAGGGCTTATTCTTGGAGTAATGGAGAAGGCAAAACTTTTCCTAGTGCAGGATAGTTTTAGTCCAGTAGTACGATTCTGGGGGGAAAGCATGGGGTTTGGAGTCAAACAGACTTGAGTCTGCATCAGTACACCAATTACTAACTGTGACCTTGGCGGATAAGAATACTTACCTCTTGGGGCTGTTGAGAATAAGTGAGAAAATAGATGTGAAAGCCTCTACCCAAAAACTTGTCAGTGTGGCCAATGAGACCTGCTGGATGGTCATTTGCCTTCCATTATGATTACGATGTACTTGGCTAATAGAGACTCTATTAAGAGAGTGACTGAAAAATATTAATCAAGTGATTGCTATATGCCAGCACACTCATGTTATGTTATAGGCACTCAATTATTAAGATCATATTAGTCTAATGGATAATTATAAAAATATGAACTGTGATACTAACAAATAATAACATCAGTGGTAATGCAATGATGATAATAAAGTGTCAGTGCAATTGCTCTAGAGATGTTACATGAAATGAGGGAAGGGCCAGGCGCCGTGGCTCACACCTGTAATCCCAGGACTGTGGGAGGCTGGTGCCAGAGGATTGCTTGAGCCCAGGAGTTCCAGACCAGCCTGGGCCAACATGGTGAGACCTTGTCTCTATTAAAAATAAAGATTACCCAGGTGTGATGGCACACACCTGTAGTCCTAGCTGCTCGGGAGGCTGAGGTTAGAGGATCGCTTGAGCACAGGAGTTCGAGGCTGCAGTGAACTATGATTGCACCACTGCACTCCAGCCCGGACAACAGACAGAGACCCTGTCTCAAAAAAGAATGAAAAGAATAAAAAGAAAAAGAAAGGAAAAGTTCTTTTGGAATCTAGCATTGGCTTTGGTGTTCAACAACAAGTAATCTGAGAAACATGAACTCTGTCGTCATTCATTCATTCATTGGACAAACAGTAATTGAGGGCCTACTTTGTGCCGGTCACTTTACTAGGAACTAGAGACACAGTGGTCAATAAAAGCAAGATTCTTTCCATAAATGGAGATTACGTTCTAAAGGAGGCAATGAACAAACAAGGAAATAGAGAACATTTTTAGGTAATGGTAGGATTTATAAAAAACAAACAACAAACAAAAACAGGGCAAGCGGATGGAGATGATCTGAGGGAATAGCTATTGTAGGTAAGGTGAATATCTCTAAGTAGGTGACCCTCGGAGGAGAGATCTGAATGGGGAGGAGCTATGAGGCGTGGTGGATTGGATGGGGATGGGGATGGATTCCAGGCAGAAGGCAAAAGCATGTATAAAGGCCCTAAGGTGGCCATGCGTATGGTATGTGATACTGATCTATGGCTGGAAATGTATGTTCTATATTTCTGCCCAAATGCAGAAAAAAATGAAGAGTTAATGTAAAGAGACTCTTCTCTGGATAACTCAGCCTGGGACAGCTCTCTCAGGATGAGGCTAACAGCGATGGAGCAGGTTAGGGGCCATGAATCTTAGGACCTTCCAAGAGATGAGAAGAGTCCTGAAGACGCCTGGTGACTTGGCATGAGAGTTGGAGAAATGGTGCCTTGAATTGGAACACAGCCATGAGGCTCTGTCCAGGATTCTATCATTGTCAAGTGTCCAAATGCAGACTCACGATCAGCCCCCGAGGACCTGGAAACCCTCCCCAGCTGCCCATGTTACCTCACTAACCTATTTGGACCATCAGATATGAATTTTTTCGATTGCCTTTAAAGATATTTCTATTTCTTGGCAGTATTGTCTCTTAAAGTAGGCCCTTGAGGGCAGGGGCCATGTCTAATTCATAGAATTCCCATGGGAAACAAAGCACCTAGAACAGAGCTTGGCACACAATAGGACTGCATGAGTGTCTGTTATCCAATAAGCATCACGGGTTTACTGTTCACCTAATAAAAGCCTGCTTTTTATTTGGCTTACATTTTTCTCATCCAAGCTTTCAGGGTTACCCTGGGTTACGGGTTTGTGGAAGCTGTGAACAAGCTACGTGACTTTCTAAACTTTACTTATCTCTGTTTGCAGCCTTATCTGTAACATGGATGAATTCTTGTTAATCTGGGGCATAGTGAAAACAGTGCTGGGCTGGGGGCGCTTTTTCTAGCATTGACTAGCTGTGCCACCTTATGACCAAACCTCTAGGAACCCAGGTTCCTTATCTGAATGTGTCAGACATTCCTGCTGTGATTCCTGCATTTCATGGGGTACTGCCATAGATGTTAGGGAGACTAAATCGATGTTCTATGCGCTCTGTAAACCGTAAGATGTACATCGAGGGTGCAAGCACTATACCGGGGACCCTCTCACCAGCCTCCTCCTGATCATTCAGTTGTCTCTTGCTGTATTTTTCCAGCCGTTAAGTTTTTGTTTCTTTGTTTGTGGATAAGCGACTACTGGATTTGTCCCATGACGGGATAATGTTTTTCTCTTTGTTTTGACATCTTACCATTACTATTCCCCAGCCCCCACTTTAGGAGTCCCAAGAGCCCCCTGGGTTGATGGCTTTAGTGAATAGTCTATAGTGATCCCCAGGTTATTTCCAATGACATCAATATTCAGGACTCAGTTATCTGTCATTCACGTAATTTCAACTCAGTACATGTGGAATGAGCTCCAGGTCTGTGTTGTGTATTAAAACTGGGGGCCGTAGCGGGTGAAAAGAAGAAGAAGGAGCCGTCGAAGAGCACAGGTCTCACGGGAATGAGGAATGCCCATGTGGTGGTGACTCCACACAAAATGCAGTGGGTGACACTGTCCTGGAGCAAAGGGCTGTGACAGCGGAATGAGGGGCACCTTCTTCACGTGGCTCCCTTGTCTACTGGGCATATGCTGATCCCAACAGGGTACGATGTCCTCATCCGCAGCCTGGTAGATGTTGACAGAATGGGGCAGGGATGCTTTCTTACACAATGGGGAGTGGATTATCAGGGGAAAGTGTACCCCATCCTGAAAGTGAGAGGCCCCTACCAAGGGCTGGAAGACCAGGAGGAAGGGGGAGGAAGGTTGGATCAGGGCTTAGAAAAAGAAACAAACTTGGCTTAATGGGGGTTTGTCCTGTACCAAGACCCCTTGGGGTTTTCTGCCGGGGTCTGTGCTGTGACTGTCTGCCTAGCACAAGCCCTGGCAGGAGAGTTGGACTCGCCAGGGCTGAAAATCAGGAGCCTGGACCCTGTCATTGAGAACATCCAGCCGGGCTCTCTCTGTCCTTTGTCAGGGCCCAGGAGGCTCCATATCATTACTCCAGAGCATTCCGCTTCCCTCCGGCCTCATTACGCAGTGCATTAGCTGTGGGAACTAAACCCATTACAAAAAGGAGGGGGTGGAATTGGCACACGGGGAAAGAGGCCTTCTCAGATCAAGCTAACAACTTGTGCCTATTAACTAAAGAAGATCATTAGAAAATTCCCATCTCCTTCTCTCCTCTCCCCCCGCCTTGCCCCCACCCCCACCACTTGCCGTGTCAGATGCTGCGCGGGAGCCGAGCTCACGTGAATTTGCCTGTTTCTTGCACACACACCCAACCTTAAAGGGGCCTTGCTCAGGGCTTTGTAGAAGAGAAAGCGTTGGATGGTGATGAGAACTTGCTTTGATGTTGAGTCTGATTTTAAATGAACGGGACTTTCTTTCTCTCTGCAACGTGGTTCTTTTTGGAATCAGTGAAGACAGTGACTAAAATACGTTCTACCTTATGATTATTTTCTATCATCTATAACGAAAGAGACAAAGGGGAAAGGTTTTCTTTCTGCTGTTCAACAATATCAATGTTATAGCTGGAGTGTCGCTCTGAGATTAATCAATTTAAACCTCTTTTTATAGATGGGGACGCCAAAGCCCAGAGAGAGTAAGTGGTGTGTCTCACGCTTTACGAGAGCGACGTAGGACTCATGCTCGCAAGTCTGGGGTTCTTCCTTTCCTAACAAGCTTCCTCCAGTTTTGTCATTTTTTCTCTGTCAGTTTCCGTCAGCCTTCTGATTGCTGTACCCACTCCTTGGCTATGTTCCCTGGCTAGTGTTGGATAACATCCTCAAAGAAATCCAGTAAAGCACCTTTGATTAGGCCACAGACGGGACACTGAGTATCAGCGATGGCCTCGTCACTTGCTCTTCTTCTCTCCCGCAGGTTTAAAAATAAAACAAAAAATAAACCCTATGCAAAAATATGGTTCAGGACAAAGGTCTGACTGAGCCTTCTCTGTGTTACTCCTCTCCCTTACTAAAATCTAGGAGGCTCCACCGCCCCATTTCTCACCATACGGCTTCCTCCCCATGCCCATTTCTATTTCCAGTGGCAACCTCTACCCAGCCGTTGATGTGGTGGGATGTGCCTCCAAGTCTGTGTGCACTTTCCCCTCTGAATGTTTGGGCTGTGTCTAAAACTGCTCCATTAAAGAGGGGGCCGTGGAGGAGATGACCCATGCCATGGCTCTCCCTAGCCTGGGCAGGTCACTGGAGGAAACACAACCATCCTCGTTGTGTGGGATAGTGAGAAAAGGGATTTTCCTCCTTAAATCAGAGCGCTTTTTTATGTGTGTATGTGTGTGTGTGTTTTACTATGCTCTGTTCAAAGGTCTGATTAGCATTTCCTTTTCAGTTGCTCCTTCGCCATCCCAGCTGCACCAATTGTGGTCAGTAAAGCAGAATTGGTGCGCTAGCAATTCAGGAACGCAGCTGAAAGGGAAAGAGTGAAGAAAAAACAAGGGAGTGAATTTTCTTAGCGCTTGAAGAAACTACTCCAATTAAAAAGAGAGAGAGGGAAGAGATGAGATGAGATACTTGGAGGGAGTAGACAAAAAGATTCCAAAGAAACAGGAACCTGAGTTAAATTTTTAAAAAGAACAGGGGCCCAAACTACCTACACTGAGAAATAGGTAACAAAAAAAAGCACACGTAGAAAAATGTAAAAAAAGAAAAATTTTTTTCAGAACAATGAATGAGACAGAAAAGGCTGGAGTTTTAAGAAATGAAAAGGTAGAGATAGAAACTTTCTTATTTCTTTTCCTTGCTTTTTCTTTTTTATTAATGCTTCTTTTAATTTTTTTTTTCTAATGGAAGGAAATGGAATTGCTGGGTATTCAGTTCCAGAGGAGAGTTGGATGCTTACCTTCGGGTGACTTGTGCCCTGGAGTTAGGGTTGATCTCACCACTCCTGCTTTGGGACTAGATTTAGATTCCTTCCCCAGTTTCCCCTTTGACCTGAAGCACAGTTCCATTCTGCTCAGTGCCTTCTCCTTCCCTTGAACGCCAGTGGTATATCGGGACACTTAATGAGATTATATTGGAGAAGTACTTAGAGCTCAACAGAGTAAAGGCATGGGAGAAAGTGTTAACAATGTTCATAACGATGATTCTTGGGGTCTTTTTTAAAAAGGCTGTGTGCAGAACCTTGCTGGGACTCCTTGTTTGTATAAGCTATAACTTACCCCCTCAAAATTACCTAATTGGGACTGAAACATCTCCAGCTGGCTCTCAGACCCAAGGAGTTTGTTCTTGGAAAGTGTGACCTTCTGCTTCATCTGTTTGCAGACTTGATGCAAGGGGATGTGTGCTTTACGGGAAACTGTCAGCGCTGCAGTCGGCATCAGAGACGTGCTGCTAAAGAGAACACTACCAGCATTTAGGAGAAGGGACTTGGAATGATGGACAGGACCGTACCCCTTCTCTCATTATCACAAGCCAAAGCAAATGATGTATATCTGTGAGGTCTAACAACGTCCCTAAGCCTTATCCTTTTAGGATCCCAGTCATCCAGCGCACTGTATTGTTGCAGCTAGGAGTTTAAGACATAGAGTCAGACAGACATGTGTTTGAATTTCAGCTCCACCGCTGACTAGCTAAGCAAGCTTGAGCAAGTTACCATTTCTTCTAAGTTCCTTCAGTTTTTTTTTTTTGAGATGGAGTTTCACTCTGTCACCCAGGCTGGAGTGCAATGGTGTGATCTCGGCGCACTGCAACCTCCACCCCCTGGGTTCAAGCGATTCTTCTGCCTCAGCCTCCCAAGTAGCTGGGATTATAGGCATCTGCCACCACACCCTGCTATTTTTTTGTATTTTTAGTAGAGATAGGATTTCACCGTGTTAGCCAGGATGGTCTCGATCTCCTGACCTCGTGACCCGCCCTCCTCGGCCTCCCAAAATGCTGGGATTACAGGCATGAGCCACCTCACCTTGTCCTCATTCCTTCATTTTCAAAATGGGGCTATGTTATTTGCCACAGAGAGTTTCTGTGATGATTGTTAAAATGCACATAAAATACCTACCACATAATTCATTCTCAAAAAATTCTAGAAATATTACGTAATGACCCAGGAGACAGAAGATCTGGCGTCACTTCCCATCTGTGTGAGCCAGGACAAGTTAATTTACCTGTCAGTGCCTCAGTTTCCTCATCAATAAAATATGGGTTAAATGTCCACCTCGTTACGTAAACTAAAGACAATGAGTATAAAAACTATGACATACACTAAGAAGATACTACATGATGGTGATAGTTTTTGTGTTTACTTCCCAGACTCCAGTTTTATCCCTGCGTCAGCTATGTGATCCTTCACAGGTCACTTATTTTTCAAAGACCTCAGTTTAGTTTCCCCATTATAAAATAAAAGTGGAGTTAGACATCTATTGTCCATTCCAACTGTATGATTTTATGAACTTTCTATTTTTGTGATTTTTCTGTATTTCAAAAATACCTACTAGAATAGAGAACAAGGTTTCCAAAGGCCTCCCCTCCCCCGGGATACAGAAGCCTCTGTTCCTTGATTACCCTTTTGCTGACCTACTCTTAGCCCATAAACCCATCGAGCTCACACTGACTTAGACAAAGAGCAGAGACCCCCAGGAAGAAGAAAGTGTCCCTGCATTTGGTGAGCCTACAGTGTAGTTGAAAACAAAGGATGGATAGATATGCAAGAATAAGACTGATACGCAAAGCAAATCCCAATAAGTTAACATTAACATGGTGATTACCTAGAATCAGAGTTAAGAGCATGAGCTCTGGAGTCAGACCAGTGACAGGTCAGGTCCTAGCTCCACCACCTGCAACAGTTTCACCTTGGACAAAAAACCCCTTACCACTGCCTGAGTCTTGATTTCTTCCTCTGTATGAGGCTTTAAAAAATGCAGTAGCTCTTGTGAGGATTAAATCAGATGATCCATGCAAGATGCTTAGCCCAGTGGCTGGCATATCGTGAGTCCTCACAGTATTGGTTATTACTGTTATTAATACTGCTATTACTATTGTCATGGTTATCTCAGAAAACCTCACAGAAGAGATATGTAAAAGCCAGATTTTGAAGAGGGGCTAGAGAGTTTTGTGATGGGAGGGTGGTTCTTGGAAACAGTCAGTGGAAAGCAGTATGTCCATATGGATCTCTTGTGGAGGAACCCAACATCTGTGGATTTTCAAAGCTTTCCACGTAATTCTGACCCGCAGCCAGGGCTGATATGAGAACAAGGCAGTCACAGGCATGATTCATTAAGTGTGGACCACTAGACAAAAATTGAGATTTCTGACTTGAGGCATGGGCTCTGCTCCTAGCTAGGCGCCTGGCCATGGCAATTACTTCATCTCACTGGATTTTAGTTCCTTAATTTGCTAATCAAGGAGAATTGACATACCCTAAGTGATCTCCAAGTCTCCTCTCAGCTCTCAGGTCCAAGGATCTTAAACAGCTTTCCTTAACTGAGTAAGAATCCATGTTCAGGAGTCCATTCCAGTTCATCTCCCGCATGATTTCCTCCAGCCAACAGGACCCGGAGCCAGCCCTCTGGGTCTTCCCAGCACCCCACCCCCAGGTCTCTGTGTGTCTTACACAAGTCGACTCCCCAGTCTGACCTGGCCTCACCTGGCACCATAGAAAGAGGCCAAATTGAAATGCACTATGTAGGGACTCAGGCGGCAGTCCACAGCCTGGCCTACTGGGCCACTTGGAACTTTGTAACCGTGTAACTTGGAGCTCCTGATAATAATAACCGCTAGCATTTCTTGAGCATTTATAACATGTGAGGCACTGTACTAAGAGCTTGAAGTCTATTTAATCTGCTTTAATCCTTAAAACAGTGCTGTGACATCAGCATGGTGAGTCCCATTTTAGAGCTGTAGATGTAGAATCTGAGGCTTGAAGACATTAAATAACTTCCCCAAGATCACACAACTGGTGTGCGGTGCGGGTGGGCCCACACCCCTGTCTGCTGAGCTGCAGCACCAAGGCTTCCCTCTATTGTACCACATTACCTCCCACAATCTGCAATTCACAGTAATTTTTGGGGACCAATGAGTGATCACACAAGAAGGGTACAGGCTTGAGCCCTTATGTGTAAGGCACTGCATTTGTTATGTTAGGTCAAAAGTGGTCTCTTGAAACCATTTACTCCTTCACCCACCATTAGGAACTCTCCTCCACCTGCCCTCAGCTTACCTATCCAATCTCATCACCCTGTGACCATCTGCGGTCAGGCCACCCACTGTGGAGACTGCCTTGCTGAGTGATTAAGGGCACAGCCGGTAGTGTGGTGCTGCATTGTCCAATTTGGTAACCACTGGCTGCATGTGGCTACTGAGCACTTAAAGTGTGGCTAGTCTGAATTGGGATGTGCTGTAAGTATAAAACACACCGGATTTCAAAGAATGAATGAAATACCTATTTTGGAAATACTGGGTTAAGTAAAATATTAAAATCAATTTTAATTGTTTTTACTTTTTATTTTTTAATGTGGCTACTAGAATATTTAAAATTACACATGTGGCTGGCATTTGTAGCTCACATAATATTTCTGTTGGACAGACTGGTCTGGAGTGAGACCACCTGCGTTTGAATCTCAGCTGTCACTTACTATCTGTGCAAGTTAATTCATCTCTATGTACCTCAATTTTCCCATCTGTAAAATAGGGGTGATAGTAATAACCTACTTTGTAAGGTTGTTGTAAGCATTTAATGACTTAAATTTACCAAACAGTCCCTGGCTCATTTGTTTGCTACTTATTGCTCACTGATGCCAGAACAGGCCAGGTTCTTTTCCTGCCTGTGCTGTGCTGGTTTTTTTTTTCTCTTGGAAGGCTTTCTGCTTCCTCGCCGCCTCCTTGGGTTCTGTGTCTTCCAAAACAGCATGGCTTGTTAGAACTCCTGCCACTTTCTTTACGTAAACATTAACTTCTTGCCTTCTAGTCATCATTTCAGCATGCACACCTGAACTGTAGTTTGAAGTAGACTGAAATCAGGGCTTGTGTCTACTGTGTCTTATTTATCTATCTGTCTTCCTATCATGCCCTCTATAGATCTAATGCAGTGCCTCGCACAAGGTGGCGTTGCATAAATGCTTGTATATTAACTGATTAATGTGCCTCCCACCCTCATGCTGGGAAGTGAGGATTTTCCACATTCTTTCAGAGTCCGTAGAAGGAACAGTCACCTTTCCTCTGGTCATTCTTGAGTCCCCGTCATCTCCAGGTGATTCTCTTCAGTGTAGCACAACTCCGTCTCTTTAATTCCTATTGCCCTCCATTTCTCATGCTTTCAGAATGGGTGATGCCTCTCCCTCCAACCCAGCACGTGAGTGTTGAGATCAGCTATAATTTTGAGGCCTTAAAAGAAATGCCCTGGGTTCATTAAATTCTAATTGCATTGATGGTGAGGAAAGATAGTTGCTTTAATTAAGAAAGACCTCCCTTGGCCAATGCTGTGGTTGTGGTGGTGGTAGTGGAGAGTGCTGTTGCTGCTGCTGTGACAAATGCTGATTATTTATGTGGTTTTCAGGGGAGTTCAGAAGCATCAGTTCACACCCACAGGCAGCCCAGTCTTTGTGTCTACCAAACATCTACAGTCTGTCATTACTTTCCTTGGGAACTTACCCAAGAGGGGAAACTTTTACCAGCTTTGGATCCTACTCAAAGTTCAGGGCACATGTCTTCCAGGAAAATAAAATCCCCCCAAATAACATACCTCTGAAGGGATTAATTCTGGTTCTAATTTCTCTTTAACAGTCTGTTTCTCAACAGACCAGGGCAGAGACCCCTTCTAAGACTGATATTGAGATTATTCCATAAATAGCCCTTTCTTTTGAATTAAACATGGTCTGCCAATGAGGCCCACTTTTAAAATACTCTTGACATTTTAGAAGAAGGCCACTTAGTGAGTTGTGAACCCTTAGGGTGGATTCATACCGAGATACTGCAGCTCCAGGATGCTTGAAGGTGGAGGGGATGTAAGAGATGCTAGGAAGGAATGTGAGGATGTGACGGTACCATGGGGAAGTCCTGCCAACTTTACCAGTTTTCCCAAGGCCATTTGAGAAAATGGAAAGCAGGATCCAGCTCAGTTCAGAAGCATCTAAACTTTGAGTAGCTCAGAAGCCAAATGATAAGTTGAAACTGTAATAAAAGGGCAAATCTAATTTATTTTGGTTTGCTTATTGAAGAACAAGAGAGGTAAGCTGAAAAAAGCACATCCGAGTCACACTTAGGCTTGCAAATGTGGAAAGATCCTACAAAGGCCAGTTTGCTACAGCATCTTTGGCTTAAACTTTTCCAAACCAGCAGCAGACATGCTTATTCTTTAATCTTGAGAAAAGAGTTTCTCCAGATTCCCTGGACAGCCCTCCTGGTGCCTTTCAACCCAGGCAGGTAGGAAGTTCCCTTAGCTACCCAGTGAAAATCCTCCTGCTTCCTGCAACACCTGTCCTCAATGAAGGGCAGGGAAGAGCTTGTCCTTCATTCCTCATGGACTTGCCTGCACTTGAACTGTCAGTCCTTCCTGGGAAAATGGTTTCTCTGGGGGGGGGTACAGATGTGTCCACAGCACCATTCCCCATGGCCAAGTGCCAAGTGACGAAAGTGTCGGGCCTTTTGAAATTGTCAGAGAAACTGATTTTCTTGTCAAGTCTCATCCTGTACAGTTGGAGGGCCAAATTCTACTTTCATGTTAGCTGCCACAGAGATCAAAGGCTGCTGACAAGGAGCTGAAGGGTTTGTGCCTGGTCTGCTTCAACCTTTCCTCAGTCCAGCATGGGGAATGCTCTTGGCTTTCGGCTTTCTTGAACTCTTATCGATCCTCCTTTGTGGGCCAACAGATGAAGGGCCTGGGAAATAATTTGAGGGATCTAACTCAGAGAGAACATTCTTACATATGCAGCGTGAGGGAGGTGAGAAACGAGAGAAGACAAGGTGAGGTATGCACAGAGCCATCCTTTGCCTCAGAAAATTCAGGCATACTAAAATAACAGGGATGTGGAGGCAGTATCAGAGGAGAAGAAAGGGTGAGATATCAGTGCCTGGTGGACACTAGAGGGTCTCTCTCCAGGGAATCTCCCAGCAGAAGGACTAGTCTTTTTGTTGCTCATCTTTGGGTATTGCATGAAGGTAGGGCACAAAGGAGATGACTTCTGAAGCCTCTTCTTACATCATGTAAGCCTTTGAGGGAGAGAGGAGAGTGAGTGATGAGCAAATTCAGGTCAGCAGCAACCTTAGATATATCTAAAGGTGTATAATAAGTCAAAGGTAAGACTGCAGGTAGGGGAGGTAGTGGTGCAAATGAGCATTGTAGAAATCATCCAGGTACACCAGGAAGGGGACCGTGGTGATAGATGAGGTGTGGAGCATGGCACCAGGAGAATAGTACTTCTGCATTCAAGAGGGCCCGTTGCTGGCTTTTCACTTTGAGCCTTCTCTTTGGTTTTTTGTGTTGCCCTCTGCTCTTTATCTACTTTTCCTTCTGGTTTTTTGTGTTGCCCTCTGCTCTTTATCTACTTTTCCTTTTCAATACCCCAAGTTTTTCTGACCAGAAGGAACCACCTACGTGCATTTCTTTACCCACAGGCAATCTGCAGACCTCCACTGAACCAGACAAGGTAGATTCTCATGGTATTAGGCATTATGGGAGACACGAAAATCTCAGAAATGGGAAGAGAAAACATCTCCAGAAAAAGAGATATGGCACTGGTGTCTGATGACACCATTAGCCTGGAAAGCTTCCTTTTTACCTGGCCTGATTGTTGGGGGCTGTAAGACCCCGAGGCCAGGACCCCTCTCTATCGAGGTGGCCATATCTTCCTATTCATTCTCAACTCATTTACTTACATGGCACTTATAATAATGTGCTATCCAATTCTATTTGGTTCTAGAGCTGTAGCAACAGGTTGGATGGTAACTTTGTGTAATTTGTGTAGAGGGGAGTCCCATTATTTTAATGTGTTTGGTTTCTACATTTCAGGTAGCAAATAGTGAGAATTCAGATAGCAAGGTATTATCCAAACATTTATCTGAATTTACTAAGTTCCTGAGTTTAGATAGCAAAGTTTACTTATTTCCATAAAACTGACAGTGGATTTCTTGAGGATAAGCCCCATGCTTCTCTTTGTTTCTGCCTGGTACATGATGCACTGCCTAAATGCTCAATGAATAAATCAAATTATATCAAAAGGATAGAAAACACAGGTTAGCCATTGGAGTGGATGGAACAGTTGGGATTGGGCTCTAGAATATGAAAAGCATATGAAAAATAATACAAATGAATATTAAAAAAAGTTCTCAACCTTGGCTCTCTCTAAGAATTGTCCAGAAAGCTTTTAAAACACACTGGTGTTCAGGCCTCATTCTGAGCCAATCAACTCAGAATGGAACTATTGAAAGCTCCTCAGATGACCCCAGTGGGAATCCAGGGTTGAGAACTACCAGGCTAACATAATTTACTGTTTCTATTGGAAAGCTATATGGTATGCATGTCCTACTGGTAGTAGGTTTGGCCTCTACCAGCTGACACATGTTAGAAAAACCGTATTTGCATGCAGCCAGATGGGCAACACCCAGGTTTGATTAACCATCTGGGCCATTGAGAACATCAATATAACTTTATTACTTTCTTCATTTCATGAAGATTTACTAAGCCCAGCAGCATGCTAGATGCTGGGAGGGTTATGAAAGGGCCTAAGGCAAGGCACCTTGTTTCCAGGTGAGAGACAAGGCGAAGGCCAGCACACTTGAGTCTCTGTGATGCAGTACCTCAGCAATTACATGCCAAAGTGCATAGTGGGATCAACGTGGTGGTAGGAGTGCAGAGGAGGTGGCATATTACACAGGGAAGTCAGTCTTGAGCTGGATTTCAAAGGATGAGTGGGACTTGAAGAGATGGAGGGGAAAGAAAAGGACAATTCCAATTCCAGACACAAGTAGTAGAGGGTCTGACAGTGGCAGATTTCTCTGACCCTCCGCTGGCCCTTTGATTGCAATCAGGTCTCCTGGTGCTAGGTGGAAGTCAGATGGGGACAGCAACATCTTTCTGGTGTATGCACAGACTCCCTTTCCCTTTCCTCTCACCAGCTTCCCCCTGCTCTCCCTTTCTGGCCTCCACATGTGGACTAGAAACTCAGGATTAGAAACCCAACTTCTACCACCTACTCCAGCTCTCTTGACTTGGTGATAGAGCTGGACTTCCTTCTTGATCTTACAGTCCCCTGAGTTCTGCCCACTCTTGATTTTAGCACCTCTGGGAACTTTCGGGGAAGGACAGTCTACTTCATGTGGCTCCTGGGCCTTTCTCCAGCTGGGCTAGCCCAACCTCCTCTCCTTCCCTCTGGCATGTACCCCAGAATTCTAATACATTGTCTCATCCAGGGCAACGAAGAAGATAGTCATGATGCCTGTTCCTACAAGAGTGCTTCTCTGCCTTTTTCTCATCATAGAATACATAAGAAAAATGAAAACATTCATATGGTAAATAGAACTAACTGTTCTCTGCCATGGTGCTGAAGTGACTGGCCCTGAGAGCTGAGGAGATCAAGATCTACCTACCTGTAACCAAGGTGTTACACCCCAGAGGAAAAGCTGTGTCCTGAACAATGCTGCCAGCAGATACCCTAAACTTGTGCCAACCTCTAGGTAAGCAGAACTGTTCCAGTTAGGGTACCCCCATCTTTAAAAAAGAGAAATATTTTAGTGGAGATACAGATGTTAAAGTCAAAATTGAGACATTTTGGTTTTAAAAACTAGGTTTTGATAGCTCGGTAAAACCTAGGGAACTGGTTCTGACTTGGGCAAGAATATGTCTCTTCTTCATAGTTCTTGGCAAGGGGGAAAATCCTAAAGGTGCTAAAGAGTTTTGCATCACCCAGTTGGGGCAGGGCCTTCGTTTGCCAATGGGACATGTTGTCCAGCCACAGCCAAAACTAGCCCCTATCAGCAGCCATGGAGGATCTCTGATCTGGAAGTAGAATCCCATGTCTTAGTTGCAGCAAGATCGGATGGGGGCAAGGCAGCACCACGGCTGTGAAGTTCAACCGAAGAGCAAATAAGTGTTCAAGGATATGTACAAAGATCTGCTGGGGTCCAGGCAGGCAGTTGGGAAGTTGTCTAGTACGAAACAGTAGAATGTTCCAATAGGTGGACACAATGCACCAATAGGTGATGGAGAAAGGCAACAAGCAACTCTTGAAACTTAATGTCTAGACAGGTGGATGTCTAGATACCTGAAACTCCAGGGCTGGAGCGAACAAGGCAGGTGGATACTGGAACTGCTGGGTCTTCTCTTCAGTATGACAACACCAGGGAGGGCCCAACAGGTCAGGGATCCCAGAGTCAAGCTGAGAAATCTGACTACTAGTCAAGTATTCTGTGTGAGCCAAGCAAGGGAGAAGGAGACAAGCCTGGAGTTAGGGAGGACAAGTGAAGCTAGGATGCCCCAAAGAGGGTCAGAGCTAAAGCAAATAAGCGGCCAAGAGTAATGTGTGCTCTTCAGAGTTATGGATTATGGCTTATGTATGTCTGTGTTCCTATACCTACCATAGAGCTGCCATGTGGTTGAATGAATTTTTTTTTGAATGAATGAGTGAACGAATATAGGAGCGAGGCCAAAGTCATAAGGATCAAGTGGTTCAAGCTACAGAGCCAAGGCCTGCAGAGGGTGAGAAATCAAATCCAGGTAACTTGACAAGTGTTAGCAGATGCGTCTGAAGTTCCCCTGGAAGTGTGCTGGGCTACTGGCATGGGGGGCATTACAGTCTAGACAGAACCAAGGCACAGGGCAAGTAACAGCAACAATGCCGTAGTGTTTTCAGGTTTACAAAGGGTGCTCACATACCTTATCTAGTGCATCTCAGCAACCTCCTGAGGATATGCAAGAGTGGATTAGATGTGCTCCCTGTCCTCAGACCGTGCTTTTCCTCCTTGAGTGCCAATCAGATGGAGTGGAAGCCAGTGGATTGTTTACCTATAGCACATGTGCAGTGGGAAGTCAGAAGGCCAAGAGGAGAAACTTTGGCTCCATTCAAAAGCCAGCTGTGCAAGGCTCCCTGGTGGATGAGGGACCGAGGAGCCAGAATAAATATTTAACTTTCATTTTGAAACACTGTCCTTGTGTGGCTGTCACCATTGTGTTGGACAAGATGTGGAGCTAAATATTTACACTTTCTAATTGTTCCCCAAACTGCTGGATGCCCCCAATCTACTGTAAGCTGTCTGTCTGTCTGTCTGTCTGTCTGTTTATTCATTCACTCATTTGTTCACTTACTTTCCTAATTTTAAAATGTATATGTTAGTTTGGGAAGGAGGTTGAGGGGGAGGAGAGGAGGTGCAGAGGTTGACTCAAGATTCTCTTCCATTTCAGAGAAAGGAAATAAAACCACGAGATGGAAAGTAGAGGCTGAGAAAATGCTGACTGGCTTCTGGATCTGTTACACACATTTGGTTTTTTTTTTTTTTTTTTACTTTTTATTTTGGAATAATTTTAGATTTACCAAAATGTTACAAAGATAGTAAAGAAAGTTCCCGTATATCTTTCACCCAGCTTCCCCTCATGTCAGCATCTTACGTAACGATGGTACCTTTGTCAAAACGTAGAAATTAACATTGGTACAATACGATTAACTAAGCTCCACAGTTACTGAGTGTCACCAGTGTTCTCACTACTGTCCCTTTTCTGTTCCAGGATCCAATCCTGGATACCACGTTTCATTTAGTCATCATGTCTCTTTGGTCTCATGGGATCTGTTAGCTTCTCAGTTTTTTATAACCTTAATAGTTTTAAAAGGTAGTGACTGGTTATTTTGTAGAATGTCTGTCAATTTGGGTTTTTCTGATGTTTTTCTCAGGATTAGACTAGGTGTTATGAGTTTTAGGAGAGAATACCACAGAGGTGAAGTCCTCTTAATAATCCTATCGGGATGCATGCTATCAGCATGACTTAAGCACTGGTAAGGTTGACCTTGTTTCTCTGCTGTAAAGTTACCATTTTCCTCTTTCTATATTCTATTCTTTGGATGTAAGTTACTAAGTCCAGCCCACACTCAAAGGGAGAGGAATCAAGCTCCGTGTTCTGGAGGAGAGATTATCTACAGATATTTGAAATTATTCTCTAAGGGAGATTCGTCCCTTTTCCCCTTCTCCTCCTTTTATTTATTCAATGATTTGTGTATATCTTCGTATCAGTTTCCTAGGGCCGTTGTAACAAATTGCCACAAACTGGGTGGCTTAAAACAACAGAATGTTACTCTTTCATAATTTAGGATCAAGGAAGTCTGAAATCAAGGTGTTGCCAGGGTGAATTCCTTCTGGGGGCTCTGAGGGAGAATCTGTCCCATGCCTCTCTCCTGGCTTCTGATGGTTGCTCTGGGGGCTCTGAGGGAGAATCTGTCCCATGCCTCTCTCCTGGCTTCTGATGGTTGCTGGCAACCTTGGTGGACCTTGGCTTGTAGACACATCATCTTGGTCTCTGCCTGAGGTTCACACCGGCTTCTTCTCTGTTTGTGTCTCTGGGTCCTTTCCTCTTCTTATGAGAACACCGGTCATCGGATTTAAGATCACCCCTAAATCCAGGATGATTTCATATCAAGATCCTTAACTAATTACATTGGTAAAGATGCTATTTCTAAGTAAGGTCCCACTGCAAGGTTCCAGTGAACATGAATTTTGAGGACACAATTCAACTCTTTATGGATGGTATGGACTCATGTATATTTATCTTTTGGATTAGAATCAAATTATTTATTTATTTCCTCAGATTGTTTCAGCTTTGGCCATTGGGAGTTCTTCCAGAATGGCTTCAGTATCCTCTGACGTGTCTCCGTCTTTTCTTCTCTCTCTCTCTCTCTCTCTCCTGTGTGTTTTAGTACTTCCTTACTTCTAGATGCTAAAAGATACTTGGGGCTGCTCTTGTATTTTCCTTGTCCCAGCCCTAGCATCAGCCATTTCTCCACAGAGCCCTGGTTGGTTTTCTTTTATTGGAGTATGGTATTCCCTAGCACCACTGGAGATCCAAGTGCTGGTTCTGTTTGTTGCTGCTGGGCTTTCTCTGCTTCTGGGTCCTCTGTGCAGACAGAACTAGGAAATCTGTGTATTGTAATCTAACCCATCCATAAAGACATATCCCTATTCATTTCTGTATCTACATAGCTGTTACATATTAAAATAAAGATGAGCTCTTACTGATCTCTCCTACTCTAATCCAGGACCCAGGGGGCACTTCCTGGCCCCTCCAGCTTCATTGTCACTTCTTTCTTTGACAGAGAGAAACCTGGCTCCCATTATTCACAATTTATTTACTTATTTCTTCTTCCCTGATATCATGTAAAGTAGTTTCAGAATCGTTAACCTGGACCTCTGTGAGAAACAGACTTACCAACTAGAGTACAGTGTCTTTGTATAGTTCTTTTTGTCATTAGCCTTATAGTTTCCAGTCAAAACACCATTTCCCAAAGTTACTTAGATCATCTTCTTTTTTCCACACTCCCCCTCAGTGGGGTTATGCCATACATTTTGCAATACAGTTAGATTCATTTGTCAAAGTGTGCACTCCATTCTGGGTCCCCCTAAACATCTTGGTTGATTTTTTTGCAATTTGCATACAGTGAAGTTCAGTTCTAGGGGTTTTGAAAAGTGCACAGAGTCGGGTAACTATACCACCCAATTCCATGCAGCACCATTCCATCACCGCCAAATTTCGCTGAGCACACTATATTGTTGTCGATGAGATACTGATCATTTCTTACAGGATCCTACTCTGAGTGGGTAACATCTACAAAGAGCAGTTTCCCATCCACTACAGAAGACACAGTCTGCTATGAGATGCACATTCATTTCGTTGCTTACAGCACATGTGGGGTGGCACTTCAAAAGGATGCAGAAAAGGAAGAAACTCTTAGGAGGCTGAATAGTATTTTGTGGCAAAATAGAGGTTTTTGAAAGCTATTTCAAACTAATAATTTGTTAATTTAATGTAACAATAAACAATATTATTTATTGACTTCCTATGTATTCATCTGGTGTTAGGCAATTTGGGAAAGACAGGAAACACATTAGCATGAGAAGGGTGGGGTTGGCAGGAGGCAATTCTAGTTAAATGTGGTGAATTGAGTGCACACATTGATATCCATGCCTTCAACCCCAGTAGCAAGATAGGACAGAATAAAAATATATCCTACGAGGACAAAAAGAGGAGCCCATACAGACAAAACACTTCAGCTAGATGAGGCTATCCCTACATATATCCGCATGGCTAACTGCCTGACTTCTCTCAGGCCTTTGCTCAAATGTCCTTTTTAATGAACCTACCTCATCCACCCCATTAAAATTACAACCCAACACACCCCTCCCACACTTCCGATTACCTTATCCTGCTCTAATACCACACATTATGTACTTATGTATTATGCTTACTGCCTGTTTTGTTCACTGATACATCCCAGCCCCCTAGAATAATATTCTTCACATTGTAGGCACTTAATAAGTTAAGAACAAATTATTATTGTGGTCAATGGAAAGTTGATAAATGAATGGGAACGGACTTGGCAGAGCAGAGAAATTCATAGATACTTAAGGTAGAGGGACTAATGTGAAACCAGTCCCCTAAGGCCCAGGAGTAGGAGGCACCGAGTGCCTTGAAAGGTGGCACTATAAACCTGGGATTGTTAACAGATTATGGGAGAACCCTTTCTCCCCACCCAGGCGACCAGGACACAGCTTTTTTCCTTACTCTAGCAGAGGATCAAAGAGGTTAAACCAGAGAGAAAGATTCCTCTTTTAGGAAATTGCCTGGCTCAAGATAAAGACTCATAGGCAGTGGCATTAGGGATCAATAAGCAATGTCTAAAAGTGAAAAATCAGGAAATAGCAGGATATTTTATTATAAGCTTTGCAATACTGTTTGACTGTCATGCACACATACTAACCTGAATAAAATAAAATTAGACTAGAAAAAGAAACAACCTAGGGACACCTATTTTGTTTGGCACCATCAAAGGAGTAAGTTGATTTCCCAGAAAATTGAAGGTTTTCTCCGAAAACCATACTTTTGTTAATAGAAATATTAAATTTTAAATGTACTTAAATATATTTTATTAAATTTATTTTATTATGGAAACATGTAAATGGACATAAAAGGAAAGAGAACAGTATACTCATCACCTAGTTTCAACAGTTATTTTTAAAATAGTTTCATCTATTTGTCTACCTATTTATGTATTTTACTAGAGATTTTTAAAACAAATTTCAGACATCACACAATTTTTCCACCAAATACTTCTGTATGTATCTTGGCAAATAAAAAAAATTAGATCACTTGTCTTATAAGATTTCTCTAACTTTGTATTTGTCAGATTATTTATTTTCTTGTGCACTTAAAGTCTTTTTCCTTTTATTTACTGTAAATTTGTAGAGCTAAGATCCAAATTAGTTTCAAGTCTATAGTGCATCATATCAGGGGACATATAATACCTGGTTGTCCCATTCTTTGTGATATGAAGTTTATTCAGTGAGTTAAGGGACTCATCCATTACTATGTTTCCATCAGCCTTTCAATTCGTGGTCTTACCATCCATTGACATCACGAGTTCATTAGACATTGCAAAATGCCATTCCTTTTGCATATATTAATTAGCGTTCTATAAAATAGAACTTTGAACTACAGCCGTGTGTCACTTAATGACAGAGATATGTTCTGAAAAATGTTGTCGTTAAGTGATTTCATCGTGTGAACATCACAGAGTGCGCAAATACTACATGCCTAGGCATATGGGCCAGCCTTTTAGGCTACAAAACTTATAGCATGTTACTATACTGAATACTGTAGGCAGTTACAAAACAATGGTAAGTATTTGTATATGTAAACATAGCTAAGCATAGAAATGATATAGTAAAAAATATGGCATAATTTTGAGGTGGGTGGATCACTTGAGGTCAGGAGCTCGGGAACAGCCTGGCCAACATGGTGGTGTTGCACACCTGTAGTCCCAGCAACTCGGGAGGCTGAGGCAGAAGGATTGCTAGGAGGCAGAGGTTGCAGTGAGCTGAGATCGTAACACTGCACTCCAGCCTGGGTGACAGAGAGAGGCTCTGTCTGAAACAAAAACAAAAACAAAAGAGCATAATCTATAACCTTATGGGACTACCATCATATTGTTATGTGGTGCATAACTGTATTGGATATCCTGGGAAAAGTAGGATAATTGCTTAATAGTGTTTCTTTATTCATTTTTGGAATAATGCATTGATGCCCTAGCAATTTTCAAAGGTGTCCAATGAGCATTGTTTGTTGCTCTGTTTTGAGGAATCATTAAGGATTCAGGATTTTTAAATCAAACTTATTGGGGCATAATTTACATAAAGTACAATGCACACATTTTGACAAATGTATAACCTACCATATAACTACTGCCACAATCAAGACAGAACATTTCCATGACCCCAAAGATTTTCTTTTACCCCTTTGCAGACAGTCATTCCCTCCATTTTCATCCCCAGGCAATCACACGTCTGCTTTCTTTCACTATTGATTAGTTTGCTTGTTCTAGACTTTCTTATAAGTAGACTTACACGGTAAATACTCTTTGTTTCTGACTTCTTTCACATGGCATAATGTTTTTGAGATTCCTTCATGTTACTTGTATTAATAGTTTTTATTACTGAGTAGTATTCCATTTTATGAATATACACCAACTTGTTTATATGTTCATCTGTTAATAGATATTTAGGGTGGTGTTAGTTTTTGGCTATTAAAAATAAAACTGCTATGAGCATTTGTATACTAGCCTTTATGGGAACAAATGCTTTCATTTCTCTTGGGTAAATACTTAGGAATAGAATTTTGAATTGTGTGGTAGATGGATATTTGTGAGTAATCACTAAACTTTTTCAAAGTGGTTGCACCCTTGTCTTCCTACCAGCAATATATGAGAGTTCCACTTGTTCTATACCTTTGCAACACTTGGTCTTGTTGGTCTTTTAAAGTTTATTAATCAGTTGCTCTAGAGGGTGTGAAATGGTATCTCATTGTGATTTTAGTTTGTTCTTCCTGATAATTAATAAACCTTTCAGCATCCTTTCATGGACTTATAGGCCGTTCATACATCTTCTTTTGTAAGTGCCTGTTCAAATCTTTTGCTCATTTTTAATACACTTTATTTTCTGGAGGAATTTTAGGTTCATGGCAAAATTGAGAGGAAGAAACAGAGATATCCCATAAACCCATTGCCCACACACACACATAGCCTCTTCCATTATCAATATTCTCCACCAAAGTGATAAATTTCTTACAACTGATAAACCTACATTGGCACATCATTATCCCCCAAAGACCATAGTTTATAGTAGGGTTCAATCTTGGTGGTGTACATTTTATGGGTTTGGACAAATATGTGACTTATATCTACCATATAGTTTTATACAGAGTAGTTTCCTAAGATCTTCTAAAAATTCTCTGTGGCCTGCCTTTTCATTCTTTTCTCCTCTACTACCCCTGGCGACCACTGGTCTTTTGCTACCTCCATAGTTCTGCCTTTTCCAGAATATCATATAGTTGGAATTAATTGTACAGTATGTAGCCTTTTCAGATTAGCTTCTTTCGTTTAGTAATATGCACTTAAGGCTCCTCCATGTCTTCTCACAGTTTGACAGTTCATTTCTTTTTAGCACTGAATAACATTTCATTGTCTGGATGTACTACGGTTTATTTATCCATTCACTGACAGAAAGACATCTTGGTTGCTTCCAAGTCTTGGCAGTTTTGAATAAAGCTGCTATAAACATCTGTATGCAGGTTTTTGTGTGGACGCAAATTTTCAGTTTCTTTGGGTAAATACTGAAGAGTTTTGACGTTGCTAATCAGTTGCCAATCATACTGCAAGAGTATGTTTCGTTTTACAATAAACTGCCAAACTATCTTACAAAGTGACTGTATCATTTTGCATTCCCACCAGCGGTGAATGAGAATTTCCATTGCTCTACATCATAACCAGAATTTGTTTTTTTCAGTGTTCTGGATTTTGGTCATTCTAATATGTGTGTAATGGTATCTCATTTTTTGTTTTAATTGCATTTCCCTGACGATATATGATACTGGACATCTTTTCATATGCTTATTTGCCATCTGTATGTATTTTTTTCACAGATGTCTGTTAAGGTCTTTTCCCCTTAATACTTTAATCATATTTTTCTCTTCTTATTGTTTAGTTTTAAAACTTTTGTATTTAAAAAAACAATTTTATTGTGTTTATTTGAAGTATACAGCGTGGTGTTATGAGTCTTTGTATGTTTTGGATAACAATCTTTTATCAGATATGTCTTTTGCAAATATTTTCTCCCAGTCTGTGGCTTGCCTTTTCATTCTCTTGACAGTGTCTTTTGCAGAGCAGAAATTTTTAATTTTAATGAGGTCCAGCTTATGAGTTCTTTCTTTCAAGGCTCATGCCGTCAACGTCCTATCTAAACAGTCATTGCCGAGCTGGTCATCTAAGTTTTCTCCTATGTTGTCTTCCATAAGTTTTATAGTTCTGCCTTGTGCATTTAAGTCTGTGATACATTTTGAGTTAATTTTTGTGAAGAGTGTAAGTTCTGTGTCCAGATTCATATTTTTAAATGTTCAATGTAGTGATTCCACATCATTTGTTGAAAAGACTCATTTCTTTACTGTATTGCCTTTTTCCCTTTGTCAAAGATCAGTTGACTCTATTGATGTGCCTATTTTGGGACTCTATTCTGTTCCATGGATCTACTTGTCTATTCCTTTGACAATATTACACTGTGTTGATTACTGTAGCTTTATATGAAGGAAGTCTTGAAGTTGGCTTAGTGTCAATCCTCTGACTCTCTTCTTCCCCTTTAACATTGTTAACTATTTTGTATCTTTTGCCTCACCATATAAATTTTAGAATCAGTTTTCTGCCATCCACAAAATAGCTTGCTCAGATTTTGACTGGGATGCATCAAATCAATAGATCAAATTGGGAAGAACTTGACAGTATTGAATCCTCCTATCCACAAACATGGAATATCTTTCTATTTTCCATTTATTTAATTCTTTGATTTGTTTCATTAGAGTTTTCCAGTTGTCTTCATATAGATCTTGTATACATATTATTAGATTTCTACCTACTTAATTTTTAGATGCTAATGTAAATGGTATTGTTTCTAATTTTAAATTCCACTTGTTCATTACTAATATATAGGAAAGTGGCTGACTTTTTTATATTACCCTTGTGTTCTACAACCTTGCTATAATACTTATTAGTCCCAGGAGTTTTCGTCAATTATTTTAGATTTCTACATAGACAATTATGTCAGATGCAAACAAAGACATTTTTATTTCTTCCTTCACAATCAGTAAATCTTTTATTTCCTTTCCTTCTCTTATTGCATTAACTAGGACTTTTGGTATAATGTTGAAAAAGACGATGAGAGGGGACATCCTTGCCTTCTTTTTGATCTGAGTAGGAATGCTTCTAGTTTCTCACCATTAAGTATAATGTTTGTTGTAGGGGTTTGATAGACATTCTTTATCAAGTTGGGCACATTCCCTTCTATGCCTTGTTTGCCAAGAGTTTTATTCTTTTTAATCATGAACGAGTGTTGGATTTTGTCAAATGCTCTTTCTATGTCTATTGATAAGATCATGTAATTTTTCTTATTTAGCCTGGTGATATTATGGATTATATAAATTGATATTCAAATGTTGAGCCAGCCTGGCATACCTGGAATAAATCTTACTTGGCCGTGATACAGAATTCTTTTTATACATTGTCGGATTCAATTTACTAATATTTTGGTTGTGTATGTGCGTGTATGTGTATGTCTGTGTGTGTTTGAGACAGGGTCTCACTCTGTCGCTCAGGCTGGAGTGCCGTGGTACAGTCTTAGCTCACTGCAGCCTCAACCTTCTGGACTCAAGCGATCCTCCCTCTTTAGCCTCCCAAGTAGCTGGGACTACAGGCATGCACCACTACGCTTTGCTAATTTTTGTATTTTTTTGTAGAGAGGGGTTTTCACCATGTTGCCTGGGCTAGTCTTGAACTCCTGAGCTTGAGCAATCCACCTGCCTCGGCTTCCCAAAGTGCTGACGTGACAGGTGTGAGCCACTGCACCTGTCCCTTTAATAATATTTTGTTGAGGGTCTTTGCATCTATGTTCACAAGAGATCATGATCTGTAGTTTTCTCTTGTAATGTCTTTGTCTGGTTTGGGTATCAGAGTAGTGCTGGTCTCAAAGAATACAAAGTATTTCCTCTTCTCCTGTCCTCTGAAAGAGATTGTAGAGAATTTGTATAATTTCTTCCCTAAATGTTTGCTATAATTCACCAATGAAACCATCTGGGCTGGCCTCATACTTTCTGTTTTGGAAGGTTACTCATTGATTCCATTTCTTTAATAGATACAGGTCTATTTCAATGGTCTATTTCTTCTTGGGTGAGTTTTGGCAGATTGTTTCTTTCAAGGATATGATCCATTCATCTAGGCTATCAAATTTGTTCATAATCTTCCTGCATTATCTTGTTAATTTCCATGGAGTCTTTAGTGATGCCCCCTCTTTCATTTCTGATGTTGGTAATTTGTGTCTTCCCTTTTATTTTTTCTTAATTAGCCTGACTGGAGGCTTATTCATTTTATTGATCTTTTCAAAGGACCAGTTTTTAGCTCCATTGATCTTGATTGATTTCCATTTTTATATTTTATCGATTTCTGCTCTAATTTTTTATTTCTTTTTTCTGTTTACTACAGATTTAATTTGCATTTCTTTTTCTACTTTACTGCATTGAAAACTTTGATTATGTTTAGTTTTTCTTTTTAAAATATGCATTCACTGCTATAAATTTCCCTTTAAGCATTGCTTTTGCTACATTCTACAGTTTTTCATAAGTTGTGTTTTCATTTTAATTCAGTTGAAAATATTGTTAAATTTCTTTTGATATTTTCTCTTTAACTCGTGCTATTTGGATATGTGTTCTTTAATCTCCAAGTATTTGGGAATTTTCATTTATCTTTCTGTCATTGATTTCTAGTTTATTACAGTCTGAAACAAGACATTGTGTGATTGTTATCTTATAAATGTGTCAAGGTGTTTTATGGCTCAGAATGTGATCTATTCTGATGAATATACCATATGAGCTTGAGAAGAATGTGCATTCTGCTACTGTTGAATGAAATAGTCTATAGCCTACAGAAACCTCACACATTTTGATATTCTGTTATTAGGCACATACATCTTAAGAATTGTTATGATTTCTTGAACTGATCCCTTTATCACTATGTAATGCCCCTCTTTAACCCTGTTAACTTTTCTTGCCCTGATGTCTGCTATGTCTGAAATATAGCTACCTCTGCTTTCCTTTGATTACTGTTAACATGATATATCTTTTTCCATCCATTTGCTTCTAATCTATATGTGTATCTGTATTTAAAGTTCTGTCTTTTACATGGTACATTTAGACCACTGATGTTCAAAGTGATTATTGATCTAGTTGGATTAAAATCTACCATATTTATCACTATTTTCTATTTGTTTTCCTGTTCTTTGTTCTTATTTTTGTCTCCCACTTGTTTTCTGCCTTTTGTGGTTTTAATAGAGCATTTTGTATGATTTCCTTCTCTCTTCTTTCTTAATGTATCAGTCATACTTCTTTTTTCCTTTTGTTTTTAGTGGTTTCCCTAGAGTTTGCAATATGCATTTATAAGTAATCCAAGTCCACTTTGAAATAACACTATACTGCTCCATAGGTATGTGAGTACCTTATAATAAGAAAACTTTCCCAATTCCTCCCTCTCCTCTTGTATTATTGCTGTTGTTCATTTCTTTTATACATAGTATATATACATATATTTTATATAATCGAATGCTATTGTGGCTGTTATCATGATGAAGTTATTTGTTAGATCAATTAAGAATAAGATAAATAAAAGTTTTTATTCTACCTTTACTTAATCCTTTTTAAGAGTGCTTCCTTTCTTCATGTAGATCCAAGTTTCTGACCTATATCATTTTCCTTTGCTTTTAGCATTTCTTGCAAGGCAGGTCTACTGGCAACATGTTATCTCAATTTTTGTTTGAGAGTCTTCATTTCTCCTTCACTTTTGAAGGATAATTTCACAGGGTACAGAATTTAAGATTGGTGGGTTTCTTTCTCTTGGCACTTTAAATATTTTACTCTACTCTCTTCTTTCTTGCATGGTTTCTGAGAAGTCAGATGCAATTTTTATCTTTGCTCTTCTATAGATAAGTCATTTTTCCCTCTTTTCTTTCAAGATTTTTTCTTTACCTTTGATTATCTTAAGTTTGAATATGACACACTTAGGTGTGATTGTTTTTTGTTTGCTTGTTTATTTTTGGCATTTACCTTGGTTGGTGTTTTCTGAGCTTCCTGGAGGCGTATTTTGGTATCTGATATTAATTTGAGAAATTTATTAGTCATTATTGTTTCAAATATTCTTTCTTCTAGAATCTCATTACATGTATGTTATACCTTTTATAGCTGTCTTGCAGTTCTTATATATTCTGTTCTGTTTTTTTCTTCCCAGTCTTTTTTTCTGTTTGCTTTTCAGTTTTATAGGTTTCTATTGAGACATTCTCAAGCTCAGAGATTCTTTCCTCAGCTATGTCCAGTCTCCAGTAAGCCTATCAAAGGCATTCTTCATTTCTGTTCTGATGTTTTTGATCTCTAGCATTTCTTTTTAGTTCTTTCTTAGAATTTCCATATCTCTGTTTCTATTGCCCATCTGTTCTTGCAGGCTGTCTACTTTACCCATGAGAGGCCTTAGCATATTAATCACAGCTGCTTTAAATTCCTGGTCTGATAAGTCCAATATCCCTGCCATATCTAAATCTAGTTGTGATGCTTGCTCTTCCTCTTCAAACGGTGTTATTTGCCTTTTAGTATGTTTTGTAATTTTTCTTGATAGCCAGACATGATGTGTCAGGCAAAAGGAACTGCTGTAAGTAGGCCGTTGGTATGTGATGGTGAGATGTGGAGGGAGGGGAAGCATTCTGTAGTCACATGATTAGGTCTCAGTCTTTTAGTGAGCCTGTGCCTCTGGGCTGTGAACTTCTTCACAAGTGCTTCTTAGTTCTTTTCTCCTCCTAGGTGGGACATGATGGCTACAGTGAGCTGAAGTTGGGTGTTTCCTTTCCCCCAAGTCAGTTAGACTCTGATAAAACCCCAGTGTGTTTGGCTCAGGTTAAACAGCTTCTCCTGAGGGCAGGCCTTGTGAAGAAGACTAAGGTGCTCTGGTGTATTTCAGAATGGTTCCTCCTCCCTCCCCCTGCCAAAAGCAGGAGGGTATTTCTCTCCACTATTCATTGTGAGAACCAAGTCCAGCTCCTGGAGATAAAATTTGGGAAAGTAGGGGGCTCCTCCTATAACTGAGTCCCCCTGGAGTTTTCAGCTCTCAGAGTTGTCCACATAGGGCCTCCAGCAATTGGTCAATTCCATTTCAGGTTTTCCTGCCCCAGCACTGGTTTCTGCAGAGGTTTTTGTTTGTGGGTTTCTATTCTGTGAAGTCACCTGTCTGTTTTCTCTATTTTGGTTCGCAACAGTTTGCCCTGTGGCCTTACTTCTCTTACTGACCTAAGAAGAGTTGCTGACTTTTCATTTTGTTTGGCTTTTTACTTGTTAGGATGAAGTGGTGACTTCTGGGCTTCTTACCTGCTGGATTGGAAGTCATAAGTCTTTCGTTCATCTTTTATTGGGCTGTTTGTGTTCTTAGCGTTGAGTTGTATATTCTAAATATAAGTCCTTTTTCAGATATGTGGATTGCAAATGTGTTCTCTCAACTCATGAGTTTTTATATATTGAATGGGTGTCAGCCAATTGCAGTTATTATTCTTTTTAATGCTCTAATTGTTCTATTTTTTAAGGCAAAGTTTTTTAAAGCACATATTTCAGCTGTTTTGTATGAAAAATGTCAGAAATGTATCTGTCAAAAGCAAAATCTATGGGACCCACAATTTAGATTACCTTAAGTAAATCATGAGTGTCATCATAAATACAATTCCTTTTGGGCCTGAGGAGAGAGAAGATGCTGACCACCTGTTTAATAAATGATTCCCTCCATCACATATGATGCTAAGGAAATAAAATCGGTTTTATAACAAACATGCCAGAACATTTTTTTTTTTTTTTTTTTTTTTGAGAGTGAGTCTCGCCCAGTCGCCCAGGCTGGAGTGCAGTGGTGAGATCTCAGCTCACTGCAAGCTCCGCCTCCCGGGTTCACGTCATTCTCTCGCCTCAGCCTCCCAAGTAGCTGGGACTACAGGCGCCCGCCACCATGTCCAGCTAGTTTTGTTTTTGTGCTTTTAGTAGAGACGGGGTTTCACCGTGTTAGCCAGTATGGTCTGGATCTCCTGACCTTGTGCTCCGCCTGCCTCTATCTCCCAAAGTGCTGGGATTACAGGCGTGAGCCTCCACACCCGGCCCAGAAGTAGAACTTCTTAAACAAAATGTGACTTGTTCTTCACACAGCTTAGGAGACTATCCGTGTATTCCAAAGTAGTTAATTGATGCAACTCAGCACATTTTTGAACTCTTCTTTGGGTGGCCTTCAGATTTCATTGAGGCGTCTTACAAGAAAATCAACTTGTGTCCTTCAACCATATTTAAAAGCAAGCGTTTAGTAAAACTTGACTCTGGGCCAGGCACCAAACTAGATGCCTTCATATCCATTATCACACTTAATCTTACACAAATCCTAAGAGATTGGCATAATTAGCTCTACTCTACAGATCGTGGCACCGACAGTGATAAAGATTAAGTTACATGCCTGGGGTCATGCAGTCACTAAGTAGCGAGACTGCACTTAAGCCTGGTTCTCACAGACCCCAAAGGCTGCGCTCATCACAGTATACCATAATGCCTCCCATCGTTTTTAGTGGTTTCAGAAAAATGAAATTCACTTCTGATGGCAGAAGGTTTGCAAGCTTTTTATACACTGTGGACTCCAAGGTTCATTTGGAAGAGCTTTCAAAACTGTTCTTAACAATGGCAGCTCCCAGAATAAGTGACCATTCTCCCAGAGTGATTGCTTCAGAGAAGACTTAGTGTTTCTCAGGGCAAATACCTTATTGTTTTTTTCACACCCTTTCTGCCTCTTTCGTTCTTTTTTGTTGCCTGTCCATTTTTACTCCTGTGAATATTTCCTGGTTTCTAATGTTCCTAATGTAATGTTTTTGTTTGCATTTGGTGGAGCGAGGGGAGCGGGAGTTGAGAGGGTTTGAGCCACTGCAGGTATTCAGATCTCAGTGATTTCTTTTGACTGCTAAGAGACCTTCCATGTAGTCTGTGGCCTAATTTTGAAAGTGTCTCAGTTTGGGACTTTTGACTTTTTTTGAAGTTAAACTTTTTATTTTGAGAATATTGTAGATTCACGTACCATGGTAAAAAATAATACAGAGAAATCCTAAGTACCCCTTACCTAGTATCCCCGAGTGGTGACATCTTTCAACGTTATAATACAATAGTACTACGGTAGAATATTACAACCAGGATATTGACATTGATACAGTAAAGATGCAAAACATCACCACTTTGCAGTCTGTCAATGAAACAAAATAACACTTGTACCCCATAAATTTATACAAATACAAATAAACAATTTTTAAAAACAAACAGAACATTTCTGTGACCATAAGGATCCTTTGTGTTGCCCTTTTATTTTATTTTTCTGAGACAGCGTCTCACTCTGTTGCCCGGGCTGAAGTACAGTAGCGCAGTCATAGCTCACTGCAGCCTTCACCTCCTAGGCTCAAGTGATCCTCCACCTCAGCTTCCCAAGTAGCTGGGTCTGTAAGTGCGTGCCACCATGCCCAGCTAATTTTTTTTTTTTTAAAAGAGTCTCGCTTTGTTGCCCAGGATGGAGTGCAGTGGTGCGATCTCAGCTCATGCAAACTCCGCCTCTCAGGTTCAAGTGATTCTCCTGCTTCAGCCTCCTGAGTAGCTGGGATTACAGGAGCACACCACCACGCCCAGTAATTTTTTGTATGTTTAGTAGAGATAGGGTTTCGCCATGTTGCCTGGGCTGGTCTTGACCTCCCGAGCTGAGGTGATCCGCCTGCCTCAGCCTCCCAAAGTGCTGGGATTATGGGCATGAGACACTGCACCCGACTCTAATTTTTAATTTCTTGTAGAAATGGGGTCTCGCTATGTTGCCCAGGCTGGTCTTGAAGTCCTGGGCTCAAGCGACCCTCCCACCTTGGCATCCCAAATTGCTGGGATTATAGGCATGAGCCACCATGCCCAACAGTGTCGTCTTTTTATAGCCACATCCACTTCCCTTCTTCAACTCTCCATCTTTAACCCCTGGCAACCACTGATCTCTTCTCTGCTTCTATAATTTTGTCACTTCAAAATGTTAGTACATGGAATTATACAATATGTAACACTTTGGGATTGGCTTTTTTCACTCAACATAATTCTCTGGAAGTTGATCTAGGTCATTTTAGAGACAATAGTTGATTTCTTTTTATTGCCACTGAATAGGATTCCATGGTATGGAAATTACCACAGTCTGTTTAACCATTCACTTGTTAAAGGACATCAGTCTTACTCTGAGAGCAAAACCAGACCAAGACAGTACCTACCAAACCAAACAAAAACTAGTTATTTCTAGCTTTGGACTGATATAAATAAAACTGCTATAAACATTAGTCTACAGATTTTCACATGAACATAAGTTTTCAATTCTCTGAGATAAATATCCAGGAGTTCAATTGCTGGGTCATATAATAGTTGCTTGTTTTGTTTTGTTTTAACTGCCAAACTGTTTTCTAGAGTGGTTGTACCATTTTACATTTCCACCAAAAATGTATGAGTGATCCAATTTCCCTGCATATTCACCACCAGCATTTGATGTTATTGTTTTGTTTATAAATTTTTTATTTTTTAATTTTTATTTTATTATTATTATCATTTTGAGATGGAGTCTCACTTTGTCATCCAGGCTGGAGTGCAGTGGCGCAATCTTGGCTCACTGCAAGCTCCCGGGTTCACACCATTCTCCTGCCTCAGCCTCCCGAGTAGCTGGGACTATAGGTGCCCGCCACCATGCCCTGCTAGTTTTTTTATTTTTTATTTTTAGTAGAGACAGCATTTCACTATGTTAGCCAGGATGGTCTCGATCTCCTGACCTCCTGATCCACCTGCCTCAGCCTCCCAGAGCACTGGGATTACAGGCATGAGCCACTGTGCCTGGCCTGTTTTATTTATAAATTATTTTTAATCAGACTTTAAATTTAAAATGGTTTTAGATATACAGAAAAGTTGCAAAGATAATACTGAGAGCTCCATATACCTTTTGCTATAGATTGAATTACGTCCCCCTCTACAAATTCATATGTTGAAGCTCTAGCCCTCAGTGTGATGGTATTTAGTGATGGGGTCTTTGGGTGATAATTAGGTTTAGATGAGATCATGAAGGTGGGGTCCTCTTGACGGGATTAGTCCTCAGATAAGACCAGAAGAATGATCTCTCTCTCTCTCTCTCTCTCTCTCTTTCTCTCCGTTTTCCTCTCCACCGTGTGAGCACTTAGCAAGGAGACAGCTGCTCTCTCTCTCTCTCTCTCTCTCTCTCTCTCTCTCTTTCTCTCCGTTTTCCTCTCCACCGTGTGAGCACTTAACAAGGAGACAGCTGTCTGCAAGGTGGGAAGAGAGCCCTCACCAGGAACACAACCATGCTGGCACCCTGATCTCAGACTTCCCAGCCTTGAGAAATAAATATCTGTTGTTTAGGCCACCCAGTCCATGATATTTTGTTATAACAGTCCAAACTAAGATGCCTTCACCCAGTTCCCCCTATTGTTGACATCTTAGATTTGTATGGTTCTTTCGTCACAATGATGGGACCAGCACTGGCACATTATTACTAACTAAACTTCACAGTTTATTCATATTTCACTATTTTGCTCCAATGTCCTTTTTCTGTTTGAGGATCCCATCCAGGATACCACGTTACTTTTACTTGTCATGTTTTCTTAGCCTTTTCTGGTCTGTGAGTGACTGTTTGTCATACTTTCCTTATTTTTGATGACCTCGACCGTTTTTGAGGAGCGTTGGCCAGATAGTTTATAGAATGTCCCTCAGTTGGGTTTGTTTGGTGTTTTTCTCATGACTAGAGTCAGGTAATGAATTTTGGAAGGATTACTACAAAGAGGAAGTGCCATGCCCACCACATTGTATTAAAGATACATACATGCAGTTGATATGACTGATGGTGTTGACCTGATCACCTGGGTAAGGATGTTTGCCAGGTCTCTCCAGTACCCAGTTACCTTTTGCTTGCCCTCTCTTTCAGACTCTACTCTTTGGAAGCAAGTCCCTAGCACAGCCCAAACTCACCGGTGTTAAGCTCCATCTCATTGAGAGGCAAGTAGCTATATAAATTATTTGGAACTCTTCTGTACTATTGTTTACTTTAGCCACTCTGATAGGTATATAATGATATTTCATCGTGGTCTCAATTTGTATTTCCCTAATGGCTAATGATGTTGAACATCTATTCATGTGCTTATTTGCCATCTGTACCTATGCTTCAATGAAATATCTCTTCATATTTTTTGTGCATTTTCTGCTTGGATTATTTGTTTTTACTATTGAGTTTAAAGAGTTTTTACATGTATTCCAGATATTAGATGATTTTCAGATCCATCATATGCAAATATTTCCTCCCAGTCTGTAACTTGTCTTTTCATCGTGTTAATAGGGTATTTCATGGATCAAAAATTTGTAATTTTTATGAAATCTAATTTATCAATTTTTCCTTTTGTGGATCACACTTTTGGTGTCAAGTCAAAGAATATTTTTCCTAGCCCCCTAGATTATGAAGATTTCCTCTGAGGCATTTATATAAAAGTTTGTGATTGATTTTGAGTTAATTTTGTATAAGGTATAAGACATAAGTCAAGGTTCATTTTTCTGTCTATAAATACCCACTTACTCCAGCGCCTTTGAAAATGCTGTCTTTCCTCCATTGCATTGCTTTTGCACCTTTGTCAAAAAGCAGTTGGAAAATCTTTTATTTCTTGGTTCTTCATTCTGCTTTATTGATCTCTATGTCTCTCTTTTTGCCAATAACATACAGTCTTAATTACCTTAGCTATATAAGTCTTGAAATTGGATAAACTGATTCCTTCCACTTCATTCTTCTTTTTCAAAATTGTTTTAGCTATTCTAGTTCCTTTGCCTTTCATATACATTTTAGAATAATCTTGTGTATATCTACCAAAAATTCTGCTGGGATTTTTGTAGGAATTTTGTTAAACCTGTATATCAATTTGGGAAGAATATCTTTACTGTATTGAATCCTCTAGCTCATGAACATGGTATGCCTCTCCATTTACTTAGGTCTTCCTTGATTTCTTTCATAAACATTTTGTAGTTTTTGGCACAGAAGTCTTCTACATATTTTGTTAGACTTATACCTAAGTACTTGGGTTTTTTAAAGCAAATGTAAATGGTATTTTTACCATTTTGCATTTTTAATTTCTGATGTCCACATGTTTGTTGCTATTATTTAGAAATATAATTGATTTAATATGTTTATCTTATAAACTCTACTATTAGTTTAGAATTTTTTGTAGATTACTTGTGGTTTTAGCTATAGACAGACAATTGTGTCATCAGGACAGTTTTATATCTTTCCTTCCAACATGTCTTTTATTTCCTTTTCTTGCCTCATTGCACTGGCTAGAACTTCTAGCACTATATTGAAAAAGGGCAGTGAGAGTGGACATCCTTGCCTTGTTTTTGATCTTAGGGAAGAAACATTCAGTTTTTCACCATTAAGTATAGTGTTAGCTGTAGGCTATTTGTAGATGCTCTTTATCAAATTGAGGAAGTTTCCTTTTCTTATTTTTTTCTGAGTTTTTAACATAAATGGCTATTGAGTTTTGTCAAATGCGTTTTCTACATTGATTGATTTGATCATGTGATTGTTCTTCATTTACTTGTTAATATTGTGGATTGACTGATTTTTAAGTATTGAGTCATTGCATCTCTAGAATATACCCCAGTTGGTAATGATATATAATTTTTTATATATATTGCTGAATTATTTTTGCTAATATTTTGTTTAAATTGTGTGTTTAAAAAATCATTAAGGATATTTGTCTAGTTTTTTATGGTTTTTTAAAATACTGTTTTTGCCACTCCTATTCAACATAGAATAGAAGTTCTGGCCAGGGCAATCAGGCAAGAAAAAGAAATAAAGGGTATTCACATAGGAAGAGAGAAAGTCAAATTTTCTCTGTTTGCAGATGATGCGATCCTATATCTAGAAAACCCCATCATCCCAACCCAAAACTCCTTAAGCTGATAAGCAACTTCAGCAAAGTCTCAGGATACAAAACCAATGTACAAAAATCATAAGCATTACTATACACCAACAACAGACAAGCAGAGAGCCAAATTATGAATGAACTCCCATTCACAATTGCCACAAAGAGAATAACATACTTAGGAATACAGCTAACAAGGGAAGTGAAGGACCTCTTCAAGGAGAACTACAAACCACTGCTCGAGGAAATAAGAGAGGACACAAACAAATGGAAAAACATTCCATGCTCATGGATAGGAAGAATAAATATTGTGAAAATGGCCATATTGCCCAAAGTAATTTATAGATTCAGTGCTATTCCCATTAAACTACCATTGACATTATTCACAGAATTAGAAAAAAAATGCTTAAGCCAAGTGCAGTAGTGGATGCCTGTAATTCCAGCGTTTTGGGAGGCTGAGGTGGGCGGATCACTTGAGGTCAGGAGTTTGAGACCAGCCTGGCCAACGTGGTGAAACCCTGTCTCTACAAAAAATACAAAAAAAAAAAAAAAATTAGCCAGGCATGGTGGGCGGCTGTAATCTCAGCTACTCAGGAGGCTAGGGCAGGAGAATCACTTGAACCTGGGAGGCAGAGGTTGTAGTGGCTGAGATCATGCCACTGCACTCCAGCCTGGGCAACAGAGCAAGACTCTGTCTCAAACACACACACACACACACACACACACACACACACACAAAACAAACAAACAAACAAAACCCTTAAAAATTCATATGGAACCAAAAAAGGGCCTGTATAGCCAAGACAATTCTAATCAGAAAGAACAAAGCTAGAGGCATCACGCTATCCAACTTCAAGCTATATTATAAGGCTACAGTAACCAAAATAGCATGGTATTGGTACAAAAACAGACACATAGACCAATGGAACAAAATAGAGATCTCAGAAATAAGACCACACATCTACAACCATCTGATCTTCAAAAAACCTGACAAAAGCAAGCAATGGGGAAAGGATTCCCTGTTTAATAAATGGTGCTGTGGGAACTGGCTAGCCATATGCAGAAAATTGAAACTGCACCCCTTCCTTACACCTTATACAAAAAATAACTCGAGATGGATTAAACTCTTACATGTAAAACACAGAACTATAAAAACCCTAGAAGAAAATCTAGGCAATACCTTTCAGGACATAGGCACAGTCAAAGATTTCATGACAGAAACATCAAAAGCAATTGGAACAAAACCAAAAATTGACAAATGGGATCTAATTAAATGGAGGAGCTTCTGCACAGTGAAAGAAACTATCATCAGAGTGAACAGACAACCTACAGAATGGGAGAAAATTTTTGCAATCTATCTACCTAACAAAGGTCTAATATCCAGAATCCACAAAGAACTTAAACAAATTTACAGGAAAAAAACAAACGACTCCAATGAAAAGTGGGCAAAGGACATGAACAGACACTTCTCAGAAGACATTTATGCTGCCAAAAAACATTTTAAAAAGGTCAACATTACTGATCATCAGAGATATGCAAATCAAAACCACAATGAGACACCATCTCATGCCAGTCAGAGTGGTGATTATTAAAAAGTCACAAAACAACAGACACTGGCGAGGCTGTGGAGAAACAGGAAACTTTTACACTGTTGGTGGGAATATAAATTAGTTCAACCATTGTGGAAGATAGTGTGGCGGTTCCTCAACAACCTAGAAGCAGAAACACCATTTGACCCAGCAATCCCATTATTGGGTATATACCCAAATGAATATAAATCATTCTGTTATAAAGATACATGCATGCATATGTTCATTGCAGCACTATTCACAATAGCAAAGACATAGAGTCAACCCAAATGCCCATCAATGATAGACTGATAAAGCAAATGTGGTACATATACACCATGAAGTACTATGCAGCCCATAAAAAGGAATGAAATCATGTTCTTTGCAGGGACATGGATGGAGCTGGAAGCCATTATCCTCAGCAAACTAACAGAGGAACAGAGAATCAAATACCACATGTTCTTACTTATAAGTGGAGCTGAACAATGAGAACACATGGACACAGGGAGGGGAACAAGACACACTGGGGCCTGTCGGGGAAGAGGTCATGGGGAAGGGGAGCATCAGGATAAATAGCTAATGCATGTGGGGCTTAATACCTAGGTGATGGGTTGATAGGTGCAGCAAATGACCATGGCACATGTTTACCTATGTAACAAACTTGCACATCCTGCACATGTATCCCAGAACATAAAATTAAATTAAATTAAAATACTGTCTTTGTTTTTGCTATCAGGTTATAATACTAGCTTCATAAAATGGATTGAAAAGTGTTTCTGCCTCTTTTATTTTCTAGAAGATATTGTATAGAATTTTAGTGTTCATTCTTTTGCAATTTTCTGTAGAACTCTCCAGTGAAATCATGTGGGCCTGATTATTCTTTTTGGGAATTCTAAATTTATGAATAAAATTCTTATAATAGTTACAGGGCTATCCAAATTTTGTATTTAATTTGGATGAGTTTGGTAGTTTATGCTTTTCAAGGAAGTAGTTCATTTCATTTAAGTTTTCAAATTGGTATGCGTAAAGTTGTTCATAGTGTTCTTTTTGATGTTTGTAGGGTCTGTGGTAGTATCTCTTGTTTCATTCCTAGCACCTTGTTACAGTCTTGCAAGAGTGCAAGTTTAGGTTTCCCGCTCAGCCTTTGCTAGTATGGGTGGAGATGGGGCCAGAGTTTTTTCTGTCGTTTTGGCTAGAGTAGAACAGTGGTTATCTAAAAGTTTTCTATATGTTAGAAAGTTACTATTCTGGTTCTTTAGCTTTAGAGAAGAGGCTTTTCTTGGGGCTTTGCTTATGTTTGCTGGCATTTCCGGGTTGTCAAGTTCTTCAGCTCCAAGTTTGGGATATATGAAGCAAATAATAATAATAATGACAACCCAGGGAACTCATCACTGTGTTTTTCCTGGGGTCTGAGGTCCCTAGTAGGTCTGTTTTCTTCTCTCCACCTGTCAGTCTTCTTATGTTTGTTTTATATATAATGTCCAGGTCTTTTCATTACACTTAGTGGTAGAAATAGAGAAACGTACATACGCTCCATCTTTCTGGAAGCAGAAGTCAAACTTTTCACTTGTAAGTAACTTAATGGATATTTCTTAGGATCCCTTACATTTAAGCAGTTTACAGTTAAATTGAGAGGGACACAAGTAACACACATAAACTAGAGATCAATATAAAGCATAATTTAATTTAGGGCTAAATTTTGCAGCATCAGAAGATCAGGACAGCAGGGATTAAGAGAAGAAAGACAGGGCAACACCTGCATGTCCATGTATATTTTAAGACGTTTTGATTTGGGCAGTCAGAAAAGTACTCTTGCTTCAACACTGAGCATTTTGAGTAAGACTGGTAGTTTGAAAAATTAACTGATAATTATATAAGCTATTTTGTTCTTTTTATCTGGCCATATTTCAATGATATCACCACTGTACTCAATTCTGTCAATTCATTTAGTGGGTTTGTTCAGAGACTAAAATCACAGTGAGCCATATTCCATAAATGATCCATTACAAGTCTAGTATTCCCATGTGGACTGAGGCTCTAAAGGTATAATGCCAAACTCTAGATATGTAAAGATACCTATTTTAAGAAAGAAAAATTCACCAGTCTTCTGGGTGTTTCCAGAGGAATATTTGATGTCCTCTGGACACCCAGAGGTCTAGGATTTTGCATTTTTATTCAAGTATCCTGGCATTGGGCTCAATGCAGCCTCAGTCTTACAGAGCTTTGAAGGATAAAGGTATGTGTGCACTGTTGGCGCAATGTGGGGTGTGGCTTTAATCAGGGTGTGTGAAAGTGTGTGTTTGGCTGAGTACTCCACAGGGCTCCTTGGCTTCTTGCTCACCTCTCTGCTGTCTCTCTTTCCACTCTTCCTCTCTCTGCTGCTTAATGAGAAGGGAAGACATTTGAGGGCTTTCAGATTATTAGGCCTTTCTCTGGGTGTGATCTTCTTCCTTGAGAAAGTGGCAAGATCTAATCTAGAAACCTAGTTGCTCTGATTTACTGTTTCAGACTGCAAAGTGGTAATTGTAGTGCCTCGTAGCCTTGCCCCACTCAAAAAATATTCCTAGGAGGATTTATAAAGGTGTTTGCTTTGGTTGAGAATGTAGAGTTGACCCAGAAATTAAAACACATGCTTTCTTTTGACTTTCTTCAGCTCACACTATTCCTTAGGCGTCAGCTTGCCTATTGGTAACTCTTGTGTTCTAGGAACTATCTTGCAGGATTAAGAGAGTCATTATTGGTAAAATGCACTTAGCCCCTAAGATAATAATCATGTGGACTTAACATATAAAGATGATAGTATAGAGTAAGATTGTATCCAGTTAGAAATTGCATTTCATTGTAATAGATATCTTGGGAAAAAATCAACTTGAATAAATAGGTTTATTTTTTCTTAGATAAAGGAGCCTAGCGATAGACAGTCTAAGGTCACATTGGCAATTCAATAACATCATTAATATAATCAGGCACCTTTGCCATTCTGCTTCACTAGCCTTGATATATTCTCTCATGGTCACAAAATGGGTATTGGAACTCCAGCCACCACTTTTGCATTCCCAACATTAAGAAGAGTAGAAGCCCTAGGCATCTGCCAGCTCAGTTAGTCCCTCCTCTGTAGGAACTTTCCTCAAGCCTAACCAAGAAATTCTACTCACATCTCACTGGTCCAAAGTTGGCCATGTCACCTGCCCTATTTGCAGATGAGGGTGGGAAATGGCATTTGTTTTGCTTGAGCCCACTGCCACTCCCATACTCAAATAGGATTCTGTTAGTAAGGAAGAAGGGAAAATGGATATTTGGTGGTCAATTAAGACTTTGCTACAAAAATACTATAAATTAACTTATACTTTTTTTTTGCTATAATTAGGGATTTCCAGTATTGACAAATCTGAGAGTAAGGGCTTATATCCATGATCAAATTATTTCATTCAAAGCAAAAAGGGAAAAATGCATATTTCGTGGGCAATTAAGACTTTGCTATAAAAATACTATAAATTAACTTATACTTGTTTCCCTATAATTAGGGATTTCCAATATTTACAAATTTGGGAGTAAGGGCTCATATCCATGATCAAATTATTTCATTCAAAGCAAGAAGGTTCTCAAGATGGCAAGCAACAGGGAAAGTCCTGGGATGCAAGTGGCTGAGTTGAAGGTCAGGAAATATTTCTTCACAAGTTCCCCTCTGTCTTCTGAGCTGGTTCAACTCTAAAAATAATTTATAGTAGTAATTAGCTTATATACATTGTATAGCAGCCTACCATACAAGCACTAACATAGTCATGGCTCTGTTTACTCCTCTTTGTACCCGAGTGAGGTGGGATGAACAGTATCATCCCCGTTTTTCAGGTGAAGAAGATGAGACTCAGTTAAAATGACTGGCCCATGGTCACCCTGTGGTATGGCTGGGACTTTAGATCAACTGACTCCAAGCCCAAAGTCCTTCCTTGACACTATCTGTCTAATAGTAGTGTATATCCGTGTATGTTTTCATTCTTATTTATTTATTTTGAGACAGGGTGTTGCTTTGTTTTCCAGGCTGGAATGCAGTGGCACTATCTCTGCTCACTGCAACTTCAACCTCCCGGGCTCAAGGGATCCTCTCACCTTAGCCCCCCACATAGCTGGGACTACAAGGGCATGCCACCGTGCCCCACTAATTTTTTGTCTTTTTGTAGAGATAGGGTTTCATTATGTTGCCCAGGCTGCTCTCATTTCTTTTTTAATAGACAGGGTCTCACTCTGTCACTCAGGCTGGAGTGCAGTGGTGCGGTCACAACTCACTGAAACCTCGACCTCCAGGGCTCAAGAGATCCTCCCTCCTCAGCCTCCCCAGTAGCTGGGACTACAGGCGTGAGCCACCAAGTCCAGCTAATTTTTAAATTTTTGTAGAGACTGTGTCTTGCGCCATTGCCCAGGCTGGTCAAGCTCCTGGGCTCAAGCAAGTCTCCCACCTCGGCCTCCCAAAGTTTTAGGATTACAGGCGCGAGCCACCATGCCTGGCCCCATATCCATTTTCTAATGTGATAAACACATTTATCTCTCCCACTTCATTTGATCCTCATAATAGCCATGTGAGGCAGGCAGAACTGTTCTCAACAATACCATTTTATAGCTGTGGAAACTATAGTGGTAGTTTTTAACAGTGATTAAGTAACAGGACCAGGACTTGAACCCAGCACTTTAAAACCATAACAAGGCCCTTTCTACCGAGATGAGCCCTTCAAAATAATGGGTGTAGCTCATGAGGAGGCCCTTCTCACATGTTCACATTCAGTGTGGCAGTGGGCCTCCTGGGGCCACTCCAGAGCAGACATGGGACAGAGGCTGGCTGGGCTCAGAGCGTCTGGGAGGGCCGGGTGGAGGTTGCCTCTCTCGCCTCCCCACCTCCCCTGCAAGGCCATGAACCACTGCACACTCCCCGGTGGGACCCCAGGGTTCCCCCAGCAGCCTCAACGTAAATCACATGAAGGAAGAAAAAAATGTTCCCCGGGGATTGCCCGGAGAAATGTTTTCTTTTCCCAGGAGATATATTTGACACAAGATAAAGGGGCTGTGTGGAAAACAAACTTTCCAATGTTATGCTTGGTATTACTGCTTGCTTTTCCCCTCGCTTCCCCCGTCACACACACACTCATGCATTTGAAGACACCACATGGTAAAATGAACTGCCTTCTACGGGGATTTGCTTTCTGCAAAGCGTTCCTCTCAGGGACCACTGTCTTGGTTACCGTCTTGATTTGGCATCCCCAGGCCCCACTGCCCCTCCAAATGGACAAGGGCCCCAAACCTTGCTCACAAGCATTTCCAGGAAAGGATAAATATTGAGGTAGGCTTGCTTTGAAGTTTGACCCAGATACCTGAGAACTCGGTGAAAATTCTTAACTTCTGGCCCAATTGTCAGCAGCACCATGGGCAGCAGATTTGGTTTCCTCAACCTCCTCTTAGCCTGGCTAGAGTGAGCTCACCTGGCTGGCTTCCCAGAGCCCCTGGATTCTAGCAGAGTTGAGCAAAGCCACCATCCATTCTGCTCCTTTTCACCCCAGAGAGGTGTGCAAGTGTCAGAAGATGAACAACCGGTTCCTGGAGGAGTCCAGCGCTACCTGCACTCAGCAGGGACGCTCTATAACCAACTTGAGGTTTCTGCAGCAGGCAGGACGAGAGAGTCCATTTCTGCCTCTTCGAAGGAGTCCTCCCTGATCTGCCCAGCCAGGAGTAGTGAACTCTCCTGTTTAAATTTGGAATACTCCTTGTCTGTTTCACTCCAGCTGCCTTGTTCTGTAGGTGAAGTCTCCTGATACATGGTGTTAGCCATCTCGCCCCAAGCACACCACCTGCCCACTACCCACTCCCCCTTTCCTTAATAACTCCAGTGCAGGGTCCTTGGAAGCACCAAATGTGTCTTATCACTTGGGGTGTCCCCCATAGTGCCCGAAACATTTGCCTCTTGATACTTATTTTCCTAACTCAGGAAGCTACCACCTGTCTGTCAATGTGCTGGGTGTTTTGTATATCTGCTTTCATTCTACCTTCCCAGGCTTTGGAGAGGTATTAATTATCACCGCTTAACAGATGAGCAAAATTGTTTCATGATAATTTAGTAACTTCCCAATGTCACACAGAACCAGAATCTGAACCCAGGTCTATCTGACGGAAGCTCGTGGGAAACAACCCATAGGCAGACAATCAACTGCCAGCCGGTGCCTTGTTCTAGAGCACAACTCCAGCTTGCCACATCTCAGTGAGTCTCCTCCTTCTGCTTCAGTTTCCCAAATCTGTGGAGGCCCTTCTGCCATACATAGGAATGACTCTTGGTCTATGAATCTTGCAACGAGAAGAATGTCCAATAGTAGAGGGAGCTGTAATGAGCCCCATTCTGGCTCTGTCACAGAGCTCTTCCTTCCCTGTGTCCCTCTTTCACCTCCTCTAGGCAGTCCCTTCCACCTCCAGGCTGGGACAGCTGGTGAAATGGGACTTCCTTCAATTGATTAAAAAGGGCCTCCACTGACTCCTAGCAGAGACCCAGAATGGTCATCCAAGAGGGCTTACAAAACACTCTCTGGATCCCTCACGCGCTGAGAAATCCAGACCAGCTGGATGACATTTTCCTCTGAATACTTGTAGGGCTACAACAATTAGGAGGAAAGGGCTTGGCACCACGGTGTTGGGGTGGAGTCCAGCGCAGAGCTCTGGAGGAGCTGTCCAAGGCCGGGGTTGACCTCCTTTCTCTGCCCCGCAGTGAGCCCCTGCCCCAGTGGTGCCTCCCGGGCTCTCCAGTGCAGTGCCAAAATGCTGTGGGTCACTGGTCAGGACTCTGGCTGGTTTTGGCGTCTCTTCCTGCAATTTTGCAAAGGAGGCAGTAGAATTAGATGGGGAAAATTGGAGATCCAGAGAAGCAGGCAGATTTAAGCTGGAGTGAGTGGATGGTTTCATTGATTTCAGAGTCTGTGGGCGTCTCAATTTCCATAGCTGTAAAACAGGAAGAAAAGCTCGGCTTCTCTAGCTTCTCAGGGCATGTTACAGGTGAAGGAAATGATAGGGTAATGGTAATACTTCCTTGAATTTCCTGAACCCGTGAGCGCCAACATGCAGAGCCTTCCTAAACAGCCCAACATCCCCTGCACTTCTCACTCCATCAGTGGAAGTGTGCTTAGGAAATGGAATTATAAAGTTACTCTGATTAAACCATAATCAGGAAGACAAATCTGCTGTGAAGACATACAGGATTTCAGTCCAGAAAGGAACCTTAGAGTTCATTTATTCTAAGGATATCAAAGCTAAATAGAAATCATATTTAGAGCATCTACTGTCTGAAGTTTTCCATTCCTGTAGCATGAGGAATCAGGAATTGATCAGGTAGTGGCACCATCCTCTCTCTGAAGACCACCATTTACTTCATAAGGATCATAATATTGTTCACTGAGACCCGTATGGAGTAAAAGGAAGGCAGGGACTGTTATCCTGATTCTTGCAGACTTGCAAATGGAAATATAAAGACGTTAATCAACTTTGCCAAAGTCACACAGTAAGCTGAGAGGGGAACCGAAACATAAGTCAGGCCTCTGCTCCTGACATAGGGCCTCATGCATAAGTCGCAGTAAACTTCAAATTATAACAGTCCCCATCTCTAAATAAAATACAAAAGCTCTTCATCACAAAGCATGGTAAGAAGAGGAAAAGGGCCACTAAAAATACTAAAAATACATTCTGCAATTTTATGGTAAACAGTGAAAAACATGAAAAATTATACTACAAATTATGAAAATATGTGCTTGAGAAAATAAAATGTGGGTTATAGTTTCTGCTATGTGCAAAATAAGTAATTAAGAACTGATGTGTTTGGGTGTAAATTTTCTCCTACAATTTTACGATGGCACCATAAGGCATCTTTCAATTAATTTTTGCCTTTCGAAGTGCAGTTATGGAAAGGATCACTTTATGCATTATGCTAAGGGCTCTTCCTTAATTCTTTGATGCTAAAATCTGTCTCTTTGAAGCCCAACACCCTCTTTGTTAATTTCCCCTTTGGCGTCCATTCCCTTGCTAACTCCAGTTCATGGCTCTGCATGTGATTTGAGGAATTCCCCAACATCTCTTTAATCAACCTGATAAGATTCGATGTCTTCTGCAAGATTGGCAGTTTTATTTTGCAAGGATACACCTGTGCTAAAAAGGGATAGTTGAAGGTGTACTAATTTTAGGTCAGTTCATTAATGAGTATTTTTGTGTTGGTATGACATTTCCTCCCCTGGTTTATTTCATAACTCAAAGTTTGGGACAATGAATTTTCAGATGACAAGTGTTGTTCCTCCACATGCCCCTTTATTCCTAGCCCACCTCAGGGAGGATCAAGTTATGTTGGATTATTTTTCAAGCAAGGCATCTGAGCTTGTCCCTCCAGTCCTTGTTCATACTTGATTCTCTTTGGGGTCTGAACAGTTGGGGAAGACTTCACACCAAGAGCAGTCTCTGAACTCCCACTGTTCTTTGCCTATGACATCGTTTCCAGACTGAAAGTCTGAAAAAAGCAATAGTGCAACTTCTGGTTTTCATAGTTATCCCTTTCAGGCCTCACTGCAAGGCTGGGCCTAGTGCTGCACAGCTGGGGAGAGGGAAGGCAGAGTCCTATAATTCCAGACCAGATGTTACTGCTTCCTTTCTACCACTCCAGTCATTCAATGAATACTGATTGAGTGACCTGGAAGAAGGCACTTTCCTCACAGGTCAGGTAACACTTCATTCATTCACTTTTTCAAGTAGTTATCTATCCAAGGGGCATGTATTGAATAACTAGTAAGTGACAGACATAATTCGAAGTGTCATGAAGGTAGAAACGGGTATGACATAGTCACTGCCTCCAAAGAACTTAAAACATAGTTGTAGAAAAAAGATATATACATGAGACATTTATTAATTGTTGTTAGTAGTTTCAAGTAGTTATATTTTAAAATATATTATTATTTATAATTACAACTCCTTTTATCTCTTAAACTTTCTTTGAGGTGAATTGGATTAGTATTATCACTGCCTACTTTATGGGCTAGAAAACTGAGGTTCTTCTAGGAGGCAGAGCTCGCAGTGAGCCGAGATCACGCCACTGCACTTCAAACTGGGCAACAGAGCGAGACTCCGTCTCAGAAAAAAAAAAAAAGAAAAAGAAAACTGAGGTTCAGAGTAACTGGCATTTGGTAGAGTCAGGTTTCTCCATATTAAATTCAGTGATCTTTCTAGAACATCCATTTGTTAACCTTTATAAAAATGTCAGAGATATTAGTCAGCCACAGAAAAGGAATGAAGTATTGGTCCATGCTACATGTATGATCCTTGAAAACGTTTTGCCAAGTGAAAGAAGCCAGACACACGAGGTCACATATTACATGATTCCATTTGTATGAAAAATCCAGAATGTGCAGTTCCGTAGGAACAGAAAGGAGACTGGTGTTTGGAAAGAGCTGAGAACAGGGAGGGATGGGGAGTAACTGCTTCATGGGTTTTATTTTGGGGTGATGAACATGTTTTGGAACTAGATAGAGGTGGAATTGTACAACATCGTGAACCTACTAAATGCCACTCAATTGTTCACTTTAAAATGGCTAATTTTATGTCATGTAAATTTCAGTTCAACTTAGAAAATGTTAAAGAGATACTAGTTAATTTTGCTGTGAACCTGCAACTGCTCTTAAAAAAAAATAACGTCTTAAAAGAAAATACCAGAGTCAAATAACTGTAGAAGAGATGATAGGAGCCCAGGTGTGATTAGGGCTAAGGACCACATGCAGGGCACCCACCGGAAAGGTTGCACTGACTTTGCTTTACTGACGGGCTTCCCCTGTGGACTGAGAAATAGAGAGGTTGGCTGGGCCATGCTTGCCTCTGACCTGCTGTCATGGTCCCCTGGCATTCTCCTTTGGAACCCTTCCTACAGTTGCTTCTGCATGTGTGACTAGCTGTTCGTTTTCTGACTTCACCATTAGCCTCTTAGCTTCCTGAGGGCTGGCCGTTCTTTTTCTTTTTTTCTTTTTTTTTGAGACAAAGTTTCGCTCCTGTTGCCCAGGCTGGAGTGCAATGGCGCAATCTTGGCTCACTGCAACCTCCACCTTCCGGGTTCAAGGGATTCTCCTGCCTCAGCCTCCTGAGTAGCTGGGATTACAGGCATGTGCCACTATGCCCGGCTAATTTTGTATTTTTAGTAAAGACAGGGTTTCTCCATGTTGATCAAGCTGGTCTCACACTCCTGACCTCAGGTGATCTGACCGCCTCAGCCTCCCGAAGTGCTGGGATTACAGGCGTGAGCCACCATGCCTGGCCGTTCTTTTTCATAACCATCTCCACTAACTGCTAAGCACAGAGCAGGAGCCCAGTAAATAAAAAGCGCACTAGTCCTAGTCCTCTTCCACCCCTTAATTGATGTGCTGCCTGGAGCAAGTGATTGAACCTCTCTGGGCCTCAATGCCTTGGCTTCAGATCTTCACTCAGTTGTCTTCCTTAGCTCTGCTGACATAACGCGAATGAAAAACCTGGCTCAAGCGCGTTGCTGCTGAGTTATTCTCTAACATGATGTTGTTACCTCTGTGTATTTCTTCATTGCTGTCAGAAGCCTCGATTTGTTCTGAGTGAATGATACCAACGCAATATTTTTGTGAAACCAGTGGGGATTTTCTGTTTCGCGATATATTGCCACTTCCCATTGTAGTCTATAAGGAAAGAAGGCACAGTGAGAATAGGCCGTTGTTTCAATGAGTAAAAGGTTTAAAAAATCTTAAACCTCTTCAACAACCTGATGGGAGAATGCTGTCCGGCCTTTTGTGCACGGCCCCTTCTTGGGCACACAGCTCTTTTCCGTTTTGTATTATGCCTTAACCTCAGAGCAGCAAGGCAGGTACCAATCTTCCGCATTCTATAGATTGGAAAACGGGCCAAGATAAATAACTTGTTCAATCCCCACGGTGGGTCAGTGGCCGGGCCGAAATTAGACCTAAAGTCCATGAGCACAGTCTCCTCTGGAATGAGCTGCTGAGTCAGGCTTCAAGGGTTTCTCCTAGAGATCTTCAGCAGACAGGAGGACAGTCACCATCTGGAAAGGGTTAGTTTCACTCCTGCCAGGAGGCCAGAGGATGGACTAAATGACCCCTGCAAGTCCCTTTCTGCCCTAGGCCTCTCCAATTACCTTCTCTAATTTCCAGCAAACATGCTTTCTCTAGGGAAAAATGAATCCGGGGCTCTTGGGTCCCTTGGGAGTCTGCAAAGATTTCACTTTCCAGTTTGGGGAATCTGAGCTCCATGAGAGAAAATGCTCAGCGCGCTGTCAGAAGGAAACATTGCAGCCACACACTATATATTTAGATTCTTCCTAGCAACAAAGCCTCCTGGCGGATGCAGACCAAGCTGGGAGGCAGGAAGCTTGACTCCTCCTCCTGGATCCCCTACCCTCCCACCCCCGCAAGGCCCTTGACTGGGTAACTTCTCTGCCCAAGGCCTGGGCCCACTCCCTGCCTGGCATGGTCCGTTGAGGTTAATGGGGCTGTCTCTGCACAGAGTCCCAGCTTTATCCTTGGGGACTTCAGAGTCTTATACACCTCTGAGAACGTGGGCCATTTGTTTCACATCTTGTCCTGAGTTTTACTTCTCTGAGTTTCTATTTTCTGAACCTAACTTAGGACACATGGCCTGACAAAGGATTTCTCTGATACTTTGGGGTTTAAGGTTAATGATGACAGTAGCCTCCATTTAAATGATTTGACAGATGTCTACTTTGCTGGGCATTTTACATGCATTATTTCATTTAATCCCATACCAACCACATAAAGAAGTGAGGTTCAGAGAGGTTTCATCCAAGACCGTCTAGCTAGTAAATAGCAAAGCAAGGATTGCAACCCCGTCCCGTCTGACTCCACAGCTCATACACTTTACCATAGCACTCAGCTCTGAGATGTAAGTCTGGGCTTTGTAAAGAGTCACATATCATTTTGACACCAAAACACTGGTATTTCCCAGACCTTCTTTTAAAAGCTTTTTATAATGAAAGTTTTCAAACATTCAGAAAAGTTATAGGAATAGGAAATGAACCCCCATCCCCCAGGTCTGGCAATTACCAGTGTGCATCTATCCATTTCTCCTTTTTCTTTTTTTCCTGCAGTACTTTAAAGAAAATTCCTGACATTGTGTGTCATTTTGCTCCTAAATACTTCCATATGTAGCTCTAAAAAGAGGGGAGAAGGGAGGTAGGAAGGAGGGGCTTCTTATATAACTACAAAACCAAATACCTAACAAAAATAATAATTTCTTATCACCTAATACCCAGTTCAATTCAAATTTCTCCTAGTGTCTTAAAAACTGCTGTTTTATATTTGCCTTGCTCAAATAAGCATCCAGCAAATTCATATATTGCATTTGGTTATGTCTCCTAAGCCTTTTAATTAAAATTTTATCTGTTTTTTCCCTTTTCTGTGTCATTGATTGCTAAAGAAACTGTGCCCATCATCCTGCAGAATATGCCACATTCTGGATTTGGTTGGATTGCTTCCCCATGGTGGTATTTAACTTGTTCTTCTATCGCCTGTATTTTCTGCAAAGGTATAGATCTAAAGGCTTGATGAGGTTCACTTTTCAGCAAGAATACCACATAGATGGTACAGGGTACTTCCTATTGTATCATTCAGGAAGCATATACTACCTGGTTGTCCCAATTTTAGTGCAGAGAAAGGTTAATGTGTTCAGATTGGTTTCCAGGTATTTTGATGGCTCATGGAGACCAAAGATAGAACATTTAAATTCCACATTATCTTAGATTACCTGGACTACCTACCATATTCCCTTGGATGCCAGGTTTGAAGGCTGCTCTGAGTTACATTTAAAAACCACAGTTTTGCAGCTTTAATGGGGCTGCGGCCTTTGCCTAAAGCCTTCTTTGCTTAGGAGAGAAGAGTCTCATCTAAAATGTGGTAGAAGAGCTGTCACCCATTTATAAGTGTAGGCAATTTTTCCTTTACATGGTATCCTGTGGGTGTGGTCCACATTCATGAGCTAGTAATCCAGAAATTAGAAAGTGCCTGGTGGACTCCCTCCAGAGGGGGTTCCCAGAGACAGGAAGCGTGAAGCAATCAAGGAAGAGCCTGGTGCAGGTCCTGCCTGCTGAGGGAGGTAGCTTGAGAAATCGTGGGGTAGAGAACCTGGAGAAATGCAGCTACTCTCAGAAGAAGGGAACTGGAGGAGGCAATAAGTTGGCAGAACCTGGACTGAGGAAGAGACTAGTTAGACAGGCTGTAGGCAAGGAACTTGATTCAGAGTGAGAAACCCTAGCAAAACACAGAAAGAGTGCTTGGGACTTGAGAATTATCTGTGGAACTCAGCCAGAGGGGACTTAGCAGCATACAGTCCTCAGCAGGAAGAGCTCTTATAAATAATCTATCCCACGCCTCTCTTTTGCAGATGAAGATACTGCAGCTCAGAAAAGGGAAGTCTCATTTAAAGTGACATAGGACTGGGCATGGTGGCTGACATCTGTAATCCCAGCTGCTCAGGAGGCTGAGAAAGTAGGGTGGCTTGAGCCCAGGTGGTCAAGGCTGCAGTGAGCTATGATCCTGCCACCGCACTCCAGCCTGGGTGACAGAGTGAGACCCTGTCTCAAAAAAATAAATAAAAAGTGACACAGGGCTGCAGCTAGTACAAGAGCCTAGTTCACCTGGTTCACACCAAGCCCTTCCCACTCTACCACACTGCACGTCTTTCTTCCTCAAGAACCAGTGGCTGCCGCAGGGAGAAGTCTGGCGGGCCTGAGGTGAAGAAGTTCCGAGCCGAGAAGCCAGACTTCTTCTGTGGTAAACCAGATCCAGCCGAACTTCTGTGCCAAAGCTGGTTGCCTATAATTTGCTTAAGTCAGTATAGCTTGTGCCCTGTTATTCCTGTTACTGTGTGAACAAATTCACACAGACAATGATGTGCTGTGGACTAGAGTAACTATAGAAGGTGAGGTGCAGGGTGGGGCCATACACACCTTGGTCTAGGTCTAAAGAATGTCACCTCCACACATCCTCAGGCACCGACCCATTACAGCCATCAAGGCCGCAGGGCAGGAATAGACCCAGGTACTCCACAGAATGGTGATGTTGCTCATGGCTTCTTGGCAAGAGATCCTCTCCTGGAGGGCTGGGACCTTCCATTAGTCACCTATATATTCCTAGCCCTTAACAAAGGAAGTGGCACATGATAAAAAATGTTACTTAATAAATACAGGTGGTTGAGTGGGTGAGTGAATGAATGAAGAAATACCCAAGGAGGTAGAGCATCTTGATCATGACTTCATAGTCTCCTTAATCTTCACCTCCTTTCTGATCTTGGCTTTGTATCCAGAACAGGGAGCTTCCCATGGTGGTGCTGACTTGACTCCCTCGCCCCAAAATGTGACAAATCATATATTCCCTCATTTATTTTTTTGTAAGTCAACATCCAAAAGCTTACATAAAAAGTTTTACTATGTAGTTAAAATAGAAACTTTTCAGATTATTATAAATATTAAAATTTTTAAATAAAATTATTCAGTCACATGTTTACATCCTATAGCCAATGGTAAATAGTTGCCATAAATATTTGATACGCAATATCTCACATTAAAAAAATTATAAACAAAACATATTCTTCTGTTTGTTCTTGTTGTTGTTGTTGTTTGAGACAGGGTCCTGCTCTATCACCCAGGCTGGAGTGCAGTGATGTGATTATGGCTCACTGCAGCCTCAACCTTTCTGGGCTTAGGTGATCCTCCCATCTCAGCCTCCCGAGTAGCTGAGACTACAGGTGTGCACCACCATGCCTGGCTAATTTTTGTACTTTTAGTAGAGATGAAGTTTCACCATTTGTCCAGCCTTGTTTTGAACTCCTGGGCTCAAGCCATCTGTCCACCTCAGCCTTCCAAAGTGTTGGGATTGCAGGCGTGAGCCACCATGCCCAGCCCAAATTCTTCTGTATAGTTAGAATTCCTATATTGTTTCCTTTTCATTTTAAAATTATACTTGTATTTCACTTCACCTGCCAAAATTTTCTTCAACAAAAATGTGTTCAAAAACATAGTATTTTCAAGTTCCTATAACTATTATGTTCTAGTTGTTGAGATTGTTCTGTATTAGGTTATAATGATGGTTATTTTTAGTATATAATTGATAAAAATATATTACACATTCTGATACCACTTAAAAAAAAAAAACCAAGTACCAACATAGACAGTATCTTGGTTCATAAAACAACCTAAATGAATTTAAAAGAATTGGAATAATACAGCGTGTTCTCCAACCACAGTGGAATCAAAGAGAAATAAATAACAGAAAGATAACAGAAAAATATAAAAACACTTCTAAATAATCCATGGGAAGAGAGGAAGTCTCAAGGGAAATCCAAAAATACATTGAACTGGAAAAAAAAAATGAAAGTACTGCATATCAAATGTTATGGAACAGAGCTGGGCAGTGCTGAAAGGAAAGTATGTAGCCACAAATACTTATATTAGAAAAGAGGAACAGTCTCAAATCAAAAACCAAATATCCCACCTCAAGAACCTGGAAAATAAAGGGCAAAATTAACCCAAGGGCAAACAGAGGAAAAAAATACTAAAGATAAGAACAGAAATCAATAAAATTTAAAAACAGAAAAGCAATAGATAAAAATCTGAAACAAAGAGCTGGTTATTTGAGAAGATCAATAAAATCGGCATATCTCCAGCAAGACTGACCAAGAGAAAAGACACAAATGACCAATATCCGGAATGAAACAGGAGATATCACTACAGACCCTGAAGGTGTCTAAATGATGATAAACGAATGCTACAAAAAACTCTACTCTCATACATTTAACAACTTAGATGAGATGGACCAATTTCTCAAAAAACACACACTATCACAGTTCACCCAAAATGAAATAGATCATCAGAATAACTCTATAACCATTTATAAAATTAAATCCACAATTTTAAAACTACCAAAACACAAATCTGCAGTCTAGATGAGTTTCACTGGAGAACTCTACCACCCTTTAGAGAGAAATTAATGCCAATTTTATACAATCTCCTGCAGAAAACTGAAGAAGAAGAGTTTGGCAGAGTTTATGAAGCTTCATGTTACCCTGATATTAAAACCAGAAAGAGACACTACAAAAAAGGAAGGAAGGAAGGGAGGGAGGGAGGGAAGGAAGGAGGGAGAAAGGGAGGGAGAAAGGGAAGAAAAGAAAGAAAAGGAAGCTGCAGACCAATAAATCTCATAAATGTAGACACAAAAATCATTGATAAAATATTAGCAAAAATGTAGACACAAAAATCATTGATAAAATATTAGCAAATAGAATTCAGCAATGTGTAAAAAGAATTATACACCATGCCAATGGGATTTATTTCAGGGAAGTAAGGCTGGCTCAATATTTTAAAACCTCTCAATGTAATCAATCATATTAACAACCTAAAAAAGAAAAATTACATGAGCATATCAACCAATGGGAAAAAAAAGCTTCTGACAAAATTCACCATCCATTTATGATAAAAAAAAAATCTCAGAAAAAAACAGGAATAGAGAGGAACTTCCTCAACCTGATGAATATCTACAAAAATCTGTAGCTAACGTTATACTTAAAGGTAAAAGACCAAATATTTTCCCTCTAAGTTTGGGAACCTGACAAGGATGTCTGTTCTCAATACTCTTAGTCAACATAGTGCTGAAAGTTCTAGCTAGGGCAAAAAGGCAAAAAAGGAAATAAAAAGCATACAGATTAGAAAAAAAAAAAAAGAAAACTATATTGCAGGTGCCATGATTCTTTATGAAGAAAATTCCAAGGAATCTTCAAAAAAACTTCTAGGTCTAATAAGTAAGTTTAGCAAGTTTGAAGGATATGAGGTAAACATACAAAAGTCAATCAATTGTATTCCTATATTCTGGCACCAAGTATGTGGACACTAAAATTAATTACAATACCATGTACAATTGTTCAAAAAAATACTTAAATCTAACAAAGCATGTATAGGATTTTTTTTTTTACACCAAAAACCACACAATGCTGATGAAAGAAATCAATCAGATCTGTATAAATGAAGAGATATGCTGTGTTTATGTATTGAAAGATTTAACTGATGAGTGTGGTAGCTCACTCCTGTAATCCTAGCACCTTGGGAGACTGAGGTTGCGGGATTGCTTGAAGTCAGGAGTTGGAGACCAGCTGGGGCAACAGTGAGACCCTCTCTTATGCACCTGTAGCACTAGCTACTTAGGAGCCTGAGGTGGGGGGATTGCTTAAGCCCAAGAGGTTGAAGTTGCAGTGAGCTATGATTGATGGCATCATTGCATTCCAGCCTGGGCAACAGAATGAAACCATGTCTCTAAATTTTAAAAATAAACAAAAAATATTTAACATAGGCTGGGCACGATGGCTCACGCCTGTAATCTCAGCACTTTGGGAGGCTGAGGCGGGCAGATCACGAGGTCAGGAGATCGAGACCATCCTGGCTAACACGGTGAAACCCCGTCTCTACTAAAAACACAAAAAATTAGCTGGGCGTGGTGGCGGGCGCCTGTAGTCCTAGCTGCTCAGGAGGCTGAGGCAGGAGAATGGCGAGAACCTGGGAGGCGGAGCTTGCAGTGAGCCGAGATTGCTTCACTGCGCTCCAGCCTGGGCGACAGAGGGAGAATCCGTCTCAAGAAAAAAAAAAAAAAAAAAAAAAAGATTTTACATAATAAATATGTCAGTTCTCCCTAAATTGATATACATATACAGCACAGTTCTTATTAAAAATCCCAGCAAGTTTTTTGGTAAATATACAGCAGAGTATTTTAAATTTTATATTTTAAAGCAGAGGAGCTAGAACTGCCACAACAATTTGAAAGATAAATTGGGAGAAATTAGTCTACATGATTTCAAGACTTATCTTACAGCTACAATAAAACCAAATCGTGTGGTGGAAGAAAAGACATACGGACCAATAAAACAGAATAGAGAACCTGGAAATAGCTCCACACAAATGACCCCAACTGCTTCTTGACAAAGGTGCCAAAGGAATTCAGTGGAGGAAAGATAGCCTTTTCCTTCCTTCCTTCCTTCCTTCCTTCCTTCCTTCCTTCTTTCTTTCGAGACAGAGTTTTGCTCTCGTTACCCAGGCTGGAGTGCAGTGACGCGATCTCATCTCACCTCAACCTCCGCCTCCCGGGTTCAAGCGATTCTCCTGCCTCACCCTCCCGAGTAGCTGGGATTATGGGTACATGCCACCACGCCCAGCTAATTTTGTATTTTTAGTAGAGATAGGGCTTCTTCATGTTGATCAGGCTGGTCTCGAACTCCCGACCTCAGGTGATCTGCCCGCCTCGGCCTTCCAAAGTGCTGGGATTACAGGCGTGAGCCACTGCGCCCGGCTGAAAGATAGCCTTTTCTATAAATGGTTTTGAAGCAATTAGACATCCACAGACAAAAAAATACAGAAGAATTTTTTTAAAAACCCTCAAGTCTCATACCTTATGCCAAAGTTAACTCAAAATGGGTCAAGATTTAAATGTAAAAGGTAAAGCTATAAAATTTTTAGAAGAAAATCATCAGGGCTGAGCACGGTGGCTCATGCCTGTAATTCCAGCACTTCAGGAGGACAGCGCGGGCAGATCTTGAGGTCAGGAGATTGAGACCATCCTGGCTAACACAGTGAAACCCCATCTCTACTAAAAATACAAAAATTAGCCGGACGTGGTGGCCCGCGCCTGTAGTCCCAGCTATGTGGGAGGCTGAGGCAGGAGAATCACTTGAACCCGGGAGGCGGAGGTTGCAGTGAGCCAAGATCGGGCCACTGCGCTCCAGCCAGGGCAATAGAGCAAGACTCCGTCTCAAAAAAAAAAAAAAAAAGAAAGAAAAGAAAAAAAAAATCATCAGGATTTAGGCATAAGCAAAGAGTTCTTAGCCTTGACACCAAAAGCTTTTACTCTGCAAAAGACTCTGTTAAGAGGATAAGAAGTCAAGCTACAGACAGAGAGAAAATATTTACAAGTCACATATCTGATAAAATACTCATATCTGGATTATATAAGGAACTCTCAAAACTCAGAAGGAAAAAAGTCAATCCAATTAGAAAATAAGCAAAAGACATGAAAAAATTCATTAAAGAGAATCTACAGATAGCAAATAAGTACATGAAAAAATATTCAATATCATTAGTCATTAGGGAAATGCAAAAAATCATAAGACAGAATTACATGCCTATCAGAATAGCTGAAATAAAAATATTGAATTAGCTCATTGAACTCACCTGCAGCTCTTGGGGTTCCTGTGTCTTTCTTCGTTGTTGGAGCCAGGCCTACGTGCCAGCCACCATGTCGAAGGGACCTGCAGTTGGTATTGATCCCTGCACCAGCTAGTCTTGTGTGGGTGTTTTCCAGCGTGGAAAAGTAGAGTTAATTGCCAGTGATCAGGGAAACTGAACCACTCTCAGCTATGTCGCCTCTACGGACACTGAACGAATGACTGGTGATGCCGCAAAGAATCAAGTTGCAATGAACCCCACCAACATGGTTTTTGATGCCAAACGTCTGATTGCACACAGATTTGATGATGCTGTTGTCCAGTCTGAGATGAAGCATTGGCCCTTCATGGTGGTGAATGATGCTGGCAGGCCCAAGGTCCAAGTGGAATACAAGGGAGAGAGCAAAAGCTTCTATCCAGAGAAGGTATCCTCTATGGTTCTGACAAATATGAAGGAAATTGCAGAAGCCTACCTTGGGAAGACTGTTACCCATGCTGTGGTCGCAGTGCCAGCTTACTTTAATGACTCTCAGCGTCAGGCTACCAAAGATGCTGGAACTATTGTTGGTCTCAATGTACTTAGAATTATTAATGAGCCAACTGCTGCTGCTTATGGCTTAGACAAAAGGTTGGAACAGAAAGAAATGTACTGATCTTTGACCTGGGAGGTGGCACTTTTGATGTGTCAATCCCTTGGTATTGAAACGGCTGGTGGAGTCATGACCGTCCTCATCAAGTATAATACTACCATTCTTACCAAGCAGACACAGATCCTCACTACCTATTCTGACAGCCAGCCTGGTGTGCTGGTTCAGGTTTATGAAGGTGAGCGTGCCGTTTTGAGGATGGAATCTCTGAGGTCAAATCTACAGCCAGAGACACCCACTCGGGTGGAGATTTTGACAACTGAATGGTCAACCATTTTATTGCTGAGTTCAAGCACAAGCATAAGGAGGACATCAGTGAGAATAAGAGAGCTGTAAGATGCCTCCGTACTGCTTGTGAACATGCTAAGCATACTCTCTCTTCCAGCACCCAGGCCATATTGAGATCGATTGTCTCTATGAAGGAATCAACTTCTGTACCTCCATTACCCATGCCCGATTTGAAGAACTGAATGCTGACCTGTTCCGTGGCACCCTGGACCCCGTAGAGAAAGCCCTTCGAGATGCCAAATTTGACAAGTCACAGATTCATGATATTGTCCTGGCTGGTGGTTCTACTCGTATCCCCAAGATTCAGAAGCTTCTCCAAGACTTCTTCAATGGGAAAGAACTGAATAAGGGCATCAACGCTGATGAAGCTGTTGCATATGGTATAGCTGTCCAGGCAGCCATTCTGTCTGGAGACAAGTCTGAAAATGTTCAAGATTTGCTGCTCTTTGATGTTACTCCTCTTTCCCTTGGTATTGAAACTGCTGGTGGAGTCACATGACCGTCCTCATCAAGTATAATACTACCATTCTTACCAAGCAGACACAGATCCTCACTACCTATTCTGACAGCCAGCCTGGTGTGCTTATTCAGGCTTATGAAGGTAAGCATGCCATGACCAAGGATAACAACCTGCTTGGCAAGTTTGAACTCATGGGCATACCTCCTGCACCCCGAGGTGTTCCTCAGACTGAAGTCACTTTTGACAGTGATGCCAATGGCATCCTCAATGTCTCTGCTGTGGACAAGAGTACAGGAAAAGAGAACAAGATTACTATCACTAATGACAAGGGCTGTTTGAGCAAGGAAGACATTGAACGTATGGTCCAGGAAGCTGAGAAGTACAAAGCTGAAGATGAAAAGCAGAGGGACAAAGTGTCATCCAAGAATTCACTTGAGTCCTATGCATTCAACATGAAAGCAACTGTCGAAGATGAGAAACTTCAAGGCAAGATTAACGATGAGGACAAAGAGAAGATTCTGGACAAGTGTAATGAAATTATCATCTGGCTCAATGAGAATGAGACTGCCAAGAAGGAAGAATTTGAACATCAGCAGAAAGAGCTGGAGAAAGTCTGCAACCCCATCATCACCAAGCTGTACCAGAGTGCAGGAGGCATGCCGGGACGAATGCCTGGGGGATTCCCTGGTGGTGGAGCTCCTCCCTCTGGTGGTGCTTCCTCAGGGCCCACCATTGAAGAGGTTGATTAAGCCGACCCAAGTATAGATGTAGCATTGTTCCACACATATAAAACATTGAAGGATCTAAATTTGTAGCAAATTCTGTGGCAGTTTAAAAAAGTTCAGCTGCTATAGTAAGTTATGGGGCATTCTCAATACTTGAATATGGAATATAAGCACAGGGGAAGGAAATAACATTGCGCTTCATAAACACTGTATTGTAAGTGGAAAATTCAATGTCTTAAATACAACTATTTAAAATTGGCACCATAAAAATATTCGAATTAATAGTGCAAGAATGTTTCTTCTCACCACTCCAATTTGTCATTATACTGTAAATCCTAGCTAGTACATTAAGAAAAGAAAAGGAAATAAAGGGTATAGAAATTGAGAAGAAAGAAAGAAAACTTTATTTGCAGATTACATGATTGTCTATGTAGAAAATTAAAAAAATTCACATACACAAAAACTTGATCTAATAAATGATTATACGAGGTTGCAGGATACAAGGTTAATATACAAGTCAGTTGCTTTCCTATATACCAGCAGTGAACAATTGGAATTTATAATTAAAAACGTATCACCATTTACATTAGCACCCCCAAAAATGAAATACTTAGGTATAAATCTAACAAAATGTGCGCAAGGAAACTACATGAGAAAAACTATAAAACTCTGATGAAAGAAATCAACAATCTAAGTAAGTGAAGAGAAAGTCTACCTTCACGAACAGGTAGACTCAATATGGTTAAGATGTCAGTTCTTTCCAAATAATCCGTCAGTTCAATGCAATCACAGTCAAAATCCCAGCAAGTTATTTTGTGGATATTAACAAACTGATTCTAAAGTATATATGGGAAGGCGAAAGACCCGGGATACCCAACAAATATTGAAGTAGATAAGCACAAAGTTGGAAAACTGACACTACCCAATGTCAAGACATGCTATAAAGCTACAGCAATCAAGACTGTGGTGCTAGCAAAAGAATAGACAAATAGATCCATGGAACAGAAGAGAGAGCCCAGAAATAGACCCATATAAATATAGTCAAATGATCTTTGACAAAGGACCAAAAGCAATCCAATGGAGAAAGGACAGTATTTCCAACAAACATTGCTGAGAACAATCGTACATACAAAAAAAAAAAAAAAAAAAAAAGATACAGACCTTACCCTTTTCACACACAAAAAAATTAATAGTGGATCCTAAACCTAAATGTAAAATACTAAACTGTAAAACTTTTAGAAGATAATATAGGAGAAAATCTAGATGATCTTGGGTTTGGTGACGACTTTTTAGATACAACACTAAAAATACAATCTATGAAAGAAAAATGTAATAACTTATATTTTATTAAAATGAAAACTTCTGTGAAAGATATTGTTAAGGGAAGGAAAAGACAAGCCACAGACTGGGAGAAAATCTTTGCAAAACACATATCCGATAAAGAATTTGTACACAAAATATACAAAGAACTCTTAACACTCAACAATAAGAAAACAAACAGTCCAATTAAAAAGTGGGCAAGCGGCCAGGCGCAGTGGCTCATGCCTGTAATCCCAGCACTTCGGGAGGCTGAGGCGGGTGGACCACGAGGTCAGGAGATCGAGACCATCCTGGCTAACACGGTGAAACTCTGTCTCTACAAAAATTCAAAAAATTAGCCGGGCGTGGTGGCGGGCCCCTCTGGTCCCGGGTACTCGGGAGGCTGAGGCAGGAGAATGGCGTGAACCCGGGAGGCGGAGTGAGCCAATATCACGCCACTGCACTCCAGCCTGGGCGACAGAGCAAGATTCCATCCCAAAAATAAATAAATAAATAAATAAAAGTGGGCAAAAGATCTGAACAGGCATCTCACCAAAGGAGATATACACATGACAAATAAGCATATGAAAATACGCTTAATATCACACATCATTAGGGAATGCACATTAAAATAGTAAGATACCACGGCATATTCATCAGAATAATAGCAAAAATTCATAATACTGACACACCAAATGGTGAGGAGGAGGTAGAATAATAGCAACTCTCATTCATTGATGGTGGGAATGCAAAATGATATCGCCACTTGGAAGAATGTCTGTTTTTTTTAATAGTTTTTGGGGGGAGCGAGTGGTGTTTAGTTACATGGATAAGTACTTGAGTGGTGATTTCTGAGATCCTGGTGCATCCATCACCCGAGTGGTGTACGCTGTACCCAATGTGTAGGATTTTGTCTGTTTCTTAACGTTGTCTTACCACATGACCCAGCAGCTGCACTCCTTGGTATTTACCCAAGTAGTTGGAAACATATCCACACAAAAATCTGCACATGAATGTTTATAGAGGATTTATTCTTAATTGCCACAACTGGGAAGCAACCAAGATATCCTTCAGTAGATGAACAGATAAACAAACTGTGATACGTGGATTCAATGAAGTATTATTCAGGCTGAAAAGAAGTGAGCTATCAAGCCATGAAAAGACATAGAGGAACCTTAAAAGCTTATGGCTATGTGAAAAATATCAATCTAAAAAAATCACATGCCGTATGATTCTAACTATATGAGATTCTAGAAAAGGTGAAATTATAGACACAGTAAAGATAGTAGTTGCCAAAGGTTGAGGGGGATGGAAGGATGAATAGGCAGAGCACAGAGGATTTTTAAGGCAGTGAAGGTATTTTGTAGAGTGTATTTGGGTACTGTGTACATATCTTGGGATTGTATGGGGGATGCATGACACATTATGCATTTGATAAAATCCAGAGAACTATATAACAGGAAGAGAACCCTAGTGTAAACTGTGGACTTCAGTTAATAATATATCAATATCTAGATTATAATTAAGTTAATAATGTATCAAATTAGTTAATGAAAACTGTAACTAATAATTTAGCGAATAATATATCAATATTGATTTGTTTATTGTAACAAATGTACTACATTAATGGGAGATGTTGCTAATGGAAACTGCTGAGGTGGCAGGGGAAGAGAGGGAGAGGAAGCCTGTGGAGACTCTGCACTCTGTTCAATTTGTCTGAAAAAATATAACTGCTCTAAAATACATCTATTAACTCTTAAAAATAGTTAAATCTTCCATAAAGGAGAATTTTTTTTTTGAGATGGAGTCTCACTCTGTCGCCCAGGCTGGAGTGCAGTGGCGCAATCTCGGCTCACTGCAAGCTCCGTGTCCTGGGTTCAAGCGATTCTCCTGCCTCAGCCTCCCGAGAAGCTGGGATTACAGGCACCTGTCACCATGCCTGGCTAATTTTTTGTATTTTTAGTAGAGACAGGGTTTCACTGTCTTGGCTAGGCTGGTCTTGAACTCCTAACCTCGTGATCCACCCTCCTCGGCCTCCCAAAGTGTTGGGATTACAGGCGTGAGCCCGGCCCAGAAAGGAGAATTCTAATAATTCTAAACAGTTTATGCAGATATTTCTCCCTCAAGGAGATGGGGCTTAACTCTTAACCATTTGAGTACTGGTTGGCACTCAGTAACTTGCCTTTGGACCGTAAAGTGTGGAAAAGGAGGAAAAGATTAACTTTATAGGAGAGAGACCTGGCAAAAGCCCTTACCCAGGTGATAAGGTCGACGTCATCTGTCATGTCAATTTCATGTATGTCCCTTTAATACCATGTGATGGGAATGGCCCTGCCCCTTTGTGGTAATCCTCCCAAAATCCATTACCCCAGTCTTGCCATGAGAAAAACATCAAACAAACCCAAATTGAGGGATATTCTACACAGTACCCGGCCAGCATTCCTCAAAACTGTCAAGGTCATCCAAAACAAGGAAAGTCTGAGAAACTCTCACAGACAAGAAAGGCTGGCAAAGAAAAGTAATGTGGTATCCAGAGCCAGAAGGACAGTGGGGCAAACTAGTAACATGCAAATCAACTGCAGAGTTTAGTTAGTACCAGTGCGCTGGTGCCGGCTCCTTAGTTGTGACAAAGGTTCCATAAAATGAAGAGATGTTAACAGTAGGGGAAACTGGGTGAGGGGTATATGAGAAGTCTGTACGATCTTCACAACTTTTCTGTAAATCTAGAACTATCTTAAAATTAAAGTTTGATTTAAAATAATGTGGGAAAAAATAGTGACAGACCAAATGCTGGTGAGGATGTAGAGAGGCTAGATCACTAATACAATGTGGAGGGAATGTAAAATGGTACCACCACTCTGGAAGAGTTTGGCAATTTCTTTTTTTTTGGCAATTTCTTTAAAATTTTAAACACACAATGACCACACCACTCAACAATTGCATTTCTGGATATTTATCCCAGAGAAATGAAAACCTATGCTCACAAAAAACTTGCACATGAATGTTTACAGAAGCTTTATGTGCAATAATCCCATGCTGGAAACAACCTAGGTGTGTTTTAATGGATGAATGGTTAAACAAACTGTGATATATTCACAGCAGGGAGTACTACTCAGCACGAAAAAGGAAGGAGCTATTCATATACTCCACAACATGGATGGCTCTCCAGAGACTTATGCCGAGAAGAAAAAGCCAATGTCAGAAAGTTATATATGTATGAGTCCATTTATTTAACATTCTTGAAATGACAAAATCATAGAAATGGAGATGAAATGAATGGTTGCCAGAGATTAAGTTTGAGAGACTGAGAGGAAAGTAGTTGTGATTATAAGAAGCCAACTTCAGGAATTCTGGTGGTGATAGAAATGTTTTGTATCTTGACTGTATCAATATCAATATCCTGGTTTGCCCAACAGTGCAAGACCCTGTCTCAAAAAAAAAAAAAAAAATAGTAATGTATCTCTTTTATTTTATTTGAGACGGAGTTTCACTCTTTGTTGCCCAGGCTGGAGTGCAATGGTGCGATCTCTGCTCACCGCAACACCCCCCTCCCGGGTTCAAGCGATTCTCCTGCCTCAGCCTCTGGAGTAGCTGGGATTACAGGCGTGCACCACCAAGCCTGGCTAATTTTGTATTTTTAGTAGAGACAGGGTTTCTCCATGTTGGTCAGGCTGGTCTTGAACTCTCGATCTCAGGTGATCCGCCCGCCTCATATCTTTTAATGAAATGAATAAGGCTTACTTATTTATTTATTTATTTATTGAGACGGAGTCTCGTTCTGTCGCCCAGGCTGGAGGGGAGTGGCGTGATCTCGACTCACTGCAATCTCCACCTCCCAGGTTCACGCCATTCTCCTGCCTCAGCCTCCCGAGTGGCTGGGACTACAGGCGCCCGCCACCACACCCGGCTAATTTTTTGTATTTTTAGTAGAGACAGGTTTTCACCGTGTTAGCCAGGATGGCCTCGAGCTCCTGACCTTGTGATCCGCCTGCCTCGGCCTCCCAAAGTGCTGGCATTACAGGCACGGGCCACCGCGCCCAGCCGAATAAGGCTTTTATCTTTAATTAATTCATGCACTCATGCATGACATTACTTGTTATTAGAGTTAGACAAGGAATAGCATCCATTCTATTCATACTTTTCATTTTTATAGAAGTAATGCTGGGAAACCTTGTTCACGTAAATAAGTTTGGATGGAGTTTTATTATAGCAATATGATTTGGCTCTCTGAACTCTTTCCAAGTTCTAAGCCAAAAATAACATACTGCTCTATCATCAAGAATTATTTTTAATAATCTATCAGCTGACAACTCCATTAGGTCCTCTTCTGATATTGTTGAAAGCAAAGAATTGGAAAACATCTGACTTGCAAATATTTATTACCTAGTCTTTGTGGTCATTAAGTCCTCTTTTTCTGGGAAATCACCTAAAATACTTTATCAAGACTTATTAAATGATTGTTAATTATGCTTGTTATTCTTTCTCATAAAGACACCTTCTAATTTGATATACTTAAAAAGGGTTGGAGAAATTGAAATATCTTTCATTTCAATATAAGTTTACCAAAACTTTTTTGTACATTGATTTTATATTATCATATACTTTATTTTTATTGTGGAAATTTTAAGAGCTGAAAATTTAGCACATTCAGTTTATGGCACTTTAAGGTAATTGTTGAAGTGGGTCATAAAATTAATCACCCAGAGTAGACTTATTCTTTGTCCCCCACCAAAACACTTAGTTTTCATTTTTTTTTTCTTTTCTTTTTTTTTGAGACGGAGTCTCTCTCTGTTGCCAGGCTGGAGTGCAATGGCACTATCTCGGCTCACTGCAACCTCTGCCTCCCAGGTTCAAGTGAGTCTTCTGCCTCAACCTCCTGAGTAGCTGGGACTACAGGCATAAGCAATCACATCCAGCTAATTTTTGTATTTTTAGTAGAGACAGGGTTTCACCATGTTGGCCAGGATGGTCTTCATCTCTTGACCTCATGATCTGCCCGCCTCGGCCCCCCAAAATGCTGGGATTACAGGCATAAGTCACCGTGCTCGTCCAGTTTTCATTTTTCAAGCCAAATCAATGAGTTAATATATGTCCCCAAGACAAACATTCTGCATTCTAATTCTAAGATAGTAGACATACTAGATTAGATAGATAGATAGATGATAGATAGATAGACAGACAGACAGATAGATAGATAGATATTGATAGAGCATGAAGCTGTACCATGAATTTATCACCGGGATGAAATAATGTGCCACCACCCTCAATACTTCCTACCTTCACTAACCTTATTTTATTTTCATGAGATTTGCATGATGGCAATATGTTCTTTGATAATCCTTGGGGGAAGGATGAGGGGACTCATTAGACAAATATTGGTATCATATTTTTGCCTTACCACACAACCTATCTTGCCCTGTGTCTAATTCCATGCTTTGCCCGTCACAGACGTATGTATAAGACAGAGAGAGACACAAAACCTTAGAGATTTATGTTGCCTTCATTAATATTTTCAGTTGTCCTTTTTTGGATGCCATGGAAGTTTGTACACTTGGCCTAATGCACCATAGTAAGTAAGATTTGGGATGAGAGAGAGTTAACAGAATTTTTTCCTTTTGTAAAGTGGGAAAAGCGCTATTGAGAAAGGGCAGGCAGGACCAGAGAACCAGCCCGACCCCCCAGCTGCAGGTGCACTGTCTGCTAGATCAGTTCAGGGAAGGGCAGATACGGCATTCAGCATCTGGAAATGGAGTGCCTTGAAACAATTCATGCCCAAATACCCCCTGGGAAGTCTTCCTGTCTCTTCAGGGACACTCACACTCCAGGTTGTAAACGGTGGTTCTAATACCCCCTCCTTGCAAACCACACCTATAAATAGGTGTGTAGAGACATAGAACATGTTATGAGCTTCACCAAGACCTTCCGAGCCACCATTTCCCCACTGCTCGAACCCTGACCACGGAACATCTCACAATGTGCAGGCAGCACATACCGTGATCAGTGCCACAACTTAGACTTAGTGCAATGGTGAAATACTGAGAAAGAAAAACCAAAGTGCCTCCAGGAAGTAAACAGCCCATGACAAGAGGCCAGACAGACCACACATGAAACAGACGCACCACACATGAAATGTGCATAAGAATACAGTGGAGATATTTACGCTTCTTGTTAAAAAAGATGGGGCAGACAGCTAGAGGGGTGAAGGAACTGGAAATACGGGATCTCAGAGACTAGGGAGACTTCCTGGAGTTGCATTTGTTTTAGAGACTCCGAGAAGGGCACACATGAGATTTGATGGAGTAAGGAAGGCCAGTGTGCTGATACCGTTTTAAAACTTCCACAGCTGTCTTCTGGTAAATGAAAATGTCCTGAAGTCCTTTCCTCTCCAGAGCTAAGATGTGTTTTTGAGCCTGACTTCTATATTCAGTGATAGGAGAAAGAGAGGAAGAAAGGGAGAAAAAAGGGGACAAACTGGAATTTCTCAACTTCTGGACTAGTGGTAGTCAATTGAGTTAATTTATACTAAAGTGTTAATGACACACAACAGTTATACCCTCCAAAGATCCCCTGTAGCATAAAGGCTCTGTGAAATACTGTATATGTTGAGGAATCAAAGTAACAAAGCAATAATGTAAAAGGGAAATTAGGCAAAAGGAATGGGGGAGAGGACTGGTTCTCAGCATTCAAGCAACCCAATCGGGAAACCCCCTGCAATGACAAAACTTATCTAGCGCACCAATGGGGCCAGTAGATATCATCTGCCAGTAGATGGCGGTCTTCATACTAATTGACTCTTCACTGGAACAGCCCTTCTTTCTACCAGATATTTGTAGGGTTGGTTGGCTTATTGCAGAGGTGGAAAAGGAAGCTACCTCCGCAGTGTAAATTGGAGAGCCCTGCGTGAGAGCTCCCCCTGCTCAAAATTTACTCCCTCACAGACTCGGTCACTTATGTCTAAAAGTCCTATTTATTCAACCCTTTATGGAGGAGGGCAGATTGCTGACAAGAAGTGAAACTGGGGTTAGTCATTAACACTTTAGCAGGAACTAATTTGGTATATTAATTCAGGAAAGAAAGGAACTTTCCAGGCACTGGACACTTAATAGCCTTCTTTAAAAGAAAAAAAAAAAAAAAAAGAAGGTGCCCAGACACAGTGGCTCACACCTGTAATCCCAACACTTTGGGAGGCCAAGGCAGGAGGATCGCTTGAGCCCAGGAGCTCCAGACCAGCCCGGGTAACATAGCAAGACCCTGTCTCTACAAAAAGAAAATAAATTAGCTGGGTGTGGTGGCATGTGCCTGTGGTCCCAAGCTACTCGGGAGGCTGAGGCAGGAGGATCACTTGAACCCAGGAGATTGAGGCTGCAGTGAGCTATAATTGTGCCACTGCACTCCAGCCTGGACAACAGAGCAAGACCTGGTCTCAACAACAACAGAAAAAGTAAATAGAAGAAGTAGGCAGAAAAGAAATGGTAGGTTGCAATAGATGGGTTTTGGCTTGGGCCAGACCTGAACACTGTTTCCTTCAACTCCCATCCCACAATGGAGGACCGGGTCCCCTCAGGTTTGCCGAACAGACCATAAAGCTTGTTAACCTTGGCTGGGCGCCGAGGCAGGATAATCCTAATTTCTTGGCACTCCCTACACGGATGCCCATGGATCTCTTTGGCCCAGTACTTTCTTCATCCCTAGGATGGCCTGAGCAGTAAGGGGACATCGCAAAAGAGGAGTTATTCAGAAAGAGGCCAAGATGGTGAGAAGACCTGAAACTGGTGCAGTAGCTATCTGTCCCATGGTAAACTAGAGAAGAGAAGACACATATTCATCAAGGCACTGGCCTCTGACACCAATGGTTGTCATGTGGAACCTGCAAACCCAAAGAGAGAATCAGAAGTTAGAGAGAAATTGATCACTATGCAATGTAAGAACAACTTCACCTTCTGTCATCACCATCTGAAGACAGGCTGATGATGGTTACGGTAAAATAATAATCATCATGACAATAAATCACATTTATTTAACCATCCCTTGTGGCTAGGCGCTGTGTTCCACATGCCTGATTTCATTTGACAATTGCAACATTGCTGTGGAGTGGGTATTACTATGACCACCTTTTTACAGATGAGGAAACAGGCTGAGAAGAATTAAATAACATATTCAGTATGACCCTGAGCATTTAACCATGCCGCGAGGCTGCCTCCTTAGACAGAACGGGCTGCCCTGGGAGTCTACAAGTTCACAGTACAGAGGCATTGGAGCAGAGGCTAGGGACATCTGGCTGGGGTGCTGCAAAGGAGACTCATGGGATTCAATCATCTTAAAGGTCCTCCCAACTCCTAGGGCATACAGATCCACACACTCATTCAGCAAATATGCACAGAGTGCCAGGCTGTGTCCTAGGAACTAAGAAGATGATGTTATCGAAAGAAGGAGGAGGAAGAGAAGGGCACAGAGGAGGAGAGAGGAAAGAAAGGGGGAAGAGAGAAAGGAGGAAGAGGAGGAGAATGGGAACAGCAACTAAAAATTTTTAAAAACAATTTTTTTAAAAAATTCACATCACTATTAATATAATAGGGGCTACTTTACAGAAGTGAAAAAAATGCTATGAAAAAAATATAGTGGGGCATATAACCTAATCTGAAGAACCCAGGAAACTTTCTTCAAACTAGAAGGGAAGTGACATTTTTCTTTTTTTTTCAGCATCCAATTTTTTTTTTTTTAATTTTTAGTAGAGACATAGAGACGAGGTCTTGCTATGTTGCCCAGGCTGATCTCAAACTTCTGACCTCAAGTGATACTCTCACCCCAGCATACCAAAGTGCTGAGATTACTGGAATGAACCATTGCCTCTGGTCCTAAAATATTTAAATAAGAGAGGATGACCCAGGGTTAGTTTTTTTTTAGCTGGGGCTGGCCCTTGGGGTGGACATAGGGTTTGGTGTGGCTGTGTGGGGTTCCCCAGGCCTGGCCGAAATGCCTGTACACCTTGGCCCTTGTAAGTATGGGAGAGCAGGCTGAAGCCACAGGCCTTGGGAAGGCCAGGGCCAGCTGGGCAAAGGTGAGGGTTTTGCCCAGGCTTGAGGATGCGGCTGTAGATCTGCTGCTCACATGCAATGCACACACCTTGAGTTTGGGCACCTCCAGCACGGGCACAACATCCATTATGATCCCCACAACCACAGCTGTTTTGTTCTTCCAGCCAGAAAGCTTCATCTTCCCCATCATATGGGAGAGAGACAGAGGTGGCCAGTTTCTGTGACTCATTAACAATGTCTTCAGCACAACCTGGTTGAAGGTGGAGTTGGTTCATCTGGCCGGAAACCTGAACAGCTTGACCAACAGCCTTTGGTGGATGTCCTGGCTCTTGGGCTCCTGATGCCGAACCTTTTGGTCCTTGTCATGGCAAACATCAACTCCCTCGATGGCACCTTCTGCCCTGCCAGGTCCAGAAGGGAAATGACATTTAAGCTGAGACCTGAAAGCTGAAGAAGAGATACCTAAGCAAATAAGTCTAGGAAACAGCCTTTATAAAAGCCCCATGGATGCTGGGAGCATGGCTCATGCCTATAATCCTAGCACTTTGGGAGGCCAAGGTGGGAGGGGAGCATTGCTTGAGGCCAGGAGTTTGAAACCAGCCTGAGCAAAATAGTGGGGCCCCCGTCTCTACAAAAATTTTTTCTAAAAAAAATTAGCCAGGCATGGTGGCATACGCCTGTAGCCCCAGCTTCTTGGGATGCTGAGATGGGAGCATCGCTTGAGCCCAGGAGTTCAAGGCTGCAGTGAGCTGTGATCGTGTCACTGCACTCCAGCCTGGGCAGCAGAGTGAAATCTTGACTCAAAAAAAAAAAAAAGCCTATGGCGGGAGACTTTGGCTCTTTGAGGATCAGAAGGAAGTGTGGGAGGAGTCAGGCAAGAGGAGCTGACCTGGGCTGCTGCTAGAGAATTAAGCAGGGGTTAGAAGCCATGTTGAGACTATCCTTAGAGTGAGGGTGGGACTTTGAAGTATTTTAAGCAGGGTAGAGACACGAGATCTATGTCTTCAACGACTGCTGTGATTGCTGTATGGTGCCTGCAAGGGAAGAGGGTGGAACCCAGGGGAGTCATGGCAAGGAGATCCCTGTGGAGGTTGGTACAGAATAGGAAATTGCCGTCTTTTGAATGGTTCGTGTGGCACTGCCCATCCACACTGGCCCTGCACATCTTCTTGAAGGGAAGAAAACCCAGGTGGAGAAAGTAGAAGCTAGACTTGGGAGCTGGGGTAGATCTCCACCAGCCTGACCCACCCAGCAACTGTCCTTTCTGGTCTTCACTCTTGCTGTGGTTTTCAAATCTGCATTCAGCAACTGAGGCAAAGCGCGTGTGCTTGGGGATCTTACACACCCTTCCATAATCAGTGACAGCTGCAACCCCGAGTGTTCGCCTCCCACCCTGCCCGTGCTTATGGTTCCTTCCCTGCCACCCAAGAAGAAGATGTAGGAAGCTGGAAGTGAAGAAAAAGAAGGCTAGGCAGTGGCTAGGGAGTCAAAGAGAAGGAAGGTTCAGACATTTTTTGAATAAAAATTCTAAGCCAGATATTTATTCTAATGCACAAAAGAGTTAAGGATGAATGCAGTTCTTGTAGATCTGGCAAATGATGCTACCAACCCTGAGTTAGGAGAGCTCTGTCCATTCCTGGTTTCTGCCCCAACTTCCTTTTTCTCTCAGTTTCCTCACTCTCGAACAGAGTTAATAGCCGGCATCACTTTTATTTTGCAAACTCAAGCTGGAAGGAAGAGTGTTTGGATAGTTAAAATCTTGATAGAGAAGTGAGGCCGTGGTGTTGCCAGGACTGTCATCAGATGGCAGAGGTGGGAAAGAGCCAACTTTTGCTTCCAACCGTCCGTCATATCATTCCATGCTTTTCATTGGAATTAAATCCTCTGTGTTCTAGAACTTCTTTAGAGTCTCATTCTGCAGGGCTCCTCCTCAAAGTGTTTTTTCCACCAGCAATCCCTACCTGTCCCTGTTCCATAAGCCCCCAATTCTTAAGATCTTTGTGAGGGAGACACTGCAGACACATCTTCAATCAAGTCAGAGAGCACCCTTACCCACCCTCTGCTAAATTCAGTCAAGAAATCCCTCAAATATACAAGTTCAGCATCCCTAATCCAAAAATCCAAAATCTGAAATGCTTCAGATCCAAATTTTTGAGTGTGGACATGATGCCACAAGTGAGAATTTTTATACATTAAGTACTTAACACAAACCCTGTTTCATGCACAAAATTACTTAAAATATTTTCTAAAATTACCTTCAGGCTATGTATATAAGGCGTATACGAAAAATAAATTAGTTTTGTGTTTAGACTTGGATCCCATCCCCAAGATATTCATTATGTGCAAAATATTCCAAAGTCTGAAAATATAAAAAATCCAGAGCACTGCTGTTCCCAAGCATTTTGGACGAGTGATACTCAACCTATAGTAGTTGGCTGGTATATTTGGGTTTCTGGAGCACTCAAACTGAGATACAGTTCCTGACCTCAAGGAGCTTACCCTCGTGCCATCCAAGAAAGCAGGCAAACCAGGGCTCCAGAAACATTTACACAGGAGACGCGTTTAACAACCTGCAACAGGAAAACCAGTGACATAACCATGCGGTCAATGGAAGTTTTCTTTGTGCTTAGTATTCTCTAGAAATGACTGAAGCCTGGCTCCCTCTGTCAAAGCAGCACATTCTCCCACTGTGCTTCACCCCTGCTACATTCATTTCCCTCAAACACCATCACGAAACTCTTTTACTCATTTGTTCATATGGTTACTGTCTGGTTCTCCACTAGAAGTAAAGCTTTTTAAGTTGAGAAACTACGTGTGTCTTGTTTAACGCTGTATCCCTAATACCTAAAACTGTGTCTGGCACTACTAGGTGCTCAGTAAATATTTGATCAACTGAATGCCTGTTGTCTTTTTTTTTTTAATTGTAATTGTCAATTGTCAGTCTCTACCCACCAGACTATAAAATTCAAGGGCAGGGATTTTGTCTGTGTTGTTCATTATGGTGTCTTCAATATCTGGAACGCACAGCACTGAAAAGTGTTTGCTGAGTGAGTGAATGAATGAATGAATGAATGAATGAATGACAGAGATTAATATAGGCTGAGGCATCCAGGAACTGACATTTACTGAGTACCTGTTCTATGTGAGACACTCTTTTAGGCACTTTATTACTGTGTTTTATGTTGCAGAGAACATGTTTGGACTAGTTTATAAGTCAACTTGAAATAATTTCCTGCATTAAGAAAAATTGGTTTTGACACATTCTTGTCATAGAAGTCAGCCTTTGTTCCCATGATGCTCTGAACAGCTGCAGTCCTGAGGAAGCCAGGGGAAGCTCCCCCTGCCTGCTGCTTAAACAGCTGGCCGGTGAACAGAGACCACCCCAGACCATTCAGCTCTCAGCACAGCTGTGTGAGCAGATGGAAACTCTGCCACCCAGAGAATCCAGCAGCTGAGAATAGAGTGGGTGGACTTGGCCACTGGTATGACCTGTGCATGTCAACCCTAATGTGGAGAAAGGTTTTTCATCTCTACAGGTCAACCCATTAGTATGGTTTGACCTAGAAGTCTTCAAAAGTTGTAGCAAGAGCCTTTCTGTATTGTCCCTGCAGCCAGGCACCATGAACACCACTCCAGCTGCTGGGGTGCAAGAGGTCTATGGGCTTGACTTTGCTGTAACCCTCAGTTTCCACACTTTTTTCAGCCCCTTGCCAGGTTACAAAGCCGAATTCCTAGACTTGTCGAATGTTAGAACTAGAAGGCGCCACAGAGATCCTTAGACTCTAGATACTTAGACTGAGGCCTCACTTGAGGGATGAGGACCCTGAAGCTCAGAGGGGCATCCTCTTGGCCCAAGCTGCATGGCTGGTGGATGGCAGCCAAAGGGCCAACCTCTTAGCTCTATGGCCGGTGGTCTTGTGTGAGTTTTGTGGTTTGGAGTATTGTCATCATTAGCAGTTCTATTGTTTTTACCCTTTGTCAAACAGCAGTAATTAGTGTGTTATTAATAATAGTATTGATTATTAATAACATTGATCAAGCAAGTCTGTGTCAGACAAGGTGCTAGAGGTTGTGTTTAATCCAATCAAAACCCCTAAGAGTGGGAAGGAAGCTGGTCCTAACCTGGAGGGACACAAGGAAGTTTTCAGGGCATGGAAAATGTCTCTACCTTGGCCTGGGTGGTGAGTACACTGATAAATACATATGTAAAATCCATCCAGCTGTATACTTGGTACTTATGCTCTTCAAGTAGGTGATGTCTCCATTTTAAACAATGAATGCAACTTATATATGCATAAATCTGCCACAATAAATTTCTAAGAAATAAGGGAAAAACCAGCTACTCGGGAGACTGAGGCAGGAGAATGGCGTGAACCTGGGAGGCGGAGCTTGCAGTGAGCCGAGATCGCGCCACTGCACTCCAGCCTGGGTGACAGAGCGAGACTCCGTCTCATAAAAAAAAAAAAAAAAAAGAAATAAGGGAAAAAAAGCCCAGGCCGGGCGTGGTGGCTCACGTCTGTAATCCCAGCACTTTGGGAGGCCGAGGCGGGCGGATCATGAAGTCAAGAGATCAAGACCATCCTGGCCAACATGGTGAAACCCCGTCTCTACTAAAAATACAACAAATTAGCTGGGCGAGGTGGCACGCGCCTATAGTCCCAGCTACTTGGGAAGCGGAGGCAGGAGAATCGCTTGAACCCGGGAGGTGGAGGTTGCAGTGAGCCGAGATTGTGCCGCTGAACTCCAGCCTGATGACAGAGCGAGACTCCGTCTCAAAAAAAAAAAAAAAAAAAAAAAAAAGCCCTGAGAGGTATCTTTATTATCCCCACTTTATAGATGAGGAAACTAAAAAAGTAATATTAACATAATTAATCATCGTATTAGCTCCTATGTGCCAGGCATGAAGATAAGGGTTTAGGTACAATACCTCATTTAACCCAATTTAAAATCCCATGAGGTTATTTTGTTCATTGTTTCTTTTTGCCATTTTAGCCACTTTTTATTATGGTAAAACATACATGACAAAATTTACCGTTTTCACCATTTTAAAGGATTCAGTGGCATTAAGTACATTCACATCGTTGTGCAACCATCACCACCGTTCATCTCCAGATTTTTTTTCATCTTCCCAGACTGATGTGTGTTCTGATCTGGATTCTATCACCTTCTAAATGTGTGACCTCAGGCAAGTTGCTTAATGTTTCTGAGCTTCAAGTGCCTGCTCTTTAAATTGGAGGACCTGAGGTGAGCCGCTGCTATCGGGGGGATCCTGGCCACACGCAGGAAATGAATGGTGGGCAAGTGAGTGAAGCTTCATCTGTATTTATAGCCACTCCCCATTGCTCACATCACCACCTGAGCTCCACCCCCTGTCAGATTGGCGACTGCATAAGATTCTCATAGGAGCACAAACCCTACTGTGAACTGCGCTTGCGAGGGATCTAGGCTGCGTGCTCCTTGTGAAACCCTAATGCCTGATGATCTCTCACTGTCTCCCATCACCCTCACATGGGACTGTCTAGTTGCAGGAAAACAAGCTCAGGGCTTCCACTGATTCTACATTATGGTGAGTTGTATAATGATTTCATAATATATTATAATGTAGTAATAATAGAAATAAAGTGCACAATAAATGTCATGTGCTTCAGTCATCCTGAAACCACCCTTTCCTCCCCTGCCCCATTCATGGAAAAATTGTCGCCCACGAAACCCATCTCTGGTGCCAAAAAGGTTGCAGACCACTGCCTTACAGAATGTGGGCAGCCTAAAAGCTAAGCTGGTGAGACTGGGACCAACAGGTATCTCCAGATTTGGGTTGTCACTAACCCATCAGGGACTCTCTCAGACACCCTCAGCAGGAATGGAGAGTGAGGTGGCCCAGGCGCTTAGAGACACAGAGAGCGAGCCAGAGGAGCCGTTAGGGAACAGGGACGTGGCACAGGGAAGAAGAGTAAAGGAACCTCAGTCATGCGGTAGCGGCTTGAAGACAGGGCGATGAGTAGGTGCAGGCATTTGCAGAGAGGGGGCAGTAATAGAGGTCACGAGGCTGGAAAAGCCTCCAGTGGGCAGAAACCAGGAGGCAGACGGGAGAAAAATACCACAGCCACGGGAGAAGCAGGGTGAGAGCAAACTGAAAGGTCTGTCTGCAGCATGGACAGTTCCAGGGTTGATTTTTGTCCCTTCAGCTGCAGTGGCCTCCATATCATCCATGGGCAGCCGCCGCCCACCATCTCAGCATGTTTTGGCAGGTGCATTTTAAAACGAGTTCCTGGCATCTTATAGAGATAAATAGGGTAGAAAATAAAAGAAAATAAAAAATAAGACATAGCCTTTACCCTCAGGGAGCTTAATCTCCGGTTCTCATAAAAGCCGAGCTACTACAGTACACACAAAAATCGGAGTCCAGTGACTAAACTCGCGTGTTTTGTAATTGAGCAGAAATGGACTTAATTCCCAGCTCTGCCATTTGCTAACTACGTGATCTTAAAAGCATTTCCTGACCTAAGGCTCCACTTCCTCATGTGTAAAAAGGTCACAAGGACAGCACCTGCACAACCAGGGTGCTGGAAGGATTGAGGGAGGCAGAGCCTGCAGGGCTGGGCACGCACCTGGCATGTGAGGCTTCGGCAGACGGCAACCTTTATTACCCAAGCTCCTTAGACCAACAGGCATTTCCTCTGTCCACCTGCATTACTATTGTGTGAATTCGGATTCCTCAGGTGCTGCTGTCCTGCAGGAATTTGGCTCTTGAAGCAGGAGAGGGAGAGGAGACCAGGGAAATGGGGACAGCTACTCCCGGAAGTTATCACAGGGGAGAAGGGCTCAGAGCCCAACTTAATAAAAAGAGCATTGCATCAGTGCTTCCTGGGGCCCACTGGCATCCCCTGTAAGCTGCACATTCCCTCCCCAGCCAGGCCTCTGCTAGCAGCCTCTCTGTGCTAGAGGAAACCTAGGGACAGGGACCGCTCCAGCTGCAGGCAAGTTCCTAGAAAGTCCAGTGGAATGGATATCATTCCTGTACTGTGAGTAATCGGCCCAAACAAAGCCCACTGGTATTTCCGAGTCCATTCCCAGTGCCCAGAGCTGGACCCAGTAGCTCAGCAGCTGCAAGGAGTGGAATGCAGTTCTCTAGCATGCTGCCCTAGATTCAGCCTTGGAGAAAGACTCCTTGCCCCAAGCGGGGAAGGTGCTCTGAAGGTCATCTCGTCTATGCTCCTGCCTCTGGGCCCAAACATTGTAAGACACAGGGCTTGGAAACCCCCTGTAGCCCAAGTGTGGGGACCAGGGAGCCTGCATGAGGATTCTAAGGATACAAGGTGGAGTCAGGAAAAGGATGTCCCTTTCTCCGTTGCCTCCTTGAGCTTCCATTAGAAGGACTTGCAGGAGAGGGGAAAGAAATCAGGAAAAGAAAAGCTGAGCCTCCGTGGTGTCTCTACCCCGACTTCTCTCCTGCTCCTCCTTTGGTCTTGGGGCAGGCCAGCCCTGTCTGCCTCCCATCGCTTTCCTCGCTTCTGGGCCACTAGTCTGTCACAGTCACCATTTCTGGAAGTTCAGAGATAAAGCTATCCTTATCCTTTCGGAACAGTGGCACCTGCTTTGTCAGCTCTAGGTGGTAGGGGTTTCCCTAACTGGGTTGCCGATGAGCCCGGGTCATTCACACTGGGGAGTCAGGTCTTTGGCCTTAGCTCACTGGGTCACCCCAGTGGTTGTCCCAGGGAGGTCTTATTGCCACCTCTTGACAAATGAGGAAGCTGGGGCACAGCAACATGAAGTGACTTTTGCTCAAGACCCTTCACCGGTCCTTCCACTGCCTGGACACACCCTGCCAGGCATCTCGAGGCTGATTTTCAAGGGAACAGAAACTTCCACCGCTGCCTGTGCCTCGCCTAGCTCCCACCCAATACGAAAGAATGGCACACTTATAGGTCACACGCCCCAGTTCATTGCTCCCTAGCTCCCATGGGAAAAGGCATAAAGTGTCCTTTCCAAAATGGTGACTGTCATTTCCCCCAGCCTAATTTAAGGCAGGCGTGAACGTTCCCCAGAGAGTTCACCTGGGCTGTCCTCCTGTGCAGTTGCTGTGCAGAAATGTTTCCTCCGTGTGCATTGCCTGCTGTCATTTCTTGGCTTTTCCAGAGTGTAAGCTGTGGTCCTGGGTGAATAGGGCAGTAGGTAGGGTTGGGGGTTCAAGGGTCAGTGGCCCTCAAACCTGGTACCCTGTGAACACCCTGGTCATTTTGAATTTACCGGCTCAGGAAAGAAGATTCCTTGCAAGCACACAGTTGCCTGTGGTCAGAGGGATGATCTCAAAGTGCTCTTAGTTCCTGGGCCAGCAGCCAGCTGCCTTGGATGGTCAGAAGGTGAAATTTGAATGCTGGTGAATGGGAGAGCGGAAGTTCAGCAAGGCTGAGTTAAGCCCATTCATGAAAAAGATCTAGTCTCACTTCCTTATTGCCAGGAGTTGTGTGTGAAGAGTGTGTGTGTGTGTGTGTGTGAGCACGCGCATGCACATGCACGTGAGCTTGATTACTTTCTGCCTCGCTTCTTCCTCCACCCCTACTCTTTTCTTTTTTTTCTCTCTCTCTCAAAATCTTAAGTTCATCTTCAGGAAACTGCCCAAGAATGTGTAGCCGGTCTGTGGTTTGCTGAAAAAAAGAAAGAAAAAGAAAGAGACAGATTCATACAAAAGCAATTCTCTCTCTTTCACCCTCTCTCTCTCTGTTTCTCTCTCTCTCACACACACACAGTCTCTCACACACACTCACACTCACACACACACACTTTCCAGGTTGTGCTGCATGCACCTCCCCAGCTGTTCTCCCATTCAGTCCTGTCTGGCTTAGGGAGGTGAAGTCATCTCTGGGTGGGAGATCATCCCGGTCAAAGGCGGGGTGGGGGAGCCGTCATGGCTGACCCACAGGGAAAAAATTCACTGTTACCCAGTTAGCTCCCACCTCAGTGGACCACATGGTGCTTCTGGCAGGTTGTGCCTATGGCTAGTGGCGTGATTCCCAAGTTAGTAGAAGGCTGCTGTGTGGCAGGTACCCTCCCCTGTTATCTGTGAGATGGAGGTGATCATGATATGGGCTCCTCATGGGTTGTTGCAGTGATGAAGGTGAGGCACACAAGGTCCTTAGCACAGCATGTAGTCACAGGTGATCTCACTGAACATCTCCGGGGCAGGGGGCTCACCACCTCCAGGGCAGCCTGTTCCATTTTCAGCAACACAGCAAAGAAGCCACCAACCCTGCTGGGCTTGTCAAGTCTTGGGAGGAATCGAGGCACTTCTTTTGACTTTAGAAATAGAAACCGAGATGCTGACCAAGAAAAAGTATGCACCCAATGCAGTTTGACCTACCCAGATACACAGGGGCCTCACGGACATGTGCCTGAGAAAGAAGACGTAACTCAGGGAAGGATATGACACCAAAGCCCTCAAAATGATTAACTGGAGCAGGTGATTTTGAGCCCTCAGTACTTTCAGTTGTTACTCTCAGACTCTGACCAAGAAGTGCTTACTGGGCACCCACAATGATTTCAGAGTATTCTGGAAGGAGTGCACCTGTCCTTCCAGCTGAGCCTCCTCCGTGGGTGCGGCAGGTAGAAGGGCATATAGGTGCTTTCCCCGCCTGTAGCCAACATCCCCTGAGCTGTTGATGCCCTGTGAAATCTCTGTGAAATCTCTTTCTCGCTGATCCTACACATTTGGAAAGTGCTGTCATGACAATTATTACTCACAAAGTTCTCTTGCTGAGGGAGGATGGTCACTTGGCATGTATTATTCTCCCCATTTTACAGACATGGAAACTGAGACCCACAGAGATCCTGGTGGTGTAGTTTGAAGCTGCTGGAATTCTCCAAGCTGCTCTCCCTGCCTTTTAGGCTGTTTCTCCTAGTGGTGCCGGTGACACAAAGAGCTGTTCTTATCCTCTCCTGTCCTGAGTTATTATGCAGTGAGTTGAGTGGAAGTTTCTAACCACCCCTCAAGTTCCCTACCAAGGAACTTAGGGAGGTGAAGTCATTTCTGGGTGGGAGATCATCCCTGTCAAGGGTGGGTGGGAGATCATCCCGGTCAAGGGTGCGTGGGAGATCATCCCGGTCAAGGGTGGGTTGGGAGATCATCCCGGTCAAGGGTGGGTTGGGAGATCATCCCGGTCAAGGGTGGGTTGGGAGATCATCCCGGTCAAGGGTGGGTTGGGAGATCATCCCGGTCAAGGGTGGGTGGGAGATCATCCCAGTCAAGGGAGGGTTGGGAGATCATCCAGGTCAAGGGTGGGTGGGAGATCATCCAGGTCAAGGCTGACCCACGGGGAAAAAATTCACTGTTACCCAGTTAGGTCCCACCTCAGTGGACCACATGGTGCCTCTGGCAGGCCGTGCCTATGGCTAGTGACGTAATTTCCAAGCTACCAGGAGGCTGCTGTGCAGCAGGTACCTCCAGGTAATGGGCCATCCCACATCCATGCCCTTGGTTTGCCTTGACCCTGGCTTTGGCAATGTGATTAACATCCATTGGGTGCCTACTAGAACTTCAGGGAGTGGACACGGAGGCTGCAGACCCCAGGTGGAGAAGGATGGGCTCCCAAATAAGGATTCTCTCTCACTGCCTTCATTTCCTTCCCCCTCCCTTCCCCTGTGTCCTCAAACCATCCATCGATAGTGAAAGAGAGGAAACATCTGGTCTGGGTTCCGCACCTCCACCCTGTGTTGGGGGGCTTGTAGGAAGAGATGGTTGGAGGTCTTGGAACCTTGAAATAAACCAACGGTTCAGCTGCCATCCTCCCCACCCACCATCCTGTCTTCCTCACCCCACCTTAATATCAGCCATCCTCCTAGCAACAGCCTGCACCATGCCACCACCCAGCAGACAGCTGCTGCTGCCAGTTCCAGAAACTAGAGAGATCCATGACCAAAGTGAGGCTCCAGAATGTCTCTGTCAAGACAATGGAGATACTGATGGTCACAGGGCCAGAGGGCAGTGACGGGGGATGGGACCTGGGGGACAGCTCTGCACATACTTCCAAAACTCCATAAAAGAAGTCTTCCTCCAAACATCCTCTTCTTCCTTCCCTCACTGATCATAATGAACTATTTTTTATGGAATATTCCCTCCATACCAGGCACTTAAACAAATTATCTTGTTTAATCATCATAATGGCCCTACAGGGTCGGTATTCATTCTCTTCTTACAGATGGAGTCGAAGCACAGAGAGGTTAGTAATTTGGCCAAGTTCATACAACTCAAGTGGCAGAGCTTGGATTCAAATCTTATCAAATTTCAAAGTTCAGGCTCTCAGCATCAACAACAAACTGTCTTTCTGATGCCTCCTCAATCCTTTGTCTCCCAGATAGGCATACCAGGATTTAAGCACCATCTCCTAACTACTGGTTTCATTCAGCTGTCCTCTTCTTCCTTCATTCATTCACTTCAATCACTCATTCATATACCAAGTAAAAGACTTACTATCTACCATGTGTGCTAAACATTGAGAAAGAACAAAATATTGTAAACTCCGTTCTTCTGCTAGAGATGTGATCATTTGGGAAGCATGATCAATGACACAGCGGAGAGAGTAAATATTCCCAGACCTGAGAGCAAGAGGGATCACCTCATCAGCTCTGACCTCTTCTCGCCTCCCTGCCTCCCAGTTCGCCCTGTGGCTTTGAAAGATGAATACCCAGTAAGCCTCAAGAGTGAGGGATGTGACGTGGTGGTTGTTCAGAGAAAGACAAGGTCTAGGGGCTGTCTAGCCTTGCTGTAGTGGTGGGACTCCCGCAGAACCTTGAGTGATGGCTGGTGACCCTCTTCAGCCAAAAGCATAGGAGCAAATGTTTGATGCCAGTTGAAGGAGCAGTAAATCCAAGAGACACTGAGAAAGACAGACCGTGTGCAGGAGAAGCTGTGGTTTATGGGCAGAGAGGAGATTATAAAGGAGTGTTGGGGTCTTGCTGGGTGGGGCCCCAAGTGGCTGTGAGTGGCTGGCTTTACTCCTGCATGCCATGGAGAGGTCACGCTTCCTATCGTGTGTCAGGAGGTCATCTCTGGAAGAGCAGAGGGAGGAGTGTGGGCTTAATGGCTGTCCTGTGGCTGCAGCCCCCCTGAGACTGCAGATGCCATTGTTTCTGGGTATGATAGAGAGTTGATGAGGAGCCTGGGGTTGGCAAAACGAGGTTTGAATCCAAGCCTCACTGTTACTAGTAGTGGTGAGCTTGAGCAGGTTTTTTAACACCTCCAAGCCTCGCTCTGTTACCTACGAAATGAGCCTACTATTACCTACTCTACAAGGTTGTTGTAAGAGTTCAATGAATATGGGTGTCAAGAATGTATTAATAACATAGTGCCTGGTATAGCAAACACTCCTGCATAGGCAACTATCAGCCCAGATTGTCTTCCTGTCCTGGTGTCTGGGTGATTGGCCGGTTTACTAATTGGTTAAAAAGTATGAAAATGTCCAGCAACTAGTGTGACTGAATTCTTATAGACTCTCCCTCCATTCTTTTTGTTTTGTTTTGTTTTTTGAGACAGAGTTTCGCTCTTGTTGCTCAGGCTGGAATGCAATGGCGTGATCTCGGCTCCCTGCAACCTCCGTCTCCCGGGTTCAAGCAATTCTCCTGCCTCAGCCTCCCGAGTAGCTGGGATTACAGGCTCCCGCCACCATGCCCAGCTGATTTTTGTATTTTCAGTAGAGACGGGGTTTCACCCTGTTGGCCAGGCTGGTCTCAAACTCCTGACCTCAGGTGATCCACTTGCCACGGCCTCCCAAAGTGCTGGGATTACAGGCGTGAGCCACCGTGCCCACTCTCCCTCCATTCTTTTTTTTTTTTTCTTTTTTGAGACGGAGTCTCACTCTGTCGCCCAGGCTGGAGTGCAGTGGCGCGATCGTGATCTCGGCTCACTGCAAGCTCTGCCTCCTGGATTCACGCCATTCTCCTGCCTCAGCCTCCTGAGTAGCTGGGACTACAGGCACCCACCACCACGCCCGGCTAATTTTTTTGTATTTTTTAGTAGAGACGGGGTTTCACCGTGTAAGCCAGGATGGTTCGATCTCCTGACCTCGTGATTCACCTGCCTCAGCCTCCTAAAGTGCTGGGATTACAGGCGTGAGCCACCGCGCCCAGCCCTCTCCCTCCATTCTTAAGAGATCACCCAGGAAAATGCCTCCATATTCTGTGATATTGTGTTTTGGCTGGGGGTGAAGTGGACTTCTCTCCACCAACAGAAAACCCTCAAGCAGCATAATGGACGGTCAACATCTTGCTAGAACCCTGCGCAATCGTATGCGCGTGCACACACACACACACACACACAGCCTCAAAAAATAGCTTGCATGATGAATGAAGCCTTAACATACGTAGAAAGAGAATATTTCTCAAAGACATACCATGGATGTACATACGGGTGGATGGTGCATACATTGTACACTGAAATACACCCTTTTCCCCTCTACTGTGCCCCAGATATTTGGAAATGAAGGAAAGGAAACTGCTCTTGGAAACCCTGAAATGAACACACAATGCATCAGAGCCAAGCCTGCAATCACTCAAGAAAGAATGATTCTCGAGGCATCGAGTCCCCCCTGGAAGTTAATTGAAAGGCTGTCTACAGAAAAGATGGTCAGTCCTAAGGGAGAGGTAGGTCAGTAACGAAAACACAGAAAAGGAGAGTCCTAGAGAAAACCCAGAGCCCTGACCTGGAGGAAGAGGACCTTGGTCCTAAAGGTGCCTGTGTATTTTTTGTGGAGATGGGCACTCAAATTATCATCACCTGATATGATTATGCATTTTAATTTTCCAACTAACCTCGGTGTTTTCACTCTGTACTCAGCGAGCAGCCATGTGACTGTAAGCTGGCTTCCCAAGTACTTGGTCCTCAAGGAGAGAATGGGTGTTATCCCCTCAGCAGTTCCATTCTGATGTCCACAGCTGGCTGGTAGGGTGAGTCAGCATCCCCCCCAGCAGTCCCATTCACCCTGGGCCACTGCTGGGACCCAGCATTTGAACAGTAGGACAGAGGGCTGCAGGCTGGCCTAAGTCACACCACAGTGAGCTGGTCTTCCCAGGAAGCTCCCAGCCTTCCCGTTCTATGGCACTGTCAGACTGTACCTCTTTATTTCAAAACACATCAGAATACATCAAAGCCCTGACTGTTAGGTAAGTATTACTATGCCCACTTTTATAAGCAAGGAAATAGAGATTGCAAAGGGGTAATTAACTTGCCCAAAGGCGCTTAACTTCATAAACCAGCCTGGATTCCGCACCTATTCTGACTCTAAAGCCTGTGTTCTTTCCCTTGACTTCATGCGGCCCCTGCCTTCAAGGACTTTCCTCTCCAGTGTATCTTTAAGTAAGAAAGCGTGTGTGGGAGGTGAGGTGCGGGAGAGGGACGAGAATGCTCCCCTGCCTGAAGCTCCCCTCTGTGACTAAGAACCCAGTTTGTAATCTCTTCTTCACTTTTTTTTTTCTTTTGAGACGGCGTCTCGCTCTGTCGCCCAGGCTGGAGTGCAGTGGCGCGATCTCGGCTCACTGCGACCTCCGCCTCCCGGGTTCAGGCAATTCTGCCTCAGCCTCCCGAGTAGCTGGGATTACAGGCATGCGCCACCACACCCGGCTCATTTTTGTATTTTTAGTAGAGACGGGGTTTCACCGTGTTGGTCAGGCTGGTCTCGGACTCCTGACCTCGTGATCCGCCCGCCTCAGCCTCCCAAAGTGCTGGGATTACAGGCGTGAGCCGCCGCGCCCGGCCTCTTTTCTTCTCATACAAGGGTAGGATGGGGAGAGCACTAAGGGCTACCTCTGTCTCCAGCTACATTCTCAAGTGCTCCACAAGGAGGAGTGGAGAATGATGTTCGGGGGACAGTGAACAGTGCCTGTCCCTCCTTTTGTTGCTCAAACTTCCACACCTGCGGTCACCCTCACTTCCCCCTAGGCGCTTCCAGGCGGGTGGATGACTGATGACCCTGACTCCAAGCCAGGAGGACGGGGCTAGGGCTTCATCCCTTCCTCCCGAATAATACCATCCTGTTTTAACAGCTGATTTCCATTCAGCTTCCACCTTAAAACACAGGACACCACCAAACCATTGAGGCCACCTGTGTCTCTCTTCAGAATCCTGCGGAACTCCCTCACTCTCAGATATTTCTGAAATACCTACTTATAAAAATAGTTTTGGCCGGGCACGGTGGCTCATGCCTGTAGTCCCAGCACTTTGGGAGGCCGAGGCGGGCAGATCGCCTGAGGTCAGGAGTCCGAGACCAGCCTGACCAACAAGCTGAAACCCCATCTCTACTAAAAATACAAAAATTAGCCGGGCGTGGTGGCAGGAGCCTGTAATCCCAACTACTCGGGAGTCTGAGGCATGAGAATCACTTGAACGTGGGAGGCAGAGGCTGCAGGGAGCCGAGATTGCACCATTGCACTCCAACCTGGGTGACAAGAACAAAATTCCATCTCAAAAAAAAAAATAAAATTAAATAAATAAATAAATCATAAATAGATGTTTTAATTTGCATATTCTAATGACTAATGATGTTGAACACCTTTTCATGCAGTTTTTTGTAATTTGTATCTCTTCTCTTGGGAAGTTTCTGTTGGAATCTTTGTGCCTCTTTTTTATTGGATTGTTTACTTTCTGATTATCGTGTTGTGCATGTTCTTTATATATTCTGGATACCAGTGCTTTATCAGATATATATATAGCAAATATTTTCTCTTATTCTGTGACTTGTCTTTCTAGTCACCTAACCTTAGCTTTCAAAGAGTAGAAGTTTTTAGTTTTGATGAAGCCCATTTTATTCCTTTTTTCTTTTACAGTTAATGCTTTCAGTGTCCTCTAAGACATCTTTGAATAGCCTAAAGTCACAAAGATTTTCCCCTGTTTATGTTAGCAGTTTTATAGTTTTAGGTTTTACATTTAGGTCTCTGATCCATTTTGAGTTACTCTTTATATATGGTGTGAGGTCTGAATCAAGGTTTATTCTTTTTCATTTGGGTGTCTAAATGCTCCAGCACCGTGTTTGTTGAAAAGTCTGTACTTTCTCACTAAATTGCCTTGATACTTTTGTCAAAAGTGAGTTGACCACATATGTGTGATTGATTTCTGGATTCCCTATTCTTTTCCATTTATCTGTGTCTCTATTACACCATAGACCAATACTACAATGTCTTGATTGTTGTAGCTTTCTAGTAAGCCTTGAAATTAGGATACTGTTCATTTTTTGACGTTTATATAAGTGGCATCATACTTTACATATCCTTCGTTTACTTTTTTCACAACATTAATTTTGAGATCTATCTGCATTGGTGATAAATCTATCCGTCTATCCAGTTGATGCATACCTCCAATCTCTTCATTTTCATAATTGTATAGTGTTCCTTTGTGTTTGTACACCATAATTTTGTATCATTCTACTGTTGGTTGACACGTAGATTGCTTATAGGTTTCAGCTGTCCCACACTATGCTGTGTGAACATTTGTGTACATGTTTAATAATAGCGTACACGTTTGGCCGGGCGCGGTGGCTCACACCTGTAATCCCAGCACTTTGGGAGGCCGAGGCGGGCAGATCACGAGGTCAGGAGATCAAGACCATCCTGGCTAATACGGTGAAACCCCATCTCTACTAAAAATACGAAAAAATTAGCCAGGCATGGTGGTGGGTGCCTGTAGTCCCAGCTACTCGGGAGGCTGAGGCAGGAGAATGGCGTGAACCCGGGAGGCAGAGCTTGCAGTGAGCCGAGATCGTGCCACTGCACTCCAGCCTGGGGGACAGAGCGAGACTCCATCTCAAAAAAAGAAAAAAATCGTGTACATGTTCAAAGTTTCTCCAGGGTTTGAACCTAGGTATGGAGTTACTGGGTCCCCAGGTAGCAAGATTCATATGCCAAGAACCTTCATCTGCGCTAGAGAAGACCAAACCATTTTCCAGAGTCTCATACCAATCTTCACACCCGGCAGCAGCGCACAAAAGTTTTCAGTGTTCCTCGTTATCTACGCTTGGTGCTGGTAGACTTTTTAACTTAAAAATCACACTTTGTGGTTTCAGTTTGCACATCCCTGGATATTAGAGAGGTTAAACATCCTTTCTCAGACTCTTTGGCCACTCAGCTTTCCTTTTATGTAAAACGCCTGTTTGTGTCTTTTGCTCACTTTTCTATTAAGTTGTGTTTTTCTTACTGATTAGATGAATTCTTTATACATGCTGAATACCAATACATTTCTCAGTCTGTACCTTTTTGTTCCTTTAATGGCGACTTGATGACCAGAAGTTCTTCATTTTAACATGATCAAAATTATCAATCCATTCTCTTCTGTTATTTTACATATTGTGCTCTGTTTATAAAATCCTGCCATATCTTAAATTCATAAAGATCCTTGCCAGCGTTTTCTGCTAAAAGGTCTAAAGTTTGGACTTTTATATTTAAATTTTAATTCATCTTAAGTTTTTAAAAATTACATATACTGTGTGAGGTATAGATGCAATTTCACATGGAAAACCAGCTGTCCCAGCACCATGTATCGAATAATCTATATTTTCCCCACTGATCTTCAGTGGCCATTCTGTATTATATTATATCAAGTTTCTAAATATGTATGAATTGGTTTCTGAACTGTATCTTGTCCCATTGATCTGTTTGTTCTTTTATCATTACCAACTGTCTTAACTACCATAGCTTTTGAATAAGTCTTGATGTTGAGTAGGATAATCTCCTCACCTTGACTTCTTTAGGAGTTTCTCAGCTATTCCTGGTCTTTTGTGCTTCAATTAAATTTTGAAATCAGACTGCCACATGGTACCAAAACCAAAAAACAACCCAACTGCTGGTATTTTTGTTACAATTTAACTGAACCTAAAAAAAAATCAAAATCAGAAGAATTTGCAGTTGTTCATGAGTGAGTCTTCCTACCCAAGCCATGGCTTATCTCTTCATTTTATGTAGTCATTCCAAATGAGGTTTGAGAACATTTTGTATTTTTCCTCATAAAAGACTGGCACATCTGTAAAATATTCCTTGGTATCTTACTTTTTGTTACCCTCATGTTATCCTTTTTTTAAAGTGAATTCCCTGGTGGTGCATAAAAATTAACTTTTGTATTGTGATCTTTTATCTGACAGCTTTGATAAACTTTCCTATTCATCTTAGTAATTTTTTTGTTTTTTGAGACAGGGTCTCACTCTGTTACCCAGGCTGGAGTGCAGTGGCAGGATCTCGGCTCACTGCAGCCTCAACATCCTGGGCTCAAGCAATCCTCCCACCTCAGCCCTGAAAGTAGCTGGGACTGCAGGTACACACCATTGCACCTGGCTAATTTTTGTATTATTTGTAGAGATGAGATATCGTTATGTTGCCCAGGCTGATCTCGAACTCCTGAGCTCAGGCAGTCCACCCACCCTGGCCTCCCAAAGTGCTGGGATTACAGGTAGGAACTACCATGCCCAGCCTCATCCTACTAATTTAACTTAAAATTTAACCTAAAAATACTTTAGGTTATCTCTTTCTTTCCTTTCCATTTCTTTCCGTTTCCTTTTCTTTCGTAGTGTACTGGCCAGAATTTCCAGCAACATTGAACGAACCAATGAAAATAATAGCCTTGGCCGGCTATTGATCCCAAAGAGAAATTTTAAAATATTTTACTGTTGAATATGTAGTTACTACAACCGCATGTGTGTGTGTATGTGTGTGTGTGTGTCTGTGAGCATGTGCACATGCATGCATGCATCCACACACGTAAAACTCATAACAGGTTAAATCACCTTTGATTCCTCGTTGGTCAAGAATGGTTATCATAAAGAAATATTGAATGTTATTAAACACTTTCTTCCTCTATTGAGATGATCATATGGCTTTTCTCCTTTTAAGGAATGATCAAGTGATGAACTACATTTAGAAATTTTCTGATGCTGACCTGCTTTGCATTTGTGGAATGAATTAAACTTGGTCTTCATTGATTATCTTTTAAATACATGGTTAGTGTTAATATGTTAATACCGTGTTAAGGAGTTTTGCATCTATGTTTGTTAGTGAAATGGTTCTGTGATTTTTTTTCCTACAACTATATCTAATTTTAGTATCAAGCATCTGCTGGCCTCATAAAAATGACTAGGGGAATGTTTCCTTTTCTTCTACTCTATAGAAGAATTTAAATAATATTGGAATTATCTTTTTCTTTAATGTCGGACCTATCTTGCCTATAAAATCATCTGGGATTGATATTTTCTTTTCTGTTTTTTGTTTGTTTGTTTGTTTGAGACGGAGTTTCACTCTTACTGCCCAGGCTGGAGTGCAAGGGCACGATCTTGGCTCACCACAACCTCCGCCTCCTGGATTCCAGTGATTCTCCTGCCTCAGCTTCCTGAGTAACTGGGATTACAGGCATGTGCCACCATGCCCGGCTAATTGTGTATTTTTAGTAGAGACGGAGTTTCTCCATGTTGGTCAGGCTGTTCTTGAACTCCCAACCTCAGGTGATCCACCCGCCTCGGCCTCCCAAAGTGCTGGGAGTACAGGCATGAGCCACCGTGCCCGGCCTCCGGCCCTGATATTTTCTTTGTAGTGAGGTTGTTAAGTGTTCATTACCTCAATTTAATGGTTTTAAATAGTTATATTCAGGATTTTTACTTCCTCTTGAACCTTTTGGCAATTAATATTTTACTAGCCATTTGTCCCTTTTTTAATTTTCAAATTTATTGGCAATAAATGTCATATTATTTTCTCATTGTATTTTAATTCCCATTGCATCTGTAGTGTATTAATTTCCTAGGATTGCTTTAACAAAGTACCAGAAACTGGGCAGCTTAATACAATAGAATGTGTTATCTCATAGTTCTGGAAGCTAGGAATTCAAGATGAAGGTGTTGAAAGAGTTGGTTCCCTCTGAGCGCTGTGCTCTGTTCCATGCCTCTCTCCCAGTTCTGCTGATGGCTGGGGTCTTTGGCATTCCTTGGCTTGTGAATCCATCACTCCAATATTCACTTTATCTTCACATGGTATTCTCCCTGTGTCTGCGTCAGCCTCTTCTCCTCTTCTTACAAGGACATCAGTTATAAGGGATTAGAGCTCACCTTATTGACCTCATCTTAGCTTGATGACAGCTGCAAAGACCCTGTTTTTTGTTTTGTTTTGTTTTGTTTTTTTGTTTTTTTAGATGGAGTCTCGCTCTGTTGCCCAGGCTGGAGTGCAGTGACGTGATCTCAGCTCACTGCAGCCTCTGCTTCCCAGGTTCAAGTGATTCTCCTGCCTCAGCCTCCTGAGTAGCTGGGACTACAGGTGTATGCCGCCACACTTGGCTAAATTTTTTTGTATTTTTAGTAGAGATGGGGTTTTACCATATTGTCCAGGCTGGTCTCGAACTCTGGACTTCAAGTGATCTGTCCGCCTCGGCCTCCCAAAGTGCTGGGATTACAGGCGTGAGCCTCCGCGCCCTGTTTTTTTAATAAGATGACATTCACAGGTATTGGGAGTTAGGAACTCTACATAGCTTTTGAGAGGATACAGTTCAGCCCATGATAAGTAGTGAAATCCTCTTTCTCATTACTAATCTTGCCATTTTTTTGCCGTTTCTCTTGATCTCTTAGTTACCTTTGCTGGCAGTTTTCAATTGCATGCATATTTTTAAAAAAGCATTTTTCAGCTTTGTTAATTCTATTTTATTTTTTGCTCCTATTTCAGTAAATCTCCTCTTTATTAATTCATCCCTTCTATTTTTAAAAAGATTATTCTTTTGCTTATTCTAATTTCTTAATTTGGATGTTTACCTTGCTGCTATTCAGACATTCTTCTTTCCTAATATATTAGCATACATGCTATATATTTTCCTCTAACCATGTCAAAACACTTTATTCCCTAAATTTAAAAGTGAAACATTATCTTTATCAATCAATATTAAGTATTTCCTCATTTCCATTATGATTTCTTTTTTGACCCTGAAGTTATTTAGAAGTGTGTCTTTAAATTTCCAAACACAGGATTTTTTTTTTTGTCCTCTTTTTGTTATTCATTTCTTAAATTCTTTGGAGTCAAAGTATGTAAACTGTAAGATACTGGCTGAAATTTGTTGAGACTTGCTTTATGGCATACTATATAGACGATTCTGAAATGTTCCAAATGTACTTGAAAAGAATGTGTCTTTTTTATTTCTTGGGTACAAAATTCAATATACATCCATTAGATCAAGCTTATTAACTGCATGTTCAGATCTTCTAAAATCTCTGATTTTTCTGTTGCTTGATCTATCAAATAATGAGAGAGGATATTAAAACCTCTCACTATGATGTAGATTTGTCAGTTTTTCCTCATGGTTCTTGCAATTTTGTTTTATATATTTTGAAGCTATGTTACTGATTACATACCAGTTTAATACTATTATATTCTTCTGGTGATATGAACTTTTTACTATTCGGTAGTATCTCTCTTTATGTCTAATAAGGCTATTTGCCTTACAGTGAAATTTGTCTGATATTAATATGATTATTTAGCTTCCTGTTTTATTACTCTTTATCAGATATCTCTTTTTCTGTATTTTACTTTCTTTCTTTTTCTTTTTTCTGAAACAAGTTCTCTCTCTGTTGCCCAGGCTGAGTGCCATGGTGTGGTCACAGCTTACTGCAGCTCGACCTACCTGTCTCAAGTGACCCTCCCACCTGAGCCTCCCGAGTAGCTGGGACTGTAGGTGCTGACCACCATGCCGACCTAATTTTTTATTTGTTGTAGAGACCAGGTTTTGCTATGTTGCCCAACTGGTCTTGAACTCCTGGATGCAAGCAATCCTCCTGCCTTGGCCTCCCAAAGTGCTGGGGTTATAGGCCACTGCACCTGGCCATTTTTGTTTTCAAAATTTCAGTGTCTTTATGTTTTAGTGTATGACTCTAGAGAACAGGAAAAATTAGATTTTCAGATCTAGTCTATCCATATTTGCCCTTTCACAGAAGACTTTTATCAATAATTACTACATTCTTATAAATAGAAGTTTTGTCCATTTACATTTATAGTGGTTACTGCCATAACAAGTTATTTCTACCATATTGTTCTTTGTTTCTTCCCCTTCCTTTTTGCTTTTGTTTGTTTGTTTAAAACATTTTTATTCTAGTTTTCCTTCTACTGTTTTGGAGGTTATACACTCTATTTCTATTATTTAAGTGAGTATTTAACTTAAAACCTAAAATTAGTATTTTTACTCATCTCACGAATGGAAGGACCTTAGCAAGTTTCATCCATATTTGTACCCCACTCCAAATTTTATGCTTCTTAAATCTATTTCAGTTCTGTTTCTTAACTCCCCTGAGTTATTCATTATTATTACCACTTTGTCTAGATTTACTCATGTGTTGGTCTTTTTCTCTGTCACCTCTCCTTCTTGCATCTCAATTCTTCCTTCTGGAATCATTTTTTCTTCCTGAAATATACCCATCTGGAAATTCCTTTACTGAGGATCCAGTAGTAAACTCAGCTAGCTTTTGTTTGTTGAAAATATCTTAACCTTATCCTCATTCTTGAAAGATTGCTTTGCTGGGTATATACATCTAAATTGAGGGATAATATTTTCTATTATCTAAGGCTGTTCACTATGTAAAAATCCTTAAAAAGTCCAGAATGAAAGGCTGTCTGTGCCTTTCTTCACAAGACACGCAGAAACATGAGAGACCCATGGAAAATTGTCTGCTAATCACTTCAAAATGAAAAGTTTAAAAAAAACGAATGAAAACAAATGGAAGTCCTACGAAAGATGCTTCTACGTCTGTGTTAAAAATGAGAAGCTGAATTACAGAAAAGGTAAGAGACTTGCCTACATCCTACTATTAGTGAGAAGAATCAAAATGAAAACATGTAAGTCGCCTAAAGCCCCAGCCTCATCCCTGGACTGTTTGCCCACAAAGGCCCATCACCAAATTGTCTGTGCCTCCACGTCATACAAACCCCTGGACCGGAGAGGGTCTCCCTGACGCGGGGTTCCCAGTTCTACTACTGAACTGATGATCTAACCCAAGTCTCTCCTGCTGTATTATCTGTTATCCTGTGTTCAGAGCATAGAAACTCTCTTCCTTGCGCTGTGTCTTCTAGGCTTGAAATTCTTCAAACCACATGTCTGAGAAAAACTCTGAAAACTTTTGCCAAAGGGGGAAAAAAAAGGAAATGCTGAAAATGATCAAGTGAAAGAAGGAACAGGGAGTAAAATGAGCCACGATTGATCACCCTTATTCTCAGAAGGCCAAGCAAAGGGTCATAAGGGCCCAGGTCACTCCCCCTGAAAAGGGGAGTTACACCCAGGCCTGCTGCGGGTAAATACTCCACTGCCTTCTGTGGTGACATCCTTGAAACAGGAACCTTGGAGCTGGAAAATGGAGCTCAAGCTTACGTGGCCCAGAGGACTGTCCTCCAGCAAGGAAGGCCCAGTGAGGTCACTTGTCTAGGGCCATGCTTTCAAACGTTAGTGAGCATGGGAATCACCTGTGGGCAGGGGTGGGAGGAATGCAGATCTCCGGGCACCACCACTCCCAGTGTCTCTGATTCAGCCGGCTGAGGTGGGGCCTGAGAGTCTGCATTTCTAAGAAGTTCCTAAATAATGTTACTGATGAGTAGGGGATCACACTGAGGGCATGAGTTCTGGAGGTAGCATAGATTAGGGACAGAGCACACTTACCTTCACAAGCTCTGATTCCAACACTTGCCAGATGCTTGGTGAATGTTTGGTGAGTGCTTGAGTTGGGAGCTACTTTATTTTACCTCCTGTAATCTCAGTTTCCTCATCTGGATAAGAGTCCACCATTTAAAGGAAGTATTAAGGGAAGAGTCTGAGTATATCCAGTACTCAGACCAAGGAGTATGCCCAGAGGACAGGGGACAGATGGCCTCTTTCCAGTGTGCTGTTCGATTTTCCCACTGCCTTTCAGGTCTGCCTAGCCCTGAACGAAAGGAGAACTAAGAAATGAAGGAGAAGTGAAGAAGAAACAGGAGGGCAACTGGAAGTGGCGAGTCACCAACATTAGAAACGTTAAAGAGAGAAACGAGAAGCAAGCCTGGAAGCTGAGCGGAGGCCATAGTGATAGAGCAGGCAGAGTGGCAGAGTCCAGTCAAGGCTAAGGAGGAGGGAAGGACAGGAGAGTTAAGGCCCAGGTTTCACAAGCAGGAGAGAAAGCTGAGGCTGGCCAGCTACAAGCTAGAGCCCCACAGCCCAGCCAGATGGTAGCACCCAGCCTGGCTCTCCTTGTCTATCCTACAGTCGGCAGCTCCCTTGCCATCAGGCTCTTCCCAGCTTGCAGCTGCTCCCAGACACTGTCTCCTGGGGAAACAGCTGCTGCTTCCCCTTCCTGAATGGAGCTGCTCATGCTTTCCACCAGCCTGCTACTGGTCCAGTCCTGTGGGGAGACACACGCACGCACACACACGTATATGCACACCCACGCGAGCATCCATAGCTGCATGTCATCCCGGAGTTCTCTCTCTTCCTTCTTTCTCCCTCCAACCACCCTCACCCCAAGCAATGGCCCCAGCTGGTCAGCCACCAGCCCCTGCCAGCCTCTCTCTCCCATCCCCAGCACCCTACTTTCAAAACCTAAGACTTTGTGTTTCACGGGGCTGTCCCTAGGAAGAGGACCCAGGTTGACCTAACTAACACGAACGCCCCGTCCCCATGATGGTGGGTGGGAGGTGGGGGAGGGGATGGTAACTCTGCAGACTGCAGTTGATTTGCTGCTCCTGAGAGGACCCAAAACTTTTTCTTAAAGGGAAAAATGCAGAAAGGCCCCAATTCCTGATTGGCTATCAGCTGGACTCTGGAATGCCTCCATTACCGTATATGCTCACATATGAGATGCTGCAGCAAAAGAAAAGTATCCTATTTTCCAAGCCAAGGTGGAGTAAAAATAGAAAAATAGCACATTTATTTCCCCATGAAGGTCCTGTCTCTCTTCCCAGTCTCCACCCCCACAAGCATGACGACTGCCCTAGGAATCGTGATTTTGCAGGGGCCCTATCTTGGCTGGAAAGGAAAACTGAAATATACAATTGACAAGAAGGAGGACTTCTCTGATGATTTTCCTTGAGGCTCATCATTTAAACACACTACTATTTTTCCCGGGGCTTCTCATAGGCAAGGATATACGGTATTTCGCGTGAGGAATGTGCTATTCACAATCTCCCACCTTTCTGGATAGCGGAAGGGATTAAAATGATCTTATAGCTAATCGATTCTCAGGTCCCTGGAGCACCCCTCCCCCACAACCTCCGTGCCCCCAACCAGAAACCTTCCTGCATCCTCTCGGCCTTTCCAGCCAACCTCACATTCTTCCACCCCCACCCCTGGCCAGGAGGGCCAAACAGAGGAGCAGGGAAAGGGGGCAGGGAAGGAAGGAAGTTTGTGAGTGTCTGAATGTGTGCTCTGGTTACATTCCAAAGGCAAACAAAGTAAAATAGAAAACATTAAAGTTAGCTCACCATTGTTTTGTATTATCCATGCCCCGCAAATCTTCATTCATGTAGATAGCAACCAGTGAACAACATTCTCATCACAGAAGGTCAGAAATGGAGGGCCTCGGAGACTGTCATTATCTGCCCTGTTCATTTTACAGCAGACAGCTCTAAGAATCAGAGAGGCTGGGTAACCTGACTAAGGTCACACAGCCAGTTCCTAGCGCCTCCAGGGCTAGAACTTAGTTCTCCTGAGGTTTAGGCCAGGGCTCTGCTCTTTCCACATTCCATACTTGTTTTATTTGTTTTGTTTTGTTTTGTTTTTGAGAGAGAGTCTTGCTCTGTCGCCCAGGCTGGAGTACAGTGGCGCGATCTCGGCTCACTGCAAGCTCCTCCTCCCAGGTTCACGCCATTCTCCTGCCTCAGCCTCCCGAGTAGCTGTGGCTACGGGTGCCCACCACCACGCCCTGCTAATTTTTTTGTATTTTTAGTAGAGATGGGGTTTCACCACGTTAGCCAGGATAGTCTCGATCTCCTGACCTCGTGATCTACCTGCCTCGGCCTCCCAAAGCGCTGGGATTACAGGCGTGAGCCACCTGCCCGGCCCACATTCCATACTTGTTTTTTATTCACATACAAAAGTGCTTCTTGGTTGCCTCTGCCTTCAGTCAGCCTCGTGGTCTAAACCAGTTGATAGGGTAACAACATGGGGACCTTTGATGTTTGGGCTGCCCTTCATGACAGGAAAAAGGAACTACTAATTGCCCCGGTCTAGGTGCAGACTGAGCCACGTGCTGGGCCCTTTGAGGACGTGGGCGGCAGAAGTCTCACAATGACACTTGGTTGCACAAACCCAGAGCAATTGAGGGGAACTGAAATTTGATCTTTTTCCTTCTTTCTTTCTTTTTTTCTCCAACAATGTATGAAAGAGCCAGTGAAAACCCCAGCCAGACACACTGAATCATTGAGAAACACAGAAGCGGGAGGCGCCCATCCCTTCTTGGTGATGGGGGAGCTGGAGGGCAATGACTTCATCAGCTGTTGTTGCTGTCACAGTCCCAGTGTCGTGAGGCGTTCCCTGTTCACCTCTGTGTATCCACAGTTATGTGAATGGTTGTGTGCATGAATTTGTGGACAGGGGGCTTGGGCCTGTTTCTGTGTATGCGTGTGTGTGTGTGTGTGCGTGGTGTGTGTGTGTGTTCTTTCAAACACACTCACTTCCTCTTCTGCCGCTCACTGCCATAATGCTCCAAGAACCCAGCACAAGGTTTCCATTAGTGAAGCACATTTTTGTGCTATGGATGTTGAACCAGCGGGGAAAGAAAGCAGACTGTTGTCTGTGATGGATGGGTTTTCTAGAGAACTTCCCAGGGTGGTCCTTAAGGGGGCTGGGACGGAGGCATGCCGGACGCACAGCCTCAAAACATTCCCTTGTTTGGGTTTGACATGTGTGCTGGGGGTCTGTCTGCTCTGCCGCTGGGCCCTGCAATTCCATTCATCCCTGGGCCCTCCTTTCTGCCTCGATCCTTCCCTTCCCCCCAACATCCCTCACTTCCAGTTTACCTGAGTTCAGAAATCCCTTTTTCTCTTTCTAGAATAAAAAGTAGTTTGTCCCGTGTGCTTGCTTTTGGTTGTGTATATGGCTGCCCCTAAGAGGAAGGGAAGGTTGGGGGACCGGAGCTGATGTGATGTCACCCGTTACTCCTTCATGTGAACAGTCTCTGTGTATCTCTTCAGAGTGCTGAGCTTCTCACAGACGTTATAAGAATGATTTTCCAGGATCATCACCCTATGGGCGAATAGAGACAAGGAGAGATGAGGTGGATGACCCAGAAGCAACATCTCCCACAATGCCTGGAATACAATTAGCATGTGTCGGATAAATGACTAATAAAAATAACTAGGATTCTATGGAAACTGAGTTTATAAATCACTTTCCCTCTGCTCAGTTAGCCCCACTGTTTTAAAGCAGAAGGAAATAAGCCTCCAGGAGCTTGAGTGATTTGTCACGTGACCATTAAGTGGCAGAGTGGGGAAGCAAATCCAGTTCCCAGACTTGAGGTTCCCCCAAGATGTTTACATCTTATCACCGTGTTAGGGGAGCCTGGAACCACTATCCGAAGAAGGGCCACTGCCCTCAAGGTGCTTTCAACCCAGCTGGGGAGACAGAAGCTGCAGAGGAAATAATACAGAACAATTCAGGGAAATATCATACAGAAACACTTTGGGGACTCCAAAGGCCCCGGGAAGACAGGACTGCATTGGGGACCATTATCCCAGTTCAATGAGGAGAAAATGGAAGGGCCATAAAGAAATGGAGCAGTTCACCCAAGGTCAAATCACTGAGAACAAAGGCAAGTTAATGAAAGCCTTAATCCAGTTGAAGGGTTTTCAAAGAGCTTTTAGGAACAGGTGGGTGGCAGACTAGAGGCTCAGACCTCCCAGGAAGGGCATATCGCCCAGTCCCCCACCCACAGTCTTTTCTTCACTTCAACATAGGAAAGTTCTTTCCATCACTGGAGCAGAATATCCCAGAGTAAGTTGCGCGATATACTGTTAACTCAAAAAGTTTGATGAGGCCAGGCGCAGGGGCTCACACCTGTAATCCCAGCACTTTTGGAGGCTGAGGCAGGAGGATTGCTTGAGTCCAGTTCAAGACCAGCTTGAGCAACGTAGTGGGACCCCATCTCTACCAAAAAAAATTAAAAAATTAGCCTGTGGTCCCAGCTACTCAGAAGGCTGAGGCAGGTGGATTGCTTGAGAACGGGAAGTCGAGGCTGCAGTGAGCTGTGATCACATCACTGTGCTCCAGCCTGGGTGACAGAGTGAGACCCTATCTCAAAAAAAAAAAAAAAAAAAGCTATAAGGTAAAGCAAGTTTCAGAGTTACCTCATACTATCCAAGTCTTAGGAATGGACATATTAACAGCTCTGAGAAATCCTGCAGACAAAACCAAAAGTAAACAAAAAAATACCCAAAATAGGAAACTCCTCCCACGACCAAAAAAATAATAATAATAAGGAAAAAAACTTTATTTAACCCAATGTTATTTTTCCAGGGCACTCTTTTTTCCCCATCCTAAGGAATGCCTATTAACAACACCAGGAACTAAATACCCTGAGGAACACACTTTGGGAAACAATATCCACAGCCTTTTTTTTTTTTTAATTATACTTTAAGTTCTAGGGTACATGTGCACAACGTGCAGGTTTGTTACATATGTATACATGTGCCATGTTGCTTTGCTACACCCATTAACTCGTCATTTACATTAGGTATATCTCCTAATGCTATCCCTCCCCCGTTCCCCCACCCCATGGCAGGCCCTGGTGTGTGATGTTCCCCACCCTGTGTCCAAGTGTTCTCATTATTGAATTCCCATCTATGAGTGAAAACACGTGGTGTTTGGTTTTCTGTCCTTGCGATAGTTTGCTCAGAATGATGGTTTCCAGCTTCTTCCATGTCCCTACAAAGGACATGAACTCATCCTTTTTCATGGCTGCATAGTATTCCATGGTGTATATGTGCCACATTTTCTTAATCCAGTCTATCATTGTTGGACATTTGGGTTGCTTCCAAGTCTTTGCTATTGTGAATAGTGCTGCAATAAACATATGTGTGCATGTGTCTTTATAGCAGCATGATTTATAATCCTTTGGGTATATATCCAGTAATGGGATGGCTGGGTCAAATGGTATTTCTAGTTCTAGATCCTTGAGGAATTGCCACACTGACTTCCACAATGGTTGAACTAGTTTACAGTCCCACCAACAGTGTAAAATTATTCCTATTTCTCCACATCCTCTCCAGCACCTGTTGTTTCCTGACTTTTTAATGATTGCCATTCTAACTGGTGTGAGATGGTATCTCACTGTGGTTTTGATTTGCATTTCTCTGATGGCCAGTGATGATGAGCATTTTTTCCTGTGTCTGTTGGCTGCATAAATGTCTTCTTTTGAAAAGTGTCTGTTCATATCCTTCACCCACTTTTTGATGGAGTTGTTTGATTTTTTCTTGTAAATTTGTTTAAGTTCTTTGTAGATTCTGGATATTAGCATTTACCATTGCAGCGAGGGGTTTTTGTAGGTAGCTAGCTTCCTTGCCCCGGGGGTGGCATGCAAATATTGCATGCCTTCAGCTGAGTAGGAGATTACTGCCTTGGAGAGAGGATGGAAGGAGATGGCCTCTTAAGCCTCCTCCTACTTGGGTTTCCTGATCTGACCAGTAGAGCCAATGTCTCGTCTCCTACCCTGTGCCTGGGATCAGCTGGAGTACTGCCCTCTCTGAGGCATCTGCTAGCATATAAGAAGGAATCTTTCATCTGGATGTTTTTTAGGGACCATCCTACAAGCTGGCTTTCTAAGGATCTTCCAGCTCTTAGATCCCCTAACTCATACATAAAAACGAATATGTATTTTCTTATCCTTCTGGAAGGAGTCTCAGTGCCCACAGCCCATCACACATATGCACACACACACAGCCTACTGAACACACTGCACATCCTCCCCAGAATGTTGCCAGAGATTTTATCTCATTCACCTGTGATGTGCCCAGCACCTACTATGGAGCTTGGCATATAAAAAGTAGGTGCATAAATAGTATAAGCTAGGCTGAGCATGGGGGCTCATGCCTGTAGTCCTAGAACTTTAGGAGGTCAAGGCGGGAGGATTGCTTGAGCCCAGGGGTTCAAGACCAACCTGGGCAAGATGGTGAGACCCTGTCGCTACAAAAAGAAAAAAAAATTTTTTAATTAGCTAGGCATGATGGCACATGCCTGTGGCCCCAGCTACTTGGAGGCTGAGCTGGGAGGATCTTCTGAGCTGAAGAAGTCAAGGAGGCAGTGAGCTATGATGGTACCACTGCACTACAGCTTGGGCCACAAAGGGAGACCCTGTCTATAAGAATAAATAAGTAACTTTTAAAAGGATGAACTAAATTGAATGCACAGTGCCTGTGGGTTGCTGTAACACTTTCTTTCTCTCTTTACCCAATGAACCCCCTCGCAGAGACTGTCTAGAGTCCCCCAAAGAGCTGGGTTTTGAGGGGTTGAGGTCCTACTGTAAGAGTCAACTGTGCTAAGCACAGTTCACTGTAACTTCCTCCCCACCCTCAACCCTGCCCCCACCCCTTGATCTCCTATAGGCCCATGATGAAACCCCTACCCTAAAATCTGTTTCCTTAAGTTGATGCTGGTGGATCTGGCAGCATCACTCTCCCCTTTCTCCTGTTCTCCCACTTTTCTCGTCTTCATCCTTTCCTTTCCACACTGTTTTCCTTTCCTCTCTCCTTTCACTCTGTTCCTTGTCCTCTCCTCGCTTCTCTCTTCTCTTTCTCCCCCTCTCTCTCCAACTAGAGGGGAAAAAGAAAAGTGTCAGTTTTGCTCCAGCCAAGCAGCTGGGCCCTCAGCCAGTGCCTTCCCTCCAGCTGCCTGATGTAGGATGATCTAAATAAGAAATGTGGGGGTGGGGGTAGTGTCTTCCAGGGACTCCCTTCACTAGCCTCCTGGGTTAAAAAGCACACTGGGGAATCTCTGCCTTTGGCTGGGGCAGCGCCTCTGGCCAGTTTGGGCAACACCCTCCGCCATCATGACTACCGTCTCTGCTGCCCTGAAGGGGACGCATGTTTCCAGGTGACAGGTTTGGAGGCTGCCTTAACTCTTTTTTAGGGAGAACGGGTTCTGCTCCAGGTCCCTAAAATGGTTTGGTTGCCGCAAAAGCCCCAGGCATGGCTGGGAAAGTCCAGATGTGTGTTAGAGGTGAAGTAGAGAGAAGACAAGGGCTTACTTTCTGCATCTACCCAAAACTCCTCAGGGGAGACCCCAGAAAAGAAAGAGCTCAGGGGCCTGTGGGTGGGTGGGAGTGAATGCTAAAGAGGAGACCTGGAGGCCCAGGGAAAAGGTCATGACCCACTAAATACACAGGCAAAAGGGGCCCCACAGCCTGGGTCCCCAGGTGAAAGAGCAGGAAACGGGAATGTCTCCCGGGTCTTGACATGTGGTTGTAATGATCACAGACCCCTTAGGCTCAAAGGGACCTCAGAGGTCATCTCCATCCTCCTGCTTCCTGGTGGGGCTGGATGTAAATTAGTCAAGATGTGCAGGCAGCTCTGTTCTTAAAGGTCCCTGGAGAAGGAAAACCGGGCTCCTTTTCACTGCATATTAGGCTCAGGATCCTGGTGTTGACTTTTTCCAGATCATCCAGAAAGGTCACAGTTTACAAAGGCTACATCCGAAATTGCCCTGTGACTTGGCTGGCTGTCTGGACTCCTGGGCCTTCGGTCAATAGTGCATTGTCATCACAAGTTTCCCACGCAAGAGTTCTTGCTGTCCAGCTCAATTCCTCTGGCTGCTGTTGAGGGTCTGTGCTCATCTCCATGACATATGCAAAGTGCTTAGAATGGTGCTTGGCACATAGTGAGCACTACGTAAGTGTTAGATATTATCATAATTGCTGCTATGGTTGCAGCTTTCAGTGGAGATGGAAATCAGTTACTCATCAGTGTCCTTCTTGAGAGTACCCATTGCCTATAATGCTGTCCTAAAGGCAGAGAGGGGATTTGAGAATCATACATAGCTAAGGTGTCTCCCCTGACCTACCTCCCCAGCCAGGTTATGCCCCCTTTATCCTGTGTGTTCCCAGAACCACATTAGCTGACCTTTTTGAAGGGGCAGTAGTATGGTATAGTCATGGCTAGGGGCTCTGAATAGGGAAGACATAAAATGTATTATCCAATCCAGGATGCTTTTGCAAGTGGGGAAAATGGCTACTGTTAATGAGGTATGCCAACAGGCATAAACCAGAATTTTCCCAGGCAAAGTGGGACACCCATCACCCTAGCTCTGGGTTTGAATCAAGTCTCTACGATTGGTTCTTTGGCAGATCCTGAGCAGTGTAGTTTGTGTCTTGAGCTCAGGTTTTTCTTTTCCTTTTGAGATGGGGTCTCACTCTGTCACCCAGGCTGTAGTACAGTGATGTGATCACAGCTCACTGCAGCCTCAACCTCCCTGGGCTCAGGTGATCCTCCCACCTCAGCCTCCTAAGTAGCTGGAACTATGGGCCCACATCACCACACTGGGCTAATTTTTTTGTATTTTCTAGAGACGAGGTTTTGCCATGCTGCTCAGGTTGGTCTCAAACTCCTGGGCTCAAGCAATCCTCCTGCCTCAGCCTCCCAAAGTGCTGGGATGAAGGTGGGAGCACCTGCTCCACCATTGAGCTCAGGTTGCTTATTAGTATAACATACCAAGGTAAAATTTCTACCCCCTAGGACAGAGGATCTCAGCCTTTGAAGTACGTGAGAGTTTATCAAAAAGCAAGATGCTCAACTCCACTCCTGGAAACTGGTCCAATGGGTCAGGGGGTGACCTAGGAGTCTGCATTTGGACAATCACCTCAAGGGATTCTGGGAGGGGATCTGCAGGTCAACATTTCAGAAACATTGCCTTTGGGTCACAGTAAAGACCATGAAAATAACTTGAGGGGACACCTGGAAGAGCGCGGACCACATTTCTGGAGTAGAGAGGTGCAATGTCTTGCCCATATTCACCCGAATCTAGCAGTAGAGCTGATCCCAGCCCAGGTGTGACAATTTGCAGATATGCGGATGACGGACAGCTCCCAGGTCCAGGCCAGGCACTGCAGAACGTTCTATTCCTGCTGCTCACCTTCCCCCGCCCGCCCGCAAGCTCCACCTGGAGGACCTGGGTGGGGTGGAGCACAGGTTTGCTGAGAAATCTGGCTGAGAGATCTGACCGTTAAATGGGTTTCATCCTGAAATGACTTTGAGTGAAAACTGAAAGTAAAACTTGAAACCACCCACTTCCCGCTGCTTCCTTCCCTCGAGCGCTGAGTGCAGCTAAGCCACTCCTGTCTTGTAGGGCTTGCTCCTGCCTCGCCCTTCCCAGACCAAGCCCTGAACCCCACTGACGGTCGTGCCTGAGCCCCACCCTTGGCACCACCTCAAGGACTCTGTTCCTCCCCTCCCACTGCCCAGGCGGAAGTCAAAACCGTGCGTACTGCAGAGGAGGCACATCCTTCGAGAACAGCGAACACCCCAGCCTTCTTATCAACCCTGACTCCTATTCATATCCTCACCCTATTTATTAAATAAGAACCAGTTCTTTCATTTAAAAAATGGATCAAAGACGGCTGGGCGCAGCGTCTCACATCTGTAATCTCAGCACTTTGGGAGGCCAAGGCGGGAGGATCACCTGAGGTCAGGAGTTCGAGACCAGCCTGGCCAACGTGGTGAAACCCCGTCTCTACTAAAAATACAAAAAATTAGTCAGGCGTGGTGGCAGGCACCTGTAATCCCAGCTATTCGGGAGGCTGAGGCAGGAGAATTGCTTGAACTGGCAGGTGGAGGTTGCAGTGAACCGAGATAGCGCCATTGCACTCCAGCCCGGGTGACAGAGCAAGACTCCATCTCAAATAATAATAATAAAATAAAATAAATAAAAAGTTATCAAAGACATGTGTAATGACCACAGCCTCCGAGCTGCATATTAAGCATAATGCAATACTGAGTGGGCATCATTTAAGTCAAAAACACAAAATCATAACATTTAAAATACACATTTTACTGTGAAAGCAAGGTACATGCTCACAGCAAAAACTCAAACAGCACAGAAATGGAAGACATAGTTTCAAGAATCTCATCCTCCAAAAGCCGCCTCTTTTAATAGTTCAGCATTTTTTAAAATCCTATATTGTAGTGAGTCTGTGCAGCAGAATTCCTATTGAATGCACACTGTTACCTGAAGCTCTGAGAGGTTAAGTTAACTTGCCCAACATCACTAGGCTAGGACGTGGTAGTGCCACTTGGTGATATCGTGAGACAGAGAGAAAAACAAAAAAACAAAAAAAACGACCTGCTACTAGGGAAAGAGACAGGTGGGATACAACACACTGAGAAGTGGGGGCATTGCCCAGTCTGTTCACACTTGCCTAGGAGACAGGAATGACCTCGGCAGATGCACACATTAGCCAGGAGCCCAGCCTAATGCGTGGAATTAAATATTGAAAGCTGAAATGCAGTTTAGGGATCATGGAGTGGCACCTCTTAATTTTATAGAAAGGAAAACTGAGACCCAGAAAACCAGTGCCAAATAGGCCAGTGATCTTCAAACACTTCCCAAGAAATATGCCAGCCCGGGCAGCTTCAAGGCATCCCTTTCCTGACTTCAGCTTCCACAGTGCTCATTTCTGTCTAGATCTGCCTACTGTCCCGCCTCACAATTGTTCTCCTCTCACTTTACAGAAAAAAATGCACCTCTCACCCATCCTGCATCTTACTACATCCCGGGTATAAATGGTCTGGGGCCTCAAACAAGGGAACAAACAAAACCTTGGCATCAGTAAAGAGCAGCCTTCTTTACTTAAGGCTCTTCTTGCCTTACACATATTTATTCTAAGGTCGAAGCTCCATGGTGGAAATGGGAGTGTTTTGTCTGCCATGGGATACACTGAATTCAGATACAGTGTAGAGCAGGGGCAAGAATGCTGATAATTTCTATTTAACCACCTTACTTCTTCTTTCCTCCTGCAAAAGTCAAAAGAGACCTTGCCTCAAGGAGAGACCTGTGAGAGCACAGCAAGCGGCTATCAGTGTGAACTATCAGGTTGTCACCTGATTTCTTCCAGGAGATAAGCACAGGGCAAGTCCATGCCTTTCCTATCAATCTATCTGAAAATCAGAATTCAGAAAAGAGACGGTTATCCCTAAGGCATATGTGAATTCTTCTTGGCCTGGCTCATGCTCCATCATTTCTCCATGATTTCAGCTCCTAGCCCACTGTCACTCTCTCCAGTCCTATCTTTTGTCTTGGAGATTTTAAAATACAGTAAGCACGCTTCTTGGGACACCTCTTTTCCCCTGCCACACTGTATCCACCTCCCCCATGGTCCACACACTAGACCTTGTTATTATCAATAATTTCAATCCCACTGTAACCTCAATTTCCGGCTCTTTTTTTTTTTTTAGACGGAGTTTTGCTCTGTCGCCAGGCTGGAGTGCAGTGGTGCGATCTCAGCTCACTGCAACCCCTGCCTCCTGGGTTCAAGCTATTCTCCTGCCTCAGCCTCCTGAGCAGCTGGGATTATAGGCGCCCGCCACCATGCCCAGCTAATTTTTTTGCATTTTTAGTAGAGACAGGGTTTCACCATGTTGGTCAGGCTCGTCTCGAACTCCTGACCTCGTGATCCACTAGCCTCCCAAAGTACTGGGATTACAGGCGTGAGCCACCTCACCTGGCCAGGCATGCCACTCTTTAATCCCACCTCCTGCCTTTCCAGCTGACCCCTCTAGAACCTCAATTCCACTCAGCCTTGGACCCCACCAGATCCTGCCATCCATTGATATTATCTCTTCTTCACTGGCCTCACTCCCTCTCCCCTTCTTACTACCCACCTTCAATTTCATGGCCAGTCATTGTGATCACCCCCTTGCACACCTCCTCAATTCCTTACCTTTTCTTGCTTTACCACAGCAAGATATGAGCTGAGGAGCATAAGGCAGCTGGCAGAGGTATCAAGACCACCATAATGTGTGAGCATTCCTGGGTGCTCCTTGGAAACGCTGGGGGTCCCTAGAGCTACAGGGGATAGGGAATGCCAGTTGATGTTACTAGGACACGAAAACAAAGCATGCTCCCTGAAGGCTGAAGAAATGGGGGAGTCTTGGGTTACATGAGGATTTATGAGGACCCTAAACTATCCCTGGAGGAGACCCAGCAACTGTGCTTAGTGGTTCCCCTGAAGTTAGTACTTTGCAGTTCAGCCTGCCTAGAAACCCACCACCATCGCTCATCCTTTCTCGGGGCACAGCTCCAAGCGATAGTGACTCACTTCTCAGTGTACATCTTGTACTCACACTTTCCAAGAGAAAGTGTCCGATGGAGTCACCGTGTCACTGTCTCATGGGGAAGACCCCTATGGAACAGAGTGTTTTGCCAAGCCACCTCGAAGGAGTCAGACTACTTTCTGGCTTGGGTGCCAATCCCTTGGTCAGCTTTCTGCAACCTGAGTGGCAGAACTCATAGCACAGGACATGACCACTGGCTGTGGAAGGTGCTGCCTGTGACAAGTGAGTTGTGGTCCTCAGAGCATCCTAGATCACACTGGCTCACGCTCAATTCTGAGAACCAGCTCTTAGTTTCATCTTTCATTAATCCAGGAACTCTGTACATTCACCTTCAAGGGGAATTTCGCTGGCAGTCCCCAGGCTCAGAGGCTGACTCGTGATGTCTCGATCAGACACAAAAAAAGGTACCTGTTCCACTCGCCTCCCCACACAGTGATTTCATGTGCAAAACCTGTGAGGAGAGTGTGATGGGAAACTTCATGTTCTGTTTCCAGTTCTGAGCTTTATTGTGAAGAAAGCAGATGGATGTGGGTTCAAATTCTGGTTTTATCTCGTCAGCTGTCAGACCCTGCGCAGTTTACTTAGGCTATCTGAACCTCCATCTCCTCATCTGTATGGGGAGAATGATGTTTACCTTTCTGAATCTTAGGGAGGTTTCAATGACTTGTATTTAGCACCCTGCCTGGCAAGTTAATACCAACACTTGTCTGTTGACCCCAACTCCCTCTGCATATGCGTATGCAGAGACACAAACGAATCCACAGAAAAGATTCTGTTGCTATTTGCCGAAGCTAAAAACCTTGAGAACCTCTATTGCTACTTGTCCTAGAGAGAAGCTCTGGGTTCAAGTGTCAGCCTTGTACTAAGCAGTGCTGACCCTTGATGGTATCACTCTCATTCTCCAGCCCTCCATGTTCCTCTCTGTAATATTGGACATGGAGTAACATTGAAGGGGAAGTTCCATATTTTTGCAGCCTAGCATCCCAGGATTCAAAGAATCTGATTAATCCAACACGCCTCTTTTAAAGTTGAGAAAACTGGTTATGTAACACCCAGAGTGGAAATAGGAAGTGAGAGGGGCAGCATGTAGGAAATGCAAATGATGATAGTGGACCGGGAGTAAGGGAGAGTGCCCCTGAATGGGGTTCAAGGAATGAAGCACTGACTGCTTCTCTACCCCTGCAGGGGGGCTGCTGTCTGTCAGCCTTCCTCAGTCCCATGCCTGCCACAAGCACCTGCCCATGCGAGAGGTTCCAGGCGTCTCTGCCAACCTGACCCCACAGCCAGTGCAGAATGGCCTTCACGCCAGGGAAGCATGACCACAAAGAGGTCAAGTCAGAAAATTATAAGACCCGAATTCTAGACACGTTCTGCCATCATAGGTGTGACCCTAAACAGGTCAGCTCCAGTTTCCTCATTTGCAAAACAAGGATGGCAAAGCATCCACTGCCCCGCACCAGGCTGTTGTGCAGAGGAAGTGGGCTAAGAAGGAAGATATCTCCTTGTAAACTTCCATGCCCTACACAAAGGTTATTGTTCCTTGCTGACATTGTCTTCCCAATTTGTTTCTGAGCTTCTTCAAGACAGGGAGCTGAAATCTTATATGTCTCATAACTAATTAGCTTCTACTCAGCGAATCTTTATTAAGCTCCAGGCATTGTGCTCAGCTTTTTATATATTATTTTCTCATTTAATTTTCACTTACAACATTATGGGACGATTATCTTCATTTTCTAGATGAGGAACTAAAATCAGAACTTCTATCACTGGCCCAAACACGAGTAGTTAGTAAATGGCTGAGCCAGGGCTTTTTGTAACTTGATTTTCATAATTTTATTGGTTCAAAATTCATGTACAAAAGTTTATACAATGAAAAACCTCTCTCCCATCCCTTTCCCCCAGCACGGCCACCTTACCTCAAGGCTACCAGGATACATCAGACGTATCACTCCAAAAATTATTCTTTACATATACATTCTTTCTTTTTCTTTTTGTACAGAAGGGGTCTCACTCTGTCATGATCATAGCTCACTGCAGCCTCAAGCTCCTGGACTCAAGCAATCCTCCCACCTCAGCCTCCCAAGCTGCTGGGACTAAGGCACACACCACCTTGCCCAGATCTGCATATACATACTAATATGTATAAATATTTTTTGTATACCCTTTTACCCCAAATGGTAACATATTATTGTTTTGCACTTTGCTTTTATACTTCATAAATCATTTGAAGTCTGTTTCCCTCTCTTTCTCTACATGTGCAAGACTTTGAAACTGGATTTTTAAAGTCCTGTGCTTTTATCAGAGCCCATCGCTGGATGACAGCCTTTAGTTAAGGTGGGTGAAGCTGGGGCCAGGGGATGTTAATGCTAGAAGAAGACTTAGAGATCATGGGATCAGCCTCTTCCACTGCAGGTGAACACACGGATGCCTACAGAAGGGAGGTGATCTCATTAAACTACTGCTGCCAGCACTACCCCCAAGAATAGTTGGGTGAGCCCACAGACGGTGGCAGATCTTGGCAGCCAGCCCAGAGTGCCTCAGCCCAGTGCCCTGGGCCACAGCCTATTAGGGAGAACCCCAGGCCTGGCTTCAGTTCCTCTTAACAGAGAGAAATCTGGGTGTGTGCCCTTGGCCCATAGAGACCAAGTTCATGTTGAGAGGCACCTGAGCCTCGGCTCCAGCTTCTCCCCTGGCCTCCCATTTGTGAAGGTAAAGTTCCCATAAAGCCAGTCCAGGGAGAGCAAAAGAGAGCCTCAGAGAACTGGGGGCTAGTGAGCGAGACTCCGCAGTAGACCCAGGGGTCCACTCCCTTCTCTGGGTCTTGATCCTCCAAATTTCCCCCATTTACATGGTAAAAAATTCATAGTTATACTTGAAAGGAGCTTCCATAGCATGAAATTCAAAGAAGATTTAAAGTAACCTTTCTTTCTGAAATAGAACTACATTTAGAGAGAACATCCTATATAGATTTAACCTTGAGGCTGGAAGATTGAAGGACAGGATTTCCCCTTGGGAAGCCCTGAAGGAGTTCAGGATCTGAGGGATAGATGAGACACCATTTTTCCAGGATGGTTTAGGGACCATTTTGCTTGAAGATCAGAGATGGCCCGAAACTCAGTGGTTTCGAGACTTTTGCCATTTGGTAGATCAGCAAAACTCGACACACACAACAAATTTAAGGACCAACAAAAGGCTGGCAACTTTGTATTTTGCCAAATAAGGATCTATGTATGGAGAGAGAGAGATAAAGAAATACTATTTGCTTTCACTGTTGTTTCACAAAGAAAGACGTTTTATTTATGTATGTATATATTTATTTATTTATTATTTTATTTTTTATTTTTGAGACGGAGTCTCGCTGTTGCCCAGGCTGGAGTGCAGTGGCACGGTCTCGGCTCACTGCAGGCTCCGCCCCCCTGGGGTTCACGCCATTCTCCTGTCTCAGCCTCCGGAGTAGCTGGGACTACAGGCGCCCGCCACCACGCCCGGCTAATTTTTTGTATTTTTAGTAGAGACGGAGTTTCACCGTGTTAGCCAGGATGGTCTCGATCTCCTGAACTCGTGATCCGCCCGCCTTGGCCTCCCAAAGTGCTGGGATTACAGGCGTGAGCCACCGCGCCTGGCCGTATATATTTATTTTTAACTTCTTTTTTAGGTTTGGGGGTACATGTGAAGGTCTGTTATATAGGTAAACTCATGTCACAGGGGTTTGTTGTAGAAATTATTTTATCACCCAGATATTAAACCTAGTATCCAATAATTATTTTTTCTGCTCCTCTCCCTTCTCCCACCCTCCACCCTCAAGTAGACCCCAGCATCTATGTCCTTCTTTGTATTCATGAGTTCTCATCATTTAGCTTCCACTTACAAGTGAGAACATGCGGTATTTGGTTTTCTGTTCCTGCATTAGTTTGCTAAGGATAATGGCCTCCAGCTCCTCCGTGTTCTTGCAAAGGACATGATCTCATTCTTTTTTATGGCTGCATAGTATTGCATGATGTATATGTACCACATTTTCTTTATTCAATCTGTCATTGACGGGCATTTAGGTTGATTCCATGTCTTTGCTATGGTGAATAGTGCTGCAGTGAACATACACATGCATGTGTCTTTATGGTGGAATGGTTTATATTCCTCTGGGCATATACCCAGTAATGAGATTACTGGGTCATTTGGTAGTTCTGTTTTTAGCTCTTCGAGGAACCTCCACAGTGCTTTTCACAATGGTTGAACTAATTTACAGTCCCACCAACAGTGTATAAGTGTTTCCTTTTCTCCACAACCTCACCAGCACCTGTTATTTTTTGACTTTTTTTTTTTTTAAACAGAGTTTCACTCTTGTTGCCCAGGCTGGAGAGCAATGGCGCGATCTCGGCTCACTACAACCTCCGCCTCCCGGGTTCAAACGATTCTCCTGCCTCAGCCTCCAAGTAGCTGGGATTACAGACATGTGCCACCACACCTGGCTAATCTTGTATTTTTAGTAGAGACAGGGTTTCTCCATGTTGGTAAGGCTGGTCTCGAACTCCCGACCTCAAGGGATCCACCCGCCTTGGCCTCCCAAAGTGCTGGGATGACAGGCATGAGCCACCGCGCCTGGCCTGACTTTTTAGTAATGGCCATTCTGACTGGTGTGAGATGGTATCTCATTGTGGTTTTTGATTTGCATTTCTCTAATGATCAGTGATGTTGAGATTTTTTTTCATATGTTTGTTGGCTGCATGTATGTCTTCTTTTGAAAAATGTCTGTTCATGTCCTTTGCCCATTTTTTGATGGGGTTGTTTTTCTCTTGTAAATTTGTTTAAGTTCTTATGGATGCTGGATATTAGACAAAAGGACATTTTCATAACAAAAAGCAAACTATAATCTCAGAATAAAGATATCCTTCAACAAACGTTTTCCACCCACATGCATAGTCTTTATTTTTTCTCAGACCAGCAAATATGTCATTGAGAGCCTTCAGCGATCTACCATGGCCTCTCATTTAGGAGTGACTGAACTTGAAGATGTCAAGTAGGCACTCTTAACCAATTGTCTATTTTCTTAAATTATTCTTACTCTTGGCTGGGCGCAATGGCTCACACCTGTAATCCCAGCATTTTGGGAGTCTGAGGCAGCTGGATCACCTGAGGTCAGGAGTTCAAGACCAGCCTGACCAACATGGTGAAACCCCGTCTCTACTAAAAATACAAAAAATTAGCTGGGCATGGTGGCGCACACCTATAATCCCAGCTACTCAGGAGGCTGAGGCAGGAGAATCACTTGAACCCGGGAGGCGGAGGTTGCAGTGAGCAGAGATCGTGCTACTGCACTCCAGCCTGGGCAACAAGAGTGAAACTCCATCCCAAAAAAAAGAAAATTATTCTTAGTCTTTCCCTCCTTTCCTCTTTCTTTCTTTCCTTTCTTCCTTCTCTTCTTCCTTCCTTCCTCCCTCCTTCCCTCTTTTCTTTCTCTTTCTCCTTTTTCCTTCCTTTCCTCTTTTCCTATACAAATATTTACTGAGCATATACTATGTTCTAGTCTACCATCTATTCTTCTACAACACATGTTCCTATAAGAACTCATCCACAGCTAATAAATAGGGAAATTAAGTGCTTATAAAGTGAAAGTTGGGTGGGTTCATATGGATTTTTTCCTAGCAAGAAGAGCTAAAGTAGCAGGAGTAGAATTCTAACCTTCAACAAGAAAGGGAAAAGCCCTCAACTTGGCTTTTGCTTAGGTAAGAGCCCTTTCAGCTCTATTTTAAGAAAATTGCAAATGCATGCCTGCACCTGGGTTTGCTTCCCAGAAAGGCTCATCCTAGGAAGCAGGTTGCACTTCCTCCTATGCCCACCTGGCCCAGAGTCCACTTCCATCTGCACCATCTCAGCACCTGCAACCAGCAGTACCACTCTATAGTTTTGTGCAAGTTTTAATATCCCCAGAGGCAACTTTCCAAAGTAGAATTGTTGCCTGGGCTGTCTAGGTTTTCTCTGAAGGCACCAATTACTGTTTTTATTAGTGCTCTATTACCGAGTTGCATAGATTTCTCAGGCCTGCCCAATCCTATTATTTTTAGCCTGTTATTTTTAGTGTGCAGTTTTACAGAATACAAAGTTTTTCAGGAATGTATGTATTATGTTACAGCACCTAACCTGTACTAAACCAATAGTGCTTATCTTTAACTGAACTAGAGTGTAATCACACCCACAGGATACTAAGCCATAGTTGAAAACAAAAACATAGAGCTACGTGGAAAAATCCCCACTGCAGAGTTAAGTGAACAAAAGCAAGCTGAAGCACAATACATACAGTATGATCTTATTCATGCAGTGAAGGGAAATAACCTTTGTAACAATGCTTTTCATTCTCTATGCATAAAGACACTGTATTCCATATGTCAGTAAATTAAAGGGAAACCTGGTAACAGCTTCGAGTTTAGTGAGAGAGGGGAGAAGGATCCCAGCAACATTGCCCTTAAATCCAGGTCAATGATGTCCTACTCTGGTCCCCTCTGGATCCTTCCCTTGGGACAAAAAGTTCTGCATTTAGTGGCACTTCCCTTTCCAGATCACAGTCCCTGGAAACTGGGACGCCAGAATTCTCTTGCGAGAGACTCCCGAGCCTGCTACATTTCTGGATCCATTTTCCTGACAATTGTTGCCTTTGTGCGCACCCTTAGGTCCAGGGAAGGGGCAGCGGGAAGAGAAGATGGGAAAGCAAGAGACCTCCACTGGTCCTGTTTTACAGGCAGGCCTGGTTACCAGGAGATAGAGTAGGTGCTGTCTGATCCTGCAGGAGGTTTTTTTTGTTTGTTTGTTTTTAGACAGGGTATTCCTCTGTCACCCAGACCGGAGTGCAGTGGCGCGATCTGAGCTCACTGCAACCTCCACCTACCGGGTTCAAGTGATTCTCCTGCCTCAGCCTCCCGAGTAGCTGGGATTAGAGGTGCCTGCCATCATGCCCGGCTAATTTTTGTACTTTTAGTAGAGACAGGGTTTCACCATGTTGGCCAGGCTGGTCTTGGACTCCTCACCTCAGGTGATGCACCCGCCTCAGCCTCCTAAAGTGCTGGGATTACAGGTGTGAGCCACTGCGCCCGGCCTGGTCCTATGGGACTTTATGTGTAAGGTCCAAGTTTTACAGGGAGAATCAGTTTTACGTTGTTTAGATACTTAACAATTAATTAAAACATAACAAAAAATTGCGATACTTTCTACTCATCTGGAAACTGGAACTAACAGGGTCTTTCATGATAATTCTTGATTATGGTTCCTGAGTTCGATGGGGAAAGAAATGGGGAAAATTAAGACATAGAGGGTGACAGGTGTCAGTGACTTCCTACTTTTAAAGAAAGCAGGCTTACTGTGATGGCTGCAGAGGGCTATGGGGTGAGAGTGGAATTCCCCAGAAGCAAAAGCCATAGCAATTAGTAGAATTTCCACCCCACTTCCACCCACTGTCTCACGTCCAGCCCATGGCCTGGCCCCAAGAAGCACCCAGGAAACAGTCCTGAGCAGGCCTTGTATCACACACTTCAGGGCAGTTGGTCAAATCTGTCATCAGAGGCGCCACAGACCAGGGGATTTCCTGTGGGTGGAGTCCTCAGCAAGGTCTTGGCACTATTCTGGGGTGTTCCCCAGCTCCCCCACACTGATTCCAGGAAGCCTGCCTGGGATTATCAGAACTTTGCTATCTTGTCCTCAGCTGCTTTCAACAAAACTGGGTGGGGGCTGGGGATAGGCCACCTGGTGAATGAGCCAAAGGAGAACAGAACCAGGAAGCAGCAGGCCAGCCATCTAGGTGTGTCTACTTATGAGCTTGGGCAAGCCATTTAACTCTGCGCCCCGCCGGTCCCCCTGCTACCTATAAAATTGGGATAATATTCCATCTCAGGGCAACTTCAGAAGGCTGTTGTGAAAATTAAATGAGATAAACAATCGATCTGATTTTTAAAAAAGACCAAAGACTTTGCATAGGCTGGGTGTGGTGATTCACCTGTAGTCCCAGCGCTTTGGGAGGCTGAGGCGGGAGGGTTGCTTGAGCCCAGGAGTTTGAGACCAGCCTGGGCAACATAGCAAGACACCGCCTCTAAAAAAAAAAAAAAAAAGACTGAATATATCTCACCAAAGAAGATACACAGATGGCAAATAAGCACATGAAAAGATGTTCAACATCATATGTCATCAGGGAAATGCAAATTAATACAATGATAAGACACCATTACACGCTATTAGAATGGCCAGCTCCAGAACATAGAAAACACCAAATGCTGGACAGAATGTGAAGCAACAGGAACTTTCATTCATTGCTAGCAGGGATGCAAAATGGTACAGTCACTTTGGAAGACAAGTTTGGCAGTTTTTCACAAAACTAAATGCACTTTTACCACACAAGCCAACAACTGATTGAACTCCTTGGTATTTATGTCCACACAAAAACCTGCACACAGATATTTATAGCAGCTTGTTGTTTTGTTTTCTTTTGTTTTGTTTTGAGATGGAGTCTTGCTCTATCGCCCAGGCTGGAGAGCAACGGCACGACCTTGGCTCACTACAACCTCTGCTTCCTGGGTTCAAGCGATTCTCCTGCCTCAGCTGCCCGAGTAGCTGGGATTACAGGTGCCCACCACCATGCCCGGCTAGTTTTTGCATTTTTAGCAGGGGTTTCGCCATGTTGGCCAGGCTGGTCTTGAACTCTTGACCTCAGGTGATGCACCTGCCTCGGCCTCCCAGAGTGCTGGGATTACAGGTGAGGGCCACCGTGCCCAGCCAGCAGCTTTATTCTTAATTGCCAAACCTTGGAAATAACCAAGATATCCTTCAGCAGGTGAATGGAGCAACCAACAATGGTGCATCCACATAATGGAGTATTATTCAACTCTGAAAAGAAATGAGCTGTCAAACCACGAAAAGACAGGAAGGAACCTCAAATGCATGCTGTGAAATGAAAGAAGCTAATCTGAAAGTTTACATACTGTATGGTTCCAGCTGTAGGACATTCAGGAAAAGGCAAAACTACAGTTAAAAGATTTTCTGGGGATTTGTGGGGAGGGGTGAGAGATGAATAGAGGGCATAGGGGATTTTGAAGGCAGTGAAACTATGCCGTTAGATACTGTAATGGTGTATATGTCACCATACATTTGTCAAAAATCATAAAATGAACAACAGGAGTGAACCCTGATGTAAACCACCGATTTTAGTTAACAATAATGCAGCAATATTAGCTCATCAATTATAAGAAATGTGCCAAACCAGTGCAAGATGTTAATAATAGGGGAAATTGGGAGGGATGGCATATGGGAACTCTCTGTACTTTCCACTCAATTTTTCTGTAAATCTAAAACTGATTAAAAATTTTGTCAATTAATTTTTTTAAATACTTCTACCTTCTTGGGTAATTACTTAACCTTTCTAGATCTTCATTTCAATTTCCTTAGCTATGAAATGAGGGGGTTTGACACGTGCTCATGTGGCTAGTGGCTACCATCTTGGATGGTGCAGATCTGGAAGATTTCCACAGTCTTTCTTTTCCTCTTATGACTTTTTTTTTTTTTTTTTTTTTTGAGACGGAGTCTTGCTCTGTCGCCCAGGCTGGAGTGTGGTGGCACGATCTTGGCTCACTGCAACCTCCACCTTCCACATTCAAGCTATTCTCCTGCCTCAGCTGGCCACGTATCTGGGACTACAGGCATGCGCTACCACGCCCAGCTAATTTTTTTGTATTTTTAGTAGAGACGGGGTTTCACCATGTTGTCCAGGATGGTCTTGATCTCTTAATCTTGTGATCTGCCTGCCTCAGCCTCCCAAAGTGCTGGGATTACAGGCGTGAGCCACCACACCCGGCCTGACTTTTTTTTGAGTACAGTCTTCCCTCCTTTTTTGTGAGTTGTTCCTTGTTTGGGTTTTCCGATGCCTTTTCACGATCAGGTCAGGGTGTTCTGAGTGTCTGGGTAGAGTTAGGTTCCTTCAGTGGCCGCAGTCTGGCCTTTCTCTGGTGGAAATGAGTGCGGTTTCTTTTGTACTTTGTAAGTGCTGGTGGCCAAGTCTCTCATAAACCTCACCTTAAAAGCATCCAAACAGCTAACGAGTTGAACCCAAGAGAGTAACGCTTTGTCAGCTCCACACTCAACAAATCCCTAGCTCTTGGAGCAGTTCTGACTATCAAAACTGTATTCCCAAACCCTTATAGGAGTACTGCCAACCATAGGAGAGACCCAGAGGATGTCAGAGAAAGACATTGATCAAGAAAATCATTTCCATTCTGCCAGGATGCCAGTTAGACTGGGTTCTGGAGTCTCCCTAAACCCAGTAAGGTCAGAGCTCCCCTTGAGATTACTTTGCCGTTATGCAAGTGCGTGTTGGGAGGTGTGGGGAGGTCTGCACATATGGTTTCCTCTCAGTGGCATTTAAGACTTCACCACCTTCAGGCTAACTTTAGCAAATTTCAACAAAGGCAGCTTCAGCCACCAGGACTTCTTGCTTGAGGTGCCTTTCTTTCTTTTGCAATTAGAATAGTCAAACCTCTTTATATCCATTTCCTTTTGAGCCCCAGGGCAGCATCTTTGGTATCATTCCATTGCCTTTTGCTGTGGAGGTGCTTAGGCCTGTGAAAACTGTCTCCATGAGAAAGATTTCCCCTTCATCCCCCATTTGCTCCAACTAGGGGATCCCTTTGGCAGAATCCTGAACTAAAGCTGTATGTGTGCTTCTGAAATCTGTGGCCCTAGGGGCCTGGTAAGGACCAATCTCTCTGCATTTACTTCTCAAGACACTGTCATAGATTTTGAAAAGTGCCAATCCCTTGAATACTATTTATTCTTGTGACATCTTTTTCTGCAATTGTGGAATATTGTTCTAGTGTTTTATTTCTCTTGACTTTCCCCTATTTCTTTCAGGAAGGCCCAGTTTTGTGTCAGTTTAACCTTTCGTTCAAGTCAGTCCATTTATTTCATATAAAACCAGTTTTATTTTCCAATAATTGTTTTTTCTTAACATAATCCTCTAGATTTTTTTCTGATGGGATTTCCCATAATGAGAGATATAAAATCATTAATTCTGTGTCTGTTCAAAGCAATCGCTGTTCAGCCAAGCCTTGCCCATCTTCACCTTGTTGAGCTGGAAACTCCCACCAGGAGGTCTTCCATCTGTCTAGCACTGATCCCAGGCCTGGACTTGTTCTGTTTTTGTCCTCTCTGGCTACACTTTAATATATCTCGTCTTTCCTGTGCTTGCCTTTAGAGACCAAATTCCATGAATTTCTCAGGTATTCCCTTAGGCACAGGCATTTCCTGGGTCACAAGAAAGTTCACACAATGATTTTTTTTTCTAGTATTTTACACTGATCTTTCTGGTCTTTCATTCTAAATCTGTCTACACTTTTGTAAGCACTTTAGTTATCATCCCATTGTGAGACTGAGCAGGATCCGAAGTTTGAATATATTCAAACTTCAGCTTAATTTTAAAACTTCAGATTTTGGACTTTGATTTTAGATTTTCATATCTTTGATCTCTCACCTCTGAAAGGATTTAAATTTGGGGATTTTGGACTTTAACTGATAAGGGCAAGAGAATTTCATTTTAGATTTTCATTTCTTTGAAATTTATCTTATAAAAGGTTTTATACGGCCGGGCGTGGTGGCTCACACCTGTAATCCCAGCACTTTGGGAGGCCGAGGTGTGGGGATCACCTGAGGTCGGGAGTTCGAGACCAGCCTGACCAACATGGAGAAACCCCGTCTCTACTAAAAATACAAAAATTCACTGAGCGTGGTGGCGCATGCCTGTAATCCCAGCTACTCAGGAGTCTGAGACAGGAGAATAGCTTGAACCCGGGAGGCGGAGGTTGCAGTGAGCCAAGATCGCACCATTACACTCCAGCTTGGGTAACGAGAGTGAAACTCCATCTCAAAAAAAAAAAAAAGGATTTACTCTTGGCCAGGTGAGGTGGCTCATGCCTGTAATCCCAGCACTTTGGGAGGCGGTGGACGGCAGATCACCGGAGGTCAGGAGTTTGAGACCAGCCTGACCAACATGGTGAAACCCCCTCTCTACTAAAAATACAAATATTAGCCAGGCGTGGTGGCAGGTGCCTATAATTCCAGCTACTGGGGCTGGAGAATCGCTTGAACCTGGGAGGCAGAGGTGAGCAGTGAGTGGAGATTGTGCCATTGCACTCCAGCCTGGGTGACAACAGTGAAACTCTGTCTCAAAAAAAAAAAAAAAAGGATTTATTCTTTGGAATATTCAGGTGCCATCCCATAGTTTTTACAATGTTCTTACTGAGCAGCCCTGCTCTAGGCAGATCTAGGAGGACTTCTCAAATTTTCCTGGATGCTGGCTACTCCTAAAAAAACTCATTCTGTTTTTTTTTTTTTTTTTTTTTTTGAAATCTAGCTTCTCTTCCTCTATTGGACCTCACTGGAATTCAGACACTGTTTCTGTTATAGACTTCTCTGAAATGTGTTCCTCATCTTTATTCCCCTCTGTAAGAACAATTAGTCTTGGGTTTTTGATAATATAGATCTCTCTACCACAAACTGAGAAGGTGCCATTCTCTCTGTGATGAGAAACGTCGTTCTTTTTTACTTGTTTTCTTCATAATAAAACCTACTATCCTTTTGTGGGTGAAGCCACAATGTGGGTCCTCAACATTTAGAAAAATAGTTAAGAGTTTATATCAGTAACAATTCCAGAACCATTTGAAGTCACATGGTGGGCGTTTCTTTTGAAACTGTGGGCAAGTTACAGGAATTAACTTAGTTCTTCTATAGTTCCCTCTCTCTGCCCTGAAGATAATTTATAGCAACACAAAAGAAGAGCAGAACTTGGGGATAGTTTATCTTATACCACTTAGAGACACCTGCCACTAACACTCACTGCTATTCTGAAAAATATGCAGAGCCTCGGTTTAAAGTCCTGACCTCCTGGCTTGAAAACAAGGAACACAGTAAAATTGTGCTGCTCCCTAATACTTAAGAAGCTTATACTGTATACTGAAATGTTCTCATTCATCTTTTTTTATTTGAGACAGGGTCTTGCTCTGTTGCCCAGGGCTGAGGTGCAATGTTGCAACCATAGCTCACTGCAGCCTAGAATTCCTGGGCTCAAGCCTCAGCCTCCTGAGTAGCTGGGACTATAGCTGCATGCCACCATACCCAGCAATATAAGATTGAGTGAAAGAATTCAGACACAGAGAAGTTTATACTGTATGATTACATTTATATAAATTATAAAAGCAAGCAAAAACAAATCCTATGCTATTAGAACTCAGGCTATTAGTTGGCAGGTTGTGACTGGCACGGAAGGCTTCTGGGATGCTGGTAACGTTCTATTTCTTGATTTGGGTGCTGGTTACATAAGTGTTCTGTTTGTAAAAATGCATCAAACTAGACTGGGCATGGTCGTTCACGCCTGTAATCCCAGCACATTGGGAGGCTGAGGCAGGCGGATCACGAGGTCACGAGATCGAGACCATCCTGGCCAACATGGTGAAACCCCGTCTCTACTAAAAATACAGAAATTAGCTGGGCATGGTGGCATGCGCCTGTAGTCCCAGCTACTCGGGAGGCTGAGGCAGGAGACTCGTTTAAACTGGGGAGGCGGAGGTTGCGGTGAGCCAAGATCATGCCACTGCACTCCAGCTTGGGCAATAGAGTGAGACTCTGTCTCAAAAAAAACAAAAAACAAACAAACAAAAAACAACTTATCAAACTATCCACCTATGATATGTGTAAGTCAATAAAAAGATAATTTTTTTCACTCCTGTAATCCCAGCACTTTGGGGGCCAAGGCAGGAAGACTGCTTGAGGCCAAGAGTTTGAGACCAGCCCGGGCAACATAGTGAGACCCCCATCTCCACAAAAACAAAAAAAGATAATTTTTTTTAAAAAGCACAGCAGTCAAAACAAGTTACACAGCATGATGCAAGCACTGCTACCAACTGCCAAGGTCAAAGCCCTGAGTGTCCCAATTGCAAATGCCTAGCAGCCTACATTCTGGACACATCCAAAGCCTCAATGTACACATGTCATGTGCTTCACAAATGACAGTCATTATGCATTTCTCAGTAGTCTCTGCTCATTAATGAGATGTTTGAGTCTAGGGAGTGTAATGGGCTGGATGGTGTCTCCCAGAAAAATATGTCCGAACCTCAACCCTGATCTTATTTGGAAATAGGTTCCTTGTAGATGTGATTAAGTTAAGGATCTCCAGATAAGATCTTCCTAGATTTGCAATGCACCCTAAAATCCAACAGCTGATGTCACAAGAAAAAGGAGAAGGAGATTTGAGACACACAGACACAGAGGAAGAGACACAAGGAAGAAGGCCATGGGAAGACTGAGGCAGAGATTGGAGTGATGCTGCCACAAACCGGAGAACAACAGAAGCCACCAAGAGAAACTGGAAGATGCAAGGAAGGAGCCCTCAGAGGGAGTGTGGCCCTGCTTACACTTCAGTTTCAGACTTCTGGCCTCCACATCTGTGAAAGAATACACTTCTGCTGTTAAAGTCAATCATTTTGTAGTAATTTGTTATGGTAACCCTAGAAAACTAATGTGGGGACTAAATATATAAAACCCCCTTTTCCTGCTCTAGCTCTTAATAGAGATCTAAATACCAGATTCAGACAGATGCATATCAAAATTCTACCTTGATAACTGATGCAGACATATTAGATGCCACAATTTAAATCATGCCACATAAGCTTACTAATAACTGACTGAGAACTGAATTGACTCATTCGGGCTACAGACCTTCCTAGCAGATGTTAGAATCTGCTCTGAAATGCTACTGCTTGGTAAGAATAGATAAGATCACATTTTCTCCAGAAGATGTTCAACATTTGTTTAGAGATGCTAGGTGCTTCCTGGGGGGCATGCAGTAAAGATGCTATTCATGGCCCTGAACAATTCAGCTCTGGCCCATGCTTGCATACCCCCATTCAACAAGAACTAAATAATTAATGAAGGCATTATTAGTTATTACCTGAGTACGTCCCTTGGTGTTTTACCTACACAAATACCCATCAAGTAGCTTATCAAAGTATTCTAATCATGTATACTGCTGTCTGTAAGAGGTGTTATTGTGTTTGTTTTGTTTTTGTTTTTTTGTTTTGTTTTGTTTTGTTTTTTTGTTTTTTTGAGACAGAGTCTCGCTCTGTCGCCCAGGCTGGAGTGCAGTGGTGTGATCTCGGCTCACTGCAACCTCCACCTCCTGGGTTCAAGTGATTCTCCTGCTTCAGCCTCCTGAGTAGTTGGGACTACAGGCATGTGCCACCGTGCCCAGCTAATTTTCGTATTTTCAGTAGAGATAGGGTTTCACCATGTTGGCCAGCTGGTCTCGAACTACTGACCTCAGGTGATCTGCCTGCCTCAGCCTCCCAAAGTGCTGGGATTACAGGCATAAGCCACCATGCCCAGCCACCTATTTGTTTTAAAGTTTTTATTTTGGTACATGACATTCATGTTTTAAAACCCCTACAGAATGTTGCCCCTCCCAATAGCTTGCCTGGCCTGCCATCTAATCCTGCTCTGCAGTGAAACCCAGTGGAGAGATATTCCAGGATCATACGGTCTGTCAACCCATAGGACAGAGAACAGGGTGGCCATAGTTTCCTGTCTGGAAGGCTTTCCTTCTGTCATCCTGATGCTCACTTATATTATCAAAGTAGCCAGACCCAGAAAACAGTTGAGACAAATAGCAGGTGAAGGTCACCTTTGGCCAAATCCCTTACTCCATTCTCCTTACTCCATTCCAAAGCCCCTTACTCCAAAGTCCCTTACTCCATTCTCCTTACTCCATTCCACTTTTTCTCTCAGCTAATTGTCAGGGCAACACATCATCCGTTAAACTTACCCCCTTTCGGGTACAGCGTTAGTGAGGTTGGGGCTTCCCTTTCTGGTTTATACATATTTCTGTTAAGGGCAAAGCTTGGCCTTAGAAATGGGGTAATTTGGCCTATGATGGGAGTTTTCAATTTAGTGATGCTGTAGAACAAAGGTGGAAGGATGACAATGTTTATGCAATGACCTCTTCCATCTCACTCTTGTGAAAGGTTGTGTAGCTTCTGGGAGACAGTCCCATGAGACCACAGCCCAGAGAGCTTCACTGGGAATATGGAAGGTGCTGCCTCCATATCCCCCCAGGTGACGAATGCATGGCAAGCCTCCTTGACAAGGTTGTCAAAAAGGTTCCTTCCTATGAACACATTTCTTTGAATTGAAAAAGGAAGGCAGGCTCTTTCTGACAGAAGTTAAGTCTAACTTGGCTGCTTGGCTATCCATTAAATATTTTTCACAAATTGAGTGAAACAAATTTGTACCACTAAGGATTTTATGAAATATATATTTAAAGCAATTGATAAAAGCATGTTAATACAAAGATATAATTAAAATTAATGAATATTTCTATTTTCCCTAAACCTTTCTGAGAACATCTGGTTAAACAAGCTGCCTTTAAGTGAAAGAGTGACAGGTATAATTAAAAGCCATTTAATATGCCTGGGTAAAGCCTTTTTTTTTTTTTGAGATGGGGTCTTGCTCTGTTGCCCAGGCTGGAGTGCAGTGGTGCGATCTCAGCTCACTGCAACCTCTGCCTCCCCGGTTCAAGGGATTCTCCTGTCTCAGCCTCCCAAGTAACTGGGATTACAGACACACACCACCATGCCCGGCTAATTTTTGTATTTTTAGTAGAGACAGGGTTTCACCATGTTGGCCGGGATGGTCTCGATCTCCTGACCTCATGATCCGCCTGCCTCAGCCTCCCAAAGTGCTGGGATTACAGCGTGAGCCACCGTGCCCTGCCTGGGTAAAGCCTTCTTAGTTGAATTGCCAGAAATGGGAAAGAATGACACTATTACCTGAGTAACAAATCATTTGTAAGTCAAATGACTTTTATTTCTTTGTTTTCAACATACTGAAAAAGGACTCAAGTTATCAGTTGATGTATTATCAACTGACAAAAAAATAGTTTTGATGATACATCACCATGTGATTTTTCAGCAAATAATTTGGAAGTAGTTCAAAGAATTGGATGACATTGCCATTGTAAAACTTCTCTTGCCATCTACTTTTAATGTGAACAAAGTATCCATAAAAATGAAAAATCAGGCCAGTCGCGGTGGCTCACGCCTGTAATCCCAGCACTTTGGGAGGCCAAAGCGGGTGGATCACGAGGTCAGGAGATCGAGACCATCCTGGCTAACACGGTGAAACCCCGTCTCTACTAAAAATACAAAAAATTAGCTGGGCGTGGTGGCTGGCGCCTGTAGTCCCAGCTACTCGGGAGGCTGAGGCAGGAGAAAGGTGTGAACCCAGGAGGCGGAGCTTGCAGTGAGCCGAGACCACCCACTGCACTCCAGCCTGGGCGACAGAGCGAGACTCTGTCTCAAAAAAAAAAAAAGAAAAATCAGAATGAAATTGATCTTGAATCATGTAAGTAATATTCATCCATGGACATATGGCCTAATTGAAAATACTTTTGTGGTAAAATTTTATCTTTTATTAAGTAATTATTTATAAAAGTATGAATATTATGTGAAGTCAAAGAAAAATTTATTCCAATATAAACACACATTTTTGTGGCAGAGAAACATAACAAAATGAATAAAATAAAATATTTTTTCTTTTTTTTTTTTTTGAGACAGGGTCTCACTCTGTCACCCAGGCTGAAGTGCAGTGACACAATCACAGTTCACTGCAGCCTTCACCTCCTGGGCACAAGCGATCCTCAGCATCCCGAGTAGCTAGGACTACAGGCATGCGCCACCACGCCTAGCTAATTTTTGGATTTTAAAAATAGAGACAGGGTCTCGCCATGTTGCCCAGGCTGGTCTCGAGCTCGTGTTCTCAGGCGATTGGAAAATAAAATATTTTCAATCCAAAAAAATATGATTAGATACAATTCTGTGGAGCTGAAGGAGACAAGGCAGCTATGTCAAACCTCCAGCTCTCAAGGGCTTTTACATGCATTTTTTTAAATGGATGGTGATCGAGATCAAGTCAGTAGATTCCACTTGAGATATTTCATAGTGAGATAACAGTATATTTTTAAATGTCAATAAAATGTCAATATGGCAAAAGTCACACCATTTGTAAGTATTTAAACTTATGATAAAGCATTTTAGATGCTTGACGGGTCATTTTCAAAATTATGTTCCAAATTGTCTTAGGGGCATGCGAAGGCCACCCTTCTGGTCTCCGCAGCTCCGCTCCCCAGGACAGCGGCTTCCTAGGGCTGTCTCTGTGCATCTTCAAGGAGGGCGACTTCTTGGTTCAAGTCCCAAGCTCACCTCCTTGCTTCCATTCTCAGGTTGGTCCCCAGGGCGTGAGACACACCAACGCTCCCATTCCCTCTAGTTTCTCTCTTTCCCCCACTTTCTCACTCGTTTCAAGAGAACGTTCCTATCCAGCGAATTTGTCATCATTTTCACTGCCTGGGTAACAACCATCGCAGCTGCCTTTTTTTTTTTTTTTTTTTTTTCTTGCAGGGAATGGGCCTGGAGCCGTGAGCCGTCCCCTTCGCTAACCCCCAACCCCGCCTTCTCCTGCTCCTCCTCTCTTCACTCTTCCTGCCTCTCGGCTCCGGGGTCTCCTCGCTTCCCCGCAGTCCCCGCCCCCCAGTTCCCAAAGCGGCACCCGGGCCTCGCCTCCTTCCAGCGGAGCCGCGCGCCCTGCGTCCTGGCCTCCCCGCCCCGAGTCCCCTTCCCTGGAGCCTGGGGGACCGACAGTCGCGGGCCACGCACGCGGTCCCAGCCTCGCCGTCCGCCCCGGGGAGAGCTGGAAGGTGGGCCCGGATCTCCCACATCACTATGAGCTCATTCCAGCCCCGGCCAAGCAAAGCCTGGCCCTACTCGCTCCACATGCATTTCAGTCTCCTCTCGCCTTTCATGCGCGGAGGAGCCGGGAGGGAGAGGATGTGACCTCATCTGCGCGGCATCTGAGCCCAGGGGTGCCCCAGCTCTTCCACCCAGGCCGCTCCCCGAGCCCAGCTCCCCGCGCCCCTCTCTCTATCCAGGAGAGACGCATTGGACAGCCAGGAGGGCTCGACGTGGAAGGAAAGGAAGCTGCAATTCTGGGACAGGGGCAGACGGGAGAGGAAGTGAACGTGGCTAAACGCTCACTTTATGTAAAACGTCCCCCAGACTAGAATCTCGTCCACAGAGCTGCACACATACACTCGCACGGGCCCGGCTTGTACTCAGGCAGGCACACTCGCCCCCCGCCGTCCCCACCGCATCCCCCATACCCGTCCTAACTCACTCCAGCCCCAATACAACCAAAAGGCATGAATTCAGGCGAAGGCGTTTTCTTCCCCATTTCCTCCTCATGGCAGCAACGGAAACCTGAATCTCAGAGCTGCCATGGGACCAGGGGGCCAACAGACCAGAGGCACCATCCTCAGAGCCCCCGGTCTGCCTGGGACTGGGAGCATGGCTGTGGCGCCCAATGAGAACATAGTGTCCATAGTGACCATGATTCTTCAAGTGGTGTCTGAATTTCCCACATTAGCTAAATTCCTTTGGGAGCTTCAGGGTTTCCAGTCTTCCAGGGTTTTTGGCTTAAATGCAAGTACCTCTTGGAAGAATGGCACATGCCCCCATACCCTCAGGGTAATGGGACAAGGAGAAGATGGAGTAGGGGGTGAGGCTCAGAAAGGCAAGGGAAAGTGGCTCTATCTCTCTCCAAGTCACTTCTCAAACTGTGCAGGGTTTGCAGGAAAGGTGGGTGGTCTACTCCTTCCCTGCTTTTCCTGAGACTCCAGCCAGAGGGTGGGCTCCTATCTGGGTTACTGGCGTAATGTCCCTGCCCTCTGGGATCCCTCCTCTAAAAAGTTTGCACATAGCTTCATTCTGTGCTGGGTCCACTTTGTTCAAGTTGGAGTCACCCAACTACCAATAGAAAATAGCGAATAGAAAATAGAAAATAATAGAAATATAGAAAATAGAAATATACTAATATAGCCAAACTGGTGGTTCCCCATCACAAATGCTCTCTTCCCCTCTTCCCTGCACACACACACACCCATCACCATCACCACTCACCTAGCTGACTCCTCACCTTTCAGGCCTCCATCAAAGAGGCCTTCACCAACTGTAGTATCTAAAATTGCCCTGCTCAGTGTCTGTTATATTACCCTGTCAGTTTCCTTCCAGGAATGTCATTATTTGATCTTGTTTACTTATTTTGTTTACTTATTTATTTACTTATTATCTGCAGTGCTACCATCACCTCCCCCTACCAAAACCCCTTCCGAACACACCCAGCTCACAAGTACATGAGTTCTACAGGCAAAGAGACTTGGCCAGTGTCACTCACCATTTGTAAAGTTGCAGGATGGGCCTGGCGCCCAGGAAGTTCACATCTGAATATGTCAACAAAGGAAGAAATGCTAGGTGTTTGTGATACCTGGTGCCCTCTGCTTCCTTCTGTGTTAAAGCTTTCCTAATAATCCAAAGTATTTTTTGTTTTTTGAGATGGAATCTCAGTCTGTCGCCCAGGCTTCAGTACAGTGGTGTGATCTTGACTTGCTGCATCCTCCGCCTCCCAGGTTCAAGTGATTATCTTGCCTCAGCCTCCCAAGTAGCTGGAATTACAGGTGCGCACCACCACGCCCAGCTAATTTTTCTATTTTTAGTAGAGATGGGGTTTCACCATGTTGGCCGGGTTGGTCTCGAACTCCTGACCTCAAGTGATCTGCCTACCTTGGCCTTTCAAAGTGCTGGGATTACAGGAGTGAGCCACCGCGCCTGGCCAAATTATTATTTATAGTATATAAACATATATTAACATATAATACCTATTATATGTAATATATAATTATATATACATATATACACACAATATGTAAGTATATAACATACAATTATCAGTGTCTGTCATCTGTATTAGACTGTGAGCCACTCCAGGCTGCTAACGTTTTCTGATACCTCTTGAGCTCAGCGTCTAGCCTAGTGGCTGGCAGAAAGTAAATGTTCAAGAGTTTATCAACCTATTTGTTTGCTGTACAATGATGAGAAAAGTATTGATTTTGAATAGTAGGAAAGTGATAAATCTTACATTTGTACAGCTCTTAAAAGACTGCTAAGTTCCTCCATGCCATTTCATTCCCATGACTGTAAAACGTAAGCATAACATAGCATTCTCCCTCCTCTAGAGATGAGCAGACTAAGTCTGCAGAAGGCTGAGTGATTTCTCCAGGGCATGAATTAGTAGGAGAAGAGCACTGAAATGTTCAATAGTAACTGTAGAACTGACTTATTTCTTCTTTCAGTTCTATCACATTTTGCTTTGTGTATTTTGAAACTCTGTTAGCATAAGTTCGTTTAACACTGTAGAATTAGGATGGACTCATGCTACTTCTCATGGCTTTCCTTCCAGCTTTGTTTTGTGGTGGGTTTTCCAATCCCATAACATTTAGTTCATGCATTTCCTCTTAATAGCTTTCCCTGATTTCCTCAGCAGAGATAATCTCCCTGCAATCATATTCTGGTTATGCCTTGTATACACACCTTTATTATCTTCACAATTTTACTCCGATTATTTGTATTTGTGCATGTTTTCTCCACTGGATCATGTACTCTTCTCAAGATAAGACTGTGAATTATTTATGTATACCTGTCCTATTCCTAGTACAACACAGAGTACCTTTTAGGTACTTAAATCAACTCTTAATTGACTTTGTTCTCCATATCATAAGAAGCATAAGAATAGCACCCAGAAGAAATACATGACAGACCAATGCACTGGAAGCCACTTTCAACACGACCTAGGAAAGCATGTCATGTTGTGAGGGTTGCCTGCCTCAGCCTTCTGCTCAGGGACATGGGTGTGGTCCCCAAAATCAATGGCTCGTCCTGTGCTCTACTTACAGTCTCCCTTTACCACCTCAGAGCCTACCTCCCTTCTTTACCTGGCCAATACTAAGTCCCTAGTGTGGGAGAGGTTCTTCGCTTTTGTGTTATAGGACCATGTATATAAGACCCTAGGGCTTAAGGGAGGTCTCCCTGGGAAGTGATGATCAAAATGAGATCCAAGGAAAAGTAGGAGCTAGCCAGGCAAGGAGAAATGAATGAGTGTATTGCAGACAGCGAAAACAGAATCACCGTGACAGCAACGTTCACTGAATGTTCAGCCTCAGCGTCACAGAGGCCCTAGGGAGCCGGGGACTGTGAGCGCTAGAGAGCTAAAGTACTCAGCTCCAACCAACTGTGGCCATGCAAGAAGGGTGGGAGGAGGGGTGCTAATGCCTGTTCCAACTTTTCAAAAGAAACTGAAAACCTGGATTTTTATGAGAAATTCCCTGATTTTAAATGTTGGCTCAACTTTAAAAATATACTGCATGTGCCAAATAAAACACACCTGTGGGTTTTAATGGGCCAATGGGTAGCCAATTTGAGAACACTGGGTTAGAATGGATATAAAACATGAGGTAGGAAGCAGCTAGCAGTGAGCAAAGGTAGAGGCCAGAGAATGAGAAAAGTTCCAAGGTTTGTTAAGGAGATTCACTGGCAATGAAAAGACATTGGAGGATTTAAAAAAAAAGATCAGATTTATATTCAGGAGGACTATTCTGGTTGCAGTTTGGAGAATCAATGGGAAGGGATCAGCAGTGTAAGTAGGAAGACCAGTTTTAAAAAATGATTGTGATAACACAGGTGAGATATGTAGGGGCCTGGTCTCAGGTGGTAGCAGCGGGGGAGGGGTAGAAATGGCTTCACTCAAGAGAGACTCCAGATATAGAATCACAGGACTTGGTGTTTGGTTAAATGCAAAAATGTGAGGAATAACAGAACAATCAAGAATGATGTCCAGGTTTCTGGCTTAGATAATGGAGTGTGTTTTAGCATGATTTAACAAGATAGAAAAAAAAAGAAAAAGCAGCTTTGGGAAAAGTTGAGTTCCATTTTGACCATGTTGAAGTTAAGGGGCTGGAGACACATCCAGATGGAAATTTCTAGTGGGCAATTGGATTTCAATAAAAGAAATATGTGTTAAAAAATAGATTTTGGTCGGGCATGGTGACTCATGCCTGTAATCCCAGCACTTTGGGAGGCTGAGGCGGGCGGATCACTTGAGGTCAGGCGTTCAAGACCAGCCTGGCAAACATGGTTAAATCCCGTCTCTACTAAAAATAAAAAAAATTAGCCAGGCATGGTGGCACGTGCCTGTAATCCCAGCTATTCAGGAGGCTGAGGCATGAGAGCCACTTAAGCCCAGGAGGCAGAGGTTGCAGTGAGTCAAGATCACACTATTGCACTCTAGTCTGGGCAACAGAGTGAGATTGTGTCTCAAAAAAAAAAACCAAAAAACTAGATTTTGGAGTCATCAGCGGTTTATAATAAAGCCATGAAGGAGGTTGTGATACCAAGGAAGAGAGTGCAAGGTGAGGCTAGAAAACAGCCCAGCACAGAGCTTACTTTAGGAGTGAATAGAGGTGAAGAAGTTGCAAGCAGATCAAAGAAAAGTCAGAAAAGAAGGAGGAAAACCAGTAGAGTGTGGTCTCATGGAACCCCAGGAAAGCTTTTGTTTCTAGGAGCAAATGGACTGCTGTGTCAAATATTGCAGAGATACCAAGTAAGCTAAGGACTGAAATGTACTCATGAAGTCAGTGATACGGAGATCCTTGGTGATCCTCGTGGGCACCGTCTCACGGAAGTGGTTAGGATGAAATCTAGCTTGCTGAGGATTGAGGAGAAAATGAAACTTGAGAAGAAAGAGACGCATTTGGACAGCTCTTTGGAAGTTTGGCTGTGAAGGGAAGAGAAAGAAAAGACCAGAAGATGGTGCAAGATGAAGGGAAGGTTTTGAACATGTTTTTTCTTTATGAGAAGTCTTTAGAAAGGGAGAAGGAAGTGGAAGAAATAAGAGAGGAGAAAAAGCATCAGTAGCCCTAAGGTTAAGAAGGCAGGAGAGGATAGACTCTGAAACATGTGGGGAGAGATCACCTTAGACTGGAGAGACCTGTGGACGGAAGAGGGAGGAGGAATGCAAGTAGGTTGTGAGCTCCATTTGAGGGCTTCTATGTTTTCCCTCTGAAGTCAGAGTTGACATCACCAGCGGAGAGTCATCGTGGAAGTGGAAACATCCTGAGAGTTGAGGGGAAGTGAATAATCTTTGTGAGAGAAAGTGACTGTCTTGCTCTAGTTCTCACAACTGGTAAGTTTGGGTCCTTCTGTGTGTTCTAGTAATCCCTCTTCTCTCCTTCAAAGGGCAATTGGATTTCTAAGCGACAGACCACTGAGTATGTAGCACTTCCTACACCTTGCAGAAAAAGCCTTGAATTGGAGTCAGGAAGCCTGAGTAGAATCCCAGCCCTACCACTTCCTAACCTGGATTGAAGATAAACACCAGGGCATGAGGGGCCAGGAGGACAATGCCAAATACATTGGGAGGCCAAGGAGAGCGGATCACTTGAGTCCAGGAGTTCAAGACCAGCCTGAGCAACATGACAAAACCACATCTCTGCAAAAAATACAAAAGTTAGCCAGGGGCATTGTGGCGCACGCCTGTAGTCCCAGCTACTCGGGAGGCTGAGGTGGGAGAATCACTTGAGCCAGGGAGGTGGAGGTTGCAGTGAGCTGAGATAGTGCCACTGCACTCCAGCCTGGGCGACAGAGTGAGACCCTGTCTCAAAAACGAAAAAAGAAAAAGAAAGGAGAGGTGTACATGTGGATGTCTGTGTGCCAGAACACACTGTTACCCACGGCCTCTATACCATCTTCAGTGCTGAGTACTTGGCCCTTATCTCTGCCTCTCAATTCCAGTCGCCAACAGTTTTCTCTGAAAGTGTTCAATCTCCAGGACGTTACCACTCCCATATACTGAGTATCAGTAATTCTCTATTGTTCATGCCCAAAGCTTTCATTTCAAGGACTTGGCTTCGTTCTGATACTCATCCTCTCTCACCAATGTTAGACAGAAAATAAGGAGTTGTTTTCCTCTGGCCTCTACCTTTTAAACCCAGTCAGGTGGCAAGGTCTAGGGGACATCACAAGAGTCAGGCAGCAAATTCAGGCGAAGGCAGTGCTATCTGCTGAGTGAGCCCAGAGAAGGTATTCTCTCTGATCTTTCCCATTTGGACTGAGAATAATACCGTGCTCTTCAGACGGCTGATGAGAATCTGTTGGCCTCCAGATTGACATCATTCTTTGGCCTCCAGAAGGGGTGACATCTAAAGATTCCAGACAAATGAATAACTGAACATGCAGCCCACTGCCTTGCAGGAAAGATCTTAGCTCCTCTATCTCTTGCTAAAGTGAAAATGCATCTTCTTTTTTTCGTCTTTTCTCTGTGCACACGGGAGTTTCTTCTTCTCTTTTCAGAATCACACCATGTCTGTCTCAGACTTCTACTTCTATTCTCCTATTTGCCCATTGTTCCTTTCAATTTAGTTTTGGTCCACGAACGGCAATACTAATGCTATGTAACGAGATAGAAAAACTTGGATTCTCCAGAATTTCTCTTAGGAGGGAAATTGTACTTTAATAAATAGATATAGGTGGTACAAGTGCACTTGTGTTACATGGATATATTGCATAGTGGAAAGTCTGGGCTTTTAGTGTAGCCATCACCCAAATTGCGTACGTTGTACCCAATGGGTAATTTTTCCTCCGTCACCCCCTCCCACCCTCCCACCTTTTGCAGCCTCCAGTGTCTGTTATGCTACTCTGTACGTCCGTGTGTACCCAGTGTTAGCGCTAACTTGTGAGTGAGAATATGCAGTATTTGACTTTCTGTTTCTGAGTTATTTCATTTAGGAGAGTATCCTCCAGTTTCATCCATGTTGCTGCAAAAGGCATGATTTCATTCTGTTTTGTGGCTGAATAGTATTCCAAGGTGTGTGTGTGTGTGTGTGTGTGTGTGTGTAGTATTTATACCATATCTAGTATTGATATATTAATTATTAATAAATAAATAATTAATAATTGATACATTAATATATACTATCTATTTATATGGTATTAATAGTATTATAACATATAAATATAGTATATTCATATATTACAGTATACTAATATATGGTAATATATAAATACAGTATATGTTAATGAGTATCAAGTATTAATTATTAATATATTACTATATTAATACTATATAGAGTTAATGCTACACTTTAGTACTAATATTAATTCTAATTATTTAGTATACTAAAGTATTAGTATTAATTCTACTATATACATATAGTATATATATACATATATACATATATATACACATATTATATATATGTATATAGTACATATATACATATAGTATATATAACATTCTATATACTATATGTACTATATATTATATACCAATTAGTATTACTATACTAATTAATATTAATACTAACATTAATATTGGTACTAATTAGTATTAGCAATATACTATTAATTAGTATCGTAATCCTAATTAATACTAAGTACTATATTGGTACCTATATTAATATTAATATTATATATATACACACCATGGAATACTAACTGTGGTATATACATATATATACACACACATATATAAATAAATACATATATATATATATATATATACACACACACACCACATTTTTTGTATCCACATTTTCTGTACCTTCTGAATCTGTTGCTGGACACTTACATTGATTCCATGACTTTGCTATTGTGAATAGTGCTGCAATAAACATATGAATGCAGGTGTCTTTTTTACTATAATCATTAGTTTTCCTTTAGGGAAACTGTAGTTTTTGACAGGTGCTTGGGCCTGAATATGGGTAGAACTGTTTGTCACAGGTCAAGGTAAATAATATGCTATTGTCCATTGCTCAGGGGAAAGGAAAAGAGAGGAGAGAGGATGAAGTCTCTGCTTGCCCTAAATTCTCATGAAAAATACCTCACTCGCAAAATAGTTGGGTCTCTCTGGATATTTTTGTGGAAAACAGGGTAGGGGCACAGACACAAGATTGTTAAGGCAAAGAGAAATATGATCAATATCAAGATTCTATGGAAGTTTATTATCTACTGTGTGACAAATTACTCAAAACTTAGTGGCTTAAAACAGTTTGTTTTTATAATCTCACTGTTTCTGTGAGTCAGGAGTCTGGCACGGCTGAGCTGAGTCCTCTGTCTCAAGGTCCCTTTACAAGGAGACAGTCAAGATGTTGCCAAGGCTGGGGCCTCATCAGAAAACTCTACGGAAGAACAATCCTCTTCCAAACGCAGACGTTGTTGGAGATCTTTATCTTCTCTGGTTGCTGGCCAGAGGCTACCCTTGGTTCCTTGCCATGTGGACCCATCCAGTAGAGTCCACTAGCAAGAGAGAAGTCAAAATATCTTGTAACCTAATCACAGAAGTGATGTCCCTTCAACTTTGCCATATTGTATTGATTAAAATTAAGTCAATAGGTCCAGCTCCTACTCAAGCAGAGGGAGTTCTATACAAGGACAGGAATACCAAGAGGCAGGAGTCACTGGGGCCACCTTGGAAGTCTTCCTATCACAGGTAAGGTCTAGATTTTCACAGGTTGTGGAATAGGGGTTCAAGCCAAATATAATCATGTCTTAGAAAGGTACAGTGGCCCCAGCTTACCCGTGGCTTTTAAAAAGCTACCATTAGTTGGCACAATTATGTGCCAGCCGCTGTGTTATACACATGCATTTCTCTTTTAATGTACAAAATAGTGTTAAAAATACTGTTTTCATCATGCAGATGTAAGATGAGGAAAGGAAGTCGTGGATTAAGTAATTTGACCAGGGTACAAAGCCAGTTAGTGGCAGGGCCAGGACACAAGCACAGGTTTGTCTACCTCCAGACCTGTGCCATGAAAGATTAATCTGTGCTCTCCTTTCAGCCAGTTCTATGCACTAGACTCTGCTGCTTACCGTGCCTCACCTATGGGTACCAAACTCTGGATCAGTTAAAAAAGAGTTTGGCTTTAATAATCAATAACTTGTTAAATAAGAAGGCTTAAATAAAAGCTTACGAGATAGGCAGTCCAGGGCTTGTGTCAGTAGCTTCACAATTTCATCAGCATCCCAGGCTCCTTCCGTCTTTTAGTTCTACGAACTTCAGTGTGAGCAGATGACTGCTGCAGCTCCTGGGGTCTTGTCTACATCTAGGCAGAAAGAACAGAGCCATTTTCTTCTTTTGTAGCTTTGTCTTTTTATTCAAAAAAGAGACCCTCTCCAAGCAGATCTGCACATATATCGCATGGGGTAGAAATGGTGCTGTCTTACTCTCCCTAGTTGCAAAGGATGTTGAGATGGCTACAATTTTAGCTCTCCAACTTCTATTAAAGAAAGAGAAGGATTACAGATAAATGGGGGCTGATATAGTCTCTATGTTAGTCCCTCCAAATCTCATATTGAAATGTGATCCCCAGTTTTGGAGTTGGGGTCTGCTGGGAGATATTTCAGTCGTGGGAGCAGATCCCTCTTGAAAGGCTTGGTGCCATCCTCAGAGCAATGAGTGACTTCCCTCTCTATCAGTCCCCACAACATCTGATTGTTAAAAAGAGCCTGGCACCCCCTCCCCTCTCTGTTTTTTCCTCTATTGCCATTGGATGCTTGCTCTCCTTCCCCTTTCACCAAGAGTAAAGCAATCTGAGGCCCTCACCGGAAGCACATGCTGGCACCATGCTTCTTACAGTCTGCAGAGCTGTGAGTCAAATGAACTTCTTTTCTTCATAAATTACCCAGCCTTAGGTATTCCTTTATAGCAACACAAAATGGTCTAAGACAGGGGCTCGCCAATTCATACTGGTGTTAAACAGATTCTGTTGATTACGGACCTCCCTGCTCCCCATATTAATGATGAAGAAATAGGTATAATTAAACTTCTTCTAACCTCTTCTTCCTCCATCTCAACATTTCTTATTACTTTTATTACTATTTATTTTTCTGGGATGGAATTTTGCTCTTGTTGCCCAGGCTGGAGTGCAATGGCGCAATCTCGGCTCACTGCAACCTCCGCCTCCTGGGTTCAAGCGATTCTTCTGCCTCGGCCTCCCGAGTAGCTGGGGTTACAGGCATGCACTACCATGCCCAGCTAATTTTTTTGTATTTTTAGTAGAGACGGGGTTTCTCCATGTTGGTCGGGCTGGTCTCGAACTCCTGACCTCAGGTGATCCACCTGCCTTGGCCTCCCAAAGTGCTGGGATTACAGGTGTGAGCCACCATGCCCGGCCCTTTATTATTTCCACCTTGTCAAATTGATAGCACTTACATTCTGTTCTGAAACCACAAGTCATACACTTTTAAAATTGTATTCTATATTTAAATTTTTTCAACATAGCTTTTTCATTTATCTTTTTGTGAATAAATATTATGTGAAACCATATAAAATTGCTGATATTTGACCACTGTTGCTCAGAAAAATGCCTATTTCATATGCTTAATCTAATAGATATTCAAGAAGGTTTGTTAAGCAGTATTTTTTTGTATTTTGTATATATTTTGTATATTTACAAAATTGCATATGATTAAAAATATCTGTCAGTGCTTTTATATGAAATGACAGCTCTTTGTTTATACTGTTCTTGTGTGACACCATTTCCTTGAGGTTTTATAGACCTTGCTTCACTTTCCTCTAATGTAAGAATTTTTTTTGTTGAAGTCTCAGCCAGCCTGATAGTATTTTTCCTCATAGGTAACTTGAATTTTTGTTTGGATGCCCATAACATTATTTATTATTTTTATCATTTTTCTGATTTAAAAAATCCTTAATCCTAGAATTCCAGTAAATTTGCTGAGATACATATCAATTTAGATAGTTCATTATCAAATATTTTCCTGGAACATAATTTGTCCAGGAAATTGTGGGAAACACGCCTGTAATCCTAGCACGTTGGGAGGCCAAAGTGGGTGGATCACGATGTCAGGAGTTCAAGCCCAGCCTGACCAAGATGGTGAAACCCCGTCTCTACTAAAAATACAAAAATTAGCCAGGCGTGGTGGCGGGTGCCTGTAATCCCAGCTACTCAGGAGGCTGAGGCAGGGAATTGCTTGAACCCGGGAGTCGGAGGTTGCAGTGAGCTGAGATCATGCCACTGCACTCCAGCCTGGGTGACAGAGCGAGACTCCGTCTCAAAATAAAATAAAATAACATAAAATAAACAGGTTTAGAGAGTTTGAGAAAGTGGAATAGCTGAAATTCAGCCCTAGTTCCTTCTGACTCAATAATAAACTTCCATTACTTACTGCTTTCAAAAGTTTCCATCAAAGTACCCCTAAACAGCAGAAGAGAATGGATAGCAGCTATCTCTGGAAGATATGTCTCAAGAGAACAACAAAAAGATCAATAATTCTTAGGTGATTGGTAGATGATAGATAGATAGATAAATAGATAGATAGATGATAGATAAGATAGATAAATAATGGATTAGATAGTATTTCAAAAACCTATCAAATGATGATAATTATAATCATTTTGTGTATTGATTATCCTGCAATATTGCAAAATTCTCATTAATTTTAAAAAATATCCATCAATAAGAGACTGCTGAAACAAATTATGAAGTAGCATTAATATGAATTATAATCAGCTGTGATGAAACAAACCATAAGGAAAGTTTTGATGTACTTCTATAGAAACAACGCCAAGATACATTGTTACACACAAAAAATTGCTGTGCAGAAGAGTGTGTATTCTATCTTCCTGTTTTCACATTAAAATTTCATCTGGAAAGATATAAAAGACTAATAACAGTGGTTTTCTATTTGGAGTAGAAGGGAATTTGTGAGAATAAATGGGAGGGGAACCTTTCACATTATACATTTTAATGCTTTCTGATATTTGTGTTCATTAGCTCTAGTTCTTTTTTTTTTTTTTTTGAGATGTAGTGGTGTGATCTCAGTTCACTGCAACCTCTGCCTCCCAGGTTCAAGTGATTCTCGTGCCTCAACCGCCAGAGTAGCTGGGACGACAGCTGTATGCCACCATGCCTGATCAATTTTTTTGTATTTTTAGTGGAGATGGGGTTTTGCCATGTTTGCCAGGCTGATCTCGAACTCCTGAGCTCAGGTGATCTGCCCGCTTTGGCCTCCCAAAGTGCTAGGATTACAGGCATGAGCCACCACGCTTGGCTTTATGCATTAGCTCTTAAATAAACAACACTAAAGAAATACCAAGTGTGTGGACAGACAGAAAATATCTTTGGGATGGAAGATTTGATATGCATATTTAGTATGATTCCAATAAAATCTCCAGAGATTTCCACCTTCTGGCCATGATGGAATGCATGGAAGCAAATTTGCCCCATCTCTATAAGCAACTAGAAAGCTAGATTAAATGTATGGAACAAGTTTTCACATATTAAACAACAGGTAGTGCAAGACTTTCATCCTTGAGAGAAAGAAAATAATGAGGTAAGCCCTGCAATTTCCCTGGTTTCTATCTGAACCACAGCACAAAGAAGAGGAACAGGGTTTGGGGAGGTTGAGGTGGCTGGAGTTTGTGGGGCAGAATATTGATAAGAGGAAGTTCTGTAGAGAAAGAACTCCAATATCTACATAGCGATTCCTTTGAGTCTTTGGTTGAATACTAAGCTGTACATGTATAGAATAAAACTTCATGAGACCAGATAAAGAAAACCACCAGGAAAGAATGACTACTGGACACTGGGAGCCGATAAGTCTCAGTGCCCATTCAGAGCTGGGAGACATTAAGCCTCCACCAATAAGGGTAAAGAAATCTCATTTAGGGCCAGGCGTAGTGGCTCACACGTGTAATCCCAGCCCTTTGGGAGGCTGAGGCGGGTGGATCACCTGAGGCCAGGAGTTCGAGACCAGCCTGACGAATATGGCGAAATCCCATCTCTACTAGAAATACAAAAATTAGCTGGGTGTGGTGGCGTGTGCCTGGAGTCCCAAGTCCCAGCTACTCGGGAGGCTGAAACAGGAGAATTGCTTGAACCTGGGAGGCGCAGGTTGCAGTGAGCCGAGATCATGCCACCACACTCCAGCCCAGGCAACAGAGTGAGACTCTGTCTCAAAAAAATAAAAAGTATAAAAATATAAAAAAAAGAAACCTCATTTAAGGCCAGGCATGGTGGCCCACGCCTGTAATCTCAGCACTTTGGAAGGTCGAGGCGGGCAGATCACCTGAGGTCAGGAGTTCGAGACCAGCCTGGCCAACATGGTGAATCCCCATCTCTACTAACAATAGGAAAATTAGCTGGGTGGGGTGGTGCATGCCTGTAATCCCAGCTACTCGGGAGGCTGAGGCAGGAGAATCACTTGAACCCTGGAGGCAGAGGTTGCAGTGAGCCAAGATTATGCCACTGCACTCTAGCCTGGGCAACAGAGCCAGACTCAGTCTCAAAAAAAAGAAAAAAAAAGAAAGAAACCTCATTTAATACCCGAGATTTTAATCCCCAGCAGGGTCATGTTTTAGTAGTAGGGTTAAATTCATCCTAGTGAAAAGCTTACTTCAGATTTACCTTAACAAAGCTTAAAAACAAGTCCAGAAAGGATCAAGCTGATCCACAAATAACTAAACTGTCTGACAAAACTAACTGAAACACTCTTAAAGGAGGACTACACAATCCAGCACTCAACGACTTTGTCATCACGACGTACCCATTCAATCCAATTCTACTAGACATGTCAAGAAGCAAGAAAATATGACTCATAGCCAGGAAAAAAATTAGTCAGTAGAAGGAGATCCAGGAACAGCAGATACGATGAGATTAGCCATTGAGGCCATCACAGCATCTGTTTTAAATATCAAATTTAAAGGAAAAGATAAATAGAATGAATAAAGAAATGGAAGATGTAAAAATGAACTAAGTAACTTGTATAGCTTAGAGCTTAGAAATACAATATCTGAAAATAAAAATTCACTGGAGAGACTAAATGCAGATTAAGCACAGCAAAAACAAAACCAAAAACCAAAAACCAAAAACAACCCTCAGTGAAGATCAGTGTAAAGATTTTAAAACACTGGCAAAAAAGGAGCAGATCCTCAGTGACCACCACCATCACCATATCAAAAAGCCCAACACTACAGTTTCAGAAAGGGGATGAGAGGCTGAAAGTATGTGAAGAAATAATAGTCAAAAATGTTCCAAATTTGATGGAAAGTATGAACTCACAGATCCATGAATCTCAGCAAACTCCAAGCTAAACAAAAACAAACACACACACACACAACAACAACAACAACAAATAAAACCACGCAGGGCACATTATAATTAAATTGCTAAAAATCAGTGAAGAGGAGAAAATATTCAAAACAACTAGAGAGTGGGGTTGGGGTGAAAGGAGAGGGATCACTTATTGTCAGAAATAGTACAGGTCGGAAGACAACAGAACTACATATTAATATTTAGAGTGCAATTTAGATGAAGAAGAAGGAGGGGAGGGGGAGGAGAAAAATTAGTAAAATCCACATTGTATTTAGAAATTTCAAAACTACTTCAGTAATCAATACAACAAACAGGAAATCAGCAAGACAATATAAGAACTGAGCAACCTATGAACTCACTTACCCTAATTGATATTTATAGAACACTCTACTAAATCTAAAATAAACATTCTTTTCAAATGCACATGGAACATTCACCAAGACAGATCATATTCTAGGCCATAAAGAAACACTATTAAGCTTTAAAAAAAAATGTAGATCTTGTATACTCCTGAGCTCAGGTGATCTGCCCACCTTGGATATTCTCTGTTCACAACAGAATTAAAATAGAAATCGATAACAGAAAGATATCTGAAAAAAAATTTTCTTTTTTTTATTTTTATTTTTTTCTTTTATTATTATACTTCAAGTTTTAGGGTACATGTGCACATTGTGCAGGTTAGTTACATATGTATACATGTGCCACACTGGTGCGCTGCACCCACTAACTTGTCATCTAGCATTAGGTATATCTCCCAATGCTATCCCTCCCCCCTCCCCCCACCCCACAACAGTCCCCAGAGTGTGATGTTCCCCTTCCTGTGTCCATGTGATCTCATTGTTCAATTCCCACCTATGAGTGAGAATATGTGGTGTTTGGTTTTTTGTTCTTGTGATAGTTTACTGAGAATGATGATTTCCAATTTCATCCATGTCCCTACAAAGGACATGAACTCATCCTTTTTTATGGCTGCATAGTATTCCATGGTGTATATGTGCCACATTTTCTTAATCCAGTCTATCATTGTTGGACATTTGGGTTGGTTCCAAGTCTTTGCTATTGTGAATAGTGCCGCAATAAACATACATGTGCATGTGTCTTTATAGCAGCATGATTTATAGTCCTTTGGGTATATACCCAGTAATGGGATGGCTGGGTCAAATGGTATTTCTAGTTCTAGATCCCTGAGGAATCGCCACATTGACTTCCACAATGGTTGAACTAGTTTACAGTCCCACCAACAGTGTAAAAGTGTTCCTATTTCTTCACATCCTCTCCAGCACTTGTTGTTTCCTGACTTTTTAATGATTGCCATTCTAACTGGTGTGAGATGGTATCTCATTGTGGTTTTGATTTGCATTTCTCTGATGGCCAGTGATGGTGAGCATTTTTTCATGTGTTTTTTGGCTGCATAAATGTCTTCTTTTGAGAAGTGTCTGTTCATGTCCTTTGCCCACTTTTTGATGGGGTTGTTTGTTTTTTTCTTGTAAATTTGTTGGAGTTCATTGTAGATTCTGGATATTAGCCCTTTGTCAGATGAGTAGGTTGCACAAATTTTCTCCCATTTTGTAGGTTGCCTGTTCACTCTGATGGTAGTTTCTTTTGCTGTGCAGAAGATCTTTAGTTTAATTAGATCCCATTTGTCAATTTTGTCTTTTGTTGAAAAATTTTAAATAGTTGGAAATTAAGCAATATATTTCTAAATAATATATGGATCAAAGGAGATCTCAAGGAAAACTAGAAAATAGTTTGGACTAAATAAAATAAAATACGACATATCCAAATTTGTAGGATGTAGTTAAAGCAGTGCTCAGAAGGAAATGTATAGCATTTAAATGCTTGTGTTAACAAGAAGAAGATAATAAACTCAACGAAAATCAGTATAATTAAAAACAAAAAAGAAAGCCAATAAAACCAAAAATGCATACTTTGAAGGGATCAATAAAATGGATAAACCTCAAGTCATACTGAAAAAGAAATATGAGAGAAGACATAAATTACCAGTATTGGGGAGGAAAAAGGAATTATGTCACCACAACTCTGAAGATACTAAAAGAATAATAAAGGAATGCTTCAAACAAACCTATGCCCATAGATTCTACAGTTTAAAAGAAATGACATACTTCTTGAAAGCCACAAACTACCAAAACTCACCCAAAAGAAACAGATTCCTTGAATAGCCCTGTACTTATTTATTTATCTATTTAAGACGGAGTCTAGCGCTGTTGCCCAGGCTGGAGTGTAGTGGCACGATCTTGGCTAAATGCAATCTCTACCTCCCAGGTTCAAGTGATTCTCCTGCCTCAGCCTCCCGAGTAGCTAAGATTACAGGCTCCCGCCCCCACGCCTGGCTAATTTTTTTGTATTTTTAGTACAGACGGGGTTTCACTATGCTGGTCAGGCTGGTCTCGAACTCCTGACCTCGTAATCTGCCCGCCTTGGCCTCCCAAAGTGCTGGGATTACAGGCATGAGCCACCGTGCCCGGCCTGAATAGCCCTATATTTATTAAAGAAAGTGAATTTGTTTTTTTGTTTTTGTTTTGAGACGGAGTCTCGCTCTGTCGCCCAGGCTGGAGTGCAATGGCGCGATCTTGGCTCACTGCAAGCTCCACCTCCCGGGTTCACGCCATTCTCCTGCCTCAGCCTCCAGAGTAGCTGGGACAGGCGCTCGCCACCATGCCCGGCTAATTTTTTGTATTTTTAGTAGAGACGGGGTTTCACCGTGGTCTCCATCTCCTGACCTCGTGATCCGCCCGCCTCAGCCTCCCAAAGCGCTGGGATTACAGGCGTGAGCCACCCGCACCCGGCCAGAAATTGAATTTGTACTTAAAAACCTTCCCAGAAATAAAACTTTAGGCCCAAATGATTTTTCTGCTGAATTATATCAAATGTTTAGAGAATACCAATTATACACAATTTCTCCAGAAAATAGAAGGAAACATTTCCCAACTCATTTTGTGAGCCAAACATTATTCTGATACCAAAATCAGACAAATGAATTTCAAGAAAACTACAGACCCATATCCCTCATGAACATAGATGAGAAAATCCTGATCAAATTCAGCAATATATAAAAGGGATAACAATACAACATTTTACAATAGAAGTGAGGATTATACTAGGAATGCAATGCTGGTTCAGCATTGATAGTCACTGAATATAATTTACCATATTAAAAGACAGAAACATATTAACAGAAGAAAAAAAATGATTATCTCGATCGATGCAGAAAATTTAACTCCTAAGCACAGCAAAGAAAACCTCAAACCCAACCTTACCAATGAATATCATGAACACCAAAGCAAACATTCTAAATAAAACATTAACAAATAGAAACCAGAAGCACATTAAAAATATACTATACCGTGACTAAATATATTATACTACGACTGGAGTCAATTTAGGAAATGTAAGGATGGTCCAAAATTAGGATATCTGCTAATGCAGTTTACCATATTAATAGAGCAAAGACTAAATATTGTCTTTCTTATAGATACTAAACAGGCATTTGAAGAAATTTATCTGTCAATAAAACAGAAAAAAATGGAAGTACATTTAACATGAGAAGTCATTACGTATATAACTACTTATTCAAGAAATACTTGAGTACCTGCTATGTGAGAGACACGATTCTGGGTGTTGCAGTATAGTGCTAAACAAACAGACAAGAAATTCTTATCCTCATTGTCCTTGCCTTTTAAAGGCAGTAATAAACACACAAATAGTGTGTGCCTGGTGGTTATAAGTGTTAATAAAGCAGGTAAAAACATAAAATGTGCTACAGGTGATTGGAGGAAGGCTATTTTTTTATATGCTGTTTAGGGATTACTGCTAAAGTGACATTTGAGAAGAAACGGAAGGAAATGACAGTGATAGCTTGATAGACAGTTAAATCTATCATATCAACTGACTAGCAGGATGCTTAACAGAAAATTTCTAGAAACATTCCCCAAAAGGGTAAGAACAGAATCAATATTCCACTATTTTCACTGTTATTTAACTTTATTCTGGAGGAAGTAGCCAATGCCATTGTAAAAGAGTGAAATATGAGAGCAAACATGAAACGTTAGTAGACAAATTAAAAGATAAGGTTGAAAAAGTCTTCCAAAGTGCAGCAATAAAGCAAAGAAATGAAAAATAAGAAAGAAAAACAGCCAAATTAGAAGATACATCAAAGCAATCCTACACCCAAATTATAAGAGTTCCAGAAAAGAGAACAGAAAAGAAATGTAGGTGCAGACATTATCGAAGAAATAATTCTAGAAAAACTTATCTAGAATTGAAAGGCATGGGTTTCCATATTGAAAAGTCTTGTTGAGTGACTAGCACATAGACAAAAATAAATTTACACCAAGTTATATTATTGTATTTCAGAGCTCCTGAGAATTAGAGAATATCCTTAGTTTCTAGAAAGTAAAAACACAGATTACTACAAACCAAGGCTCATTAAAAAGACTAACATCAGACTTCTCAAGAGCAACACTGAAATTTAGGAAAACATTGAAAAATGCCTTCATAATTTTGAAGAACAACAATTCTCAACCAAGAATTCTATATCTATCCAGACTATCAACTAAGTGAAGATAATAATTAAGATATTTCTCACATGAAAGATCTCAAAACCTTTACCTCCCCTGGGTTCTTTCTCAGGAAATACTAGGAGGTGCTCTAAAAAGGGAAAGTAAACTAAGGAAAGCATACCATGGAAATACTGTTACTTTTCTCTCAATACCTTTCTTTCTTTCATTGTAATGATAGACTTCACTATGTCTAAACAGAGCATCTGGCCATGCTAATAAAGATGACACTTCCCAGGCTTCCTTGCAGCTAGAGGCAGCATGTAACTAGGTTCTTTGTCAATGAGATATGATCATGGAAATGAAGTGAGCTATGTTCTAAGTATTGAGCTTAAAGGGATATGCCCTCCATGTCCTCTCTTTCTCTCCCCCTACTAAGCTAAAGTAAAAACAAGTCAGTGAGACATTTTGAATTATACGTGTCAGAGCAACAGCCTTGAGAAGGAACAGTAAAATAGACCACCTACCAGTCCTGAGCTGCTTATGCCCAGACCACTACGTAAGACAGAAATAAACTTCTATCTTATCTATTTGACTGTTATTTTAGTTATCAATTATAGAAGTCAAACTGTATTCTAACAAATACTCACTGGATCAAGGAAATAGAGAATCCAACAAAAGAGAAAGTCAAAGGAAATTCCCAGGATGTTTCTGCAGGCATATACTAGGATTATACCTGTGCACCAAGCCTAGAAAGTAACCAGTAAATTGTGGAGCCAGTTAGAAGGCTCCAAGAGAGCAATGTCTTCAAGAAGATGAAACTGATGAAATACTTGATATATCTGAACAGGCTGAGAAGCACAGGGGTAAATTAGCTATAGGTACATAGAAAACTAAACAAAGAAAAAAACTGAAAGGCAATTAATAACTATTGAAAAAAACAAAACAAAAATTATGTATAAAAGTAAACTAGGTCATAATGTGTTATATGGTTAAACTATGAATGCATAATATATAATGATGTTAATTTTGAATATTGATCTAAGGAAAATTGTAATTGTATTGGAAGGGTAGTGAAGCCAAAAGTGTATTTGTGTGATGTGGTAGAGTTGGAGTAAAAAGAAAGCTAATTTCTCACTTTCCATTATAAGAATTTAATAAGTAATTCCTAAGTAGAAATTCAAGATGGAAGTATAAACTATTATTTAAATATGTGAAAGTAAATACCAAAAGAAATGGCTTTACCAAAAGAATCAAAAGTTGTTGCTTCTAGAGACTAGGAGATGAGATAAGAAGTGGACCAGGGGAGTTCTCCTTCTTATAATAAATCTTGTAGTTAATTGCTTCTTTAAATTGTTGGTACCTGTATCTTTGACTTTTAGAAAGAAAAGCCTTCAAATTATATTTGTGGATGAAGTAAACCTGACAACCTTTAAATAAAAATAAGCAAACGATTTTCACTTATGAATACCCAAAGAAAGTGTTGATCCCAGAATTTGTAAGGGTAATTCAATATTTTTAAATCTTTGATATAATTCTTCATTTTAATAGATTAAAAGATAAAATTCTACATAGATGCTGAAAAATAAAATTAAACATCTTTTCTTCTGTAAAACGCTTAAGAAAATAAGAATAAATGAGTATTTTCTTTACATGAGAGCATACATCTATCACACCTAAAAGTCAAGTATCCTCCTAAGTACAAAAATATGAAAAGGAATCCTATTAATCTCAGAACAGGACAAGGATGTTCACTATCCAGGAACCAGAAAATGTAATTAAAGAAGAAACAGAAATCAGACATAAAATTAGAAAGACAGAGATCAGTTATCATTACCTGTAAATGACATTATTGTATATATCAAGGGTTGGCAGACATTTACTTTAAATGTCCAAATAGTAAAGATTGTAGACTTGGTGGGCTGCCCATGGTTGCTGTCACATATTTTTCTTCTTCTTCTTCTTTTTTTTAACCATCGTTTTAAAATGTAAAAACTAGTCTTAGTTCTTGGATGTGTAGAAACATGCCATCACTGGATTTGACCCATAGGCTATAGTTTACAGTTCCCTGGTATATCCGGAAAAAAAATCAAATAAAAACATTACAAAACTCAAACAGAATTCAATAAATTCCATTTATACATGTGGAAATCAAACAGCACTCACATCTACAAAAATAGCTGGTTAGAAGATATAAAGAAAGAAAAGATCCCACTTAAAATGGCAACAAAAAATAAAATTCCTAAGAATAAACTTAAGAAATATGCAGGACCTATAATTTAAAATGTTAATGGTACGGAAGGACACAAAAGAAGGCTTAACAATGCAAAGAAACATCATGTTCTTAGATTCTCCACATCATAAAGCTGTCAAAGATAGTTAATCTATAAATTTAATGTGAGCCCAATAAAAATACCAAAAGGGTATTTTTTGGGAACCAAACTAGCTGGTTCTAAATTTCATGTGGAAAAATTACCAAGAATAGTCAGGAAAATTTTGGAAAAATTAAAGGAACAAGGAAAGTTAAAACTACCATGTATCAAAACCTATTATATGTCCTCAATAAGAAAAACAATGTGAGTAGAAAGACCACTAAAATCAAATAGAAAATTCACAAATAGATTTAAGTATATGTGAGAATTTTGCACATTCAATAAATAATGTTGGTTCAACTGGATATCCATATGAAGAAACAATAAAGGTGATCCCTACTTTACAACTAGTGCTGAAGTAGATTGTGATAGACAAAAGATTTAAATGAAATCATAAAATTACGAGAAAACATGAGAAGAGTTTATAACTCATGTGAGAGAAAGTATGGCACAAAACTCCAACACATTAAAAAAAGACTAATGAATTTCAAACTATTAAAACCTTTTACAACTTATGGAAAGCAAAAATATAAAATAATAATAATCCCTCAATAAGACTTCATTGATAAAGAACTGGGAAAAATATTTATAATTCATATGACAGGAAAATGCTACATTCATTAACATATAGAGAACTAAAAATAAATAAGAGAAAAGCCACAATCCAATAGAAAAATGAACAAAGAACAGGAATAGTTCACAAAAAAGAAACCCAAATAACTCCTGAACATTTGAAAAGATGTCAGCCTCATTAAAACAAAAGCAAATTAAAGCTACAATGAAACGTCATTTTTTTCACCTATAAAGTTGGTAAGGATTTCCTTTAAAGTTCGATAACCTACTCTACTAATAATAATGTGGGCTGGGCATGGTGGCTCACGCCTGTAATCCCAGCACTTTGAGAGGCCGAGGCGGGTGGATCACCTAAGGTCAGGAGTTCGAGACCAGCTTGGTCAACATGGGGAAACCCCGTCTCTACTAAAAATACAAAAAATTAGCTGGACATGGTGGTGGGCACCTGTAATACCAGCTACTCAGGAGGCTGAGGCAGGAGAATCGCTTGAGACCCAGGAGGCAGAGGTTGCAGTGAGCCGAGATCACGCCATTACACTCCAGTCTGAACAACAAGAGTTAACCCTGTCTCAAAAAAAAAAAAAAAAAGTGTGAAAGCATTCACATACTGTTGATGGGAGTATAAATTGATGCATCTTCTATGCAGGGACATTTGCCAAACTATCAAAATTACAAATTCACATATCCTTTGAGTCAACAGTTTCATTTCTAGGCATCTATCCTGCAAATATGCTTGCACATATGAAAAATTACTATTTACAGAAACATTAATTAATGTTTTATTTTGAGACAGGGTCTCACTTTGTCACCCAGGCTGGAGTGCAGTGGTGTGACCTTGGCTCACTGCAGCCTCAACCTCCTAGGCTCAAGCCATCCTCCCACCTCAGCCCCCAAGTAGCTGGTACTGCAGGCACCCACAACCACATCCAGCTAAGTTTTGTATTTTTTGTAGAGATGGGGTTTTGCCATGTTTCCCACGCTGTTCTCATACTTCTGAGCTCAAACGATCTGCCTGCCTCAGCTTCCCAAAGTGCTGGGCTTACAGGTGTGAGCTGCCGTGCTCCACTTAATTAAATTTTGATATAGCCATACAATGGAATAGTATGCTTGGTCTATTAAAAACTGTATAGCAGCTTTTTGTCCTGATTCAGAAAAATTGCTAAGATAAATAAAAAAGACAAGGTACAGAACAATGTATATAATATGCTACCACTTGTATAAAATATATTGTGTATAAATGCATGGGGGGGTGTGTGTGTGTATTAAGCAGCTGGTAACTGTGGTTGCCTCTGAAGAAAGTAGCCAGGTAGATGGGGAAGAGGGATGGAAGGGGGACTTTCTTTTCACGAAATATCTAATTTTTGTACGATAGACATGTAGAACATATTTTTTAAAGTAATAGAAAATATCAAAACAGTGAGGAAGAAAAACACATAATCTCGCCACCAAAGATAACATTTTGGTGTGATTATTTTCCAGTAATTATTATTTATTTTTAATTATTTTTATTATTTTATTATTATTATTTTATGTTCGCTTTGCAGGAGTTGTAAAAAGCTTTTTTTCTATGCATGTAATTTTTTAGCAGGTGTGTTAAGATCATACCATGGGCTGGGTGCTATGGTTCATGCCTGTAATCCCAGCACTTTGGGAGGACAGGGTGGGTGGATTGCTTGAGTCCAGGAGTTTGAGAGCAGCCTGGGCAAGGTGGCAAAACCCTGTCCCTACTAAAAATACAAAAATTACCCAGGTGTGGTGGTGTGCGCCTGTAGTCCCAGCTACCGTGGGGCAGGGGTTGGGGGTGGGTGGGGATGCTGAGGTAGGAGGATCACCTAAGCCTTGGGTGGTCGAGGCTGCAGTGAGCTGTGATCGTGTGACTGTACTCCAGCCTGGGTGACAGAGTGAGACCCTGTCAAAAAAAAAAAAAGATCAAACCATGTATGCATGTGTGGTTTTGTATGTTCATCATTTCCTTTAATATTATATCATGAACAACTGGAATTATGTTGATACTTGTATTTCATTTTACATTATGTAGGCAGCACCTTCTTGGGAAGAAATGCTTTCATAGGCAACACAAGCCATTACAAGTTTCTGACTCAAGCTCATGGAAGAAAGGAGCTGGAGACTCTCAGGAGCCCTTCTTGTGAAGTGTAGTACCTGATAGGAAGAGAGAAATAGAGGTGACTAGATATTCTGCAGTAGAAGTTGCCAAGTGGTGGAGTAGAAGGAAGACATTAACAATCACCCTGAGGTTGGGTGTAGGAAGCTCCCAAGACCCTGAGGGCAGGGGTTGGGGGAGGGGAGGGGACAGGCAAGGGGCCTTAGGAGGCCTCAGGGGGCTTCAACCAGAGCCAAGGCTACTGAGCACACACCCCAAGTTTTCTACTTATAACCCAAGGAATACATTTAACAGACTCTTTGAGCACCTGCCATGACACTGCTGGACGAGGCACTAGGCATCAACAATGAATAAGATACAGGCTCTTCTTCCAATGGGCTCTGCTGGTAGAACTCACTAGTTGCAGTTAAAAAGGCGTGTGGTGAGGGCTCCACGAAAGAGTGCACAGGGTGCAAGGTGGAGCTGCAAGGCCTGGGTGCCTGAGCATCCAAGAGGCTGGAGCCTCCTGAGACCTGGAGACTAAGCTTGTCTCTGCAGTGTTCTGTACCGTGTGCTGTGGAAATGGCAATGGGGTGGGGTGATGGCTTCCATTTCTGGATATTTGATCTACACCTTGGGATTTCCTGAAAGCAGAGTTTGAGACAAACATTTGTTTGAAAACATGATTCTAGGGAGCAGAGAAGAAGGGAACATTTATACAAGAATGCTTTATTTAGTCGGCCACTAGTAAGGGCAAAGGGTGCTAGATCCCGTGGGATTCCTCTGAGGAGCTTATGAAATGCATGTTGACCCACGGTCCTGAGAACACAGGATGAAGAACCCAAGATGAAGCTAAGGGATACAATCTCTTGTATCCCTTAGCTCAAGGGTGGCCCCGCCAGTTGTGCTTGTGTGAATAGATTCCCCAGGAAGCCCAGGCCCCAGAATGGGAAACAGAGGCACAGGTCAGCTGCCTGAGGTGCTGTAATGGGAACCTGAACAAGGATGCGCGAAGCCTGTGCGGATGGTCGCCATACAGAGGCTGGATGAAGAGGGAGGGCCGGGGGGATTGGAAATGGCACACGAGTGTTCCGCCGACTGTAGAAAGGCAGCAGGGGCAAAGGCCCTGAGATGGGAAGGGCATCTCAACACTGGGTTTGCCCAAGCATTGTTGGAGAGTCGTGGTGCCTCTAGAGGCTGGGGTAGACTTGAGCTGGGAACACACGGCAATGAGTCCTGAATCCAGGTTAGACTGTAGTAGAAATTATGTATGTCCTTGTGGTGGAAATGAGAATAAAATAGTCCCCACCTCAGGGCTGCCATGTAAGTTGTCTGGCATAACAGAGTTCGTGTTGGTTTCCTCTCTTGATACACCGTGTGGAGGATTTCACCACCCCTAACAGACATATAGACGGGAAATGTCAGGGAGAGACAAAAAAATTCAATTTATTTGGCTTTTCTCCAAGTCTAATTCTTTCTAGGGTGCAAATGGTGCTCTTTTAAACTCTGCAACCCATATTTAACTCAGGGCTTGGACTATAGTAAATGTTTAAAGGGGAACTAACATTTTACTCGGTGTCTCGTATGTACCAAGGACTGTGCTGAGTACTGTCTGCATGTTATTTCATTCAATAGTCCTGATGATTCTGTGACATATGGGCAGGGTTCTTTTCTCCATCCATATAGGTAAGGAAAGCAGGATTCAGACACATTAAATAATGTATCCGGGATCACACAACTAGTATGACAGACACAGAATTTAAACCCAGATGTCTCTGATTCCAAAGCCCACATATGCTCTTTCCCCTCCCCATGTTGCTTGCTACATTAGTTTCCGAGGGCTGATGCAACACATTGCCACAAACTGGGTAGCTTAAGAAAACAGAAATTTATTATTTCACTGTTCTGGAGGCAAGAAGAGCAAAATCCAGGTGTCCTCAGGGCTGTGCTCTCTTTGAAACATGTAGGGGTGAGTCCTTCATTGCCTCTTCCTAGCTCTGGGGGTGGCCAGTAATCTTTGGCATTTGTTGCCTTGCAATTGCAGAAACTTCACTCTGTCTCCATCATCACATGGCGTTCTCCCCTTGTTTATCAATGCCTCTGTGTCTCTTTTCCTCTTCTTGCAAGGATACCAGTCATATAGGATTAAGGGCCCATCCTACTGCAGTATGGCCTTATCTTAAGTAATCACATTTGCAACAACCCTCATTTCCAAATAAGGTAACATTATGAGGTACCGGGGGTTAGGACTTCAACATAACTTTTTGGGAGACGCAATTCAACCTGTAACACTTGCTTCATATACATTTGATGAATGGATTAATAGGTGAATGAATAAATGAATAGGAATAGAGGAGCTTGGTGAGAAATAGGAAGTGAGGTTAATAATTCCCCTCTCTGGCATAGAGCTCTAATGTACATGCTTTTCATATCAATCATTTTCACTCATTCTCAGTGGGAATTGCTGAAAAGTGAATTCTTTCCACATTTATCTGGTGGAATAAGTTAACCTTCTCCACGCTCTCTAGTTACACATTTTTAACCATACCCAAGATCATGTATCTCCATTCACCTCAACTTTACTGCAACCATGTGAAGTATGAAACAGTGTTATCCCCATTTCATGGATGGGAAAACTGAGCTATAGAAGACTCTGTGCAAGCCGTGTTAATAAGTGACAAAACCCAGACTGCAGCCTGGAACTTTGGCCCCCACAGGCATTTTTCTTCTCGTAAAAAAATTATTCATTTTTTCATTGCACTTACAATATATAAACATGTGTTCACCATTAAAAAAGTTTTTAATAATACAGAATTAAATAAAGCAAAATGTTACAGAGCCTTTTTGCCCCCTCCAACCCACTCCCAGAACTAATTCCCAGCCGAGAGGTCATCATACTTGCATCCTTCTCCTTCCTGGATTGTTTTTCTCTACATTTACTGTCAAATATGTATATGGACACCTATTTTTAGGGCTTGTTTTTTATTTACCTAAAGGGGATCACACTCCTTGTGCTGTTCTGGTACTGACATTTTCCACTTAACAACACCCTGGAGATTTTTTTCATGTGTCAGCAAAGCTGATCTTCACTCTGTGTGCACCAGTACGTCAGCGGGGCCAGGTTCTGCTCTGCTGCTCAGGTGTCTGTTCTGACTGGTCATGCTGAAGCAGGAGCTGCAGGCTTTGGGTTGTTTTTGTTTTTGACACAGGGTCTTACTGTGTCACCCAGGTTAGAGTGCAGTGGCACAATCATGGCTTACTGCAGCCTTGACCTCCTGTGCTCAGATGATACTCCCACCTCAGCCTCCTGAGTAGCTGCAACTACAGGCATGCACCACCATACCTGGCTAATTTTTTATAGAGATGGAGTCTTGCTTCGTTGCCCAGGCTGGTCTTGAACCCCTGGGTTCAAGCGATCCTCCTTGCCTTGGCCTCCCAAGTACTGGAATTAAAGGTGTGAGCCACCGCACCTGGTTGGTTGCAGACTTTGAATATCACCCTGCATGCCAATACCTACAGGCGTGTCTCACTTCATTTATATCGCTGTGTCGTGTTCTTGAGCATGGAGCTATCATTTTTATGTAATCATCTACTATTAGTGCAGATTCAGGTTTTTCTGGTTTTTCAGTATTTTTTAGTAAGGTAGCCCTCAACATGCTATACCTGCCTCTCTGTGAATCTGTGTGAGAATGCAAAATACTCTCTCTGTCACTGCTTATACAATAGAGACACCTGTGAGCTCTTCTTGCCCTACAGTAGGACCCTTGAAGAAGGCCCAGGTGTCTGGGCCTCAACACCTCCAAGAATCCAAGTCACTGCAGGAACATTAGCTAGGACAGTGGCTTACCACACTAGCTGCCATTAGGGTCATCTGGGAAGATTCTGAAGAAGCATCTATGCCTGGGTCTCATCTCCAGAAGATCTGATTTAACTCAACCAAGGTTAGTTCCAGGCATCAGGATGATTTTTTTTTTTTTTTTTGAAGAGATAGGGTCTCACTCCATCATCCAAGCTGGAATGCAGTGGTGCAATTATAGCTCACTGCAGCCTCGAACTCCTGGGCTCAAGCGATCCTCCCGCCTCAGCCTTCTTAGTAGCTGGGACTGCAGGTGTGTACCACCACGCTCAGCTAATTTTTTTAAAATTTTTTTGTAGAGGCAGGGTCTTACTATGTTATCCAGGCTGGTCTTGAACTCCTGGCTTCAAGCAATCTTCCCACCTTGGCCTCCCGAGTAGCTGGGACTAGAGGTGGGCGGCACTACACCCATGATTTTTTTAAACTGCTATATATACTTCAAATGCACACTTAAGGTTAAGAACCAATGCCAAAGGACCTCTAAGACTTTTATAAAGGGCCTATCAAAAGATTTGAAACCTGAAGAGGAAAAAGTATTAACAAAAGAGAGACAGGGGAAAGGAAAAATAAAAGAGGACAGAACTATTTCTTTCACCCCACAAATGCTGAGACCAGCCCAGGCTCCAGCCCTGTAAGTACCCACAAGTTGGGCTGTGTCTTTCTCCAGGAGCTGCATCCCCACCTGTGGCTCTCTTGCAAATCCATTCCCCCAAACAAGGCCCCAGCTCTAACCCAGTGGTTTCCAGCCTCTGAGGATAAGGACCCCTAACATCATGGTGACTTTCAGGGCGGTGAAACTCTTCTGAATGAGACTGTAATGGTGGGTACATAACATTATGCATTAGGCAAAGCCTGTAGGACTGTACAACACAAAGAGTGAACTCTAATGCAAACTGTGGACCTGTGGACTTTAGTTGATAATAATGCATGGATATTGGTTCATCATTTGTAACAAATGCATCACACCAATGCCAGATGTTAATAATAGGGGAAACTGAGGCAAGTGACTGGTAGTATATGGGAACTCTTTGTATTCTGTGCTCAATTTTTCTGCAAGTGTAACATTGCTCTAAAAAATAAAATCTATTAATTTAAAAAAAGACCTTCTTACACAGATATAAGTCTTTCCTCTCTATCTCCCCTCCCCCTTCCCAGGAGAGAAGCTAACATTTTAAGATCTTTTGATTGAGAAATTACAGGATGAGCAAGACCCTGTAAATGCCTAAAAGCTTTTTAAAATAAAAAAGTAAATAAATCAATAGTTTATTCATCCCCACGGCATCAGCACCCATCGAAGACAACGTTGCTCCATCTATATTCAAGTCCTCTTTCTTCTTCAAACCACACGCAGTGCCTGCCATGCTTACAGCTTCTCCAGGTCCTCCACGGCCATCTAAGGGTTAAGGACCATGTGCATCCCTACCGCTACCATTCTCCGTCACTTCACATTTCCGGGCCCAAGACTCCTTTTGCAGCAGAGGTTAATCTGATTAGAGTTGAGGTGCTAATAACTTAAATGAATGCCATTAAACACCACCTGATAAAATCTGCCTTTAAACCTGAGCTCCCAAAGGGCCAGAGGCTGTAATGTCAAGCTTCTGGGTAGGGCAGGAGGAGTGAGACTAGTGGGGAGGGTGTCCTTTCCCAGTCCGTGGGTAGCCTCCTGCTGTCTATATAATAAACCCTTTCATTGGCACAGAATTTTATAGTTTGTAACGCAATTTAGTAAGGACTTTTTGAGTGCAGCTAAGCCCCAGATACAGTGCTCTGTTCTTTATACAAATCATCTCATTTGATTTTCATAACAACTCAATAAAGGTATTGCTGTCTCCATTTTGCAGAGGAGGCACTGGAGGTTGGGTGAGCCAAGAAACTTTCCTTATGCAGTACAAGGGAAATCCAAACCCAGTTTGAATCCCGCTTCAATCCCTTACCTTTCTCATCTACTTCTCCCTAACTATGTATTAGTGGGGGTTACATGTGGTAGAATTTCTGTCACTCCTGGGTGACAACAATGGACAGGACCCTGGGATGCATGCAGCCTTCCCCCTGGCGGACCCCGCTTTCCTCCCCTCCGCACCTCCCTGCTAGTCCTCCCTCTCCTCCTGGCCCTGCATAGCTGAAGTTATCAACCCAGCCTGGAGAGCACTCCGTCTTTCCTGACCTGACTGTGCCTTTAAGCCAGCTTTGATATAAGCAGGTTTGGTCCTCATGGGTCGGTACCTGGAGCCACAGTTGGCCCAGGTGTTGGAGCATCATGCTAAAGACACCAGGACCATGGGTGTCATTCACTATTTCCTGTGCACTCATCGAGTGCGGCTGGGACACCAACTATGACCGAGATGCGCTCCCTGCCCTTGGAAAGCCCCCCAGTCCCATGGAGGAGTAAGAAACCCATGGGGGAGGAAGAAAGAGAGGTGAGGGCTGGCGCGGTGGCTCACGCCTGTAATCCCAGCACTGTGGGAGGCCAAGGCGGGCAGATCACCTGAGGTCGGGAGTTGGAGACCAGTCTGACCAACATGGAGAAACCCCATCTCTACTAAAAATACAAAATTAGCCGGGTATGGTGGCTCATGCCTGTAATCCCAGCTACTCAGGAGGCTGAGGCAGGAGAATCGCTTGAACCCAGGAGGCGAGGTTGTGGTGAGCTGAGATCGCACCATTGCACTCCAGCCTGGGTGACAGAGCAAAACTCTGTCCCAAAAAAGAAAAAAGAAAGAGAGGTGAGAAAGAGAGGGGAGAATTGGGGTTAGGGCTTGGGCAGGCCATTTATTCTGGAAAAACCACACAAAGAATTCTGGTGTTCCCTCCCCTTTACGAAAAGCACTTTCACAGAGCATATTCCAGTCTGAGGGGTCCCTCTCACCCCTCCCTTTCCACAGATGTGGCCATTAGGCTTAAGAAGACAGATAAAAGCATGCGCGTGAATGATTTCAAACCCATGTCCTCCTTGTCTGTTCCTCCATTTGACCCGTGTATACTGTGTGCCCACCTTGTGCCTGGCACTAGTGTGCTCTCTGGAGAGCACAGGAGGGAAACAAGAAGGAGGAGACGACTGCCTTGAAGGAGCCCACCTTCCAGTTGGGTCATCCAGCCACAAACTGATAAATAAGTAGACATAGTATAATCACAGTGACATTTAGTGCTGGGAAGGAAAGAAAAGCAGTGGTAGGGAAAGGTGAAAAAGTATCACGTGAGAAAAACAATTTCACATAGAGCCAGGGCCTCACAGGTGCACCAGCAATGTCAGTTCCACCTGAAAAGCACAGCCCTGCTATTGAAAAATAAGTTAACTTGTGCATGCAGATCACAGAAGGCATGACAGTGTCACACGCAGCGTGACCAGGTGGCGATCTGGGACTCAGGTGCCTGTGTGGCACATTGCTTAAGAATTTGAAATCCGGCCGGGTGCAGTGGCTCACACTTGTAATCCCAGCACTTTGGGAGGCTGAGGCGGGTGGATCCACGAGGTCAAGAGATCAAGACCATCCTGGCCAACATGGTGAAACCCCGTCTCTATTAAAAATACAAAAATTAGCTGGGTGTGGTGGCAGGCGCCTGTAATCTCAGCTACTCGGGAGGCTGAGGCAGGAGAATTGCTTGAACCCGGGAGGAAGAGGTTGCAGTGAGCCGAGAGCACGCCACTGCAGTCCAGCCTGGTGACAGAGCGAGACTCCATCTTGGAAAAAAGAAAAAAAAAAAAACTGAAATCAGCCCAGGTCCAAATCCAGCTTTTATCATTTGCTAGCTGTGTGACTAGGGGACAGTTACATGTTCTTTTCAATTCTCAGTTTCTTCACTTGAAAAATGGGGAGAGTAATACCTATCTTAAAGATTGCTGTGACGTTTAAAAATAGATCATATTTGTGTAGCACAGTATCTGGTACTCAGTATTCAATAAGTAATAAATACAATTTTTAATTTTTGTTACTAAAAGCTGAGATGGTCCAAAAAGTTTTCTTATTTTGTTATTAATAGAAAGCATAATGACTTGAATTTGTAATGCTTTCCTTTTTAAAGTAGTTTTACATATGTTATCTTAATCCTCATGGCAGATCTGAGAGTTGAGTATTATTTAGGGACATTTTCCTAGAAGCAATATTATTCATTTCTCACATAGGAAAATGGACACTAAGTGATGTTTTGATCATGCTCCCCTTTGCTTTTGACTCATTAGTGTCTTCTTGTTGCTCCCAAGAAAATGCCCAGAGTCCCTAACATGACTGCCCAGTCCTGCATGGTGGGGGCCCAGCCCTTCCCAGCCCCATCCCACACCACCCTTCCCCTCCAATCTGCATCCTCCCTGCACTGGGCTTCCAGTGTCTGTTCTGCGCTGTGCTTGCTGTCCCCATGGGGCCTCTACCCAGGCTGACCCCTTGTCCAAACCCTGCAGCCCTCTGCCCGAGCACCTGGCTACTTACCCCCACTCCTCCTTGGTACTCGCCACCCTACCCTCACACCTCCATGTAGGTCAGGTTTCCATGTAAACACTGTATCAATTGGGAGTTACATTTATCTCTAAGCAATTAAGATTCCTTTCCCAATGGTGGCTTAACCAGAATGGGTAGGGGCACCAGGCGGCAGTGGGGGAGTTCCTTTCTCTCATGAGGCTAGCAGCCCAGAGGTAGGCAGCGGGGGCAGGCCCACCCCGGGCCCTGTGCAGAGGTCTCCTCCTCAGGCTCACCTTCCTGGGGCCCTGGCCAGCATTGCACTCACTCCCTATTAGAGAGCTTCCCCAGAAGTCCCGCTCCAGAAATTTTACTCTTAAAAAAAAAAAATTAGCCAGGCATGGTAGCACAGGCCTGTAGTCCCAGCTACTAGGGAGGCTGAGGCGGGAGGATTGCTTGAGCCTGGGGAGTCTGAGGCTGCAGTGAGCCGTGATCATGTCACTGCACTCCAGCCCGAGTGACAGAGTGAGACCCTGTCTCAAAGAAAAAGAAAAAGAAAAGAATTTTACTATAGCTTATTCACCTCAAATGAGCTAAACAGCTGCTCCAGGGGATGCTTAGAAATGTAGCATTCTAGCTGGACCCATTTTTCTCCCTAACCAAATAGGGATCCAATGAGGAAAGAAGAGAGGAGACTGGATATTGAGGAAGAAACTGGCAGCCTCTGCCACATAGACTTTCACGGAGCTGTTCCCTCTCCTTCATAACACTTCCCCCAGTTCGCAGTTACACATTCCTTAGATTCAGTGTTTGTGTGTTTTATTAATATCTGCCTTCCCGCTGGACTGTAAACTCCGTAACAGCAGAGGCTGTGTCTGGTTTTGCTCACTATTGAATTGCCGATGCCTAGCACACACCTGACACGTAGTCACACACGTAGTCAGGTGTGTGCTAGGAATCAATGAATAGTTAAAGAGCAAGCATGAAGCTATATGGAGGCACAGCTATGGAGCTAGCTTCCTACTAGCTTATCCCATCTAGTCACTGTAGTGATAAGGATAAGGTGATAACTGAATTCCTACATCTTCAGGGATCTGCAGACAAGTGGAGAGAAGCAACAGGTGAATTATGGCTTCCCTAGGAGCTGCCTACAGAGACAGATCACCGGGTGGTGCAGACCGTCATATGTTTAAGCAGGAAATCGACTCCTCCCCGCTCAGGCCTGACAGGTTCAGTAGCTGTAGGTCCACTGTGTGGCACTGAGTCCCTAAGCTAAGAGGCCATGACTTCCTGACCTTGTTTACATGATTAACACCCAAGGCGTGACCTGAAAGCGACAGGTTCACTTCCCTGCGAAGAACTCATTATCTAGAAGCCTCTGGCATCCTGGAATCCATAGTAGAAAAAGTCCAACTAGTAAGTGTCCAAAACCATACCTTTCGTGAACATCAACTATGGAAAGTGAGTCACAGAATGTTTGTTGCATGAGAACCCATAGCAATGACCTTGCCAACCCCTTCATCTTCCATCCCAGGACACTGAGGCTCAGAAGATGAGGGGCTTCCCCCGAGGAACATGGTAAGTCAGGGGCAGAGGGAGGCCTGGAAGCCAGGACCCCACTCCTTGTACTAAACTACTCGAATCAGAGCGAATCTGAGAGCAGAAAGCAGAGGGCCCACAGTGAGAGCTGGGAGTCCTTTCCCACTTCTCTCCCCTCCCCTCTCTGTTCAGCAACAGAGCAGATTTTCCAAGCAGTCAGTACCCATTGAATTGTAAGCAGTGGCTTCATGAGAGCTCCTGCTCTCAGGACATTTAGACTATTCGAGGGCACTGGATGCGTAGCTGAAACAAATGACCCCTAAATGGAGGTGCTAACCGGAGCTTTGCCCCAAGAGGATGACCAGGTGCCGCCTCCATCCTGCAACTTGCCCTTGCCATCGCCGGATGCAGTGGAGGCCTGTATAGTATGAATCAAAGGATTGCTGTTTAGTCTACATCTAGGTCAGTGTTTTCATCCAAAATTACAAGTTTGGGTTCCTGGCATAACTCTTTACTTACTCATAATATTGTTGTTGTTCAATATATGTTTCTTATACATCAATATTTGCTGATTGGCTGCCTAAATGAATTAATTAACAACACATACATAGTAAAAACCGGTTGAGGAATGTGTTGCAAACAACTTCAATCAAGATCGCCTTAATTATTATTTATTTAGTATGTATTATGTTCCAGGTCCATTACATACATTATTTTTAATCTTTACAACAAATATGCGAAGAAGATATTTAAAAAGAAGATCATTTGCCCAAAGGCATACAGCTTTATAAGTAATGGAGACAGGATCAGAACTCAGTTCTGGCTGATGCCAAAGACTGTTCTTCCACCACCGTGCTTCCTTCTAGCTTTTCAGGATATGCTTGTCCACACAAACGTGGGTCAGCTCTGTTCTTTCTACCATGGGTGTCAAATGAAATTAATTTTTGCCATCACCCTAGCTTACAGTTTTCCATTTTCTGCACCAGTAGGCACGCAATTATTTGCAAGAATATAGAACACTCAGTAGGGGTGAGGTGAGAAGAAGCCTCCCTTTTGCAGATAGACAGGAAGCAGGCAGTGGGCATTCAGTATACTTTTTACCAGGTAAGTAGACTTACAGTGGAAGAACTGCTTAAAAGAAACAGGCCAAGATAAAAGGGGTTTCTCATCCCCTTTGCAAATGATGTTCTCTTAGCACTTCCTAACACACTGAGCAGAGGCCAGTCTTTCCATCTTTCATATAACAGATTGTTCAGGCTTTGCCTCTCTGGTGAAAGGGGTCCCGTGAGGTTGAATCTCCTATAAGGGCTCTCACACCATCTTATGCTCCCTGAATCACTGGACGGGACACAGATTGGGCTAGCGTGGAACAAAGGATGCACAGAGGAGGAGAAGGTGAGGAAAGCGGGGAGGAAAAGGGAGGGGTGCAAGATTCCACTCGGAACCTAACGCGTGGTTATCCATCAGCCTCTGTCCTTCCTGACTCTGGGTTGTTTACAAAATCCTCGCCCTGGTGTGCACTGGGCTGCCTCAAATAGCCCTTGCTCCTTCCTTTAAGGAGGCACTGCTTTTGTTATAGCAAAATCCAAAAGCCTTAACTTACCACCAGGCAGGACACGGCCAAAAGCTGGCCTGGGGAAGACGGGACGAACTCGCAGGTAAATTAAACACCCGCCCAGTGTGGAAGCTTTCTCTGAATACTCCCAAAGACATTCTCCCCTCCCCTATGCCTGCCCCACACTCTTCATGTGAGTGAATCTATCATAAGCATGGGGTGGGGGAAATGTGAGTGCTGGGAGCCTCGTGAGGTGAGTGCCAGCAATTCTAAACAGGAACGGGGAAGGACTGCGGTAGACAAGCCATGAAGCCTTTAAGTCACTTCACGGTGATCTGTATATCCCAGCAAAGCCTAGGCCCCATTAGGGAGTCTTTTAGGGAAAAGGGTACTCCTGTCATCCCACGTGCTCATTCATGAGTGAGGGCAGATGCGGGGAGCCGCACTGGACAGCAACCAAGATGGAGAGCCGTGCGGTGCAGCGTGGTGCCCTCCCGTAAATTCCACCCGCGCACTCCAAGGTTCCACGGCACACGTAAACCATCTGCCCAGCCCTGAGACACCATCTCACCTGTTCTGTGTATATGCAAGTTCCGCTCCCCCCTGTCCTCAGCACTGGCCTCTAGTCCATTCTCCATCCCCATTCTACCTCTCACAAAATAAGTGTGTGCTCAGGGAATGGAAATGCATTGAAGAAACCTTGAAGGAAGGAGCTGAAGGTAGGTCCGCTGCCTACCTGCACCAAGAAAAACAAACAACTCTTAAATATTACTAAGGCCATGACCCCTGATTAGGGATGCAAATGCATCTCTATTGACCAAGGTTATAAATCAATGTTTAAGAAATTAGATCATTTGGCAGATGTATATTTAGATGAACCGTGTTGTAGACCCTTTTGCACAGTGGGACCCCATCTCCCCTAGTACATCTTGACGCTGGGTAGTCATGGGTGTGGGGCACCGGGAGCTCCTGGTGAAGGCAGTCCTGCCTTTCCCCTGCATGTCCACAGGCCAACTGAGCTGCAGTGGATGGGGTTTGGTCCAGCATCTCTCGTAGATTTACTTTTTGCAGGAGCTTGAGCTGGTAGATCCCAAAAAGTATTTGCCTCCAGCATATTCTCCCTTGATTTTCACAGCTTTCTGCATTTCAAGAGTAATGTAACTCATGGGAGGCTGATTCACTGAAAAGAGCTCAGCAAAGTCTGGTTTGTGAGAGCCATTTGATATCTAAGAGGCCTTTCTTTCCTCGTCTTCTGAGCCCATCTACTCCAAACCCCAACTCTGGCTGGAAGTTGGAGAGGCAGAACCCAAAGCAATAGCAGGGAGGGGAGCCCAGGCACCATGCAGAGGTGGATTTAATCCTCCGAAATCACCCATGATTCTTTCCCCATTCAGCAGATGAGAGCATCAACACTCAGACAGGGGCAGCACCTGCCTTACAGTTTGTAAGTGAGAGATCTGCCACCGCACTGCCACACACCCTGGGGAGCAAACCGCTCAGCCCCAAGATGCCAGCCCAGGCTATGCTTCACTTAGTGGCTCTTTTGAGCTTCCTCCTTCTGAAGCCCTGCACTAGCAGGAATCCAGAGGGGTCCACTCACAGTTACCCTGCAAATCAGTTCCGGTTCAGACCCTACTGTTGGCATTGAAAGCTTGCCGTGTTCTTAAACACTGGTCCTGGTGGCTTGGGGAGTAAGCGGTGAAGTTGAGAGGGACGCAGTATATAATACCGCCATGAGCCTTCGAAGGAGCCTCAGTGGTCTCTCACCCTGGGGCCACATCCTGCTAGGCTTCAGGTTCCCTGGTCACCAAGTCTCCTTCCCCCCCACCGACAACCTGCAAGGTAAGTTGATACAGATATGTTGCTGCCAGGGGCGACGCTGTTCCAGATTGCATCTGAAGGCAGAACCAGGGGTCAGGGGCTGCAATTACAGCCAGAGGTTTTAGATTAGAGAGAAGGGCTTCCTGACAAGTTGCTAAACTCAGCGGGTAATTAGGGAGAGTTTACAGAAACTCTTTCCCAGGAAATATAATCCCATCACCCTACTTAGGAATAGTCTCCCTAGGAGGACAAACCAGAAAGTTTCAGGCTTTTCAACCTAGAAAGACTATGGACGTGAGTCTCGTGAAATGAAGCGGGGTTGATGGGGAGTTCTAGCGGGCGAAATCAAACCTGACCTGCCTCCTTTACAGACTTGCCAGGATAAAAGGAGATAACATCTCTGCAAGCATTTGTCTACTGTTTGGTGCCAAGGCGAGGATGAGGGATTTTTATTGTGCGCAGGAGCTGGGGTCTCTCCCATGAGGCTTTAAGGAGTAAATAAATGCAGCATCGCTTTACACAGAGGGCAGCAAACTACCCAACTGAGAGCAGTGTGGACTGAGGAGTGCAACAGGCTCCAAACAAAACTTTAAGACAATTCACCAATATCAGGGGCTTCCAGGTTAAAATCAAGGGACTCCACTGTGGCTTAACGCCACCAAAAAAGTTGTCACGATCATCTCCATTGTCATCCGTTACTCTTCGTATATGCATTTTGCACATTTTCTCATTTGATCCTCATCACACTTCTGGAGAGCAGCTCGGGGAGGTATAACCCCATCCTACCAATGAGGAAGTTGAGGTTCAAAACTGGGTTGTGTGAATTGCCCAAGGTCACATAACCAGCAAGCGGTACCACTGCTTTGTGTAACTTCAGGTGGAGGTCAATGCCTTTTCCACTCTGACTTTGCCCACTCTTGCGATCAATTCCTTCATTCATCCATGTGTTCATTAACTCAACAGATATTTACTAAACATCTTTAAAACAAAGGAAACAGCAAACTGGAACATATTTTCTTTCCAAACTCATTGTGAAATTGGGACATACTCCAGGAAATAGTAACATCATTTTGTTCCCTGGCTCTAAAAACACTTAATCTCATCTCGTTGTCTGTGACACTTCTTACTAATAGCTGACAAGGTCTTAACAATTTGCCCCATCCGTTTGACCCCATCTTCTGCCACTTCCCACCTCCTTCTCTAGATCCTGAGTACACTGACCTTTCAAGTCCTCAGTGACACCAACTAGGCTGCTTCCTGCCTCAGGGCCTTTGTGCATGCTATTTCCCCCGTGCATACATGTCTGCACCATTCGCATAATTCAGGTCTGAGTGCCGCCAATGTCATATTCCCAGAAAGGATTTTCCTGACCTGCTTCATCACACACAGGCCCTCCCCATCACAGTACTTTTTATTTTCTTCATGGAATTTATTACTTTCTAAAATGTTCATATTTATATTTAGTTGTTTGCTATCTGTATCCCCTTGCCCCAGCCTCAAATTCCAGGAAAGCAGGGGTCTTGTCTGTCTTGCTTGCTGAAGCAGGCACCTGCCCCATGTTTAACATATAATAAATAAATATATTAATTAATTAAATAAAATCATGAATTATTGGTCAAAAGTATTTATTACATTACACTTGATTGCACAGTACAATTATTGTTATAAGCTATAGATTAAAAACTTTTTTTTTCTTAATTTGCACTGAAATCTAATTGCAAGGAAACTGCGACTGCAGCAGTAGGTTAAGTTCACACAGAGTACATACCCTGGATGGGAATACTGCTCCCTTCAATCTGTGTTTTGTTTGTTTGGCTTCAATTTATGGACGCAGTTTCTTCTGCTTCCAGACTTACCTTGGAACCTCCAGTCCTTAATAAATGCTGAATATGGAGAAAGTTTCAGTAAGTTGTGGCCAGTGGACAGCAGTCCACTTAGGAGTCATCGTGAAGTTAAAAATACTGACAGGTCACAGAGGGCTATGGGTGTCCAGCCAAAGCTAAAACTTCTGTCCCTAGACTCAGAACTAGACCTGCAAGAAATGAAGCTAGCTTTAGCCCCTTTCATCAGCTGTTTTCTTCATGGCTGGCAGCTTTTCCTCAGTTACTTCTTCTTTTCTCTTTCTTATTTCCCTCTTTCCTCATTTCACTTGCTCTTGCAAAAGGAGCTTTAAAAAAAACCTTATTCACATTAAGATGTAAATGACTGTTGACTTCCCAGGTGTCCCTGCAGACTAAAAGAGAACCCACACTGAGGAATAAAGCCACAGAGGGATTCCAGGCATGCAGAAGCACCTGCTTAGAAGGCTCTGCCCTGCTCCTTCCTGCTCTAACTCTTAAGTGTCTTGAAAAAAGAAAGACCTTACAGGCCATCTAGCCATGTTGACGAGCATGGAGACCCTGAATCTAAGGAGCTGATAACAATAAAGTGTTGCATGGCCTGAAGATAAACCTGGAGGGACCTTCAAGGTACGTGGCTGGGTCTTCCTTGCAGCCACCACTCTGCATAAAATTTCCATTGGCAGGTGTATCTCACAGGCATTTGGCTGCAGCACTCTTAACTCTTCTCTTGTCCCAGTGATATGGGCTGTAATCACAGACAATGAGTGTGGGTTTAAGGAACTTTCAGGAAGATAATCACTCATTTACAAGGCACCCTCTTTATAGTTGCAGTTACAGGGGGAGGACCAGCACCTGCTTCCTTGCTGTGCTTTGAGCTGTGTGATATGACTCCAAGAACACTGTAATAAATACATTTCTATTTATCGAAGCGTGCTTTATGTAATGCCCACAACTATCCTCTGAAATAGATATTGCTATGACCATTTTCAGCTGAGAAGAAAACTAAAGCTCATGGAGGTAAACTAATTTGCCCAAGTTCACATAGCTGGAAATAGTGAGGCTGGGATTCCTTCTGACTCCGAAGGTCTTGATTTTTCCTTTAGTTTCTGTCTTCACGTTTGCAGGTCATAGTAACCTACTGTAGAATGAGCTCATAATTCCCAATAAAAGGTATGCAATTACATTTTTAATTTCCTGAATGAGAAGTAAGTGTTAAAACTATGTTTTGAGTCATTTACTTGAGTTGATCAAGTCAGTCTACGTGGTATTCACTTCTTAAACAAATATTGACTGATCTGATACTAAGTGCCAGATGCTATCGTTTGAGGACACAGGGAAAACTGTTTGTGACCAGAAGAGCCCAACAGCTCTGTCTTCAAGGAGCTTACATTCTACTTGGGGAAGATGGAGAATAAACAAATAAGGAAAACCTAGACTATGTCAGGAAGTGCAGAGGATTGTGGTATCAAACAAAGTAGACAGCAGAATTGGGAATGCCAGGAGTGGGGTTTGCAATTTTAAATAGTCTGTTCAGGGGAGGCCTTGCTGGAAAGAAGGGATTTGAACAAGGAGCTGACAGAGGTGGGGAATACAGCATGGGGCTCTCTGGGGAAGCCTCATTCCAACAGTGGGAGAGCAAGGACAAAGGCTCTGAGCTGGAGTGGCCCACTTTGCTCAGTTACTTACAAAGATAGATTAATATGAAAAATGTCAGTCCGATAAGTTGTTTGGTATTTTAAATGCCAAAAAAAGACGGGGAAAATCTTAAGATTAATCTCTGAGATAGAATCAGGGGGAGTGGTTGCTGTGGGAGAGGGTGGGTTATGGCTGAGGGGTGAGGGAGCTGGGGCGGTTCCACATCTTGATCGAGGTGGAGGTTAGAGGCTTACTGTCACCTGCTGCATATTGAGGACTGTGCACTTTACTCTGTGAAGTTATATCTCAGGGTTTTGTTTTGTTTTGTTTTGAGATGGAGTCTGGCTTTGTCTCCCAGGCTGGAGTGCAGTGGCGCCATCTCAGCTCACTGCAACCTCCCCGCCCCGGGTTCAAGCGATTATCCTACCTCAGCGTCCCGAGTAGCTGGGGTTACAGGCATGCACCACCACACCTGGCTAATTTTTGTATTTTTAGTAGAGATGGGGTTTCTCCATGTTGGTCAGGCTGGTCTCGAACTCCCGACCTCAGGTGATCCATCGCCTCAGCCTCCCAAAGTGCTGGGATTACAGGTGTGAGCCACTGCACCCAGCCCACTATCTCAGTTTTTTAAAATGAATTTAAAAAGAGGCCTTAGTTCTCCACTTCCGGGTTTCTGAAGTTACATATTCACATGCCGCGTAATACCAGAATTTTTAGTGCACGTTTCATGGTTTCTTCTTTGCTGCTCAAGCTTATGAGATTCACTGAGAAAAATGCAAGCTTAGAAAGAACAGGGTTCAAGGGTTTGCTCTGGGATCTTCAGAGAGTTGACCATCCTTCCTGGATCTGAGTTTCTAAACCATAAAGTAGGACTGGTAATGACGGTATCCACCTTGCAGAACTATTGGGAGGCGGAAACAAGATCATGTCTGGGAAAGTTCTCATTTAGTTGCAAGACCACAGAAATCTTACTTCACGGTATAATTACAGGTGCATCCAGTGTTTTACTGGAGTGCCTGCGGGATCACCACCACGTCAGCTCCTACTTGGGCTATGTCCCTTGCCTTTTGTCTCCTGCCAGTCACCCTCTGCTAGGCACTGGGCACTGCCACACACGGCAGGTCACTCCGCCAAATGGTGTTCTATGGTGGGGGGCAAAATGACTCCTGTTCCTTTTGGGCAATGGTCTGAACTTCAAGCAGATTATTATACTCTAAACATCTCAGAGGGTGACTCAACAGCCCTTTCTGTCACCACCCCCTCAACCCTGCAAGACTCAGACCTGAGTGCAGGGGAAGCTGGACCGGGACAGCCATGTGACTGGTGGGAGAGGCGAGGCTGTGCAGCGCTAAGACCTTCACCTCTCCCACTGGTGACTAAGCCTTGTCACTAGATCACGCTTGTCCTCCTGTTCCTTTAGGAGGAGGTTTCCCAGGTATCAGCCACTCGCATGGAGAAAATTAAGTTTGTGGGTGGGGGGTGGGCGGAGGGGTGCATCGTCAACAGGGGATTTGGAACTTAGGGAAACTCAAGTGGGTCTGACTTTTATTATCACCATCTGTTTGAAGTTCTAAAGAAAGTCAGTGACACAATACTGCCCCCCTCAAGACAAACCTTATCTTGGTCTAAGTCCCAAATAGTTGCTGTGATTACTATTTATTGACTTTAATTACATATAGATATATAATTACATCTGTATAATATTGTTATATGATGTAGATGATTACCTTTTCATTGCTTACTTTTAATAATCATTGTGTTCTCTATGGCAGTTAATTTTGAGAACTCCCAATCGTATAGTGCTCTCCCCAGCGACTAACCCCAGCCCCAAAAGATTAGCTAAATGCGTCTGTTTCCAGAGCTATTCCTAATGGCATAATGGTTTGGAATGGTTAGAACTTTCTTTCAGGTATAGTCTGCCCCTATGGTATCACATATTCTTGCACTTAAACAGTTTGCTTGAAAAAAATAAGCACATTGATTATATTAATAAAGGCAAAGAAACAGAGTGTGAGTGACTTCAATTCTGCCATCCTATGTGAGAACTTAGAGTTTTTATCTGCACTTAAAATTGAAAACAGTGAAATAAAGTGTGAACTGCAAGGTATAATGTTTTGTTTGGTAATAGTTCATATGGGTTCAAGCATAAAATGTTCTACAAACTGTGGATAATATCTTTAATATTGCTGTTTATTTTTTAGTTGTTATTTTTAAAGTAAAGAACAAATCAAGAAAATAATGATGATTACATGAAGAACTAATTAAGAAAATAATTATTACTATGTGGCTATTATGGAAAATAGTTTTGAGGTTCAGAGGGAGGAGGTATCAAATATTAACAACTCCAGGTTCAGATGCACTAGGCACAGCAAAGACTGTGTGTACCACTCAACCAAACACACTGAATTCCAGTGATGGACATATTTGACTCTCAAGAGCCATGCCCTGTGATCTTGTTATTGCTACCCTCCTAGGATGGTTTCAGATACAGCCCCATCAAGAAGCAAGGGGGTGATGCAGATGGCCCAGGAGCTCTCTGCTCTTACCACTCATACATTCAAAAAGCACTTATTGGGCAGCCTTAGTGCACATTGGCCTGGCAGAGCTCTGCACTTGACCTGGAGGTTACAGGGTTAAGGAGGCTAAGGTCTCCCTGCATCTACCCAAACTGAGAAAACCAGCACCAGATGAAGGCTAAATATCTTGCTGTTTGGTTGGTTGGACACAGTGGCTCACACCTGTAATTCCAGCACTTTGGGAGGCCAAGGTGGGCAGATCACCTGAGGTCAGGAGTTTGACACCAGCCTGGCCAACATGGTGAAACCCTGTCTCTACTAAAAATACAAAAATTAGCTGGGCGTGGTGGTGTGCACCTGTAATCCCAGCTATTTGGGAGGCTGAGGCAGGAGAATCGCTTGAACCCAGAAGGTGGAGGTTGCAGTGAGCCGAGATCACGCCACTGCACTCCAGGCTGGGCAACAGAGTGAGACTCCATCTCAGAAAAGAAAAGAAAGAAAAGAAAGAAAGAAAGAAAAAAATTTGTGCTGTTTAAAAGGCTACACTCCAGGCTGGGCAACAGAGTGAGACTCCATCTCAGCAAAAAAAAAAAAAAAAAAAAAAAAAAAGAAAGAAAGAAAGAAAGAAAAAATCTTGCTGTTTAAAAAAGCTACAATTACAGTATCATTTCCAAAGCACACCTATTAAAAAGAAGGCTTTATAGGGAGGAAATGCACACTTATAATGTAATAGTTGATAAACAGAAAACCCATTTATGTTATTATACAGTTAGAAGATGCATCCTAACCTGCTGTGGAGAGACTAGTAATTGTGGAGAAACTCGTCCATAACAGATGACAACACATGCTCCAACATCACCCGAGCATTTAGAGGCCTCTTGAGGTGTCTCTGGAACTAGCTGTAAAGTGCATCTTCCTGATTTATTTAATAAAAGCAATTCCTGCTTGTTATTGCTCTTATTATCATTGGTAATAATAGTGACAGGGTGTTTGAACATGTTCGTTTAGCTCTGGGATTGGCCAGGAGGAGAGGCTTATATTCTACTGTTTATTACTCATCTAATAGTGAAGACCTGTGAACCGACTGGTATAAGCATGGGAGCCTGGGGGCAGTAAAGACACCGCCAGGAAGGCCAGGGAGAGGGTGATCAGTGTGACATGTCATTGGTGGCAAAAACCACTGGACACTGGTAACTGACTCCCTCTCCGTAAGAGCAGAGATGCAGACCTTCTTCCTGGTATGAAAACAATAACTAGCAATTTCACAACTTGCTGGGTTCTCCAAACTTTCTCACCCAGAAAAGTTCTTCTGGCTCATTTGTAAACACTGGTACAGTCCTTTTTGTTCTAGACTCAGAGGAGCAGGAAATCACCCAGGAATACCAGGAAAAGCAAGCTCTAGCATTGACCTGAGTTTGAAGCTCTTTTACTGGCTGTAGGTGAGACTTTCAAGAAGTTTCTCAAGGGTCAGGAGCCCTGTTTTCCTCAGCTGTATAGGGTACACCATAATACCAAGCATTTGGCACGTTATGAGAATTGGATGCAAAGCTCTATGTTAAAACAGCTAGCAGGCACTGTGGATCGGCCGTGGTACACAAATACACGGTTGTACTACTGCGCCCAACTACAGCTTCTGTCATCCTCATTTTCATTACAGTCCCGTCCAAGTGGGGACTGTTGCTGTCGCTGCTCCTTCTTCTTACTCAAAGTCTTGAGAAATTCTTCTTTCCACATGCTAGTAATGGTCAGAATAAGAAGAATGAATTAGAAATGTCTATTTCCTCCCACGGCACTGAAAGATCAGTCTGATTAAAAAATTACTTCACTGGTGTTTAATAACTGCACTAAAGGCAAAATGTAATTATTCTCATGCTTTAGATGGAGAAACCGAGGCTGGAGAAGTTAAGGAAGTTGCTCAAAGTCATGTAATAAGCCCGAATTTTTATTCAGGGAGTTCTAGATGTTTTTCCCCCTTAGGGATGCTTCCCACTATTATCAGGTTGGTGAATAAGAAAATCCTTTCTTGAGTATGAGTAAAATAAATTGGAACCAATATTAAACAGAGTTTTTTACAGTTTTACAAAGCACTTTTACAAAAAGTCTCTAACTTCATGCAAGATTACTTGTATTACTAAATAGTACTACTAGATATTATCATTTTACAAAAGAGGAAACTGAAATTCTGAAACATTACTTGGCCTGTCCAAAGTCACGATATTCAAATACGTAGAGCTCAGACCACTGTGGTTCCAAACACCCATCCTACCATTATATTTCCTAGACGTGTAAGGTAAAAATGGTATCTCCCCATCCCTGTATTCCTCACCACCTGCCTCCTGCATCTTTTCTCTCAGTCCATGTAGCTTCCAGTCTTCAAATTGCTTGCTCCACTATTAAGAATTCCTTGATTAATACCTTTCTTTCTGACCTCAAGGCAGCTTTTAACCTTATCTGTATAGTCCCGACATTCCAAGAACATTGGATGTGAGTCATGTATTTGCAGAATTCTATTTTATCATCTGATTTTGAAACCCAATCCCTCATGAAGGATAATCTAATGTTTCTGGGTCATGAAGCTTATGCAATTTGGGGAGCCCTTGGCAGGAATAAAGAAAGAAAAACAAAATTAGATACAGAGCTTTGAAAGAAGCCCATCTGTGTGAGGCGTCGGTACTAACGCTTAAGCTTCAGAGCTTCAAAGTAGAAGCCATGAATTCACCTCCATCCCCAAGTAAGATTCAACTCCAGTCTGGTTCTCCTTCAGTGAATCTACTCTGGGCCAATACTGAGCTGTCCACCTTGCAGGTTTAGCTCACCTAACTCTCACGGCAACACAGACAAGAAGGTATGATTGTCTTTTTTTTTTTTTTTTTTGAGACAGAGTTTCATTCTTATCGCCCACGCTGGAGTGCAATGGCACTATCTCAGCTCACTGCAACCTCCGCCTCCTGGGTTCAAGCGATTCTCCTGCCTCAGCCTCCCAAGTAGCTGGGATTATAGGCACCTGCCACCAAGCCCAGCTAATTTTGTATTTTTAGTGTAGCATGTTGGTCAGGCTGGTCTCAAACTCCTGACCTCAGGTGATCCGCCCGCCTCAACCTCCCTAAAGTGCTGGGATGACAGGCGTGAGCCATCAGGCCCAGCTGTTTGTGTTTATGTTATAATTTGACTACTCTCGTTTTCAACTCAAGTTTCAGTTTGTTGAGCCAAGGAATCTTGCTTCTAATTTCTTGGTAGGACCTCCCTTGATCCCAGCACAATCTTGAGTTCATAAACATTTTATGAATGAATGGATATTTGAACAAATGAATGAATAAAGGAACATGTTCAATGGCTACTTGTTGAATTTATAGCAGAAAATGTAATTGTTATAATAATTGCTACTTTTTGAGTGCCTATTACGATCCAGTCACTCCTCATATATTATCTCTAATTCTCACAGCCTCCCTGCAGAATGGGTATTATTATCTCTAATTTATAGCCAAGGAAACTGAGGCTCTTTGCAGTTAAATTATTTGCCCAAGGTCAAACAGTTAGTAAGTGGCAGAGCCAGATCCGATTTTCTCCAAAGCTTAAGTTATGTCCATCTCAGAAGCGACACTCCGGTTGCTGTGGTCAGGGGCTGTGTCCTGCCTCGTGCTGTGCCTGCTCACAATTATGACTCGCCTGTACATGGAGGTGGGTGAGGCTCCTTCCTGCTTCACCACGCTCTTTCTTCTCCTGCCTCATGTGCTCCCACAGTACCTTGGACATGCTCTGCACACGTAACATGTTTGTCACATGGAAATGAACAGCGGGCAGATTCCCTTAGTGGGTCTACAGGAGGAAGTACAATGAAATAAGAGTTGCCTTGGCAAACAGAGAACGCGTGCCAAGGAGACCAAGGTGTTGAGAGAAGCAACTGCCTGGGCCCAAGCAGAGGGGAGGAGGCAAACAAGATCCTCTGGGGCTTTTTACTTTCTGCCCCAGACGGACCAGACGAAAGATGCCCTTTGTGGTCTCTTTGGACCAACAAGACTCTGTGATCATAGAGGAATGTGAGCATGAATGCCAGGTTCCCACCAAGTGCTGGTAATGATGAAGTGTCTCTTGGGCAATTTTTATATGATGAAAATGTGGTGGTGCTTTTAAGAGGTTTCAAGAGCCGTAGGCAAAAAGATGCTCTGATGACAGTGGAATGAGATGCTCAAGGCTCTCACCTCCATTATCTCATTGAAGTCTCTCCAGTCCTTTAGGGATCAGAGGGAAGCAGTCAAGGTAATTCCCATCTTACAGAGGGGAAATTAAAAACCCGAGATCTTAGAGCCCAGAAGTTCACCATGTTTATTCTGTATTTGGCTTAGTAAGTGATTACCCTTAATACAAGAAGTTTCTAGTAGACAGGACAACTTGGAATATTTCCTTCCTTTACATTAAAATTCAATCTAGCATCACTGAGAATTTGGTATTTAAAAAATGCTGTTTGCTGCTGGGAAAGAAGGTTATGGGGAAGATGGTGATGATGCTGACAACGATGACTATGACCAGTACCAGAGACCTGAATTCATTCAGGAATAACAGTACAAAGAACACCTGTCCCCAGGTCCTTGAGCGCTGAGGCCCAAACACCTTACAGAATCCCCCCAGTTTGGTGACAAACCACTCCTATCGTGAACTACCAAAAAAGGGGAGCAGGGAGATTGGAATAACCAGCTCTTTGGTAGATAATCCAGGTCCGTAGTCTATGGTTCTGGACTCTGGATGATTCCCTGAGCCAGCCTGTCAATAACTGATTCCAGCAGGGATGTCTGGCTTGGGCTGGGGGCACTGGCAGATAAGGACATGCAGTGCTCAGATGTCGCTTCAGAAAAGGACTTGCAGAGTGTGATTAGCTGATGGGCTCCAGCTTTTAGCTCCCTGGGGTCCGCCATGACTTCCTACCTGAGGTCACACATTCCTTGCAAGAGGATGGATGGGAATCAGCCAATGATCGAGCAAGGTGCTAGCAAAAATGCATACCAATTTCCTTGCTATGTGGGACTCCTTCATTGGGCAGTCTTTGCTCTGGAGCTGCCCATTGGGCTGGCATGGACTTTGTTGGATGTACATGGTAATCTTGTGGCTCCTTCTGCCTTGTTCTACTTTCTCCCCTTTTCTCTCACAGGTCTTCTTCCTGCAAACTTTCTGCACTCCTAACTCCACCGCAGCATCTGCCTTCTGGAGAACACAGCTGTCACACCTGTGTTAAGCTCCAAAGCGCTGGAGGTACCTAGTGCCTGGATGAAACTAGAGACATGGAGATATTGCACCCAATAGGACAAGGATGAATCCAGCCCACAGGCCACCAGAGAGGAGGAATACAGCTAAGTGGCTGAGGGCATGGATGCTAGCAGCTGGCACCAGCGCTAACCAAGGGCTTATCAGGACAAGGGAGGCAGCTCCCCTCCATGCCAGCCAACTGCACTTAGGTGACGATGCTGAGGATTTCTGCAGTCTAAGTTACTCTGAAGCTTGGGCAAATTGTTTTACTGCCTTCAGCCTTAGTTACCCCATATATAAAATGGGATAAGTGACACGTGTTGTTAAAGTTCACCTTTCATCGGACCCCAAAATGATTCTAGAGATAGAGAGCAGATTAGGGGTCGCTTAGGGCTGAGGAAGATGGGGCTATAGGAGGCTGATAGCTAAAGGGCACAGGGTTTCTTTCTGATGTGATGAAAAAGCTCTAAAATTGACTGCGGTGATGATTGCATAACTCTGTGAATATACTCAAAAATCACTGAATTGTACACTCTGAATGAGCGAGTTGTATAACACGTGAATTGTATTTCAACCAAGCTGCTATTTTAAAACACTTAGCTCAATGAATCATTGCAAGATGAATAACCCATGTAACCATCACCCAAGTCAGGAAATGGAATATTCTAGAATCCCAAAGTCCACCTACCGCCTGCGAGGACATGTATTTTTTGTTTGTTTGTTTAGTCTCCTGTCCCCAGAAATCTTATGGCACATCTCTGAAATAGGTCATTTGGTGTGACTGGTATTAACTTCCACTGGGTCTGCAAGGAAACATGGTGGCCTCCCTGGTGATCCTTCTCATGAAACACAGAGTTCATTCCTAGCGTCCTATTTTAAAAGGGATACTGGCAAATCTGAGCCCATCCCAAAGGTGTGTGAACAGATGAGGAGATCTAGTGTTCACATGAACAAAAGCTGAGGATCCAGGTCCACATAGCCTGGAGAAAAGATTTCTGGGGGACCGAATTGTTGTCTTTCCATAGTAAAGGGTTACCACATGGAAGTGAAGGCACCTGTGCTTTGTCACCCACAGGGCAGATCTAGGAAACAGGAGATGGGGCAGTGCCAACATGTATAGTGTCCAGCATTACATATGGCACGTGACACACAAATACCACCAGAGTCATTTATCAAGGGCCTAGTACATGTCGGGCTTTGCGTGTTCTCTCGAATCCTCACAAAGACCTTGTCAGATGGGTATAATAATCCATGTTTTGCAAAAGAGGAATGAACTGGGAGAAGAAGATTTGCCAATGGGGACAGATGAGACAGTGTGGCCCTCTTAGGCGCCAACATCTTTATCCTGCATTAAATGAACATGCAAGCTTGTCCAACAGACAGGCATCAAAGGCTGTTTAGAAGAGAAGGGAAAAGAAATGGAGAGGGAGCAGGGGACCTCCCAAGCTCATTGCAGGTGTGTCCCTAAGAACTCCAGAGGCCCGGCCAGGTACAGTGGCTCACGCCTGTAATCCCAGCACTTTGGGAGGTGGGCGGATCACGAGGTCAGGAGATGGAGACCACCCTGGCTAACACGGTGAAACCCCGTCTCTACTAAAAAAATACAAAAAAATTAGCCGGGCGTGGTGGTGGGCGGCTGTAGTCCCAGCTACTCGGGAGGCTGAGGCAGGAGAATGGCGTGAACCCGGGAGGCGGAGCTTGCAGTGAGCCGAGATTGAGCCACTGCACTCCAGCCTGGGCGACAGAGCAAGACTCTGTCTAAAAAAAAAAAAAAAAAAAAAAAGAAGATGATGATGAAACTGAGGATTAGGAAGGTTAAGCGACTTGCCTGGACCAAGATCATCAGCTGCATGAACCTCTTAACAAAATGTTGGTCTAAAAAGCTATGTCAGGCTTATTCCTGGTTCCTCGTCTAAGCTGCTGTGACATTCTTCACACACGTCACCCTTTCCCTGGCCTTAGTTTCCCAATCTTTGGGCATGGGGCCTGAGCAGAGGGCTGTATAGCGGCTTGAGCAAGTGGTCTGGCGAGAAGAAAGTGCCTTCTGAAATTGAGTCTGTTCTGTGGCAGCGTTTGGGTGGAGCCCCCGATTTTGGCCCAAATTGCGCAAATAGTTGATCATAAAGAAGATTAAACAGACAAGTGAGATTTGCGCCGGTGGTCTCAAGATGGGACAAGTTTGTTCTAGATTTGAAAGTCATGCTTCAGTGCTCCAATGTAGCAAATTTTCTGTCCCTGGGGCTCTGGGGAAACCCTTGTGTAGTATATTTGCTTTCAGTTTCCTTTGACAGAGGTAGGGAGCTGGTGAGTGGGGGAAACATGCCCTTTTTCTAGGATCCCTCAACGCTTAATAGACGTGCAATCACCATCATCCAGCAAGGGCGTTGACAGCTTCTCAACTTCTGAACATTCACCCAGCAACCCGCGCCATGCCCCTGCGGTCTGGCCCTTGTCCAGCCTGCTGAGCCTTCTCTGTCAGAACCTTCATAAAAACAGGAACAGGATCTCTGACGGCCCAGAGGCTAACTCTGTCTCCTTTCTTGCCCGTTTTACTCTGGGCCCTCCCACGTGCCCACCAAACGCTGAAGGGAAGATTTTCTTAACTCAGTAAATGGCCACACATGTGTCTCGCTTCTGCAGTTCTGGCTTGGAGAAGTTTAATGTCTCGGGGCTGGAATAGCCTTGGAAGTCCTCAGGTTTATCCCACTGCCTCTGGGTTGACCACGTCGAGAGCTCCCCAGGACTCTCTGCCTCCCCATGTTTCTTAAGCCCACATCTGTGCAGAGCTTGTGGATCCTCAGTCAGATCAACCAGTCAATCTCCAAAGCTGCTCACCATCTAGTGCCACTGAGAGCCTTAATGCAGATATAGATGATGACCTGGTAGCTCACATGTACTACCCAGGGCTTTAGAGAATATTCAAAAAGTGCAAGTCCTTGTATGACTCAGGATGTGTCAGGTAGGTAGCTCCCGGGAGACAGAGAGAAGGCGGGTAGCCCCTCCATTGTGTGTTTAGCTCTTTCAACAATCCCTTGTAAGGTCTGTTAAATTATCTTGAGCACACAGCTCATTTTCTCAAATAAAATCTGTTCACTTTAAGGAAGAGAGATGCTTTATCTTCCCTCCTATTATTCCTGGCATCAAACCTAGCAAATAGTAATAATAATAATAGCTATGAGTTATGACTGCCTACTCTGTTCCAGACACTGCAAAAGGAACTGTAAATACATTAGCTTACCTTACCTTGACGAGAATTCTATGAGTCAGATATTGTTACCATTTGAAAGACGAAGAATGAAGGATCAGATTCATTCAGTGACTTGTTCCATCCTGACCTTTCAGCCTATAGCTGATGGAATCAGCATTCTAACCCAGGATAATCTGAGAAAAGGCTGGATAAGTCAGGATAAGCCAAGCTATGCTGCAGGTACAAGTAAACTCTAAAGTTTCCGTGGCTTTGTATAATAAAAGTGTATTTTTCACCCACGCAAAAGTGGTTGCAGATCTGAGTGCATCTCCAGGGTAGTTTTCCTCCTTGTGGCAGCTCAGCTACCCTTCCCTTTTCCCACCCCAACATGGGGCCTCTATTGTCAATCTACCTGAAGACAAAGGGCTGGAGCTTCACGCAGGGGCTTCCATGCTTAGGGCTGAAGATGACCTGACTGTATCACCACCAAACACATTCCATTAGCTAGTCATTCACAGGGCCCCACCTAACTTCAAGGAACCTGGGAAAGTAGACTTCTCTGTGCCCAGGAAAGAGGAAAACCAGGTATGGAGAAGCCCTAGTAATCTCTGCTACAAAAGCCAACATGCTTTCTACCATGCTAAACTGCCTCTAAAACTGAAAATAAAAAATAAAGTATGTTCTAATGACATTGCCACTGAGGTTGTCACGTGCACACAAAAGACTGGAGTGGGTGAGTTGGGGAAGATAGAGGAGCCGTTCATGCTGTAGACAAAACGCAAGACTTTTTGGTACATCAAATCAGCCCCCAAATCCCCGACCTAATTAGTGCCCAGACAGAGGAGCTGGACTGCCCCCATCTTTCCTCTCAGATGGATTTCCAGTCTTCTGTGACTTCTTCTTATCAAGGTGCCCCTAATATTCACTGTAACAGAACCTCCCACATATACACCACTCGCTGCTGGGGTGCACAGCAGAGAGAGAGGAAGTTAGGAGGCAGGGCTGGCATATGTGACACTTCGCATACATTTTCTCATTTCATCCTTGCAGCAAACCCACTTGGTGTAGCTCTTGGTAGTTTCACCCATTGAATAGTACAGGAAATTGAGACTCAGAATAATTAAATCGCTTTTGAAAGGCCACTTACGGGGACCTTCTCACTCCAAATGGACTTTTCTCACTACGACCATGTCAAATTTGCCCCCGGTCTGTTTTATTTACTTAAGTGGATCTCAGTCGCATGGAAATGGATTAATCATAATACTTATTTCATTCTGCACTCCTATAGTTGCCCCATGCATAACCCTACTTGATTGTTTGGCTATTGTTTTGAAAAATGTAACACGCTCCTAGAAACATACCACCCAACACATGGTTCTTCTTCATCCCACTCTGCCTGCCTCTTCCATGCACTGTAATTAACATACTACATTTTAGATGCATCTTTATCTTGCTTTCCTTTTATATAATTTCATTTTATTTATTTATTTATTTATTTATTTTAGAGACAGAGTCTTGCTCTGTCACCTAGGCTGGAGTGCAGTGGTGCAATCATAGCTAACTGCAGCCTCAAACTCCTGGGCTCAAGCGATCCTCCTGCCTCAGCCTCCCAAAATGCTGGGACCGCTGGCAGGCACCATCATGCCCAGCTACTTCTAATTTTTTTGTAGAGATTAGGGTCTCACTATGTTGCCTAGGCTGGTCTGGAACTCCTGGCCTCAAGCAACCCTCCCATCTCAGCCTCCCAAAGAGCTGGGATTACAGGCATGAGCTACTTTGCCTGGCTGTTTTATTAATTTTGAACACTGTAATATTTCGTTGTGTGAAATACTACAAATAATGTTTTCAGCTACTCTCTTATTTTTGCTATTGTGAGCAATTGCTATGAATGTCTTTTGCTGTGTGTGAAAAGGTTGTTTATGTAACCAGGAGTGAAATTGCTGTGCAATAAGTATGTGAACATTTTTCAAAATGGTTGTAATCATTTATACACCCTTAAGGAATGAGAGATTTGTGGATTTATTCATACATCTTCTGCAACATTTGGTTTGGTTAGACTTTGTAACTTGCCAGTAGAATTAACACATTTCCCTGATCACAATGAGGTTGAGTATCTCTTTGTTTATTAACTATGTGTGTTTCCTCTTCCGCAGAAGACCTGTCCAGGTCTCTTAATGATTTTTCTATCAGCTTGCTTATGTTTTTCTTATTGATTTCTAGGAGTTCTTTATAATATTCTTCAAACTAATCTGTTTACAAGTTGTCTTTTCTGTATATTCAAGGCATTACATGATGTTCTTTGCTTTAATACCTCTAAGGTTAGCACTTTCTGTTTTGAGAAACTCTTCTCTGCTCCAAGGTTTAAAAGATATTTGCCTATATTTTCAACTAAATTTAGAATTTACAGCCTGAAGTTTAAAAATTTTAGGTTTTTTTTTTGACAATTAAGTCAATCTGGAGTTGTTTGTTTTTATATGGTGTGAGGCAGGGAATAATTTTCATATTTTCCTTATAGATAACCTTTTTTTTTCAGCTTTATTTATCAGATAGTACACAGGTCTGTTTCTGCATTCTCTATCCTATTCCATCAGTCAATGTGCCCATCCTGTGGCGCTGCCACAATGTCTTCATTACTCAGGCAGTGTGTGATTAGCCTCTTGTGGCTCTGTTTCCCCCAAAATTGGCAATGATGTTATCTCTCTCTTTAGAACTTTATGGTTCAGATGAATTTCCTTTTCTCTCTGACCTACTCAATTGTAATCTGACACTTGTTACACTCAAAAGGTCTTTACACATAGAGGGAGTGGGCAAAGTAAGCTCTTGCTCCCATCAGGCACCTTCCTCTAGGGACTCTCGCCATCAGTGGCCAGGGCCCAGAATCTCAAACTTGCTTGCCTCTAGCACCAGGCACCTCTGTCCATCCCAAACAACTTCCATCACCTCTGGAAGGTCTCACAGTATCCCAGTCAGGCAGAGTCCCCATCTCCAGTTTTTTGTTTCGTTTTTGTTGTTGTTATTGTTTTCTTTTTTTGAGACAGGGTCTGGCTCTGTTGCCCAGGCTGGAATGCAATGGTGAGATCTTTGCTCACTGCAACCTCTGCCTCCTGGGTTCAAGTGATCCTTCTGCCTCAGCCTCCTGGGTAACTGGGATTACAAGCATACGCCACCATGCCAGCCTAATTTTTGTATTTTCAGTAGAAATGGGGTTTCACCATATTGGCCAGGCTGGTCTGGAACTCCTGGCCTCAAGTGATCCACCCACCTCAGTCTCCCAAAGTGCTGGGATTACAGGTGTGAGCCACCATGCCCAGCCCCTACCTCCAGTTTTACTAAATCCCAGGGAAGCATTTGTGATGGGAAAAGAAAAACTTTACAACTTATGCGGCTAGCTCTGTTTGGTGGATGAGTGAGTCCTGCTTATCTAAGATTTGATCCAGTTCAAATTAAGAAAACTGTAATTTCAGAGTTTCTCTTGGTTCTTTGTGTACTTAATGACAAAACACCTGGGGTTTAGGAAATCTCAAAGGGATGCAAAGGGAGATAGATCTCAGAGCTCAGTGTGATATTGAAGTTAAAAGCTAAATCGCTTAGTGATCTGGTAAAGAGCTATCTTGACATTATACAGGTGTTGGAATTCTGAAAGAGAGGAGATGGGTGCAAGGATCTGGAAAGGAGGGTCTTCAGTAGGAGCATGTCTAATAAAAGCATTCCAGATCAGAGAAGGGCCAGCGAGTTTCCAGAAACAGTAGTGTCTGACCTTCAGTGTGTAGTTTTTCCTCTTCTGTGCCACCCAGCCAGGGATTCTCAATCCTTGGAAAAGTCTCTTCAGTACAATAGCCTTGTGTTAGTGATGCTTTGCAGGGAAAAGAAGCGGCTCTGCCTTCTGGACAAGAGAGAAATGAGGAAGAACAGCTACCCCCACGGTGGGGGTGGGGAGTGGGGAGCGAAATGTAAGTGAGAATCAAAAACTTCATGAGGGAAAGAATTAAGAGGAAAATATGAACATGAGACTATAACCCCCCAGCAGAATTCTGGGAAATACTTGAGAGGGTTCTAGGGAAGGCTCTGGGCTTCCCATGGTACTGCGATGAATGTGCAAATTGTATTATTTGGATATTAAAGCAAAGGTAACAACAGAAGGGCAGAGGATATGAATTCATTTAGTGATGCAGGAACAGAGGGGCTGCCAGGGAAGTGATGGTCATGAAAACATATGGGGCCTCTTTAAGTCTGGTCTGAGCCCTTCATTTCACAGTTGCTTTGTGGAAGGAGCAGAGACAGCTAAGTGGGCAACTCCAAGAGCTGAAGGATCAACTTACCAGAACGGAAAGACAAAAATCCATCCCCTAGGAGCCCCTGCGTTCTAACAACAGGCCCTTCTCTGAGGCAAGAGGCTGGCCAGAGTCAAATGTTGGCGGAGATCTTTCTTTCTTCCTCCCTCCAGTCTCCTCTGTTGCCCATGGATATGATCACCCCAGAGAGCATTCGTCAGGCCTATCTGAGCTTAGGCTGCACCAGGCAAGCTTGCATGAAGGAAAAGGAATCAGCCCTTAATGTGGCACTGGGTCAGGGGCCCCCAGCCACTCACCACTGATGACTGAATCTTCTCTCTCTCTCTCATACATATTTTTATTCTGATAAAATATACATTTTAACCATTCACCATTTTAAACATTTTAAAGTATACAGTTTAGAGCCATTAATTATATTCACAATGTTGTGCAACCATCACCACTATCTATTTCCAACATCCCTCATCATCTCTAACGGAAACTCTGTACCCATTCCCCCGTTCCCCACTTCTCCCAGCCCCTGGTAACCAACCTCTAATCTACTTCTTGTCCCTGTGAGTTTGATTACTCTAGATACCTCATGTAAGTGGAATCATGCAATATTTGTCCTTTTGTGTCTAGCTTACTTAGCATAATGCCTTCAAGTTTCATCCACGTTGTAGCATGTATCAGAACTTCATTCATTTTTATGGCTAAATCATAGTCTATTGTATGTAAATACCACACTTTGTTTATACATTCTCTGTTGATGGAATTTGGATTGTTTCCAACTTTTGGCTATCATGAGTAATGCTGCTATGAACATTGATGAACAAGCATCTGTTCAAGTCCCTGCTTTCAATTCTTTTGGGTGTATACCTAGGATTGGAATTGCCAGATCATATGGTTTAGCTTTTTGAGAACTCATCAAACTATTTTTCCATAGCAGCTGTTCCATCTTACATTCCACCAGCACAATATTTGAGTGTCCCAATTTCTCCACAATATTTGCATCATTTGTTATGTTCTGTTTTGTTTTTTAATTTGTTTTTAATAATAGCTATCCTAAAGGGTATGAAATGGTTTCTCATTGTGGTTTTGCTTTGCATTTCTCTAATGACTAGTGATGTCGAGCATGTTTTCTGTGCTTATTGGCCATTCATAGACCCTCTTTGGAGAAATGTCTATCCAAGTTCCTTGCCCATTTTTTAATTTGGTTGTTTAGTTTTTTTATTGTTGAGTTGTAGGCATTCTTTATATATTCTTGATATTAATCCCTTATCAGATACATAATTTGCAAATATTCTCTCCCATCCTGTGTGTTGTCTTTTCACTTTTTTTTTTTTCAAGATGGAGTCTCACTCTGTTGCCCAGGCTGGAGTGCAGTGGCATGATCTCAGTTCACTGAAACCTCTGCCTCCCGGGTTCAAGGGATTCTCCTGCCTCAGCCTCCAGAGCAGCCAGGATTACACACCACCATGTCTGGCTAATTTTTGTATTTTCAGTAGAGACAGGGTTTTACCATGTTGGCCAGGATGGTCTCGATCTCCTGACCTTGTGATCCACTCACCTTGACCTCCCAAAGTGCTGGGATTATAGGCATGAGCCACTGCGCCCGGCCTACACTTTCTTAATAGTGTTCTTTGAGGCACAACAGTTTTAAATTTTGATGTAGTCTAATTTATTTATTTATTTTTCATTGCCTGTTCTTTTGGTGTCATATCCAAGAATTAATTGCCAAATCCAATATTATGAGAATTTTCTCCTTTTTCTCCTAAGAGCTTTATAGTTTTAGCTCTTACATTTAGGTCTTTGATCCATTTTGAGCTATTTTTTGCACATAGCATAAGGTAGGAGTCCAACTTTATTCTTTTGCTTGTAAAATTCAGTTTTCCTAGCACAATTTATTGTGCAAACTGTCTTTTACCTATTGAATAGTCTTGTCTCCCTTGTTGAAAATCATTTTACCATGTACTTGAAGGTTTATTTCTGGACTCTCTATGCTATTCTGCTGGTCCACATGTCTGTCTTTATGTCAGTACCACACAGTTTTGATTACTATAGCTTTGTAATAAGCTTTGAAATGAAGAAGTATGAGTCCTCCAACTTTGTTTTCCCTTTTCAAGATTGTTTTGGCTATCTGGGTTCCTTGAGATTCCATGTGAATGTTAGGATGACTTTTTCTATTCCTACAAAATAATCAAATTTTAATAGGAAATGCAATCAGTCTCTAGAAATAGAACCTCAAGAAATGAAATTATTTTACTCTGCTGTCAGAAATAAAGTTTAAAATGTATCTGGAAAAGCACTTTGGGTATAAATTTATGATAACAAATGACTAGCATTAGATCCTCCCTTTGGAACAATTCTTAGATGATTAGAACTTGTAGGAACTTTAGAGATCACTATAGCTGAAGGCCCAGAAAGGTTAAGTTTTTCTGACTCTTCTCAAGTGCTATTTATGTTATAATACACAGCGAAAACACAAAACAGGCCCCTGCAACTTTATAGATGAGAAAAGGATCTCGAAAAGCAGAAAAGGGACAGAACGGGGTGAAGTATTGGAGAGTTGGATTGGTTCTGAGGACAAGTCCTCGCTACTTCACGATTTGGCTCACAGTCACCCAGAAACAAATTAAGTTGCACAGCCCTATTTCTGAAAAAGGCGTGGCATGGATCTGAATGCAAGAAAATCAGGTCCAGTTGTAGAGTTCAATTCTACAAACTATGGAGAAAGCAACCACGGGAATCTTTGGCTGGCAGAAGTCTGGCCTGATCGTCAGCATTCTTAGGGTTGTTCCTTTCTCACAGCTACGTCTCTCTACTCTGCCTGCCCCTGTCTTGCTATCCTACTCTCTACCCTAGCCTCAGCCCTAGAGGGCAAAATGGAAGAGCAGGCAGCAAATAATGAGAAAGCCTTCAGAGAACATGGCTGAGTCTCCACCCTGAAGTTCAAGGAAGGTCAGAAGCAAGAGTCAGAAGAGTTGGATTTGAGCTTCATTTCTTTCTTTAGCTTGTTTGTGTTCCTGAAAAAAAAAAAAAAAAGAAATCACTTTACTGTTCTTGACCTCAGCTTCCTCATCTGAAAAATGGGGAACTGCATTAGTTAAGATAACACTAGCTAATAATATAGCAGTGAAAGTCCCAAATCTCAGTGCCTTAAGACAAAGCAAATTTCGTATTCACTTAAAGTCCACCTGGTACCAAAGATGGGGAGCCACTTCACAATATCATTCAGGAACCCAGGCTGGCACTGGCTCTGCCATCTTCAACCTGGCTTCCAGGGACACCTAGATGGTGACATCCAGCTGCCAGATAGGGTAGAGAAAGTGGAGTGAGGATTCTGTGAGAGGCGTCTATTCTAGGGACCAGGCCTGTAAACTGCATACATCATTTTTTGCTCATTCAATGGCAGCATTGCACTCCAAAGAAGACTGGGAAACATACCTGAGCCACGTACCTGGGGGGGAAAACGGGAACAGGTTTCATGAGTAGCAAGTCAGCCTCTGTCATAGGAGCCCAGCATCTGCTTTGTAGGGGTCATGGGATTGTTTTGACTTTTAATTAGATGGCAGGTATCAAAATGCTCTGAAATATCAACATTGCCACACAGTGTGTGGAAGTGATGATAATTATGATAATAATGATTCATCATTGGTCCAATAAATAATTGTATAGCACCTAACATATGCTCTGAGCACTGGAAATTGAGCATTTACAGACCTTGCACTTCTAAACCTTGCTGCTCTCAGTGTGGTTCGTGGACCAGCAGCATCATCATTTCCTGGGGAAGTATTAGAAAGGCAGAAGCTCAGACCCCACCCCAGATGCACTCGGTCAGAATCTGCATTTTAACGAGAGCCTCCAGCAGCCTGTATGCACGTTGCAGGTGTGAGAGGCATGTTCTAGTAAAGGAAAATGAGGACGTGGGTCCAGCAGCCCAGGTTACCCGCTGACAATGCGGAAGGACTGTGGAGTCCAATGATCCAGACGGAATCCTGGCTCTCCCACTCGTTGGCTGCATCATCTTGGGCAAGATACTCAACAAAGTCTCAGTTACCCAGCAGGAGTAATTAATCACCGTGTTTCCTTCTCAGGGTTGTCAAATGAGACAAATTACCAAATAAGGCCATCCACGTGACGTCCTGTTCACAGTGCCTGGTGTGCCGTTTGTGTTCAATACATGTTAACTAGCATTAATCATCTTATCTCTGTTAACGTTGCCACAAGTTGATCCCGTTACTTTCCATAAACCAACCCCAGCACAAGCACAGCAAATATATGGCATGTGTCTCACTACTTTAGTCTCCCATATCCACAATAGGTGTTGCTGATCAATCAAGACGTACTTGTCTTCTAGAGCCCAGACTTGCCTTAGAATCTGTCTCACACAAGTCTCCAGATAGTTATTATTAATTAATGGAAGCAGGTATGCAAGATAAAAGCTGTTGGCCATCCCTGGTTGACTTGGGCATTCCCAAAGACCAGATTTTCCCTTTACTGTCTGCAACTCTGATATTCTTGTTAGTGGCTGAAATGGAGACAAAGAAAGGCAGGAGGACAAAGACCTGCAGAAAGTTTCCCATCTGGGAGCCTATGAGAATGGTAGAGTCATCAACAACTCAGGGGACTCAAGAGAGAGAGAAAGCTGTCCTGAGGAATGTGCTCAGCCAGGAGTATGTTAAATGTGAGGCGTCTTTAAGACCTCCAAGCAGACATGTCCAGAAGGTAGTTGAAAATACAGGTCTGGATTTAGGAGAAACATCTGAGTTGGAGACAAAGACCTGGCCACCATATGTGGCAGAAACGGTTGATTATCAAACAACTCTCTCCCTTTTCTCAGCTAACTGTGTCCCACGTTTGTTCACATATCGAGCGGCCACGTTTTCAGAGGAGGCTGGATCCTAGTCCAGCGTTAGACCCTAGCAAAATCTTGATTAGCCCAATACAATCACAGAGAATTCCATTCCCTCGGCCAGTGTTTAAGATTGGAAACATAATACAGGTCTGGACAATGAAATGGTAGAGGAAGTGTGCAAGGAGGATTTGAGAAAAGTCATCTTTATTTTTAAAGAGATTAAAAAGAGACAAAAAGAGCATCTGCCCTGCAGTTACGGCTCTGTGAGGAGGCATTGCCAGAAGCTGCTGCAGCCATCCGGTGACCATGAGAGGATATGGCTGAGGCCAAAACCAACATGCTAAGGATGGCAGAGCAGAAGGATGCAAAGAAACTGGGTCTCTGATGATATCATCAGCCCACCAAGTTATCCAACCCTAGAAACAACCTCAGGACTCCTGTCCTTCTTGTTTAAGCCAGTTGAGCCAAGGTCTCCATTACGTGCTGCTAAAAGTATTCCAAGCAATCCACAATCTCTGCAGATAAATATCCACCTAACAGAGGTGCCTGCTAAAGCCATGGGTGTGTTTGTAAAACTCAGTGGAGTGTGCACAAGGAGGAAAAAGGCAGTCGGAAGGGCCCATAGAGGGAGAGAAGAAAAGGAAAGAGCACAGGAGACAGAGAAAGAGCACCACCAGGGCGGGAAGAGAATCAGAACACACTCCGCCACGCCAGCTCATGGAATGAAGATGTTCAAGAAAACATACATGATAAGCAGAATGAAATCGTGTATGGAACTAAAGCTGGACTAGTTCTGCAACAATAGAGTGGTGCAGATGCCAGTGGCAAAAGAGGGAGGGAAGAGTTATATGTTGGCTGACTGACACTACCTGTCTGATGAATTGCCTGTTTGACAGCTTTGGTCACCCTCACTGGCCACTTCATGGTGGTCACGATAACTCTGGTGTCTAGGACTTGGGAAACATTGACCTTTAGGGTGAGAAAGAAGCATCCCTCTGTGGACATGAAAATCATATGCCCAGGGTCTCCTGGGACCATGGAGTTTACAGAATGCTGCCCATTGTCAGAGCAACAGTCCTGACACCTGGTCCTGACCCTATCTTCTGCAGACAGAATATGAAACACAGAGCTGTGTTTATCAGCTGTGTGAGTTTTGTTTATCATTTGATGGAAGCCACTTTGTTGCATTCCTGTTACCAGTACAGGGAGCAGCCCCAGCTTCCCGGTCCTCTCCTCCCTCCCTCTTCCTTCCTCTTTGCTCCCTTGGTGTTGCTATACCCTGGGCTTCCTGGCCTTCGATCACAGGATTCCCACTGTTGTGAATGCCCTTCCTCCTCATCCCATCTCTACTTGGCAAAATCCCTTTCTTGTCCTTCAAGACTGATACCTCCTCCATGAAGCCCTCCCCAGTCTTCACAGGTGAACATCACCCCTAGCGTTCGGCACTCCTATTCCACTTGGGTGGAAACTCTGTTTCCCTAAACACCAGGGAGGAAGTGTTTGGGGCATGTGTCGTCTCCTGGGAGACAAGAACATAGACCAAGAAATAAACCCACCTATACAAATAAACACAAAGCCTGCGCAAAGTCTGTCCCATGTAAGTGCAGAGGGGGACACAGTGGGGAGAGAAAAGTGACCAGACCCTCTCCTCCCACCTACAAAACAGCCCTGCCCCTCTTCCCTTCTGAGATCATCTTTAGGGTAGAACAACCTTGGCAAAGTGGACTGCGTAGCCCCCCAGACATTGGCTACGAGCAGCCCTCCCAGGCCCCACTATGCACTGTCTGCCTTCCCCACCTTCTGAGAGCAAGTGACCTGACAGGCCTCCAGACAAATGCCCACTGCCTTTGGGCCAGCCGCGCTCTGAGCCTTCCCTCCTCTTGGCCTCTCTCCACCTCAGCAGCCCCTCTCCTGGGCTCCAGTCCCAATGTCTGACCACTCTCTCCTTATCCCTTTCTCATTCTTTATCTGTTACTGTTTCTTTCTCTGACTGCCCATCTCTCTCAGACGCTGTCCTTGTCCTTCCTCACCTCTCTTCCTCACTCCCTAGTCTCACTGACTGAAATGAAAATCTTCCAGAGAAAACAGATAGTTTTCCTTGCACACAAGAAGTGAGAGGTTGCTAACAGATCCTGGGAAACTAGGGAACAGACCCGAAGGAGACAAGATTTTAGGATATACTGAGCCTCACAGAAACTTACACACGTTCTAACTGTTCTAACTGCAGATCCAGTTAGAACTTGGGGTGAAAGCACCCATCATCAGGATCCGAGAATCCTGAGTCAGAAATACAAACTGTGCCCTGGCTGGTATCTGAAACTGGTGGCGTATATTATTGTTACTGTGCACCTCTATCAGTTAAAAAATGCACAGTCCTTTCAATATATGTATATCTACTTATTTACAAATCATAAAATAAATAAATAGAAATATCATCAACTATGGCAAAGAATGCTCGCTGTCTCTCAACATCCTGTTTACCTTCTTCTACAGTATTAAGCCCCCGACATGTCGGCTGGGCCTGTAGCTACTCAAAATTCAGACTCTGTTTTCCATGCCCTAGCAGCTGGGCAGAGCCGTTTGGGTCACGTTGTGGAGACTTCAGCGGAAGTGATATGTACATTTTTTTAACCTGCCCTGCTATAGTTTGGATGTTTGTTCCCACAAACCTCATGTTAAAATTGGATCCCCAATGTTAGAGGTGTTTGGGTCATAGAGGTGGATCCCTGAGAAATCGCTTGGTTCTGTTCTCGCGATACTGAGTGAGTTCTCACTCACTAGCTCCCGCCCGAGCTGGTTGTTTAAAACAGCCGGGCAATCCCCACCGCCCCTCACTCATTGTTGCCTCTCTCACCACGTGATGTCTGCACACGCCAACACCCCGTCCCCTTCCGCCATGAGTGGAAGCAGCCTGAAGCTCTCACCAGAAGCGGTGTTGGTGCCAAACTTCTTGCACGGCCTGCAGAACGGTGAGCCAAATAAATCCTTTTTTCTTTATAAATTATCCAGCCTCAGGTATTCCTTTCCTGCAACACAAATGGACGAAGACGATCCCCTATACTTCACTTTCTTCATGCCGCCCCCTGGAGCATGGACTGGGGAGCAAGCTCTCTCGGCCTCTATGGATAAGGACAAATCAAAAACTGTTGAAGCAACAGGAAAGGGAAGACACAAGTCTTTGGATAGTCTGATGGAGCAGAGACGTTTTAGCGGCCTGGGTCATCTGCCTGTGGACACTTCTACCTCATTTGGGTGCGGCTGTCGTGAAACAGAATCTATATTTTAACCATGTTGTGCTTTTAGAATAACATTGCGCATATCACGAAACACCTGTAAAATATAGACTCTGAAAATATTAGTATTTTTAAATCAGCTTTTAATTTTAGAATAAGTGTAGATTTAGAGAGAAGTTGTGGTTCTTATATACCCACACCCAGTTTCTCCTATTATTACTGTAATATCTTATATTACTATAGTACATTTGTCACGATTAATGAACCAATATCAATATTGTTAACACATTATTAATAATAATTATATTGATACATCGTTAACATTATGTTATCGTTAACATATTATTATTGGTACATTATTATTGAAGCCCCTGCTTTACAATGGTATTTTCTTTTTTTGAGACAGAGTCTCACTCTGTTGCCCAGGCTGGAGTGCAGTGGCACCATCAGGCTCACTGCAGCCTCAATCACCCAGGTGCAAGTAATCCTCCCGCCTCAGCCTCCCGAGTAGCTGAGGCCACAGGTGTATGCCACTTTGCCTAGTGAAATTAAAAAAAAATTTTTTTTAGAGAAGGGATCTCCCTATGTTGCCCAGGCTGGTCTTGAATGATGGTGTTTCTGAAATCAATAGAAGTTTACCGTGCTCTTTCTAACCCCATGCATCTCATGCAGTCCCCATGGTGTATATACACCCCATGGGAGACTATTGTGGGAAATAGAGGACCGGAGAGACCGACATGGGGAACAGTAGGATTGTTTATTTAAGTTGCTAACTGGCTCAGCTTTTTGGATATGAATCCACTGAGCTGGTGCGTACCTTAAATAAACAATCGTCCTGTTCCCCATATCGGTCTCTCTGGTCCTCTATTTCCCACAACAAGACCATTGCCTTTAATGCTTAAGCCCCTATATCAAGGGCTGTCAGTCTTCTTCCTCGTCACGCAGCATAGGAATGAGGCACTGAAAGGGAGCATCAGTGAAAGGAGGCCAAGCGTTCCATATTAGAGTCCAAAGAGTTTAAATACTGTGCAGGTACTAAGAAATAGAGTGGCTGGTGTCACTAGGGATGAGTTCAGAAAGCTTCTTGGAAGTGGTACCAGGGAAGCCAGGCATTGCTAGGAGACACAAGGACTGATGAAGAGAAGGGTGTGGCATTTCCAAGGTGGAGATTAGCCCATGTGCAGACCCCAGGAGTGGGAAGGAGCAAAGGTGAGGTGTGGGTGGCAATGAGGTGGAATCTGGGTTGCCTGAGGAACGTGGGCTGGGAAGCAGCACAAAGCAAGGCTAAAAGTCAGAGTGATGGGTGGGAGACTTCTGCCCCGAGTCTTGGGTACTTTCCTTGTTGCAGAGCCTGTCTGCATTGCTCGAAGCCCAAGGCACTGTCTGTTCTGCCAGGCTCTGTGTGTCCTGGCTCCTCATTAAAGCAGTGGGATTTTTCCTTGACCCTTGGGGGCCCATGTGTCTGGAGGGCAGCCATAATTTTGGAGAAAATTTATAGCAAGACTCCCTTTTCCTGGACAGGCCATGAGATAAGAGCTATCAGGAGAATTAAGGCTTTTCTTCTGAAATATAGACTGAATGTATCCAGAGCCTACATGACATGTCCCTTACTGACAGCTTCTGTTTAAATTCTGATTCCCAGAAAAGAGGAGGAAGAACAAGGTTTTATGTGGCTGTGCAGGCAAGGTGCCTGTGGATTGGAGGAGTTCGGGAAGCAGTGCCTCTGAGATCAGCTGCATTGTTTTCTCATTTGAGGACAAATTAACCCAGGGAGTTGTGCCTGATGGCCTGGCATCCTCACTATCACCTAGGTCTGGTCTGTAGAAACAGAGGCATAGAACAAGGAGGTCACAGATAGTCTTGAAGGAAGGAACATAAGGCCTCATAAATACCTGGGGTTTTGAAACCACCTGCTTATTTGTGTAGACTGTGAGCACCCCTGAGGATGGAGGCTGGGTCTTACTCATTTTGGATCTCCAGCCCGGTGCCTGGCATGTAATATGTGCTCAGTAAATGTGTTGAATGAATTGTCTTTCCAACCACCACTTACCTCACTCATGGCAGAATCAGTGGGAGCCCGGGTATCCTGAGCCTGGGGTCTCGGCATCCTGTTCACTACACCGAATTGCTTCTGGGACCTCAGTCTCACTTAGCAGAAGTTCCAGCTACTGTCTGGTTCTGCCAGCCATCTTGCTCCTCCTCCCCGAGAATATCCACATCAGCCTCCTCCTCTGGTGCCTCACCCGGGCTGTTCAAGGTATGTGCTAACCAAGGCAGTTGCGTCCGCAGGGTTGTTGCTCATCTGGGCTGGTTAGCATCTGTCAGGCTGGGCTCTGGCCCCAGGCAGTCCTCTTGTAAATGGGAAGGTACAAATGAGTACAGATGGCGTTGCTCAAATCCATAACTTTCCATGGATCCGTAGAGGGCAATGGTCTCCCCATGGGTACATATACCACAGGGGTGCACAAGACACAGGGGGTTAAGAAGAACAAGGTAAACGTCTACTGATTTTAAGAATACCACCATAAAGCAGGGGCTTAGTTAATAATAATGTATCAGTATTGGTTCATTAATTTTGACAAATGTACCACAGTAGTGTAAGATATTAATAGTAAGAGGCCGGGCATGGTGGCTCACGCCTGTAATCCCAGGACTTTGGGAGGCCGAGGCAGGCGGATCACGAGGTCAGGAGATCGAGACCATCCTGGCTAACACAGTGAAACCCCATCTCTACCAAAAATACAAAAAAATTAGCCAGGCATGGTGGCACGCGCCTGTGGTCTCAGTTACTCGGGAGGCTGAGGCAGGAGAATCACTTGAACCCGAGAGGCAGAGGTTGCAGTGAGCTGAGGTCGTGTCGTTGCACTTCAGCCTGGGCAACAGAGTGAGACTCTGTCTCAAAAAAAAAAAGATATTAATAGTAAGGAATATGGGTGTGGAGTACAAGGGAACCGTCCACCTGGAGGATGAACTACAAAATCTTTAGGGTAGAATTAAAGTCCTCCATAATCCGGCTGGAGCCTCCTGTATCTCCAGCAACATCTTTTACACTCTCACTTAAATCCTTACTCTGATCACCTACTTCCCCCTCAAACATCCATGGCTCAGTCAAATTTAACACTGGCCATTTTTTAGACACAGCATTTCCCTCGCCTCTGCTCTAATCTCCCCATGCCTGGGAGTGCCATCCATCCATCTCTCCCTATGAAAATCCTAAATTCAGAGTAAAATTCCATCTCCTTTAAGCTTTCCTGACTCCTACATGCTGGGTGGTGATGAGAATCTCTCCATCCTCTGCATTTCCATAGCCGCATTTACTCCCCAGTAATACAGTTAGTTTTATATACACCTGTGTCCAGCAAGAGACAGTGAGCTTTGAGGGCCATGGATGTGGCCTCCTTGTTTTCTGCCTCCCTCACCCAGGATGGCCCTGGCACAGTCTACACTGAGGAAGGGTGAGGGCAAGGGCGAGTGGTCAGTAGCATTTTCTCTGTGTTGAAAGAGCAGCACTTTCTCATTAGTTCACACTATGCGTGAGAACATCACAAATGGACCATCCTTCCCTTAAGCTTGGTGAGACCATTACTGTGCAAGGAGGTGAGGATCTTGCTTGGGAATCATGAGATTGAGCAGGGGTCATTTGAATTAGTCTGTCTGTCAGCAGAAGCATCTAGACATGGGAGGAGGAGGCTGTTTAGGGCCCAGGCTGGGAGAAACTGGCTGGCCCAGTCCCTGGGAAAATCACCCAGATACCCAAGTGGGCAGGAGAGCTGAGTTATGAATTCACAGGAGGTTCAATGGATCCTGAAGAGGAGAGGAAGCAAGTCCCTGTGAAGGGCCCCAGCCCCTCTTCTATCTCTCTCCTTCTCCCCATATCCCATTGCTGGGTTTTCCCTGCTATGTGGAAGCTGTGCATGCCCATGCTCCCTCCACTTGCTACCTCTTCCCTCCTGGAAGGATCTCCAGATATGCTCCCTGAGAAGATATATGAGTGGGTCGTAGCAGAATCGAGGGTATGCTGTTTGAAATCATAGGCCCTAAAGAAACCCAGTGGCCCCCAGAAAGTCACTGAGCCCAGAGCTTTAACAGAACTAGTTCCCGTCAGTGGCCTTCTCCTAAAATCCTCCATGCCTCCCTCCCCGCATTCCCTTTGTGCCTTTTCCCTCTAAATGCTGCTGGGATCATTGGATGGAAGGCGCTTGGCAGCGCTATGGCTTTCCCAGGCCCTACTAGGCCCCTAGACTCTGGGTACTGGTAACCTCTGCTATGACACAACCATGACCCTTGGGCTTAGAACCAGAATCATTAAATCCATCTTTCTCTTCCTCTCCAAAGCGGGTGGAATGGATTGGCTTCTAGGAAGCAGCCGGATTTCCCCACAGTGTTTGACTTCAGACTGGGCAGGAAAAATAGAACAGCCTGGGAAGAGCTGTTCATGCTTCCCTCAAAAAGGCTCGTCTCAAAAACATGACTAGCTTTTTCTCCATTAGATGTCAGATCCCGCACAGTCTCAGAAGAAAGTATTGGATCATGCACACTATCATAAGGAAGAATTGGCCAGGATAGTATAAAATCATGAAGAACCCCAAACCAATCCTGGATGGAGTTGGAGAACGTTATGATTTTCTTTTCTTTTCCTGAAGCTGACTTTCCTGACACTAATGAATATTAAAATCCATGCATTCCCTGGTCGGGGATAGGGGAAGCTGGTTCCTGATGAGAATTGGCTGAGACAAGTCTCAGAATAGACATTCTACGTGGCAGTGTCCAGGAAGCCATTCTCTGGAAAGTTTTTTAAAAGTTGCAGGAATAGAGGAGAGTCTAAGAGCTGTATGTGTTCCATATTTTCTCTGATTTGAAAACAAAACCAGTCATAAAGTACCAACGCTGGAAGACTATTGAATCTTAACCCTTCCTTAAGTAGATGAGGAAACTGGGACCCACATGGTGGGTAGACTAGGTCGGCTGCAGCTGAAATATGACGGCACATTTCCTCTCATCAAAACTTTGAGTCGTATACTCTTATACCACCTGGAAACCCACCTACCCAGTGCCCCTCACCAATGGCTCTGCAACTCCCCATAGATTTCTGCCCAATTGCTATTTTTTGCACCTGCTGAGTTTGTCTTTTTTGTATGTGTCATAATGTACACTTTAACGACTTATTTCTCCTGTTAATCTAGAAGCTGGAAAAAACTGGGACCTTTGGGCTTCTTCTTGTAAACTCCATGTTAATGACTTATTAGCGTCTTGGCAAAAATACCTAATGACTTCTAACTAACCTCCTACTGACAACTATCTCAGGGTTTAAGTTCTGACTCTGCTAGTTTCTAGCTATGCAATCTTTGGCAATTGACTTAACTTCCCTGTAGAAGTGGTACCTTTGCTTGGCAAAGGAGGGTTTTAGTCCCCATGACTGCCATAGCCACCCCCAAACATGCAATGTGTAGAGTAAAATCAACACAGAGCAAAAATCAGCTTCGGGACAAAACTTCCTGGTATCCCTGCAACCAAATTATAATCCATAAATCCCTGTCATAGGTTAACATTCTACAGCTGCCACTGCTCCCTTCCTCTAAATTTCCTCATCTGGAAAAGGGGGGAAATAATATATTGTAGGGTTTTTAAATTGATATCTAATATTTTACATATTTATAGGGTACATGTGATATTCTGTTGCATGCAGAGAATGTGTAATGATCAAGTTAGGATATTTGTGGTATACATCACCTTGAGTATTTTTCATTTCTATATGTTGGGAACATTTAAATTCTCTCTTCTAGCTACTTCGAAATAGACAATACATTGTTGCTAACTATGGTGACCCTACTCTGTTGTCAAACATTAAAACTTATTCCTTTTATCTAACTGTTAAGTTTGTACCCATTCACCAACCTCTCTTCTTTCCCCAACTCTTGCCATCCACACACCCTTCCCAGCCCCTGGTAAACATCATTCTACTTTCTACTTCCATGAGATTAACTATTTTAGCTCTCCCACTTATGAGTGAGAACACACTAAACTTGTCTTTCTATGTCTGGCTTACTTCACTAAACACAACGACCTCCAGTTGCATCCATGTTTTTGGAAATGACATGATTTCATTCTTTTTTTATGACCAAATAGTATTCCGTTGTGTATTTATACCACATTTCCTTTATCTATTCCAAGTGTCCGTCCCTTGGTGGACACTTAGGTTGATTCCATGTAATTGCTATTGTGAATAGTGCTGCAAAAAACATGTGAGTGCGGGTATCCCTTTAATATATTGATTTCCTTTCCTTTGGATAAATGTCTAGAAGTGGGATTGCTGGATTGTATGGTAGTTCTGTATTTAGTTTTGTGAATAATCTCCACACTGTTCTCCATAATGGCTGTACTAATTTACATTCCCACCAAAGTGTTTAAGAGTTCCCTTTTCTCCACATCCTCACCTGCATCTGTTATTTTTTGTCTTTTTAATCACAGCCATTCTAACTGGGTTAAGATGATACCTCACTGTGGTATTGATTTGCATTTTTCTGATGATTAGCGATGTTAAGTATTGTTTATATAACTATTGACCGTTTGTCTTCTTTTGAGAAACGTCTTTGTATGTCCTTTGCCAAATTTTTAATGGGATTATATGTTTGTTTGTTTACTGTTGAATTGTTTGAGTTCCTTGTATATTCTGAATGCTAGTCCATTATTGGATAAATAGATTTCTCCCATTCTGCAGGTTTTCTCTTTACTCTGCTGATTGTTTCCTTTGGTGTGAAGAAGTTTTCTGGTTTAATATAGTCCCATCTGTCTATTTTTGGTTTTGTTGCCTATGCTTTTGAGGTCTCAGCCATAAAATATTTGCCTAGACCAATATTCTAAAGTGTTTTCCCTATGTTTTCTTCCAGTATTTTTATAGTTTCAAGTCTTATGCTTAAGTCTTTAATCCATCTTGAATTGATTTTTGTATATGGTGAGATAAGGGCTCAATTTCACTTTTCTGCATGTGCATGTCCAATTTTCTCAATACTATTTATTGAGCCCATCCATGAGCATGGGATGTCTTTTCAATTTGTGTCCTCTTCAATTTCTTTCATCAGTGCTTTGTAGTTTTCCTTGTAGAGCTCTTTTACATCCTTAGTTAAATTTATTCCTAGATATCTTAATAACTGTTGTAAATGAAATTGCCTTCTTGATTTCTTTCTTAATTATTGGTTTATAGAAATGCTACTGATTTTTGTATGTTAATTTTGTTTCCTGAAACTTTACTGAATTTATCAGATCTAAGAGTTTTTTGGTAGAATCTTTAGATTTTTTATATATAAGATAGAGCCATCATAAAAGAGGGACAATTTGACTTCTTTTTCAATTTAGATGCCTTTTATTTCTTTCTCTTGCCTAATTGCTCTGGCTAGGACTGCCAGTACTATGTTGAATAGGAGTGTTGAAAGTGGGCATCTTTATCTTTTTTCAGTTCTTAGAGGAAAGGCTTTCAGCTTTTCCCCATTCAGTATGATGTTAGTTGTGGGTTTGTCACACATGGCCTTTATTATGTTGAGGTATGTCCCTTCTATACATAGTTTGTTGAAGAGTTTTTAATCATGAAGTACTGCTGAATTTTATCAAATGCCTTTTCTGCATCTATTGATATCATCATATGGTTTTTATTTTTCATTCTGTTTATGTGATGTATCACATTTATTTGTGCATGTTGAGCATCCTTGCATCACTGGGATAAATACCACTTGATCATGGTGTGTTTTTTTTTTTTTTTTTTTGGATGTGCTGTTGGATTTGGTTTGCTATCATTTTGTTAAGAATTTTTGCATCTGTATTCATCAGGGATATTGGCCTGTAGTTTTCTTTTTTGGGTTGGGTCCTTGCCTAGTTTTGGGATCAGGGTAATGCTGTCCTTAGAGAATGATTTAGGAAGAATTTCTTTTGCTTCACTTTTTTCTTTTCTTCTTCTTTTTTTCTTTTTTTGAGACGGAATCTCATTCTGTTGCCAAGGCAAGAGTGCAATGGCACAACCCCTGCCTCCCAGGTTCAAGTGATTCTCCTGCCTCAGCCTCTGGAGTAGCTGGAATTACAGGCACCTGCCACCATGCCTGGTAAATTTTTGTATTTTTAGTAGATACAGGGTTTCACCATGTTGGCCAGGCTGGTCTCAAACTCTTGACCTCAAGTGATCTGCCCACCTTGGCCTCCCTAAGTGCTGGGATTACAGGCGTGAGCCACTGTGCCTGGCCTTGCTTCAATTTTTTTGAATAGTTTGAGGAGAATTAGTGTTGGCTCTTCTTTGAATGTTTGGCTAAATTTGGCGGTGACGTGATCCTGTTCTGGACTTTCCTTTTTTGGGGAGATGTTTTGTTGTTTATTAAATCTCATGATTTTGTTATTGATCTATTCAGGTTTTCTCTATCTTCCTGATTCAATCTCCATAGGTTGCATGTGTTCTGGAATGTATCCATTTCCTCTAGGTTTTCCAGTTTGTTAGCATATAGTTAGTAGTCCTGATGATCTTTTGTATTTCTGTGATATCAGTTGTAAATTATTTTTCATTTCTGATTTTGCTTATTTGGGTCTTCTTTCTTGGGTCTTCTTTCTTTCTTCTGTTAGACTAGAAAGTGGTTTATATATTTGGTTTATCATCTCCAAAAACTAACTTTTCATTTGTTTATCCTTTTTTGTTTGTTTGTTTGCTTGTTTTTTGTTTTTAGTTTCTATTTCATTTAGTTCTACTCTGATCTTTAGTCTCTCTTTCCAACTACTAATTTGGGGTTTGGTTTATTCTTGCTTTTCTAGTTCCTTGAGGTGATTGTTATATTGTTTACTTGAAATGTTTCTACTTTTTTGACGTAGGTATTTATTGCTATAAGATTCCCTCTTAGCACTGCTTTAGCTGTATCTCAAAGGTTTTGGTATATTGTATTTTGATTTTCATTTGTTTCAAGGTATAAAATATAATTTTGCTGGGTATAGTATCTTTGACAGACAGGTTTTTTCTTCTTTCAGCACTGAATGTATTATTCCATTCTCTCCTGGTCTGTAAGGTTTCTGCTGAGAAATCTGCTGTTTTTTATTTCCTGCTTAATTTCTTCCTTGAGCCAATGGTCATTCTGAAACTTGTTGCTTAATTTCCACATATTTGTACAATTTCCAAAGTTCCTCTTGATATTGATTTCTGGTTTTCTTCTGTTGTGGTCTGAGAAAATACTTGATATGATTCTAATTTTTAAAAATTGTTTGAGAATTGTTTTGTGTCCTAACATATGATCTATACTGAAAACTGTTCTGTGTGCTGATGAGAAGAATGAGTACTCTGCAGCTGTTTGATGACATGTTCTGTAAATGTCTGTTATGCGTATTTGGTGTAATATGAAGTTTGAATAAAATGTTTTTTAAATTTTCTGTCTAGATGATCTGTCCAATGCTGAGAGTGGGGTGTTGAAATCTACAACTATTAATGTATTAAAGTCTATCTCTCCCTTTATATCTAATATTATTTGCTTTATATATCTGGGTGCTCCAGTGTTGGGTGCATGTGTGTTTAGAATTGTTATATCCTCTTGCTGAATTGATCCTTTATCATTATATAATGGCCTTCTTTGTCTGTTTTTACTATTTTTGATTTAAAGCCTGTTTTACTTAAGTTCATCTGATATACTCCTGCTTGCTTTTGGTTTCCATTTGCATGGGATATCTTTTCCACTTCTTTACTTGCAGTCTATATGTGTCTTTACAGATGAGATGTTTCTTGCAGGCAGCATATAGTTGGTCATGGTTTTTTTTTTTTTTCATCCATTCAGGTAGTCTATATCTTTTAAATGGAAAGTTTAATCTATTTACCTTCAAGGTTATTATTGATATGTGAGGACTATTTCTGTCATTTTCATTGATTTCTGATTATTTTGTATATCCTTTGCTCCTTTATTTCTCTCTTGTTTATCATTGTGATTTGGTGGTATTCTATAGTGGTAACATTTGAGTTTTTCCTCTTCCTTATTTGTATGTTTGCTCGACCAGTGGTTTTATATTTTCATGTGTTTTCATGATAGTAGCTATTGTTCTTTCACTTCCAGGTGTAGGACTCTCTCAAGCATTTCTTTCAGGGCCAGTCTAGTGGTGATGAATTACCTCAGCATTTACTTGTCTGAGAAAGACTAATTATCCTTCAGGTATAAAAGATAATTTTGCTGGGTATAGTATCTTTGACAGACAGGTGTTTTTTTTTTTTTTTTCTTTCAGCACTGAATATATTATCCCATTCTCTCCTGGCCTGTAAGATTTCTGCCGAGCAATCTGCTGTTAGTCTGATGAGGGTTCCTTTATAGGTGACTAGATGCTTTTTTCTTGTTGTTTTCAGAATTTTCCCTTGTCTTGACTTTTGACAGTTTGACTATAATATACCATGGAAAAGGCCTTTTTGAATTGTGCTTATTTGGGGATTTTTAGGCCTCCTGTATCTGGACGTCTAAATCTCTTGCTAGTCTTAGGAACTTTTTATCTATTGTTTTGTTAAGTAGGTTTTCTAACTCTTCTGTTTTCTTTTCATCTTTTGGGACATTGAAAATTTGAATATTTGGTCACTTCTAAAGTCTTATATGTCACAAAGCTTTTGCTCATTATTTTATTACTTTTCTCTTTATTTTTGTCTGAGTAGGTTATTTCAAAAGACCTGTCTTTAAGTTCTGAGATTCTTCCTTCTGTTTGATCTAGTGTGTTGTTGAAGCTTCAGAAAGTATTTTGTATTTCATTCAATTAATTCTATCATTCCAGAATTTGTTTGGTTCTTTTTCATGATATCTATCCCTTTGGTAAATTTCTCATTCATATACTGAATTATTTTTCTGATTTATTTGTATTGTTTTTCAGAATTCTCTTGTATCTCACTGTGATTCTTTAGTATCAATATTTTAAATTCTTTTTCCAGGATTTCATGAATTTCTTTTTGATTGATATCTGTTGTTGCACAATTATTGCGTTCCCTTGGAGGTGTCATATTTCCTTGCTTTTTCATGTTTTCTGTGTCTTACGTCTGCTCATCTAATGTAACAGTAGCTTCTTCTAATTTTTTGAATTTGCTTTTTTGGGGAAGGACATTTTCCTGAAGAGGAATCTATGGTGGTGGTTGGGTAGCGCACTTTGGCTTTGATTCTGGGTACACGCAGTAGTGCAGTTTCTGTATAATTTTTTTTGGCTGTAAGCAGCATCAATGGTGCCTGTCATTTCTTCAGTGGCTTAGGGTGCAGTTGGTAGAGGAAGCTGTGGTGAAGTTTTGTTGGGGACTAGGATGCCAGGTGGGCCAATCTTTGGGCCCCAGTGGTGGCAGCAGTGGTGTGAGTGTGTCTATCTTGAGCGCCAGAGTGGCACTGGTGTTAATGAGTCCAGACAGGCCATTTCTTGGGCTTCTAAGTGGCTTGCTTGCATTCTAGCAATGGCAGCGGTGGATCAGGCATAAGGGCAGGTTCCCAAGTTCCTGGGTGGTGGGCATGGAAGGGGTGATGGCAGTAGCAGTGGCAGGACAACCCTCTGGGACCTAAGTGCTTCACCCTGATATGGGCAGTGGCTGCAATGAGTTGGGAGGACCAGTCCCCAGACTCACAGGTGGCATGTGCAGGTGGGTGCCAGCTGCAGTGATAGTGGCAGGTTGGGTAAGCCTGACTTTAGGCCCCCAGGAGAAGTGCTCAGGTATCAATGGTGGTGGACTGGGCTGATTGCTCCCCAGGTCCCTAGACAGTGTGCATGGGTACTGGGGGTGGAAGGGAGGTGGTGCAGGGCTGTGTGGACCTGACCTTAGTCTCCCCGGTGGTGCATGCAGGTGCTGACTGTGGTAGCAGAAGCAGGGTAATCTCTTGGCTGCCACAGAATGCTCAGGTAGGGACAGCTGATGAGAGCCATCCTTCAGGCCGTTGCGACATTCTCCTAGCTGCACTTCCTGCTACTGGGAAGGGTGGGGTTGCTTTCCTGGGGAGCAGTAGTAGGCAGGCAGCTGGAGAATACAGGCTTTGCTCTCACCTCAGCCCTACAGAGCCTACAGGGCAGTGGTTGTGGGCAGTGAAATTTGTCCTCGGGGTGCATGAAAATGCATAGCTGCCCATCTGCTGGTGGAGATAGTGCGATAGTTGCCCATGGCCCCTGTCTTGGCCCCAGAAGCAGAGCAGGATGCAGTCCGTGAGGGCTGAGCTCTCAAAATGCCACCATGCTGTGGCTGCTTAGGACTTGGGGGTTTATGGGACCCAGCATGAGCTCCTTCTCTGGAGCAATGCCTCTGTGTGGTCTCCAGAGAGCTCCTTATGTTAGACTGGGGGCCTGTAACGGTCAAGATGCTCTCCCATGGCTAGGACTGTAGGAGTCCACAGCAGGAATGTGGACCACTAAGGGCCTCTCGCTTACCCTTTCCCCACAAGTAGGGAGCCTCTCCAGACTCACAACCGATCCCGGCCAAGCAGACTGCCTTGCTTCTCTCTCCTTCCCAGCCAAGCAGGCTGCCTTGCTTCTCTCTCCTTCCCAGCCAAGCAGGCTGCCTTGCTTCTGTCTCTCCTTCCCAGCCAAGCAGGCTGCCTTGCTTCTGTCTCCTTCCCAGCCAAGCAGGCTGCCTTGCTTCTCTCTCTCCTTCCTTGCTTTTGGTGCGTCCTGTCACTTCACTGTTGAATTCCAATGTTCTCTCTTAGATGATCTATTTGAAGTTGTATTATCTACTCGCTATATTGGTTTCTCTCCATGGAAAAGGTGAGTACCAGATGCATCTTGAAGCCCTCCATCTCTTACAGGGTTATTAAGGAACTTAAATAAGATAATCCATGTAAAGCACATGGTACTTTGAAAAACTTTTCAGTACACATTAGTGTCAGGTACTGTAACTGTCTTTAGGGAATTGATGACAAATAAAACCTGGTCCCTACCCTCAAGCTACTCACAGATCCACAGAACAGACAGAGATATGATTGACGGAGTAACAGAAGGATAGAGACGGCAGTGTACCTGAATAGGTGTTTCATAAGCAGGCATATGAGTATCATACTGGCCAGAAGGACTGCTCTGTAACAATAGCCAGAGGCTTTACACTGGTGGCACCTTCAAGGTGTGTGAATAATAAAGTAAGGGAAGTGAGAAGCAGCAGACAGTGAGGCTGGGGAATGAGACATTGTGGCGTGCAGTAAAGGGCGTGAACTTTGGAGTCAACAAGTCTTTGGTTCCAATGATGGCTCAATCACAGACCAGATACATGAACACATCCCTTTAACTCTCGAAGAACCATTTGGATGGAAGTTGCATCCAGGGAGAGTGACATGCTTCAGGCCATTGCAACATTCCAGGAAAATGCTGACAAGGGGCTCAGCCACTCATGGAAACAGTAGGGATGCCAGTGGAAGGAGGGGGTTAAGAGACTCAGTGGGCATGGAGGCAAAATCAACATCTTGGAGAAACTTCAGATGGGGTGAGTGACATTAAGAGGAATTGACAGTGAAGCCCTTTTATAAAAGCTTTTTGGGCATGAATTAAAAGAAAAAAAAAGGAGCGTACATAGACAGCACACAAAAGTCAGCATTATACTATTGTGCTTTTATTGCTGAGTTTTCCTTTTGGAAAGAAATCTTGCCCCTCTCCCCTCCTTTCAGGTTGAGAAAGCTGAGGCCCAGAGTTGCCAAATCACTCTTGCAAGGCCCCGTGGAGGTAGAGGGTGGGGGTGGGGATGCCCAGTGATGGGGGTTGAAACAAGGATCAAGGTCTCCTTGAGCCAAAGTCATTGGTTCCATGGCCATGTGTAGAAATAGCTATACACTTTCATTTTTAAAACCATGTTGTGTGCTATTTAAGTTGGTCTTAAAATGCTGTGTACTGCAGAAAGGGATATGGGCCCTTTTACGAGAGGCCAGTCGATGTCAGGGGCCAGACTATAAAAATTGCTACCCGGTGCCTAGGAGGATAAAACCATATCTGGAGAGCTGACCTTGAAACACCAGAGTCCTGAGGTGGTGGCAGTCACACCTCGGGTAGACCTTTCTGTCAACTCCATTTCCCTGCCTCCTGCACTGCGAGGCTACCTTCTTGCCTAGGGGGCCGGGCAGAAGAGAGAACTGAGAGCGTTTCAGCACATACCTGTGCCTGCAGGAGCAGACTGGCGAGTCCTCTCCATTTGAGTGCCTTTCTGAGGGTGGAGCTCATGTGTATGAGTGAGGATGGTTGGGGGGAAGAGCCACAGGGGGTCTCTGCACTCCAGGAGCCGCAAGGGAGGCCGTGAACTTTGCACATGATTCTAGCCAAGCAAGGCGCTTCCTCCGTTGGAAGAGCCAGCCAGAGCCAGCCAGGCTCAACCCTGTTTTCCTCTGGTTTCAATGGGCAGTGCGCACCTTATGCCCTGCCTGCTGGCCCTGGACTTCTCCAGCATCCCACACACAGGTTCTCTGAGCCTCGTCCTGCCCCCACCCAGAGTCCCTCATGCATTGTCTAAGCTGAGAGCAGGCGGCAGCCCCCAGGCCCAGCACAGGCTGGCAGGAGAAGGCTCTGACCCTGCTACCGCTCCACCCCCCAGCTGTCACTCCCCCTCCATTCCCACTGGCACCATTTGGCAGAGAGCGGCCCCCCACCCCCAACCCAGCCTGGTCCAGCAGGCACAGCTTAAGTATCCACAGAGACTCTGCCTTTCCTGGGGTTTGGAGCAAGCCAGGCAGGGAGGGAAGGAGGTGGTTTCTGCTGACCACAGGCTCAGCAACCACACTTCCCTCTGGGTTCCAACTGCCGCTGGTTGCCGGAGCCCCTCTCCTCCCATGGCTTCTGGTGGGGGATGGCCACGGCCACTGCAGAGGCTTTGACAAATTCTGGCTGCTAGGGCTGGGGGAGCCTCGTGTAGGTTCCTATTCCTCCACTCCCTGAGATCCAGCATGACAACAACCACACTTGTGTGTCTCTTTTAACCTTTCTAAGAACTGTCCAAACTTTCTCTCCCTAGATCCTGTTTTCCCTACGAGGCAAGCAGGATGCTTAAGATGAACCCTTTTTGACCAAAGGAGAAATGGAGACTAGAGAGGATGAGATGACTCACGACTGTTTACTGGGTGTGGAACCCACGGGACCTTCCCTGTGCCATACCGTCACCAGCATCACACACTCACACCGTCACCGGCGTCACACACACACACCGTCACCGGCGTCACACATACACACCGTCACCGGCGTCACACACACACACCGTCACCGGCGTCACACACTCACACCGTCACCGGCGTCACACACACACACCGTCACCGGCGTCACACACACACACCGTCACCGGCGTCACACACACCGTCACCGGCGTCACACACACACACCGTCACCGGCGTCACACACTCACACCGTCACCGGCGTCACACACTCACACCGTCACCGGTGTCACACACACACACCGTCACCGGCGACACACACACACACCGTCACCGGCGTCACACACATTCCATACCCGCCTGGAGGTGCCACAGCATACTCCCAAAAGCCACTGCAGAAACATCTTTGCACTTTTCAGTTTCCCCTAACATTGAAGAACCTGGAGGTGCCCCACTTAGCGAGTGCACAGGGCAGCCGAGGGGATGCAGTTCCCTTCTGGGCAGCCTCTCCAGGTCTGGGCACAGAACCTGCCCCTGCTTCTCTTCCAAAGAATGAAGCCCCTCCCAAGCCTGCTGGACTCATATGCTTTGTGATCAATTCCGTGTCCTGCAAGTGTTTTTCTTTATTGACATGAAAACCTCATGAAAACATGCTTTGTCTGCATTTTCCCGTAGAGGTGATAGGAAGCTTCAAAGGGTAAAGGAAGTTAGAAAAGACTGGGAAGGGTGAGGACAGATGAGAAAAAGGTGTGCAGCCTGATGTGTGGGCAAGGACAGGTGTGTCTGGAGTTTGCTCCATATATGCCCACCTCTCGGTCCCTTATGTGGACTTACTGCCTTGGCCCTATCTGGCTTGAGATGAGAATGCCCCCAAGGCCAACACTACTCCTCTCTCCTGAATCCACAGGGCTGACATCATTGAGTCCATGCCTCTGCCTCCATGCAGGCCCTTCCCTAAACTCCCCAAATGATAAGCCTGAACCCTGGCCTTCAAGATCTCCAGAGAAGGACATGTTTGGGTCTCTGTATTTGGATGGTTTCTATCGTCTTCCTTGGATCTAGCCAAAGTCTTTCTTCTGGATTTGTAAAAGATCTCTTCTTCAGAAGAGAAGGAGATCTCTGTGGAAGAGAGCAGGCATGGTGCCAACAGACAGGAAACGAAGTCACGATGCCGGTCATTTTCCTCTTCTCTTCCCTTTCTTCTCCCCCTCCTCCTTCCCCATCACCCCGCTGCACCACCCTTGCGACTACTCGTCAGATGTTTCCACTGTGCTGAGCAATGCCTGCCTGTACAGTGCCTTTATGTGTTGTTGATTTTTGCCATGAGCCTTCAGGCTTCTCCTTGTAGCCCTGACAAGGGAAATCCCATAATGAAGGATTTCACGGAGCTCCACGGGCTGGTGGAGGCTTTTCTTTCCATCTGTCATTTTACTTTAAGCCTTGACCTTTCTGTTCCCATGTGAGGCAGTACCAGGAAGGGGCTTGGGCTGGAGAGCAAACGTCTGGGTTTGGACCCCAGATTGGGCTGTCAGTGAAGCAGAGAAGATAACCTAGGGTTTCGACAACCTTAAAATAAGTCAAGGAAGACAGCGCACATCCCAGGGGGTACGATGGGGGGGCAAAGATGGGTGGTGAAGAGTTTAAATAAAGGAGAGCCCCTTGGTTTAGAAGGAGGTCCTACATGGAAGTAGGAAGGCAGAGTAGTCTAGGCGCCCCCCTCTCTGGCCACCCCTGGCCACTCAGGGATCCCATTTTTACTGAAGAAAGCAGAGGCTTCAGAGTCCAAAATATCTGGGTTTGAATATTGGCCCTACTACTTGCTGGAAAGTTGGAGCCACGTGGCAAACAACCTTGCTAAGCAACCTTGGGCAAGCTGCTTATTTTCTCTGACTCTCAGTTTCCTCATGTGAAAGTTAGAGGTCTCAACGCAGACATCACAGGCTGCTCTGCAGCTGGAACAGGATAATGGCAGGTGCTTGGCAGAGCACCTGCACACAGGTAGCGCTTAATCAAGAGTGGCCACAAGTTTGTTTCAGATGAGGATAGAACCCCAACATAAACTGGAAGATAACAGAGACCAAAATGCCCAGCCTCGGCCTCTCTTTGCTGAGAGAACCCCCCGAAACTCTCCAGAGGGGCCTCAAAGCAGGACAAACAGCCAATAGGAAAGCAGGCTCAGGGCTTTGATGGCAGTAAAGGGCCATCTTCTGACCAACTTTCCCATGTCAGGTCGATAGGGAGACTGAAAAAAAAATTATAGTCTCCAAGGCTCCAAGACAAAATACCCACCCGGCACTGCTTTGAAAGGGCAAACCCTTCGAGATGCACAAGGATTTTGATTGTTTGAAATGTTGGTAACATTTCATCTTCCCAGAGACCTTGTTCATTTATCAGGGTTCTTAAAACCCTTTTGTTCATAAGCTTGTGGTGAGGACAGAAAACATTCTATCTAATATCAGAGCACAGCTGTTCAGCGACAGAAAGACTTAGGGGAAAAGCCCTTCAAAAAAAAAAAGGAAGGGGGGAAAACACCAGGGCTATAAACATGGGAAAAGCGACCGTGGCTGAAAGAAGGCCTTGCAAGCAACAGCTGCCTAACAAGAATATGCTGTTTGGGGAAGTGTGAGAAAGAGAATGAGCACACTGACAGCAGGGCCTCTGCAAGGGCTCGGTAAACACTGGGACCAAGGCGAGGCCCCCAGAGCTGGGCTCCTCCTCTCTGTAGGGTTCCTGGCAGTTCTGCACAAGGCCCCAGCCAGGGCCCCTAAAAATGTTTGAAGTAGGTGTGGAACCTTGAGTAACATCTTCTTAAGGGCCAGTGTGGCTGGGAAAAAAAAAAAAAGGCCTAGCGGAAAACTCTGTCCATCCAATGCCACAGAAGATCAAGAAATATTTTCTAAAAAGGGCTTTGACTGCTCCTGAAAGCACAAGACAGAGCGAGCAGGGTCAGACCAAGGCAGGGACCGTGTGGCACTAGCCACCGGCTGAGTGAGGCCAGGATGGACAGTTCCGGGGTCTTGGATTCATTTTCAGCTCTGCATTTTTCAGTCGAGGCTCATGTTGATTTTCACGAATTCCAACAAAGGAAAATCACATCCACATTTATGAAATGTCTGAATAGTAGCATTTTAAAAAATGTGGTTTCACATTTTAAGCCAAATTCTAAAAGGGAATAAGGATAAAGTTGATAGAAGAAAATTTTCACTACTGTGAATTACAGTCACCTTGTTACGTGATGTTAGCATGTGATAGTTATTGCAAGCAGGAGCTCTAGAATCAGAAAGACCTGGGCTTAAATGCTGGTGCTGGGTGACCTTGAAAAATGTTTCTGCGCCTCTGTGCCTGAGATTCCCCGTCAGTGCAATGAGAATCCGAGCATCTCCTCTACAGGGTTGTCGTGACGGTTCCATGAGCTTCTACGTAGGAAGTATCTAGAAGAGGCTTGATCCTAGTGAGCTGCACAAAATTGAAGCTATAATTTTAATGAGATGGGAGTTATAATGATTTTGTTGCAGTGAAAAGAGCCAAGTCAGGAAGCGTGGGAGATCTGAGCTCGACCACTAATTAGATTCCATGCCACCTCCGGGCCTCACTTTCCTCTGTTGGAGGCAAATGATACCTGTCTCCTTATCTGACATGAAAGTTATGGTTGGCCGAGTGCAGTGGCTCACACCTGTAATCCAAGCACTTTGGGAGGCTGAGGCAGGCGGATCACTTGAGGTCATGAGTTCGAGACCAGCCTGGCCAACATGGTGAAACCCTGTCTCTACTAAAAATACAAAAAAAAAAAAAAAAAATAGTTGGTGTGGTGGCAGGCACCTATAATCCCAGCGACTGGGGAGGCCAAGTCAGGAAAACTGCTTGAACTCAGGAGACGGAGGTTGCAGTGAGCTGAGATTGTGCCACCGCACTCTAGCCTGGGCGACAGAGTGAGACTCCATCTCAAAAAAAAAAAAAAAAAAAAGTTATGGTTAAAGAGACTTAGGAAGTATAAAGGCATGTATGAATGTGATCTATGGTTATTATAAAATCTCCTTATTATGCAATTTATTGTCCCTCATTCAGCAAAATTCTAATGCAAGGACTTTGAATGATCAGCTCATAATTCTACCCGATAATCTTGATTCTAATAAATCAATTGCAAAGAGAGAGAAAGAGACATAGTAAGAAGGACAATCGGAGAAATTTGATGATATTAAGGAATTATCGTTCACTCTTTTTAGTTGTGACAGTTGTACTGTGGACATATGTGTATGTAGGAGAGGGGTCACACCCTGTCACACACGGAGCACTCACAGATGAAATGACACGATGTTTGGATTTGCCTTAAGGTCATCTGGGTGGAGGGGAACGGGGGTCAGGTATAGAGAAAAACACATTGGCCACGTGCTAATAATTGCAGAGGCTGGGTGAGGGGGCGTGGCAGTTATTTATATGATCTACTTTTATGTTTGAAACGTTTCCATAATAAAAGGAAAACGCAATAACAATGAAATCCAAAAGAGGGATCAATGATTAAACATCTGTGACGGCAGCTGAGGACCAGGTGGAGAGGCCTGACTGGGAGGGTCAGCTTCCCTGTATACTTTGGATGCAAGGAAGATGCACAGTAACGGGACAAAGCTGGACACTGGGCAGCCTGCTACGCACAAGACTGTGTGATGAAGACAAGTCACTTCACCTCTCCAAGCCACAGTTTCTTCATCTTTCAAGTGAGAATGTGAGACTCAAATGCCCCTTTCAATGTTAATGTAATACGATTTTTAGGGATCTCAAGCAATCAGGTATATCCTGCCAGATTTTCTGAAAGTAATAGATAAATCTCACTTTCAAGGAAATGAAACAATTTAAAATATACCAGGAAAAGAGCCAGGCACGGTGGCTCATGCTTGTAATCCCAATGAATTGTGAGGCTGAGGCAGGCAGATTACTTGAGCCCAGGAGTTCAAGGCTGTAATAAGCTCTGATCATATCACTGCATTCTAGCCTGAGCAACAGAGCAAGACCCCAACTCTAAAAAATAAAAATAAATAAATAAAATATACCAGAAATGTGCTTTATTTAAAGAAGCATGGCAACAGAGTATCTGGCTAAGTGACGGATCTTTTGTGAAGGGTATACCTTCCTCCCCAATGTATTTGTGGCTTCAGATTTGCTTAGTACAGTAAAAGGTCAATTGACCAAAACACTCAGAGTTTGCAGAAGTTCTTCCAAACTTCATTTTTACGAGTGGAATGTTAAGGGAAAAAAAGTCCTTTATGTTTCTCTTGAAATCAGGTAATTTCTCTCAAAAACAGGAGTCTACTTTCCCTTAGGAAGGCTAGAGCGAGGCATGCAGTCTTCTTGGTGATCTTGCAGGGTTCCAGCTTGAGGTGGCCACAGGGCACCAGCTCTCAGTGTCCGGAACTAGAGAGGCAGACAGCACAGGTAGAGATCAGGAGGAGTCTGTTGGTTTTATGGTAGATTCTTCTGGAAGTGGGGGACAAAAGAAAGAGGGCCGTTAATGAAAGCTTCTGATTGGCTGCCTCAGTTACAGGGCTTTCCTGCATCCTTCATTCCCAAATGGGCTTCTCACATTTCTCCTTGTTACCTTAAGGACTCGGAACATGGCCGGGCATGGTGGATCACACCTGTAATCCCAGCACTTTGGGAGGCTGAGGCAGGCAGATCACTTGGGGTCAGGAGTTCCAGACCAGCCTGGCCAACATGGTGAAACCCCGTCTCTACAAAAATACAAAAATTAGGCAGGCGTCGTGGTGCACGCCTGTAATCCCAGCTACTCGGGAAGCTGAGGCAGGAGAATTGCTTGAACCACGGAGGCAGAGGTTACTGTGAGCCGAGATCATGCTGCTGCACTCCAGCCTGGGCAACAGAGTGAGACTCTGTCTCAAAAAAAAAAAAAAAAAGACTTGGAACAAAGTTTTCTAATACATGGCCTGCAAATCTCTCTCTCATTTCTTCCAAAAAGCACCTGATTTTGTCTACCAAGGATTCAACACTATTTTGTCCTGTTAAGGGCACCCTGTCTCACTGATCATTAAAAAACCAACCTAGAAATGTCTTTGAACAGTCAGTAAAAGCCCACATCTTTTGAACAACTACTGTATACAGACACTGGCCGGGAGCTACGGGAGATATAAGGGAGTAAAAAAGACTCTGACTTCTTTTGGTTGAGACACAAACCAGGGACAAATCACAGATTTTGATGGCTGGGGTTCCAATATTGTGTTTGAGTCCCAGCTCATCCTGTAGCCACTGAGCACTTAGGCCCCCATTTCCTTCTCTGTAATATGGTGATAAAAACAACATCAACTCATGGGGTTCTTGGGAGAATTAAATGGATAACCCCATAAAGCAGTTACAGCGGTAGGTGGCACATGGTAAGTGTTCAATAAATGTTGTCTGATCATCTGAGAAATGTACTCATGCAAGAAGCCGCTAACACCAGGAGATGCCACACCAGCGAGGTCACATGATACCTAATAGCCAAGGCCAAACGAATAGTAGAGAGGGTATATTTGCTGCAGGAGAATAGGGTATGAGTGTTCTTGGGGGCACCAGGACCAACTGGGCCAGCTTCCAGAGTGTCTGAGACTTCTGTCACCCAAATGACTGGTTTGAGCCACAGCCCACCCAGGGATGAATGTGGAGCAGCCTGGACCTCAGCACACTTGGGGTTTCTGTCCCCCAAAAAGAACTTGGAGTCTTACGGGTGTGGGGGATGGCTGGTCAGGAAGGGATTCGCAGAGTGGAGTCACTGGCGCCAGGGACTCAAAGATGGACAGGATTCCCAAAGGTCAGGGGCAGAGATAATAAAGAGGCCAGCCTAAGGGCAGCCCGTCTACTCTTTCTAGAGGCCCCCTTGATGGTCACCTCTTCCAGGGTTGAACATTATGCACTGTTGGGAACGGATTCCTCTCTCTCCCTGAAATTCCCCAGCTGCTGCTCAAACAGAAACCTACTTTTGCTTGCCTGGCTCTTGGTGGAGCTGTTACCTACATCCCCTCTCCTAAAGAGCAGCCCTTCTCAGAGCTGAGGGCTGAGGTCCCATCAGCCCTTCCCTCGGGCTTTCTCCTCTCCCGAGGACCATGTTCTGCTGGCCTCCTGGAAGCCATGACTCGCCTTTGTGCACGGCCCAGCACAGAGAAGCCAACCCTCGAGGGGACTTTGAGGTCTCCCCTGGCAGGGACCCAGGCTTGTGGCTGCTGTGTAGTTGCTGTCTCCACCGCCTCCACCTTCCAGAGCTGTAGGGGACACAGCTGCCACTGGCACCCCTTCCCAGTTCAGCTCAGAGACTTTATTCTCAGGACCCTGGCATTCCACTCTGGGCCATCGCGGGGGATTTCAAGTGAAAAACAAAACAGAACAAAAACTGAGGAATGTCTTCCTCGGTGAAACAGAAGCCCAGCTCTGTCACTTACTAGCTGGGTGACCTGGGGAAAATTACATGACTTTTCTGTGCTTTGGTTTCCCAATGTATTAAACAAGGATAATAGTAATTTCTATTGCGCCTGTTTGGAGGAGTGAGTGAGTTGATATAAAGGATGCGTTTAAAACAGTGCCTTTTACAGCATTAGGGAACTATTGGCATGTTGTTCTTTTATAGTGGTTAAGGGTGCAGGGTACTGAATCAGGCAGACGGTGGAGACATCAATTCACCTCTCTGAGCTTCAGTTTCTTCATTTTCTTAAAATGAGGGTAATGACAGTACCTACCCGTTAGACTGTGGGAGGACCAAATGAGGTGATGCACGCTGGTGGTTTTATGTGAATGATTTAGCGCAGTCCTTGGCATGTAGTGAACCAGAAAAAGGCTTACACCTTTAAAAGAAAGAAAGAAAGAAAGAAAAATCTTGAAAGAACAAAGGAAGGAAGGGAGAGAGAGAGAGACCAAGAGAGGGAGGAGAGGAGGGAGGGAGAAAGAAAGAAGGAGAGAAAGGGAGGGAGGGAGGAAGAAAGAGAGAAAGAGAGAGACAGAGAAAGAGAGAAAATAAAAGATAGAAGGAAAGAGAGAAAGGAAGGGAGGGAGGGAGGGAGGGAGGGAGGAAAGAAGGAAGGAAGAAAGGAAGGAAGGAATGAAGGAAGGAAGGAGAAAGGGAAGGAAGACAGGGAGGGAGGAAGAAAACCCTGGCTGAAAAAATAATGACCAAACTCATTAGAGATCTAAGACAGGCAACCCAGCCTCCAAAATGCAGCTGGCTACAACAGCGCCTCCAGTCTGCAGCCTCCTCCAGAGTGGTCTCCACGCTGGGTTATCCTCATGCCCTCTTACTGTTCCTGGTCTGGGGTCTTGCACATCATAGCCACTGAAGTAAACAAGTGTCAGATGAACAGCATGTTTAAACATGTCTACTCAGCCCCCAGGAAAACAGGGGAGGAAAAAGAATCCTTTTAGAATGTTACTCTACTTGTTCAACACACAGGGTTCTACCATCCAAGAGGTGGCTGTGTGAGGGTGGCAGAGATGGCATGAACCAGCCACCGGGCTGTTGAGGGTAGTAGTGAGTGCCCAGGCTTTGGCTTTTGAGAGACTGTGGTTCATGTCTTGATTCTGCCCATTTCTGGCTGCAGGATTTGGGCAAGTTTCTTAATCTTTCTAAGCCTCAGTTTCCCTCATCATAAAATGGAAATTGTAAAACTTACCTCATTAAGGAGTTGTGAGAATTAAACGAATTATTTGTAAGATACAGACAGTGCCTGGTAGAGGTAAGTGCTTCATATATTTGGGCTGTTGTTGTCAACCCTGGATTTCCCAAAAACCTGAAGACAGCAGGGCATTCTGTACATTAAGTTTTAGGGAAAATCTTGTACCTTCTTAGTTTTTCTGGTTGTGGGGCAGGAGAAAAGGGGTGTGGTCATGACCTGAGCCCCTGGAGTGCTTCTGCCCAGCATCAATGACATGTGCCCACCCTGCTTTGGGGTCATTTTGCTCCTTTGGCTGCAACTGTCATTCCCCTCACCATCAACACCCCCTCCTTCTGCAGAGACGGTGAACACGCTGGCATTGTTCCTTCCAGCCAATGGCTTCTCTCTGGCCTGTGATTGGTACCCCCCAGATTCCAGTGCAATCCAGGCATCCCAGCTATGTCAGCGTGACTCAAATTGTGTGTGCCTGACATCCACATGGCCCCGTAGAAGGCTGGCTCCAGCAAGAGGGCATTTGGAACGCTGCTGAATGCTTGATGGCTGCCAAGTTATCTTTTTGGGGTTAGGCCATTAAAGTTGCATCTGATGTTTTATGGAACAAACCAAGATAAACTGCATGTTGAAATCCATGAGACATGAAGAAGATTTTTACAGATGAAGACACAACGGCAGCTAAAGTTAGGTGGGTTTTTTCCCCCTCAAAACTTTGTAGTTTTTCTTCCACACGGCTATTTCAAAGCAGAAGCAATCCTCAAAAGTGAAGCATAGACGCTGCCATAGTAACAGGTTCAGCGAGACCTGGAGCTGCTGGGGCACCTGGAAAGAACATGGATCTGTCTCTCCGCTCTCATCATCCCAACCAGAGTCGTCTGCTCCATTCCTAAATTCTCTACTCAACTTTCCTCACGTACCCTGACGAAACGTCCTTTTCTGTGCAAACCTAAATTTGTCCTGGTGCTTTTTAATGCATCTCCCAGCCCTCTCTATTCTCATGCTACTTGCAAGCGACCAAGGAGCCAGTCACTCCACCCAATTCCTGGCCCTCTGGGCACACTGTGCACCTTCCGACTTTTGTTCCTGGGCTTTGTCACCTTTGTCCAGAGCACCCTTCCTTTCCACTTCTGCCCACTGTTCATCCAAGCAAATGGTCCAAGAAGAGTCCACTCAAATAACAGGCATACTGCCAGGCAACGATACGATAAGAAAGATTAGCAGACCAAGTATCAGAGCCTTTTAACCCTTGAACCCAGGACTCAAGCACACCTCCTCCAGGCAGCCTTCTCAGTCATCCCCTCGACTGAACCCCTCAGTCTCCCTCTTTTTGCACTCCCTTAACCTTCAATTGACCCCCGTCTCCCTAAGTAAAAGCTGTGTGTGTGTCTGCTTCCCTCCAGACTGTAAGGCTGTTGAAGATGGAGACCTCAAGATGCTCATTCTCTTTCTTGGACCACTTAATTGATAGAATCAGGACTTCAAGCTCTTTCTCCTTCCACTGGCACTTGAATGCATAAAGAAGCAAGTGCGACGATGCTGATGGCACATTATGTATACAAGCAAACAACTGGTGAAGGAGGGCCCCCAAATGCCATTAATTATGGGAAGTCGTAAAATTCTGGCATATCCTTGCTATTGAAAAGCATTCTGCACTTAAAATGAATGAAGTAGATGTATATGTACTGGCATAGCAAGACTCCAAGAGATGATTATTCACTGAAAAAAATCAAGTCACAGAACAATATGTTTGGCATGATCCTATTTAGGTTTTTAAACTGTTAAGTTCCAAAAAGAAAACCATCAGGATCTCTCTGATGTGACTGAGGA